>NC_000014.9:19611713-20861713 GCF_000001405.40 Homo sapiens | reverse complement strand
GTTGGGGAAGTTCTCCTGGATAATATCCTGCAGAGTGTTTTCCAACTTGGTTGCATTCTCCCCGTCACTTTCAGGTACACTAATCAGATGTAGATTTGGTCTTTTCACATAGTCCCATATTTTTTGGAGGCTTTGTTCATTTCTTTTTACTCTTTTTTCTCTAAACTTCTCTTCTCGCTTCATTTCATTCATTTGATCTTCCATCACTGATACCCTTTCTTCCAGTTGATCGAATTGGCTACTGAAGCTTTTGCATGTGTCACGTAGTTCTCGTGCCATGGTTTTCAGCTCCATCAGGTCATTTAAGGTCTTCTCTATGCTGTTTATTCTAATTAGCCATTTGTCTAATCTTTTTTCAAGGTTTTTAGCTTCTTTGCGATGGGTTCGAACATCCTCCTTTGGCTCGGAGAAGTTTGTTATTACCGATTGTCCGAAGCCTTCTTCTCTCAACTTGTCAAAGTGATTCTCCGTCCAGCTTTGTTCTGTTGCTGGCGAGGAGCTGTGCTCCTCTGGAGGAGAAGAGGCACTCTGATTTTTAGAATTTTCAGCTTTTCTGCTCTGGTTTCTCCCCATCTTTGTGGTTTTATCTACCTTTGGTCTTTGATAATGGTGACGTACAGATGGGGTCTTGGTGTGGATGTCCTTTCTGTTTGTTAGTTTTCCTTCTAACAGTCAGGACTCTCAGCTGCAGGTCTGTTGGAGTTTGCTGGAGGTCCACTCCAGACCCTGTTTGCCTGGGTATCACCAGCGGAAGCTGCAGAACTGCAAATATTGCAGAATGGCAAATGTAGCTGCCTGATCATTCCTCTGGAAGCTTTGTCTCAGAGGGGCACCTGGCTGTATGAGGTGTCAGTTGGGCCCTACTGGGAGGTGCCTCCCAGTTAGGCTACTCGGGGGTCAGGGACCCACTTGAGGAGGCAGTCTGTCCGTTCTCAGATCTCAAACTCCATGCTGGGAGATCTGCTACTCTCTTCAAAGCTGTCAGACAGGGACGTTTAGGTCTGCAGAAGTTTCTGCTGCCTTTTGTTCGGCTATGCCCTGCCCCCAGAGGTGGAGTCTACAGAGGCAGGGAGGCCTCCTTGAGCTGCGGTGGGCTCCACCCAGTTCAAGCTTCCAAGCGGCTTTGTTTACCTACTCAAGCCTCAGCAATGGCAGGCGCCCCTCCCTCAGCCTCGCTGCTGCCTTGCAGTTCGATCTCAGACTGCTGTGCTAGCAATGAGCGAGGCTCTGTGGGTGTGGGACCCTCCAAGCCAGGCACGGGATATTAACCTCCTGGTGTGCCATTTGCTAAGACCGTTGGAAAAGCACAGTATTAAGGTGGGAGTGTCCCGATTTTCCAGGTGCCATCTTTGAAGGCTTCCCTTGGCTAGGAAAGGGAATTCCCTGACCCCTTGTGCTTCCCAGGTGAGGCAAGGCCATGCTTCAGCTCACAGTCCGTAGGCTGCACCCACTGTCCTGCACCCACTGTCTGACAAGCACCAGTGAGATGAACCTGGTACCTCAGTTGGAAATGCAGAAATCACCCGTCTTCTGCGTTGCTCACACTGGGAGCTGCAGACTGGAGCTGTTCCTATTCGGCCGTCTTGGAACCTTCCCTCCAAATTTCCTAACATTTCTGTATTTGAAATGTGTTACTTCTCTAATCAGAAAAAAAAAAATTAACATGTTATTTAAAATACTGACTCCTTAAATCAGACATTCTGAGGTCCTCTCCAGCCCTGCAAATCCCCTCTTCTTACTATAGTGGAGGTGGCACATTCACCTAGAATTTTGGGCTCCTCTTCTGAGTAGTAGGTGATACTAATAGAAGAATATTTGGAATTCCAGGATTTGCTCAGAGAACTCTTGGCTAATTTTTATGGGGTGAATCTACTTCTTTCTCCCAGTGCATCCTCCTCAAGAAAAATGCTTCACCTACTGGATAACTAGAATTTCCTCTTTGTTGTCTTTCAGAAGGCTGCTTGGTAACACACACTAGTCAGGAAACCACTACTTTTGAAACAATATTTTTCTCCAAGAATTATTATTATTGACTCTTCCCTTTGTCTTCTGTCATTCTTAAGAAGGCAAAGCTAGGTTTTAGGAGGAAAGCTTGGGCGTTGTCTGAAAACAGATACAGATATCATTAAAAGTCTTGTGGGACCTAAGCAAAGTGCCTGTCCCATCTGAGCCACTAAGAAGCAATACCATGGCCTGTATTAGCTGCAGAAAGGCCCTTAAAAATAAGGCAGTCAGTACTAGAAAAGGCAAAGGAATTTGTTAAGCTGCCACTGCAAGCAAATGACAGGACAGAAACCAAACCCAGGGTGCTCTGCCCGACTAGTTCCATGACTATATGGGAAATAAAGCCACATATACAAAATCACATGGTGTATATAGCTGTGAAAAAGCTAGCATGACATTAGCTTTTTTAGGTAACAAGGCTAAGCTTATTGTCAGACCTGATGCATTTTCATCTTTTGATGCATATGAACTTTCTTTTCTACAGGATTAGGGGATAGAGAGAGGTAACTACAGAGTATGCCCACTATTCTATGGAGAATATTTCCTCTTTAGGTTTGCTGTGTCCAGAGTCTTAGCTTTAATTTAATTAAGAGATCACCAGGAAAAAGACACACGTATTCATCCATGTCTCCCTAGCACCTGGATCTGCATTTGACATGAGGTGGACTTCTGTGTTTATTATTCCCCATCTTCCTATCCAGCTGGAAAGTGGGTCTTACCTCTGTGTGTAAAACAAGATCTATCACTCCCAAACCACATGTGCACACACACACACACACACACACACACACTATGAACTGAGTGCCCACAGGAAAGATACTTATTGGTCAGTCATCCTTACCCAGCACACTGGACACCTGGATTTAAGTAAGTTCATGATGATGGAGAAAATGGAGAAAGTGAATTGAATTATTTGTAAGTCCATGCTTATGGAAAAATGAGGAAAGAAATAGAATTATTTAGTCTGAAGCTCAGAAAGTGAAGACTTTAAATCATACTTACCATGCTTACAAGGGTGATTGTAGGATATAATATAATGAACAAGAATAAATCTTTAAGACAGGGACAGATCATGCTTGAACATGTTATTTAGGTCAAGAGATCTCCATCTTCACTATAGACTAAAGGAGAAGAGATGAATGTAAACTAGGGAGGCTTAGACAAACCTAGGAAGTTTCCAGGGAATCTGCTGTCTCTAGACTTGACAAAGGGGCAAAAAACACCTCTCTCTTTACTCTTCTGATTCTTTGTATCCATTGGAGGGGGAAGGTGGACTGTGTCACTGAAGACCTTTCATCTCTGAGTCACAGTAAACATCCCAAGAAAGCAGTCCAAAATGATATCCTGAGAAGTCTACTTGAAGTCAAGTAAAATAATAATTAATGTGTACAACTATATCCTAGGCTTAACCTCAAACCTGTGTAGCTAAATGGGAGAGTTAAGAGAAGGGAGAAAAGGTGAAAATCGTACTGTGTTAGCATCCGGCCACCAAATAGAGGCAAATAAAGGAGATACTTGCTTTTTAATCCTGGTGCCAAGGTCTCTGGATAGAAAAGGCTGGTGTAAGTCAGGTGTTGTGGGAGGAATTTGCCTCTGAGGGATGGACAGTGGTTCACATGGCCAGATCAGGCAGCAGATGTGTGCCGATGCTGGCGAAGCCTTCGTCCTTACAAGAGACAAGTCAAAGAGACCCGAAGTAATGAAGAGAATGCAGAGGGTGGAGCCTCCAGCAAGCACGAGTTGAGGAGTAGTCTGGGGTTGTGAAGATGGGTATTTTTACAAAAGCAACCACATTTGAATTTGTATCTTTGATGAGAATTTTTGCACACTGAGTCTTGATGTCCTCAAAAAAGAAAATACAATAATAGGAGAGCGCCCCCTGCCGGCAAGCAGTGAGCTAGGCATCTCTACCTCTGAGCCTGATTGACCCGGCTCCCCTTCCTCGGTTTAGAAGGTGCACAGAAACCTTAGCTGAGCTGCTTCTGTTTCATTCTTGAGGGCGTGGGGGTTTTCATGGCGGTCCGGATCTTCTGTGCCTGGAGTCAGCCTAGGTTCACCATGCTGCCTCTCCTCTGCATTTTTCCTCCCCTCCAACTTCGCCCTCAGTCTCTCTCCAATCTCAACTTTGCCACACTTTTCAAGAGGCAATTTATTTTCACCAAATTTCAGGGTTCTCAAAAGACAGTAAGATTAAGTTTGGCTTCATACACTTCCTCCTTTCCATTCTGCAGATATCCTAAGGAATTGCAAAAGGGTCTGGCTCTCTGCTTGGAACTAGAGGCATGAGGAAAATACAAAGAGAAGAAAGAAAAAGTAGTATCTCAGCAAACTATCCTGCCTCACATATGTTCTTTAATTTTCTTGCTGGAAAATCTCTGGGCCCTGTCTCTATGCTCTTTCCATCTCAGGGTCCAGAATAGGGAGAATATGAAATTATATCCATGTGGGTGTAATATCAAATTTACCTTGAACCCCAGTATTAGATCCTGACTTGCAAAGACAATCTCTGAAAAGGTAAAGGGGTCTGTATGTTGGGCGCCTCAGTTGCTCTTTCCTGGCCTAACTTAAAGAAGGGCTTTGAAGTGTGTGTGGTGTGTGTGTGTGTGAGAGAGAGAGAGAGAGAGAGAGAGAGAAAGAGAGAACCTTAACTGGGAAAGGGGCTGATTTTTTTGATGATTATCTCTTCCTCAGTCTCAATGTGGATGGGGAAATTTCCACTGTGTGGTAGCATTCGTGAGAACCACCCTTTCTACTCATTGCCAAAAGTTAGAAGTTATTGTTGTACAGATTTTTGTTAGTTGGGAAACAAGATAATTCTATAAAAATGTGGAATATTTCTATTAGAATCATTTAAAAAACAAATGCCCTTAGACTGTGTCTTTTTGCTCTCACTACTATGTGTGATCATGAATTCACAAACACTCCTGATTTTTCTGAAGTAGTGGTCTACAAACTCTAACATAAACCAGGATCTCCTGGATTAGCATTCTCTAATAAGCTGGAAGTTTATTAGGTAAAAACACAAAAATACGTGAGGCCTACTACTAATAATACAAGTCAGAGTATCTCCAGATTATTGACTCTGGGATGTCCAAGTCAGTACACATTGTTGAAGACAGAAACACACTTGTGCTACAATAAAATGTGAGCCATGTAATACAATAGATTAGGGGCCAGCCTGGCCAATATAGCAAAACCCCATCTCTACTAAAAATACAAAAAATTAGCCGGGTGTGGTGGCGCATGCCTGTAATCCCAGCTACTCAGGAGGCTGAGGCAGGAGAATCGCTTAAACCTGGGAGGCGAAGGTTGCAGTGAGCCAAGATCGCGCCACTGCACTCTAGTCTGGGTGACAGAGTGAGACTCCATCTCAAAAAAAAAAAAATAGATTAGGGGATATGAAATATCTGAAAGGAAGAAAAGGAGCCAAGAAAAGGAAAGGAGGAAAGAAGAATACAAGGGGATACAAACAATAAGCACATGAGAAGATGAAGTTTCCAGTGTGGCAGATACTCTCTTCCTTCCCTAATGCCTGGAATCTGGCTGTGCGTGGAGAAAGATGAAAGGCTCTGTCTAGTGAGTCCACTGGACTAGAAGCTCCCTGGGACTAGGTTATGTGTTTTGCATCTCCAGTACCTAGCGGTCTGCCTGGCACAGAGTCTATGCTCAGAAAGTGTTTCATTGATGAATGGAGAGACAGGTAGTACATTAGCATGCTGAGTTTGCAAAAAGTCATTAAATGTGTAAATTAGAATGTTCTACCAATTATATGTTATACTACCCTCTGTTCTATATCTCAGTGATCGTCTGTCTGAATTTCCCGCTTTGAACACTAGATGTCCTCTGGGACTGACACCATGACCAGACCCTAGCGATTCAAATCTCTCACCAGCGCTCTCCTGCTGAGGGCTGGGTCCTGTTTCAGAACTTCTGTCAATGGACTGCTCACTGAAACATTACCCTGGCTCCCACGTGACTTATAGCGTTAGCCAGTGCTTGAAACCTACTCCCCCACTGGGTTGGTTCTTCTAGAATTCTGATATTAGCCTCAATCTACTAGGCATTTTACTTTGGACTGCTGACCATCCACCTTGGGAATGAGCTCTTTAGCCAGTTCAGTCAATCCTACCAAGAACTGGCTTCTTCCTTTACTCAGTGACCTATCTCAAGGGTTTCCATGGGACCAAGAGTCATGTGGGAGCATGACAGAGGGAGTGTTGGAAGATGCATTTGTATCTTCAGTATCCTAATGCATCCTCTGGAAATTGGTGGTGTGATGGAATGTTTGATTCTAATTCATACTAATGTATGGCTACGATAGTTACCATGCCTTTACAAAGGGCAATCTGAAAAGTCACTAGGACCTTCTAAGAGAGTTAAAATGGAGCCATTTCTCTCACTTGGTTTGTGCTTCTTTTCCTCTCCTGAATAGTGAATTTCAAAGTTCTTTCATTCCTCTTTACTTTAGAAGACAATGTTGTAGGACCCCTAATCCCGCAAGGTGCTGTAAAGGGGGAGAAAGGGGTCAAGTAAATTTACTGATTAACATTAGTCAATAGTTACCACCTTATGAGGCTTTAAAAAGAATAACCAAAATAGACACTGAAACCATTCTGAGGAGGTAAAAGTAAATAAAGCCGTCTCCCCCGTGACCTTCATTTCATTTCCATTTTGTTCTCCTGATAGTGATTTTTAAGGGTCCCTAATCCTCTTGTATCCTAGAGGGCCAATACTACAGGAACACTGATCCTACTGGATGCTCTGTTGAGGAGAAAGAGTGATTCTTCCATAGGACCCATTCAAATACATTTAGGAAATCTGCTTCCCGTAGTTGGTTCTTAGATATTTACAGTGCCTCTTAGAACATGAAAAGCTCTGTAATAAATTCTATTTATGTCAACTTTTTTCTTTATTTACAAATGTTTAGGCCCTGGAAGACCTTTCCCTATAACTCCTGATAAACTTTGGGAAATGCTCTTGAAATATTTCATGATCCCCTTTGGAGGCTGCAGTTCTTTCCCTCCTCATGTTTGCTGTTCAGTCCAGTGTAATCTTGGTGTCACACTAGGTAGTGAACCTGACATTACACACGATGCCAGTATTTCATAAGAGCCATGACAGCTGAAAGCTTTCAAATGCCAATTGAAAGCTGGTGCCATTTACTTTCACAGCACAAAGATCCACAAAGATAACAGGAAAATTTCTTTTCCTTTTTTTTTTTTTTTTTTTTTGAGACAGGGCCTCACTGTCATCCAGACTGATGCAGTGGCATGATCTTGGCTGACTGCAACCTCCACCTCTTGGGCCCTAGGGATCCTTTCACTTCAGCATCTCAAGTAGCTGGGACTACAGGTGTGCGCCATCACACCTGCTAATTTTTGTATTTTTAGTGGAGATGGGGTTTCCCTATGTTGCCCAGGCTGGTCTTGAACTCCTAGACTCAAGTGATCCTCCCACCTCAGCCTCCCTAAGTGCTGGGATTATAAGCATGAGCCACTGCACCCGGCCAAAAATAACGTGAAAAATTATTTTAGTTCTCTTTCACTCAGATAAAGCATGAAAGCTGATTACTTTTCTTCTTCTGATAAAGGTCTCTATGCTTCTTCCGAGAGAGAGATTTTGGAACAATGGGAAGAGTCTGAATTGAGTCTTTCTGTCCTCGATCATGACCTGAGCAGTCTGTTCACATCAAGAGCACACAGTCTGTCCTCTTGGGGTGCATTGCGCACCGTGTGAAGGCTGCCTAACTGTGTGAGAGCTTGTTCTCCAGATGGGTTAACTGAACCCTCTCAATCTCACAGACTGTGCACATGTCCCTAATTAGTAGCAAGGCTTCCTTCTCCGTTCTCCACCCTTGGAGAACCCTGGAACTGCCCCTACCCCACTCTAACTCCTCTTGTCTACAGCAATGGCTTTAATCTCCTGAGGTCACCCATCACTACCTCCCTTTAATGTACATTCCAGTCACAAATATGGGATAGGGCGAGGTGTGTGGCTCTCATGCAAAAAGCCCACAGGTACAAACAAGGACAGACCTGCAGAAGTCTTTCTTCTGACACCTACATTCTCTCAGTCGTGTACCATATTAGGACCTTGCCAACAGTTCTCTGTCACCTGGTGAATGCCTACTCATATTTCAAGCCTGAATTTAAGTATCAACTACTCCAGAGCCTACCTTGGAAAAATTCCTATTCTTTCTTTTATGTTCCTTGCACATTTAAAACTTGTTATTTATAGTTTGGTTCCCCACATAGAACTGTAAGTCCCTTGAGGACAGGGACCACGTCTTATTTATCTTTGTATACTGACAGTGCGTTGCAGGTGCTTAATAAATAATTGTCAAATAAATGAATTACAGTGAACATCTATCGTAGGAAGGTCTACAAGGTAAAAAGAAGCATAAAGCAACATTCCCTTTACCAGTTTGCTTTCGGTTTAGGTGGAGAGATATGATATGTTTATAGAGAGAGACAACTGAGAGTGCAGGCTGTAAAAGCACAAAGTCAGCAGTGTAGAAACAGATTCTGTGAGTTCAGAGAAGGACTAGCTCACCCAGGGCTGAAATGTTTGGGCAAGTCTTCTGGGTGGTCATGAGTGGTTAGGTGAAATTTGGAGGTGGGTAGGACTTGCATAGGTGGGAAGAGGCACCCCAGGCAGTAGGAATGGCAAATGTGATTCAAAAGGAAAATTCAGACGATAGTAAATAGACAAATTTGGCTAGAGTATTACATTTAACATTGATGTAATAATTTTATCAAATGTACTGTTTGTGTTCAAATTTGTTAGTTGACCCACAATCTTTTTTGAAGTATACTTTCTCCCCCCAGTGCAGGCTCCAGGCTAGCGTCAGGATGCAGTTAACTGCCAAAACTCTTTAGCTACCTTTAACCTGAATCATTTCCACAGCCTTTCCGTGTCTTTTTGGTCTTCAACATTTTTAAAGAAATCACAAAAGAGAAGACCTTTTTATCCCACCTTTTTGAGAGATTTTATCTTTTAGAGTAGTTTCAGGTTCACAGCCCCCCAACAAGCACAGCCTCCCCCATTATCGACATCCCCCCACCAGAGTGATACAGTTGTTACAACCGAGAAGCCTGCATTGATACAGTATTATCACCCAAAGTCTGTAGTTTATATTAGGGTTCACTCTTGGTCATGTACATTCTGTGGGTTTTGGCAAATGTATAATGACATGCATCCACCATTATAATATCATGCAGAATAGTTTCACTGCTCAAAAATTTTCTGTGTTTGCCTATTTGTCTCTCCCTTCCTCCTTAACCCCTGGCAACTACTGATCTATTTACCATTTTCATAGTTTTGCCTTTTCCAGAATGTCATATAGTTGGAATCATACAGTACATAAAGTATGTAGTAGCAGCTACATACAGTAGTAGCCTTTTCAGAATAGCTTCTTTTACTTAATAATATTCATTTAAGGTCCCGCTATGTCTTGTCATGACTTGAGAGCTCATTTCATTTTAGTGCTGAATAATATTCCATTATTTGGATGTACCACAGTAATTTATCTATTCAGCTCCTGAGGGACGCCTTGGTTGCTTCTAAACTTTGACAGTTATGCATAAAGCTGTTATGAACATCCATGTGCAGGTGTTTGTGTGGACATAAGTTTTTAACTCATTTGTGCAAATACCAAGGAGAGTGACAGCTGGATTATGTGTTAAGAGTGTGTTTAGTTATTTTTTTTTTATTTTTTTTGAGATGGAGTTTTGCTCTTGTTGCCCAGGCTGGGGTGTAATGGCACAATCTCGGCTCACTGCAACCTCTACCTCCTGGATTCAAGAGATTCTCCTGCCTCAGCCTCCCAAGTAGCTGGGATTACAGGCATGTGCCACCACACCCAGCTAATTTTTTGTATTTAGTAGAGACGGGGTTACACCATGTTGATCGGGCTGGTCTTAAACTCCCGACCTCAGGTGATCCACCTGCCTCAGGCTCCCAAAGTACTGGGATTACAGGTGTGAGCCACCGTGCCTGGCCTGAGTGTGTTTAGTTTTATAAGACACCTCCTTTTTTAACATTCTTCATTTTGGGTTTGTCTGATGCTTCCTTATGATTAAATTCAGGTTATGCATTCTGTTTCAGAATACTGCATAGGTGATGTTGTGTCCTCAGGGCAATAAGCCTGGAGGCATGAAACATCCATGTGTCCTGCAATGATGATGTCAGTTGTGATCACCCAGGGAAGATGCTGTCAGTTATCTTCATTATATAATTGCTATTTTTTTCTCCATTTCTACTAATAAACAGTTTGTGGAGGGGATACATTAAGGTCTTGTAAACACCCTGTTTCTTTTCAAAATTTCCCCTAGATTGGCTGGGCGCAGTGGTTCATGCCTGTTATCCCCACAGTTTGGGAGGCCGAGGTGGGCAGATCCCTTGAGGTCAGGAGTTTGAGACCAGCCTGGCCAACATAGTGAAACCCCGTCTCTAGTTAAAAATGCAAAAATTACCCAGGTGTGGTGGTGCATGTCTGTAGTCCCAGCTACTCGGGAAGCTTGAGGCAGGAGAATCTCTTGAACCTGGTAGGTGGAGGTTGCAGTGAGCCGAGATTGTGCCACTGCACTCCAGCCTGGGTGACAGAGCAAGACTCCCATCTCAAAAAAAAAAATTCCCCTAGATTTAGCATGCATTGATAATTCTTGCTTAATCCACTTTTTGCTATGGTAGTGACAAAATGATAATTTTTAAGTTTCTGCATGCCACATTTAACAGCTAGCTTTCAGCTTTCTACTGTAAGCAAAACCCTATGTTCTTCACATTGGTTTATTTGTGTTTATATTAATTGCCAGTAGGACTCACAAATTTTTATTTTTTCAATGGCTTATAATTCACTATTGTAGTTAATATTTTGGTGCCCAAATAGTCCCAGTATTGGCCACTGAGATCCGTTTCAAGCTACCTTCCGTGTCTCTGTGATATGCTATCCTTTCTGCTTTCTCAGGACTTCATTTTTTTGCGGCATAGCAATATGTTCCAGCCTCATCTTGCACCTGCTCCACCTCAGTCATTTTCCTAAGGTGCCCTGATTTTTTAGTGGGGGGATGGTGTTAGAGACCAAGATCTTGGTAGGTGTGTTCTTTGCTGCTGGAGTGTCTTTGTTTCAAGGCTTTTTTAGTGAACAGAGTTAAGAAATATATGCCCGCATTTATCCACAAAAGAATGTACACATACATAAATGTGTATGCATATGTACATATACATATTTAAAAAATTATTAGTTTACAGAGATACCTTTAATTCAATCCATCCTCACAGGGTTCTTCCTTGCCTTCCTCCCTTCCATAATTGCATGTCCTTTCTTCCACAGCGTGATTAACAACATTAACCCTTGTACTTATTTGCTCACTCTTATAATAAATCAAAAGTAGTTTAAGAATGCTTTGTTCATACCACTATAGTAAACAAGATTGCTAAAAAAAGGTTCAGGATATGAACTTTTTTTCTACCCCCACTTCACTCACCCTGGTTAAGACTGCAGGTTTATACCTAAATAATAAAATCAGGAGAACTAATAAAAGTATTGCTTAGTAAGGCCAGGTGAGGTGGCTCATGCCTATAGTCTCAGCACTTTGGGAAGCTGGGGCAGTTGGATCACTTGAGGTCAGGAGTTCAAGACCAGCCTAGCTAACATAGCAAAACCCTGTCTCTACTAAAAATACAAAAATTAGCTGGGCATGATGGCTTGCACCTGTAGTCCCAGCTACTCAGGAGGCTGAGGCAGGAGAATAGCTTGAACCCAGGAGGCAGAGGTTGCAGTGAGCTGAGATCATGCCACTGCACTGTAGCCTGGGTGACAGAGGGAGACTCCATCTAAAAAAATAAAATAAAATAAAATAAAAAGTACTGTTTAGTAAGTGTGTTATGCAATAACAGATAACCAAAATGATGTTATTAGCTTTAGGTTATGCAGTGGCACTGGGGCTCAAATTCCTGCCTAAATTGGGGCCAATTTCCCTAAAGCCCATGCCTTTTTTTGTTATATTATGTTCCACAAAGTCACAGTTGACAAGTTAAGTGGGCATAGAATCAGGAGCAGCAAGAAGTGGGTTAGAGACTGAGATGATAACGGACGGACAGCCAGCCAGGCAGGTAGTTTTGGCCATCATGGAGAGAGCACTCTATTTTCTCCCCTTAGGCTGGCCATTGGGCATGATGGACAGATGACAAGGAGCATGCCCTAAGGAGCTGAAAGGTCAGTGAAAGTTCACTGCAAATCCAGGACCTCCCCCACAATAGCCTATTCCACCTACTCTTCGCTCTCAATCCAATTTTAAATACTTTTCTTTGGAAGGGGACATTTTTTGGAACTTGAGCAGCAGCTCAGAAATGTGAAACAAATACCCCACTGTTTGCTGAGAACTTAAGTCAATAATGATTTTATTATTCAGGCAAATAAGAGCTGCAACTCCGGTCATCTGAGCTGGCTGACCAGCTTCCAGCTCTGAAATAGCAATTTCAATGGTCTGCTTTTCTGAGGACAGGGCAAACTGGGGAGATTTGAGGCTGCCCAGTGAGGCTCCTCCAGGAGCCTGACAGGGATTAAGGGTTCAAGAAAGAGTTCAAAAGAAAGGGCACCACAGGGGAGCACAGGCAAGACTGCTGCTGCTCTCTCTTGGTAGTTTCCTTCCTCTCCCCGGCCGCCCTCTGTCTACCACACAGAAGGTTAGTACCCAAAGAACCTTCCAGGGCAAGAAAAGCTGCATTGTTTAAACACTTGTTCCTCCAGCTTTCATCCACCTCCTTCGTTTCCTTTCCACAAATTTCCATGTTCAGTGTTTCCCCTGGAAGACTCAGGCACTGCTGTGGCTCCCACAGTCACCCATGTGGAGAGATGATTAATTGTACACAGTGCCCCAAGTCTCTCAGAAACACCACTTTGAACTTCTCCCTGTCTGCTGCACCTTCCCCCAGTGTGACTCTCAGTGTGTCTGCAGTGACTCATAACCTTTGGAAGATGCCTTAAAGCAGGCTCTGCCCGCCTGGTATTCCTTGACATGTCCCCCTCCTTCTGTGCTGCTCTCCAGTTCTATATAAAGATAGAATGAGGGAACTGTCAGTCTATCTTTCCTGCCCAGTCAAAAACTTCAATCATTGTCACTCCTACTAATTCAGAATGTAAACTTAACTGTTTCTTTTTTGAGACAGTTTTGCTCTGTCACCCAGGCTGGAGTGCAGTGACTCAATCTCGGCTCATCGCAGCCTCTGCCTCCCAGGTTCAAGCGATTCTTCTGCCTCAGCCTCCCGAGTAGCTGGGATTACAGGCGCATGCCACTATACCCGGTTAATTGTCATATTTTTAGTAGAGACAAGGTTTCACCATGTTGGCTAGGCTGGTCTCGAACTCCTGACCTCAGGTGATCCACTTGCCTTGGCCTCCCAAAGTGCTGGGATTACAGGCATGAGCCGCCGTGCCAGCCAAACTTACCTGTTAATTGTGACCTTTTCAGAAGCTATATTAAACTGGTAATAATAACAATATAATGATATCTATGGAGAGCTTACTATGTGCTCTGAATAGGGTGCCCATCTAATTTACTGTCTGAACTGTGATACTTTTGAGAGTGAGAAGGAATACTACTAGTAATTAAGCCAGGACAGCAGCATACATAGAGCAGATCCTGGGCAAACTGGGACATATGGTTTCATAGCTGGGAACTTAAATCAATAATTATTTCATTATTCAGGCAAATAAGGCTGCAACTCTGATCACTGAGCTGGCTGAACTGTTCTAGATGCTTTACCTGGGTTATTTTATTTAGTTCACACAATAACCCTTTGAATAAGGTGCTTTAATTTACAGATAAAGAAACAAATTACAGAAGATCAAAAATCACTTATCTTTAAAATACTAAATCAGGACTTTTGTCTGTAAATCTGTACTCATCCAGAAAAATATCAGTCAGTATTACAGGAAAGATTAAAAAGGTGAACCGACTCTACACCCCTCTTTAAATCCACCCCCAATATACATATACATTTCAGTTATTCTTTATTATTGTTTTGTGAGTTATCCAGCTTGTCTGTTTTACAGATCACGGAGCTGGGGCCAGGTACGGTGGCTCATGCCTTTAATCCCAGAACTTTGGGAGGCCGAGGCGGGCGGATTGCCTGAGCTCAGGAGTTTGAGACCAGCTTGGGCGACACGGTGAAACCCTGTCTCTACTAAAAATACAAAAAAATTAGCCGGGCGTGGCAACGTATGCCTGTAGCCCCAGCTACTCGGGAGGCTGAGGCAGGAGAATTACTTGAAGCCTGGAGGTGGAGGTTGCAGTGAGCCGAGATCACACCACTGGACTGAAGCCTGGGCGACAGAGCGAGACTCCGTCTCAAAAAGAAAAACAAGAAATTACAGTTGTGATATACGTTGAATTACTTAAGAAATATTCTGGCCGGGCACGGTGGCTCACGCCTGTAATCCCAGCACTTTGGGAGGCCGAGGCGGGTGGATCACGAGGTCAGGAGATCGAGACCATCCTGGCTAACACGGTGAAACCCCGTCTCTACTAAAAATACAAAAAAAAATTAGCCGGGTGTGGTGGCGGGCGCCTGTAGTCCCAGCTACTGGGGAGGCTGAGGCAGGAGAATGGCGTGAACCTGGGAGGCGGAGCTTGCAGTGAGCCCAGATCGCGCCACTGCACTCCAGCCTGGGCGACAGAGCGAGACTCCGTCTCAAAAAAAAAAAAAAAAAAAAAGAAATATTCTGAGAGATGAATGTCATATTTTAATATGTGTAATGAATCTGAATACAGTAGCTGTGATTTAATGCACAGGAAGTGAGCCCTCTCAGTGACAGGTCACAGGTCATTCCGTACCAGTTATCTTTCCCCATGATCCAGACAACACAGGTGATGCACACATTCTCCGAACCCTGTTTCAGAACAAGTCTGAGGCAAAGGGGGATAGTGACTTAAGTTCCAGTTGTAGAAGTAGGTTCCATTGCTGAAAGGACCTTCCTCTTCTGTTCATATTCTTGGTCAACTTCCTTGTTTCTTGGCTGCGTCCGTTTCCATTTTGGTACCTACTTCCCTTCCTTTCTACCATTCTTTTTTTTTCTTTCTTTTTGAAGAGACAGAGTCTCACTCTGTCGCCCAGGCTCAAATGCGGGGGCATGATCTCAGCTCACTGCAACCTTCACCTCCCGGGTTCACTCAATTCTCTTGCCTTGCCTCCTGAGTAGCTGGGATTACAGATGCCTGCCACCACACCGGGCTACTTTTTGTATTTTTAGTAGAGATGAGGTTTCACCGTGTTGGCCAGGCTGGTCTCAAACTCCTGACCTCAGGCGATCCATCCACCTTGGCTTCCCAAAATGCTGGGATTATAGGCGTGAGCCACTGTGCCTGGCCTCCAACATTCTTATAGGTAGGACATTCTCCTGTACCTTTGCCTGTGAGCTGGATCCCATCTTTGCCCAGTTCCTGAGACTGTGCTGTATCTGTGCCCTGTATTTCCAGTGTCTTCTGTACTGACTCCTTAGGATATGGACAATCTCATGTCACCTTCTACGCAGCCTTCCGAAACTACTTACCAGTTGGCTCCTTCTCTTCATTGCCAAGCTCCTTGTTGACTCTGTTCCTTTAGCTCTAATATTCTCTTCAGCTGGAAAAAGGACGCTCTGAAACTACTGTAGCAAAGAATCCATGACCTCCTGATTTTCACATCTAATCATCTAATAAAATCTTTACTTCTTAAGCATTTTTTAAAAATTATAAGGTACATTATATAACACACACACACACAGTCACGCACACGTACCAGAGTGCCAAAATCATACATGTAGGCAAAGTTTAAAGAATATCTATGAGGCAGACACCCTTTTGACTTCTGCCAAGGTCAGAAACAGAACAATGGCAGTATTTCTGAAGCTCTCAACCATGTGCTCTTTCCTGACCACGGCACTTTCTTTCCCTCCAGAAAAAAAAAAAATTATGCTTGAGATAACAATTTCCTTTCTTCTTTTTATAATTATATCACTTATGTATCCGTCTCTAACCATTACAGTTTAATTTCACCTGTTCTTGAATGCTATATAAATAGAATCTCATTGTATATATATTTTTTGTGACTGAACTACCTTATGTTTATTCAATCCATTTATGTTGCTACAAGGGATATATTTTGTTCAATTTTATTGCCCTAAAGGATTCTAAAGCATGACTATGCTGCAATTTTTATCATTTCTATCTTTTCATTCTCCAGAGTTCTGAATTCTTACATTTTTGAAGTATTTCTTGTAAACATCATAGAGTTAGATTTTCCTCCATCAGTGTTGTGTTTTAACTGGACCATTTATATTTATTGCAATTATTCATCTCCATCTTCCTCAGTGTACATCTATCATCTATTTAGTCTTTTCTATTTGTCTCGTTTGTTTGGTATTTCTTTTTCGTCTCCTGTTTTCCCTTCTTTTGGATTAGTTGTGTATTTCTATATCACTCCATAAAAGCCATTAAGGCTAATCACAGGTGTTTAGTTCTCTTGTTCCAGGCACTTAGAAGGATCCTACTTCTTTGTCCCTTGTACTTAGATGTGACTACGTGACTTTCTGTGGTCAATTATGTGTGAGTAGAAGTCATGTATGTCCCTTCTTGCAGCAGGATCAAGAGTTGGCCTGCAGGTTACCATGCTTTCTTCCCTTTGCCTCTGTTACTGTGGAATTGTGTGTCAGGATGAAGCCTGTGTCAGCCTGTGTTCCCAAGTGACTATGGTAGGGAGAACCCCTTTGCTGGACCATGATGGACGTGTAGGAGAAATGAGTAATAAATCTTATGCCACTGACATTTTGAGGTTCTTTGTTACTGCAGCACAAGTAAGCCTATTCTAACTGATTCACATTTCACTTATTCTCTCTGCTAGTTTGGAATGTATACACGGTGTCTCTATTCCTTTAATTGTTTATCCTAGAAATTTCAGCATGCATACTAAACATATAAAAATCTATTATATTTTAAAAATCTAATTATTTTAAATATTAATTTTAAATAAAAATCTAATTCATATTTTAAATCATCTCTTGTACTTGACTGAATTTTTTTTCTTTTTTTTTTAGAGACAGGATCTTACTATGTCACCCGGGCTGGAGTGCAATGAAGTGATCATGGCTCACTGCAGCCTCTAACTCCAGGGCTCAAGTGATCCTCCTGCCTTGGCCTCCCAAAGTGCTGGGACTACAGTATGAGCCACTGCACCAGGCCCACTTGACTCAATTTATAACATTCTCAAATTGTTACTGCTGTTGTATATTTAATTTTAATTTTAATTTTATGTTTTTAATTCTATAAGACATTATTGCTTTATAGAGTCAAAAAATTTATATTTGCTCACATATTTATTTGTTTTTTATTTTCATTTATTTATTTATTTTTTTTTAGATGGAGTTTCACTCTGTTGCCCAGGCTGGAGTGCAGTGGCACAATCTGAGTTCACTGCAACCTCTGACTCCTAGGTTCAAGTGATTCTCCTGCCTCAGCCTCCCCAGTAGCTGAGATTACAGGTGTGCACCAGCACGCCTGGCTAATTTTTTGTATTTTTTAGTAAAGATGGGGCTTCACCATGTTGGCCAGGCTGGTCTCAAACTCCTGACCTCAAATGATTCACCCACCTCAGCCTCCCAAAGTGCTGGGATTACAGGCGTGAGCCACTGAGCCCAGCTGCTCACATATTTATTTATCATGCTTTGTTTTTTTTTTGTTTTTGTTTTTGTTTCTTTAGGAGACAGGATCTTGCTAATTTCCCCAGTTGGATTTGAACTCCTGAGCTCAAGTAATCCTCTGACTTTGGCCTCTTGAGAAGCTGGGATTACAGACACATACCACCACGCCCAGCTCTATCATGCTTTCTGTGTTTCATTCTTTCCTGAACTTCAGATTTCCATCGAGTAGCTTTTCTCTTCAGCCTGAAGTATATCCTTTGAAATTTCCTTTAGTGAAGGTCCACTAGTTATAAACTCTATTAGGTTTTTTTTGGTCTGAAAAAGTTTTATTTTACCTTCATTTTAAAGTGACATTTTTGCAGGTTAGATAATTTTAAGTTGGCTGTACTTTTCTCTCAGTCGTTTATTTATTTATTTTTTGAGACAGAGTCTCACTCTGTCTCCCAGGTGGGAGTGCAGTGGTGTGATCTTGGCTCACTGCAACCTCTGCCTCCTGGGTTCAAGCCATTCTCCTGCCTCAGCCTCCCAAGTGGCTGGGACCACAGGCGCCCACCACCACACCTGGCTAATTTTCATATTTTTAGTAGAGACAGTGTTTTACCATGTTGGCCAGGCTGGTCTCAAACTCCTGACCCCAAGTGATCCACCTGCCTTGGCCTCCCAAAGTGCTGGGATTACAGACATGAGCCACTGTACCCAGCCAGTAGTTTAAACATAATAGTTACTGTTTTCTGGTTTACCTGGTCTCTTGAGAAGTCAGAAATCAGTCTGTCATTTAATTGAAAGTAATCTTAAAAACCTTGGAGTTTATCTTTCTGATTATAGTAAATGTTCCTGTTGTGACTCTCATTTTTATAAATGAGTTGCCTAAGCAGAATCCCTAGAGTCATCATTTCTCAGGACTTCTGCACTTCTTCTGCTGTTGGACATTCCATTAGTAACAAAGGAAGATCCTGCAAGTCGCTTTATTGTCCTCTTTGCTATAACCTGGGATTCAAATGTCAACACTTTTGGGTATCCGTGAACATTTACGGACAAAGACTTGAGACTCAGAAAATAGGATACAATCATAAAACTTTTGATGTTAAACAGGAATTGATATTTCAAAAATTATTATTTCTTATGTCTTGTACTTGATATATGAAAATAAAAGCTCAGTCTATATTTTAGTTTGTCTAGGTTTGAATAGCGAATATATACTCCTTTCTAGCCTGAACTTAAACAAGTTAGTGAACTTCTCCAAGCTTGCTCAAGTGTAAAGCAGACATAATACTAGCATCTCTCTCTTACTGTTACTGGGAGTGTTCAAAAAAATTAAATTGCTACACAGGACAATGTAATCCTGTGTTCTATTTGACTTCCTCCTTTCTCTCATTGCCCTAAACCAATCAATCACCAAGTTCTGTAGATTTTTCTCTCTTCCATATCTTTAACTTCCACTGCTTTTCATTCTCACGGCTTATTTAGGGCCATCCACATTTCTCCTAGATCGTTTACTGTAATTGCCTCTTTGATAATCTCTCTGTGCCCAGGCTGGTCCCCACTTTAATCCATTCTCTACTTTACTGCCGGAGTGCTCTTTTTAAATAATAAGTCTGACACCCTATTTAAATGTCTTTATTCCTCAGGATTAAATTCCAGTTCACCCCTCTCCTCGGTCTGGTCCTTCCTTGCTCCCTTCTCCAGCCCCTGTAGACTTCTACTTCAGCCACGCAAGCAATCCAGGGCTTTCAGGGCCCACTGAGCCAGGTCCTCCTCGTTTACAGGCCATTGACGTGCTACTGGATTTGTCAGGAAAGTTCTTTCCCTCAACATTACATAACTCCTACTCATCTTTGGGTATGCACTCAGCTGTGACTTACCATAGGAAAAATTTCCTAAACCTGTCAGAGTGGGGTAAAGTGCTCCTTTGGGATCTTTAGCACCAGGAGTCTTCTCTTCTCCCCTCCCTTTCCTTCCTTCCTTCCTTTCCTTTCCTTTTCTTTCTTTTTTTTTTTTTTTTCAGAGTTTTGCTCTTGTTGCACAGGCTGGAGTGCAATGGCGTGATCTTGGCTCACTGCAACCTCTGCCTCCCGGGTTCAAGCAATTCTCATGCCTCAGCCTCCCGAGTAACTGGGATTATAGGCATGTGCCACCACACCCGGCTAATTTTGTGTTTTTAGTAGAGACAGGGTTTTTCCATGTTGGTCAGGCTGGTCTTGAACTCCCGACCTCAGGTGATCCGCCTGCCTTAGCCCCGCGAAGTGCTGGGATTACAGGTGTGAGCCACCGAGCCTGGCTTAGCTCTAGGAGTCTTTCACGTAACATTATAATTTCCTGTTTATTTGTTTATATTCCTCAACAGACTGCAAAATCACTGAAGGTAGGAACTGTGTCTCACTCACTCTTGTATCCCCAGTTCCTAACACAACCTCAACACTGGGGAAGCCCTCAATTAATGTTGGGTAAGTAAAGGTACTTATGACAAACTATTAGTTAGCATCCAAGTCCTGTCCTGTACTTATGCAACTGATTTTGTTTCAAGGGCACAAAATTTATACTTGTGAAATTTCTTGTTACTGGATATAATCCACTGCTTCAGACTGGTAAGAACTTTGGATCTTGATTCCATCATCCATGTTATTTGCTCTCCCTGACTATCATGTCATCTATTATTGTGATGAGATTTTGCATCTTCATCCAAGTCACCTGAAAATATGATGAATAAGATAGGCCTGTGGAGACAGGTCTGTGTCACATCATCACATGATCTGGTTTAACCAGTTAGGAAGGTAGTCATTGCATTGAGAGACTTTATCAAGTGCTTTGCAGAAGTAAAGATGCAAAATATTCTCCACATTTCCTAATTCTACCTAAGGCAGGAGATTAGATTAGTCTAACATGATTTCCATGTGAATCTGTGCTGTTATTTATTATCATGTTCACTACAAATCCAAGCAGTAAATCATTATTTTTAATACACTTGCCTGGAATGTTTCCTGGAATTAGTGTATTTTTTCTGGTTCCACCTACTTCTCATTTGTTTCTACTTCCTCTGGCCCTTTAACAGGCCAGAGCACCCAGGTATCATATCCAATCCTGTCTTTATCTTAGGGGATCTCTCAAGAATATCCCATTCATGTGCTTTTGTCCCAGTCATTCTTGTGCTCATCCTCATTCTCTGGTTTTGAATATTCTGCAACATACTTGTGAAGTGGCGTCATTTGTCTGGGGTAAATACCCGAGGTTCATCGTCTCCGTCTCGCATCAAGCAAATTGAGAATTCAGACAAAAGAAGTGGGTTTAGGGCCAGGCGCGGTGGCTCATGCCTGTAATCCCAGCACTTTGGGAGGCTGAGGCGGGCGGATCACCTGAGGTCGGGAGTTTGAGACCAGCCTGACCAACATGGTGAAACCCTGTCTCTACTAAAAATACAAAATTAGCCAGGCATGGTGGCGCATGCCCGCAATCCCAGCCTCTCAGGAAGCTGAGGCAGGAGAATCGCTTGAACCCGGGAGGCAGAGGTTGCAGTGAGCCGAGATCGCGCCATTGCACTGCAGCCTGGGTAACTGAATAAGACTGTCTAAACAGCAACAACAACAACAAAACAAACAAACAAAAAACCAAAGCCACCTCAAGAATTACTCATTCCTTGGGTATCTCCCATGTATATAGGAAATAAACAAGTAAATAAATTTAAGTTTGTTTTTCTCTTGTTGATCTGTCTTTGGTTTCAGGGCTCCTCTCCAACTAAGAACTCATAAGATTTCAGTAAAAAAAAAAAAAGTTTCCCCTTCACCACACTGCCTAATTTTAACCTATACATTTTTAAAAACCTTTGTTACATAAATAAAATGTGTGTGAATCAGATGAGGTATGGCAAGGATAGGCAGTAATAAAACATGAAGGCCGGGCGCGGTGGCTCACGCCTGTAATCCCAGCACTTTGGGAGGCTGAGGCGGGCGGATCACGAGGTCAGGAGACCGAGACCATCCTGGCTAACACGGTGAAACCCCGTCTCTACTAAAAATACAAAAAATTAGCCGGGCGTGGTGGCGGGCGCCTGTAGTCCCAGCTACACAGGAGGCTGAGGCAGGAGAATGGCGTGAACCCGGGAGGCGGAGCTTGCAGTGAGCCCAGATCGCGCCACTGCAACAGAGCGTTGACTGGGCAACAGAGCGAGACTCCATCTCAAAAAATAAAAATAAAAATGAAAAATAAAACATGAAAACAAGGAACAAAAGAGGTAGAATTGGCTGTGGGTTCATTGAATGCTGTACCTTCACCTGAATTGCCTGGGGCCAAAAAGCATTTCAACTATTCAGTTATCTCCTTTCCCTTTAATTCTACGCTTACCAAGCAACCTTCTAATTAAAATCTTAGATTGCACTGGTCATGCTGACATCTGTATTTCAGGAAGTGTGACAGTTATCCTTTACATATTAAAAAATATCATTCTAGGTTATATCTGAGTAATCTATGAGTTTCGTTAAGCCCCCCCTTTTTTTTTTTTCTGAAAACAACGTCACAACTTGAGCCAGCAAACCTAAGCACCATGATATGTGATGAATAATTCACCAGGTAAATGCTATATTGTGAATATTATCACACTAAGTCAGAAGGCATTTTGTGTTGCTATCCTTATTTTGTCTGCTTTCAAACATTAACAATTTCCAAATAAAATGTTATTTTTATAACATAGGTCACATTAGTTTTTTTTGTGTGTGTCTTTATCCTCCTTTTCTTCATAACACAATCGTCTAATTGATATATAACTACTTCAAATATAGAACTATTTTCAAAAAGATAATCATATATGGACCTCTGTGTCTGGTCATTTCTATACTCTTGCTATAACTCTAGAAGCTTAAAAATGATCTATGTTTTTTCTCCTACTTAATTACTTACAGAAAATGCTACAGTAGTTTCTTTCTTTTCAGATTCCCTAACCACCATTTTCTCTCATATCTTATTGATTTGGCCAGGACTTCCGAAACAATATCAAATAATAATAAATATTACTGGTATCATTTGCTGATTCTAATTTTAGGAGGATACGTCTAGGTAGATAAATGTTGGTAAGTCCTAGATACTCTTTCTGACTTTTTCGTGGTCAGCTTGGCTAATTGATTACAAAACCCTAAGGGTAACTGCCTGACTGACTAGATTTGGCTCGTCAAATGAAACCCACTAGTCATGCGGATCTAAATACCCTTAGTATAGTAAGGAAACATTTTTTCTATTCCTTTAAAAGATCAACATGCATAGCCGGGTGTGGTGGCTCACGCCTATAATCCCAGCACTTTGGGAGGCCAAGGTGGGCGGATCACCTGAGGTTGAGAGTTCGAGACCAGCCTGACCAACATGAAGAAACCCCATCTCTACTAAAAAAAATACAAAATTAGCCGGGCGTGGTGGTGCATGCCTGTAATCCCAGCTACTTGGAAGGCTGAGGCAGGAGAATAGCTTGAACTCGGGAGGCGGAGGTTGCAGTGAGCTGAGATTGTGCCACTGTACTCCAGCCTGGGCAACAAGAGCAAAACTCCGTCTCAAAAAAAAAAAAAAACAAAAAAAAACAATCAACATACAACATACTTTTTCAATCTTGTCAAGTCATTTGTTTTAAATAAAGTCTCTTGAAGTGATTATGGTTTCCAAGTACTTCTGATTATCAAGACTGTCTGGATTTCTGGGTTTTGCTTTGTTTCTTTTCTTGAGAAGATATAAACCAAAAATAAAATTCTAAGCCCCCCAACAATCTGAATGGACCCTCCCCTCAGGCAAAAGCATTCTAAAGTTAACCTGAAAAACTAGTGCAGGCCATCATGGGAAGGGGGAGTTGGACACACCTCATTATACCCTCCTCCCTTTTGGAATTCAGGCTTAGCTGACCAGCCTTAACATCAACACAGACTTTAAGACTAATACAACAGACTCTTTAAGTCTAATAAGAAACATTTGCAATCTATTGTCTCTGAAGTCTGCTACCGGACACTTTATCTGCATCATAAAACCTTGGTCTCTACAACTCCTTATCATAACCCAGACATTCCTTTGTATTGATTCCAGGTCTTTATTTTATTTATTTATTTTGAGACAGAGTCTCGCTCATTGCTCATTGCCCAAGCTGGAGTGCAGTGGTGTGATCTTGGCTTACTGCAACCTCCACCTCCCAGGTTCAAGCGAGATCCTCCTGCCTTAGCCTCCCAAGTAGATGAGACTACAGGTGTGTGCCACCACACCCAGATAATTTTTGTATTTTTAATAGAGATGGGGGTTTTGCTATATTGGCCAGGCTGGTCTCAAACTCCTGACCTCAGGTAATCCACCCACCTCAGCCTCCCAAAGTGCTGAGATTACAGGCATGAGCCACCATGCCTGGCCAAGGTCTTTAGATAATAATTTTTTTTCTTTGAGACACAGTCTGTGTTACCCAGACTGGAGTGCAGTGGTGTCATCTTGGCTCACTGCAACCTCTGCTTCCCAGGTTCCAGTGATTCTCCCACCTCAGCCTCCCAAGTAGCTGGGATTACAGGCGTACCTCATCATGCCTGGCTAATTTTTGTATTTTTTGGTAGAGACAGGGTTTCACCATGTTTCCCAGGCTGGTTTCCAACTCCTGACCTCAAGTGACCTACCTGCCTCGGCCTCCCAAAGTGCTGGGATTACAGGCATGAGCCACCGTGCCCAGCCAATAATGGCTCTTTCAACCAATTGTCAGTCAGAAAATGTTTGAAACTGCCTATGACCTGGAAGCTGACCGCTTCCAGTTTTCCTGCCTTTCTGAACTGAACCAGTGTACATCTTACATGTACTGACTGATGGCTTATGTTTCCCTAAAATATATAAAACCATGTTGTAGCCTGACCACCTTGGGCACATGTTCTCAGGATCTCTTGAGGGCTGTGTCATGGGCCATTGGTCACTCCCATTTGGCTCAGAACAAACCTTTTCAAATACGTTACAGAGTTTGACTCTTTTCATCAACAAAGGAAAACAACTAAGATGGAGGTGGTGGTGGTTTTAGTCACTGCTGCTGCTATGGGCACCCTCCCACCCACCTCCCAGCAGCGGCTCATTCTCGCAAGGCTCTGCATAAAAACATTCCTCCTCCCCCTACTTTTTGCAGCTTATTGCTTTAGAATTCCTGTGTTATTTGCCAACCTCTTTCTTGTCTCAAAGTATGTGTGGCCCTCTAGTGGAAACTTGGAGCCTCCCGGTATTTGGGAGTTAAGTATCCCCAGGTCTTCCAAGTGAGATGCCAAACTCATTCCAAAACTTGGGGTCTGAATTAGAAACATCTAGATTTCCACCTGTCCATGATAAAAACTGTAAGATTCTCCCTGAGGCCTGAAAGCTTGAAGGGATGAGTAACTCCTCCCTTCTCAGGCCCAGTCCCAAGGCACAAGGCTATTTGTGTCAGCAGCGTGCACCAGCAAGGTAGCCGAAGCAGGAAGACAGCCAGCTGGAAGACCCCTACCCTGGTGGGAAGACACGTACCCCTGAAGATTGAAAAAGAGGCCGTCTGGGTACTGTAGTATGTAGTACATAGCAGTCACGTCAAACTGGGACACTTCCTGTTTACAGGAGACCATAAAACCCCTGCTCTGTTCTCATTTTGGTGCTGACGCCATTTTAGGCCTCAGCCTGCCTGCACCCAGGCGCTCATTAAAACAGCATGTTGCTCCACACCGCGTCGTGTTGTCTGTTGGCTCCCTCTCGGGGTTCAAACGGATACAAGAACCTTACATTTTGGTGCCAAAACCCGGGAGAGGCTCAGGTCTGCATCCCCCGTGGACCTACCCCTCCACCCCGGAGAGCAGGCCACAGCAGCCGGACAAAGGAAGCTCCTCAGCCTCCAGTCAGCTCTCTGTGCGTGCACACCGGTCACTGATCTCGCCTACTGGTGAGTTTCCCCAGGACCCTGGTTAACAGGGAAAAATCCGCATGGTTTCTCTTGGTTTCTCTGGTCCGAAAATCCAACATTGGTCCAAAAAGGCTCTGGAGTGTGCCAAGCACTTGCTGATCATCTGGTCTTAGGGGGACACCTCTAAGCCATTCGATCCCATTCCAGGAATGAAAAAGGCAGCGGTGACGATCGTTCTTTTTATCGTCTCCCTCTGGCCATCCAGGACAGTGTCCTTTTCCCTGTTTTCCCGAGCCAACCCTCCTTTATAAAAAACTCCCAGTCGTCCATTCCAAAAAATAGCCCTCTAGGCTGCCTCATAAAAAAACCTGCAAACCTTAGGCCTCAGCCAAGATATCTGCCCTAAGCACCTTGTCTTTTTTGTAATTCAGTCTGGCCACAATATGAATTGGATAATGGGTCCAAATGGCCTGCAAATGGAGCACTCGACTTCACAGTTTTAACTGATTTAAGCAGTTATTGCCAACGACTGGAGAAATGGGGAGAAATTCCTTATGTCCAGGCCTTTTTGCACTCAGATCACAACCCGAACTCTACAATTCTTGCTTACCTGTTCAAATCCTTCTCCTCCATTCTTGCCGCCCTGATCGCCTTTCTTCTCCTGACCCTACCTCTTTTTCCTCGTTGGGTCCAGCAGACTGCTGTCCACCCCTCCCAGCCCCTACCTTTCCCTCTCAACCGTCTTCTTTAACCTCCCAAGCCTCTTCTTTGTCTTCTCAGCTGCCATCTTCCCAGATGGCATCACCTCCAAACGTACCCACTTCCCTTCCTACACCCCGCCCCCCTTCTCAGGTCAACTCTAGCATTGCCTGTACCCATTCTCTTTCCTCACTGCCCTCTCTTGAGGCCTATAAACCCATCCCATCACCTTAAGCCCCTATCTATCCTCCACTGCCTATCAACTCAACCCCCCTTCCCCCTTCAAACCCTCAGCAGGAACCAACCACTTCTGGCTTCTTCCTTCTCTCCCACCCATACTTGCTTGGGTATCATCTTTGGCCCATGTCCCAACCTTACTTCAGCGCCAGTGCTAGAGTGCCCCCCTCGGGAAGTAGCAGGAGCTAAAGGTATTGTTAAAATTCATGTTCCCTTCTCCCTCACTGATCATTCTCAAATTAACAAAAGACTCATTTCCAGAAGACCCTACCTCTTATATTAGGAAGTTTCAGTACCTTACCCAGTCTTATAAACTAGCTTGGCATGACCTCTACATTACCCTCTCTTCCACCCTCACCCCAGAAAACCAAGACCATATCTGGGCCCTAGCTCAGGCACATGCTGATACACTTAATGACTGGGCTGCCCAACCCACTGGTACAAAGGCAGTCCTCAGCCAGGACCCCCACTAGGATTATCAAGATGGGGCCCCTGGACGCTGCTGTCAAGACCGTATAATTGTGTGTCTCCTTGCAGGACTCAAGACGCAGTCAACTATGAAAAACTTTCAGAAATCACCTAAGGTCCTGACGAAAACCCAGCCCTTTTTCTCTCTCGTTTAACTGAAGCCAGGAGAAAGTATACCAACCTAGATCCAGCCAACCTAGAAGGAACCACTATTTTAAACCTTCACTTCATCTCCCAATCCACCCTGATATTCAGTGCAAGCTTCAGAAGCTTGATGACGGCCCTCAAACCCCACAAGACCTTCTTAATTTAGCCTTCAAAGTCTTTAACAATCATAATGAGGAAAGTAAAAGGCAAAAAACAGGCACAGTTTCAAATGCTTGCCTCCGCCATCAGGGGCCCTGCAGGCCCACGGGGCTGCAGCTCCACATGGAGGCCTCCTAGCAATCCACCTCCACCTCGTGCCTATTTCAAGTGTGGCAATGAAAGCCACCGGTCCAGACAATGCCCAAACCCAGGTAAGCCCACCAGGCCATGCCCCCTCTGCAGAGGACCCCACTGGAAGTTGGACTGTGAGCAGCCCCCGCAAGGACTGCCCCCATCCCTTCCTGAGCCGACCAAAACCTCCTACTGGGATCTCATCGGCCTTGCTGCTGAAGACTGACGGTGCCCTGGAATGGACGCCCTGGCAACTACCATCGCTTCATCTGAGCCAAGGGTAACCCTGATGGTGGCAGGTAGGACAGTATGTTTTTTTTTTTATTAATACCGGGCAACCTACCCTACTTTACCTAAATTTTCAGGACCCACCCAGCCCTCCCAAGTCTCTGTTGTAGGAATTGATGAAGAAGTCTCCAAACCCCGAGCCCCCCTCCACTGTTCCGCTCCCTGAACACCTTTTCCTTCACTCACTCTTTCTTAGTCCTGCCCTCTTGCCCAACTCCACTCCTAGGCAGAGACATCCTTTCAAAACTCCACACTACTCTCCACCTCCACGTTCTCCATGGTACCCAACGCATCAACCCAGACCCCTCCGGAGCTTCTAACTTTCTTCTACTCCTCCAACCTCCCATATTAAAACATGCAACTTTTCCTTATCCCCCAACCGTAGTTAACCCTGCTGTTTAGGATACTTCCACACCCTCAGTCGCAGAACACCACAGCCCCGTCCACGTTACCCTTAAGGAGCCCAGTTCCTATCACAGAAGCAGTATCCCATCCCCCTAACAGCTCTCATAGGCCTAAAGCCTATCATTTCTCACCTCCTTGCCTGTCACCTACTCCGCCCAACAGACCCCCCTTTTAACACACCAGTTCTACCTGTTAAAAAGCCAGATGGAACTTAATCACGCAGTCCAGGACCTCAGGCTCATTAACCAAGCTGTACTCCCAGTATGTCCAGCAGTTCCTAACCCATACACTTTACTTTCCTCAGTTCCCTCCAATACCACCCATTTTTCTCTTCTAAACCTAAAGGTTGCTTTTTTTCACAATTCCTTTACACCCTGATTCCCAAAACCTCTTTGCCTTTATGTGGGAAAACCCCGACACCCACCTTTCACGTCAGCTCACCTGGTGCGTGCTACCTCAAGGTTTCAGAGACAGCCCCCACCTTTTTAGACTGGCCCTTGCTCGCAATCTCTGTACCTTATCCCTAAAACGGGCCACTGTCCTTCAATATGCTAATGATCTGCTCCTGGGTAGCCCCTCTCAAAAAAAAACTGCAACACCCATACTATCTCTCTTTTAAACTTCCTGGCAGAACGAAGGTATCAAGTCTCCCCTAAGAAAGCACAGATATGCACCCCTTCAGTCACCTACCTAAGTTTAGCCCTTGCCCCAGAAACCCGAAGGCTCACAACCAATGGCATATCCCTCCTCCGGTCCCTCCCACCTCCACAAACTAAGCAAGAAATTCTCTCTTTTCTAGGACTAGCAGGATATTTTAGCCTCGAGGTTCCCTCCTTCACTCTACTTGACAAACGGTTATACCAAGCCGCTAAAGGCCCCCTCCGTGAGCCTTTAAACCCTGCACAGCCTATTACCCAACCTTTCTGTCTACTCCAGAAGGCTCTCACCTCAGCCCCCGTCCTCACTTGCCCAGACACAGACCTCACCAAACCTTTTTCCCTCTACACCGATGAATGGCATGGAGTTGCACTGGGTGTTCTAACCCAGCCTAAAGGACCCACCCTCCAGGTTGTTGCCATCTCTCTAAACAGCTTGAAGCCACAGTTCTTGGATGGCCTGCCTGTCTCCAAGCATTGGTGGCAGCTGCTGTCCTCACCCTTAAAAGCCTAAAACTATCTCTCCATGCCAACCTAACAGTTTGTTCAACCCAAAACATCAAAGATATTCTAGCTCAGTGTACTAAGTCTCATCTCTGCCCCACAGCTCCTCCAACTATATGCTCTATTCATAGAAACTCCCCACATCACCGTACTAACCAGCTCCCATCTAAACCCAGCCACGCTCTGTCCCTGTCCTTGTTCTCTCCTCTTTACTCCTCAAAAGAAAAGGAGGACTTCCAGGCCCAAAACCTTCAAAAGCAAGGACCATGGTATGTCAAGGAAGGGCGCTTCATTCTTCCTCACTCTCAAATAATCCCTATCCTCCAAGGTCTCCACAACCCTTTCCATGTCAGTTACAAACTTCTCTTACAACTTCTCCACCCTATTCTCTCTTGTCCTCACCTTTCCAGCCATGTTAAAAAAAATCATCCAGTCCTGCTCTATCTGCCACTCAGTGTCACCCCAGGGCTCCCTCTGGCCACTGCCTTTTCCTACCCACCAAGCCCAGGGCCAGGTACTCGGGCAAGATTGGCAAGTAGACTTCACTCACATCGCCACCCGATAAATGGCTCCGCTATCTCCTAGTCTTTGTCTGTACTTTCTCTGGGTAAGTAGAAGTGTTCCCAACAAGTTCAGAAGGTACAAATGTCATCACACAAACTCTCATCATGCATATAATTCCCCATTTTGGATTCCCAACATCCATCCAGTTCGACAATGGGCCCACTTTAAAGCCAAGTTACTCAAGGCATTTCTACATCCTTAGGAATAAAATGGGTTCTCCACACACCTTACAGGCCTCAATCTTCAGGCAAAGTTTAAAAAGTCAACTCTGTCCTTAAAGCTCAACTCAGCAAGCTAGCTCTTGAAACCCATCAGTCATGGACAAGAAATCTCCCTTTCACCCTCATGAGACTCCACACAACACCAAAAGCACCCTCTTTTTATAGTCCCTTCAAAATCATGTATGGCTGAAATTTTGTCTTAAGGCCTCCATCCTTACCAGACTTGGAGCCACTCAAGAATTACCTCCCTTCCTTAATCCAGACACGGTCTTTCATTCGTAAAGCAGCAAATAAGGCCATGCCTCTCCCTGTCAACAATTCCTTGTCCTCTCAACATAACTGTCTTGCAGGCACAGATGTGTCTCCAGACAATGCAGACAGTGCTCCTGCTACAATGACACAGTAGATACCAACCCATCTTTCAAGAATACCCCCGAAAATTAAAGTTTTCTTTTCTCAGGGTGCTCTCACCACCCACTGTGTCGCGCCTGAAGTAGTTATTGAGAAAGTAATCCCTTTTCCCTTTTTTCTATAACCAAATAGACAGGAATATGAGATTCTCCCTGAGGCCCGAAAGCTTGAAGGGATGAGTAACTCCTCCCTTCTCAGGCCCAGTCCCAAGGCGCAAGGCTGCTTGCTTCAGCAGCGTGTGCCAGCAAGATAGGAGAAGCAGGAAGAGAGCTGGCTGGAAGACACGTACCCTGAAGATCGAGAAAGAGGCCATCCGGGTACTACGTAGCGGTCACATCAAACTGGGACACTTCCTGTTTATAGGAGACCATAAAACCCCTGCCTCTTCCTCAGTTTGGTGCTGACACCATTTTAGGCCTCAGCCCGCCTGCACCCAGGCGCTCATTAAAACAGCATGTTGCTCCACACCACTTCAAGTTGTCTGTTGGCACGTTCTCAGGGTTTGAACTGATACAAGAACCTTACATAAAAAATGGCTATGAAATAAAAGATAAATAGTAAGATAAAGTCCCAGAAAAGGACACGTTAAAAACCTTTCTCCTGTTGCACACTTTGAGAGGAGGGATGTCTACACAAATCAGGACAAATGTAGAACCTTAAGATGAGTTAGCCTTTTTCTGAGGATGATGTGTTCCTGGGACTCCCTAATCACTTTAAAGAACTAGAAAATACACTGGGCATGGTGGCATGTGCCTGGAATCCCAGGTACTTGGGAGGCTGAGGCAGGAGTATCGCTTGAGCCCAGGAGTTTGAGACCAGCCGGGGCTACATACTGAGACCCTGTCTCTTTAAAAAAAAATAGCAATTGGTAAATAAAATCTGTTAATCTGGTGTTACTTGTAGTATTTTTATCAAAGGAGGTACCCCAGAGAATGTAACTCACATGAAGTATCATCACTACAATCTAGTCTGACCCAGAATACAATTTCAGACACCATTACTAAGCTATTATCTCCCCCAAACAGAGAGACAATGAAAATCTAGGCTGATCAAACTATAGCTATCGCCATGTTTAATTGTCTGATTCATCGTTTACCTTGGACTTCAGATCTATACTGTTGTACTAATAGGTAAACTTCAATTTAATTTAAGAAAAATGTGTTTACCCACTCTGTTCCTAGAACTATATTTGATTCATGGGGGGAGTACATAGGTAAGTGTAAGACTCAATGCTTGTGTTCATAGGTAAGTGTAAGACTCAATTCTTGTGTTCATTGCCATACAATTAGTTATATGTCAAGTAAGGGTAAAAGTTTATTTTCAATTCAAGAGATTATGCCCAGTAAGAGCCCCCCACCAAGATAAGAAAGATGCATTAGAATACATCTATATTGTCTTGTTCTCACTGGCCATGAATCATTCATTATGTAAGATCTTTGTGTATCTGAAACCTATTTTCAGTCTTTCTCCCATTAAACATTGCAGCTTCTACTTCTAGTATCACAGAGTCCTGCAAGATTCTGGGAAGACATTCAGAACCTCTTCTGCTGTGAGAGGACACACGAAAGAAATGAGCTCACCTTTCACTCAGTAGAGAACTCTTTGGTAGCTAGAACCTTGGTCAGATCTTTTTCCCCAAACACAGCACACAAGCAGCCCTATGGATTTGGGGGATTTGCTTGTCTTTTTCACTTGAGTTCAGAGAATTATGGAACAAATGAATTTTAAGAGAATTTAGAGATCTATACTAACAGCCTCATTTTAAAATCTTTTTATTCCCTCTTTTGTTTTACACACGAGGTAAAGTAAATTGGTGAAAGTAAATTTCTTTTTTTTTGAGACAGAGTCTCACCCTATTGCCCAGGCTGAAGTGCAGTGGTGCGATTTTGGCTCAATGCAAACTCTGCCTCCCAGGTTCAAGAGATTCTCCAGTCTCAGCCTCCTGAGTAGCTGGGATTACAGGTGCCCACCACCATGTCTGGCTAATTTTTGTAATTTTAGTACAGACGGGGTTTCACCATGTTGGCCAGGCTGGTCTCGAACTCCTAACCTCAGGTGATCCAAAGTGCTGGGATTACAGGCATAAGCCACCATGCCTATGAAAGTAAATTTCAACACTGGCTGAACATCTAGATTACTAGGAGAGATCTGAACATCATGATTAGCAGGTCTACCCCACACTAACTATCTCAGGAAACTCTGGTGGTGGGATCCAGGCATCAGTAGTTTATTTGACTTTTTAAATTTAATTAATTAATTAATTAATTTTTTTCTCGCTCTTGTCACCCAGGCTGGAGTGCAATGGTGCGATCTTGGCTCACTGAAACCTCTGCCTCCTGGGTTCAAGTGATTCTTCTGCCTCAGCCTCCAGAGTAGCTGGGATTACAGGCACCTGCCACCATGCCCGGCTAATGTTTTGTATTTTTAGTAGAGAGGGTGTTAGATATGAGTTCTAAATTTATCTTCAAAAAATCAATATGTCAGTATGTTCAATTGCCTTCTACTTTTAAACTTAACTTCCTCGTAAAGCAACCTTCTTCGATTAACTGCTCCACCCTGACTCATTCCAATTACCTGCTCCACCCTGACTCATTCAGATTACCTGCTCATTCTCCACCCTGACTCATTCAGATTACCTGCTCATTCTCCACCCTGACTCATTCAGATTACCTGCTCATTCTCCACCCTGACTCATTCAGATTACCTGCTCATTCTCCACCCTGACTCATTCCAATTTCCTGCTTTGCCATAACCATTTTTTCCCACCAAACCACTCACCCTGTCACTCTCTTTAAATTAGCCAGTCAGAATTAGTTTAGCCTGTGCCGTCTAACCCTAGCCAATAGGGGAAAGACACAGCAGCAGGGGCCACGTGTGTCTGGGACAAGAACCCCTTCCCCTCCCTTGTCCAAATGTGCACTCACTATTGCTCCATCTGTAAGGGTGCACCCTTCTGTAGAAAGTACATTGCCTTGCTGAGAATTAAAAAAAAAATTTTACATTCGAGTGCTATTTCTTTTGCGGCACCGAAACTTTATTAACAATTTGGGGTTTTGCCAGTGATTACATTCCCCTCCGGGGGGCGGGCTCTGGTTCTCTCTCATGAGAAGGCATGCCCCGCCCCCTTGTGGTGGCCTCAGAGGTGAGAAATCAGGACCCACCCAGTGTGGGACCCACCCAGTGTGAGGAGTAACCGGCGCTCTCAGCAACGCAGAAAGAAACTGGCTAGCAACCTGACTTAAAGGATTCTCACATACTGCAGTGATGACTGTGCGTAGACCAGGGAAGGAGAAGCCGCAGGAGCCGGTAAAGTACTTCCTTGGTGGTCAAATTCTGGAGGGCTAAATGTGTGTGTATGAATGATCACAAACAACCCTACTTGCCGTGTCGTTCGTGTGGATTATGACAAGTCCTACTGCTGGATGGAGTGAGTGGGTCCTCTCCGCGGTTCTGTAAGCCTCCTGTGGCTTAGGGCAGATCCTTCTGTGGGATTTATACCAGTGAGCCAACACTAAGAGGGGCCTAATTCTCCCTTTGGGGAGCAGCCAGAGAGGACAACATGAGTGGGAAGTGTGCAAGGGACCTTCAGAGGGGGAAAGGGAGGAAACAGGTCAACCTTCCAGAGCAGCAAGGCAAGACACCCCTGGTTTAAGGGGTTGAGCCTTCTGCAAATTTCAGGGGGTTGAACCTCATACAAACCTCTGGTAGTAAGAAAAACATTCAGAACTCCCCTTTCCTTTCCCCTCGGGGGAAGAAAGAGTAGTTCCACTCCCGCTGGTCCCTCCCCTAGGGGAAAGGGAAGGGGAAGGAGAGGGGAGAATGGCAGCATAAGCAGCTGGCAGAGGCAGGGAAAGACCAGCAAAGAGGAAAGAGAAACGGGGAGAGGAGGTCAGAGAGAAAGAGACAGAGAGTCAAAGAGAGAGAGAAAGAGAAAGACAAAGAGGGAGTCAAAGAGAAAGAGACAGAGTCAAAGAGAGAGAGAGAGAAGTAGTAAAGAGAAAAGAGTGTATTATATTTGTTTAAAAGCCAGGGTAAATTTAAAACCTATAATTAGTAATTGAAGGTCTTCTCCGTGACCCTATAACGCTCCAATACCACCTTGTTGTCAGTGTAAACAAGGGTATAGCCTGAAAGCACTAAGGCCACTGACAACCCGTAGCCTTCCTAATCAAAAATCCTTAACCCAGTAACCTGTGGATGGCCCAAATGCATTCAATCTGTAGTGGCAACTTCTTTGCTAACAGAAGAAAGTAGAAAAATAACTTCTAGAGAAAACCTCACTGTGAGCAAACCTCATCAGGTCAGAACTATCCTAAGTCCAAAAAAAAAAAAAAAAAAAAAAAAGGCAAAAAGGTAGCTTACTGACTCAAGAACCTTAAAGTGTGAGGCTATTCTGTAGAAAAAGATGACTCAACATTAACCACTGAAAATTCCCTTAACCCAGCAGGTTTCCTAACAGGGGATCTAAATCTTAATTACCATACAAAGGTCTGACCAGACCTAGGAGGAACTCCCTTCAGGACAGGACCATAGATGGTTGCTCCCGGTGATTGAGGGAAAAAGACACAATGGGTATTCACTAAGTGACAAGGAAATTCTTCTAGAAGCAGAGTTAGGAAAATTGCCTAATAATTGGTCTGCTCAAACGTGCAAGCTGTTTGCACTCAGCCAAGCCTTAAAGTACTTACAAATCAGGAAGGAGCCATCTATACAATTCTAAGTTAATATGGACTGAATGAGGTCTTATTAATGGCAAAGAATACTTGAAATCCCAAACTTAAAAGGTTTTCAATAAAAGTAAAGTCTGATAAAAGTTAGCAGTGTATGTATTATCCTAACTTCTAACCTTGTGGCCTTAGACAGTCTAGTCCACAGACAGGAAGGAAGTTCGCTTTGGAAAAGAATGGTTATCATCTTTGAGAAAAAAAAAGGGGGTGGGGAGAATTTATGAAAAGGAATGTTACATGGTAAATTCTTGTCCTAAGATAAATTAACTGATTGTTTAAAGAAAGGGATGTTTGCAACAAGTCAAAAAGTTGAGGCATGTTGAAGAATTGTCTGTGAAAGTCATGAAAAAAAAAGGTGTAAAAGGGAGTTTATGCAAGAAATGTTGTATAATTTAAAAGTAATTAGGCCTCCTGAATGTAAAACTATTGAAGAAACAGTTTATGTGCAAGGTGTGTAAGGAAAGTAAGATATACCTTTGGTAAAAGTATTATAAGGAGGCATAAGAATGTGGATTTTTACCTATATTAAAAGGTTAAAAAAATATATCTGGTTATAAAGGTTTAAGCAAGTTCTGAAACATTAATTGTAAAGGAAATTCTGTGTGTAAGCATATTGGCTAAAGTTAAAGGGGTATAATCTAGTTTTTCTGTGAACTGGACATTAATATAAAAGCACAACAGGTTTTTCTTAAAGCACTAACCTGCTCTTTAACCAAAATTATAGAAGGTTAAAAAGAGTCTATAAAAATCTTACATTACGGTCAGACATTAAGAATTAGATAAATATGTCTACAAGATTTTATTAAAATTAAGTTTAACATTAATAACACACTAATATAAAGGTGAAATTTAGCTTACGTGGTATAAAAGTCATACAGGAAGCATTGTCAAATATAAAATGGTATTTGGCTTTCTTTGGTCTAAAAACTAATAAAAATAGGTGCTAAAGGAAATTTCTCAGTAAGAAGGCACCAAGGACTCTAAAGTCCACTGCTGATGTTCCCACATTTAAAACAAAAGATCGATTTCTTAGAAATTTTATACTTGGTTTATCTTCCACTTTCCTTGCCCTCAAAACTAAAAGTCTTTTAGCACAGGTACCACCCCTAGAATTTCCGGTAAACCAGCACCAGCCTGAGGATCACGTTCTCATCAAAGGGTGGAAAGAAGGAAAACTCGAGCCAGCCTGGGAAGGACCCTACCTTGTGCTGCTAACCACCGAGACTGCTGTTCATACAGCGGAAAGGGGATGGACTCATCACACCCTAGTCAAGAAAGCACCACCCCCTCCAGAGTCGTGGGCCATAGTCCCAGAGGAAAACCCTACCAAACTAAAGCTAAGAAAAATTTAACTCTCTTTCATCTATTCTATTACTCTTTCTTCTTTCCTCACTCTATTGCTGACCATCTAGTTATTAACATAACCAAGTCAATTTCGCCTCAAGCTATTGCATTAGATGCTTGCCTTGTTATACCCTGTGGGGATTGGCCAAGTCAAAGACAGCTCTGTACTTCAGAAAAGTACCTCTGTCCCTCCTGACTCTCCTCAGACTGGGCATTAGTGAACTGGGACCATTTAATCTGGGGAGATTTTGATAAAGACCCCAATGTCAACCAGGAGTCTTGCCCCCCGATGTAGAGCTTTTATGCCGTAGTTGGTCCAACGTTCTGTGGACCACTAAAGAGCAAGGATAGACTGTCCCAACTGGTTTTTGTAATTTCCTAAAACCATACATTCGTTTTACTAGAGGGACAGCCCTGCCACCCAACTGTCAGGTAAACCAGTGCCATCCTCTACAGGTTATTATCTCAAACCCTCAAAGTTCTTCCACTTTTCTAAGCTGGTTCCCTTCTTTAAGTCAGTTTTATGGTATGGGGGCTGAGGTTTCAGGGACAGACCCTACTGGATTCTTTGCAATGTGTTTCTTTGATCCCCCACCACCTGCACCTTCCTCTAAGCCTTCTTCCAAACCCTCTCACAGTGGAACAATTGCTCCTCCTCCATCTAATGACAAGACCAAGATAGCTATCATAGAAGTTAAAGACTTAAAACAAACTGGCAATTAAGACGGGATACCAAGATGCAAATGCCTGGTTGGAATGGATCAAATATTCCATCTGCACGTTAAACAAAAGCAATTGTTATGCTTGTGTGCACGGCAGGCCAGAGGCCCAGATTGTCCCCTTTCCACTAGGGTGGTCCTCCAGTCAACCAGGCATGGGCTGCATGGTAGCTCTTTTCCAGGATTCTACAGCCTGGAGTAACAAGTCATGCCATGCTCTCTCTCTCTGCTATATCCTGAAGTCTGGCACCCTGTGGGTCAGCCCCCGAGGGCCATCCCCTCGGGGATGTTGGGAGTGTTTCATCTCCCAACACTAAGTTCACTTAGTGTCTCTCATGACAGGGAGGAAACTTAGCGTTCCTTGGAGACCTGAAGGGATGCAGTGAGTTTAAGACTTTCCAAGAGCTTACAAATCAGTCAGCCTTTGTTCATCCCTTAGCGGATGTGTGGTGGTATTGTGGACCTTTACCGGAAGCTCTGCCAAATAACTGGAGTGGCACTTGTGCTTTAGTACAATTGGCTATCCTTTTCACCCTGGCATTTCATCAATCGGAGGAAGGAAAAATAAGACATTGTAAAGCAAGAGAAGCCACTTACGGGTCTTTCGACTCACATCTATTTAAATGCAATTGGAATCCCATGGGGAATACCAGATCAATTTAAAACCTGAAATCAAAGAGCTGCAGGATTTGAGTCAATATTTTGGTGGGGGACAATTAATAAAAATGTAGATTGGATAAACTACATCTACTACAACCAACAGCAATTTATTAACTACACTAGAGTTGCTGTTAAAGGAATAGCTGAGCAATTAGAGGCTACTAGCCAGATGGCTTGGGAAAATAGGATAGCCTTAGACATATTAGCAGAATGAAGAGGAATTTGCATCATGATTAAAACTCAATGTTGTACCTTCATCCCAAACAACACCGCCCCTGATGGAAGTACAACAAAGGCATTGCAAGGTCTGACTGCTGTGTCCAATGAGTTAGCCAACAACTCAGGGGTAAATGACCCCTTTATAGGAGGGCTAGAAAAGTGGTTCAGTAAATGGAAAAGGATAATAGCCTCAATTCTTACTTCCCTCACAGCCGTAATGGGTGTACTTATTCTTGTCGGGTGCTGTGTCACACCATGCATCCATGGGTTGGTGCAGAGGCTCATAAAAATGGCACTCACTAAAACCTCCCTTAACTATCCTCCACCTTATCCAGAGAAGCTTCTTCCTTTGGAAAATCAAGCAAAACAACTAAGCCGAGACATGTTAAAGAATTTTGAAGAGAAAAAACTGTAAGGAAATATAAGAGGAGGGGTTGTTAGATATGAGTTCTAAATTTCTCTTCAAAGAATCAGTATGTCAGTATGTTCGTATGTTCAATTCTTTGCCTTCTACTTTTAACTTCCTCGTAAAGCAACCTTTTTCGATTACCTGCTCCACCCTGACTCATTCCAATTACCTGCTCCACCCTGACTCATTCCGATTACTTCCTCTGCCATAACCATTTTCCCCACCAAACCACTCACCCTGTCACTCTCTTTAAATTAGCCAGTCGGAATTAGTTTAGCCTGTGCGTTCTAACCCTAGCCAATAGAGGAACGACACAGCAGCAGGGGCCACATGCGTCAGGGATAAGAACCCCTTTCCCTCCCTTGTCCAAGTGTGTGCTCACCATTGCTCCATCTGTAAGGGTGCACCCTTCTATAGAAGTACATTGCCTTGCTGAGAATTAAAAAGAACATTTTATATTCGAGTGCTATTTCTTTTGTGGCACCAAAACTTTATTTATAACTAGGGGTTTCACCATGTTGGCCAGGCTGGTCTCAAACTCCTGACCTCAAGTGTTCTGCCCGCCTTGGCCTCCCAAAGTGCCGGGATTACACACGTAAGCCACTGTACCTGGCTGGCATTGGTAGTTTTTAAGAGCTTCCAAAAAGATTTATCGAAAAGTCTCATCAAGTTATAAGTAGCAGAGCTGGGGAAAAAACACACTTTTTTTCCCTGACCTTTTATATTACCTGAGCTATATTTATTACACCACTTCTCTGTTTTTGAAAATTCACCTTTCTACAGTAGCAGTCATTAATTGTTGCCTTTTTATTGGAGAGCTAGGCTTCTCATTTATTCTTTTTCAGATGATATTGTACACATCATGACACCTTTCTGAAACCACCTTTGCAAAATTATGACCGAGACAGTGAAACAGATCTAACCTAACTAACTCTATCTTGCTTTTAAGCTTTAAGCTGTCCTTGTTCATTCCCGGGGTAGGCTGAACTAACTTTGGGAGAAACTTGCTTTATGGTTTGTAGTTTAAAACAAAGACAATAACAACCCTTTCCTAAAGCAGACCTCCTTCTTGCCTGGGGACTAGATTCACTTTGTAGGACTAACATTAGCCACAATATTAGAAATTATGGTTTAGGAGTCATGCAGCTGGAGGCTACAAGATTCTGACCCTCCCTAAACTCCTCCTAAGATCAGTGCTTGAGATATTTTGCTGACCCTGCACTTGATGGATCAGCTGGCACCACCCAGATTGATAAACTGGCTCATCTGATCTTGTGTCCCCCACCCAGGAACTGACTCAGTGCAAGAGGACAGCTTCAGTTCCCTATGGTCTTGTTTCCTAACTGACCAGTCAGCACTCCTGGCTCACTGGCTTCCCCCCACCCACCAAGTTGTCAGTAAAAACTCTGCTTCCCTGAATGCTTGGGGAGACTGATTTGAGTAATAATAAAACTCCGGTCTCCCACACAGCCGGCTCTGTGTGAATTACTCTTCCTCCATTGCAATTCCCCTGTCTTGATAAACTGGCTCTGTCTAGGCTGTGGGCAAGGTGAAACCACTGGGTAGTTACATTCCTCCTTCATGAAAAACACATTCCATTTCTTCCACAACCACCTTTTGATTCTGCACCATGTCTAATATTTTTTGTATAGTATTTTCTTTGTTTCTAGTCAGTTAATCTTCTGTGACTCCGTAGCCTTCTACAATGAGACATTAATTTACTTGACATGTATTAATTGGAGACCAACTGTATACATGGCACATGATCAGGAGATATGTGTGAATAAAACACCCTTTCTGTTCTTGAAAACAGTGTAATTTGGGAGACTGAGAAGAAAGAATTCCCACTGAATGTGAGACATGGTATAATAAAGTGTGAAATGCTGTGGAATCACAGATAAAAGAGCAGGCAAGGGCACGCTATTGTTTGACACAGAAGAAAAAATGGTCTCTTGCTCTCCTATTAGAAGTGAAATACCTTTTTTTTTTTTGAGACAGAGTCTTGCTCTTGTTGCCCAGGCTGGAGTGCAACAGCACGATCTCAGCTCACTGCAACCTCCACCTCCCTGTTTCAAGCGATTCTCCTGCCTCAGCCTCCCTGGACCTGGGATTACAGGCTCCCGCCACCATGCCTGGCTAATTTTTGTATTTTTAGTAGAGACGGGGTTTTGCCATATTGGCCGGGCTGGTCTCAAACTCCTGACCTCGTGATCTGCCCGCCTCGGCCTCTCAAAGTGCTGGTATTACAGGCGTGAGCCACCTCGCTGAAATACCACTTTTATAGAAGGCAATTGACATTATCTAAAGCCTTATCAAAAGTCCATGTTCTCTAAACACATCTAGGAATATATGCCAAGGAAGTAATTGGGCAAGGTGTAGTGGATGCGGTGGTGCATGTCCCAGTTCCCCCACTTCAGGAACACGGCACTCATTCCCTCCACTGACTAGTGATGGTGATGAACAGCTAGCTCTCAGCTGAGTCTCTTTCTCTCTGGGAATAGCCCTTTGTGTTGACAGAGGAGAAAAGAAAAAACCCAGTCAGGCAGGCAGTTAGGGTGGGTCCTTGGTTTAATCCTTTCAAACAAAACAACAGCCTGCAGGCACAGATACAGGAATTTGCATAGGGGCTTGCCTAAGACACGCCCACAAACATGAGAAGGGCGACCCAGGTGACTTGCTTAGACATGCCTGCAATGGAAAATTCCGTCCCCTGACACACGTGCAATAAGGGGCCCGCACGCACATTAGGAAGACACGGTGGGGCTACGACACATTCACCCCTTATGCAAAGGAGACTCCCAGCCCTCATGGGTTTTCTATAAAAGCCTTTGCATTCAACTGTAGAAACAACAGTCCTCTTCCAGGTCCCCTCTCTGCAGCGGAGAGCTTTCTTCTTTCGCTTATTAAACTTTCACTCCAACCTCACCCTTGGTGTCCAGGATCCTTAACTTTCTTGGTCATGAGACAAAGAACTTAGGATGATGCCTTGGGCAGCGAGAGACTACTACATTGTGGTGCATTGGCAAGAGTGTAACAGTGGCAGAGAACCATCCTGCTAAAAGTGAAGCCTCCTCCCCAAGGGCAGTCAACATCTAATAAATGGTAACGGGATATAAAGGCTTGGTCCCTTTACCTTAATTCAGAACAACTCTGAAGGTCAATCTAGCTCTAAAGAAAGCTAGAATACCTGTGGGATTGGCCAAGGCCTTTGTTGTGACTGCATCAAAATCCTACCTCTTCTGCCCGATAATGCTTCCTTCACTCCCTCTGCAGATATTGCCCCAAGATTGCTGTGCAGTAAACTTTTTTTTTTTTTTTTTTTTTTTTTGAGACGGAGTCTCGCTCTGTCGCCTAGGCTGGAGTGCAGTGGAGCGATCTCGGCTCACTGCAAGCTCCACCTCTCGGGTTCACGCCATTCTCCCTCCTGTCTCAGCCTCCTGAGTAGCTGGGACTACAGCCACCCGCCACCACGCCCGGCTAATTTTTTTGTATTTTTAGTAGAGATGGGGTTTCACCGTGTTAGCCAGGATGGTCTCCATCTCCTGACCTGGTGATCCGCCCGCCTCAGCCTCCCAAAGTGCTGGGATCACCGGCATGAGCCACCGCGCCCGGCCTGCAGTAAACATCTTAAATGCACATCTTAATCTCAGTGTTTATTTTTGTAGAGAATCTGCCCTATGACACAAGAGTATAAATGCAGACATAGAAGAGTTTTTATTGAAGGCAGTGTACATGTAACAAGTTGTAAATCTTATAAATGTCCCCAAATACAGAATTTGTTTAATGAATTATGATATATCCATAACATGAAATACTATAGAGCCATTTAGAGTAATATAGATATATGTTGACTTGGAATATATAGGATGGAATTTTTTGTGTGTGTGTGTGACAAGGTCTTACTCTCTCGCCCAGGCTGGAATGCAGTGGTTTGATCATGGCTCACTGCAGCTTCACCCTTTTGGGTTCCAGCCATCCTCCCACCTCAGCCTCCTGAGTAGTTGGGACCACTAATTTAATTTTTTTTTTTTTTTAAGTAGAGACAAGGTCTCACTATACTGCGCAGGCAGGTCTTGAGTAGCTGGGACCACAGGTGTGAGCCACCATGCCCGGCTAATTTTTTAAATTTTTAGTAGGGACGAGGTCTCCCTCTATTGGCCAGGCTGGTCTCGAACTCCTGGGCTCCAGCAATCCACTTGCTTCCGTCTCCCAAAATGTTGGGATTACCGGCGTGAGCCACCAAGCCCAGCCTAGGATATGTTTTTAAATAAACTTAAAAAAATTGAAATATACACACAGAAAAAACATAATTACATAGCTCAATAAGTTAGCTCAAAGCAAACAGATCTGTGTTCACCACTATCCAGGTTAAGAAATTACATATTACTAGGACCCCAGATGCATTTGAAGAGAAAAAGCAGAATCTGAAGCAGTGTTACAGTACTTCATATTTTATAAAATCTTACACATAGACAAAAGTGTGGAGAATTACACCCTAAAATGTTAATAATGTTGTAGGTGATGAAAATACAAGTAGTATATTTCTATTAATTTAGCAGGAATTAAAAAAGATACAAAAGATACAAAATTATCTTTTTCAATATTCCATATCTAGGTCACTTGGTAACTTAGAGAAATATATACTGCAACTTCCTAATGAATATTTATTAACTGCTGACTTGTTCCCAAAATTCATTAATTAGCACCCTCTAATTCTGTATTGTAAGCTCCATTACTGGATTTATCTGTAATTTTGGGGTCTCTGTTAATACTATATTCCTGAAGCTTTCTATTTAACTCAGTGAATTGATGATGGAACCACAGACAGACCAAAGTTGCTTTTTCCTACTATAGAAATCAACATAGAATGAATTTATACATTAAATTACAGCACTTACTCTTCATGCTGCCTTAGCTTTACAATAAAAGCTTTAAATTCCTGTAAGTGTGAATACACTGTGGCATTTAGTTTCTTCATAGAAAGATAAAACTTTGTGAATTGTATTTAGTGTGAACATACACAAAATCCATACTGGGGTAAAAATCCATTTTTTTGCTGGTCTTTCACAGGAATTTAGGAGTATGGGGGAAGGGGTATAGGTGAGAACTTTGTCTCTTTCTGTGTATCTGTGTTTCTGCACTAAGGTGTGGGGTTTGTTTTTTCAGTTAGACCAAAGGCAATTGATGAATACACTCACAAAAGTAACTCTGGCTCTGTGAGAAGCATAAAAGTCTTAAGAAACTAGATTTCCTATTAAGATCCAACCTTTCTTCCTTAGAGATATTGAGGGGAAGATCTTTAGAAGGAGATAACATTAAAAAACAGACGGGCCAGGCGTGGTGGCTTACTCCTGTAATCCCACCCAGCACTTTGGGAGGCCAAGACAGGCAGATCACCTGAGGTCAGGAGTTGAAAACCAGCCTGGCCAACATGGTGAAACCCTGTCTCTACCAAAAATACAAAAATTAGCTGGGTGTGATGGCAGGCACTTGTAATCCCAGTTACTTGGGAGGCTGAGGCAGGAGAATCTCTTGAACCTGGGAGGCAGAGGTTGCAGTGAGCTGAGATTGTGGCACTGCACTTCAGCCTGGGCGACAGAGTGAGACTCCGTCTCAAAAGAAAAACAATAACAACAACAAAAAACAAACAAAACTCAATGTTTTAACTGGGAGCCATCTTAGAGATTGTTGTTCTTTACTCTTTAGGGGATAATACTAAGACACAGGGAGGTCACAAGACTTGACCTCAGTCACCAAGTGACCTACTGGCAAAGGCATCAAGACCCAGCTTGTGGAGGGGGCTGGGTTATGTGTGGGGCTTGTAGAAAACAAATCCCACACCTTAGTGCAGAAACACAGATACCCACACTTTTCCTCACATGTGTATGTGCTAAGTAGGATACCCGCTTCTGCTCACATAAAACAACCAGAGCTCTGCTGAGGTCTGCTTTTTAGCATCTGTATGAGAGATATAAATAGGTAAAAGAAAAAGAAAAATAGGAAGTAGAGTTGAGTTTGGGGCAGAACCAGAATGGCAGAGAGAGGTTGAAGATTGGCCCTTCTCCATTTTTTGGGATCTTTCTCTCTCGTCTCTCTCTCCTTCTCTCTCTCTCTCTGTCTCTCTGGGTGTCTCTCTCTGTCTCTCTTTCTGGCTATCTCTCTGTCTGTCTCTCTCTGTCTCTTTCTCTCTCTCTCCTGCAAGGAGCTGCTCTCCTCTCTCCTTTCTTCCGTTTGGACCTCTGTGAGGTGTGTGTGTGTGTGTGTGTGTGTGTTTCTGTCTCTCTCTCTCTCTCTCTCTCTCTCTCTCTCTCTCTCTTGCAAGAAGCTGCTCTCCTCTGTCCTTTCCTCTGTTTGGACCTCTTTCTCTGTGTGTGTGTGTGTCTGTCTGTCTTTCTGTCTCTATCTCTCTGTGTCTCGCTCTTTTTCTCTCTCTCTCAAAAAAAAAAAAAAAAAAAAAAAAAGATTGGCTGTTCTGGAGAAGTGACAACTGTCAGGCCTCTAAGCCCAAGCTAAACCATCATATGCCCTGTGACCTGCACGTATACATCCAGATGGCCTGAAACAACTGAAGATCCACAAAAGAAGTGAAAATAGCCTTAACTGATGACATTCCACCATTGTGATTTGTTTCTGCCCCACCCTAACTGATAGATGTACTTTGTAATCTCCCCCACCCTTAAGAAGGTATTCTTTTCAAGGTCCTGTTTCACTTGCCTCCATAGCCATTGTGGATATTGACGGCCAGGCTGCTAAACCTCTTAAAACTCCCCAACTCTGGTGCCAACTTGGACAACATTCTTTTATGCACTCCTTTTAAGTTATCCCCACCTGCCCACCTCCCTTATTATGTCGAGACTTTTTAACTAAATTATCTGCTTCCCTGACTATTCCTGGGCTACAGCCACACCTCATTGCCACCCTTTTCCCCAGTTCAAAGCCTCCTTCGCATCCTTCCCCTTGTATCTCTCCACCTTAATCCACAAGTATGGGATACCTCTACTCCCTCCTTGGCAACCGATCATGCACCCCTTGTCATCCCATTAAAACCTAATCACCCTTACCCTGCTCAACACCAGTATCCCATCCCACAGCAGGCTTTAAAAGGATTAAAGCCTGTTATCAGTTGCTTGTTACAGCATGGCCTTTTATACAGGTTAGTTCAGGATTTGCACCTTATCAACCAAATTGTCTTGCCTATCCACCCCGTGGTGCCAAACCCATATACTCTCCTACCCTCAATACCTCCCAGCCTCACAGGCCCATTCTATTCTGTCGTTGTTTCATAACCCCTTCCATGTAGGTTACAAGCCACTAGCCCGCCTCTTAGAACCTCTCATTTCCTTTCCATTGTGGAAATCTATCCTCAAGGAAATCACTTCTCAGTGTTCCATCTTCTATTCTACTACTCCTCAGGGATTATTCAGGCCCCCTCCCTTCCCTACACACCAAGCTCGGGGATTTGCCCCTGCCCAGGACTGGCAAATTGACTTTACTCACATGCCCCGAGTCAGGAAACTAGAAAACCTCTTGGTCTGGGTAGACACTTTCACTGGATGGGTAGAGACCTTTCCCACAGGGTCTGAGAAGGCCACCGCAGTCATTTCTTCCCTTCTGTCAGACACAATTCCTCGGTTTGGCCTTCCCACCTCTATACAGTCCGATAACGGACCAGCCTTTATTAGTCAAATCACCCAAGCAGTTTCTCAGGCTCTTGGTATTCAGTGGAAACTTCATAACCCTTACCATCCTCAATCTTCAGGAAAGGTAGAACGGACTAATGGTCTTTTCAAAACACACCTCGCCAAGCTCAGCCTCCAACTTAGCAAAAAGGACTCTGTCAAAAATAGAGCCCAAAAATTCACCAACCAAACAAGTAATTACACTGAACCTCCTTGGACACTCTCTAATTGGACGTCCTGGGTCCTCCCAATTCTTAGTCCTTTAATACCTGTTTTTCTCCTTCTCTTATTCAGACCTTGTGTCTTTTGTTTGGTTTCTCAATTCATACAAAACCGCAACCAGGCCATCACCAATAATTCTATACAACAAATGCTCCTTCTAACAACCCCACAATATCACCCCTTACCCCAAAATCTTTCTTCAGTTAAATCTCTCCCGCTGTAGGTTCCCACACCACCCCTAGTTCCGCTCGACGCAGCCCTGAGAAACATCGCCCATTATCTCTCCATACCACCCCCCAAAATTTTTGCCGCCCCAACACTTCACCACTAGTTTGTTTTGTTTTTCTTATTAATATAAGAAGACAGGAATGTCAGGCCTCTGAGCCCAAGCTAAGCCATCATACCCCCGTGACCTACAGGTATACATCCAGGTGGCCTGAAGCAACTGAAGATCCACAAAAGAAGTGAAAATAGCCTTAACTGATGGCATTCCACCATTGTGATTTGTCTCTGCCCCACCCTGACTGATCAATGTACTTTGTAACCTCCCCACCCTTAAGAAGGTTCTTTGTAATCTCCCCACCCTTGAGAATGTACTTCGTGAGATCCACTCCCTGCCCTCAAAACATCGCTCCTAACTCCACCGCCTATCCCAAAACCTGTAAGAACCGATGATAATCCCATCACCCTTTGCTGACTCCTTTTTCAGACTCAGCCCACCTGCACCCAGGTGAAATAAACAGCCTTGTTGCTCACATAAAGCCTGTTGGTGGACTCCCTTCATACAGACGTGTGTGACACGAACCATGTTCAGTGGGCAGGAATTCAGCCAGATTGGATTGGAGTGATGGAAGCAGGTCAGACAATGGGTCAGAAGGCTGAATTTAGTGACAGATAACAGGCTCCATTTAAGCAAATGTGAGTCTTGTTCTCTAAATGAGATAACACTGGCCTCTCTTCACCTTGATAGACCTGATAGGCTCCCCCATCCATGTGCTTTGTCCCTTGGCAATATGTCCTCCTATGGGAAAAGAGGTACTGTCATGCCATTGTGAGAGTCCTCAAGATTAACAGAAGGAGGAGGCAGGAGATGGCAGATGTGAAAGGAAACATTGCTTTCTTTTTCTTTTTTTTTCTTTTTTTTTTTTTTTGAGATAGAGTCTCACTCTATCACCTAGGCTGGAGTGCAGTGGCATGATCTCAGATCACTGCAACCTCCACCCCCTGGGTTCAAGCAATTCTCCTGCCTCGGCCTCCCTAGAGGCTGGGATTACAGACATGTGCTCCCACGCCCGGCTTATTTTGGTATTTTTAGTAGAGACAGGGTTTCGCCATGTTGGCCAGGCTGGTCTCTAACTCCTGACCTCAAGTGATCTGCCCACCTGGGCCTCCCAAAGTGCTAGGATTACAGGCATGCACCACTGCGCCCAGCCAGAAACATTTCTAAGCAATGATTTTCCTCCAGACCTTGCTTCCTTGATGAAGCCAGCATGTGAGACCTCTTCAAAGAGAGGGAGGCTACTGCTTGGAGCAGGTGTCCTCCTAGAGGCCTCGTCCCCCTAAGAAGGCTTCCCTTCCTCCAGTGTCGCATTGGAATCAACAAATGCCCCCATGGACTGAAGAGCGGGAGGCCTGACCTGCTCACCCACACTCCAGCTGCGCCAGTGAAGGGCCCCTAATGAGACCTCAGTAGGAGTCCCCAATCCTCCAACTCCTCAGAAGGGGTCAGCAGCAAAGCCATCTGTTTTCTCCCACCACAATTCCCAGCAGGAAGAGATGTGGGGGGACTCTAGGGGAAATCCAGACCTAAAAGAAGAGATCAGTTTCACCATAAGTTCAGCCCTTTGAGTGCACATCCTGGAGGCAGTCTCCCCACTTGAAGCATACTTGCCAGCATGGTATAGTGAGAATGCTGCCACAGAGTGGGGAAGCCAGGGACCGAGGATGCTTTCCACCTCTGCTGCCAAGGTGCTGTCTGACCTTGGTCTGCCCCGGCTCTCAGTCTCCTCCAATGGGCGGAAGTTACTTTCCATTGCTTGGGTCTTTTTGTTCCTTGAGTTCAAAGGTAAATGTCCATATTTTCTTTCACGTGGGAGTCCTGGTCAAAAGTTCATACTTTGACGACCTCAGCAATAAGCTCTTAGAGGGGCTGGGGCAGGTGGGCTGTCCCTTAGGGAAGGGATGAGAGGCACTGGTGCCTGATCTAGAGGTGAATGGTGGTGTTGGGTTGAGTCAGGGATAGGAAAAGTTCTCAGAAAATGGATGAAGTCAAGAGACCACTGAACAACCCAGGCTGAAAGGGAATCAGGTCTTCTGTAATCAGGAACCAGAGATAACGAAGTCTCTATCTTTCTATAGACACCCTGGCAACATTTGATTTCCATTTTAAAAGACCAGGGCTGGTCTGTGGGGTGGGAAGGGACCTATGGAGAGTGAGGAAAACTGGTAGTGTCAGGAGGCTGGGATGGTGGCACCAGAGGAGGTGGAGGCCCCCTGTGTGTTCTGGAGACCAGATTGTTGACTGCACCTGGTGTGCTCACAGGCCAGTCAGAGCCACTGTCTGGGAAAGTAGAACCTGTGCTTGGTGGGCCTCAGCCAAGGGCTCAGGCATCAGAACCTCTTTCTCTCCCAGTTCATACTGTGGGGTGGGGGTGGGGTGGGATTGGGGGTGGGAGTGGAAGCCTAATGGACAGAGAGGTGGAGAGTCTTATAAAAGGGGAATAAACACAGGAATGATAGCCAGCACAGCCACGGTTGCCTTTTCCCCTTCAGTAATTGGTTTGTCACATGAGGCAAAACGTTGCAATGTGGACGGGAGACAGAAATTAGGAAAAACTTGCATAATGTTTCACTGGGGAGGGGGTTTCTCAGTTGAGGCCCATAAATGCTTAGTTTTGGATTGGGCTTGAGGGGCTATACTGTCTCCTAAGAGACTCTTTAGCCCATAGGATCATAAAATCTCCCAAGCTCCTGCAGTTCAAATTGACCTTTGCTCCAGTCAGGAAAACTGTGTAGATTGGGACGGGGGCAGATGTGTTTCCTGAGAGAACATGGGAGGGGTGGGCCTTCCCACAGCCTGTCTCTGAGGAGGTTCCTTGGGGCCCTGAGCCCTTGGGTGTGGTGTAGCTCTAACCGTCTAGGGCTGCCTTTGGCTTTAGGAGGATTTCAGGGATTCATTTCCAGGCACTCTGTGAAAAGGGCAAAAATGTACTTCCCTTCATATCCTCACCGAAGCCTGGCAGCAGGCCAGTCACTGGTGCGGTTTCCTGACATGACTGTGGTCTGGGGAGACCACCTTGAACTCTGAAGTTTGTCCTCCCTTCAAAAATTCAAACTTGGGACCTGGATAGCCCAGTCATGCTCAGTGACAGAGAAGTTGGCATTTTGGGAAAAGTACTAAGAAATCTGATGTCTTCACTGCAGAGTCACTTTCTAAGGAGGAGACTCAGGCTCCCAAGAACATGAGGTAGGCCAGTTGCACTCATACCTTCTGGAGCCCACCAGACTCCAGCTCCTTGTTTCTCACCTTCCTGCAATTGGATGTTTCCCCCTCACACCATTCCTTCGCACTCAGGCTTATCACAAGTTTCTGCAAAGAGATTTTGGGGAGCCAGCAGATGCTCTCCCGAAGAAAATGATTCAGCTATATCCACCCTCACTGAGTGAAGTCCTTTTAAATAGGAGCTACATTTTTTTTTTTTTTTGAGACAGTGTCGCTCTGTCACCCAGGCTGGAGTGTAGTGGTGTGATTTCGGCTCACTGCAACTTCTGCCTCCCCAGTTCAAGCGATTCTCCTGCCTCAGCCTCCTGAGTTGCTGGGATTACAGGCATGCACCACTATGCCTGGCTAATTTTTGTATTTTTGGTAGAGACGGGGGTTTCACCATGTTGGCCAGGCTGGTCTTGAACTCCTGACCTCATGATCTGCCCACCTCAGCCTCCCAAAGTGCTGGGATTACAGGCGTGAGCCACCGTGCCTGGCCCTGACTGGGTTCTAAATGATTCTGGATTCTTAAGAATAAAAGACAGACAGACAGACAGTCTCTGTATAGATGTGTGGAAGAAGCCAGACAGGGAAGGAGCTCAGGAAGGAGAGGCTGAGAACTGAAGACGAAGCACAGCTTTTCTGAAGCTGCATTCCTGCCCCTCACATACCTTCAAACGCCCTCAGACTCAGACATACTTCCTCAGACATGGCTGAGAATGAACTCTTAAATGTATCTGTCCCAAATTCTTTAATGTCTGAGGCCACTGAGAGACAGAAGAGAGAAAGAGTCCCCAGACGGAGGGAACTTAAGATGGAGGTCTCTGACTCTGCCACTTCCACTGTAGCCTCTTGCCCAGTTCTGCTCCTTGATCCATCATAGGTCAGCATTAGCCAGTAAGTGGCCTAAGCGCACACGATTCAGGGAAGAGGACTCTGCAGGCCAGAAATGAGCTTCCTACAAAAGAGGAAGAGTTGGTTGGGTGTGATGGCTCACACCTGTAATCCCAGCACTTTGGGAGGCCAAGGCGGGCGGATCGCTTGAGGTCGGGAGTTCAAGACGAGCTGGGCCAACATGGCGAAACCCCATCTCTACTAAAAAGAAAACCCCACAAAAATTAGCCAGGCATGGTGGCAGGTGCCTGTAATCTCAGCTACTCAGGAGGCTGAGGCAGGAGAATTGCTTGAACCCGGGAGGCAGACGTTTCAGTGAGCTGAGATGGGCAACAGCTGTCTCAAAAATAAAAAATAAAAAAATAAAAAATAAAGGGAATGAGTTGAGGGATGTCATCTTGGCTGTTATCCTACTTTATCTTCATGGGCATCTGGGTTGTAGGCAATGGGTGAGAGGCGTGGGACAGCACGGGCTTCGGATCTTTTTTAGCTGGTTCTTGCATTCTTTCCCCTCACTTCCTTCAACTTTCAAACACCACTCCGCTCCCTTTGTCTGCCCCCACTGTTCCGTCTTTTCCTGTTCTAATTTTCCTTTGCCTTCTCACTTTCTGGGGTTCAAAAGGAATCCCGGAATATCATCTATTGTATGTGTGTGTGCATATTGTATGTACGTGCATGCAGGGTGTGTGTGTGCTCGTACATGTGTATTTGGGGGGCTGTGCTGAGCTTTTGTAGCCAGCCTAATGATAGGACATCCTTCAGATTATCTGAGCTTTTCTTGTAAAAACGTCCTTACCCTGTACATACCCACTTCCTTATTCTTCTAAAGAGCTTGTGGAAATGAGCACAGCCACCCAAATGAGAATAAGCAAAGGCTGTTTATTCAGAGTTGGCCACAGATGGCAGGTAACCACCATCACTTGCATTTGGCAGACACTCACAGTAGGCAGGAGAGTGGGAATCTTCACAATGGAAAACAGGAAAGGCTTCAGGGATGCTCTGGTTGCAGGCTGCGGCATGCAGAAGCTGTAAGTGGGCTACTGGAAGCAGGGCATCCTATGTGTTGGATTAGGGATGCATATTGGCTTTCTCTGATTGGTCCTAATTTGGGGAAGCGGAAATAAATATTAGGGAACTTTTCAGTTATTAATCAAGTCCATAAAGAGAGACTTTCAAGCAAGGAAAAAATTAAGAAATAAAATAGGGGTAATCAAGTCCTAGCTGTTTGGGGCCAATTGCTATAGGAGTTGTTTGGCTTCCTGGATTGTTTGCTGTATATAGTGGGTTGGCTTCTCATACTTATTGCTGGAGACTACAGGTCAGAGTTCCATCTTTATATATGGTCTGGTCATTGTTCATTTGTATGGTCAGTCTTTCAGTCCCTCCTTTTGGTCATTCTCTGACTTCTGAGAAGTTGACCAACTCAGAGAAAGTTAGAATTTCACATCTTCACCAATCATAAATTGTTCAGTCATCTTCATAGTGACCTGGATTGTAAGATCTTCTTGATCTTTCTATTGTATCATTATGGCAATCATCTGATGACAGAGTGGCTGCTAGAAGCATTTAAAACTCTGGATAAAACGGAACAGACTAGCATCATGACCACTATCAGAAAAATAAGAAACAATTGATAGTCCCTCTGAGATGCTTTAGAACCAGGAACTCCAATTGCTTAACCTAGGCCAAGAAAACAAATCCCATAAGCCATGAGGACCTTAGAGATCCAAATATTAATAGGTTTTTTTTTGAAGCAATATAGTCTTTTTTTTTTTTAACCTTGCCTGTGTCCTTGACCTAAGTATCACAAGAAGCACTGGCAATGGTGCAGACAAAATCGAAGTGGCCTTCCAACTGTGTGGAATTTTGAATCTCTTCTTCAGTTGTGAAACATGAACCCAAAGGTTGGCTCCTTGGAGTTTCACTGCTGTATCTATTGTTAACAGTATCTGATAAGATCTCTTCCTTTTGAATGAAGTTCAAAAGCAGTTATTCTCTGATTTTTCTTCCAGTAGACAAATCCACTAGTTGAGGATCATGGAGAGGTTGTTTAGGAAGATTTTGTAGGAAGGGGACCTTAACCTGTTGGTGATAGGACCACGTACAATACATGAGTCCCTTGCAGTATCTTGTCATGTCTGCATGGAGTAGGACAGACTCTAGTATTGGAGGTGAAATCTCTAAATGCATGGACCTTCCCGGTATCAACTCATAGGGGGATAACCTATGTGTCTCCAAGAAAGTGGCCTGTATATCCGTAAAGGATAGTGGATATACTCTTGGTCAAGGGAGCTCAAGGGTTTCTGAAATTGTTGCTTATTTTAATGTAAGGATGCCATGGGTCGTTTTTGTGGGTGGTAAGGATGGTGTAGTTTTTGAGTAAGAGTTCTTTTATAAAGGTCGCCTTAAAGTGTGTGCCTCAGTCACTTGATATAAAAGGTGGGATGCCCCAGATTGAAAACATAAAATCAAGCAGCTTGTTCACGGCTGTAAGGGCTGTAGCATTTTGGCAAAGAAATTCTTCAACTCATCCTGAAAACAGACATACAATATCTAAAACATATTCAAATCCCAGGGAGAGTGAAAGCCGGTGAAGTGTCTTGTGAAATAAAATTTAAGCAAGGCCATTGATTTGGACTGGGCTCCTGCACTAAGCCTAACAGATCAAACAGATACGGTGTGTTGTTTGATCTGTTAGGCTTAGTTGTTTACAGGCTTACAATATGTTGCAGCTGAGCTTTAACTAATTGCAGGAGACTCTGTAACCAATTAACCAATTAAGCTGCCTCTGTACCATGCTTCTTTTGTCTCCTATAAATGCTATCAGATTATGTCATTGGTTGGAGTTCTCTGAATTTCCTCTAGTTCCAAATCGTGCCTGATTTTTGAACTGCTTTTTTTTGTTTTGTTTTTGCTTTGTTTGCTTTGTTTTGTTCTGCTTTTCTTTGCTCAAATAAACTCAGCTAAAATGTACACTTGTCTAAGGTTTTATTCCATGTAACAGTCCGAAGGTGTCCAAAGAGGCTTTGGTTTCTGGCCATGTCCCAACTTTACAGTTTTTCCAGAGTTATATTTTTGACAGGTGACACATGACCCAAAAGTAAGCTCAGTTGCCTTTTCAAAGTTTTCCTACCAATGTTTACTTAAGATAGTAACCAATTTGTCTATGCCATAATGGGTGTTTCATGGAGAAATCCAGATAATGTAGGGGAGGAAATATCTTTCTTATTTGTCTTAAGTTCTAAGGCGGGGCTCTGTAACAGAAGGCAGATTAAAAAGTGAAAAGCATACACATTTATTTAATGTAAGTTTTACATGGCATGGAAGCCTTCTGGAAATGAACCAGTCTGAGTGGATGCTTATATACTAAGTTAGACAAAGAACAGTAAATTGTGAAAACAAGTCAAAGGGATATGGGCTAGGGCTGTTAATCGTGGAGAAGTGGCTAGGGAGATAAGGGCTAGTTTAACAAGGTTTATTTGTAGTTTTCTCTCAACCTCAGCTGCCCCCATCTCTGGTAATAAGAATGTCTTCCTTCTTCCACGGAGGGTCCCTGCTACGTGGGAGCATTGTCTCCTGCTTTTAGAAAGATCAGAGTGCCCTTCTTGCATCTGCTGTTTTTCAAGAGCTTTTAATTCAAAATAATCCATATGCCAGAAAGGCATATTTTGGGGTGGTATGTTTTGAACTCCTTTAGAAATATCTACTTGAGATCATCTGGTGTCACCAAGCAGCACCAGGAATTATCTGAGTGAAGAGTACAACTAGATGTTTTCCATTCTTTTTCAAAATCAGGGGCTAAATGTCAATATTTTATAATGGCCTCTTTGAATCCCCCAGAGATTTATCCTTTAAAGGTATAGATAGAGTCATAAGCTTGGTTAAAGTAGCTTCTTTGGCATAATGATCTGCTAGAGAATTTCCTTTAGTTTCCATATTGTCTCTTTTTATATGGACCTCTACCTATATAATAGCCACTTCTCTAGGAAGTGGGGGTGCATCTGAAAGTTCCTTAACTTGCTGTCCATTTCTAATGCCTATTTTCTTTTCTTTTCTTTTCTTTTTGAGACGGAGTTTTTGCTCTTGTTGCCCAGGCTGGAGTACAATGGCACGATCTCGGCTCACCGCAACCTCTGCCTCCTGGGTTCAAGCGATTCTCCTGCCTCAGCCTTCCTGAGTGGCTGGGATTACAGGCATGTGCCACCATGCCCGGCTAATTTTGTATGTTTAATAGAGACAGGGTTTCTCCATGCTGGTCAGGTTGGTCTCGAACTCCCAACCTCAGGTGATCCACCCGCCTCAGCCTCCCAAAGTGCTGGGATTACAGGTACGAGCCACCATGCCTGGTCTTCTAATGCCTATTTTCAAAGCATCTCAAAATCATATGCTATTTCAAAAGCATACCTGCAGTCTGTATATATGTTTGCTCTCTGGTCTTTGTTTAGGTGACAAATTCTAGTAAATGCAATACATTTTGCTATCTGGGCTGATTTTACTGCAGGTAGTAGACTTTTTCTTAAGAAGAGTTTAAAATAGGGGTAGCATAGCCTATTAATAATGTAGGGAACCAGAATATGCCAGCTCAATAATTTTGAGTTGATTATTTTGAAAAACAGTAAATGCAGGAAAAACTCAAAAAACAGGGCTCATCATTTCCACAGCTGCCTCTCCCCTCTTCCTTCCCTGCTGTGAAAGAACTATAAATGTCCTTTTTTTTTTTTTAAACAGTGTCTCTCTCTGTCACCCAGGCTGGAGTACAGTGGTACAATCACGACTCACTGCAGCCTCCATCTCCAGTGTTCTTCCACCTCATCCCCCTGAGTAGCTGAGACTACAGGAGCATGCCACCATGCATGGCTAGTTTTGTATATTTTGTAGAAAAAGGGTTTCGCCACCTTGCCCAGGCTGGTCTCAAACTCCTAAACTCAAGCAATCTGCCTGCCTTGGCCTCCCACAGGGCTGGGATTACAGGAGTGAGCCACTATGCCTAGCCAAGTTTCCCTTTTGTAAGAGAAATTTCCATTTATATTCCCATTTGTATGGATGTCTCCCTTTCCTGTGCCAGGAAGAGGAGGACTTAATCACGGAGGACTTATCAATGGAGAAGACAACCAACTTGAATTTGCTTAACAAACTTTACTAAACAACCCTTATATACTATACATTTCCTAGTCCGCTTGTCGCAACCTCCCCAGAAGCTCAAAATCCCTTTCCTATGTGCAGAGACAAAAGTGACTCCATCTTGAATGCTAATCTACCATGTTGACGTCTGATTAACCATGTCCCGGGAATGCCTCCTGATTTCTACTTTATTTACTGTCTCTAGTGTAGAAACATGTATTCACTATAAATCCTGCCTTTAGATCAAAACAACCTTAACGTTATCATGCAAATTATGGGCTATGACAAACACAGCATTCTTGCCTGTTCTGAAGAGTTGCCTTTCATTGTCTCTATATAGCACGTACCCCTTTTCCCTATGGTATATAAGCTCTGGGTCTGGGGAATAACAGTGCTGAGATTTACATGTCTTGCTGCTGCCCAAGACGACACTTCTGGCTATAAGTTCCCCAATAGAATAAAACACGCTTTACTGACAAACTGAATTTGTCTGCCTTTCTTTAGTTTCTAGGCTCCTTCAGCATTTGGGGCCACTTCACATATGTGGCCCTTTCATGGAACACTGTCTTGTCACTTCTGCACAATTTTCTTTGTCAAAATGGCCTATAAACTCTCAGGTTTAATTGCTTCTTTGAGTCTTCACTTCTTTTTTTATGAAGACTTCCATATTCATGTAGAATATTAATATTAAATTAAATTTTTATGCCTTTTCTCCTGTTAAATCTGTCTTTTGTCATTTTAATTTACAGGGCCCCCAGCCCTCTAGGAGGGTAAAGGAAGAATTGATTTTTCTTTCCTCAGTGTACTAACTTCAAGTTTCAATTCTGGGGTATGTTCCATCAATAAATCATATTAGGTCCGGGTTCTCAATAGGAGTTGCTAATAAATCTGACTGACATGCAGAATGTTTCCTACTGAGGTAAGACAATCAAGAGGCTCCCCTTCTGGTAGGGACAGAGGGTGGCAGAATTCAGTGTGTTGCAGAGATGAGTAGTAATTTATGAGAGGGAGAGAGGGATAGAATCTTATAAGAGGTTAATCGGCTGCCTGAAGTGTGCAGTGAGTTCTCAGTCAGGTGTAATGCCTGTGCTGCGTGAGAAACCAGGAGGTCAAGCAGGGAGTCTAGAACAAGTTCAGCAGAAGCAACAACAAATGTTGCCATGGCATCTACTGCCCTAAGACAAGCGGGGCTATGCCTCTGCAACTGGGTCAAGGATAAGGCTGCAGTAAGGGCTTCTGATGGTTCCCCATTGAAGTGCAATTAAAGCTCCAAGGGCTTGTCTAGATTGCTATGCATAAATAGACAAAATGGCTTCCTGTAGTTTCAGGATTCCTAGGGCCAGGGGCTGTTGAAGAGCCTTATTATAGTTACAGAAGATCTGTTCACATCTGAACTGTGGTTCTGAAATCATCTTGCTGGGTGGAGGCCACTTTTGTGCAGCCACGCCCAGTGCCTTAGTGGGGTCCACCTGACTAACCAAACCATCCCACCAGGCGCCCTTCAGGTGAGTCCTGTGCCTTATTTATGTCTGTATCCCACAGTCTAATGAATGAATGAACACATTCTAACTTGACTATTCAAGAGAATAAAAGTATTATTAAAGACTCAGAAAAATAAAATACAGGTGGGGGCTGGGGGAGTAAGGAAACTGTAGGGGCCAAGGAAAAATTCCCCTTTCACCCTCCAAAGGTTTGCTGAAAATCAACTGACAAAAGACAGATTGATAGGAAAAAACGCATACAAATTGATTTGATCGTAGTTTTACACGACACGGGAGCCTTCAGAAGACCCAAAGATAACAGGGGAAAGTGGGCATTCTTACACTTGGATATCAACAAAGTATGAACAGCTGTGTAGAAATATGACTGGACAACAGGGCGATCTAATGAAAATAGACTGAGTGGGGAAACCCAGCAAGGCCTCCCTGTCTAGATTCTTCTTGGCCTCTCTGAGCATTCGTCCTTTTTTTCTGGGTATGGGGGGCAGGACCCTCTCTGGAATGAGGATCTTACGACCTACAATCACACAAGGTAGGTCAGATAATTTCACTATGGCCACTTTTTACACAGAAAGGCTGAAACAATCTGAATACACAGCACGAAGGGATATTTTGATAATTCTTAGAGGTATCCAAATTGTTACTCAGCAAAAAAACAGGTCTCTTTCTAGGAGGGCATTCTGCTGCTAATAAATATGATATTCTTTGTATTTTTTCCCCAAAAAGAATTTGAGATTTGGGATTTAAGTTTATCTTTAGTTCCTCTACTCAATTCCGACCTACAGGGTCAGTGGTTACTGTAGATAAGAACAGCCCCATCCTCTCGATGCCCCCAGAGCAGGGGTGGAGGGTGGGTGGGAAGTGGCCAGAACTGGGTGAGCGCACCCTAGAGGCCTCCTCCTCCTCCCTATTCAGTTACTCCCCCTTTCTTCTCCAGATCTGGGAAGCCTTCCAGCTGGGGGCAGCAGGACAGCCTCCATTCCCCCCGACCCCGCCTCCCATCCCCGGGAGAGGTAGCGTTGGGAGAATGCCCTCCTAGAAAGAGACTTGGGTTTTGCTCCCTAGGAGCCCTGGAATAGCTTTGGCCAGAATTCCCTATCTCCCATTAGAACCTCTCCTTTGCGTCCTTTGTTAACCTCCAAGTCTACTTGGTGAAAACGCCCACGAAGAAGTAACAAGGACTTTGTTCCTAGTGTGCCAGGTTTGGGCACCAGTGCTGTAGTGGCTTTCTCTGCTGCTCCTTGTGCATCAGCAGACAGATGTGGTTCACATAGGAAGAAAGACTAACGTAGGCAAAGATTTGCTCTTTCTTCAGCAGCCCTAGAAAGACGGCGGCCTGGGTGATTCACCACTCCTTCCTCACGTCCTTGATTTTATTTGAACTGAGCTCCAGATGCTCCTCCCACCCTTTTCCTCTTGGAAGCCAAACCCCTTTGTAATCTGTATAAGGTCCACACCCCGGGAGCTGAGTGATTGCAGAAACTGGCCTTCCATCTCTCTCAGACACCAAGCTGCAGATCCAGGTAAGCAGCCCAAGAGGTGTTCTCAGGTGCCGCTTCTGCTTCAGGGTTGCAGAAGAGGGAGCTAGGGCCAGTCCACAGCACTGAGAAAGATTGGGTGATGCTAGCGCTGAAAAAATGTGGCCCAGGCAAACATCAGCTGGGGGCAGAGGGGTCAGGGTGGAACGTGCAGGCTGCAGAGCATCCATGGGACTGGAGAAGAAGGAGCCTCCAAATTGGGGGAGGCCAGCGTTTCTCTCTGGAATACAATGGAATCTTTTATGATGCCAGTGTCAGGCACTGGCCTGAGTTCCCTTATGCTCCAAGACAACAAGGCTCTGTCACCCATGGCCCTGGATGTCGGGGATACAATTTGGTTCATGATTTATTCAAACTGATGTTTCGATGAGCCATTTGAGCACTGGGTACAAATGTATTTTGGATCAAAGAAACTCCAGTATTCAAAGATAGGAACTGACAGGATTTTAGGTCACTTTGTAGGTCACCACCTAGAGGGGAGGAAGACCTCGCTTTGGAGAGTGGGAATAAAACGCTCGTGGAAAAGGGTACACGTGAGTGTCTCATTACACGAAAAACCTCAGGAAGTAGGATGGACGTCTTTCTGGCTGACCTGAAACAGAAAGTGTAAACCAGGCAAGCCATAGGTGGGAGCTGGAGTTCTTTTTCTAAGAGGGCTCTTTTCCTTCTCTCTCCTTTTCTCAATTAGGCTTTTCTGGGAAAGTGAGGCCACCATGGCTCTGGAGAAGTCTCTTGTCCGGCTCCTTCTGCTTGTCCTGATACTGCTGGTGCTGGGCTGGGTCCAGCCTTCCCTGGGCAAGGAATCCCGGGCCAAGAAATTCCAGCGGCAGCATATGGACTCAGACAGTTCCCCCAGCAGCAGCTCCACCTACTGTAACCAAATGATGAGGCGCCGGAATATGACACAGGGGCGGTGCAAACCAGTGAACACCTTTGTGCACGAGCCCCTGGTAGATGTCCAGAATGTCTGTTTCCAGGAAAAGGTCACCTGCAAGAACGGGCAGGGCAACTGCTACAAGAGCAACTCCAGCATGCACATCACAGACTGCCGCCTGACAAACGGCTCCAGGTACCCCAACTGTGCATACCGGACCAGCCCGAAGGAGAGACACATCATTGTGGCCTGTGAAGGGAGCCCATATGTGCCAGTCCACTTTGATGCTTCTGTGGAGGACTCTACCTAAGGTCAGAGCAGCGAGATACCCCACCTCCCTCAACCTCATCCTCTCCACAGCTGCCTCTTCCCTCTTCCTTCCCTGCTGTGAAAGAAGTAACTACAGTTAGGGCTCCTATTCAACACACACATGCTTCCCTTTCCTGAGTCCCATCCCTGCGTGATTTTGGGGGTGAAGAGTGGGTTGTGAGGTGGGCCCCATGTTAACCCCTCCACTCTTTCTTTCAATAAAACGCAGTTGCAAACACCTGATTTCTGAAGCGGTTCTGTCTAGGTACTGTTTCTGGCATTGCCTTCCAGCAAGGGGTAAGAACTGTAAATCTGATTCACTTTGGAGAACGGTGAATGGAGTAATTAAATGCCTTCCCTTCTGACTTGGATTTTAGTGGCTTGAGAAAATTCCTTTCCTTGTAGATTCCCTGATGCCAAACATAAAACTGTTAAGTGTGGGCTGTTTTAGACAAAAGGGAGCTACAGCCTGGGACACTGCCATGCAGGGTGAACTGACAGAGGGGTGAAGCTCAAATACAATCATTCTCTGGCACAGAAGGAAGGCAAGTGTGACCTCAGGAAGATCCTGCTTAGCCTCAGGGTGGGGAAGAGGACTCAATGAAATTATGATCCTAAATTTCCATTTTCCTTTTTTTTTTTTGAGTGAGCTATTACTAAATCAGAAAAATGGGCACCTCTTAGTTGGAAAGCCAGAACCTTACATTTTAGAGCCAGAAGTGACTTTGGAGAGCACGGAATTGAGGGATAGCAAGTAGATTTCAGTTTGTGTACCAACTCTAATTGGAAGTGCCGGTCGGGCGTGGTGGCTCACACCTATAATTCCAGCACTTTGGGAGGTTGAGGCAGGTGGATCACCTGAGGTCAGGAGTTCAAGACCAGCCTGACCAGTATGGTGAAACCCCCTCTCTACTAAAAATACAAAAAGTAGTGGGGCGTGGTGGCAGGTGCCTGTAATCCAGCTACTAGGGAGGCTGAGGCAGGAGAATCACTTGAACCTGGGAGGCGGAGGTTGCAGTGAGCTGAGATGGTGCCACTTCACTCCAGCCTGGGCAATAAGAGTGAAACTCTGTTTCAAAAAAAAAAAAAAGGAAGTGCCTACCCAAAATGCTGTAGCAAAAAATTCTGGACAGTGGTGTGGTTGAACAACAGCCTCTATCGAAGGCACGAGAGGGGGAAGGGTGTGTGTGCCACACATTTGCCATCCCTGACCAAATGTGACCCCTGCCTTTCCGGTGACTTGCACATGGCTTGTTGCTAGTTAGTGGCACAGCCGGGACTACACCCTAGGTTTCCTGACTTCCAAGCCATTGTTCTAACTCAGGAAGCCATTGCTCTAACTCAGGAAGAAAGCTCCCCTCCTCAGTAAGTGCTGTGGAGCGGTAGCTCTCTCCCAGAGCTTGCTGGTGGGCTCTCACAGGCTCCCAGTGTTCTTAGCCTGTGAGTCCACTCCACTCTTGGCAACCCTTCCTGACAGCCACTGAAAGACTACCTTTGGCATCTGTCAACACTTAACCTGGGAGGCAGAGGTTGCAGTGAGCCGACATCGCGCCACTGCATTCCAGCCTGAGTGACAGAGCAAGATTCCATCTCACAGGGTGGGGGGTGGGGAAGCTTGCCATATAAAGAATACTTTCTGCAGGGCCTGTGCGGAGATCCACTGTCTTGTGGCTGCCTGAGACATGGCTTCTATTTGTAAGTCCCTATTAAATGTTTCTTTCTGAGAAACTGAACTTGTCATGAAGTGGGATTTAAGGAACCAGAGAGACCAGATGGCGTGCAGGAGGGTGTTTATTTTAAGGTGTACACTGGCCCAGCGGACTTGTGTCCTAAAAGGCTGAGCCCAAGAACAAAGAAAATGAGTCCCTTTTAAGCATTTTGAGGCAGGAACTAAGTGAAGCAGGCTTACAGAAGTGAGAACAAAAGGCCGCTGTGACACTTTTGGAACATGTCTTACATCTCTGTGAGAACTTGGTTTGCAGCTTATGCTTATCTGTCTTGTGACCTTGCAGCTGTGCAGGGAAGAAAGAAACAGGAGTTTACAGAGCCTACAAAATATGTGGAGGATAGATATGGTTAACGTTTCTTGGGACAGACAGTTAATATTCTCTTCTAACTTTAACTTCAGGGGGGCTACTTAAATTCTTTTCAGCCTTGGTTAATACAGCAATTCATTCTATGAGCTATTGTTATTTCTCTTATTATTATTACGTATGCTATTATTTGTTATTTTCTTAGTTTCCTACTTCAGTCAAGCCCTTTCTTTGGCCTCTCATCTCCCTCAGCCCTTGGGGGTACATTGGCATAGACCTGCTCACTGCAGAACAAGGAAGGAGGAAGCAGGAGAAACCAAACCTGCCATACCGTGTTCTTGAACTTCTGGCCTCCAGTGAGAAAATGAATTTCTGGCTGGGCATGCTGCCTCACGCCTGTAACCCCAGCACTTTGGGAGGCTGAGGCAGGAGGATTGCTTGAGCTCAGGAGTTCAAGAGCAGCCTGGGCAACATAGTGAGACCCCCGTCTCTACAAAAAAATATTAAAAAATTAGCCAGGCAAGGTTGCAAACACCTATAGTCCCAGCTACTCGGGAGGCTGAGATGGAGGATCACTTGAGCCTTGGGGGTCGAGGCTGCGCTCCAGCCTGGGCAACAATGAGACCCTGTCTCAAAATTTTAAAAAATAAATAAATAAATAAATGCATTTCTATCGTTTGAGCCGCCCATTTTGTTATGGCAGCCCTAGGAAATGAATACACCCTTTAACCAATTCTTCCACTTCTCTTGGATTGCATCCGTAGCTGCCCTGACACATCCCTATGGCGGGCTGGTCTAAATTAGATGCCACGGTGGTGGGGATGGGGTGGCTGTGGGGTGAATAGAAGTGTCTGTGGGGACAAATGAACATCTACTTCTTCCTGGGACAGCTGGATGGAGTGGAGGGACTTTAGAAACCGTTAACAGGTCTTAGGGAACTGGCCCTGCGTCCCTTCTGAGGCTGCTGTAAGGGGAAAAGAAAAAGTAGGGGCATGAAAGCCCTTGGCAAGATGTGAAGCGAGGCAGCCTTCGTGCATGCTTGGTCAGTTGTGTACCTCCAGCTAGTTAGTGTGCAACAGCCCTCACGCTTCCTCTGCAACTTCTCCCCTGCCATCAGCTGAGCTTTCATGTTCTCAGTTCATGTTCTCGGTTCATGAGTGTTCATGTTCTCAGTTACTCTTGGAATATGGTTCAATTCAGAAATTCCCAATGCACTATTAATGAACATAGAGAGACGGATATACTATTCTACCAAAAAAAAAATCTGCCCTTTTAAAATCCAGGGAATGTCTGGACATACACATTCTTAAGTCAAAGGAACATTTTTCTAGCATTTGTGAAAGAAGGAGTGAATGAATGGAGGTTGGAAGGAGTGCAGTAGTTACAAAGATTGGCTTATTTTTTATGGGTCTAGCCTGGATTTTAAAAACCTGAGACAGGATAACAACTCCAAGTGCCTGTGGGACTTCTGTAAAATGGAAATATTCATAACACTTAATTAGAAGTACTGTGGTAAAGATGACATTCAGAGAAAGCGTAGTGTTCAGCGTTCTGTGGACACTCAGAAAGTTAGCCACTATCACCGAGGCATGGGGTATGGTGTTTCAGAGCCTTGGCTCTGGAGTGAAACAGACCTGTTTCACACTCCACTGTGCCTTTTGGGAGTAGTGTGGCCGCAGGCAGGGAACGTAACTTTTTTAACATCAGGTTCCCTATGTAAAATATCATGATAAACATGGTATCAACTTCAGAGATTTGTTGAGGATTAGTTGAGGTCACATATAAAAAATATTTAGGACAATGTCTGTCCATAATAAAAGCTATTACTCTTAGAATCAAGAATCATACATCCTATTCTATCACTTGCATGCAACCAATCAAGACTGGGGACAGAATTGACAATGTCTCACTACAGTTTTCTGTATTTATAATTCAAGGTGCCAACATATGATTTTTGTTTGTTTGAGGGCCTCAGATGAAAGAGGGGCCAGGAACATTAGTACTGGAACTCACAGGAGTATGAATTCTATCATCCCAAGAGAGGGGATAACCAGAGATCTAGAAAGCACAGAAGATCAGGCAGAGACAGTAGAAAGGCCTAAACTTGATTTCAAGAACCGACTCTCAAAAGAGTGAGTATAAAACCAGTGTATACACCAAGTACAGTCATGTGTTGCTGAATGATGGGGATACAATGTGTCATTGAGTGACTTCATCATTGTTGGGAACCTTACAGACTATATTACCTAAAACTAGGCAGTATAGCTTGCTCTACATCTAGGCTATATGGTATAACCTATTGCTCCTAGGTTACAAACCTGTTCAGCAGTTTACTGTACTGAATACTATAGGCAATTGTAACACAATGGTAAATATTTGTGTACATAAACATAGATAAGTTACAGTAAAAATATGGTATAAAAGGTAAGAAATGGTACACCTCTGTAAGACACTTATGTGTGGAGCTTATAGAATTAGAAGCTACGGCCAGGTGCAGTGGCTCACGCCTGTAATCCCAGCACTTTGGGAGGCCGAGGCGGGTGGATCATGAGGTCAGGAGTTCGAAACCAGCCTGGACAACATGGCAAAACCCCGTCTCTACTAAAAATACAAAAATTAGCCAGGCATGGTGGCATGTGCCTGTAATCCCAGCTACTCAGGAGGCTGGGGCAGGAGAATCACTTGAACCTGGGAGGCAGAGGTTGCAGTGAGCCGAGATCGTGCCACTGCACTCCAGCCTGGGTGACAGAGCAAGATTCGGTCTCAAAAAAAAAAAAAAAAATTAAAAGTTGCTCTGGGTGAGTCAGTGGGTGAGTGGTGAGTGATTGTGCAGGCCTAGGACATTGCTGTGCACTACTGTAGACTTTATAAACACTGTATCATTAGGGCACACTGAACTTATGAAAAAATTTTCTTTCTTCAATAATAAATTAACCTTAGCTTACTTTAACTTTTAAACTTTATACATTTTTAAATAAAAAAAATTTTGACTCTTTTATAATAACACGTAGCTTAAAACACATTATACAGCTGTACAAAAATGTTTTCTTTGTATCCTTATTCTATAGCTTTTTTCTTCTTCTTCTTTTTTTTTTTTTTGAGACAGGATCTCGCTCTCTTGCCCAGGCTGGAGAGCAGTGGCACAATCTTGGCTCACGGCAACCTCTGCCTCCCCACCTCAGCCTCCTGAGTAGCTGGAACTACAGGCATGTGTCACCATGCCAGCTAAGTTTTGTATATTTTGTAGAGACAGGGTCTCACCATGTTGCTCAGGCTTATCTGTTTTTTTTTTCTATTTAAAAAAATTTTTAAACTTTTTTGTTAAAACTAAGATACAGGCTGGGTATGGTGGCTCACACCTGTAATCCCAGCACTTTGGGAGGCCGAGGCAGGTGGATCACCTGAGGTCAGGAGCTTGAGACCAGCCTGACCAACATGGCAAAACCCCGTCTTTATTAAAAATACAAAAATTAGCTGGGCGTGGTGGCACATGCCTGTAATCTCAGTTACTTGGGAGGCTGAGGCAGGAGAATTGCTTGAACCCAGGAGGCAGAGGTTGCAGTGAGCTGAGATTGCGCCATTGCCACTATATATATATGTATATATATATTATATATATACACATATATGTATGTATGTGTGTATGTGTGTATATGTGTGTGTATATATATACACACACATATATAAATTATATATATTATATTATATATATTATATTATATATGTGTGTGTATATATACACACGTGTATATATATACACACGTGAGTATATATACACGTGCGTATATATACACATGAAATGTAACATAACATTTTCTTTTTTTTTTTTGAGTTGCTCTGTCTCTCAGGCTGGGGTGCAGTGGCATGATGTTGGCTCACTGTAACCTCCACCTCCTGGATTCAAGAGATTCTCCTGCCTCAGCCTCCTGAGTAGCTGGGACTACAGGCACACACCACTATGCCCAGCTAATTTTTGTGGTTTTAGTAGAGATGGAGTTTCACCAAGTTGGCCAGGCTGGTCTCAAACTCCTGACCTCAGGTGATCCACCCGCCTTAGCCTCCCAAAATGCTGGGATTATAGGTGCGAAGTACTGCGCCCAGCCTAACATAACATTTTCTAAGTAACATTTGGGTCAAAGAAGAAATCAAAAGAAAAAAATTAAAATATATACAATATATAAAAAATTGGGTGATGATAAGAAAGTACAATTAAGAGAAAGTTTTGTGAAAGTTGTCAGAATCAAAACGGAGTCACTAATGTTAAAGAAACCCTGACAAGCCTGGGTGCAGTGGCTCACGCCTGTAATCTAAACACTTTGGGTGGCCAAGGTGGGCGGATCACTTGAGGCCAGGAGTTCCACACCAGCCTAGACAAAATGGTGAAACCCCGTCTCTACTAAAAAAAAAAAAAAAAAAAAAAAAAATTAGCTGGGTTTGGTGGCACAGCTGTAATCCCAGCCACTTGGGAAGCTGAGGCACAAGAATCACTTAAACCCAGGAGGCAGAGATTGCAGTGAGTCAAGATTGCACAGCTGCACTCCAGCCCGGGTGACAGAGTGAGACTCTATCTCAGAAAAACAAACAAACAACAACAACAACAAAAATCCTGACAATAGAGCTGGGGAAAGCTAAGAAGGGAGAATTCTTATGCTTGTATGCCTGATAACTATCACAAAAGACCTCAAAAACCACCATCTTGCATAAAGGCCATTGCAACATCATCTAAAAATATTTCTGCAAGGATTTTTACTCAACAACTGCCTATCCAACCTCAAATTGGTGTCATCCTTGTTAGTGATCTTTGTAGCCAAGGATAATCATTTCAAAACAATTTTGTAATCCTCTTCGTTTTTCTTTTGAAAACCTTTGTCTCCCTTTACCTCCCTGAATATGCACATAGTTTACTATGGCACGTGTATTCCCATTGCAATACTTTATTCCCAAATAAATACCTTTTTCTTTTAAAGACCCTCTCTCTGTTTGTTACTTAGGTTAAAAGGTTTTATCGCTAAATACCTATATTAGAAAAGTGGAAGAATCTCAAATTATGATCTTAGGATCCTCCTTAAGAAAATAGAAAAAGATAAAATTTAACCCAAAGGAAGCAGAAAGAAATCAATAAAGGTCAGGGCAGAAATCAATGAAATAAAAAACAGAAAAATGAGAGAGGAATTTAATAAAACCAAATCCTGTTTCGTTGAGAAGATCAACAACATTGCTAAACCTCTCATTAAGCTGAGGAGGAGAAAAGATGTCACAAACAACCAATATCAGAAATGAGAGATGACTTCCTCAGAGATTACACAGATAGCAAAAAGATAATAGGAGAATATGATGAACAACTTTATGTCAATAAATTTAAAAACTTCAATAAAATGGAAAAGTAATTAAGAGACACAAATTTCCAAAGCTCACTTAAAAAATAGGTAACCTGAATAGCCATAGATCTATTTAAGCAATTAAATTTGCAGTTAAAAACCTTTCCACAAAGAAAACTTTATGCTTGACTGGTGAAGTTTATTAAACATTTAAGAAAGCCATGTTAATTCTATACAAACTACTCCAGAAGAAAAGGTTTTCCAACTAATTCTCCGATGTCATTCAAGACAAATTATCCAGAGACATTTAGAAGAAAACTACAGACCAATAGTTCTCATAAATGTAACTCTAAACAAAATTTTAGCAGTTTGAACCTAACAATGTATAAAAAGAATAATATATCACTACCAAGTGGGGTTTATTCCAGGAACAAATGTTGATGTAATTTTTCATGTCAATCAATATAATTCATCATACTAACAAACTTAAAAAAAAACCATTTGATGTTCTCAGCAGACACATAAAGAGCATTTGACAAAACCCCACATTCATTTCTGATAAAAGCTGTCAGCACACTAATAATGGAAGGGAAATTCTCAACCTTTAGGGTATTTGCTATGGGCTAAATGTTTATATCATTCCAAAGTTTACATATGTAAACTCTGACCCCCAGTGTGTTAATACTTGGAGATGGGGCCTTTGGGCAGTAATTAGGTCATAAGAATAGAGCTCTCCTCATGAGATTAGTGCCCTGATAAAAAGAGACATGAGGGAGAAGACCATTATCCCTCTGAAATGTGAGGAGAGAGCAAGGTGTCCCACTGCAAACCAGGGAGTGGGTCTTCACCAGGAGCCAAACTGGCTGATGTCTTGATCTTGAACTTCATAGCCTTCAGGACTTTGAGAAATAAATGTTTGTTGTCTAAACCACCCAGTCTATGGTATTTTTGTTACAGCAGCCTGAACTGAATAAGACATCATCTACAGAAACCCTACAGTTAACATTATACTCAATCTTTGTTTTCCTATCAGACCCCTAAGGAGCTGTCTTAGTCTAGTTCATGCTACTATAACAGGATGCTGGCCAGGTGCAGTGGCTCACGCCTGTAATCCCAGCACTTTGGGAGGCCGAGGCGGGCGGATCACCTGAGGTTGGGAGTTTGAGACCAGCCTGACCGACATGGAGAAACCCTGTCTCTACTAAAAAACAAAATTAGCCGGGCGAGGTGGTGCATGCCTGTGATCCCAGCTACTGGGGAGGCTGAGACAGGAGAATCGCTTGAACCCAGGAAGTGGAGGTTGCGGTGAGCTGAGATCGTGCCATTGCACTCCAGCCTGGGTAACAAGAGTGAAACTCTGTCTCAAAACAAAACAAAACAAAACAAAACAAAACAAAACAAAACAAAAACAGGAAGCCACAAACTGAGTAATTAATAATAAACAGAACTTTATTGACTCACAGTTCTGGATGCTGGGAAGTCCAACATCAAAGTGCCAGCATCTAGCACGGGCCTTCTTGCTGCATCATCGCATGGTGGAAGGGCAAAGGGAGAGCAAGAGAGAGATAAAAGGGGGCTGAACTTGTCCTTTTGTAAAGAACCCACTCCTGCAATAATAGCATTAATCTATTCAGGGCTGAGCCCTCATGGCCTAATCACCTCTTAAAGATCCCACCTCTTAATACTTTTACACTGGCAATTACCTTTCAACATGAACTGGGGAGTGGACAAATACATAGGAGGAGACCTTTTAGATATTTTTCTTCCTAACCACTCCACCCGTCCTATGAAATTAAATACTATGAAATGAGTTTTGTTGAGTAGGGTTGATTTTGAAGGACGACAAACCATTGTAATATCTATGATTTTTTTACCCCTCAAGAAATAATTTTTTTTTTTAAGACAGATCTCACTCTGTTGCCCAGCTTGGAGGGCAGTGATGCGATCTCCGCTCACTGCAACCTCCGTCTCCTGGATTCAGGCAATTCTCCTATCTCAGCCTTCTGAGTAGCTGGGATTACAGGTGCCCGCCAGCATACTTGGCTCATTTTTGTATTTTTAGTAGAGACGGGGTTTCACAATGTTTGCCAGGCTGGTCTTGAACTCATGACCTCAGATGATCTGCCCGCCTCGGCCTCCCAAAGTGTTGTGATTACAGGCACGAGTCACTGTGCCTGGCCAAAAAATAATTTTTGCCCTCTCAGGGGCACTATCGCTTCCATAGAAAAAGCCTGTACTAAATAATCCTCAAACCCCACCTCCAAGGAGATTTTCTTGTTTATTTTGACTACATATCTTCACCACAAAATAGTCAACTGCTTCCTTTTGCCAACAGGAGAAATTTTGAATGCCTGGGCCTAATAATTAATGATACTGTTTGAAAGAGAAGTCAAGTTAAAAATACATCAGTTACGTTTTGCAAAATACCTCATCAATTCTCCACAAAGTTGTCACGGTCATCAAAAAAAGTTTAGTTTGAGAAACTGTCATAGCCAAAGAAGCCTAAGGAAACATCACAATTAAATGTAATGTGGTGTCCTGAATAGAATTCTGGAGCAGAAAAAAGACATTAGGTAAAAACTAAGGAAATCTGAATAAAGTAAGGACTCTAGTTAATAACAATAATTTAAAGAAACCACCCAAACCCTCCCCCTCCTCACTTTGTCCTTGGTAGTGAACCCTCCGGGACTTTCTCAGGGAGCGCACCTTTGATTAAAATCGTAGCTGGAACACAGCATTAGTGGGATTCCGACACCTTGAGCAAGACCCTGTCCTGAGACCTTGGCTTAACTTATCAACTGCAACTGTTGTTAAGTGCTATAAAACATGACCACGAGAAGAAGAAGAAAAAAGAACATTTCCGCATTTGTGGTGAAAACTGTAAGTGGGACCATAGGCAGTTATGTTGCTGAATGTTTCCCTTCCAAGATTTGTGTGAGAGATTTTTCTTCGTTGGCACTTTTTGTTATAAATGAAGGAAAAGTCTGAGTTTTTAATTCAACTAGATCTGATTTCAAATCACAGGTAGACCCTTTACTAATTTTGTTATTTGGGGAAGATTCTGAACCTCAGTTTCTTCACCTATGAACTGATAATAATAACTGCCTTGAAATGGTATTGATTCTTCACATATCAAATTGAAATGGGAAAAGTTCCCTTATCCCCCTCCCAGGGCTCACTTCTTTGGTACCCTGCTGCTCATACCCTAGGAGGAGCATGCAGACGGGCAGGTTGTGGGGCTCTGACCCCACAGCAGTGTCTAGGGTTCAGTGTTTACAGCTCTTGAGGCCCCAGTGTGCATGTGTTGCAGTGCATTCTTTCAGTTTAGCCATCCACAGGTGGCTTGTGTTAATGAGCTCAATTAGATCCTCTGCCTTATCTCAAGGACAGAAGGCTTTCAGTATCCTGGGGTTCTTGTCTTAGTGTACTGGAAAAATTGGATCACGTGTGGGCTTGGAGGATGGGTGCAAGGTTTTTTGTTGAGTGGTGGTAGCTCTCAGCAGATGAATGGGGAGCCAGAAGAGGGAAGGAGTGGGAAGCTGGTTTTCCCCTGGAGTCAGGCTGCCCAGCACCAAATTCCCCTCGGCGTCCACGTCGTTCCACCGGTGGATGGCATGCCAGCATCTGCTGGTGTTTGTCGGTGTGTTCTCCTGCCAGCATGCTCCTCTCGACATCTAGCAGCTCGTGTGTTCTTCCAGTGGTGTGATCCTCTCGACGTCCAGCCACTTCTGTCTGTGCCCACTAGGGTCTCGAGGTTTTTATAGGCACAGGATGGGGACATGGTGGGCCAGGGTGGTCTTGGAAAATGCAACATTTGGGCACAAAAACAAATGCCTGTCCTCACCTCGGTGGGTGGGCACAGGCCCGGAGGTGGAGCCCTAGCCAGGGACCCACCCTTCTCTACCCAGCACTTCCTTGCCCCCTCCTGTCTCAGAGTCAAGTGGCATCATTTCTTCAGGGAAGTCATTCCAGACCCTCTAAACTTACTCATATTCCTTCTTGATGGTCTCATAACTTTGTATACACTTTCTTTCTAGAATTGACTCAAATTGAGTGATTATTGGGTTAATATCTATTTCCCCTACTAGACCCCAAATTCCATGAAAACAAAGACCATGACTCTTTGTCCATCATTATATCAGTAGCTCTCAATGCAGCCTGGTCACATAGTAAATTTTTGAATGAATAAATGAATAATGATTAAATGATATACAGAGAATCTACAGCTGTCTTAAAAACACTGGGCTGCCTTGAGACATCCTACTGATTAAAGAGAACCAAGTATGTTATGGCTTGTTTCTTGAGAGGGCTGTCAACTAGCTCGGGAACAACTCTGATATAAATTATGTAGTGGCAATCTGAGTGACCCATAAAGGGCAAATATTTGATGAAAGACAAAAATAAAGTAGTAAGTGGAATAAAATATAATTCTTTAAAAAAGTGTTGTTATATAATTTGTAAGCTTCTTTGGGCCTTAATGTAAAAGAGAAAGGGAAAGGGCTTTGTGTCTGAATTCAAGCTCTGCCAATTATAAGTGCCACTTATAAATATGACCTCATTTAAATGCCTTCATCTCCTGAAGACTATTCAATATTTACAAAATGAAGATAAGTATGCTCATTAAAGTTAATGTGTAGATTAAGGAAATCAAGTTACGTAAACCACTTAGAATAGAGTTGAGCAAACAGTGGCACTTACTAATTCCTACATTCAGCAAATATTGCTTAAAAACCTACTAGTGGCAGGCATTGTGCTAGAAACTGAGGATTTGCTGTTGCTGTTGTTTTTGGAACTGAGGATGTAATGACACTGATAACATCTGTGGTCGTTGCTGTTTTTTCCTACAGAACAATAATGGAATAATGGTGGGCTATTTTTTTTCTTTTTAAAAAAACACTGTGCTATTTCATAGCCATCAGATTGGCAAAAATGTAGGAGTATAACCATGTCGTGTTTTGCTACAGATAGAATATAGAAAAAGAAAATCTCATATACCATAGTTTCTGAATATGAAATTGTACAATCAATGCTTCAGTTGCTGTACCGGTGTAACAAATTAATCCAAAACTTGGTAACATAAAACAATCATTTATTATGCTCCCAGTGGGTCAGAAATTCAGATAAATCACAGCGGGGGCAGCTTGACTCTGTTTCAATGACTGGGACCGCAACTGGAAGACTCAAAGGCTGGGAGCTGCAATCATTTGAGGGTTCACTCACCCACATGTTGGGTGGTTGACGCTGGCTGAAACTTTAACTAGGCCTGTTGACTGAAATATCTATAGAAGGCCTCTCCAGGTAGCATAGAAGTTCTCACAGTGTGGAGATTGGGTCCAAGGGTGAGTGTCCCACGACAGAGAGGGTAAGCCAAAGCAGAAGCTGTAGCACCTTTGATGATCTAGTCTTGAAGGTCAGGCAGTGTCACTTTCACTGCATTCTAGTCATTAGAAGTGAGTTCTCAAGACTAACTCATACTCAAGGAATGGGAACATAGAGCCTATTTTAGACAGAGGGGAGCCAATGTTACAATGTAAAAAGAACATGTAGAATGGGATGTGTTGGCATGGACATTTTGTTTTTGTTTTTGAGACAGAATCTTGCTCTATCACCCAGGTTGGAGTGCAGTGGTGCAATCTCGGCTCACTGCAGCCTCCACCTCCCAGGTTCAAGTGATTCTCCTGCCTCAGCCTCCCAAGTAGCAGGGACTACAGGTGTGTGCCAACATGCCCGGTAAATTTTTGTATTTTTAGTAGAGATGGGGTTTCACCATGTTAGCCATGGTCTCAAACTCCTGACCTCAAGTGATCCGCCCACCTCAGCCTCCCAAAGTGCTGGAATTACAGGTGTGAGCCACTGTGCCTGGCTGTGTGGACATTTTGGAAAATACAATTGGCCACAACTAGTTTGAAGAAAATATGGCAATATTTGGTAAAATTGGACATGAATATGGCTTAGCAATTCCACATCTGGGCATATATTAGTGAAAATTTACCACATGTGCACACGGAGAAATGTACAAAGATACTCATTGCAACATTGCTTGTTAGAGTGAAAATTTGGAAACATCCTAAATATCCACCAGAAGACAGATAAATAAATGGTGGTATACTAATACAGAGGGGAAAATAATGAATCAATAAAAATAAAGGAACAACAAATACACATTTTAATATTGATGAGTCTTGGAAACACTGTTGGGTGAAAAAAACTAGTTGCAGAATGATACGTACCTTATGATAGTATTTATACAAATGTATTAAAATTGCACACTGAAACACTATATTTTGCTTATGAATGTATTATACTTAAAGAGTACAAAAAAAGGACTGAATATACCCCAAATGTATGATTTCATCTGAGAAGAGTTTTTTTTTGTTTTATTGTTTTTTTTTTTTTGCGACGGAGTCTCGTTCTGTCGCCCAGGCTGGAGTGCAGTGGCGCGATCTCGGCTCACTGCAAGCTCCGCCTCCCGGGTTCACGCCATTCTCCTGCCTCAGCCTCCCGAGTAGCTGGGAATACAGGCGCCCGCCATCACACCTGGCTTATTTTTTGTATTTTTAGTAGAGACGGGGTTTCACCGTGTTAGCCAGGATGGTCTCGATCTCCTGACCTCATGATCTACCCGCCTCGGCCTCCCAAAGTGCTGGGATTACAGGCGTGAGCCACCGCGCCCGGCTGAGAAGAGTTAAGAAGAATTACCAGAAAGGAATAAAATGGACCCCAATGTTTTTATATTTTATTTATTTTAAAATTTTAAGCAAATGAAACACTTAATATTTATTTCTTTTGCATGCCACTAGTATATTGTATTTATCTGGATTGTTTAATTTTTGAAAAGTAAATAATCCCATTAAAAATGAAGTGAACTCATGAGAGAGAGCAAGGGAAAAACTTGACGAAATCCATCAAGTATGAAGAGCCCCCAAAGACTTCCCATCCCCACGAGCTTCTGCTTCTCCTCCTTGCGAAGCTCTTTGGCTCTGCTATTGCCACCCCTACACCTGGGTTTTTGTGGGGTTTTTTGCAATCTTGACTCAAATGTGGACAAACACTTTCTTGTTTTTATTAGCACTGTCTAGATAAAATGGCATTTTCAAAAATAACTTTACAAATTAAAAAGATGACTTGAAGAAATATTCACAGTATCAAAAGAATCAATAAAATCAGTTTTAGATTGTATAATTTCTTTTCAGACGAAATTAATTAAAATATCCACCTAACTCACTAAGTACAGCTGTAAAAGTGGTTTAATGTTTTTACTGGTCCCACATCCTCCTGTCTTAAAATAAACTTTCCTCTATTCCTCAAGAGTACATTGTTATTCAATTTCTGTTTCCACACTGTGTGGTTAAAGAAAAAGTATTGAATTGTCTATCTAGCCCCTTTTCTCTGGGAACTATGACATCTCTAACCAGGGCTAACTCACCTGGAACCAGTCCTGGCCCCAAGACAACACTACAGACATGAGTCCTGAAGCTCCTTAGGGCTTCCTGTGCTGGAAGGAAGGGTTGAGGGTGGGAGAAAGCCCCAAAGGAGAGAAAGAGAATAGGATCCCATGCGGATCTCAGGCCAGGCACTACCAGCCTGGGCTGACTGCAGCCACTGATGAGAGACTTAGAAAATGTTGAGAAGGGTATTCCAAGATGCAACGGGGTGCCTGAGGAACAGGCGAGGCCAGAGACCCCATTTGGCCAGCCTTAAGGGCAGTTCTCTCTAAGCCTCTCTTCTGCATGGTCCACAAGAAAGGCTCCTGGAAGCTATTTTTTGCAATGTGATTCTGTCCGATGGTCATGTCTGATCTATGGATGGGATCAGTCAGAATCCCTTCAAAAATAAATAATATTTCAGAGAAAATTAGAAAGTGAGATGGAAAGGGATGACTGTCTACTTACTGTGTGAAAAAGAAAAGCAGAGGAAATGAGTACATTGCAGAAAAAGACTGAAACAGGGCACAGAAAGGAATATTAAGAATTCATTACGGTCGGGCGCGGTGGCTCACTCCTGGAATCCCAGCACTTTGGAAGGTCGAGGCGGGCGGATCACGAGGTCAGGAGATCGAGACGATCCTGGCCAACATGGTGAAACCCGGTCCCTACTAAAAATACAAAAAATTAGCCGGGCGTGGTGGCGGGCGCCTGTAGTCCCAGCTACTGGGGAGGCTGAGGCAGGAGAATGGCGGGAACCCGGGAGGCGGAGCTTGCAGTGAGCCCAGATCGCGCCACTGCACTCCAGCCTGGGCGACAGAGCGAGACTCCGTCTCAAAAAAAAAAAAAAAAAAAAAAAAAAAAAAAAAAATCATTACTTTCCTGAGGCCCCAGTTCAAAATTCTCAGCCTGCCAGGTGTCGTCCTTCCTACTGAATTCCAGCCACCTGCCTCAGCCACAGCCAAAGGACAAGATCCATTGAATAGTCTAGAAGACCAGGAATCAACACACTTTGTTCTATAAAGGACCAGACAGTAAATATTTCACTTTTGTGGAACACATAGGGTCTGTGTCACTTCCTCTCCTTCTTCTTCCTCTTCTTCCCCTTCCTTCCCCTCCCTCACGTCTCTACTCCTTCCTTCTTCCTGTTCTTCCCCCCCTCCTCTTCCTCCTCCTTTTTCTTCTCCCCCTAAAAAAGTAAAAATCGGCCAAGCACGGTGGCTCACGCCTGTAATCCCAGCACTTTGGGAGGCCGAGGCGGGTGGATCACGAAGTCAGGAGATCAAGACCACGGTGAAACCCCGTCTCTACTAAAAATACAGAAAATTAGCCGGGCGTGGTGGCGGGCGCCTGTAGTCCCAGATACTCGGGAGGCTGAGGCAGGAGAATGGCGTGAACCCGGCAGGCAGAGCTTGCAGTGAACTGAGATCGCGCCACTGCACTCCAACCTGGGCGACAGAATGAGACTCCGTCTCAAAAAACAAACAAACAAACAAACAAACAAACAAACAAATTAGCTGGGCGTGGTGGCGGGTAATCCCAGCTACTCAGGCGGCTGAGGCAGGAGAATCGCTTGAATCCAGGAGGTGGAGGTTGCAGTGAGCCGAGATCCAGCCATTGCACTCCAGCCTGGGCGGCAGAGCCAAACTCCATCTCAAAAAAAAAAATAAAAGTAAAAACCACACTACTCCAGGCAGTATAAAATAGGCGCGGCAGGCCAGAGGTCTGCAGATGTAGTTTGCTTACCCCTGCATCAACAGTTGTTACCAATATTTGCTGCCCATTACAATTACATGGGGATCTTTAACAAACATCCATTAGAGCCCAGGTCTCACCCCCAGATATTCATTTAATTGTTCATTAAATGTTCATAAAATTTATTTAGTAGATCCCGTCATTGGTATTTTTCTAAAAGCTCCCAGGTGAATCTAATATGAAGCCAGAGTTGAGAGCTGCTAGAACATCTGCTGAATTCACTTCTAAGCTTTGCCTGCTTTGGGATCATTCTGTATATTCTAGGGATATATCTAAGTGAACTTCTTAGCAATTATGTATTGAACTTCTGCAATACATAACTGCATGTAGAAAAGAAAATAAATCTATGAGAGATTCCATCCCAGTCTATTCCACTTGTTTAGAACTAATACCTTCTAAAAGTTTGGGCATAATAGATTGTTGAAAAGTTACCCTCATTGTTGCCTTTTCCTTGATCAGCAACAAAAAGTGACTCTAATTGTTGTTGGGGATAGGTTTGTCATGGGAGGGTGGGGAAGATTAGATATTGTTGCTGCAAATCTCTTCAAAAGATGGCACTCATTATATTTTTGTTTTTAACCATTTGTTACAAAATATTTGCAGTATTTTAGACCTCACAATTTATTTCACTAATTTTAAGTAACATTTCATGTTCCCTAATGTTTCTGACAGTTGAAAAATTTTTGCAGCACAGATGTATTCAATCCATGAGATACCTTTACTATATAAATAACAATAGCATGAGCAATTGAGTTGTTTGGTTTTACTAGATTACCTTTAAGAATCTCTGGCAATTTCCAGGTAATGTTCATATAAATCCATTCAACCCCTTTCCTTTCAGATGCTGCTACTTTCGTATACTTGTTCATACCAAACGTGAGCACAGATTCTCCCTGCCATTCCACCACACTTTACATGAAGACTCTGAGACAATAAAATGTAAATGCAACATGGCTTAAAGCTGAATACAACTGAAAGCTGCTTTGAGTTAGAGCACTCAAGTCCCACTGTAGGATTCCCTCTATAAGGTACCCACCTTCTTAGGTGCCATATTGCCCTGACCTGCTAATCTCTTCCCAATGGGAGGGCCCTTGATCAGTCATCACCCTGGAATCCAGGCTCCTGAAACCTCATATTCCATTCTTTGTTCCTAAGATATGACATAAATGTGTAGCGTAAAGGAAGGTGAGCTGAGTTAGCATATCTATTAAACTAATAGTCTGGCTTGGAAAGAATCATTTGCAGCACAGGTAATGAAGACACTACAATATGTAGCCTTTTCAAAAAAACTTCATTGTCTTTGGCTGCTACTTGAAGACTCATCACTGTACAAAGCACTTGGGATTTACACTGGCCCACTAGCCCAATGACTCTAGAGGTTGACAAGGAAACTGAAGTTCCTTCTGTGAAATGGCTTAGTTCAGGTTCTGTTCCAAAACCCCAATACTTCTGTGGTATTTCAGTATTTACATAGGACTAGAATGTTTTTAGTTTCCTAGTGCTTTTTTCTCTTTCTTTCTTTCCTTTTTTTTTTTTTTTTTTTGAGACGGGAGTTTCGCTCTGTCACCCAGGCTGGAGTGCAGTGGTGCAATCTCGGCTCACTACAGCCTCTGCCTCCCAGGTTCAAGCGATTCTCTTGCCTCAGGCTCCTGATTAGCTGGGATTACAGGCTCCTGCCATCATGTCTGGCTAATTTTTTGTATTTTTAGTAGAGATGGGGTTTCACCACATTGGCCAGGCTGGTCTCAAACTCTTGGCCTCAAGTCGTCTGCCTGCCTCGGCCTCCCAAAGTGCTGGGATTACTGGTGTGAGCCACTGCATTGGGTCTCCTGGTGCTTTTCTCTTTTTCTTTTTTTGTTTTTGAGATGGGAGTCTCACTCTGTTGCCCAGGCTGGAGTGCAGTGACACAATATTTGCTCACTGCAACTTCTACCTCCTGGGTTCAAGCGATTCTCCTGCCTCAGCCTCCCGAGTAGCTGGGATTACAGGCACTGCCACCACGCCCAGCTACTTTTTTTGTATCTTTAGTAGAGATAGCGTTTCACCATGTTGGCCAGGCTGGTCTTGAACTCCTGACCTCAGACGATCCACCTGCCTCAGCCTCCTAAAGTGCTGGGATTACAGGCGTGAGCCACCACGACAAGCCTAGTGCTTTTTTCTTGATCTATGCTTTCTATTTATCCATTTCAATAAATAATGGAGGATTGACCCTAAGGTTACTACAATGGATTATTATCCCTATTACTACTACTATCACCTTATATTTAAAACATTATCTGATTAAAAACGGAAACAAATAGAAAAGACATAGGATCCTTCAGTTGCCAGTGACAGAATCTATGTGTGAGTTATCATCAACTGTCTTTGAGGTATCAGTACTACCTCCAATTAAGCATAGACAATGGTTTCCAGGGGAATATATAAAGTCATGAGCAGAGTTTGAAGAAATGCTCCAAAGTCCCAAACGCTGTCCTTTCTTGTGGGCAAGGAAGTGGGGCCCCAGGGAGGCCTCAAAAGTTTTCTAGGGACTTAAAGTCAAAACAGTGTTCCTCTGAGTACCGGTCAACAATGCTTTGAAAGCGGATCTCAAACACACACTCATTAGAATGCAGCAGGAAGTGGTTTTATTGCTGTGAACACAGGGCAATAAAGCTTGGCAAAAGTTGCAGGGTTAGAAATCTGAATCTTTCTTTGCTGTCTTCCCTATTCCCTTCTCTCGAAAAGTACAGAACTACAAAGCAGAAAATAATCTTATTTCTTTTTGTCTCAACTCTGGTCTGGCATCCTAGGCACTCGAATTCTCCAAACACCTTTCTTCTTTCTTCTACGGGAACAAGAAAATCAACAAAAGAAAAGAAAACATGGATGCAATTGTAACAGAAGCTATGTCAAATGAAAGGAAATGCAGTGGATGCCTTAGAGAATACTATCTAAGTGTACAGGAACCAACTTGTAGGGGGGATCGCTCTTCTGAGGGGGGTCACAGGCAACAATGAAGAATTTGTACTGGGCAGCAGCACTATAGCGGCACTGGGGATACTTTCCTGAAGTGAGTCTGCAGTCAGTCATGTTGACAGGCTTTGAGCTCTGGTGGCAGTTGTGCCGACGATTTTTGCAGACAATGCTGAGCAAATCACAGACAGCAGCCACATTCTGGAAAGAGTCATGCAGAAAGGTATTTTGATGCTTACAGTGCTGGGTATAATTGTTGATGCCACTCATTGCCCTGTTGCATTGGAGAGGACTTGGCTGTATATGCTGAATTTCAAACCAGTGAGCCTTGGTGAGACGCTTAGGCCAAGCATGAAGTGGACACACTGGTCCCCATAGAACCAGCAGCAGTAAAAGAAGAGGAAAGCATAGCACCATCTTTTCTGTGTAGAAAGAGAGAAGATAGTTATAGTAGGAGAAGCAATAAGAGCAAAATTTTTAATCATAACTATTTAGATTTTTATTTTGCCTTTTAAGATTTTACAGCTCCCTTTAAAATCTTCTTTCTCACATAGTCTCACAATTCTATGAAGAACCTGAAGCCCAGGAAACAGAAATATGACCTCTCCTTTGATTGGCATATCCCATTTTCTTTCACAAGTACTCATGCATTTGATGGCTGTCATATCAGAAAGTTTCTTCCCTCTTCCCTCCTGAAATATTTACCCTCTATCTGACCACTACCTCCCAGCCGTCTTTACTGCTCTACTCGCTCCAGCCCTGAGGCTTTCTTTCTTACCTGGTCTCAGTGTTGGGGCTCCTGCTGAGAACAGAGGCTGTGATTAGTCCAAAGCTCAGAAGCTGTTGTCTGCCTTTCTTCTCTAACCCTTCGAGCCCTGTGTGTATAGGGAAGGGGAAGAAATATTCTGAGCTTTCAGAAGGAGAATCCTAGGGTTTGGCAGATTAACTTCTTGTGCAGAGTCTGGATTAAACTCTTAGACTTTCACACCTGTTCTTTAAAACAGTATCATTATCACATGTATACAGGAAGGCTAAACCAACTTAAAGAAACAACATGACTGAAAACTCACAGTTTTGAGGAACTGATCACTTCCTGATATGGAATGAGTGCTTCCTGCCTCATCTGAGGCTTCAGTGTTTTTTTTTGAAGCTTTATGATTCCTGTTTCTTAAGAGAAAATATGTCACATAAATATGATATAATGCCTGCCACATACTTGGTAATGTTGTAAGTTCCTACAACAGAAGTGAATACATTATTCATTTATGCATATACTTATTGGGCCAGGTACTAGGCTACACAAATTCAGGAGCTCATGAGTTTTTTTTTTTTTTTTTTTTGAGACGGAGTCTTGCTCTGTCGCCCAGGCTGGAGTGCAGTGGTGCGATCTTTGCTCACTGCAAGCTCCACCTCCTGGGTTCATGCCATTCTCCTGCCTCAGCCTCCCGAGTAGCTGGGACTACAGGTGCCTGCCATCACGCCCAGCTAATTTTTTTGTATTTTTAGTAGAGACGGGGTTTCACTGTGTTAGCCAGGATGGTCTCTATCTCCTGACCTCGTGATCTGCCAGGAGCTCATGATTTAATGAAAGAGATTAGAGACAGGCAGGTAAGTATATAGACAAGTAGATTATATTAATATAAATAGCACTTACAGTGTGATGGAGGACACTGCAGGAGGCTACGGGAAGATAGTAGAGGGGAAGGATTGTTGGAGGGCACAACACCTGAACTGAATTTTGAGGAATAATTAGAAGTTAGGTGAAGAGAGTGTTAAGCGCCTCCCAAAGACAGAATTGTGTATGAAAAGACCTGTAAGCCTGAAGAAGAAGGCCGAATTTAGGATATTTGCCTCTTGAATCTGTTCTTACCTTTTCACTGGTACTGCAACACCCTTATTCAGAAACTCATTGTCTTATGGAGGGCTCACATAAAAGCCTCCCACATGGACTCCTTGCCTTGTTTTTTTCTCCTTCCAATCCATTCTACATATTACTTCCAGATTAGTCTTTTTTTGAACAAGATATAATAGTACAACACTCTTGCCCCATGCTTTTATGGCTCCAAATGTCTGCAGAATAAACATAATGTCTGTTTATAGCAAGGTTGCAGGATACAAGGTTAATATACAAAAGTCAGTTGCTTTCTTATATACCAGCAATGAACAATTGCAATTTGATATTTAAAACACAATACCATTTATATTGCACCAAAGAAAGTGAAATACTTAGGTGTAAATCTAATACATTATGTAAAAATTGGTATGAGGAAAAATTTAAAACTCTAATGAAAGAAATTGAGGAAGCACAGATATTCCATGTACATGAGTAGGAATACTCAATATGTTAAGATGTCATTTCCTCTCAACTTGATCTATAGATTCAGCACAATCTCAATCAATATCCCAGCACATTATTTTGTGGATAGTGACAAACTGACTCTGAAGTTTATATAAAAGTAAAAGATTCAGGTTGGACACGGTGGCTCACGCCTGTAATCCCAGCACTTTGGGAGGCCGAGGCAGGCTGATCACGAGGTCAAGAGATCAAGACCATCCTGGCTAACACAGTGAAACCCCGTTTCTACTAAAAATACAAAAAATTAGCCAGGCCTGGTGGCGGGCGCCTATAGTACCAGCTACTTGGGAGGCTGAGGCACGAGAATCGCTTGAACCCGGGAGGTGGAGCTTGCAGTGAGCCGAGATCGCACCACTGCACTCCAGCCTGGGTGACAGAGCGAGACTCTGTCTCAAAAAAAAAAAAGATTCAGAATAGTCAACACAATGCAGAAAAAGAAGAACAAAGTCAGAAAACTGACGTGACCCAACTTCAAAACTTACTATAAAGCTACAGCAATTAAGACAGTGTGTTATTGGTGAAAAATAGACAAATAGGTCAATGGAACCAAGTAGAAAGCCCAGAGGTAGACCCACACAAATACAGTGAACTAATCTGTGACAAAGGATCAATTTTCAATTGAGAAAAGTTAGTCTTTTCAACAAATGGTAGTAGAACTGAATGTACACATGCAAAAAATAAATCTTTTCATAGGTTAGACTTCATACATTTTCATAGACCTGTACTTTATATCTTTCACAATTTTTTTTTGAGATGGAGTTTCGCTTTTGTTGCCCAGGCTGGAGTGCAATGGCATGATCTTAGCTCACCACAACCTCTGCCGCTCAGGTTCAAGTGATTCTCCTGCCTCAGCCTCCGGAGTAGTTGGGATTACAGGCATGCACCACTACACCCAGCTAATTTTGTATTTTTAGTAGAGACAGGGTTTCACCATGTTGGTGAGGCTGGCCTCGAACTCCTGACCTCAGGTGATCCGCCCACCTCGGCCTCCCAAAGTGCTGGGATTACAGGCGTGAGCCACCGCGCCTGGCACAAATGTTAATTCAAAATGGACCATAGACCTAATGCAAAATACAAAACTACAAAAATTCTAGAAAATAACATAGAAGAAAATCTAGGCAGCCTTGAGTTTGGCAATGATTTTTTAGATACAATACCAAAAGCACAATCCATGAAAGAAAAATATTGATAAGTGGAACTTCATTAAAATTGAAAACTTCTGCTCTGCAACAGATACTATTAAGAGAATAAAAAGATAAGCCAGAGACTGAGAGAAGATATTTGCAAAAGATATATCTGATAAAAGAACATTATCCAAAATATACAAAGAACTCAAAAAACCTCAACCATAAGAAAACCAACAACCTAGTTGAAAAATGGGCAAAACATCTGAATGGTATGGGGCAAAGACAATTTTTCCTCTCCCTCTGAAGGTTCAAAACTTCTGAAATGAACTGACAATAGACAGATTAACAGGAGAAAAAGGCATACAAATTTATTACTGTGCATAATCATGGGAACCATACAAATTATGAGACTCAAAGAAAGACTAAATAGTTGAAATTCATGTATTCTCTTCATAGGGGAGAGGAACATGGGGAAAATGTAGGCAATTTTGAGGAGTTTTAAATATTTTTTAGGGAACTGGCCCCAAATAGCAGACAATAGTTTGTAAATGAGTCTCTTTGGAAGCTGAATGGAAGGGTGACGAGTTATGGGAAGGTGAAGGGTGGAACTGCACTATGAACAAAGGTTGCCTTATTATACAGATAAAGTCTCTTAGGTACTCTTTTGGAGCTGCTCTTGGAAGAATAGATGAAAGGTCTATCTGAGTGTGGTGTGAAGAGACTTCTAGTCTCTTCTTTTTTTCAGGTGGCTAATATTTCCTGGTTATCTGATGAGATTTTTAGAAAGGGGGGTCTTAAGACAATTGCATTTCTTGGAAGAAGTTTTCCTTATCCAGACAAGGGAACTTCCAGAGAGAGCTCCTCTCTGCATTTGAGAGCTGGGGGAGGAATGAGAGAAGATTAGAACATCTTTGGTCCTGAGGCAGCTTCTAAGAAGTTTTGGTTTCTTTAATTCTTTAATTCTAGTTAAATTTAATTCTTTAATTTAATTTCTTTAATTCAAAAGTGCTCAGAATGCCATGCATCATAGTTTGTAGTATGATTCTCTGTACCCCAACACTTCACCAAACAAGATATACAGATGGCAGATGAGCAATGAAAAGATGTTCAGCATCACATTGTTTGGAGAAAAACTTTTCCTCTATCATTTTAGGTTTTAAAGGTGGTGGTAAAGGAGCTTGTGAATTAGAAAAAGATTAATAGGAGAAAATTCAAAGTTTATTTACACATGCACACAGGAGTATTACATAATGCGTAACTTGCTGAATAGCCAGAGGTAAAGTTATATATCAACTTTAAAAAAAGTGTTTTTGGCCAAGTGCAGTGGCTCATGCCTGTAATCCTAACATTCTGGGAGACTGAGGCAGGAGGATCACTTGAGGCATGGAGTTTGAAACCAACAGCATAGCAAGACCCCCATCTCTATTTTTTAAAAAAAGATTTGGCCGGGCATGGTGGCTCACACCTGTAATCCCAGCACTTTGGGAGGCCAATGTGGGCAGATCACCTGAGGTCAGGAGTTTGAGACCATCCTGGCCAACATGGTAAAACCCCGTCTCTACTAAAAATACAAAATTTAGTCAGGCATGGTGGTGGGCACCTGTAATCCCAGCTACTCGGGAGGCCGAGGCAGGAGAATCTCTTGAACCTGGCAGGCGGAGGTTGCAGTGAGACAAGGTTGCGCCACTGCACTCCAGCCTGGGCAACAAGAGTGAAAGTCTGTCTCAAAAATAAAATAAAATAAAAAATAAAAGATTTTTGTTGGGGCTTCAAAAGGAAAATATGGAAGGTTCTAGTAAGCTTTCTGATGCTAATAGAAATGGGTAGATTGATTTCTTCCTGGCTGGAAGTTTCCCTGTATGGGGGTTTATGGAAGCTAATTTACACATCCCAGTGCTAAGGGGCTGTCTCGTTTCAAACAGGAAAATACCTTTGAAGGGGATCAATGGCAGCTGAATTTTCAAGAGGCTCTGGTTAAGTTTAAATAGTGTTTCTTTCTGCAGCTTCTGTCTGTTCAGACATTTTCAGTTTAAAATAATTTTCATGCCACTATCATCATAACAGATTTGTTACTTGATGCACAACAAATGGATATATTAAGAAAACAGGGATTGAAAAAGAGAGAGTTTAATTTTCATAGGGCAGCCAAATGAGTAGATGGGAGGTAACCTACAATTTGGTTTTGGGTTTGGGGATAGGGTTTTTAAGGAGTCTGGACAAGGGCCAAAATGTGAGCATTTCTGATTCATCAAGAAGTGAGAGGTGAAGTCATGGGACAGGGACATGAAGAAACTCAGCATTCATGTGCCAAGCCAGTTCCTTGGTAGGGGTCTTTAGACTGGTTAGCATTAGCTGTTGCACTGGAATTCAGGATCAGAAAAACACCTTAAGCAATTCTTAAGCAAAAAGATTTCATGATTCTAGTATTGGAGATTCTACCTATAGGAACAATCGGGGAGTAGGTGGTCAGCATGCTACTTGGGAAATTAGAAGCTACAGGGAAGTGGGTTGAAGTGTACCAGCATGCTATGATTAATGTGCAATTCTGCCTAGAGCCTGGCTTGCAACACTCCATAACTCTGCAAGGGCAGTTTTGCCATATTGGTGGGCTGTGAATCCCTTCAATCTGTCATTAGAAAATTGCAAATTAAAACAATGGGATAATACTACACACCTACATGAATGACTAAAATGCAGTGAAAACTGACATCATCAAAGCCAGTAAGGATGCAGAGCAGCAAAAATGCTAATTGACAGGACTTTCAACCTGGAGGCATATTTTGGGGTGACATATTCTTGTTTCCTATGAGACTTCAGTTAGGCTAGCTTGGATCTCATAACCATCGCTTGGCTCAGTAGAGGGGACTGCAGACCTTAGTGGACAGCCTCACCAATACTACACACAAAAGAGGAAGGGTAGATACCTAAGGAGAGTCAATATGCAGCTATCCAAATAAGGGGTGGACCACCGGGAAAGCCAGAGAAACAACACAAAGCTATTACTAATTGCCCTTAAATCTACTTTCCTCCTATACTATTTTGAACAACCATCTGCTAACCCTTTAATAAAAGCAAGTTTTAAAGAGTTACTTAAATGAGGTATTTGTGAGAATCTACTATAGGAGACCAGAATATGCCACCCCAAAATATGCTTCTTTATTATGAATATTATTTTGAACTGCTTATTTTGAGAAGCAGTATACACAAGACAAACTCTGAAAATAGAGTGCACGTTGCTGTTTTGTAAGGGACATTTGCGTTTATAAGGGAAATCTTCATTTGTAAGGATGTCTCCCTTTCTTCACCAGAAAGAGAAAGGTGACTCTAAATCAAAAGAAACCCTTATCAGCGGAGAAGGTACTGACTTAAATCTGCATGAGAAAGCTTTCCCTTGTTTACTGTACTTTTCCTGGTCATCCCCCTGTAAGTTGCTCCCCGACATGCTTCTTCCTTTGCTTTAGCGGAAGGCATTTAAGCCCAAGTTCTAGCCACCTCTTTGAGTTGCTTTCTGAATTTCTCTCATGTATGCATGAGATGCACATGTTACTAAACTTCTATTTTTCTCTTGTTAATCTGACTTTTGTTTCGGTGGCCCCAGCCAAGAACCAAAGGGGTAGAAGGAAAATTTTTTCCTTCCCTACATACATTTTGAAGAGCGTTTGTCAACTGAGAAAAACAAACAGTATTGTTTCTTCTCATATGTATATTGATCCTACATGCAGAGCTACTGGTTTAATACTAGTCTCTTCTGAGTTTGGTTGGTAGAGATTGTCATCCCCAGGTGTCTGCTCCTCCCCAGGTGCACTCAAAAATTGCAAAGCTGAGGAACTGCCTTATACGCTGGCTACTAGAGTTATAGGAAAGTGTGCAGTCACTTAATAAATAATGTTGACACTTTGGTTTTTCTTTAATTGTTTCAAGGCCAGAGTCATTCCACATTGTAGGAGTCTGAAGAACACAAGGTACTTTATTGTTTAGCATTTTCCCTGGCCCATACTGCTCCAGGGAGAATTGTATGAAGTAAACATTTCTTACTTTGCATCTCACTCCTGCAATTAGCAAACAGAATTTCTCGACCTGCTTGTGAACCCTATTTTTTTTTTTTTTTTTTGAGGCTGGCTGGAGTCAGTGGCACAATCCACTTAACCTGCTTGTGAACCAATTTTTTTTTTTTTTTTTGAGGCTGGCTGGAGTGCAGTGGCGCAATCTTAGCTCAATGCAACCTCCACCTCTGGGTTCAAGCGATTCCCCTGCCTCAGCCTCCTGAATAGTTGGGACTACAAGGGCGTGCCACCATACCTGGCTAATGTTTTTCTTTGTATGTTAGTAGAGATGGAGTTTCACCATGTTGGCCAGGATGGTCTCAATCTCCTGACCTCATGATCCACCTGCTTCAGCCTACCAAAGTGCTGGAATTACAGGCATGAGCCACCGCACCTGGCCTTCCCAACACTTTTTTATCCCATTTATTTCCTCTTTCCTACAACAAAATTTAAGTCTTAAGCTCCATTCTTGAGCAGTATTGCAGTTTAAAGTCTTCCAACCACTGTCCTGTCTCTACCACGTAAAAATGGTTATTTTCAGATAAAATTATTTGTGCTAATATATTCTATTTGAGGTGTTGTCCTTAGGAAATGTAATGCTTTAGTCCATGTAATATACATTGATCTTCTTGGAAACATTTTTCTTGTTTTTTGAGATAGAGTCTCACTTTGTTGCCAGGGCTGGAGCGCAGTGGCGTGATCTCAGCTCACTGTAACCTCTGCCTCCTTGGTTCAAGTGATTCTCATGCCTCAGCCTCCCAAGTAGCTGGAATTACGAGCATGGGCCACCACTCCTGGTTAATTTTCTTATTTTTAGTAGAGACAGGGTATCACCATGTTGGCCAGGCTGGTCTCGAACTCCTGACCTCAAGTGATCTGCCTGCCTCAACCTCCCAAAGTGCTGGAATTACAGGCATGAGCCACCTCACCTGGCCCTTAGAAACATTCTTTTTTTTTTTTTTTTTTGAGACGGAGTCTCGCACTGTCACCCAGGCTGGAGTGCAATGGCGTGATCTCGACTCACTGCAACCTCTGCCTTCCGGGTTCAAGCGAGTCTCCTGCCTAAGCCTCCTGAGTAGCTGGGATTACAGGCATACGCCACCACACCCAGCTAATTTTTTGTATTTTTAGTAGAGATGGGTTTTACTATGTTAGCTAGGCTGGTCTCGAACTCCTGACCTCGTGATCTGCCCACCTTGGCCTCCCAAAGTGCTGGGATTACAGGCATGAGCCATTGCGCCTGGCAGAAACATTCTTAATGAATTGAGTCCAGTAGGGACATCTATAGGTCTGTGGTTGATAAAAGAGGAGTTCCTTTTTTTTTAATCCTAGGCAGGTATAGCTTCCGTACAAATGTCAACAAAAAGAGTCAAACTCCATAAAATATTTAAAAAGGTTTACTATGAGCCAAATATGAGTGACCATGGCCCCAAGGCACAGTCTCAGGAGGACCTGAGAACATGTGCCAAAGGTGATTGGTTTACAGTTTGGTTGTATAGTTTTTAGGGAGATATATCAGTCAATACATGTGATGTATACATTAGTTCAGTCCAGAAAGGCAGGACAACTTGAAGCAACGGCTTACAGGAATTAGTTGAATTCAAAGATGTTCTGATTGGCAATTGTTTGAAATAGTTGTTATTATTGAAAAGACCTAGACTCAATAGATAAAGGATGTCTGGGTTAAAATAAAGGGTTGTAGAGACAAGGTTCTTATTATGTAGATGAAGTCTCACAGGTGGCTACCCTTAGGGACAATAGATGGCAAACGTTCCCTATTCAGACCTTTAAAAGGTGCTAGACTCTTAGTTAATCCTTCAGGATTGGGAGGGCCTAGAAGGGGAAAGATCTGGTTATGTTAATAGAGATTCCTTACGGATGCAACTCTTCCCCACAGAAGATGGCTTTGCAGGGCCATTTTTCAAAATAAGGCAAAAAATATTTTGGGATAAAATATTTTGATTTATTTGTCATTTGATGTTATGGCAGAGTTGGGTTGGAAGGTAAGCCACATTAAATTACTTATTTTCACAGTGGTGACGTGCTTTAGTTCCACTCAGATTTTGGGGTATTGGCAGAACTGACTGGGTATAAGACATGAATTGTACAGAGTTAAATAAAACCCACCTAATAATATTTTATGGTTTTCAGAGTGTGATGCTCCAACCCCCTTAGACAGGAATTTGGGCAAGAGAGAAAAAAAGGTCAGAATTCAGTCCTCACAGATGACAGCCTGCTGTATTTTTTGTTTGTTTATTTGTTTTTGTTTTTTGAGATGCCCTGGTTCTGTCACCCAGGCTGGAGTGCAGCAGCACGATCTCAACTTACTGTAGCCTCCACCTCCTGGGTTCAAGTGATTCTCTTGCCTCAACCTCCCGAGTAGCTGAGATTACAGATATGTGCCACCACACTCGGCTCATTTTTTGTATTTTTAGTAGAGACAAGGTTTCACCATGTTGGTCAGGCTGGTCTCAAATTCCTGACCTCAAATGGTGAACTCTTGACCTCAAACTCCTAACCACCCACCTCGGCATCTCAAAGTGCTGGGATTACAAATGTGAGCCAACATGCCCAGCATGTATTTTTATTTTATAAATCCCCATCTCTAGAGTTAGGGAGATCAAATGATTGATGAGCACTTGTTATGTTTGTTTATCAAAGTCAAAATGAAAGTACTAAGCCAAATAATGAGTTGAGAAAAGAAGCAATTTTCACTGAGCACCTACTATGAGCAAGAAACCATGCTACATGTTTTACACCCAGTGAGTTCTGCCAGTGCCCCAAAATCTGAATGGAACTAAAGCATGTCACCACTGTGAAAATAAGCAATCTAACGACCCAGTTGTTGGAACTCTAAATTATTTTTAACCTTAAAGAAATGTGATTTGGGGGCCTGAGTCACATGCCAGGCCACTGTAACCAAGGCAGCTGTAACCGTGGTTTCTATGTTTATAGATTAAACCTTCTTTCTTACCTGCATTGTTCGGTGAAATGTTGTAAATTACTGAAGGGTACAGGGGAAGACTCCTTCCCTCTCCACTGTTGATCTTCATGATAGAGTAACTTCCCTCTCCTCTTAGAAAGACTTCATCGCTATCACATTAAGATGGAATGTTAAATACACTCTTTTAAATTGGAAAGGAAATGAAAAACTATAAAGAAAAGAAAAGAAGACTTGGGGGACAAACTGTAACTAATTAATTTGTTGTAACTCTTAAACCAGCTGTTATAGAAATTGTTGTAATCCTGTTAAATTCTTTTGTCTTTTTCCTACATAAGCAAGAACTTAATTTTCAGCTTTGGAACACTGACTCCATTTCTGTGGAGTCTGTGTGTTACCGAATGGCCACTCCTAGCCTTTTGCTTGAATCAACTCTTTAAAACTGGATTCTGACACTTTTGATTATTTCAAATTGATGCTGCAATCAATGCCTACATCACAACTTGTCTTGAACTAAGCACACAATCATTCATACCCTCATCATATACACAAACATATTACATACATTAGATATGCACCCATAAAATACACCTTCAATCCCTTGCACAGCATCAATCACATGCATAGTCTAGATCACACACACCCATATCAATCACACTATACTCACTCTGTGCACATAACATATATGAATGTCACACACATTGCAGTCATATAATTTATTTAGGGAAGGGAAGATTGTTCAGCTTGGGTATGTATCAAGAGAGTCAATATCAGGAAAGTCTTGGGTTAATCAAGAACAGATGCCATATGAGCTGAATGTCGACAAAAGTATAAGAGTAAATTAGGTAAATGAAGACAAAAGTGTATTCCAGGCAGAGAAACAACACAGGCAAAGTTATGGTATCAAGAAATTATGCTATTCATAACTCTAAGTATTTGGAAAACATTGACAAATAAATGCAAGAGGGGAGTGGTAGGACTATTGATGGAGGCAGGGGCTGCTACTTAGAAAGCACTGAATACTCTACCAATACCTGAGGATGTGCATAGACTTTCTAGTTGCCGATAGGTTCTACCATCTTTAGGTCTTCTATGCTATCAACATACCCGTCCATGCTACAATGGAATTCAATGTAGTTGAAGCTCCTGCTCTCTGTGTAGCTATTTTTGGAATTCTCCTGGTGACACTTGAGTACTTTGAGAGGATTCTGGACCCATACATATGCATTTCGGAAGCGATCCATCCAGTTGTCACTAGTGCATATATGCTCGATTTTGTACCATGAGATATAGATAAACATGTGAGAGCTCTTGTCTTTCAGAGCTTCATTTTCTCTCATGAGGACATCACATTTGTACTCTCTGAATTCTCGACTTGGACTTAAGTAGTGCTGTTTCATGAATTCTCTCCAAGAAACTTCTTTGCTCTGTACAAGCAGTGTGCATAGGATGCAAAGTAGGGCCAAGAGTGTGCCCCAGATCTTTAGAGACGATGCCATCTCAGTCACCGGGGCCGCCTGCGTGTCCACAGAGAAGAGAAAGAAAAGCATTATCCAGACAATGCCCAGAGAGCTGAACTCCACCTTAAAATTCCTTCCCCACCAGGCAGGCACTTGGGTGCAATTTTACTATTTGGTTCCCCGATGAGAAGATGCTAATTCTCATTAGAGAATAGAGTTTCTAAGAACTAAAAACACGCTTCAGCCTGTGTAAGCGAAACACATAATTAGAAAAAATAGATGAAGTTCATTTTGAGAATTCCAACCATCTCCTCTCATCCCTCTCTTACACCCAACCTGAGGAGCCAATCACCCTCCAGCTGGCTCCTTTTTACCAGACCAACTCTCAGGAGATCATGTGTCCAAAAGAGAATGATATTTTAAGGTTTATGTCCTTGAAGTGGAAAGGGTTGTCAGATTTTAGGGAAATGTAGAAAATGAGTAACTACTTGGGAAGTGGTTCCTAGGTAGGAAGGCTTCGATTCGCTAAAATGACAGCCTAGCCTGCAATTACTTCTTGCCTGCTTCTCCAATTACTTAATGATGCTTCTCCAATCTTGACTTCCTTATAACACTTTCTCCAAAGCCTGAGTGGAACGTATGTTCATTACTAACTACCCATATTCCTTCTCAGGGGTCATTCCCCTAATTATCACTATTACAAATGATCTTGGTTTGTCAGAGCTGCTCCTTGAAAATGTCATCATAAAATAACTCCAGTTTTGAGGTTTTTATTTGTTTATTTATTTTTGAGACAGAGTCTCACTGTGTCACCCAGGCTGGAGTGCAGTGGCACAGTCTTGGCTCACTGCAACCTTCACCTCCAGGGTTCAATAGATTCTCTGTCTCAGCCTCCCACGTAGCTGAGATTATAGGTGCCTGCCACCACACACAGCTAATTTTTGTATTTTTTTTAGTAGAGACAATGTTTCGCCATGTTGGCCAGGCTAGTATCAAAATCCTGGCCTCAAGTAATCTACCCACCTCGGTTTCCCAAAGTGCTGGGATTCTCAGGCATGAGCCACTACACCCAACCAGAATTCCAGATTTGAAATATTCCTGTAATCAATCAAGCACCAAGACTAAAAGAGCCCCCACAGTGGCTTCTGTGGTGATAGCATGGAGTGTGGGGATCTTTTTGAAAGAGTCTACCGTTTAAACTAGTGCTCTGTCCTCATTTACCATGAGAAGTGTTCCCGCCCTTACTGAATCTCTAACCTGATTCACAACTCTGAGCATTGGTGTCCTCAGATGGACTTAATAATAGCTCCCTACAGACCTGCAAGTGTCTAATGAGACGCATGTATTTGAGAGCACTTCTAATGATGTCAAATGTCCACATCAGACACAGAACAAAGGGTCGGTACTTCCTATCTGTGGAACCCTGTCCTGATGATAAAGACCTACAGAGGATAGAAGAGCAGGATGTAAGCGGTTTTAATGCATTGTGTTTGAGAAGACTGGGGGTGAAGGAAGGGAGGGGCAGGGAAAGCCTGTATCAGTGGGACTGAGGCTGACCAGAATTCACACCTTTGTTTTCCATGATTTGGATCCTTCTCCATTGTTTGCTATCTAAAAGTTCAATCAGCCTCCTTTCAGTGCTCCTGGCTGTCCCCCAAACATCCTCAGCAGAGCCCTTCTTACCCTACTCAGACTCCAAGTTCAGGTCACTGGTTGTAGTTGGGATCAGTGTGTGGATCTGAAGAGCAGAGTCTGAGTCCTCCTTTCCTCAGGGCCCTGGAAATCTGCAGCAGTGGAGAAAGGAATAGCAGGGGGAGCTGCAAGGCTCCAGCTGATTGGTAGTGGAGGTGGTGATGGGGAATAGCCTTATTATGTGAACTTGTTCCTGTATCTTCTCATCTGGAACACTTGAGTTTATTCAGACAGTGGCCTCAAGCAAAGGCTACAAACATCAAAGGCTGACTCCAGGGCACAGAAGAAGTGCAAGACCCTAGAGTGAGGTGACCCCAGAAAGGGGTTATCTGGTGCTATCAGTAGACAACGAGAGACCTGGCTTCTGCACTCAATTTCTGACAAAGTTCTGGGAAGTCCCTGGAGGGTTATGCTATGTTACACAGAAACTTCTCTGAAGAAAGCCACTTATAACATTGTGAACTGTGGGACTTTCGTTGAGAGGTGAAAGAGTATCTAGTGAAACTGGTGGCCAGATAGTTATGATTAGGTAGCCAGTATCTGAAGTTTTACTAGGCAGTTTGTTATTGTCGATGAAACGAGTCAGCTGGGTGTGGTGGCTCACGCCTGTAATCCCAGCACTTTGGGAGGCCAAGGCGGGAGGATCACCTGAGGTCAGGAGTTCAAGACCTACCTGGCCGAGGTGGTGAAACCCCATCTCTACTAAAAATACAAAAATTAGCTGGGCGTGGTGGTGGGCACCTGTAATCCCAGCTACTTGGGAGGCCGAGGCAGGTGAATCGCTTGAACCTGGGAGGCAGAGGTTGCAGTGAGCCGAGATCACGCCATTGCACTCCAGCCTGGGCAACAGGAGCAAAACACCATTTCAAAACAAAAGAAAAGAAAAAAAAAAGAGTCAAACTCTGTAAAATATTTGAAGAGATTTATTCTGAGCCAAATATGAGTGACCATGGCCTATGACACAGCTCTCAGGAGGTCCTGAGGACATGTGCCCAAGGTGGTTGGAGCACAGCTGGTTTTATACATTTTAGAGAGGCATGAAACATCAATCAAATACATTTAAGAAATACATTGGTTTGGTCCAGCAAGGCGGGACAACTCAAAGCTGATGGGGAGTGGAGGGCCTCCAGGCCATAGGTGTATTTAAACATTTTCTGGTTGACAACTAGTTTTGTCTAAAGACCTGAGATTGATAGAAAGGGAATATTCAGGTTAAAATAAAGATGGTAGAGACCAATTCTTTCGAAGTCTTATAGTGGCTGCCCTTAGAGACAATAGATGACAAATGTTTCCCTTTCAGATCTTAATTAATATCTTTAGGATTGGAAGGTCTGGAAGAAAAATATTTAGCTATGTTAATAGAGATTCTTTACAGATGCAAATTTTCCCCCACAAAGAACAGCTTTGCAGGGCAATTTCAAAATGTGGCAAAGAAACATGTTTTGGGGCAAAATACTTTTTCTTGTTTGTCTGGTAATGTTATGCCAGAGTCAGGTTGGAAAGTAAAACATGATATACAGGGTTAAATAAAACTCATCTGATGAGAATTGATGATTTGTAGGGCATGACTCCCCAGACCCCTTAGATAGGAATTTGGGCAAGATAAAAAAAATCAGAGTTTAGTCCTCATTAACAATAACCTTTGCTGACGCTGTAGTCCTTACTGCCTTAGTAAAATGTCAGGTAGCCTAGCCATAGTTTCCACAATGTTCCTATATATCACATCTGACTCTGAAGTATGCATCACAAGGTGTTGACCTAATTGTTTTTCAGGAACTCAAGACTCAGCCCTAAACTCAGCTCACTCTGGTCAAGACCACCAGCCCTTAAACTGAGTTTGTGTGAGCATCCCATGGGTGACCTTTCCATATCACATCTGGAATTTCCAGCACGTTTCATACCAACTCCCCCTAAATTGGTATATGCAACGAATATTGTTTCAGTAACAGTAACCAAAGGTTTCACTTATGGATAATGTAAGATACTTGAATGTATTTTCTTTTTCTATTTATTTATTTACTTTGGAGACAGAATCTCCCTCTGTCACCCAGGCTGGAGTGCAGTGGAGCAATCTTGGCTCACTGCAACCTCCATTTCCCAGGCTCAAGTGAATCTCCTGCCTCAGCCTCCCAAGCAGCTGGGACTACAGGTGGGCACCCCCACACCCTGGTAGTTTTTTGTATTTTTGGTGGAGGCGAGGTTTCATCATGTTGGCCAGGCTGGTCTCGAACTCCTGACCTTAAGTGATCCGCCCGTTTCGGCCTCACAAAGTGCTGAGATTACAGACGTGAGCCATTGTACCTGGTCTTGAATGTATTTTCTATCAACATCCGCAAGGCCACTCCTACCTGAGCCACCTTGGTTGAGTTTGTCACTGGACCACCTAGCTATTAGAATGTCAGAATATTCCGTTTATATCCAGAACTTTTCTTCATACTTCAGCTCCTGTCAAGCAATCATTGAATAATAGGGAATCATGTGCTGATAGACTCTGTGGGGCACGGGAGAGATATTGTTCCTATGGAACTGAACTGGGGTCTGATCGTCCAGCACAGTAAGATCAAATATCCACACCAAGGTCTGCGGCAGGAGAAAGGAGGGAGTTTATTTGCAAAGCAGCAAGCAAGGAGAACCTTGTGGCTCACACTGAAGACCTGACCTCTCTGATGACTTCAGGTAAGGGTTTTTAAAGGCGGGAAAAGGCCGGGTTCGGTGGCTGACGCCTGTAATCCCAGCACTTTGGGAGGCCGAGGCAGGCGGATCACGAGGTCAGGAGATCGAGACCATCCCGGCTAATACAGTGAAACCCCGTCTCTACTAAAAATACAAAAAAATTAGCCAGGCGTGGTGGCGGGCGCCTGCAGTCCCAGCTACTGGGGAGGCTGAGGCAGGAGAATGGCGTGAACCTGGGGGGTGGAGCTTCCAGTGAGCCGAGATTGCGCCACTGCACTCCAGCCTGGGCGACAAAGCGAAACTCCGTCTCAAAAAAATAAATAAATAATTAAATAAAGGCGGGAATAAATTTCAGGAAAGCAAAAGTTACAGGCAAAATAGTAAATTAAAATGTGGAGATTACACATTAGTTTGGCTGAATAAGGCAAGGTATTGAAGCAGGGGCTCACAGGTCATAGGTAGAGTCAAAGATCATCTGATTTGCAATTGGTTAAGGAGATGAAAGTTTGTTTAAGAATGGGGGTCAGCAGAACAGAATGTTAGCTTTGGATCATGGGTGTGACTTTCTCCAGGCCACTCGAAATAATTTAGATGAACGGTGGTGAGAGTTTAGTCCTCAGTTTCCCCCTTATCTGAGGTCTATGTGCCAGCAGATCTGTTTGTTGGGGGTCTGAGTTTCTGAAGAACTCAGGGATGTATGTTAAGATGCTATTTTTAGTTTCTATAGGGAACCAAACATCCCCTGATTCTAACTTCCCTGGTTATTGTTTTAAGCTAGCATTACCTTCTTGCTTATCTAGTTCCTCTTTTTTCTTTTCAAGGCTAGCTAAGAAATTGAAGATTTTCCTTTATTTCCATGCTGGGTTGGGGAGGGTGCCCTGCTCACCTCTAAGATAGATCCCTGCTCTGTCTTATTGCCTCAGAGCAGGTTCTATGCATCCTCCTACTCTCTAGGTCTTTTGATGATAGAGAAGAGATAAAGGAAACAATTCTGGGCATCTGGATTTGGATGACTTGAGAGGCGATTCTGAGGGAAAATCAGTCGTTTGTCATGTGCCCACACATCCAGAGCTCTTTCCAACAAGTGTGCATTATCTATTGAAGACTTAAATTCAAGTAGTGACTCAAGGAATGTAGAGAGAGGTGGGAGAGAGAAGCTACCTGAGCCAATGTTCGAAGAAGCAAGCTAAGAAAGAGCTCTAGAGCTTTTCAAGGCATCATATCTGATGATATATTCTAGTACATCAGTGAGTAATTTTGAGAATTTTTAGAAGTAATGCATTTGAAAGTAGTTTTAAAACAATAAAATGTAACCAAATGCAGGCTTGGCTGCTTGCAAAACCAATAACAAGGACAAGATGCAGTGAAAAGAAAGAAGCTTTATTCCAGAGCTAGCACTGGAGAAGTGGCCATGGCTTGTGCCTTAAAGGAACCATTTCAAACTTTAGCCTGGGGAGAGGGGCTTACAAAGGGAACTTGCAGTGGGTGGCATGCAAGGAGTGGTGCTGGGTACAGGTCCGTGCGTCTCGTTCTGGTGGCTATCTTGAGTCATGGTCCACCTGGAGCATGGGCTGGCATCATCCCCACAATGGCCGGGTTGTTGACTAACTGCTTTGAGGTAATCTCTGGAATTTTGCAGCTGGGTTTCCATGCCTGTAATCTGTCTCAAAATTAGTCCCTAGAACTTCTAAGTAAGCACATATTTAGATACAAGCCTACAGTCAGATAAATGTATGTGACGTAAGGGAGTGTACGGTGGGAAATGGCGGGGGAACAAAGACTCTTGGTATGTTTCAAAGCTATATATTAAGACTGAGGAGGGGAAAAAATTTCTGCAGTTTGCTTCAAGGTTATATCTTGAGACTAAAAAAAAGAGAGAAAAAAAGAAAAAAGTTTTAAAATGCATTTTCTTTCTTTCTTTTTTTTCTTTTTCTTTTTTTTTTTTTTGAGGCGAGTTTTTGCTCTGTTGCCCAGGTTAGAGTGCAGTGGCACGATCTTGGCTCACTACAACCTCCACCTCCTGGATTCAAGTGATTCTCCTGCCTCAGCCTCCCAAGTAGCTGGGATTACAGGTGCCCTGCCACCACGCCCGGCTAATTTTTGTATTTTTAGTAGAGATGAGGTTTCACATGTTGGTCAAGCGGGCCTTGAACTCTTGACCTCAGGTGATCCACCTGCGTAGGCCTCCCAGAGTGCAAGGATTACAGGCCTGAGCACCGTGCCTGGCCTGAAATGCATTTTTGAAGTTCAGTTACTTGGTTACAGCTCCCTACTGTCAAATCCCATCCATTTCTATGGGAAGTGGTCAATGCAGGCGATCTGGCTACTTCCTGCTGAAAAGAGGCATAATTAGGAGGTAATGGGATGGAATCTGCTTACCTGGAGTTGGAAATATTCTTGAATTCCCAGATTGACAGTGGGAACTTGCTGGAGCATTTTGGTGTGGGGAACTAAGAGCTGCTGAGAAGTCTGTCTTGCATCCCCATACAGACAGCACAATAGCAATAAAATCCATAGCAGCTGAAGAAGACACTGAGTAGAATGCCAATTAAGCGATGTATAAGTCTTCCATGCACTAGGGAGTTGACTAAAGCGTGCCATCACAAGGCCTTAGGATGAGGCATCTATGGTGGAAATATTTAAGGCCTTCATAGCTAGGGTTACACTGTGGGAATAATCTGATACACACACACACACACACACATACACGCAAGACTCAGTCTTAGTTAATGCACATGTGCCACCTTGGGCTGCAGGCAGGATATCTAAGGCCATACAGTTCTTTAAGGCTGTCTAATCTGTGAGGTTTCTTCAGGGAGAAAGGTGATGGCAGAGTGAGTGTTATTAAAGGCAGCAGCCATATGCTTAGCTACGGCCTCTACTTGTAATTTTACATCTATGGCCGCCTCCTGGGGGGTAAAACCACAAGGGTGTCCATTTCTGATGACAATATCTGGCTTTTATGCTTTCCCAATTGGCAGGGAGAGGATCCAGATGGGACAGGATATGTCCCGGTAAGGGTGCCCCCAGTTGCATCTCCTGGTTCCATTATAAGGTAAGTAATGCAACCATGAGTGCCGCAGGCCCATAGCCAACCCCACGTGGAGGGATGGGCCCCAGTATGAAGATGGGCATTATTCTGCTATCCTAGCCACATACCATCAGTTAGCTGGAGAGATTGGCTACATTGTTGAGGATGTAACCATCCCATATGGTGGGCTATGGTGTGCTTGACCCATTACTTGTATTTGTACTGCGGTCAGACATCCCATGCCATCACATACAGCATATCCCAAGGTGGGGGTACTGTTAATCTATTAATAGAATAGGCAAATAAGGTGTCTCTGAGTTTCCTGGTAGGAGGGGAACCCACTGTGGGAGGTGCTATGATCATAGAAGGGGAATGGGTATGAACTCCTATACCAGGTATATAAATGACTCCAATTGCTCAGGTTGGCGGCTTGTAAGCACCATGGCAAGCATGCAGTGCAGGAAAGGAGTAGTTCCCACAGACCCAGCAGTCTGTTTTATTTTGAAGAGAAGCCACCGTTTGTAATGCGCTAGGTCAGCGAGAGCCTCTCTCCCATAGCGTGTCCCTTCGTGCAGATGCTTAAAATTGGGTAAACTAAGGCCTCAGGGAGTAAGATCATCCTGTAACCATTCGTTTCCCAGAGAGAATTAGAATCTGTTTTATCAAACTCCAGGCCCTGGTGCATTTTTTATGTTGTTCAGTGTAATGAGGTTTGAAGTCTGATAAGTTCAAATGGGATATTAAGGCCTCCAGTGTTTTTGCTTCCCAAGCAGCCTGTTTTGCAGTCTTATTGGCTGCCTGATGGCCTTTGGTTGTTTGCAAATTTTTTTTTTAGACAGAGTTTTGCTCTTGTCGCCCAGGCTGGAGTTCAATGGTTCGATCTTGGCTCACTGCAACCTCTGCCTCCCAGGTTCAAGTGATTCTCCTGCCTCAGCCTCCTGAGTAGTTGGGATTACAGGCACCCGCCACCATGCCTGGATAATTTTTTTGGTATTTTTTAGTAGAGATGGGGTTTCACCATGTTAGCCAGGCTCATCTCGAATTCCTGACCTCAGGTGATCCACCCACCTCAGTCTTCCAAAATACTGGGATTACAGGCATGAGCCACCTGCGCCTGACCTGTTGTTTGCAAATTATCTTTCTTGTGTCCGGGGCAGTGCATAACGGAGGTGTGGGCAGGCAAGGCAACTGCTTCTAATAAGGCCAGAATTTCCACTGGGTGCTTAATGTCCTTGTCTCCTGATGTCAAGAGGCCTCTTTCTTCCCAGATGGCTCCATGAGCATGTCCTTTCATGAAAGCGTAGCTGGAATCAGTGTAAATGTTTTCTTGCTTCCCCTGGGACAGTTTAAAGCTCTGGTAAGAGCAATTAACTCAGCCCTTTGTGTGGAGATAAGGGCATGGGCTTGTATTACCCTGTTGGTGGTCACCATGACATACCCAGCTCTGTGTTGTCTATCTTCCATGAAACTGCTCCCCTAGGTTACAGTTCTCAATCTGGGGCATCCAATGGCTGGTCTGACAGGTCCTGCCTGCTGGAATAGACTGCATGAACAATTTCTAAAATGTAATACTCTAACCTGGAATCAGATTCAGTAGCTGGGAGCAGTGAGGAAGAGTTTAGAGCCTGGAGGTTTGCAAGGTGATATCTGAGTCATCCAAGAGGATGGCTTGGTATTTCCCCATTCACCCCACAGTGAGCCAGTAAACTCCCTTTTGTTCTAGCAAAGTCAACACCTGATGGGGCACAAAGAGAGTGACCTGCTGTCCCAGGGTAAACTTTTCTGCTTTCTGTAGGACTTCACAAGTGACTGCCAATGCTTGAAGGCAAGGGTCCACCCTTAGTCATTTGATTCAATTGTTTAGAAAAATAGTGTATTGGCTGTGGGGTGTCTTCAGCTTCTGGATTAGCACACCTAGACTGACCTATGCCTTGTTTCTTATAAATGTAGAGTTTGAATGGCCTTTGGGATTCTGGCAATCCCAACACTGGGGCTGATACTAGCTTTTCCTTGATGATATTAAATCTGTGTTGGCACTTGGCCGTCCAAGGCAGGGGCTCAGAGTCTAATCCCTTTAGGGTTTCATGAAGGGGCTTAGTCATCAGTCCAAAACTAGAACTCCAAATCCAACAGAAGCCAGCCATGCCTAAGAATACTTGAAGTTGTCTCCTATTTTCAGGAGCTTTGATGGCTCCTCTTGCCTTTCTTTAACCTGAATCTGAGATAAGTTTACTTTTTGTTTACAGATTTGTAAACAGACACTTTGTATCCACCCTGGGCCAGGTGGTTTAGAACTAGGATGGTGTTAGACAAACATTTTTCCTGCTTGAGGCTATCTATAAGTAAGTCATCTACATAGTATAGCAGGACTCCATCAAGTTTTGTTTTGAGATGGAGTCTCGCTCTTTCACCCATGCTGGAGTGCAGTGGCGCAATCTCAGCTCACTGCAACCTCCGCCTCCTGGGTTCAAGCGATTCTCCTGTCTCAGCCTCCCGAGTAGCTGGGATTACAGGCACACGTCACCACTCCCAGCTAATTTTTTGTATTTTTAGTAGAGACAGGTTTCACCATGTTGGCCAGGCTGGTCTTGAACTCCTGACCTTCAGTGATCTACCTGTCTTGGCCTCCCAAAGTGCTGGGATTACAGGTGTGAGGCACCGTGCCTGGTTGTTCTTGCTTTTTGAGACAAGGTGTTGCTCTGTCACCCAGGCTGGAGTACAGTGGTGTGATCATGGCTCACTGCAGCTTCAAACTCCTGGGCTCACATGACCCTCCCATCTCAACCTCCCAAGTAGTTGGGACTACAGGCATGTTCCACCATGCCAGGCAAATTTTTTGTTGTTGTTTTGAGAGAGTTTCACTCTTGTTGCCCAGGCTGGAGTGCAATGGCATGATCTCAGCTCACTGCAACCTCCGCCTCCCAGGTTCAAGTGATTCTCTTGCCTCAGCCTCCCGAGTAGCTGGGATTACAGGCACGCACCACCACACCCAGCTAATTTTGTATTTTTAGTAGAGATGGGGTTTCTCCATGTTGGTCAGGCTGGTCTCGAACTCCCAGCCTCAGGTGATCTTCCTGCCTTGGCCTCCCAAAGTGCTGGGATTATAGGCATGAGCCACTGCTCCTGGCCCAAGGCCAATTTTTAAATTATTTGTAGAGACAGGGCCTCACTATGTTGCCCAGACAGGTCTTGAACTCCTGGGCTCAAGCAATCCTAGTGCTTCAGCCTCCTGAAGTGCTGGGATTACAGGCATAAACCGCTATGGCCAGCAAGGAAGGTCACTTCGGTCTTTAGGTCATGCCATTCAAAAGTAAACAATTGTTGGGATGCAGAAAAATGCATCCTTTAGATCCAACACTGAAAACCATCTGTAGTTTCCAGGTATAGCAGTAAAATATATGGGTTAGGTACCATTGGATGAATATCCTGGACTATTTCATTAATAGCGCTCAGGTCTTAAATCGATATTCATTGGAATGTGGCTTTCTTACAGGCAGGATGGGAGTGTTATATAGGAACTTATAACGACAGGTCAGTCCATTTTCCAGAAATTTTTGTAGGATAGATTTTATCTCTTCTGAGGCTTCCTTTTTTAATGGGTGATTTTTTTTTCCAGGGCACTCCAGCCCCCTCTTTTATCTCCATGTGCACTGGCTGCATGTTTCTTGCTTTTCCTGAGACCCCCGTCTGCCCAAATGCAATATTCACTCTTTAGCAGACTTCTGGGGAAAAAGCTTTTTCCTTTTTCATCTCAGGGTGAGTGAGTAGCATCTATAGTCTCAGTGTCTGTTCTGGTGGGACCTGCAGGTATAATTGCTGTTTTTCCGGGGGAAAAAGTTACTTGAGCACTTAATTTGCATAGTATGTCTTGTTCTAGCAGGAGAATCAGCCATTCTGGCATATAGAGAAGGCTGTGCCTTAGTTCCGGGTTTTCCAGTTTGCATTCTGAAGGTTGTAAGAAAGCCTTTTGTTGCCTTCCTCCTGCAACCCCTGTCACAGGCACAGTCATTTTGGTGCTCTTTGCCTCTGGGGTGTTAGGAACTGAGTAGGTCACTCCCTTTTTGACCAATAAATCAATTAGTTTGTTCCCCATTGTCAATTGCACCCAGGGCTTCTGTGAGGAAATTCCTCATTCTCTATCAGAGCTGTAGTCCTGGTTCCACCATCTGCTGGTGGGTCCTTTCCTTCGCGCTTTCCTTTTTTTGTGGCCCTTGGCTTCCTTCATTTTGGGGCAGTTAACCTTCCATTGGCCCTCTTCCTTATGACAGGTGCATTGGTTGTGGCCCAAAGGCTTACCCTGACTTTTCTGGCATGGAGGCTTCCCTGCTTATTCCACATATACGGTGCCTGACTTGTATTTCTTTGCCATTGTACACTGTGAAAGCAATGTCAACTAGCTGAGAAGGGGTAATTCCAGTGCAGCCTCTTTTCTTTTCTAGCTTTCTCTTTATAGCAGGGGCACTCTGCTGAATGAAAGTCTTATATACCAACCTCGAATTCTCAGGGTCTTCTGGTTTCATATCAGTGTATCTGCAGAAGGCTTGGTAAATGCATTCTAAGAATTCAGAGCGGTCCTTATTTGCCTTTTGAATGACTGTCTGAACTTTATTGAAGCTCTTTTGGTTTGGCGCCCCCTCCTGATTCTGACCTGAATGCATGCTTGGTAGTGTTCCAGATGGGTCATGTCCCCATCTCAATTGGGGTCTCAATTAGGGTTTGTACCTGGAATTGCCCCTGCAGGATCGGAGATATTGTTTGTCTCATGGAGGTGATGGGCCTCTTCATTTGCCTTCTCTATTACTAGCCTTCTTTCATCTGTGGTCAGAAGCATAATAAAAAAGACCAAACATCTGCCCAGGGGGGCTGGTGGGTAGCAAAGATGGATTCAAAGAGATTAGTCATTTTCTGGGGGTCTTCTCTATAAGGTTGTTTGGAGCTTTTCCAATTTAGCAAGTTGGATGTTGAAAATAGGCTGTAAGTCCAGTAATGTCTGACAGATGGCACTTCTATGTGTGAACCACCCATAGGCATCTGCCTAAGTGGGAATTGCCCTGCTCCAGTCACAGTATTGCCCTGTCCAAACAGAGTGCCCTGTTGGGTCTTGGAGGGACAGACCATTCCAACTCCCTCATCATATTGAGATGGGGCAGTAGCCCCTTCCTCCAAATTTGGAGCATCATGTGGTGATGGTGAGGCAGCCAACTAGCTGTGGAGAAGGTGGTGAGGCAGCCAAGTAGCTGTGGAGAAGGTGGTGCAGCAGCCATGGCGGCAGGAGCTGCTGGGGCAGCTGGGTTTAAAGCATTTAAAAGAAATCTTTATCCCTTTGTTCCTGCATCTGGCTATCTGGCTTATGAAAGACCCTCTTCTCATCTCTTTGTACAGCCAGCAGAAGCCCCCTGCCCCATCCTGAATCCTGATTTTGCAATAATATGAGAACTTGGAATAAGGCATTTCTTCCCATTTCCCAGATCTCTGACAAAATAATTCTAACTGAATTAAAGTCCAGTACAGGGTACTCCTGTTCAGAGGCCAAATTCATCACCTAATCTGTAAGAAGTCTAAACAGTATTGTAGGCCTGGTGAGGTGGCTCACACCTGTAATCCCAGCACTTTGGGAGGCCAAGGTGGGCAGATCACCTGAGGTCAGGAGTTTGAGACCAGCTTGGCCAACATGGTGAAACCCCCATCTCTACTAAAAGAGATTAAAAAATTAGCCAGACATGGTGCCTCGTGCCTGTAATCCCAGCTACTCGGGAGGCTGAGGCAGGAGAATCTCTTGAACCCTGGAGACAGAGGTTGCAGTGAGCCAAGATTGTGCCACTGCACTTCAGCCTGGGCAACAGAGTGAGACTCTATCTCAAGAAACAAACAAACAAACAAAAAACAATATTGTAATAATAGATCATCTTATTCTTGGTCATGAGCTCCTAGCTATAAGCCCTCCAGTTAGCGAGAATGCGACTCAGGGGCTTCTAGAGGGCATTGAGACCTTGTTGCCCATTCTGGCTTGGTTCCTGTACCTGTACCACTTGACCCTGCTGAAACAGTGGTGACACCTTCTTTTCACAGCCTTGTTTCTTCTGCTCCTGTACTCATCATCTCCCATAACTAGACTTCTAGAAGTTGGATGGATCTTCCTGACCTCACACAACCAATGTGAGTAAAACCACTCACAGTTCCAATAGGCACAATTGTGCAATTCCTGCCACACAGCAAAAACAGTCAGAGAGATCAGAGAATGAACTTCTTGGACAGGTAGGGGGAGACTGGCAATAATATCCGCTACCACATCAACCTTGTCCCACTTTCAGCTGTTGCTGTGCTCAGTGCTCTGATAAAGGATGACTGAATGACAACAAAGGGGGATGGCAAATCAGAGACAAAAAGGGGAACAAGGGTTGGAGTTGGGATTACTTAAGGACTTACCCCAGGTGTTTTCAGCCTTGTTTTCACACAGACAGCATTGAGCACTGTAAGCAGGGTGACAGGCCCACTTAGATAACCCGCAGAAGAGTCCACACACTTCTTTTCCCCCACAAGGTCTGGCACAGCTGTAAGATATACTTTGGGGTCCTAGAAAGATGACTTAGTCAAAGTGGTAGAGATTGTCCCCCTCCAGGGCTAGGTCCCTGGATTGACCGGGGACTTATGCAGGTCACCTTGCAGAGAAAAGAAAGAAAGAGAAAGAAGGCTGGGCCTGGGGGCTCACATTTATAATCCCAGCACTTTGGGAGGCAGAGGTGGGCAGACCACCTGAGTTCAGGAGTTTGAGACCAGCCTGGCCAACATAGTGAAACCCCATCTCTACTAAAAATACAGAAATTAGCCGGATGTGGTGGCACTCACCTATAGTCCCAGCTACTTGGGAGGCTTAGGCAGAAGAATTGCTTGAACCTGGGAGGCAGATGTTGCAGTGAGCCGAGATCACACCACTGCACTCCAGCCTGAGCAGCAGAGTGAGACTCTGGGAAAAAAAAAGAGAGAGAAAGAGAGAGATAGGTATGGGCCCAATGTAGATGCTACACACTCACACAGTCACAGATTCAGACAGTGCACTCCCAGATAGATCCCAACTGAGAGGGGCTACATACAAATCCTGAAGGCTTTTCTCAACCTCAGATGGCCCCACGAAGAGCCAAGTCCAAACAGAACAGAGCTCACATGGTGCCACGGATGGTGTACACACCCAAATGGCATCACAAGCAGCTAGGTCCAAACAGAACAGATCCCAAGTAGCATCACAGAAGAGGCAGAGGGGATCCAGGTGAACTCTGGTTGACTTAGCTAGTTCTGAAGTCCATTGACTTCTTCAGATGTCACTTTCCTTGTACCAGAGAAGGATAGTAGGTAGCAGACACTGTGACAGGGAGAGAAGGGAGGTTTCTCGAGACAAAGGTATCTCAGCAGCTTCAGGGAAATTTCCTAGTGCCCCAGCGATGGAGTCAGATAGCCATGAGCAGCTGGTATTCATTAGTGTTTCTTGTCCCATCTCATAGCATGAACGGTTAAGCCCTGGCACATTTCTGCAGCCAATTGCCTCACTTGTTGGAAACCAGATCAACCGGCTCAGACCACTCAAAACACACAGTGCTTCCCGTATGGGCCACCAAATTTGTAACCAAATTCAGGCTCGGCTGCTTGCTGTTTGCAAAGCCAATAAGAAGGATGAGATGCAGTGAAAATGACCTTATTCCATAGCTGGCAGTTGGGGAATGGCCAAAGCTCATGCCTTAAAGGAACCATTTCAAACTTTAGACTGGAGAGAGGGACCCTAAAAGGAACTTGTAATGGGTGGCATGCAGGGAGTGGTGCTGGGTACAAGGTCTATGTGTCTTGTTCTGGTGGCTATATTGAGTCGTGGTCCACCTGGAGCATGGGCTGGCATCATCTTAACAATGGCCAGGTTGTTGACTAGCTGCCTTAAAGTAGCATCTGGAATTTTGCAACTGGGTTTCCATGCCTAGTTCTGCCTGAAAATTAGCCCCTGGAACTTCTAAGTAAGCACATAATTAGATACCAGCTTACAATTAGATAAATGTGTAAGTATAAGGGAGTGTATGGTGGGAAAGGGAGGGAAACAATCTTAAAGTATGTTTCAAGGCTATATATTAAGACTAAATAGGGAAAAAATAAACTTTTTTTCTTTTTATTCCCTGAACGCTTCAAAAATATATTCCAGAAAACTTGAGGGACTTTCACTGGGCTTATGCCTTACTCCCTGAACTTTGTTAAGGCTCCTGTGCTTTGGCACTCCTTTACAGAGTCCAGCCAGAATGTGATCACAATAATGCTTGAGCTTGGGCCTATGCCCAGTGTTAACATTTTACCTGGGGCAGCTGTGGGCACTGCAACCTAAGATGACCTTACCCGGTTACTGGGGGAGTCAGCATGCAAACACTTGTCTCTGGCTTTTTTAAGACCATTTGTCACTCCTCAGAGAGTAAAAGTGTGTTTAACAAGGTTTGAACATTGGCTCAGGTAGGATTGTGGGATATAGGATACAGAAGAAAACAAATATAGAAAAGAACAAATTTTCCATTGGTTTTGGACCATCTCAACAGGTGACAATACTATTTTTCTTTTTTTTCTTTTTCTTTTTCTTTTTTTTTTTTTGTGATGGAGTCTCGCTCTGTTGCCAGGCTGGAGTGCAGTGGCACCATCTTGGCTCACTGCGACCTCTGCCTCCCGGGTTCAAGTAATTCTCCTGCCTCAGCCTCCCGAGTAGCTGGGACTACAGGCACATGCCGCCATGCCTAATTTTTTTTTTTTTTTTTTTTTTTTGGATTTTAATAGAGATGGGGTTTCACCATGTTGCCCAGGCTGGTCTCAAATTCCTGAGCTCAGGAAATTCGCCCTCCTTGGCCTCCCAAAGTGCTAGGATTAAGGCGTGAGCCACCGTGCCCAGCCGACAATACTATTTTTCAAATTTAACAGATCAGAAATAGAGAATAGAGATTGTACCCAAATGAGCCCCATGGGTTGCCCTGTGTCCTCGTCAATGCCTCCTCTAGGAAATTGTTGAAGGGAAAATTGTCCTGCTGGAGCTGAAGTGGCTCCCTGGCCAAATTGGAACCTCTGACAGGTGTGAGAAGGGGAAATCATTCCTGCATCTCATCATTCGTGGCCTCTTGGTCCCTCGTGGGGACTATGACTCTGGTGCCAGTGGCCTGGCCATAGCTCCTTCACCAGGTGAAGGAGGGAGCACCGACAGCTCATTTAACTGATCTAGCAAAGTATCATCTTCCCTTTCCTATGACTCCAACAGTACAGGCTTAGTAACAGTCTCCTGTACCATAACTTTACATTTTTCTCTATCAGCTTATATTGCCAAAGCAACGCAAAACACTGTCCATAAGGGATTTCTTTCCACTTTTCTTCCTTGTTACAAAAGAGGTCTAGATGCCAGATGACATTATAACTAAGGAACCCATTTTTGGCCACTTTTCCCCCACATTCTGATGGGTGAAGGGGCCAGGTTGTATTACAAAAGTAAATGTTTTTTTCTTTTAATGGGTTCTTAGGCAATGGATGCCCAATTTTGTGAAATGCAGCCTAACAGGCTGCCTGGGAGAACAAAATTAGCATTTTTCATATTAACCAAGGTAAAATTACAATTAACATACAAAAAAGACACAAACACCAGTTGCTCCTCTCAATATCTGAGTGCCTTTGATCCACTCCATGTGGGGAGGGATGACCTCTAGCCAGCAATGCAGTGAATGGTCACTCGTGATGAAGAGGGAGCAGAAGGCCACCCTGAACTAGGCCACCAAGCTGCTGCTGGTTGGTCCGTCAGCACTCACCAAAAGCAACTGCGAGGCAGAGAGGATGGGTTCCCTGAGTCAGGCCTACTGAGCTTCAGCTAGTGATTCCTTTAGAATGCCCCCTGACACACAGGTAAATGGGACAAACAAGAACAATAATGAGACCTCACAAGTCAGAAATCAGATTTCAGAACTGAGACCAAGAGGCCCAGGAGTAGTTCCCCTGGACAGTGCCCTGTGGGCTCCTTCCAAGTGGGAAAGATGCCCTTGAGCAGGGAGGGCCCTTTGTATATGTGGAGGAGGGTCAATGGGACCTCCAAAGAGGTGACAAAACCTCTAAGAAGTCCAGCAGATCAGAAGGAAATGGGGATGTTGCTTGTGCTTGGGAACACACAGCAAAGATGTCTTCCATTTCCAGAAACCATTCCTCCCCTGCAAGCAAGCCTGAGCTGAAGGTTGGCAGTGCCATGCTGGCAAGAAAGATTCCAGAGACTTCGGTGGGTCTCCAGGTTCACCACAGTGGCAAGAAGGCATTAAACCAGAGACAAATGCCCATGAGGAGCCTCCAGGCTAGCTCTTGTTAGAAATTAGAAACAAGATTTGGCGCTGCAAAAGGAATACCACTCAAATGGAAATTTTCTCAGCAAGGCAAATTTACTTCTACAGAAGGATGCAGCTTGTGCCAGTTATGATTGCAAGAGCACACTGAGCGGGGTAGGGCAGGGGTTTTTATTCCTAATGCAATTGGTTCTTACTGCTGTGTCCTTTCTCCATTGGCTGGGGTTGGAACGCACAGTCTAAACTGACCCCACTGGCTAATGTTTGAAATTGACCACAGCTATCTAGGCAGGAAGGGGAAGGCTATCCCTTATGGCACAAGGCATGTCTAGGCTTGTCAGGGCATGTCAGTGTGCGGAAAGGGTTGTTTACAGCATGGGTAACTGTAGAAACTAGAGAAACAAAGAACCAGAAGAACAGAGAATTAAAACCTTTTGAAGAGGAATTTATCATCTCTGACACTCTCCACTAAATTGTAACCACAATAGATTCATTGCCTGGTGCCCAGCAAGTCAACGTACCAAATAATGGCGATAGAGGCAGAGAAATAGTGTAATATTCCTAGGGCAGTCAAACAAGGGGATGGGAAGAAAACTCAAATTTGCCTCCCTCAGAGGTTTAGGGGTTGGGTTTATAAGGGGTTTGGACCCGGCTGAAGTGTGGGGATTTTTGATTCATCAAGAAGTGAGGGGTGCAGTCATGGGGACAGGGGGATGAAGAAACTGTAATCTTTTGCTGAGCCAGTTCCTTGGTGGGGGTCTTTAGACTGGTTGGCATCAGCTGCAACACTGAAATTCAAGATCTGAAACACCTTACAAAATTCTTGGCTGGACATGGTGGCTCTCACCTGTAATCCCAGCACATTGGGAAGCTGAGGCGGGTGGATCACTTGAGATCAGGAGTTCGAGACCAGCTTGACCAATATGGTGAAACTCCATCTCTACTAAAAATACAAAAATTAGCCAGGCATAGTGGCAGACACCTGTAATTCCAGCTACTCGGGAGGCTGAGGCAGGAGAATCCCTCGAATCTGGGAGGCGGAGGTTGCAGTGAGCCGAGATCACACTACTGCACACCAGCCTAAGCAACAGAGGGAGACTCCATCTCTAAATAAATAAATAAATAAATAAAATACTGGGAAAGGCAGAGAAACAACACAAAGCCAATATGCGAATTGCCTTTAAATGTATATCACTTTGTGTAACACATTCAGCTGATATACAAAGCTAATATATTAATTGCCCTTAAATGCACTTTCCTCTTGTACTGTTTTGAACCACTATCTGCTAACCTTTTAGTAAAAGCAACTTTTAAAGAGTTACTTACATGAGGTACTTGTGAGAACCTATTTTAGGAGAATAGAATATGCCACCACAAAGTATGCTCTGTAGCGCAAAGATTATTTTGAACTGCTTATTTTGAGAAACAGGATACACAGGAAAGCTCTGAAAATAGAGTACACGTTACCCTTCTGCAAGGAAAATGTGCATTCATAGGGAAACATCCATTCTTACAGATGTCTCCTTCTCTGTGCCAGAAGGAGAAAGGTGACCCTAAATCACAAGAGACCCTTCTCAGTGGAGAAGGTACTCGACTCAAATCTACATGACAAACCTTTCCCTCATTTACTATACTTTTCCTGGTCATCTCCCCGTGACTTGCTCCCCACGGGCATTTTCCTTAGCTTTAGCTGAAGATGTCATTTAAGCCCAAGTTCTAGCCACTGCTTTGAGTTACTCTCTTTCTCTCATGTATACATGAGATACACATGTTACCACATTTCTGTTTGTTTTTCTCTTCTTAATCTGGCTTTTCTTATGGGGCCCCAGCTAAGATCCTAAAAGGGTAGAAGAAAAAATTTTTTTTCCTCTCCTACACTATATTTTGAAGAGCATTTATCAAATGAGAAAAACAGTATTTTTTCCCCATATGTAAATTGATCATTGATGAAGAGCTACTGGTTTAATACTAGTCTCTTCTGAGTTTGGTTGGTGGAGATTGTCATCCCCAGGTGTCTGCTCCTCCCCAGGTGCACTCAAAAATTGCAAAGTTGAGGAACTGCCTTTGGTATATGATGACCAATCTAGATACACTGACTACTCATTGAGGCCAGAGTTCTAGGAAAGTGTGCAGTCACCTCATGAATAATGTTGATACTTTGGTCTTTTCCCTGATTGTTTCAAGGCCAGAGCCCTATGTTTCTGTGAAGCAAACATGTTTATTATCAGATAAAATCATTTGTGCTAATGTCTTCTACTTGACGTGTCATCCTTAGGAAATGTAATGCCTTGGCCTGTTTAACGTGCATTGACCTTCTTAGAAACATTCTTAAGGAATTAAGTCTAATAGAGACATCTGTAAGTGTGTGGTTGATGGAGGAGGTGTTCTTTTTCATCCTGGATGTGTATAGCTTTTATACAGATGACAGCCTACTCTATTTTTGTATGAGAAATTCCCATCCCTAGAGTCAGGGACAGCAGATAATTGATGGGTTCTTATAATGATTGTTTATCATAATCAAAATTAAAGTACAAAACTGGTGGGTGAATGGGAAAGGAAACAATTTTCGCTGAGTACCTATTATAAGCCAGAAACCATGCCACGTGTTTTATACCCAGTCAGCTCTGCCTATACCCAGAAATCTGAGTGGAACTAAGCGTGTCAGACTGTTAAAATCTACAATTTCAAATCTAAGTTGTTGGAACTCTAAATTATTTGGAACCTTAAAGGAAAGTGATTACGGTGCTTGAGTCATGTACCAGGCAGCTGTAACTAAGGCAAGTGTATCTTGCCTTCTCTGATTAGAGATTAAGCCTGTTTCTTACCTGCATTTGTGAAGGGGTCCAGGGAAGACTCATCCCCTCTCAACTGCTGATGTTCATTATGGATTAACTCCCCTCTTCCCTTTCTCATGCAAAGACTTCATCGCTTTCACATTGTCTTTTTGTTTTGTTGTTGTTGTTTTGTTTTTGTTTGTTTGTTTTCACGACAGGGTCTGGCTTTGTCACCCAGGCTGGAGTGCAGTGGCACAATCTCGGCTCACTGCAACCTCTGCCTTCTGGGCTCAAGCCATCCTCCCACCTCAGCCTCCTCAGTAGCTGGGACTATAGGCACATGCCACCATGCCTGGCTAATTTTTGTTTTTCTTTTGTAGAGACAGGGTTTTGCCATGTTGCCCAGGCTGGTCTCAAACTCCTGAGCTCAAGCGATCCAACCATCTCAGCCTCTGGGCTTTCACACTGTCTTAAGATGGAAAGTTAAACACACTTTTTAGAGTTGGAGAGAATTGAAAAACAACTATAAATAGAACAAGTCATGTGGTGGGGGGACAAAAGTGTAACCAATTAATTTGTTGTAACTCTTGAACCAGTCTGGTATAGAAAATGTAATCCTTTCTCACTTCTTTCTCTTTTTCCTACATAAAAAAGAACTTAACTTTTAACTTTGGAGTACTGACCCCATTTCTCTGGAATCTGTGTGCCACAGAATGTCCATTCCCAGCCTTTCACTTTAGTAAACTCTTTTTTTTTTTTTTTTTTTGAGATGGAGACGGAGTCTTGCTCTGTCATCCAGGCTGGAGTGCAGTGGCGTGATCTCGGCTCACTGCAACTTCTGCCTCCCAGGTTCAGGAGATTCTCCTGCCTCAGCCTCCCATAGCTAGAACTACAGGTATGTGCCACCAAGCCTGGCAAATTTTTGTACTTTTAGTAGAGACAGGGCCTTACCATGTTGGCCAGGCTGGTCTCAAACTCCTGACCTCAGGTGACCCACCTGTTTCAGCCTCCCAAAGTGCTGAAATTATGGGCATGAGTCACAGTGCCCAGCCCACTCCTTAAAACTGGATTTTGACCCTTTTGATTATTTCAAATTGCTACCACGATGAGTGCTTACATCACTACTTGTCTCCAGTTTAGCACACAATCATTTATATCCACATGATATACATAAACATATCACATACATTAGACACAGACACATAAAGTGCACATTAAACCCCTTGCACAGCCATAGGCAAAAATAGCCTAGATCACCGATACCCATACCAATCACACGATACATACTCTGCACACATAACATATATAAGCGTCACATACGTTAGAATAATATATTTTATTTAAGAAAAGGAGGGTCGTTCAGCTTGGGTAGGTATAAAGAGAGTCAATATCAGGAAAGTCTTAGGTTAGTCGAGGACAGATGCCATATGAGCTGAATCTTGGAAAAAATGTGGGTGTAAATTAGGCAAATTAGGACAAAATTGTATTACAGATACAGAAACCACACAAAGATTTGGTATCAAGAAATCACGAGGTACATAAACTCTAAGTAGTTGGAAAACACTGACACATAAATGTAAGCGGGGAGTGGCAGGGGCTATTGATGGAGGCAGGGCCCACCACTTTGGAAGCACTGAATACTCTACCAATATCTGAGGATGTGCATAGACTTTCTAGTTGCTGATAGGTTCTATAATCCTCAGGTCTTCTATGTTATCAACATATCCATCTACGCCACAATGGAATTCAATGTAGCTGAAGCTTCTGCTCTCTGTGTACCTATTGTTGTACTTCTCCCAGTGACACTCGAGTACTTTGAGGGCACCTGGGGCCCATACATATGCATTTCTATATCGGTCGCTCCCCTTCTCATTGATGCATGCACGCTGAATTTTGAACCATAAGCTATAGATGAACATATGAAAGCTCTTGCCTTTCAGAGCCTCTTTTTCTCTCATGAGGACATCACATTTGTACTCTTTGAATTCTCGACTTGGACTTAAGTAATGAAGTTTTATGAATTCTCTCCAGTAAATGTTGTTACTGTATACACACAGCCTGCAAAGGATGCAAAGCAGGGCCAAGAGTATGCCCCAAATCTTTAGAGAGGATGTCATCTCAGTCACCACGTCCACCTGCGTGTCTACAGGGAAGAGAAAGAAAAGCATTAACCAGACTATACTCAGAGAGCTGAGCTCCACCTTAAAATTCCTTTCCCTGCCAAGCAGGTACTTGGGCACTATATTGCTATTTGGTTCCATATTAGAAGATGATGATTCTCATTAAAGAATACAGTTTCTGGGCTGGGCACAGTGGCTTATACCCGTAATCCCAGCAGTTTGGGAGGCCAAGGTGGGTGTATCACCTGAGGTCAGGAGTTCGAGAAACACCGTGGCCAACATGGTGAAACCCCATCTCTACTAAAATACAAAAAGTAGCTGGACATGGTGGCTGTAGACCCAGCTACTCGAGAGGCTGAGGCAGGAGAATCGCTTGAACCTGGGAGGCGGAGGTTGCGGTGAGCCGACATCACACCTCTGCACTCCGGCCTGGGTGACAAAAGCAAAACTCCGTCTCAAAAAAAAAAAAAAAAAAGAATACAGTTTCTAAGAACTAAAAATATGCTTTAGCCTGTGAGAGCTAACACAAATTTGGAAAATATAGATAAAGTACCTTTTGAGAATTTCAAATATCTCCTGTCTACCCTGTCTTCTACCCAATTTGAGGAGCCAATCACTATCGAGCTCTCTTTTACCAAATAAGCTCTCAGGAGATCATGTGTCCAATAGAAAAATGACATTTTAAGCGTATTGTCTGCAAAGTGGAAAAGATTGTTGCATTTTAAGGGAATGTAGAAGATGAGTAACTACTTGGGAGGTGGTTCCTAGGCAGAAGGCATTGATTCTGGAAACCACAGCCCAGGCTGCAATTGCACTTCTCTGAAAAATGATGTTTTTCCAACCTTGACTTCCTTATAACACTTTCCCCAAAGTCTGGGTGAAACATGTGATCATTATTAACTATCGGCATCCCTTCTCAGAGGCCATTTCCCTAATTACTGCTATTACAAATGATCTTCATTTGTTAGAGCTTATTGACAATGCCATCATAAAAGGACATCAGTTTAGAACTGTTGCTGTAATCAATCAGGCACCAAAACTAAAACAGTCCCCCGCAGAGCTACTGTGGTCACAGCATAGGATGTATGGTCGTTTGAAAAAGTTATCTCTTTACCAGCTATCTGTCCTCATTTGCCATGAGGAGTATTCCTGGCCCTACTGAACCTCTAGCCTGATTCATAGCTCTGAGTATCGGTGTCCTCAGATAGGCCTAATCACAGCTCCCTACAGACCTGCAAGAGTCTAATGAGATGCAAGCATGTGAGAGCACTTCTAAAGATGTCAAATGCCCACATCAGGCACAGGGTTCCTCATCTGTGGAACCCTGTCCTGGTGATAAAGGCCTACACAAGATAGAAGAGTAGGATGCAAGCAGCTTTAATGCACTGTGCTTAGGAGGACTGGCGGTGAAGGAAGGGAGGGGCAGGGAAAAGCCTGTATCAGTGGGACTGAGGCTAACCAGAATTCAGACCTTTGTTTTCCATGATTTGGATCCTTCTCCATTGTTTGCTATCTAAAAGTTCAATCAGCCTCCTTCCAGTGTTCCTGGCTGTCCCCCGAGCAACCTCAGCAGAGCCCTTCTTACCCTACTTGGACTCTGAGTTCAGGTCACTGATTGTAGTGGGGATCAGCATGTGGATCTGAAGAGCAGAGTCTGCGTCCTCCTCCTTTTCTCAGAGCCCTGGAAATCTACAGCAGTGGAGAAAGGAATAGTAGGGGGAGCTGCAGGGCTCCAGCTGATTGGTAGCCGAGGTGGTGATGGGGAACAGCCTTATTATGTGAACTTGTCCCTGTATCGTTTCATCTGGAACACTTGGGCTCACTCAAACAGTAGCCTCGAGCAAAGGCTACAAACATCAAAGGCTGAGCCCTGGGTACAAAATGATTGCAAGACCCTAGGTGACCCCAGAAAAGGGTTATCTGGTGCTATCAGGAGACAACCAGAGACTTAGCTCTGCTCTCAATTCTAACAAACTTCTGGGGAAGTCCCTGGAGGGTTATGCTATGTTACATGGGAACTTCACTGAGGAAAGCCACCTTTTTTTTTTTTTTGAGATGGAGTCTCGCTCTGTTGCCCAGGCTGGAGTGCAGTGGCGAGATCTCGGCTCACTGCAAGCTCCGCCTCCCGGGTTCACCCCATTCTCTTGCCTCAACCTCCTGAGTAGCTGGGACTATAGGCGCCTGTCACCACGCCCAGCTAATTTTTTGTATTTTTAGTAGAGACGGGGTTTCACCGTGTTAGCCAGGATGGTCTCGATCTCCTGACCTCATGATCTGCCTGCCTCAGCCTCCCAAAGTGCTGGGATTACAGGTGTGACTCGCTGTGCCTGGTCTTTTGCCTTTTTTTTTTTTTTGACAGGGTCTTGCTCTGTCGCCCAGGCTGGAGTGCAGTCGCACAAACACTGCTCCCTGCAGTCTCAACCTGCCAGGCTCAAGCAATCCTCCCACCTCAGCCTCTTGAGTAGCTGGGACTATAGGCATGCAACACCATGCCTGGCTAGTTTTTTGTATTAATTTTTGTAGAGACAGGGTTTCACCATGTTGGCCAGGTTGGTCTTGAACTCCTGAGCCTAGCTAAGCCTCAACACATCAGCCTCTAAAAGTGCTGGGATTACAGGCATGAGCCACTTGGTCAGGCCAGAAAATCACTTTTAATGTTGTGAATTGTGAGACCTTCATTGAGAGGTGAAAGAATATCTAGTGAACACAGTGGCCAAATAGCTATGAATGATTAGGTAGCCAGTATCTGAAATTTCTCTACTCAGTTTTTTAATTATAACCTTTAGCTGTTTGGTGACACTGTACTGCTTACTATTAAAATGTCACATAGCCTGGCCATAGTTTCTACAATGCTACTATACGTAACATCTGACTGTGAAGTATAGGTCACAAGGTGCTGGCTAAGTTGTTTTTCAGGACCTCAAGATTCAGTCCTGAACTCAGCTCAAACTGACAAGACCACAACTTCTTCAACTGAGTTTGTGCAAGTGTTCAATGGTTACCTTTAACATCACAGCCGGAATTTTCCACCATATTTTCCATGCCAACTCCCCACAAATTGGCAAATGTGACCAATACTGGTTCATCAACACTAGTCAAAGTTACGATTTATGAATAAAGTAAGACTCTTGCAAATCTTTTCTAACAACACTTCCAAAGGCTGCTCCTAGCCAAACCACCTTAGTTGATTTTCTCACTGGGCCACCTTATTGTTGGAATGACAGAAGGTTCAGTTTATATCCAGAACTTATCTTCAAACCCCCACTCCTGTGAAGCAGTCCTTGAGTAATAGAAAATCATGTGCTGATAGACTGGATGGACGGGAGATAGTCTTAGAGCAGGTTCTGTGCATCCTTCTACTCTCTAGGTCTTTGGGGGACAGGGGAGAGCAAAACAGGAACAATTCTGGGCCTCTGAATTTGGATGATTTGAGAGGCGATTCTGAGGGAAAATCAGTTTTTTGTCATGTGCCCACACATCCAGAGCTCTTTCCAACAAATGTGCATTGTCTATTGAAGACAAATTCAAGTAGTGACTCAATGAATGTAGAGAGGTGGGAGAGAGAAGCCACCTGAGCCAATGTATGAGCCAGTGTTTCTCAAATACTTGATATTCCACTTTTAATATGGAAAAAAAATCATGGACTCCAAGCATACATCCATGAACTCTCCTATGAGCTAAGCCCAAAGTCCTAAAGCTTTTTGGATATAAACCCAATTAGGAGGCCATCTAAACTAAACTGGGGAAAAGCATATTGTTATATTTACAGAAATTAGCCACTATGAATGCAGCCCAGGAAGGTAACCCAACCAGTATTTCTGGAAACTACGTAATGGGTCTACTTCCTAGGGTTGTCTACCAGCTTGTGTAACAGAAGCTCCTTGGGCAGTGACTTTTGATTTCGGTTTTTAAGGAGGTATTCCCCTTTAAATATAAATTTTAAATCACTTGAAAATTATGTTCATCCTTTATTGTCTTTGATTTTAATTATTTTCTGTTAATTCCTTGATATGTCCTTTTATTATTATTATTATTATTTTTGGAATGGAGTTTCACTCTTGTCGTCCAGGCATGATCTCAGCTCACTGGAACCTCTGCCTCCTGGGTTCAAGTGATTCTCTTGCCTCAGCCTTCTGCGTAGCTGGGAGTACAGGTGCGCACCAACACATCCGGGTAATTTTTGTATTTTTAGTAGAAACAGGGTTTTGCCATGTTGGCCAGACTGATCTCAAACTCCTGACCTCAGGTGATCCACCCGCCTTGGCCTCTCAAAGTGCTGGGATTAAAAGCGTGAGCCACCGCACCAAGCCAATATTTCTTTTGTTAGCCACTATTCAATTCTTAAATGTTTGTGAACTACTGTTTCACAAAACCATAAAAGTGACTTAGGTTCCTCATTCAGGGGATGACAACGTCTATAGGTGTCTTAATCTGTGATCCACGGACTTCCAAGGGCTCCATGGATGGAATTCATAGGATCAATGCAGTAGTGCAGTGCAGAAAATTACATCTCTATTTTCACTCACCCATATTGAAATGTAGGGGCTGGGCATAGTGGCTCACACCTGTAATCCCAACACTTGAGAAGGTCAAAGTGGGAGGATCACTTGAGCTCACGAGTTTGAGACCAGCCTGGGCAACACAGGGAGAAACCCTATCTCTACAGAAAATTAAAACAATTAGTTGGGTGTGGTGGCACATGCCTGTAGTCCCAGCTACTTAGGAGGCTGAGGTGGGAGGATCACTTGAGGCCAGGAGTTGAAAACCAGCCTGGTCAACATAATGATAACCTGACTCTACCAAAAAAAAAAAAGAAAAATTTTTAAGGCCAGTAGTGGTAGCACGTGCCTGTAACCTCAGCTACTTGGGAAACGGAGGCAGGAAGATTGCTTGAGCTTAGAAGTTTAAGGCTGGACTGAGCTATGATAGCACCAGCCTGGGTGACTGAGTGAGACCCTGTCTCTCAAAAACAAAACAAAACAAACATAACAAAAACTAAAAAAAAACCCAAAACCCTAACCCCATACTCCTTGAGACACAGATGAGAAGATGAATGTAGGCATCAGGCCACACACCTATCGTGGTTACACGAGGATTCCCTTGGAGAGAGATAATGGTGGCTGTATTTTCACAATGCTCTGCTTTAGTCAGTTAAGAGAAGTCCAGATAAGATTTCTTACGCGAGGACCAGCAAGGTCTGTTGAGTACAAAGACTGGAGGAAATCAGACAACAAAAACTGAATACTTCCTCATACCTCTTCTCTCAGGTGGTATTGTTTAAGACTCAGCAGTGTGGTTCCCTCATATACTTTGACTGGTCCTGGGACTGCAGACTTAGCACTATCTGGTTTCCCATCTGCCCAGGATGGGAATCAGTACCCACCTCTTGTAGGAATTCTTCAGGGATGAGAGAGAAATTCTGAGCCAGTTGCTGCAACAATGCAGCTTGCAAGGTACGGGCTTGATCTGGGGACACTGTAATATTCACCCATCCTGGGGAAAAGGTAATATTTGCATTCAGTTCAGTCAAGAGATGATGTCCCAAGAAATCGATAAGGTATTCAGGCATATGTAAGAAGTGACGCTTTAGGCAAGTCTGTCACAGTTGGAAATCTAGGGGTTGCAGGAATGGTTCTTTTAGGGTCTCCTCTAAAACTGCCTTCACTTTCATAGTTTCAGAAGACAATTTGAACAAGTGTGTGTTTACTACTGAGTAGGTGGCACTGGTATCTACTAGAAAGGCTAAAAGTTGATTTCTCAGCATCATAATGACCCAGGGCTCCACATGGGAAATATGGAGGGTACTAGCTGGGTCAGAGGCTGCCCTCGGGCCCCATCATTTTTGATCCTTATTACAGAAGTTCTTAGCCCCAGATCCCTGAGATATTTCAGGCATTTGGTGAATTGGAAATTGATTTTCCCATTATTGGCCCCTTTGTGGTTTGGTCAGTCTTTTTTCCAATGGCCTTCCTGTCTGTAGTTGGCACATGGAGTTCAGTAAGTAGAGTGTTTCTACTTATAGGGAGCCTGGGTCCCAGGGGGTCCTAACTTATGTGGGGCTCCTATGGTGGGTCCGTGCCATGGTCCGAGGGTTCCTTAAGCAGCTGCTAGCAAGGTGGCTTGCTGCTACATGTTTTATAGTTCTCTTTGGTTCAGACCAGGTCTCTGCCGGTGAACACCCTTGTTTCTACCATTTGAGACAAAGATATGTCCAGTGCCCCTTCAACTTGTTGCAAATTTCACTGGATGTCAGGGACACTCTGGCTAATAAATGTCATGTTTATCCTCTTTAAATTTTCTGAGGCCTTCGGACCAATATCAGTGTATTCCTTGAACACTTCCAAATGCAGTCCAGAAAACTTGAAGGGCTTTCATTGGGCTTATGCCTTACTTCCTGAACTTTCTTAAGGCTCATCTGCTTGGGCATGCCCTTTCAGAGTTCAGGTTTGAACATTGGTCCAGGTAGGATTATGGGATATAGGATATAGAAGAAAATAATATAGAAGAGAACAAATTTTCCATTGGCTTTGGATCCTCTCAATAGGTAGCAATACTGTTTTTCAAATTTTATAAATAAGAAATAGAGAATGGAGAGTGTACCCAAATAAGCCCCATGGGTTGCCCTGTGTCAGCGTCAACACCTCCTGTAGGTAATTATTGAAGGGAAAATCGTCCTGCTGGAGCTAAAGTGGTTCCCTGGCCAAATTAGGTCCTCTGACAGGTGTGAGAAGAGGAGGCCATTCCTGCATCTTGTCATTCCTGGCCTCCTGGTCAAGTGCCGGTGGCCTGGCCATAGCTCCTTCACCAGGTGAAGGAGGGAGAGCCAACAGCAGTGAGCCGAGATTGCACCACTGCATTCCAGCCTCAGTGACAGAGCGAGATTCTGTTTAAAAACAAGCAAACAAGCAAACAAACAAAACAAAACAAAAAAACAGATTTCAGAACTGAAACCCAAAGAGCCCAGGAATAGTTCCACTGTACGTCCCTATGTGCTCCTTCCAATTGGTAAAAATGTCCTTGAGCAGGGCCCTTTGTGAAGGAGGGACAACAGGACCTCCAAAGAGGTGACAGGACCTCTAAGAAGGCCAGCAGATCAGGAGAAGGAAAAGAGGATGTTGGAACACTTACCAGAGATGTTTTCCCATTCTGGAAACCCCTTCTCCCCTGCAAGTGAGCCTGAGCTGAAAGTTGGCAGTGCCATGCTGGCAAAAACTCCAGATACTTTGGTGAATCTCCAGGTTTGCTACAGCAGCAAGAGAGTATCGAACCATGGACAAATGCCCATGAGGACCCTCCAGGCTAGCTCTCCACTAAACTTTAACCATAATAGATTCCTTGCCTTATGCCCAGCAAGTCAACATACTGAGATAATGGTGATAGCAGCAGAGAAATAGTGTAATATTTTTATGACAGTCAGACAAGGAGATGGGAGGAAAAGTCAAATCCACCTCTCCAAGAGGTTTAGGGTAGGGTTTGTGAGGGGTCTGGACAGCGGCTGAAGTGTAGGGATTTTTGATTCTTGAGAAGTGAGGAGTGCAGTCTTGGGACAGGGAGATGCCAAAGGTGCATTCTTCTGAGCCAGTTGCATGGTGGGGGTCTTCAGACTGGTTGGTGTCAGTCTTTCCACTAGAGTTCAGAATCTGAAATGCCTGAAGCAATTCTTGAGCAAAAAAGACCCACGATTCTTGTTTGTGAGTTTCTACCTATAGGAACAATGGGGGAGCAGGTGGTCAGCATGCTATGTGACTCTTGGTTAGTTAGCAGCTGCAGGGAAGCTGCTCCAAGTGGACCAGCATGCAATGATTAATGTGTAACTATAATTTTTCCTGCTTTGATGAGCTGTTAATCCTTTCAGTGTATTATTATCATTAGAGAACTGCAAATTAACACAATGGATGTGATAATACTACACATCTATTAGAATGGCTGAAATGCAATACAAACTGACATCACCAAAGCTGGTGAGGATGCAGAGCAACACAAATACTAATTGACAGGACTTTGTATCTGGGGCATATTTTAGGGTGCCATATATTTATGTCCTACAAAAGAAGGTTCAGTTAGCCTAGCTTGGATCTCATGACAATTGCTTGGCTTAGCAGAAGGGACTGCAAGCCTTAGTGGACAGCCTCACCTATAAGGTCCACAAAAGAGGAAGACAGGTCCCTAAGGAAATTAATGTGCAGCTATCCAAATAAGGGATGGATATCAGGAAAGCTAGAGCTTATAAAGCTCTGATATTTATCCCTGATTTGGGTAGCTGCATATTCATTCATTTCTGTATCAGCTTCACATTCCACTGATATACAAACCTAATATACTAATTGCCCTTAAATGCACTTTCCTCCTATACTGTTTTGAATTACCATCTGCTTACCCTTTAGTAAAAGCAACTTTTAAAGAGCTACTTACATGAGAAATTTGTGAGAATCTACTATAGGAGATCAGAATATGCCGCCACAAGGTATGCTCTGTAACGTAAAGATTATTTTGGACTGCTTATTTTGAGAAACAGTATACACAAGACAAGCTCTGAAAATAGAGTATGCATTGGCCTTTTGTAAGGGTAACGTGCATTCATAAGGGAAACCTCCATTCTTATGGATGTCTCCTTCTCTGTGCCAGATAGAGAAAGGTGACTCTAAATCACAAGAGACCCTTCTCAGTGGAGAAGATACTGACTTAAATCTGTATGACCAAACTTTCCCTCATTTACTATACTTTTCCTGGTCATCTCCCTATGACTTGCTCCCCACATGCATTTTCCTTTGCATTAGCTGAAGATGGCATTTAGCCATCTAAATAGCTGAAGATGGCACTCTAGCCACCTCTGTGAGATACTCTCTGAGTTTCTCCCATGTATACGTGAGATACACATGTTACCACATTCTGTTTGTTTTTCTTCCGTTAATCTGACTTTTCTTATAGGGGCCCCAGCTAAGATCCTAAAAGGGTAGAAGGAAAATTTTTTCCTCCCTTACACTATATTTTGAAGAGTATTTATCAAATGAGAAAAATAATTAGTATTTTTCCCCATATGTAAATTGACCATTGAGGAGGAGCTACTGTTTATTTATTTATTTATTTATTTATTTATTTATTTATTTTGAGACAGAGTCTCACTCTGTCACCAGGCTGGAGTGCAATGGCACAATCTCGGCTCACTGCAATCTCTGCCTCCCAAATTCAAGCGATTATTCTGCCTCAGCCCCCCGAGTAGCTGGGACTACAGACACATGTCGCCACGCCCGGCTAATTTTTGTATTTTTGTAGAGATGAGGTTTCACCATGTTGGCCAGCATGGTCTCAATCTCTTGACCTTGTGATCCGCCTGCTTCGGCCTCCCAAAGTGCTAGGATTACAGGCGTGAGCCACCATGCCTGGCCTTGCTACTGGTTTGATACTAATCTCTTCTGACTTTGGTTAGTAGAGATTGTCATCCCCAGGTGTCTGTTCCTCCCCAGGTGCACTCAAAAATTGCAAAGTTGAGGAACTGCATTTGGAACATGATGACCAATGTAGATACACTGACTCCTCATTGAGACCAGAGTTCTAAAAAAGTGCGCAGTCACCTCATAAATAATGTTGATACTTTGGTCTTTTCTCTAATTGTTTCAAGGCCAGAGCCATTCAACATTGCAGGACGCTGAAGAACACAAGTTACTTTAATGTTTAGCACTTTTCCACCCCATACCGGACCTGGACAAAATTATATGAAGCAAGCATTTCTTACTTTGTATCTCTCTCCTACAGTTAGCAAACAGAATTTCACATAGTTCCTACTTGCCTGTGAACCCAACGTGTCTTTCTCCTATTTCCTTTCTCATTCATTCCATGAACAAAATTTAGGTCTTAAGTCCATTGTTGAGGACCATTGTATTTTAAAGTCCTCCAACCTTCTCCCTATGTTTCTGCCAAGCGAACATGATTATTATCAGATAAAATCATTTGTGCTAATATCTTCTACTTGATGTGTCATCCTTAGGAAAGGTAACACCTTAGCCCGGCAAACATGCATTGAACTTCTTAGAAACCTTCTTAAGGAACTGAGTCTAGTGGAGATATCTGTGAGTGTATGGTTGATAGAGGAGGTGTTCTTTCTCATCCCGCGTGTGTATAGCTTACATACAGATGACAGCCTACTGTAGTTTTGTATTAGAAATCCTTGGCATGTACGAGGTCCCCAGTTCACTCTCCGGCACCTCTACCAGTTTTGGGCTGGGTGTGGTGGCTCACACCTGTAACCCCAGGACTTTGGGAAGCCGAGGTGGGCAGATCACTATCACTTGAGGTCAGGAGTTTGAGACCAGCCTGGCCAACATGGCGAAACCCCATCTCTACTAAAAATACAAAAAAATTAGTGGGACGTGGTGTTGCGCACCTGTAATCCTGAGTTACTCGGAGGCTAAGGTAGAAGAATTGCTTGAACCCAGGAGGCAGAGGTTACAGTGAGCCGAGATTGCACCATTGCACTCCAGCCTGGGCAACAAAGGCTAAACTCTGTCTCAAAAAAAAAAAAAAAAGGAAAAAGAAAAGAAAAGAAAAGAAAGAAGTCTGCATCTCTAGGCCAGGCCTGGTGGCTCACGCCTATAATCCTAGCACTTTGAGAGTCCAAGGCAAGCAGATTCCCTGAGCTCAGGAGTTTGAGATCAGCCTCGGCAACATGGCAAAACCCTGTCTCTACTAAAAAATACAAAAAATTAGCCAGGCATGGTGGCTCACGCCTATAATCCCAGCTACTAGAGAGGCTGAAGCAGGAGAATCACTTGAACCCAGCAGGAGGAGATTACAGTGAGCTGAAATCGTGCCACTGCACTCCAGCCTGGGTGACAGAGTGAGACTCTGTCTTAAAAAAATAAATAAATAAAAAATAAAAGAAATCCCCATCTCCAGAGTCAGGGACAGAAATGGTTGATGGGCACTTGTTATGTTTGTTTATCAAAGTCAAAATTAAAGTAGAAAACCAAAGAGTAATATGAGAAAGGAAAGAATTTTTACTGAGCAACTACCATAAGCCAGGAATCATGCCACATGTTTTATACCCAGTCAGCTCTGCCTTTACCCAAGAAACTGAGTGGAACTAAGCATGTTACCACCGTGAAAGTAATTCATTCAAAATATAAGCTGTTGGAACTCTATATTATTTTGAACCTTAAAATGTGATGATGGGCGGAGCGTGGTGGCTCATGCCTGTAATCCCAGCACTTTGGGAGGCCGAGGTGGGAAAATCACCCGAGGTCGGGAGTCTGAGACCAGCCTGGCCAACATGGTGAAACCCAGTCTTCACTAAAAATACAAAAATTAGCTGGGCATGGTGACATGCTCCTGTAATTCCAGCTACTCAGGAAGCTGTGGCAGGATAATCGCTAGAAACCTGGAGGTGGAGGATGCAGTGAGCCAAGATCTGGCCACTGCACTCCAGCCTGGGTGACAGAGTGAGACTCTGTCTCAAAGAAAAAAAAAAAAAAAAGTGATGATGGGGCCTGAGTCACATACTAGGCAGCTGTAACCAAGGCAGGTGTACCTTGGTTTCTCTGATTAGAGATTAAGACACTTTCTTACCTGCATTGTTGTGTGAAATGTAAAATGACTGAAGTGGGCCAGGGAAGACTCATTCCACTCCACTGCTGATCTTCATTATGGATGAACTCCCCTCTTCTGTTTTTGATGTAAAGACTTCATTGCTATCACATCGTCTTGAGATGGAATGTTAAATACACTCTTTTAAAATTGGAACAGAAATGAAGCACAGCTATGAATAAATGAAAACAAGTCATGAGGTTGGGCACAAATCTGTAACTAATTAATTTGTTGTAACTCTTGAACCAGCCTGGCATAGAAAATATTGTAATCCTTTTGAATTTCTTTGTCTTTTTCCTACATTAGCAAAAACTTAACTTTCTCTGGAGTTTGTGTGTCACAGAGTGGCCATTCCCATCTTTTCACTTTAATAAAATCATTAAAACTGGATTATGACCTTTTTGATTATATCAAATTGTCAACACAATCAGTGTCTACATCACAGTTTGTCTCCAGCTTAGCCTATAATCATTTACATCCTCATGATATACACAAACATATCCCATGCACAGACACAGTCACATAAAATGTGACCTTGCACAGCATAAGTCACAGGCAAACATATCCTAGATCTCACACACCCATACCAATTACATGATACTTACTTTACACACATCATATGTAGAATGTCACACATTTTGGCATAATACGATTTATTTAGGGAAAGGAAGATCATCCACCTTGGGTAGGTTTAGAGTGAATATCAGGAAAAATCTTGGTTAGTAAAGATCAGATGCATTACGAGCTGAATCTTGACAAACATGTAGGAGTAAATTAGGTAAATGAAGACAAAAGTGTATTCCAGGCAGAGAAACAACACAGGCGAGGTTATGGTATCAAGAAATCATGCGTTTCATAATTCTAAGTTTTGGAAAACACGGATGCATAAGTGCAAGTGGGGAGTGTCAGGGGCTATTGATGGAGGCAGGGGCCACCACTCGGGAAGCACTGAATACCAATCCCTGAGGATGTGCATGGACCTTCTAGTTACTGATAGGCTCCACCATCCTCAGGTCTCCTATGCTATCAACATACCCATCCTTGCCACAGTGGAATTCAATGTAGTTGAAGATCTCTGTGTAGCTATTGCAGTACTTCTGCCACTGACACTCGAGTACTTTGAGGGCACCCTGGGCCCATACATAGGCATATCTATATCGGTTATTCCCATTTCAATAATGCATATACACTCCATTTTGTGCCATAAGCTATAGATGGACATATGAGAGCTCTTGCGTTTCAGAGCTTCTTTTTCTCTCGTGAGGACATCACATTTGTACTCTTCAAAATCTTGGCTTGGATCTAAATAGTGCAGGGTCATGAATTCTCTCCAGGAAACGTCCTTGCTGTGTACAAGTAGCCTGCAAAGAATGCAAAGCAGGGCCAAGGGACTGCCCCAGATCTTCAGAGAGGATGCCATTTCAGTCACCAGGGACACCTGCGTGTCCACAGGGAAAAGAAAGAAAAGCATCATGTAGACAATGTCCAGAGAGCTGACCTTTATCTTAAAGTTCTGTTTCCTGCCAATGCAAGCACTCAGCACAATTTTACTATTTGGTTCCCTGATTAGAAGATAATTCTCATAAGAGAATAAAGTTTCTAAGAACTAAAAGTATGCTTCATCTTATGTGAGCCAAACACAAAGTTGGAAAAAAATAGATGAAGTTCATTTTGAGAATTTCAAACATCTCCTGTCTACTCTGTCATCCACCCAACCTGCACTGGGTAGAATCACCCAATCACCCTCCAGCTGGCTTCTTTTCATCAGATCAACTCTCAGGAAGTCACGCATGCAATAGAAAATGGCATTTTAAGCTTTTTGTCTGCGAAGTGGAAAGGGCTGTAACTTTTTTTTGCACATTAAATATTAAAGTTTATTAAAAATTGCTCATATTGAAAAACAAAGACATCAATTATACCCACCCCCGCCAACACACAACAAATACACAATCCAGACACAATTATGTTGCTAGTGTCAGCTCAAAATTATTAAGCAAATACTGAAATGTAGATAAGTTCCAGAAAATAGCAAGCAGAGCCTAGAAAACATTTATAAAGCTCTTAGTTGTCATGGTAACAGATAAACTCTGGTATCTGAAATTGTAGAAATCAGAAGTTCAACATTCGTGTGACATTACTTTTCTATGGTTTTTCAAGGGATAAGAGGGAAACTTTTCCAATTAAGTTGTTCCAGGGCCTTCTTGAATTTAACAGATGGCTGTTGCAAAGACATTAATTGAGGTTGTAGGACAAGGGATACGTGGATATTTCCGTTCCCAAAAGAAGTGAGTAGATCTAAAGGCAGAGACTGACTTCCAGGTTAGGCAGCCTGCAGAGCTAGTGCTGATCCATCCTCCTCTATCATGCCCCCCATGAGAGCCATAAACACATGGATGCTGGAGGCAATGCTGTTTTTTGATTCCTGTTTTCATGCATTGCTCACAAGCTGCAGATGCATGCCATGGGCACTGTTGCCTGCCCTCCCCCTCTCCTTGCTCTCCAGGGATGTGCCTTTGCTAATGTACCAGTCAGGATGCTTTTGCTTCCTTTCTTCCTGTCTGGGTCTTCGTCAGCATCTTCTGAGTAATGAGGCTGCTGCTGGGCGGTTCCAGAGACTCCACTTTGGTTCCATCTGGCTGGGGAGGTCTCACAATCATGGCAGATGGCAAAGAGGAGAAAGTTACATCTTATGTGGATGACAGCAGGCAAAAAGAGCAGGGCTGTCACATTTTAGACGAGTGTAGAAGATGAGTGACTACTAGGCAGGTGGTTCTTAGGCAGGAAGGCTTTGATTCTCTGAAATCACAGCCCAGGCTACAATTACACTGACTCTGCAAAATGATGCTTCTCCAATATCTTGACTTCCTTATAACACTTCTCCCAAAGCCTGGGTGGAACATATGGTTACTACTAACTACCCGTATTCCTTCTCAGGGGCCATTCCCCTAATTATCACTATTACAAGTGATCTTCATTTGTCAGAGCTGCTTATTGACGATGCCATCGTAAAAGGACACCAGTTTAGAAATATAGCTGTACTCAATTAGGCATAAAGACTAAAAAAGTCCCCACCGGAGCTACTGTGGTCACAGCCTAGGATGTATGGTTGTTTGAAAAAGTTACCTCTTTAAACAAGCTCTCTGTCCTCATTTGCCATGAGGAGTGTTCCTGGCCCTACTGAACCTCTAACCTGATTCACAGCTCTGAGTATCGGTGTCCTCACCGATGTAGGGCCTAATAACAGCTCCCTACAGACCTGTGAGAGTCTAATGAGATGCATGTATGCGAGAGCACTTCTAACAATGTCAAATGCTCACCTCAGACACAGAACAAAGGGTCGGCGCTTCCTATCTGTGGAACCCTGTCCTGGTGATAAAGACCTACACATGTTAGGAGAGTAGGATGCAAGCAGCTTTAATGCATTGTGGTTGAGGTGACTGGGGGTGAAGGAAGGGAGGGGCAGGGAAAAGCTTGTATCAGTGGGAATGAGGCTGACTGGAATTCAGGCCTTAGTTTTCCATGATTTGGATCCTTCTCCATTCTTTGCTATCTAAAAGCTCAATCAGGCTGGGGGCAGTGGCTCACACCTGTAATCCCTGCACTTTGGGAGGCCGAGGCAGGTGGATCACTTGAGGTCAGGAGTTTGAGACCAGCTTGGCCAACGTAGTGAAACCCCATCTCTACTAAAAATACAAAAAAATTAGCCTGGCACGGTGGCGTGTGCCTGTAACCCCAGCTACTCAGGAGGCTGAGGCAGGAGAGTCACTTGAACTCGGGAGGCGAAGGTTGTAGTGAGCCAAGATAGTGCCACTGCACTCGAGCCTGGGTGACAAAGCAAGACTCCATCTCAAAAAATTAATACTAGGCCGGGCGTGGTGGCTCACGCCTGTAATCCCAGCACTTTGGGAGGCCAAGGTGGGTGGATCACTTGAGGTCAGGAGTTCGAGACCAGCCTGACCAACATGGTGAAACCCCATCTCTACTAAAAATACAAAATTACCTGGGCGTGGTGGCATGCACCTGTAATCCCAGCTACTAGGGAGGGTGAGGCAGGAGAATTGTTTGAACCTGGGAGGCAGCGGTTGCAGTGAGCCAAGATTGTGCCACTGCACTCCAGCCTGGGCAACAAGAGCAAAACTCTGTCTAAAAAAAGAAAAAAAATTAATACTAACAAATAAATAAAAATAAAAGTTCAATCAGCCTCCTGCCAGTGCTCCTAGTCATCCCCCGAGGGTCCTCAGCAAAGCAGTTCTTACCCTACTCAGACTCTGAGTTCAGGTCACTGGTTATAGTGGGGTTCAATGTGTAGATCTGAAGAGCAGAGTCTGCATCCTCCTCCTTTTCTCAGAGCCCAGGAAATCTGCAGCAGTGGAGAAAGGAATGGCAGGGGGAGATTCAGCGCTTGAGTTGATTGGTAGCAGAGGTGGTGATGGGAAACAGCCTTATTATGTGAGCCTGTTCTTCTATAGTGTCATCTGGAACACTTGGGTTCACTCAGACAGTGGCTTTGAGCAAAGGCCACAAACATCAAAGACTGACTTCAGGGCACAAAAGAACTGAAAGACCCTAGGTGACCCCAGAAAGGGGTTATCTGGCACTAACAGGAGACAACAAGAGATGTGCCTCCCGCATTTAATTTCTGACAAGCTTCTGGGAAGTCTCTGGATGACTAGGCTACATTACATGGGAACTTCACTGAGGAAAACCACATTTAACATTGTGAACTGTAGGGCCTTCATTGAGAGTGAAAGAATGTCTAATGAAACCAATAGCCTGGTAGCTATGAATGATTAGGTAGCCAGTATCTGAAGTTTTTCTAGTCAGCTTATAACTATGACCCTTAGCTGTTTGCTGACGCTGTAGTGCTTACCATTAAAATGTCACGTAGCCTAGCCATAGTTTGCACAATGTTCCTATATATAACGTCTGACTGTGAAGTATGGGTCACAAGGTACTGGCTGAGTTGTTTTTCAGGAACTCAAGATTCAGTCCTGAACTGAGCTCAAACCAGACAAGACCACCTGCCCATGTGAGCGTCCAAGGGGTCACCTTTCCGCGTCACAGCCCAGATTTTTCACCATATGTTTTGTAACAACTACCCTAGAATTGGCAAATGTGACCAATAGTGGTTCATTAAAACTAGTCAAAGGTGCAATTTATGAATAAAGTAAGATACTTGCATATGTTTTCTATCAACACCTCCAAGGGCTGCTCCTAGCCAAGCCATCTTGGTTGATTTTCTCACTGGACCACCTCGTTGTTGGAATATCAGAATGTTTACAACCAGAACTTATCTTCAAAGTGCAGCTCTCAAGCAATCCTTGAATAATAGGGAATCATGTGCTGATAGACTGGATGGAAGGAGGATAGTATTAGAGCAGGTTCTGTGCATCTTTCTATTCTCTAGTCTTTGGGGCACAGGGGAGAGCAAAAAGGGAACAATCCTGGGCATCTGAATTTGGATGACTTGAGAGGCAATTCTGTGGGAAAATCAGTTGTTTGTCATGTGCACATACATCCAGAGCTCTTTTCAACAAGTGTGCACTATTTATTGAAGACTTAAATTCAAGTAATGACTCAATGAATGTAGAGAGAGGTAGGAGAGAGAAGCCACCTGAGCCAATGTGTGAAGAAGCAAGCTAAGAAAGAGATCTATGTGAAAGTAGTTTTTAAGCAATATAGCATTATGCTGATCTCTACTGCTGATAACATTATATGGTTATACTACCTCAGCCATGTCAACTAGTTAATCTAGTGTTTCTCAAATAAGTGATATTCCACTTTCCCACTTTCCTTTTTTTTTATTTTTTATTTTTTATTTTTTTTGAGACAAGGTCCAGGATCTCCCTCTCTCATCCAGGCTGGAGTGCAGTACAGTGGCATGATCTCAGCTCACTGCAATCTCTACCTCCTGGGCTCAAGCAATTCTCCCACCTCAGCCTCCCGAGTAGCTGGGACCACAAGCATGCACCGGTCATACCCAGCTAGTTTTTTAATTTTTTGTAGAGATGAGGTTTTGCCCAGTATTGTCTCGAACTCCTGAGCTCAAGCAATCCACCCACCTCAGACTCCCAAAGTGTTGGGATTACAGGAGTGAGCCACTGCACCCGGCCAGATATTCTACTTTCAATGTGGAAAAAAATTTATTGTGGACTCCAAGGGATACGTCCATGAACTCTCCTATGAGCTAAACCAAAAGTCCTAAAGCCTTTTGGATATAAAACCAATTAGGAAGTAAGCTAAACTATGCTAAGGGGAACAGTATTCTATTATATTTGCAGAAATTAGCCACTGCCAATGCAGCCCAGAAAGGTAGGTTAGCCAGTATTTCTGGAAACTGCTTAACGGGTCTACTTCCTAGAGCTGTCTACCAGTTTCTGCAACAGGAGTTCCTTGGGTAGTGACTTCTGATTTGAGTTATTTTTTTTTTATTTTTATTTATTTTTTTTGAGACGAGTCTCGCTCTGTCGCCCAGGCTGGAGTGCAGTGGCGCGATCTCGGCTCACTGCAAGCTCTGCCTCCCGGGTTCACACCATTCTCCTGCCTCAGCCTCCCGAGTAGCTGGGACAACAGGCGCCCGCCACCATGCCCAGCTAATTTTTTGTATTTTTAGTAGAGACGGGGTTTCACTGTGTTAGCCAGGATGGTCTCGATCTCCTGACCTCGTGATCCGCCCGCGTCGGCCTCCCAAAGTGCTGGGATTACAGGCGTGAGCCACCGCGCCCGGCTGATTTGAGTTATTAAGGAGATATTCCTCTTTGAGTATAAATTTCAAATTACTTGTTAATCATATTTGTTCTTTAAACATTGCTTTTGATTTGAACTGCTTTCTATTAATTCCTCGGTATTTTATTTTGTTAACCACTATTCGATTCTTAAATTTAGGTGTACTACTGTTTCACAAAACCATAACAGTGACTTAGGTTTCTTTATGCAGAGGATGAACACGTCTATGGGTGTTTTAACCTGTAAGCCATGAGATTTGAAAGCCTCTATGGGTAGAATTCATGGGATCCATGCCGTGGTGCAGGGCAGAAAATTACATCTTTTCATTCACCCATATTGAAATTTAGCAATTATTTTACCAATGAATGTAGAAAAAATGGAAATCATAGACTTTTTGTAGCCATTTATATTTGTTGCCAATATCTCAAAATATTATTTCACATTGATCACTGCCTCAAAATTATAGTAGTAATTAGACCTAAATTTAGGTCTTAGTACTTAATGCGTTAATAAACACATACAATACTATACTATCTCAAACACTTTAAATGTTTGATATTTGATTTCCTTTGAAATCCCATGTATTTTATTTTTTGCATTTAATGATATTTTTCAGAGAACAAGTATTATTGTTCTCTTTTTCTCAGTTGTTATTGTTCTCAATAACTGTTTGGCTTCATCAGAATGCTGAAGGGGTGCATGACACAGAAAAGGTGAACACCCTTCTCCTAGGGGATGGCAGAGTAACACAATGAAAGAAGTCCGATTCCTAAATAACTTGCACTGCTTAGAGAGGAACTCTCAAGTGACAGGAAAATAAAATATTTTGCTTTTAAACTACGGAGCTGTTTTTGCAGCTCAGCCTTATCCTAAGTAACCCCATTGTGATTATCTTGATAGCAGTGTTAAATATTTTCTTTTACTGTTAATGATATTATAATTCAACTCTGTCTTAACTATTTTAACCAGAAATGGAATATAAATATTTCAAAGAAAAAAAAGACAACACACTAGTTTGTTTTTGTTAGGCTTTGGGTGAATTTCTAAAGTACCAGTAAAGCTGCATTCAGGCAGAAATGCACTTACTCCCTCATAATTCTCTAACCCCCAAGGCCAGCTCTAATATTGTCTCTCCATCTTTCTCTCTCTCTCTCTCTCTTTCTTTCCTTCTCATTCTCTATGTCTCTCCCTTGCTCTGTTTCTCACCCTTGCTCTCAGGAGACCAAACAGTTTGGAGGAACTTAAGGAAAGGACATGACCACAGACCTTCTCTGTAAGTTAGATATTGACAGAATACCAAGAATGATCATGACAGAACAATAGGGAACAACAAAGCTCACCTGATTGGGTCAGGTGTATTAAACACATATGTATCTGAGCAGTTAGCCACCTTATACTAGAACGTGAAGAACCCAGTGAAAATGCTCAAATGTCCTTTTCGGATTCAATCAGGACACTATGTACAAGTCTTGGCTATGTTACAATTAAAAGTAAGAGTGAAAGGAGTGACTTTGAAAAGGAAAAGTGGTGGTGTCTGGGACACAATTGGGGGATAAATGTGACAATAGAATATGGGCAGAGGGCATAGAGACAGGAATAGAAAATAAATTCCACCACAAGTGAAATAATGTGTCCAGCAAGGATTACTTCTTTTAATTACTCTAGGAAAACACATTCTGTTCCTCTATTCTCACACAACGCTTCTGACACCAGATGCATGGGTTTTTTCCACATCAAGCAATTCTCCAACTCTCCAAACATTAGCTTGGTGCCCTAAAATTTAACCCAATCCTGACTTTATCCACTTGGAGTTAGCATTGGATCTCACAAGTTAAGAGCTCAGTCCCATAAGATGCCTCCTACTTTAGATGCCACTGGCAAGTCTGGGCCTCCAGTACTTCTGACCAACCAGCTATAAATTGGAGGTTCCAACCACTCCTTCCTTAGATTTGATAATTTTCTACAATGGCTCATAGAACTCAGCAAATCACTTTATTTACATTTATCAGTTTATTATCATGAGCACAACTCACAAACAGCCAGATGGAAGTGGTTCATAGGGCTAGGTGTGGGAGGGGAAAGGTGTGGAGCTTCTGTGGCCTCTGGGCATGCCACCATCCCAACACCTCTATGTATTCAGCAATCTGGAAGCTCCTCAGATTGTATGTCCGAGAGTTTTTATGGAGCTTGGTCTCCAGTCCCTGCCCCCTTTCTAAATGTCAGTGGGTTGGCTGAAAGTGTCAACCTTCTAATCCCTGGTCTTTCTGTTGCCAGCCCCATCCTGAGGTCATGTAGGGGCCCCACCTTAAGTTACCTCATTAGCATAATCTCAGGCATGATCAAAGGGTCTCATTATGAAAAACAAGGCACTCCTACTTAAGCCAAAATAGCCTGCTTCAAAGATGAATAGCCTCATCCTTTGCTTTGTTCAATATTTAACCATATACTTGCTTAAGAGATCCAGGGGGCAATCTTGAAATAAACCAAGTAAGAAATTGAGATTGTAGAGTCCTCCTTCTCAGAAAAATCACTGAGTAGTTAATCCATAACCTGGTTGCAGTCATGGTGATGCCAGCCAGACCTCCAGGTAGTTGATTACTGAAGATAGTCATCAGAATGAGACACACAGCCCTGCATCGTGCACCACTCCTGCTCATAGTTTCCATGCCTCCTTTTCCTTTAAAATCCCTTTGGCTACCCTAAACATTTGACATAGTCTTTGAGGCACTAGTCCACCACCTCCTCAGGTTGCCATCTCTTGAATAAATCTGCTTTTCCTTCCACCAACCCTTGTCTCTTGAGTTTTGCTTTCAAGTGGTGAGCAGCTGAACCTGAGTTTTGTAGGATACAGTAAATTCCTTTTCAAAGTTTAGCCTGTTAACTTCCTTTAAAATTCAAGAGGGAGAAAAATTGTTAAGTACAATGAGCTCTGTGTTCCTCTTCAAAGAACCAATATGTCAGTATGTTCAGCTTCCCTGTTCTTTGTTCTCCATCTTAAAGTTTAACTTCCTCGTTCTTTACACCTCCTTGCCTCTAGTTTCAGTAAACAACCCCTTCCTAGCCTCTATCACCTGTTCTGTCCTTAGGCATCCTTAGTCACCTGTTCTGTAACTGTCCTTCTTCTGAAACTCATCACCCCGCCACTCCGGCTGGTACCCTCGCTCTCTTTAAAATAGCCAATCGGAATTAGCTTAGACTGTGAGGTCCAACCCTAGCCAATAGGGGAAAGACACAGCAGTAGGGACTAGCTGCGGGGTTAGGAATAAGACCCCCTTCCCTTCCCCTTCCCGTTCCCCTTCCCCTTCCCCTTCCTCTTCCCCTCCCTTGTCCGGTGTGCTCTCACCATTGCTCCATCTGCGAGATGCCCCCTTCTATAGAAGTAAATTGGCTTGCTGTGAAAACTTTTGCCTGAGTGCTATTTTCACCCTGCGGCACCGAGCATTTACTTCCAACAAATTTGGGGGCCCGCCCGGGATCCCATTCTCCTCTGGGGAAAAGTCTCTGATCACCTCTCGTGAGGAGACGCATCCCGCTGCCTCACTGCGGTGGCCTCAGGGGAAAGGAATCGAGACCCACCCAGCGTGAAGAATAAACTTGGACCCTCAGCAAAGTGGGAAGAAAAGGCCTACAAATAAATACCACGGCAACCAGGTAACTCTGTGCACAGACCAAGGTAAGAAAAGCTGCGGGGGCGGTGAAGTATTTCCTTGGTGGTGGTGACCAAGATAAAAAAAGCCATGGAGGTGGTGAAGTATTTCTTGGTTGGGACACACCAAGGTAAGAAATGCTGCAGGGGCGGTGAAGTATTTCCTTGGCGGTGGGGACATCCTGGAGGTTGAAAGTGTGTGGCCGAGACACACAACTGAGTGCAGAGCAAGTGCAGAGTCCAGATCTGGTTCTGCCTTGACCTCATACAGCTTAAAGGTGGCTTGCTCATGTGGGGTTTATACCGACCTGCTCTAGTAGGAGAGATTAAGCCCCACAGACTCGCTAGGGTGCAAGAAATCTCTAGTAAGAGAGATTGAGCCCTGCAGACTCAGGAAAAAACACTTTCTCCAGGATGGCAAATATAGCGAGTAAGACAAAAGATAGGAAAGACCATGATCATGATAATATCCCTGTGGTAGTCCCCTAAGCCTAATGTTAGAATATTGGAAGGGTAATGGAAGGACCCAACACAAGAAAATGATAAAATAGTGCTGTTTTATTTGGACTAAAGTACCTTCCTGTCCCCCAACTAGCTGCCATCCCAGACTCTTCCCTAAACCTAAAAAAGGAGCTTAAACCACTCTTAGATGACCCTTATGGAGTGGCAGATCAAATTGATCAGTTTTAGGACCCCAGTTATATACTTGGGCTGAGTTAATGTCTATCTTAGGCATCTTATTCTCAGGAGAAAAAATGAGCATGATACACAGGGCCGCCATGACCATTTGGGAACATGAACACCCTCCTGGTCAGAATGTCCCAGCAACTGAACAAAATTCCCAGCCCAGGATCCTTAATGGGATAACAACAATACGGCCCACTGAGGAAATATGAAAGACCTTAGGGAGATGGTAATAAAAGGAATTCGAGAATCAGTGCCCTGTGCCCAAAATCTTACCAAGGCCTTTAATATAAAACAGAGAAAAGATGAGGACCAATAGAATTTTTAGAAAGGCTTAAAGAGCAAATGAGAAAATACGCTGGCCTGGAATCAGAAGACGCTCTTGGGCAGGGAATGTTTAGAACTTCATTTCGTCACTAAGAGTTGGCCAGATATTAACAAGAAATTACAAAAGATAGAGAACTGGAAAGATAGACCTATAGAAGAGCTTCTGAGAGAAACCCAGAAAGTATATGTAAGAAGGGATGAAGAAAAACAAAAGCAGAAGGCGAAAATTCTGCTGTCCACCATACAACAAAGTACCCAGGGGGCCAGAACCTATAAAGAACCCACTCTCCAGGCAATATAAAGGGTATGAAAGAGTAAAGCCAGGAGACTCAAAGGTAGAGAGAAAAAAAAAATCTTAGAGGAGACAGAAGTGAAATATAAAAAACAATCAGCTAGTATCAAATTTATGTTAATTCTGGAAACAGGGACAAATCTATTAGAAAGAGATTTAACGCTAAAATTAGGCTTAGGTCTCCAGATCAGTCTTGGAAAATTCCTCCCCTCCCTAAACTTGCTCACCACCACAGACAAAGAACACATTCATCCCGAGGTATGGTCAAAAGACGGGAATTGAAAGTTACAGATTCCTCTGATTCATCTTAAATTAAACACCCCTGGGGAAGTAGTAAAGCGAAAGCAATACCCTATTCCTTCAAAAGCCAGGGTAAATTTGAAACCTCTGATTGAAGGTCTTGTCCGTGATGGGCTTCTTGAACCCTGCATGTCTTCCTATAACACTCCAGTACTGCCTGTAAAAAGGCAGATGGCTCATACCGGTTAGGGCAAGACCTTAGAGCTATTAATCAGATACTCCAAGCTACACACTCTGTTGTTCCCAATCCTAATACTATTATCAGTAGGATCCCATACAGCCACCAGTGGTTTACAGTAGCAGATTTTAAAATGCTGTGGTCGGGGGCGGCCGTGCGGTACGAGCGAGCGGCTCCAGGGCGGGCGCGCTCAGGGATGCTCTAGGGGGCGGCGGCGGCAGCCGTGTGGGCTGAGGCGGCGAGGACAGCGCGGGCCCCTGGGCCTCTCCCCTGAGCCGGCTGCCCCGGCAGCGCAGCCAAGGCCCCGTCAGCCTCCGCCCCTTCAGCCTCCGGGCCGAGCCCGCCGCCACCTCTGCCCGCGGAGGCCGGGGAGCCCCCGCCTGCGCCCGCAGCCTCCCCCGCGCGGGGTTCGGGCCGGGCGGGGGTCCCGAGCTGCTGCCCTCCTCGCCAGCAATCGAGCCCCATTTCCTACTTTTTCAGTTTCCTTGTGGAGGGGCCGGTGGGTCTAGATGACTTGTCTCAGGGGCCCCCGATGAGGCGACCCAGGCAGCCCTGCCCTTTTTAGAGGATCCCCTCGGGGCCCGGGGGGGAAGGGGTTATCTTTGCATGGGTAGGGGACTTCCCTAGTCTGCCGGGACCATGACCTGAACTGGGCGAGTAGGATGTGTCCAAAGCCCAAGAACCAGCTCATCTGAGCCGCCCCCTCCCCGGCCAGCATGGCATCTGAAGAAGCCCCTCTCAGAGCATTGGAAAGGCTGATGACAGAACTTTTTCACGATGGTACGACCAATGAAAGAAAACGTGAGATAGAGGAGCTTCTTAATAACATTGCCCAGCAAATAGGAGCCTGGAGATTCTTCCTGTACTTTCTCTCCAGCACTAGGAATGGCTATGTAATGATGTACAGTTTAACAGTTTTTGAGAATCTGATCAATAAAATGTGGCTTGGGGTCCCATCTCAGGATGAGATGGAAATCCACAGCTGACTGCCCAAACTCCTTTTGGCTCACCATAAAACCTTACCTTACTTTATCCAGAGCAAGTTCTGCAAAGTTATTGTTGATATTGGACGTCAGGATCGGCCCATGTTCTACCATGACTTTTTTACTAACATTTTGCAGTTGAACCAATCCCCTGTGACAACCCCCCTTGGGCCGATCATGTTGAAGACAACTTCAGAGGAGCTGGCTTGTCCCCACGAGGACCTCAGTGTGGCTTGGAAGGAGGAGTTGCAGAAGCTGCCACTGGACCAGGTGCAGACAGTGCTTGGGCTGCTGACCGCTATCTTGGGGACTGTCTGGGACAAACACAGTGTTACTGCTGCCACTCCACCACCCTCCCCGACAGGAGAAAGTGGTGACTTACTGAGTAACCTGTGGCAGAGTCCTAGTTCAGCCAAACTGTTGAATCAGCCAATTCCCATCCTTGATGTGGTGAGTGAGTATATCTGTTCCCTTGCCTTGGAGTGCCTAGCCCATCTCTTCAGTTGTATTCCTCTGTCTGCCGGCATCACCCCATCCCTCCTTACCACCACCTTCCACTTTGCGTGATTTGGCTGTGACATCCGTGCCAGAAAGATGGCGTCAGTTAACGGCAGCAGCCAGAACTGTGTCTCGGTTCAGGAGCGGAGCCGGCCGGGGGTCCTGGCCATGCCCTGCATCAGTGAACTCATTTCCAAGAGCTGTGTGCCGATGGAGTTCGAGGAGTATTTACTGCTTATGTTCCAGCAGACTTTCTACCTCCTGCAGAAGATCACCAAGGATAACAATGCCCACACAGTGAAGAGCAGGCTAGAAGAGCTCGATGAGAGCTTTATTGAGAAGTTTACTGACTTTCTTTGGCTCTTTGTGAGTGTTCACCTAAGAAGAATCGAGTCTTACTCCCAGTTCTCTGTGGTGGAGTTTTTGACACTTTTGTTCAAGTACACATTTCATCAGCCTACTCATGAAGGTTAATTCTCTTGTTTGGATACTGGACACTCTTTTTGGACTATCTGACAAATAAAATTAAAAGTCATCTTGAAGACAAGGAAGCAGTTCTCAACAGGTACGAAGATGCCCTGGTGCTCCTCCCCACAGAGGTGTTGAATCAAATCCAGTTCAGATACAACCAGGCCAGCTGGAGGAGTTGGATGACGAGACTCTGGATGACGATCAGCAGATGGAGTGACAGCGGTACTTACGGCAGAGCTTGGAGGTGGCGGTCAAAGTGATGGAGCTCCTGCCCACGCACACGTTGTCCACACTGTTCCCAGTTCTTCAGGGCAATTTAGAAGTTTATTTGGGATTACAGCAAGTTATAGTTACATCAGGGTCAGGACACAGGTTGAACATCATGGCAGAGAACGACTGCTGGTGGCTGCACTGCTCCCTGAGAGACTTGAGCTCCCTGCTGCAGGCCATGGGCCACCTGGCCGGGTACTTTATTGGGGATGTGTTTGCTGCATGGTTCAATGATGCCCTCACAGTTGTGGAGAGTTTGGTCAAAGTCACTCTGTATGGATCTCAGATAAAGTTGTACAACATTGAGCCAGGTGCGGTGGCTCACGCCTGTAATCCCAGCACTTTGGGAGGCCGAGGTGTGTGGATCACAAGGTCAGGAGACTGAGACCATCCTGGATAACATGGTGAAACCCTGTCTCTACTAAAAACACAAAAAATTAGGTGGGCACGGTGGCACGTGCCTGTAGTCCCAGCTATTCGGGAGGCTGAGGCAGGAGAATCACTTCAACCAGGGAGGGAGAGGTTGCAGTGAGCTGAGAACGTGCCACTGCACTCCAGCCTGGGCAAGAGAGCAAGACTCCGTCTCAAAAAAGAAAAAAAAAAATTGTGCAACATTGAAACTGATGTGCCATCAGTATTGAAACCTGACCTCATTGATGTACGTGCTCAGTCCCTGGCTGTGCTGCAGGCTTACACTCACTGGTTAGTGCAGTATTGCAGTGAAGCTCACCAGCAGAACACACAGCAGTTCGTGACACTCATCCCTATTACCATGAATGCAATCACACCTCTAATCAGCACCAAGTTCTCGAAGCAGCAAAGCCTACCGTCTACACCTTTTATCTAACTCTGTCTCTCCTTCTGTTCCTATACCCATTTATTAGAAAATCTAAATATGACACAGAGTTAGACCCATAAATCTTTCCGCTTTATAAAACTGTTATTTCATCTTCCTTTTTACTTGTAGCCCACATGCATTCAAATACAACTTTACTTTTTTGGTTATATAAGTTCCACATGCTCACTGTGAAAAACCAAAATATTGTTCAGATTTCCAGACTAAAAAGTTGTGATACCTTTGAAACATTTTCCTTCAGGCGGTACACACAGTTGGGCATTGGTTGTGCAGGCACACCTCGTTTTGTTGTGTTTCCCTTTATAGCACTTCGTAGATACTGTGTTTTTTACAAGTTGAAGGCTTATGGCAACCCTGCATTGAGCAAATCTGTCAGCGCCATTTTTTCAACAGCATTTAGTGCTTCCATGTGTCACATTTTGGTAATTATTAGAATATTTCAAACTTCTTCTATGACTATATCTGACAGTAATTTGTGGTTAGTGATCTTTGATGTTACTATTGTAATTATTTTGGGGTGCCACAAACTGAAGATGGCAAACTTGATTGATAAATGTGTGTGTTCTGACTGCTCCACTGATTGGCGGCTTCCCCACCTTCCTGTCTTTAGGACTCCCTATTCCCTGAGCCATTTAGTAACCCTACAATGACCTCTATGTGTTCAAGTGAAAGGAAGAGTCACATGTCTCTTACTTTAAAAATCTAGAAATGATTAAGCTTAGTGAGGAAGGCGTGTCAAAAGCTAGGATAGGCCAAATGCTGTTGAGCCAGTTAGTCAAGTTGCGAATGCAAAGGAAAAGTTCTTGAAGGAGATTAAAAGTTCTGCTCTAGTGAACACACAAGTGATAAGAAAGCAGAACAGCCTTATTGTTGTTGACACGGGGAAAATTTCAGTGGTTCGGATAGACCAAACCAGCCACAACATTCTCTTATGCCAAAGTCAAAACCAGATCAGGCCCTTCAATTCTCTGAAAGCTGAGAGAGGTGAGGAAGCTACAGAAGAAAAGTTGTAAGCCAACACAGGTTGGTTCGTGAGGTTTAAGGAAAGAAGCCATCTCCATAACATAAAAGTGCAGGATGAAGCAGCAAGTCCTGAGGAGAAGCTGCAGCAAGTTCTCCAGAAGCTCTAGATAAGATCATTGATGAAGGTGGCCACACTAAACAACAGATTTTCAGTGTAGATGAGACAGCTTTATAGTGGAAGAAGGTGCCATCTGGGACTCCCATAGCTAGAGAGGAGGAGTCAGTGCCTGGTTTCAGAGCTTCAGAGGGCAGGCCAACTCTCTTGTCAGGGGGCACCTGCCACTGGAGACTTCAGGTTGAAGCCAGTGCTCATGTATCATTTGAAAATCCTAGGGCCCTTAGGAATTATGCTGAATCTACTTTGCCTGTCTCTATAAATGGAACAACAAAGCCTGATTGACAGCACATCTGTTTACATCATGGTTTACTGAATATTTTAAGCTCATTATTGAGACCTGCTCAGAAAAAAAAGATTCCTTTCAAAATACTACTGCTGATTGGCAATGCACTTGGTTACCTAAGGCCTCTGATGGAGATGTTCAAAGATATTAATTTCCATAGTTTCCATGCCTGCTCACACAACATCCGTTCTGCAGTTCTGCAGCCCATGGATCAAGGAGTAATTTTGGCTTTCAAGTCTTATTACTTCAGAAATACATTTCATAAGACTATAGCGGTCATAGATAGTGGTTCCTCCAATGGATCTGGGCAAATAAATTGAAAATATTAATTCAAATAATGGAACTCATTTCACTGCACATATCATTAAGAAATTAGCCCAAGCACTAGACATAACGTGGGAATACCATACTCCTTGGCACCCACCTTCATCGGGAAGAGTAGAAAGAATAAATCAAACCGTGAAGAGTCACTTAACCAAATTAGTCTTAAAGACTCAGTTGCCATGGACTAAATGCCTTCCCATTGCCTTGCTAGGAATCTGAACCACCCCTCAAAAAGATGTTGGCCTATCCCCATATGAGATGCTATATGGGTTGCCCTATTTACACTCCACTGCTGACATTTCCACCTTCGAAACAAAAGATCAGTTTCTCAGACATTATATACTTGGTTTATCTTCCACTTTCTCTTCCCTTAGAACTAAAGGTCTTTTAGCACAGGCACCATCCCTGGAGTTCCCAGTACATCGAAATCAGCCCGGGGATCAAGTCCTCATCAAAAACTAGAAGGAGGAAAAGCTGGAACTGGCCTGGGAAGGACCTTATCTAGTGCTCCTAACTACTGAAAGCGCAGTCCAGACAGCAGAAAAAGGATGGACCTATCACACCCAAGTCAAGAAAGTGCCGCCCCCTCCAGAGTCGTGGGCCATAGTCCCAGGGGAAAACCCTACCAAACTAAAGCTAAGAAATTTTTTTTTTTTTTGAGACAGAGTCTTGCTCTGTTGCCCAGGCTGGAGTGCAGTGGTGCGATCTTCACTCACTGCAACCTCCACCTCCCGGGTTCGAGCAATTCTCCCGCCTCAGCCTTCCGAGTAGCTGGGATTACAGGCGTGTACCACTACGCCTGTATAATTTTTGTACTTTTAGTAGAGATGGGGTTTCACCATGTTGGCCAGGCTGGTCTTGAACTCCTGACCTCAAACGATCCACCTGTCTCGACCTCCCAAAGTGCTGGGATTACAGGCGTGAGCCAAGCTAAGAAAAATTTAACTCTCTTATTACTCCTTCTTCTTTCCTCATTCTATTGCTGACCACCTCATTATTAATGTAACAAAGTCAATTTCACCTCAAACTATTACATTTGATGCTTGCCTTGTTATACCTTGTGGAGACTTGTCAAGTTAAAGACAGCTCTCCAATTCAGAAAAGTACCTCTGTCCTTCCCGGCTCTCCTCAGACTGGACATTAGTGAATGGGGATCATTTAGTCTGGAGAGATTTCAATAAAGACCCCAGTATCAGCTGGGAGTCTTGCTCCTGCAAGACAGAGCTTTTATGCCACAGTTGGTCCAACATTCTGTGGACCACTAAAGAGCAAGGATGAGCTGCCCCAACCAGTGGTTGTAATTTCCTAAAGTCATATATTCACTTTACTAAAGGAACAGCTTCACCTAGCTGTCAGCTGAACCGTGCAATCCAATACAGGTTATTATCTCAAACCCTCAAAGCTCTTCCCCTTCTCTAAGCCGGTTCCCTTCTTTAAGCCGGTTTTATGGTGTGGGGGCTGAGGTTTCAGGAACAGACCCTATCAGATCCTTTGAAACACAATTCATTGATCCTCTGCCGCCTACACCTTCCCTTAAGCCTTCTTCCAGAAGCTCTCACAACAAAACTGTTGTTCTCCTCCATCTAATGACAAGACCAAGGTAGTTATTATAGAAGTTAAAGACCTAAAACAAACTTTGGCAATTGAGACAGAATATCAAGATGCTAATGCCTGGTTGGAGTGGATCAAACATTCCATCCACACTTTAAACAAAAGCATTTGTTATGCTTGTGCGCACGGCAGACCAGAAGCCCAGATTGTCCCCTTTCCATTAGGATAGTCCTTTAGTCTACTAGGCATGGGCTGTATGGTTACTTTTTTCCAGGATTACACAGCCTGGGGTAAAAAGTCGTGTCAAGCTCTCTCTGCTATATCCTGAGGTTCAATACCCTGCAGGTCAGCCCCCAAGGTCCACTCAGCTTCTGTCCCCTGACGCTAAGTTCACTTCATATCTCTCACTACAGGGAGGAAACTTAGCATTCCTTGGAGACCTAAAAAGATGCAGTGAGCTTAAGACTTTCCAAGAGCTTACCAATCAGTCAGCCCTTGTTCATCCCCAAGCATATGTATGGTGGTATTGTGGTGGACCTTTACTGGACTCTCTGCCAAGTAACTGGAGCAGCACTTGTGCTCTAGTTTAATTGGCTATCCCTTCCACCCTAGCATTTCATCAACCAGAGAGAGGAAAAATACAACATCATAAAACAAGGGAAGCTCCTTATGGGTCTTTCAACTCCCACATTTATTTAGATGCAATTGGAGTCCCATGAGGAGTACCAGATAAATTTAAAGATCAAGATTAAATAGCTGCAGGATTTGAGTCAAGATTAAATAGCTGCAGGATTTTGTGGGTGACAATTAATAAAAACATAGATTGGATAAATTACGTCTATTATAATTAGCAGTGGTTTATTAATTACACCAGGGATGCTGTCAAAGGGATAGCAGAACAATTGGGGCCCACTAGCCAGATGGCCTGGGAAAACAGAATGGCCCTAGATGTGATATTAGCTGAAAAAGGCAGTGTTGGTGTTATGATTAAAACTCAGGGCTGTACCTTTATCCCAAGCAACACTGCCCCCACTGGGAGCATAACAAGGGTCTTACAAGGACTTACTGCTTTATCCAATGAATTAGTTAAAGATTCTGGAGTCAATAACCCTTTCTCAGGATGGCTAGAAAGGTGGTTCAGTAGATGGAAAAGATCATAGCCTCGATTCTTACTTCTCTTGCAGCCGTAATAGGTGTACTCATTCTTGTTGGGTATTGTGTCATACCATGCGTCCGTGGGGCAGTGCAAAGAAACAGCACCTACTAAAACCTCCCTTAACTTTCCTCCACCTTATTCAGAAAAGCTTTCTTCTTTTAGAGGATCAAGTCAAGCAGCAAAGCCAAGACATGTTAAAAAGGTTTGAAGAGGAAGGCCTATGAAAATTGAAAGGGGGGAGATTGTAGGATACAGTAAATTCCTCTTCAGAGTTAGCCTGTTAACTTCCTTTAAAATTCAAGATGGTGGCTGGGCGTGGTGGCTCATGCCTGTAATCCCAGCACTTTGGGAGGCCAAGGCAGGCAGAACATGAGGTCAGGAGATTGAGACCATCCTGGCTAACATGGTGAAACCCTGTCTCTACTAAAAAATACAAAAAAATCAGCCGGGCGTGGTGGCGGGTGCCTGTAATCCCAGCTACTCAGGAGGCTGAGGCAGGAGAATGGCGTGAACCCAGGAGGCGGAGCTTGCAGTGAGCCTAGATTGCACCACTGCACTCCAGCCTGGGTGACAGAGCAAGACTCCATCTCAAAAAAAAAAAAAAATTCAAGAGGGAGAAAAAAATCATTTAAGTACAATGAGTTCTGAGTTCCTCTTCAAAGAACAAATACGTCAGTATGTTCAGCTTCCCTGTTCTTTGTTCTCCATTTTGAAGTTTAACTTCCTTGTTCTTTACACCTCCTTGCCTCTAGTTTCAGTAAACAACCCCCTCCTAGCCTCTATCACCTGTTCTGTCCTTAGGCATCCTTACTCTCCTGTTCTGTAACTGTCCTTCCCTGATGAAACTACTCACCCCACCACTCCAGCTCATACACTCACTCTCTTTAAAATTTCCAACTGGAATTAGCTTAGACTGTGTGGTCCAACCCTAGCCAACAGGGGAAAGACACAGCAGTAGGGACTAGCTGCATTAGGAATAAGACGCCCTTCTCCTCCCTTGTCTGGTGTGCTCTCACCATTGCTCCATCTGAGAGATGCACCCTTCTATAGAAGTAAATTGCTTTGCTGAGAAAATTTTTGCCTGAGTGCTATTTTCACTCTGTGGCACCGAGCACTTACTTCCAACAGTTTGGTTACATTTTTTATCACCCAGCATGGGGCTATATGTCTCTACTGGTCTAGCGTGCCTGGTTTCCGATGGATGGAGCAATTGGCTGTGGCATCATGCCAGGGCTTACTCATTCATGCTACCAGGCAGAGCAACAACTTCTCATGAGGATTAGCTGCTCGTGGCTAGCTGACCTCCCAGCTGGGATTCTAGGGTTGTCCCAGCAGCTGCCAAGAACATCTTTTCCCTCCTTCCCCCTCTGTGGCATCAGCTGCCTGCAATGCTTTATTAGTATAAGGAAAATGATAGTTGAGGAAGTTGACAGGATTCAAGACTGGGTAAATCAAACCAGTTTGCATGCTAGAAATCCTCTGTCTCTGCCATTTGGGCTTTATGCCATTTGGACCTGACACAGGTCTTTTGCAGTATCAGTTAGCCTAAGATTTATTAACTTCCCAGTCTCCTTCTACAGGAATTGGTTCAGGAGTACTCTGTGTTGATCTGTGTGTTTGTGTTCTTTTGATCTCTCCCCTGAGAATGGGCAACTTGACTTCCATTCCATCTAAGTGGCCATTGGGCTGTATATTGGCTTATTGGAAAGCTTATAGCTATGAACTCATAACAAAAAAGATAATGATTTTTTTTCATTGTAACACTGTTTGGCCTATGTATGTGTTGGAATCTGAAAAATGGTGGCTACTGAACAGTGATTTACATTAGTACACCTTATTACAGTTGGCGTTATTTTGCCTAAGATCTGGGAAATGAAATGAGATTCCATGTGTTTAAGCATTTATTACATAACAAAGACTCAGCACATGAGGGGTCTATGTGAATGACGTAGAGAAAAGGGAAAAAGAGATTTCTCTTTCCAGATAGTAAGACCCAAAAGGAAGAGGATATTGATGATATGGGCCTCATAAATATCTTAAATTTCCCCTCCCATGTGGTACTGGGGGCACCAGCCCTCCCAGGATTACCAAATGTAGCCCAGGACCCGGAGAGGCCAAGGTGTCAGCTCCTCTCCCCAGGATGGGGAAGGAATAGAAATGGCTGCTCCACTTGCAGATTTTACTTGGGACCCCAACAATGGAGGAATGGCCCTGTCCAGTCATTATAAAAAGCATGTGTTGGCAGGGTTAAAGAGAAGAATGTAAAAGAGCTTAAATAAAGCCAGGGCAGTTCTCCCAAAGGCAGATGAGAACCCCTGTGAATTTCTGGAGTGCATTTACCAGGTTTACCACAAGTGTATGGACTATGATCCAGAAGCTCCTGAGAATATGAGAATGGTAAACGTGACTTTCATCCAATATTAAACGAAAACTGCAGAAACTGGAGGGGGTATTTGGAATAAACCTTTCCCAACTGCTGGACATTGCCTTCAGAGTATATAATGCCAGGAAGGCCAAAAAGCTAAAGCAAGCCATGATATACTTGGAATTAGTGGAAAGAATGTATATCCGAAAAGGAAAAACCAGGCACAGGGAGGTGGCCAGAACAAAACTCTAGGTAATGATCAGTCTGCCCCCTGCAAGGAGGAAGGTCATTGGAAATCTGAGTGCCCCAAATTAAAGAAAAGACAGGGAAACCAGAAGAAGGGAGACACAGTGACAGAGAAGAAACATACTGGCTGATGGTAAAGCAGGACTGTAGCTCAGATAGTGAAGGAGGCCCAAATCTTTTGGAGCAGGTTGTAATTTCCCCACAGGAACCTCAGGTACGATTGACAATGGGGAACAAATTGATTGACTTTTTAATCAATACTGGTGTGACTTATTCAGGTAGAAACACTAAAGAAACTGAAAGTACTAGGAAAACAGTGCCTGTGATGGTTGTCGCTGGCAAGATGCAGCAAACAGCCTTTCTCCAGACCCTGGAGAGTCTGGAGACTGCCGGACACAGAGATCTGGAGCTGAGACACAGTTTCCTCTATATGCTGGAATACCAAATTCCTTTGCTGGAGTGAGATTTGCTTTGTAAACTAAATTGCCATGTGACGTTTTTCTCCAGAAAAACAACAACTTCATCTGCAGGTCCTGCCAGAGCAAGCTTTGCAGCTGCAGATGCTGCTCACACACCCCGAGGAAGAAAAAGAATGCCTCCTGCCAGCAATCTGTGAGCAAGTAAGTAGTCATGAGGGCAGATGGGACCACAGGTAGTGCTGAAAATACACAGCCTGTGTGCACAGAAATAAATGAAGGGGCTAAGGTATTCCCCAAACACAGTGCCCTCTAAAAAGAGAGGCTTTAGAGGGGATACAACCTATATTACAGAAGTTTCTAAAAAATGGACAAATATGTCCTTACAGATCTCCATACAATGCCCCTATCCTGACTGTTAAAAACCCACACTCAAATGAATATTGATTTGTACAAGATTTGGGAACCATTAATGACATTGTTCAAGACATTCACCCAACTATGCCCATCCTTTACACCTTACTAACTGATAAACCAGGGCAGTATGGGTAGTTTTCGGTATTAGACTTAAAAGATACTTTTTTTTTTTTTTTTTTTTTTGCATCCTGATTGAAGAGAGGGACCAGATGCTGTTCACCTTTGAGTGGCAAGACCTGGAAACAAAAAACACCTTCCAATATTGTTAGGCTGTATTTTCTTAAGGTTTTAAAAACTCACCCACCATCTTTGGCAAAATATTGGCAAAGGGCTTCAGAGATTTTCAACTAGATGATGGGGTTCTGCTAAAATACTTGGATGACTTGTTAATCGCAAGCCAAGACTATGAGAGGTGCCTATCTAACACTATCTTAATCTTAAATTATTTGATATAATACGGACGTAACATATCACCTCAGAAAACTCAGATTTGTAAACAAGAAGTGACCTATCTTGGCTTCTGACTAAAAACAAGGAAAGCAGAGCTTGATGTCCAACCAGAAACAGGTGATAGCAGCAATAAAGGCCCCTGGGAATGGAAGACACTGTGGGGGGTTTTAGGTGTGGCAGGTTTCTGCTGAATCTGAATCCCTAATTTTGGACTCATAGTCAAACCTCTCTACAAGGCTCTAAAGGGATTAGATTCAGGAGCCCTAAACTGGATGGCTGAATGCCTTCAGGCATTTGATACCATCAAAAAAAAAAAAAAAAATAGTGTCAGCTCCAGCATTAGGACTGCCCAATTCTTGAAAGCTATTTAGACTCTATATCCATGAAAACCAGGGCACAGGACAGGAAATACTAATTCAACTACGTGGGAATTCCCCACAACCCATAGCCTACTTTCCCAAACAACTGGAGCAGATTACCAGAGGATGGCCACCTTGTCTTCAGGCCGTGGCAGCTACGTGTGATATCTTACAGGAAGCAGAAAAATTCACCCTAGGACAGCCCATTACTGCATTTGTGCCTTATCAAGTGTTAACCTTATTGTAACAAAAGGGAGGTTACTGGATGATAGCGGGGCATATGGGCAAATACCAAGCCAGCCTATTAGATAACAGAAATGTTTTCTCCAAACCACCACAGTCTTGAATCCTGCCACCTTGCTCCCAGCCACTGAGTCCAACTATGAACTGGAGCATAATTGTTTAGAAATTCTTGATGCAGTCTATTCCAGCAGACCAGATCTGTCAGATCATCTGATGGCCACTCCGGACTGGGAGCTATACACTGACTGAAGCAGTTTCACAGAAGGAGGACAACGCCAGGCCAGGTATGCTCCAGTGACCCTAGACAAAGTAGTAGAAGCCTATGTCCCCGCTGCTGGTACTTCAGCACAAAAAGCTGAATGGATTGCTCTCATCAGGGCCTTAAAACAGTCTCAAGAGAAATGGGTAAACATTTACACCTACTCCAAGTATGCCTTCTTGGTAGTGTATGCCCGTGGGGTCATTCAGAAAGAAAGGGGATTCTTAACCTCAAGAAATAAAGACATTAAACACCTGCTGGAAATTTTAGCTTTGTCAGAGGCAGTTGTTCTGCCAACTCAAGTTGCTATTATGCACTGCCAAGGCCACCAAAAGGATGACTCCCCAATAACCAAAGGGAATCAAGTGGCTGATAAAGCTGCAAAGCAGGCCACTCAAGAAACATATTTACTTGGGACCTTAATACTCCATTTAAACTTGTCAGAATTTAAACTCCACTACACTGAATGAAATGAAGAATGCACACATGAGTGGACATTGACCAACACAGACCCTTGTTCCTCATGGAAAGCTAACACTCATGGGATATTACTCTCTGAGGCCCTGGTATACCCAGTCCTGAAAGACCTGCATGAGGGGACACACTATGGCAGAGATGGACTGGCTCACCTGGTGTAGCCATATCTCAAAGGGCCACACCTTCAAAAGATCATTCAAAAGATTATACAAGCATGTTATCTATATACCCCAAATGATTCAAGAACTGCATGCAACTCTTCCCAGAGGAGGATACAATACAAAGGAATATGACCATTCGAGGACTGGCAGGTTGATTTCACCCAGATGCCAAAAACACTGGGATTTATAAGTACCTACTAGTGTTTGTAGACACATTTTCTGGAAAGGTTGAAGCTTACCCGAGCAAGAGATTGAAGCCTATCCGAACAAGTCTGAGAAAGCTGCAGAAGTAGCTAAGGCTCTGCTAAAAGAAATCATTCCTCGATTTGGACTTCCTTACTCCATACCAAGCAACAATAATCCTTCTTTAATTTCTGAGATCACACAAAGGATAAGCCAAGCATTACAGATCAAATGGAAATGACACTCTTGTTGGAGGCCACAATCAACTGGAAAGACTGAAAAGATGATCCACATGCTAAAAAACAAAAACAAAAACAAAAACAAAACAAAACAAACAAACAAAAAAACCAAAAAAAACCCCTGGCAAAACTCTATCGGGAAACAGATTTAAAATGGTAAAGGGTTTTACCTATTGCCCTGCTATGGATTGGGGTAGCACCCTGAAGTGGGCTTAAATTAAGCCTTTTTGAAATTGTGTGTGGGAGACCCTTCTGAAGTTCTTGGCCAGGGACCCCACCCTTGGACTTAATAAATTAATCAAGAATTAAACAATATGTACAACAACTAAGACATAAATCACTAACCCTGCACAAGTTTGTTCTTTTTGTTCTTTCCAGTTTTATGTGTCTTACAAAAAAGCCCCTTCACCCTTTTCATCCAAGGATAAAGTGCCGCTAAAATCTTGGTAAAAACAAGGACTGGACCAACAACAGCCAGCCAAAAAGTGGACAGGTCATTATGATGTTTTATTAACTACTCATTCATCTGTTAAGCTGGCTGGAGTCAAACCACGCATACATCACATTTCGGTAAAAATCGCCCCTCCCCAACCTGACACAGCAGACAATCAACCTGGTTGGACTTGTGAGCCAACTGGAGAACTGAAGCTACTGCTTAAGAAAAATCTTTTTGTACTATAGGATTAAATTTCTGTTATTCTTTATCATAATGAGTAAACTTTTTTGACATCTGCTAAAACTAGTCTATTTCTACAGTGGGCATAACATTATGCAGATAGTCTACACTAAGATGCTTGCTGGGTATGTGGATTGCTACCCATCTCTAGCACTTCTGGGCTACTTTAGTGAGTATCACCCCTGCAGGGGACTGATTAGATACATTTACAAACGTATATGAAAAACTGTTCATGGGAAAATCAGGACCTTGGTAACTTAAGGTAATATTTTTTAAAAATGGCCTGGCATTAATATAACGCTTCAGAATCCAGATCCTGGAAAACTCTTCATTATAACCGGACTATCCAAAGGACCTCTGAGTATGCAATCCCTCTCTTAAAGGAGTTTTCCTAGATGGCCCCCAAGATTTTGGCTACTAATAACCATTACACGGTAGGTGAGTTTTTATCAAATTTGGGACGATTACCTCTGGATGATCTCCACTATTAGTCACTTAACCCAAATTGCCACTTCATGTTGGGAACAAAGGAATCACTCTTAGAATCATTGGCCGAATGTTACTAAAAATGTGGATAGGATGCCTCTACATCAATATGAACATTCTTTAGTGCTATATTAGACAAACCTGTTTACCACTGATTGGACACAGACCCAAAATTTGGTGGCTGGTCCCCAGTGGAACTCAATAGTTATGTGAAACTAATCTTCGGCCATGTCTACCTGATGGATGGATAGGGCAGTGCACGTTAGGACCCCCATAGGTCCGGGGCTGATTAACAAAAACCACCAGGCAGCCTGCACACTTTCCAGATGTGTTACACCAATGGACCAGGCCGGTTTTCCCTTCCTACGACCATCTCCTGTCCCTTGTTTTCCCCCAAGCAGGCTTAGAAAGCATCATCTGGCATATTGAGGCACTTACAAATTATAGCAAGTGCTGAAAGACACATTTAAGGGCATCTCATTAGTAACCTCTGAAATGACTATGATGGGAAAAGTAGTCTTGCAAAACCACATGGCCCTTGATGTACTCACAGCTGCTGGGAGGGACCTTGACCCATAATTGAAACTAAATGTTTTGTGTATATCCTAGGTAATTTGCGAAACATCTCCTTAGCCCTTCAAGACGTGCACAGACAAATCAATGCTATGTCTGACCCCACAATGTTCCTAAACCAGTGGTTATCTTCATGGTTTGGATACGGACCTACTTGGTGGAAAAAACTGCTAGTAGTTCCAGCTATGATTATAGGAATAGGTATATTCTCTATGGGTTATACTCTTGTTGCACCATATGTGTGATATTGCAAGATTGTGTTTTCCTTAATTGGAAAGGCTCCTAACTCCCAGGTCAATGATGCTGTAAAAAATCACTTCCATAAGTCAAGGAATGCATGAATACTTCCAACTCCAGGTAAATAAATTCCATTCTTCAGCTCCCTAGTGATGCCCTCATTCAGCAGGAAGTAGCTAGAAAGAAATTGACACCTGATCTCCCATAGAAATGAAACAGGAATTGGCAGTGGGGAGTTTGTAGCTGGAATAATCAGCCTGCTTCAATAATGAATAGCCTCACCCTTTGATTTATTCAGTATCTAGCCGTATCCTTGCTTAAGAAACCCAGGGGCTAATCTTGAAATAAACCGGGCATGAATTTGAGATTGTGGAATCCTACATTCTCAGAAAAATCACTGAGGGGGGTTAATCCATAAGCTAGTTGCAGTCATGGTGATGCCAGCCAGACCTCCAGGTGATCCGTTACTGAAGATAGCCATCAGAGTAAGACATGCAAACCTGCACCCTGCACCACTCCTGCTCATAGTTTCCATGCCTCCTACTTCTTAAAATCCCTTTAGCTAGCCTAAAATTTTGAAATAGTCTTTGAGGCGCTAGTCCACCATCTCCTCAGGTTGCTAGCTCTTGAATAAACCTGCTTTTCCTGCACCAACTCTTGTCTTGCAAGTCTTGCTTTTGAGCAGTGAGCAGTGATCAGCTGACCCTTAGTTTGGTTACACTATCACTCAGGAAATTCCAAGCATTTTAGAAGGTCTGTGGCAGGAACCAGGAACTAAGTTCAAATTTATTTTTTATTATACCACAGGTCCCAACTCCCATGACTACCTGGATGGTGACAAAGACGAATTATCTCTTCATCCTTCTTTCTCACTCTAAATATACACAGACATGCTATTAGGAGGGAAAACTTTCCCTCTACCAACTTTGGTTCAGTGGGTGGGAGCCTGTGAATTAACTATAGACAGGTTAGCAGGGGGAAAGAAAACAAGTTGTATTCATAACTTGTGGAAGCATTCAGATGAAGAGGCTTGATGAAGAGCTAGAGACAGAAGTTTAGTTATCAACTCATAGGGGAAAAGAAGGAGGGAGAAATGACTTCTATAGGAAAACAAATGACTTTTGGGAAAGACAAATAGAAGCTTTGGATAAAGTTTTACACAATTTTCTTGGAATATCTCCTGTCTGGGTGAAGTAATCCTCACACGGTTAACAAGAATCCTGGACAAAAATATAATTATGAGTAAGTGTTAATCAGGCTACACTTTGACCCACTTCCTTGTAACCAAAACTCACGAACACTAGCTACTGATAATTTGCATTCTCATTGTTCCCATAGATAAGATCTTTGACATTAGAATCATAAGGCTTTTGTTTAAGAATTGTTTATGCAGATCCTGAATTCCGGCAGAACAGCTGACACCACCAACTTTAAAGAGCCCAACTGATGAACTGATCAGCATGAGAATACTGTTTTTTCATCTCTCTGTCCCATGACTTCACTCTGCATTCTTCAACCAATTAGTGATCTCTTATTTCCACCTACTCCAAATCCTTAAAAACAACAGCCTCAAACTCTTTGAGGAAATGGATTTGAGGTTTCCTTCCATCTTTTGGTTCAGCAGCCCTGCAATTAAACCTCTTTCTCTGCTGCAACCCAGTGTCTTGGCATATTGACATGCTGTGCACATCAGGCAAAAGACCTATTACCATTACATGAGGACCCCTCCGGAGGGAGATAATGGTGGGGGCATTTCTGGGAGGCTCTGCTTTAGTCAGGTGAGAGAAGTTCAGGTAAGATTTCTTTCTGTATCTGCTGTAATTCAAATGTTTTCAGTTTTGTCAGTTTTGCCCTTAAACATGTGCACACACACACACACACACACACACACACACACTCACACTTCCCTTCTTAAGCAGCTAGCATCTTCATATATCTCTGCTCCTGTCATGTGCGTCCATGTGAAGAGACCACCAAACAGGCTTTGTGTGAGCTATAAAGCTTTTTAATCACCTGGGTGCAGGCAGACTGAGTCCGAAAAAGGAGTCAGCAAAGGGAGATGGGGTGGGGCAGTTTTATAAGATTTGGGTAGGTAGTGGAAAATTACAGTCAAAGTGGGTTATTCTCTTGCAGGCAGGGGCAGGGGTTACAAGGTGCTCAGTGGGGAGGTTCTGAGACTCATTGTCTAGGAGAAGGAATGTCACAAGGTTAATTGATCAGTTAAGGTGGGGCAGGAACAAATCACAATGGTGGAATGTCATCAGTTAAGGCAGGAACTGGCTATTTTCACTTCTTTTGTGGTTCTTCAGTTGCTTCAGGCCATCTGGATGTATACTTGCAGGCTTGGGCTCAGAGGTCTGACATTTCCTGTCTTCTTATATTAATAAGAAAAACAAAACAAAATAGTGGTGAGGTGTTGGAGCGGCAAAAATTTTGGGGGGTGGTATGGAGAGATAATGGGCAATGTTTCTCAGGGCTGCTTCAAGTGGGATTAGGGGCAGCATGGGAACCTAGGGTGGGAGAGATTAAACTGAAGAAAGATTTGGGCATCAAGGGTGATATTGTGGGGTTGTTAGAAGGAGCATTTGTCATACAGAATGATTGATGATGGCCTGAATGCAGTTTTGTATGAATTGAGAAACTGATCAGAAGACACAAGGTCTAAATAAGAGAAGGAGAAAAGCATGTATTAAAGGACTAAAAATTGGGAGGGCTCAGGACATCCAATTAGAGAGTGCCTAAGGGGGTTCAGCATAATTATTTGCTTGGTTGGTGAGTTTTTGGGCGCTATCCTTGAGTTTTTTTTATGTTGTCATATACTAGGCCAGAGTGATTTTGGTAGAAACAACACTCTTCATTTAAAAATATACAGAGTCCCCCTTTTTCAGCAGTGAGTAAGTCAAGGGCATATTCCTGTCTTCTTATATTAATAATAAGAAAAACAAAACAAAATAGTAGTGAAGTGTTGGTGTCATGAGGGGAACAGGAAGCTCTTGGGTCCCATTTGCAAGTTGATTTTTGGGGGTAAGGAAAACTAGTGTGCATGTGCCTGTCTAATTAACAGGTAGACACATGTAGGGGAGGAGCCACAGGGGAAGAAGAGACCTTGTGTAAGGCGAAACTGGAAATGTAAAGTGAAAAGATGAGAAAGAGAAAAACTGGCCATGAGGGACAGAAGTTGAAACGCCAGCTGCTTGTTTAGCTACCTTATTAGCATAAGCATTGCCCTGAGTGATGGGATCTGATGCCTTTTGTTGGCCTTTACAGTGAATGGCCTCAGTTTTCTTGGAAGTAGAGCAGCTTTAAGAAGAGGTTTTATTAAGGAGGCATTAATGATGGAGGACCCTTGTGTAGTGAGGAAACTTCTTTCTGCCCATATAACAGCATGGTGGTGAAGGATGTGGAAGGCATACCTGGAATTGGTATAGATATTGACACGTAGTTCCTTTGCAAGAATGAGGGCTCGAGTTAAGGCAATGATTTCAGCTTGTTGAGAGGTAGCAGAAGGGGGCAGGCCTGTAGCCTCAATGATAGATGTGGAAGATACTATAGCATAGCCTGCCTTTGCCAGTGATTGGCGATTGGACCTGGAAGAACTACCATCAATAAACCAAGTGTGGTCTGGGTAGGGAACAGGAAAGAGGAAAATATGGGGAAAAGGGGAGAATGCCACGTGGATTAGAGGGATACAGTCATGGGGCTCAGATGCAGTATCAGGAATAAGATGAGAGGCTGGATTGAAGTCTGGACTAGGAACAATGGTAATTGTGGGAGACTCAACAAATAGTGAGTACAGTTGAAGGAGCTGGGGCACAGAAAGTATACGTGTCAAGCGTGAGGAGGAGAATAGATTTGGAAAGTTACAGGAACAGTAGAGAGTAAGTGGAGCATAGCTTGTAATTTTGAGGGCTTCCAGAAGTATTAAAGCTGTGGCTGCTGCTGCATGCACACATGAGGGCCACCCCAGAATTGGGAGGTCAAGTTGTTTTGATAGAAAGGCAGCAGGTCACGGGCCTGGCTCCTGTGTGAGGACTCTGGCAGCACAGCCTTGTATTTCAGCTGTGTGTAAGGAAAAAGAATGGGACGAGTCGGGGAGTGCTAGTGTGGAAGCGGTCTCCAGGGCGTTTTTGAGAGAGTGAAAAGAAGAATGGGGAAAAGACTTAGGGTCCATGGGATCAGTTAAGTTGCCCTTTCTGAGCTTGTAAAGTGGTTTCGTCAGGATAGCGACGCCTGATATCCAGAATCGGAAATATCCAACAGTGCCTAAGAAGGAAAGGAGTTGTTGTTTGGTGGTGGGGACTGGGGTTTGAGAGATCAGCTGGACACAATCAGCAAGGAGAGCACGTGTGTTTTCATGAAGAATTATGCTGAGATAGGTAACAGATGAGGAAGAAATTTGGGCTTTGGAGGGGGATACATGATATCCTTTTGAGAACAGATATTGGAGGAACAGGAGGGTGTCCCGTTGAGAAGATTTGTAGGAGGGGCTATAAAGTAGAAGGTCATCAAAATATTGAATAAGGTGAGAAGCAGATGGACAGAAAGAAAGTAGATCATGAGAAAGGGCTTGACTGAAGTAATGGGGGCTGTCCCTGAAGCCTTGTGGCAGTACAGCCCAGGTAAGTTGCTGAGGCTGATGGGTGTCAGGATCAGTCCAGGTAAAAGCAAAGAGAGGCTGGGATGACAGGTGCAGGGGAATAGTGAAAAAAGCATCTTTAAGATCAAGAACAGAATAGTGAGCTGTGGAGGAATTTATTGAGGACAAAAGGGTGTACGGGTTGGGCACCACAGAGTGGATAGGCAAAACAATTTGGTTGATAAGGTGCAGATCCTGAACTAACCTGTAAGGCTTGTCCAGTTTTTGGACAAGTAAAATGGGAGAATTGTAAGGAGAGCTTGTAGGCTTTAAAAGGCCATGCTGTAACAGGCAAGTGATAACAGGCTTTAGTCCCCTCAAAGCCTGTTGTGGGATGGCATACTGGCATTGAGAGGAGTAAGGGTGATTAGGTTTTAAAGGGATGGTAAGGGGTGCATGATCGGTCACCAAGGAAGGAGCACAGGTATCCTATACTTGTGGATTAAGGTAGGGAGACAGAAGAGGAGTATGTGAACTGGGGAAAAGGGTGGGAATAGGTGTGACTGTAGCCCAGGAATAGTCAGGGAAGCAGATAATTTAGTTAAAATGTCTCAACCTAATAAGGGAGGTGGGCAGGTGGGGATAACTAAAAAGGAGTGCATAAAAAATGTTGTCCAAGTTGGCACCAGAGTTGGGGAGTTTTAAAAGCCTGGCCATCAATATGCACAACAGTTATGGAGGCAAGAGAAACAGGCCCTTGAAAAGAAGGTAATGTGGAGTGGGTGGCCTCCATATTGATCAAGAAGGGGATGGACTTACCCTCCACTGTAAGAGTTACCGAAAGCATCTGTGATGGTCCAGGAGGCTTCTGAGATAATTGAGCCACGTCAGTCTTCAGCCACTAAGCCAAGAAGATCTGGGAAGGAGTCAGTCAGAGAGCCTTGGGCCAGAATTCCAGGGGCTCTGGGAGTGGCTGCTGGGCGAGTTGGACAGTCCGGTTTCCAGTGGGGTCCCGCACAGATGGGACATGGCTTAGGAGGAATCCCGGGCTGCAGGCATTCCTTGGCCCAGTGGCCAGATTTCTAGCACTTGAAGCAAGATCCTGGGGGAGGAGGTCCTGGAGGAACACCTGGCCACTGCAGTTCAGGCATTTTGAAGTTCTTGTGTGCTGGAGATGTGGCTGGGGCTTCTCTCATAGTGGAGGCAAGTAATTGCAACTCAGAAATATGTTGCCACTTGGCTGCCTCTTCTCTATTATTGTACACCTTGAAGGCGAGGTTAATTAAGTCCTGTTGTGGGGTTTGAGGGCCAGAATCTAATTTTTGGAGCTTTGTTAATGTCAGGAGTGGATTGACTAATAAAATGCATATTGAGAATAAGACGGCCTTCTGGCCTCTCTGGGTCTAGGACAGTAAAGTGTCTAAGGGTTGTTGCCAAATGGGCCATGAACTGGGCTGGGTTTTTATATTTGATAAAAAAAAAAAAAAAAAAGCCTAAATGCTAACTCATTTGGGAGAGGTTGGATAAAGAAAAAGGAGCATTAACCTTGACTGTACCTTCAGCTCCAGCCACCTCTTTAAGAGGAAATTTTTGGGCAGGTTGGGGAGAGCTAGTCATGGAATGAAACTGTAAGCTGGACCAGGTGTGAGGAGGGGAGGTGATAAAAGGATTATAGGGTGGGGGAGCAGAGGGTGAGGAAGAATCAGGACCTGGCTTGGCCTGGCTGGTGAGCAGCAGCCTGGGGAGGAGGGAAGAGGTCAGATGGGTCTGTAGAAAAGGAGAATTCAAAGGACTCAGAGCTTGGGGTGGAGACTGAAGAAACAGACAGGAGAGAAAGAAGAAAGATTTGGGACAAGTCACATTGGGAGCAGAGACTAGGGAGGGACTGATGTGTAAAAGAATGCCTGGATGTCAGGCACCTCAGACTATTTCCCCATTTTTCGACAAAAATCATCTAGATCTTGTAAGATGGAGAAATCAAAAGTGCCGTTTTCTGGCCATTTGGAACCATTGTTGGGTTTGTATTAGGGCCAAACGGTATTGCAGAAGAAAATAAGGCATTTAGGTTTTAGGTCAGGTGTGAGTTGAAGAGGTTTTAAGTTCTTGAGAACACAGGCTAAGGGAGAAGAAGGGGGAATGCAGGGTGGAAGGTTGCCCACAGTGAAGAAGTAAGTTTAAAGAGAAAGGTAGAGACACAGCAAAGGGGGTGGTGAGCAGCCCTGGGCTATAACGTGGACGATCAGCCAAAGCAGGCATCCCGCGATTGACTTGCCATCAAGGGAATGTGGGTGAATGACCATGGCAGGTGTCCCCACAGTGATCAGACACCAATGGAATGTGGGTGAATGATCAGGGCAGGCATCCCCACAATGATCAGACGCCAAGGGAAGACTATCTTCCCGAGTCCGTGACTGGTGTCTGAGTTTTGGGTCCATGGATAAAATGCGTCTCCTTTGTCTCTACTAGAGAGGAAAGAGAACTGGAATTGGAAGGACAGGGAGATTGAAGGGTAGCAAGAGAGGCTGGAGAAGACAGTGAAAAGACCGCTTACCCAATTTGAAATGGGTGAGATGTTCCTTGGGCTGGTTGGTCTGAGGACCTGAGGTCATAGGTGGACCTCCTCATGGAGTGAAGGCGAGGACAGGGGACCAGTCTCCTGAAGGAGTCCCCCTGTTCTGGGTCTTCGGCACTAAATGCCACACGCGTCCATGTGAAGAGACCACCAAACAGGCTTTGTGTGAGCAATAAAGCTTTTTAATCACCTGGGTGCAGGCAGACTGAGTCCAAAAAAGGAGTCAGCAAAGGGAGATGGGGTGGGGCAGTTTTATAGGATTTGGGTTGGTAGTGGGAAATTACGGTCAAAGTGGGTTATTCTCTAGCGGGCAGGGGCGGGGGTCACAAGGTGCTCTGGTGGGGAGCTCCTGAGTCTAATTGTCCAGGAGAAGGAATGTCACAAGGCTAATTGATCAGTTAAGGTGGGGCAGGAACAAATCACAGTGGTGGAATGTCATCAGTTAAGGCAGGAATTGGTTATTTTCACTTCTTTTGTGGTTCTTCAGTTGCTTCAGGCCATCTGGATGTATACGTGCAGGCTTGGGCTCAGAGACCTGACAGCTCCCTAATTTGCTTCTAAATATTCTAAGGGAGAAGGAAGAGCTGTGAGAATTGTCTTTGAGAGGAATCATTCTCTCTGGAGTAAATGAGACAAATCTTCTGTGTTGTGGTCATGGATCTGATAGGCATTAGTCTTTGACCAGAGTTTATGAGGTTATTAAGGTGCATGCATGTTTATAAACTAAACAAGAATTTAAAAGTCAGAGAAAAAAAATAATACCATAGCACAGTCTTCTCAGGTACCTTCGGTTTAGGTCCTTTATTACAAGGAAAACATAAAAAATCTTTCAATCAGTAAGAGCACATAAGTCTTAATGATCTAGTACATTTTTTAGTACTTTGACTTACTAGGGTGATTCAAAGTTTCAGGAAAAAGAAAATTCCCAGTATCATTTTCTTAATCTTATTAAACCCAAACATAAGAATGCCAAAAAATACAGAGCTCACATTTTGCTGGCATACATTTCCAAATTTTTAATGCCTCCCTGACAGGTGAATTTTAAGGATAAAAAAAGCAGACACTTTCAAAACATTCCTTGTGATGAAGTAGAAAAAGCCCTGGATAAGTGGCCAGCTACACTGGATTTTTGTCTCAATTCTTCCATTAACTTTACAGTCTTCAGCAAATCCCTTAACTTTGAGCTTCTATATGTAGTGACATCATTATAAGTGCTGTGGTATTAAAATGTGATAAACATAGATGAAAGCATTTTGAAATGTTTGAAATACTACATAAATACACATAATAACTAAATTCCACAGGATAGGATCTGAGAGAGCTAAGCTGACCAGTATTATAAAAGGAAGCTTATTACAGAAAAGCCCAGCCTCATTCATTACAGGTTTATGTCTCCATATCTCTTTGGTGCAATGTATTTAATAGAATGAGTTATATAGAGAAAAAGAGTAGGAAATGAGCTGAGGAGACAGAGCCTGGGACAGCTCAAATGCATTACTCACTGCTATTTAAGGAGTAAGTGTAAGGTCAACCACTCGCGATAATCCCTACATGGTGGCATCTAACCGTCAAAGTGCACAGGCACCTGTGGGTTACCCTCACAGGCAATGACAACACGTCTAGTGCTCGCTATGGCCCGATATCTGCAGTTGGGTGCCCTGGAACTTCCTGTGTCCCTGCAATCTGTGACCTTCACTACACCCTCATGGCAGTTCATCTTGCCGTTCTTGCATTGGATATTGGTGGTGCTGCAGATACTACGAATGTTCCAGATATCTTCATGGATGAAGGTGTTGAAGCGCTTGCAGTGATACAAAGTCATCTTCCGTCTTTGCATCATCAAGTTGCAGTAGCGATCACTGCCACCTGTCTCCTCAGGGTGCACGTGTTGCCGCAGGAATCGCTGGTACATGCCATCCTGGCCATAGGAGGGCTGGACCAGCCCCAGCCCCAGCAGGGTCAGCAGCAAAAGCAGAAGCAATGAATGGGTCCTCTGCAGAGCCATCAGTATCTTAGAGGTGCCTAGAAAAGAAAGCAAGGGGCAGGAGAAATAAGGTAAGAACTGGGCACTGGAAAAAGGTGTTGAGAATAGCAAGCCGGCATCCTGACTCCATAGTCTCCTCTTTCCTCCTTCTTATATGCACCATCTCCCCACTCATCTCTGCTACTTTTCCCACCCTTCTTCCTCAAGAGTGAGTAGTTTGCAAACATGATCTTTTCTGAAAGCAAGACCTTTCTCATTTACAGAGAGAAGTTGCTGTGGCCAGTACAATGACACAGGGCAGGGACTGACTGCGTGGCTGCCAGGTTTGTGTGGACAGAGTATAAAAAGAGAGAAAAGGTGAACCTACATGAAACTGCAGTTGTGTGTCTCTTGGGGGAACTCCGTAGGTGTATGATCTTTGGGGAGTGTTTGGTTCCCGGGAGGCTCCAATTCCCGACAGTTTGGATAGACTCAGCATACGTCACAGAAAGTTTACAAACTACTTTTAATACCTTACATCTGGGAATCTAGGTGGAGGAAGAGGACAGAGGAATATTTAGGCTTTGCCTTTCCTCTCACATGACTATTGTTTTTCTTTGTCATTAATTTTATTATTTTTCTTTTCTTTTTTGTCATGTGGCTATTATTCTAATGTGATTTAAAATCTATTCTAATTCTAGAATAATATATGTTATACATTAATTTAAAATGTATTATTCTAATTCTAATGTAAAATCAGGTCCTTTTGGAAATCCTTTTAATTCTATTTTTTAAAAAAAAGCAAAACCAGAATACCCAGTTACAGTTCTTAGAAGACAGTTGATAATAGCTACTGTTTGAATGAACTAATAAGTGAAATGAGTAAGCTAATGAACAAATGCAATTAAATGGATAGAGTAAAGATGTTTCCCAGGCTTATGAAATTGACTAATAAGAAAAGCTAAGAAATGTTTAAAAAATAAATTTAAACAGCACAATATTCTCAAAAGAAAACTTGGATTGTGTCTTCTTCTCCTTGCTGTTTCTATGCATAACCTAAAAAATCTAGGCCATGGAGATACATTGCTTTGTCTTGCATCTATTCTTGATGTTCCTTCTGTCTTGTCAATAGTTGTTGGTAGCTGTCTGTCTTCTCTGGTTGCAGCATCATTGTGTTGTCACCTCTTGGCAGTGAAAAATAGGCATATATTTTATAGCATTAAAAAAAAAAGCCAGAGTGGCAACAAAAAAAGCATTGCCATGTAGTTTCAGAACATTCATTGCTTTCATTGACAGATTAAAGAAAGGAATCCAGGCCTATCTTAGTCTACACCCTGTGCTCTTTCCACTATCTACTGCCTCTCTCATCCCACACCCAAAATATTCAGGATATCAAAGACATTTATGCTCAGAATTGCTACTTCCCAGCAGCAGAGTTTAATCAAGACTGGAGGTGGACTCACTCACCAACTGACTAGCCAGATGCTGCCATCTGGCCGTCACTCCTGGAATTGATGTGAATTGTGAATCGGCTTGATTCTTGCAGTGTAGCAGGGCTGATTCACTACAGCAAAGAAAAATCATCCCTGATTCAATAGGAAGTGAGCAACGCAAATTAGCAAGGGCAATGTTTTGAGAGTCAGGCAGCCCAACTCTGTATGTGCAGTCCAAGGACTGACCCCAGTTGAACTCCTAGTTTGATGTATATGGGTACTATTGTCTTTTGATTTCAAATTCTGCTTCGTAATGGTGGATCACACTGTGTGAATGACTGAAATGGCTTCCAAACGACCTGTACCTTACTTTGTTCTGCTGAAAGGCTACCTTTTCATTATTGATAATGAAAGCAGTATCAAACATGGATATTGTTCTTTTAAATGCCACCTCCTATATCCATAGCCATCTTTTGCCTTTGCACATAAAGATATCAAGCTGTATGTCATATCTGTGTGCCTGCAGCTGTAGATGTGAGATACAGTGTTAGGAAGAGAGGGAAGTAAAGAGGTTGTGGGAGGAAGGGCAGATGTTTGATTTCCTTTTTGCCCCAAGAACAATGCATACAACTTCTGAAGGTATACTTAGTACTTGGATTATAGCTTCAGCAGATCAATATACTTTGGTTTGCTCTTCCGGTGGCACCTCGAGTTTCCATGGTTTTATCTACTTTCTCTCATCCTGATTCTTTGTGACCAAAAATATGGTTTAGCAAGATGACTAGCTACAGAGAAAACCTCACCTATGCATGCGAGAGCAGACCCAGGACGTCAGCTTTTCTGCACTACTCAAGTAAACAAGACATAGAGAAATATTTGAGGACAGCAGGCCAGTGTGGATACCAATGGGTGCATCTCAAAGCTGTAGCTACAAGAGAAAATTGAATGATCTCCACATCATCCCAACGCACACTTTTGGGTCAGGATTTTCCCCAAACGCTTTCTCCACTGCACCACCCTGACTCACAGTAAGAACTTCTTTTGACACCGTGGTCTAAAAGACTGAGGCTGTGACCATGAGAAAATTACTTAATCTCTCTCAGCAGATTTCCTCATAAGCAAAATGAGCATGTAATACCTACCTCTTAGGGATGTTATGAAAAGAAAATCAATCTAAGCGCCTATAACAAGGCCTAGCACAGGGTAAATGCTCAGTAAATATTGGCAATTACTGCATTTTTTTTTTTTTACCACTTCCATTTTTCTTGGTTTCCTCTGCTTCTGTCAATCTGGATAAAATAATGAATGACTACAGAGTTGCATATATTATTGACTCCTCTTTATTTCGTAGAGCTAACTGTATTCTCAAGATATTGGAAGTCTGTTTTTAAACTATAAAATATCTCAGCTACTAGATTCCTAGAAAAATGTTTCTTCTCCAAATTGCATGGAATTTTCTTCCTTGCATGTCACTATTCTTCAAAGCATTTAGCATTTTGGAGTGTTCCTTCTTTTTCCTTGCAAAGCCAACAATCACAGCTGACCAGGACTTCAATTCTTCAATTGATTCACGCAGGATAAAATGACCTGCCTGTGACTTGACGTTTTATTTTAAACAGCTTGTGGTTGTGATAGAACAAGAGGCCCAGACCAAAAAGGACTAGGAATGCTTGCTCAGGTGCCAGTACCATCGGCAGGTCAGGAAACACTCCCATCCCACTGCCATGTGATTTCCTATGAAACAGCGATTTCCCTGAACACCAGAGCAAACTATGCGATGATAATGCTCCAAGCAGATGTTTGGAGAAGATGTGGGTTTTCACAGCTTATGCTGTGATCAATATAATAATGGTCCATGCCTTTCACTTGCCCTATCAAGGCCTTGAGTGGCAGCGATGATCTTGAGTAACTTTGCCTCACCTCAAGGAAATAGCACTGGTTGGAGAACTTGAGAAAAGGGCCCAAATAGTTTACCAGAAACTGGGACTTTCTCATTTCCTGAGAGGTTTTTGAGATTTGGTAATATGGCAAATTTTCTAGTGACAGAGGTTTGGAATACTTTTTCCTATTTTCTTAAGGAATGACAGTGTTTTCAGTTTTGAAACAGACTAACCCAAGGAAGAGAGATTCTTGTGCTAAGCACATACCAGCTACCTACTTCTCAAACCCATTCCTAAATTTGAATACTTTCAGTGAGGCTGGGCTCTCCTAGGTGGTACCTGGACAATGTTCTATAACCTGAGTATTGGGGAGCCACGGCTTTTGGCCCATTTCAGGGCAATACCAGGAGCAGGAGAAGCCACCATAGGGAATACTGAGACCACAATAATTATGTGTTCACAAGGCAGTGAAACTGGCGACTTATAACTAATTTATTGGCAACCACTTTCTAAATAAAATATCCAAGTACCTGTCAACAGAAATTAGTTAACAGGAAGCTAACCACTGAGTCTGTAGATTGAACAGTGTATTTTACAAAGAGTGTGTTAACCTAAGTTATGTTAACTTAAAAACAAATCTTGAGAATTGAGGAAGAATAAGGGATAAACTGGGATAAACTGGGATCTTTCTTTTTTTTTTTTTTTTGAGATGGAGTCTCGCTCTGTCGCCCAGGCTGGAGTGCAGTGGCGTGATCTCGGCTCAGTGCAACCTCCGCCTCCTAGGTTCAAGCGATTCTCCTGCCTCAGCCTCCCGAGTAGCTGGGACTATAGGTGTGTGCCACCACGCCCAGCTAATTTTCACATTTTTAGTAGAGACAAGGTTTCACCATGTTGTCCAGGATGGTCTTGATCTCTTGACCTCGTGATCTGTCCGCCTCAGCTTCCCAAAGTGCTGGATTACAGGCGTGAGCCACAGCGCCTGGCCGGAATCTTCTATAACTTCCCCAAAACATCACACTTGCCAGACATTAGTTGATAAAGTAAAAGATTACAGAGGAAATAATGTAATTGGTTTTTGAATTTTATATAAAATAACCATGACAAGAGAATATCCTGGGAGCATTCCATTCAAACATCAAAATTATCTCTCGCTTAAGACAAAAGGTGGCTACCCTGAATGAATTTTGGTATTCATGCTGGATTACATATGTGTATATGTGTGTGTGTGTGTGTAAGAGTGAGAGAAACTATAATAATCTGTTGGTATGTTGGTACTTGGTCCTTGGAAACTTCTCTCCAAGGTCTCATATTTGTAGAAGTAATATTAGCTTATTATTTGACAGAAAAAACAATTTGCCTATCTTGGAAATTCTGCTTAGTAGCTACGAGCCCTGGAATTTTTCCATCTCTCTCTGTAGATCAACATACCATACTTTCCTTCACAGAGAGGTAAAGTCTACCTCCCTAATGACTTGTAAAAACTGACTGATAAGGAAAAAGTGGCCCGGCTCAGTGGCTCATGCCTGTAATCCCAGCACTTTGAGAGGCCAAGGTGGGCGGATCTCCCGAGGTCAGGAGTTCAAGACCAACCTGGCCAAAACGGTGAAACCCTGTCTCTACTAAAAACACAAAAATTAGCCAGGTGTGGTGGTGCATGCCTGTAATCTCAGCTATTTGGGAGGCTGAGGCAGGAGAATCACTTGAACCCAGGAGAGAGAGGTTGCAGTGAGCCGAGATTGTGCCATTGCACTTAAGCCTGGGCGACAGAGTGAGACTCCATCTCAAAAAAAAAAAAAAAAAAAACGAAAAGAAAAGAAAAAGGCATTTCTATCCTATGCAGTCCTCTCAGGGAGCAGCCAAGTAGAGAAAATGGGGGAAAGATCAATATGCCCAGAATCAGTGAGAAGACTCTGATTCTTACTGATATCAAGACATTTTTATTTATTAAACATGTTGTCAAACAGAAAACAAAAGGTCCAGGTAGCTCTTTCTTTGGGCCCTTGGCAATGAATGTTGCCACCACTGTTCTGGGTGCAGAGGGGAAATGGAAGGCAAGGACAGCAGAGCCAGCACTTGACCAGGGGCCCGCTGGTTACGGACGACGGAAAATTGACTGATCCAAGTGGACAGGTAAGCCATTTTCACAAGCAACAACAACGTTTCTGAACCCCGCTGTGGCTCGGTACTGGCATGGAGGCCAGGGGGAACCTCCATGTAGCTTGCAAGTGGTGACCTGGAAAGAAGACTTGCTTATTCTTAGGTTTTCTCTGTGAGGGTTTCCATTCTTGTTTTCACAGATGGCCTTGATGCTGCGCTTGTTGCCATGAATAAATGTGTTGATGTCTTTGCAGGGTGAGGTCAGGCCCCGTCTCCTCATGATGCTTTCACAGTATCTGTCATCCCGGCCCTGTGGTTTGGCATCATAGTGCTGGGTCAGGAAGTGTGTGTACCTGGAGTTATCCTGAGCCAGGGTCGGTGGGGTCAGACCCAGACCCAGCACGAAGACCAACAACAAAACGCCCAGGCCCATCACCATCTCTTCCAACACAGGCTCCTGCGGAGGGCAAAAGGAGGTGTGGTAGACCCAAGAACAGCATCACCAAATTAGGCCAAAAGGACAGGAGCTTTGCTCTCTGACACGGCATCATGAATCAGATCTTTTCCACCACCAAATTTTATATTCTATTTTCCCTTCCTCATTAACCTCACACTTCGTCAATCCCTTCCTGCGGAACGTCTATTTAATAGTTTCCTGAGCACAACCTCTAGCTCCAACCGTTCTTCCCCATCCCTTAGAATCACTGAGTATTTCTCTATCAGTCGTAACATTACAAAATCCACTCTCACTCTTTAATTCATGTATTTATTAATTGAATAATGAACATTACATAGGTCTCTACTGGGTACCAGGGACTGTGCTAGGTCCTGAGGCACATTAAGACATACCAAATGACGGCCGGGCGCGGTGGCTCACGCCTGTAATCCCAGCACTTTGGGAGGCCAAGGCGGGCGGATCACGAGGTCAGGAGATCGAGACCATCCTGGCTACCACGGTGAAACCCCGTCTCTACTAAAAATACAAAAAATTAGCCGGGCGTAGTGGCGGGCGCCTGTAGTCCCAGCTACTCGGGAGGCTGAGGCAGGAGAATGGCGTGAACCCGGGAGGCGGAGCTTGCAGTGAGCCGAGATCGCGCCACTGCACTCCAGCCTTGGCGACAGAGCGAGACTCCGTCTCGGAAAAAAATAAAAACAAAAAATAAAAAAATGCCTCCCTAATAGGAAATGAGGCATCCATGGGGAAAAGATGGGGGCTTCAATGTACTGAGATGAGATAGTAATACAGGAGGTGAGAGCTAAGAAGAGAGTTTTAGGGGAGTGGTCTCTAACATTTTTGGCACCAGGGATCATTTTTGTGGAAGACAGTATTTCTATGGATTGGTGGGGGATGGTTTCAGGATGAAATTGTTCTGGTTCAGATAGATCATCAAGCATTAGTTAGATTCTCATAAAGAGTGCACAATCTGGATCCCGCACATGCGCAGTTCACAATAGGCGTCCAGCTCCTATGAGAATCTAATGCTGCCTGCTGATCTGGCAGGAGGCAGAGCTTAGGCGGACAGGCCACAGACCGGGATTTGGGGACCTCTGTTCTAGGGAACCCTGAGCCCAGGGAAGGAGTCAACCATAAAATTGTTTACGACAGGCTTCTAGCTAATTAGTCAGCTAATGTGAAGAAAGCAGTTGAAAGCAGTTGTATCCTGAGTTGAAGGGAAGCAGACCTACCTCCCCAAGAAGTAGGTGGTTCTTGTTCGTTTATGAGTAACTCACTGAATTTATGACTGGCTATGATTTCTTGGTAGTCATCACACATACTGAGAAATTCTCACAAAGGGAGAAAAATCTGATCTTCAAATTGTATTGCATTCTTAAGTGTAATACAATTCTTATGACCCCAAATGTAAAAATAAATGGTACATTTTCAAAGACATTAAATTAATTATTAATTTTTTATTTTGTGCTTCTCTTGTGTGTAAGTCAATGAACATTTTCGTATCAAATAGTTCTGTAGCCCTTGCAGGAAGCACCAATGTTGTACAAGTTGTGGGGATATTGCTGTTCACAGAAGGGAGTCTGAGCTTAAAAAAAGGCCATGGGTCCTGGCACTAGGCCTGTGGTGTGGCTAGCCTGTTCTGAGAGCAAGACTGTGGATCTAGAAAGACACAGGACCCCAATGTTCTATGGTTACATGGGAAGACGTGACTGGGTGAGCAAAGTGGGCTCTCTTTCTAATTTGCATTTGGTGTTGATTCCATTACAAATTATAATCTATGAACTTAATGCAAACATTTCCAGCTGCTATTTACTCCATTATTGTGGAATGAAAAAATTCCTTAGCATATTATTTGGTATTCTTCAGCAGTGCATCAAATTTGTCCGCACCGACATTTGTCCATACTTGAGAGAGTTGCTATCTCTAAAAGTCTGAAATTCCATGCTGAAAGTGTGTTCTTGGGAGTTTATCAAGAAAGAGGTACATGATTGTAGAATGGAGAGCCAGCCCTAAAGGAGTAACAAGTATTCACTCATGCAGCTGCTCCAGTATAGCTGCTGGGCTGCCAAGCCACCCACTTGCCACGTTCTTCACATTTACATCATGCTTTTCAGTCTCCTGGGTGTGTTTCCTGTTTCTAGTTTTTTGGAAGATCTTATTAAAGTTTTATTGATTTGTAATCAATTAAGTCTCTTGCTCTGTAATGAACAAATACTGACTTCTAATGTCAAAGGTCTGCCTTACACAGTCAACATTCTTCTGCCTGGTGCCAGAATCCCAGAAATCAGAAATCAGGAAACGGAACCAGAGCTGCTAGTACCTAAAAGAGTCGTTAGGTGGCAGTGGTGGATAGGAATGTTACTAATGTCTTCTCTAGGAAATACCGTACTTGCAGGAGGTGCCAATGCTGTATAACTTGTGGGGATATTGCTGTTCACAGAAGGGAGTATGAGCTGGTGAACCTGTTTAGAATCTCTGTCCAAACTCGCTCTGCATTAGATATTAAGACCAAGGACACCTCATTAGATATAAGTGCCAAAGTAAAAGCCACAAAGTTCAGAATCTACCCATAAGGATATCACAAAATAAAGACCGACCTGTTGTCAGGTTTCACGGGTGCCATTTCCAAACATGCCATTACCCACGTGATCGTGGATGAACAATGAAGTATTTACTTGTTAGTGTTTCTTACTGGTGTATATTCCACAGAACTCATATTATTCACCTTGAATCAACATGCTTGCCTTATTATAACCCTTAATATTTTTTAAGTAATTGACTTCATTTTTCTCTCCAGGCCTAGGTTTGTTCATCAAGAAAATAAAAGAGTTGCTAGCTCTAAAAATCTGAAGTTTCATGGTTCTCATTAAACATAATAGAGGCTTTGCTAGTTTCAATAGCAAAGGTCCAGTGACCCTCAGTTACAGAGACAAATTTTGTATAAGTTTAGTTGGGGGCCTGTAATCTTGATTCCCTAAGACATCCAGGAACCAAATCTCAGCAAGCGTACACCAAAACCACCAATATCTAACATCTGCTCCCTCACTCAAAACTTTCTCAATATATTCAACTCTAAATTCCTCAAAAAGCAAGGTAAAATGGAATTGGGAGAAAACCAGTAAGAGACAGATCGTTTGTGGTGTAAAAGTGAATCTGCCTAAGCCAAGGGTGCAAAGCCTCACATCTGGTGGCAAAAGTCCTATAGATATATCCTTCTGTACCCAAACACGTAACTGTCTGTCAGCTTTTTGTCAGTGGAATTAGTCCCAGCTGTTCTCTGTCCTTTTTTTCTTTTCTTTTCTTTTTTTTTTTTTTTTTTTTTTTTTTTGAGACGGAGTCTCGCTCTGTCGCCCAGGCCGGACTGCGGACTGCAGTGGCGCAATCTCGGCTCACTGCAAGCTCCGCCTCCCGGGTTCACGCCATTCTCCTGCCTCAGCCTCCCGAGTAGCTGGGACTACAGGCGCCCGCCACCGCGCCCGGCTAATTTTTTGTATTTTTAGTAGAGACGGGGTTTCACCTTGTTAGCCAGGATGGTCTCGATCTCCTGACCTCATGATCCACCCGCCTCGGCCTCCCAAAGTGCTGGGATTACAGGCGTGAGCCACCGCGCCCGGCCTGTTTTTTTTTTTTTTTTGAGACAGAGTCTTGTTCTATCGCCCAGGCTAGATCGCAGTGGTGCTATCTTGGCTCACTGCAACCTCCACCTCCCAGGTTCAGGCAATTCTCCTGCCTCAGCCTCCCAAGTAGCTGGGATTACAGGCGGCCACCACCACGCTTGGCTAATTTTGTGTATTTGGTAGAGACGGGGTTTCGCCATGTCGGCCAGGCTGGTCTCGAACTCCTGACCTCAGTTGATCCGGCTACCTCGGCTTCCCAAAGTGCGGGGATTACAGGTGTGAGCCACCACACCTGGCCCCAACTGTTCTTTAGAGTAACTTTATCTTCTGTATCAAATGAATCTGTTAGTATTCACAAGAATTATTCTCTCCCTCTCCCCACAGGCAATGTTCAGTATTCAAAAGATTCATCAAATTTTACACACCAGGGAGTTAACTTGACAGTTTATGATGAGTAACTATAGTTATCATTTTCATCAATGTGGCTTCACACTTTTATACATCCTAGGGCAAAATCCCCCAAAGTAAGAGCCTAACACCCAAGGCATATTCATCCCTTTATTGCTTTTCCTTCCTTCTTCCCTTCAACCTGCCAGTGAGCCTTCTTTTGATCTTGGGATGTGTTCCACTTTGTTTGAAAGAGCATCCAAAACTTTTCTAAGAAGAGAAATTAGCAGGGAAGGTTAGAAGGAAACAATGCTAAAAACATACTGTTTCTTTCCTTGTTAAGCCACGTGTAATGCCTGTAACAGGGGTGGACGACGGGGGAGGACTCCCGATGGCCTTCAGCAAATGGCTCCCCCAGGCCTTTGGGGATTTTATCACAATTTAGAAATCCCTCCTAAACTTCCACTTCCTCCCAGTCTCACTAATTTCTCTTTATCCACACATAGGCCATCCCAAAAGAAACCTGTTTTCATTTTAAACTTTAGAATCTGATCCATTTTCTTTTTAATTCATGAGCTTGAGCCTGGAGGCTTTAAAGGGAGGAAAATGGTTTCATTAAAATGGATGGATGGCTAGAAATAATATATAAAACAAATTGAACAATAGTTTACCCAGGAGGAAGAATCTTACAAAAATCTGGCAGTTTCCCTTCAACGGGAGATGGGTTCCAGCTGTTTGTTCCTGGAGATGGGTTCCAGTTGTGTGAACCTGGAGGCCTCTCCAGGTTCTGATTATATAGTGTTCCTAATATATAGTGTCCCAGTCCTGGCAGGGACATGAAAACCAAGGACACTGCTCTTGAACAAACGAGGAGGGTCATTCACCTTTTCGCTGGGCATGATTGGGTTAGATATTAACCCACCTGAATGGATTAGAGATTTGTTCTGGAAGACAAAGTTTGAGAAACATGGCCTTCTGTCCAAAAGTTGCCCTTTTCTGCTGTCTGTGGTGCTTACTCTTGTTCATGGCAGGACTGAGGTTTCCCTATTCACACATAATAGTCTGGATCCATAAGATAGCATCTCTGATCTCCCTGGGCCAACTCCAAGAACTGCCTTGGAAGATGTCACAGAGTAAGATATGGTCTTCCAGTAGGATGCTTTTCCACTGTACTATTTATCATTTATCATATCACATCCTATTTATCGTATCACATCATTTGGTTTCATGAACGGATGCTAAGCACGTTATTCCATCGATTTCATACAGCCAGGAAAGCACTTCCAGAGAAGGTTGTGTGACAGCTATTAGTACACTGCCCCTCCCCCTACACTCAACTTCTCAGCTTCTAACCCCCAGAAGCAGGCTTGCCATGTTTCCTGGGTTTCTCCTTCTTCCATCTTTACCTGTCCACAAGAGACTAACCCTGAACATTCAATCTTCTGATCCTTGTAATGTAGTTGCAAAATTGCTTATCTCCATCATCAAAGCAGGGCTGTAGATCCATTGCTTGCGTAAAAACAGTGGGCCAAAGGTCACCAGGATCACCTTATAGATCTCATAGTTTCCAATATCAGACAGCAGCAGGGTACCAACTGTTTCACAGACCCCCAGCATTTGCCCACAGTGGTGTTGGATCTAGGACAGTGTTATCTTTTTAAAAATCCTCAATCCTCTGTTGTCACCCACCTAGCTGCCAAGTATTCAGTCTGGCTGCACTTGAGAAGGTGTCAAGAAAAGACAGGCTGCCTGCTAGTAAAACAAATGCACTTGAAATCACAATAATTATAATATTCAGTGCAATCTTTCATTTTGTGAAGCTCTCACATACATGACTACATTCAACCAACACCAGGACTGTGTGAGGTAGGCATTATGTAAATATGCTCTGCTCATGAGGAAACTCCAAGAACAAACAGCAGATGAATGGTGGAGTCAGACTTTGAACCCTTCATAAGCAAGGAGAAAACTGACCTGTCTTTCCAGGCTTAGCTCAAGCAACACCACCTCTGAGTCCCGAAAAGCGGTACCCTGCCACAGCATACAACCCATATGCGCCTGCACACACACAGCCCCATGGCCTGAAGCACCAATTCAAGCACCGACTCACACAAACAGAGCAGCCTCTGATTTTAGAGTTCTGCAGTAGTGCTGAGGTGGGGCAACCAGCAGCCTCTGAATATAGTTAGGTCCCTTCTCTGCCTCTGGGCCTTCACTGGACAACCTTTGGAGGATACACAATCTGCCCACAATGCAAAAAGACAGTTTTATGTTTTTCTTTTAAACTTGGCACAAGGAAGTTTTGTTGAAATGAAAAGTAGGGTTTGGGGGAAAAATTACTATTTCATTAGAATGCATCTAAGCACTTAGTCATTTGTGTTTAAAATACAACAAGGAATTATATTCTATGATTAAGGAACATCACATCTTTGTCAGTAATTTTAATACAAATGAAGGAATCGCCAATTGCAAAAAACCTCATATATTTTTTAAATGTTCAGACAGCTTTAACTTGAAAGTCATTCCCCTTTCCTGGAGATTTTTTTCTCTCTCTCCCTCAAGCCAATAATGTCCCTGCACACAGACACGGGATGCACGGGTCCTGTTTCCAAGGACCCTAGTGTTAGAGCACTTTCCTCCTTCATACAGAGTATATATGTATCATTCTGTCTTAGGACTAATTATAAAATTAGATGATGGGAAGAATGGACTAAATAATTTCTATATTTCTTTATTATTCTAACACTTTAGGTCTATAAGCATGAACTTATTCAATAACGGAAGTAACAGGTAAAGAAGGAAAAGCACACGTGGCAAGAAGAACCACGTCTCCAGGAAGAGGCAACACTACTGATTGAAGGACAGTGGGGACAAAGTCCTGCTGACATGCCTGTATTTCCAAACAAAGACAAAAATTAAACATTTGCTTTTCAACCAACTCTGGGCTTTGTGCCCACTCACTCTTTGTTCCCATTCCCTCTTTCCCAAGTATTTCATGGCATTCTTCCGGGAATAACTGTTTACAGAGAATTACAGAGAATCTGCTTAAATACAGATTCAATAAAAACTCCTAAAGAAAGGTTTCACTGACCTTCATTGGTCCACTTTTTTATCCAGCTACTTTAATTTGAGTCACAGTGACCAATGCTTCCAACAATAACTTGACAAACCTCTTACTCTTGCCTGCTTATAACCTGATTATCTGTTTTCAACAATAGCTAAAGCCATTCCTCTTTTCCTGGAATGATTTTTTCCATCCTCTCTGCCAAACGATAGTTCATCTCCACATTACTAGAGTGCCTCATGTCCTGTTACTAACATCGTACCACTCCATGGAGTCATAGAACAAGAGTGGGAGGGGCCTCTGAGACTCTGTCCACCCCTCATATTAAAGAAGAGCCAACTGAGGAACAGAGAAAGAGACATGTATTGCCCAAGGAACTCATTGCATTCGCCGGCCTGGAAGCTTTCCAATGCACCACACAATTTTTTTTTTTTTTTTTTTTAAGACGGAGTCTTGCTCTGTCACCCAGGCTAGAGTGCAGTGACGCAATCTCTGTTCACTGTAACCTCCGCCTCCCAGGTTCAAGAGAGTCTCCTGTCTCAGCCTCCCGAGTAGCTGGGGTTACAGGTGCTCACCACCGTGCCCGGCTAATTTTTGTATTTTTAGTAGAGACGAGGTTTCACCATCTTGGCCAGGCTGGTCTCGAACTCCTGATCTTGTGATGCACCCACCTCGGCCTCCCAAAGTGCTGGGATTACAGGCATGAGCCACCGTGCCGGGCCCACACAACTTTTATATTCCATACTAGTACTTTCTAGACAATCAGAGCTAACTTTAAAGGGGCCACTGAAAGTTGCTGTTCGAAGGAAACCTACATTGACTATTACCATAAATTCAAAAATTATTTTACTCTGCTTGTCATCAGTAAAAGAATTGCTTGAATTGAAGCGTATGTAATAAACCTATCCTCTTGCAAAACTTGTTAGTGGCTCTGTGGTTAAGTAAGTCTTGAATACCTGAGGCTGCTTCTGGGAAGGTGGTCCTGTGCCACAGATAATGATGTCCCTTGGGTTTCTACTGATTACATTATGACTTGATTATAAGATTTTTACTGTCACGAGGGAGGGTCTTGGCTCATCTGAGATTTCCCTAGCCCCCTGAGTGGTGCTGAAATTGTTTTAATAAAGATGTTGCGCTTTACTCATGTGCTGCTATTAGCATTTGACGTGCTGTCTCAGAGCGAGAAAACGGAGGATCCCAACCTTCCAGTAGGAAGGCTTAGAGAAGAGGCTGTTGGCAAGTGTCTCTAAGAATTGCACAACACTGGCTGAGGGTGGGTTAAGGGTGAGGAGGCAGAGGAGAGTAAACAGAAAACACCGATCCCCAAATGTTAGTTACGCTTGCAAAAAACTAAGGCCTGCTTCAAAAAGCTGGTGATTAGCCTGAATAACTAGCAAAGCTTTCTTAGTTGTGGGCAAGTGCAGGCCTCCTAGGGCTTCCCTTAGGTTCGGCGATTCTGTGGTCCCCCTCCAAGCCTACTAATCAATAGAAGCTGGCATCTGTGCCCAGCTGCGCAAAGTAAACCTGAGTGGGAATGTAAAGTCGTTAACTCATACAAATACGGGACTTTCACGTCCCTCCCCATTCCTCCCTCTCCAGCCCCGTCCCGCAAACTCCTCCCCAAGGAGTCCCAAGCTGCCTCTACTAGGAAAGGACTCCCCGGCCTAAACGCCCCTTATGAAGCTACCAGAGAGGAGGAGGAGGAGCAGGAGTGTGAACCTACCTCGGCCTCAGAACAAGTCCGCAGAAACGGGCAGGACAATGGAAAGAAGTTTTGTTTCTCACCCGCTTCTTCCTCCCTAGTACGATGATGGGGAGCCGGTAGAAAACGCAAAGATGTTCTTTTGAATCCTGCTTTGCATCTAGGTGGGGTTGGCGTCCTTGTGTGAGTGTGTGTACACGGACGGAGATGGGGGCGTGGTGAGGTGTGGAGGGTCGGCGTGCCAGCCTCTGCGTAGTTGGGACCGCGCCCCGCTTCTCCGAGGAGGCCCCTCCCGCCTGGATCCGCCCTTGGAGCTGGCGCCGCAGCAGCACCCGCCCCAGGGGCCGCAGGGGCAGCCCAGGCAAAGAACGAGCCTGGGATCCGCGCTCCTTCCTCAGCTGGACCCCAACGGGCAGCAGCCGCGAGAGCACTGCCTCCACGGAGAGCAGATGGCGGGAAACTGGCTTCTGCTCCCAATTGCCAGGCGGCCCTTCAGAGACTACCCCTGGCTGAGCGTCCAGGAACCCATGAAACTTGGTCTTGACACTGGTCGACAGCACCATCTGCCACGTACTTATTCGCTGCTGCTTTCTTTGGCAGGACAGCCCATCGCGAGACAGTTTGTGTTTCAAATTTAACGGAGACTTTTTTTCAGTAGTTGACAAAAGGGGGTGGAAAAACAGTAGCCACGAGGGCTCGTCCGGGATTTGAACCCGGGACCTCTCGCACCCAAAGCGAGAATCATACCCCTAGACCAACGAGCCACTGTAGCTGAGTGGTGCTTCCTATCACTCTGAATTTCTCTTTTCCGCCTGCTGTTCTGAAGGTTTTTTGTTTTGTTTCTTTTCCTCTGTTGTGACATTTCCCTTAGGCCTTATTTAGTTATTCCTTCCATCTTCACCAAGTTTCAAGTGTGGCTTATTCTCTGGCTTATTCTCCTCGATCCAGATGCAGGATGGGGTGAAGGAAGGCAGCTTTTTAGACTTTAGGTCACATGCTTGTGTCTCACTGAGCCCGGGGAGCGATTTAAGCCCGCTAGGGCCTGGAGGGAACCTGGAGGGGGCTGAAATAGAGATCGAGGGCCAGAGCTGAGCTCGGTTGCAAGGCTGTAGGGTACTGAGCCCCAGGACAGACGCGCGATACGTATATATCTGCCGGCCTTTGGACTTAACGTAGAAGCCAAAATATAACACACTTCGGTAAGACAACAGTGCCTTCCCCCAACGGTGGGACGATTCGGGTCTACTATCTTTCAGAAAGGTAACCAACTTTTCAAGACGCGATTAACGCAGCCCACCTCGCGGCTAAGCTGTTTCCTTCGGACAAGGGTGAGAGACAGAAACAGATTTGATCACGTCAAGATACAGAGATTTTTTGCACAAACGAAGAGCAACCGTAAACCCCAAAACAGCAGCGTCTCCTTCGAGCCGGAATCGAACCAGCGACCTAAGGATGACCACACATTAAGTACTACAGTCCTCCGCTCTACCAGCTGAGCTATCGAAGGAAGCACGGAAACAACTCTCCTAAAAATCCCTACTCGAGACATCCTTAACCAGAGACGGGAAAGAAAGAAATCTCTTTATACCCGGAAAGTAATTACTGCAGAGTCACAAAGCCAGCTTGTAAGACAGTCCTGCGTCCGAGGTTCTGAGGACAACCTTTCTAAATCTGGATTCCCCTGCCTCACTGAGGGGCTCCCAAGCAGAGCAGGCGCCCCTGAAACTCGGGCATACCGAGGCTGCTCATCCTCTGGGCGCCCGAGGGCTGTTGGCCTCACTGGGCGCGGACCCAGGGGCCTCGCGAGCGTGGATGCGTGTGTTTGTGTGTAGGGTGGGGACCGGCACCTGGGCGTCGGAGAACTGGGGGCTGAGGCGGTGGGACGCACACAATTCTGACTGCGCAACTGTGAACGCCGGAGAGGGCGGGCCTCCAGGCTTAGGCCCGGGCTCCCTGATGTCCTCACTTCCTGCGCTTCCCTCCCAATCTCGGCTCTTCCGCTTACACGTCCACAGACACGGGAGGGAGAGGGTGTGGAATGGAGCAGTGGTCCCCAACATTTTTGGCACTAGGGACCGGTTTCGTGGAAGACAGTTTTTCCACGGACCGCGGGGGCGGGGGGAAGAGTTGGGGGATGGTTTCGGGATGAAACTGTTCCACCTCAGATCATCAGGCATCACTTAGATTCTCATAAGGAGTGCAGTTTAGATCCCTGGCATGCGCAGTTCCCAATAGGGTTCGCGCTCCTGTGAGATTCTAATGCCACCACTGATCTCACAGGAGGCGGAGCTCAGGCGGTACTGGTAGCTAGCCCGGAGTTCACCTCCTGCTGTACAGCCGGGTCCCTAACAGGCCATGGACAGGTGCGCGGCCCAAGGGTTGGGAACCCCTGAAATAGAGGACATCTGGGCAAACCCAATGTTTCTGTGTGAATTCGCTTTTGGAGATAATATTTGCAGCTCATTCAAAAGGAAGGCCACATTTCTCTGCGTTAAAATCAAATTTAGTGACCCAAGTCTCGCCCCTAAAGTCGGGCCCTTAATTTCCCAAAACCCCACTGGCACATGAAACCTTGCCTCACAACGTGCATCTCTCTTCTGGACGCCTGGCCGGAGCGGCCATTGCTGGCTCTTCCCGTTTCAGAAGTGGAACCTTGATCTCTACTCCAAATATGCCCAGACCCGGGGCTTGAGAATAGCTTAAAGGGCTATTGTCTCGCCTAGCTGTCCCCATTTCCCGCCCGGCAGTCAGCAGGGCTCTCGCCGCCAGTCCGCAAGCCAGGGCGTGGGCAGAGGCTGACGGTGATTTCCACCGCCTGTGTAATGGATTCCGCCGCATTCCAGGAGCTAAAGCAGCATTACTACTGGAACCTAAAGGAAACGTTCTGCTGAGCTAGTGTTTGGAAGCTCTGAACAGAGGAAAGAAGCTCTAATTTGCCACATTTTCTGTGACTTAGTTCAGAAAGACTAGAAGGGGAGTTTTTCAAAAAACACCTGAATCAAGAAAGTAGTTTCGCAAGGCCCCAGCGAGATTTGAACTCGCGACCCCTGGTTTACAAGACCAGTGCTCTAACCCCTGAGCTATAGGGCCTCACGCAGAAACCGCCTCTTCCTTTCACAGAAAAGGAAAAGATTTGCAGGGCTTCTGCCAGCATCTGAGCATAGAAACTAAGTAAAACCTGGATGTCCTTTCAATCCATTTCCCGACTACTAGAATTCGGTTCACAGACTCAGTGTTCTTGCTGGGGATGGTACAAAGTGAAGGCCAGTGAGAGGGACCACTACTATCCTAAGATTGGAGAAATCTGCCCAACGCGACACAGTCTAACACAGAAAGATTCTCCACTCCCTCACTTCAGACTGAAAATTAAGAAGGGAAAACCGGCAGAGGAAGGAGCTCACCACAGGTCTCACTTGAAACTGCTGACATCCGCATTTTGTTTCCTGCTTGACTCAGGACTTCGTACCAGCAACTGTCTGCCTCCAGAGACCTTTCTCACAGCTGCGAGTCTCAGTGCCAGAGCAGGCATTCGTTAATTTGCAGTTTAATTCATTCCTTCATTCAACAAACACTGCATTCCAGTTCTGTACTAGGCTCTGCACTAAGAATTAGGGATCCAGATATGATCTTTATCCTGAAGTCACTGTCACAGTTTTGTGGAACAAAAGAACTTTAGTTTTCATGAAGGAAAACAATGAAAAGTAGCTGTGCCAGGTGTGAAGGGGCGTTGGCCATGCCAAGGTCCACACATTTACAAAGTGAACCATCCGGGGGTGTCTTCAAGAGGGCATTGGCCTGAGCTGCACTATGAAGGGAGGTTAAGACTTAGACAAAAATGGGAGCAGGGTGGTCCCTGGTAGAATAAAATTACGAGCAAAGTCCGAGAGAAAGACTGAGACATTCAAGGGAACACTGGCTGGGGCAGCAGGTGAGAAGATTAGTAGAAGAAAATAGAAATTCACCAAACATTGATGAGTTTGCGGAATTAATTGAAGGGACGAGCAACCAGAGTCAGAAACACCAGTGACTGGCCATGGTGAAGATGCTCAAACATAAAGCTGCAAAAAGGTAATCGTTATGGGACTGGAAAGGAAGGGATGAGTGAGAGCGTTACAGGGCAGGGCGATTCTGCTGAACCTAGGTATGAAGTGAAATCAAGAGGAAAGAGAGGGGACTCTCAAAGGTGTCTTGAAGAGGCAAGATAACACCTGCAGAAAAAAGGAAGCCTACTTCTTCAGCGTATCTGGAGAGGGCGGAGGGGTGACGCTAGGATTTAGGTAAGCTGAATATGAAGTGAAGGTGGAGCAGTTCATGGGAATTGCATGATAGCCAGAATAGTCTCGTGTCTAGAGTTTCATGAATTGATAAATGAATTAATCAAATTACATAAGTCATCCATTGAGTTAGAGACTCTACGAGTTATGCACTCTTGAAGGAAAAGAATACAGAGAAAACAGCTGAGACTAGAACATAAGTTTTGAATAGCCCTGTTATAGGCATATGTTATGTTAGTGTGTGTCCAACATCTTTTAAAAATTCTCCTTACATGTGGATATTTCACATATTATAAGTAAGTCTGTCCTAGAACACTTGCTTTCCCAGCTTACAGCTGAGAATGGGCATGTGACCTGGGCTCCACCAATCAGATGCATCGCCCAGGAAGCTTTCCATTTAGAAACATAAAACAGGAGTACAGGATACCATAAGGAAAACCCATGTTTTTCCAAATATGGTATCAGTGTCAAGTTTTTGGGTATGGGTTTTCTTAAATCCATATACTGCTGTCTTTCTTTAGTTCTGGAAAACTCTCAGTCATTGTGTTAGTTTGCTAGGGCTTCCATAATAAAATACCACAGACTGGGTGACTTAAACAACTGAAATTCATTTTCTCACAGTCCTGGAGGTCAAAAATCCAAGACCAAGGTGTTGGCAGGTTTGGTTCCTTCTGAGGCCTCTCTCCTTCACTTAGAGATGGCTGGCCTCTTGCTGCCGCCTCACATAGCTGTCCTTCTGTGGGTCCACACCCTTAGCTCCTCTCTTTGTGTCTAAATTTACTCCCCTTACAGGGACACCAGGTTGGATTAGGGCCCACCTTAATGGCCTCATTTTAACTTAATCATCTCTTTAAACGCCCTATCTCCAAATACAGTTACATTCTGGGATACTAGGGATTAGGGCTTCAACATATAAATTTGGGGGAGATACATTTTAACTAATAGTAGCCATTATCTTCTCCTATTTTTTTATATATTTTTTTAATTTTTTTTTTTAGGCTAGTCAAGTGAAGCAGTGGGAGTGGAGAAGGAACAAAGAGACCTGTAACTGCTTGTGATCAATTAGTTGTAAACACCACTGCACTCAGACCAGCCAGCCTCCTATATTGTTTTTACTCTATTTTTTTCTCTCTTTTTGGAACTGAAATTAAACATCTATTAGAGCTTCCTACCTTGTTTTCCATTTATTTTAACCTCTCTTCCATATACATATACATATATATACACATATATATACATATATATACACACATATATACACATATATATACATATATACACACATATATACATATATATACACACATATATATACATATATATATATTTGGTCTTTTTTTCTATGTTGCATTCTGGATAACATTTTCTTACCTTTAATACTAATCAGTAATTCTCTCTATAGCTCTGTTTAATCAGCTGTTAGATATGCCCATTAAGTCATTTATTTTGGTTAAAATGTAATTTCCCATTCTAGAAGTTCTAGTTGATTGTTTTTCAAAACTACTAGGCCGAATTTTTTTATTTCCTGTTTTTTGCAGATATTTTCCAGCTTGTTTCTTATTTCCTTAAGCACAGTAATTACAGTTGTTTTAATATATATAACTGATAATCCTAATATCTGAATTTTATGCCGTTGTTTTGTCAACTCATGTTGTTTTGTTTTCTTGTAAAACTTGGTCATCTTTGAATGTGTACTGCTCAGTGTCTTTGCAAAATTACATGCAGTGAGTTTTTGAGGACAAGATGAAGGTTATCTTCTTTTAAAAATATATATATGACTTTTTTTTCTCCCAGGCACTTGGCACTCTATCAGCCCAAGAAGATCCTAAACAAAGTTAATGGCCAGGCATTCTCTGGATCTCCAAGATACGTAAACCCAAGGTGCAAATCAGAATGCTGACCTGTGGTCCCAGCTTCTCAGAAAAACTCCTCACACTTTCTATTTTCCTTTGCTAAGCTCAATTTTTTTCTGCTGAGCTCCACAACAATTACTAGAAGTAGGAGAACAGACATAGGTGTACTTCTTATTTGCCCTTACCTTAGGGGAATAGATCTTTGGAGTCCCAACTTAATATTGGGAGGGTGTCTTACTAGTCTTCCTACCTCTGGTGGGTGCTGTGTCTTGATGTCTGATCCTCTTGTTTCTCCCACCCAAACAGGCTACCAAAATTATATAGCCCAGCATTTCAGGAATTAACAAATGACTTTTTTTTTTTTTTTTTTGAGATACAGTCTCACTCTGTTGCCCAGGCTGAAGTGCAGTGGTGCAATCTCAGCTCACTGCAACCTCCACCTCCCAGATTCAAGCAATTCTCCTGCCTCAGCCTCCCGAGTAGCTGGGATTACAAGTGCGTGCCACTACACCCGGCTGATTTTTGTATTTTTAGTAGAGACGGGGTTTCACCATGTTGGCCAGGCTGGTCTCAAACTCCTGACCTCACGTGATCCAACCCGCCTGGACCTCCCAAAGTTCTGGGATTACAGGAGTGAGCCACCGCGCCTGGCCTATCACAAATGCCTTTAGGGCTACAAAGGTCAATGCAGAGATAACTTACCTTAACTCTCTGAATTCCACCTTTCCCTTGGTTTCTGGCCTATTAGTTGCTTACTACCATATCAGCACTTTAATGCTTCTAAGGAGATTTGATAAAAGTATTTATTTATCACTTTGGGAGGCCGAGGCGGGCGGATCAAGAGGTCCGAAGATCCAGACGATCCTGGCTAACACGGTGAAACCCCGTCTCTACTAAAAAATACAAAAACTTAGCCAGGCGTGGTGGCGGGGGCGTGTAGTCCCAGCTACTCGGGAGGCTGAGGCAGGAGAATGGCGTGAACCCGGGAGGCGGAGCTTGCAGTGAGCCGAGATTGCGCCACTGCACTCCAGCCTGGGCGACAGAGCGAGACTCCGTCTCAAAAAAAAAACAACAACAAAAAAACTATTTATTTATTTTATTTATTTCTGTTTAGAGATGGGATTTCACCATGCCGCCCAGGCTAGTCTTGAACTGGACTCAAGTAGTCCTCCTGCCTCGGCTTCCCAACGTGCTGGGATAACAGGCGTGAGCTACTGCACCCAGCTGAGATTTGGTAAAAATCTTATGCAATATTTTTAATAATTTTTATTTCAAGAAGGATTGGTCTAAATTAATTAGCCTGCCAATACTAGAAAGGAAATGGCAGTTGTGGGAGCTATAACATCAATCATAGTCCACCACACGGACTGAGAAGCAGAGAAAACAGTACTCCAGAGAAAGCTTAAGGGGGAGAATGCCAAAGCACAAAATGAAAGAGCGGTGACGGCTGGAATAGGAACCTGCTCTTTCTAGTTATATCATCCTTTCCAGAAGACATCACTGGAAAAGGACAAGATGGTTTGGTGGTGCCGCCAATTAGTCTTAGCAGTTTGGTAGTGTGGTTGAATGGTCTAAGGCACTGAATTTAGGCTCCAGTCTCTTTGGGGACGTGGGTTTAAATCCCACTGCTGCAAGGGTCTTTTGTTCCTACATCAGTAATAATTATTCAGTGTGTCTTCACTAGGGGATTGACCTAATGTCAAACCCAACATGTGATTTTTCTCACTGCCTAGCACTGGGCTGGGGGAATGGAGGCACTGAATGAATGACTCACAGCCTACCTGCAGGGAGCTCTTAATTCAATTGAACACCCAGACCACTAAGAGATGTACTCCCAGCTTCTGTTTGAAAGGGAGCTGGTAAGACCTTGCCAAATAAATGACATTTGAGCTGGAATCTTGAAATAATTTTGAAGGTGCAGTATGTGTTCTGTGAAAGGGAAGGATAAGGTAGGGTAGAGAATAGAGGGGAGCAGGGAGTGAGGTGAGCCTTTGTTTCATTTGCTCCTAAGTGTTAACCAGAAGAAATCTGAGCAGTTGCACACAGAATGTAAAATATCCCTACGTCCCTGCTGCTGACTGCCTCTGGGAACACCCTGCGTTTCCTACAGGATGTTGTCTCTGGTTTCTTTACCTACTGGTGATCTCCTGCTACAACCCCTTCCCTCACCCACCATTTTTCCTTCAGTGTCTGTCCCTCTAGGTCTGTCACTAGGACAGTAAAAAAGATGGGTTAAGCAGGACACAAATCACCAAGGGAGGCAACTAGTCACCAGCTCAGGGAGGTGATATTTCAGAAGATTCAATGCTCAGGCTTGAGCCAACCACAGAAGACCACCCTCGCTGCCACCTAGACCACAAAAAGTCCAAATATGAGTTTGAAGTCAGAATTTGAGCTCTTTAAGGAGCAACCTTACTTTCTAGCCTTTGAGTGCAGTGCCCTTCCTGCCCCATGTGATACCTTTGGTACCCAGGAGGAGCACTGGGCAGGATTTGGGGTCTATCACATCCAAGTTTGAATCCAGGCATTGTCCCTACCTCAAGGCTTTGGGAAGGAGGCGACAGCTCATGTTAGCAGGTGGTGATGGAATCTGACTGGCCGGTGCCTTAAGTAGGCAAGTGATAAGTTTATCCATGTGGCTCTTTACTGTAGTCATCCCTGCTGTAGAGGGCTGTCCTGGGTATTGCAGGATGCTTAGCGGAACCCCTGGCCTTTCCTCACTACATGTCAGTAGTAATATGCCCTCCCTACCCAGCTGTGACATCAAAATTGTCTCTAGCCACTGCCAAAAGTCCCCTAGGAGGCCAAGCCATCTCTGGAGATGACTATCTCCCAGTGTGTAGCTTGTCTCTTACAGTGTCTTTACCAAGGCAGAGGTTTCTTAATTTTAATGAAGTTCATTTAATTGTGTTTTTCTTTTGTGAGTCATACTTTCAGTGTTGTATCTAAGAAAACTTTCCCCAGCACAAGTTGACAAAGATTTTATTATAAAAATTTTAAAGTTGTGGGTTTTATTGGTAGGTCTGTGATCTACTTGAGGTTCATTTTTATATGTAGAGCAATGTAGGGATCAAGAATCTTTTCTTAATTAGCCGGGCATGGTGGCACGCAACAGTAGTCCCAGCTACTTGGGAGGCTGAGGCAGGAGAATCGCTTGAACCCAGGAGGGGGAAGTTGCAGTGAACCAAGATTACACCACTGCACTTTAGCCTGGGCAACAGAGTGAGACTCCGTCTCAAAAAAAAAAAATTTGTTGTTGTGATTTTTCTAAAGTTTGCTGAGAAAACTACCTTTCTCCACTGAATTGCCCTTGAAGCTTTGGCAACAGTCAATTAACAATATGTATGTGGTTTTATCTCCGTACTCCTGATCTATTGTTCTGTTGTTTTAAATTTCTTAATGCCAGTATGACACTGTCTTAATTATAGCAGTTTTATAATAAATACAATAAAATATAAATAAGTCGGGCAGAGTGAGTCTTCCAACTTTGCTTTTTCCAAAGATGTTTTGGGCATGCTGTCTTTGAATTTGCAAATGAATTTTGGAATTAGCATGTCAATTTCTTTAAAAAAAAAAAAACCCTGTTGGGATTTTTATTGTAATTAGATTAAATCTATAAATAAATTTAGGGATAACAAATATCTTAACAATATTGAGTCTGTTCATGCACAAATATGAAATGTCTCTTGATGTATTTAGGTTTCCTTTCATTTCTCTTAGCATTTTTTTCAGTGTACAAGTCTTGGACATATTTTATTCCTAAGTATTTTATATTTAATTACTCTGTTGTAAATTGTACTGCTTTTTAAAATGTCAATTTTCACTATTACTAGTACACACAATTATACATATGTATATACAATTTATAAAATAATTATGCCAAGCCTGGCCAACATAGCAAAGCTCCATTTCTACAAAAAATGTTTTTAAAAAAATTATCCAGGTGAGGCTGGGCGTGGTGGCTCACACCTTTAATCCCAGGAGTCCATTCAGTCGGTTGTGGGTGCTTAAAATTAGTTTGGCTTAAAAATCATTCATTTTCAACCCTCAGAGGCTAACTTGAGGTACATATTCTAAAAGTATTAGCTTCTTTGTGACAGAGCTTATAGAAAAGATGGGACAGAGATGCTGCTCCCAGCACCAGCATAATTGCCTAATGGGTTCATCTTGCCCCTGCCCAGAAAAGCTGATTTACTGAGACAGTGTTATTGCAATGAAGAGTTTAGTAAATGCAGAGCCAACTAAATGGAAGAATGGAAGACTGGAGCTTTGTTATTACTCCTATCAGCCTCCCCGAAAATTCAGAGGCTAGGGTTTTTCTTTTTTTGAGACGGAGTCTCGCTCTGTCACCCAGGCTGGAGTGCAGTGGCGCGATCTCGGCTCACTGCAAGCTCCGCCTCCCGGGCTCATGCCATTCTCCTGCCTCAGCCTCCCGAGTAGCTGGGACTACAGATCCCTGCCACCACGCCCGGCACATTTTTTGTATTTTTAGTAGAGACGGGGTTTCACTGTTTTAGCCAGGATGGTCTCGAACTCCTGACCTCGTGATCCGCCTGCCTCTGCCTCCCAAAGTGCTGGGATTACAGGCGTGAGCCACCGCGTCCGGTCGAGGCTAGGGTTTTTCAAGGATAGTTGTGAGACAGCCAGGTGGAAGGGGGTCCCCGCAGACTCCCCGACCAGCCTGCGCACTGGGACGAATGCGCACTGGGGTGGAACCTCGGGAAGTTAGTGCCATTCGCAGCGAGGAGGAGCCTGGCCCCATCTCTTCCTGGGAGGAGCCTGGGATTTGAAAGCCTGGGCGGCAAGTGCTCTAGCAGGGACTCTGGCCTAGCAGAGTCCCCCTTTTCTTCCTTTTTCACCCAATAAAACCCTGTCTTACTCACCATTCCAATTGTCTGCGAGCCTGAATTTTCGTGGCCGTGGGACAAAGAACTCTGTCTTGAGCTGAACTAAAGAAAAGTCCCGCAACATTTGGGCAGGCAGGGGAATGCTGATTAGTTAGGTCAGAGATAAAATCACAGGGAGTCGGAGCTTGCCTTCTTTCACTGAGTCAGTTCCTGAGAGGGGGCCAGTTTATCGATCTCGGTGACGCCAGCTGATCCATTCAGAATGCAGAGTCTGAAAAATACCTAGAACAGCAATCTTAGATTTTTACAATAATAATGTTATCTATAGGAGCAATTGAGGAGGTTAGGATCTTGTGGCCTCTGGCTATATGACTCCTGAGCCATAATTTCTAATACTGTGGGCTAAGTTGTTGCTTTTACAAAGGAGGTCTGACCCCCAAGCAAGGAGGGGGTTTGCTTCATGAAGGGGCTGTTGTCATGTTTGTCTGAAAGTTAAACTACAAACTAAATTCCTCCCGTGGTTTGCTTGGCATACGCCCAGAAATGAGCAAAGGAAGCTTGGAGGTTAGAAGCAAGATCGAGTTGGTAGCCGGGTGCGGTGGCTCACGCCTGTAATCCCAGCACTTTGGGAGGCCAAGGCGGGCAGATCACTTGAGGTCAATAGGTGGAGACCAGCCTGGCCAACATGGTGAACACCCATCTCTATTAAAAAATACAAAAATTAGCCGAGCGTAGTGGTGCACGCCTGTAATCCTAGATACTCGGGAGGCTGAGGCAGGAGAATCGCTTGAACCCGGGAGGCGGAGGTTGCAGCGAGCCGAGGTTGCGCCACTGCACTCCAGCCTGGGCAACAGAGCAAGACTCCGTCTCGGAAAAAAAAAAAAAAAAAGATGGAGTTGGTTACATCAGACTTCTTTCACTGTTATAATTTTTGTAAAGGTGGTTTCACCAGCTGCACTCTTCTCATAGCTTCTACTGAGAAACTGGGGAGATTGCTGGCGGTGGGGAATCTGGGTCTAGCGAAGGTCTCAGGCAGTCTGCACTGATACTAATTTTCCAGGTCAGGAGAGACAAAGTAGTCATAGTGGGCCCATGTTTCCCCAGTGTGTCAAGCCAAAAGGTTAAAATAATAGGCACTATGGACTTAAAGAAATCAAAATTAATTTTGTCCCAAACCAAGTTGAGAACCGTAGCCTGGAACACAAACAGTGCAAACTGAGAATGTGTCCCAGAGTGGGTTACATGAGGCACGGTATTTACATGTTTTTTCTAAATAAAAAATCAAAGAAGGGGGCAGTGAAGCAAAGGTGACATTTTTACAGTTTTGACTGATGTTTAGTGATGGTATTCACAGACAAACCAAAAGTGTGGTTAACATATATAGGGATAGGGTAACAAGTAAAGGAGTATGTACGCATCTTAGGGTTTGGAGGGGAATGACTGATGTTATCTTGCTGTTAGAAAAAGGAAAATTCAAATAAAATGTTAATATGGGCCCACAATGGCTGCAGTTGGGCATATGGGTAATAAAACCCAGGCCTATAAACTAAAGCTGATCTCTTGCCTGTGTAACTGGAGTTTGTTGACAGGGGCTGGCCATGAACCTGTTTATCAGATGTAGAACAAAGACAGAATGGAATTAGTCACCCTTCCTCCACCAGACTCTAAGATGCTTAGCCTTTCTCCCTACTCACTCAACTGTATATTTACCTTATGTATGGCATCACTGAGCACTCATCAGAATCACAACAATGTAACCACTGTTTCATTAACCACTTCTCCCTCCTGTGCCACACACATCCCCGTTAGAAAATTTAAGTATACTGTGCCTCATGTAAACTACTTTGGGACCTATTGTAGGTCTATTCTAAGTCTGTGTTCTCAGGCATAACTCCTCAAACTTGGCTGAGAATAAATCTAACCATGACTTCTTTAAGTTCAAGTGCCTGTTATGTCACTTTTCAGTTGACACTGCCTTTGTGCTTCATCTGCTAGGCAAGGTTACAATCAGTAGACATCAGTGAAAACATTTGACATGGCTGGGTGTGGTGGCTCGCGGCTGTAATCCCAGAACTTTGGGAAGCAGACGTAGGTGGTTACCTGAGGTCAGGAGTTTGAGACCAGCTTGCCCAACATGGCAAAACCCTGACTCTGCTAAAAAAAAAAAAAAAAATACAAAAAGTAGCCAGACATGGTGGTGTGTGCCTATAGTCCCAGCTACTTGGGAGGCTGAGGCAGGAGGATCACTTGAACCTAGGAGGCAGCAGGTTGCAGTGAGCCGAAATCATGCCACTGCACTCCAGCCTGGGCAACAGAGCAAGACTCTGTCTCAAAAAAAAAAAAAAAGACAAAAAAAGACAAACTTTAGCCTTTCAGGCTAGAGTTCAGCTTTAGTTCATAGGTCTAGTTTCTATTACCTATATGCTCAACCTGCAGCCATCTTGGGCCACTTTTAAACATTGTTCTTTCAGATTTTCCTTTTTCTGACAAGTGCCATGCAGGAAAAATCAGGAGGGGGATGGGGGCAAGGGCTTTGTCCAGACAACATTTATGCAGATTGTATTCCTGGTCTGGCCTGGGGCCTTGTCTTCTTGTATGATGACTTTGGGAGGAGGGTTGCAATTGCTTGAGCCTAGAGACAAATATCTATTCCTTTTTCCTTCTGTTAGTTTTCTTGGTTGTGGATCAACAAAATGAAGATGTCTCCTAGAAGAGTAAAATAGTAAGGTCAGCAAGTCAAGGGTTAATGCGCCAGGCTGTAACAAAGGTGTGAGTTCTAGCCTCACTGGGGCTCCAGTTGCTTCAGTTTTTATGCTCTGGGATGTATTTACCAAGCTCAGATAACTTCACTGGTGAATTTTAATAAATGTTTCAGGAATAATGACAATTCTACACAACTTCTTGCAGCAAAACTGGAGAGGAGATAATAATTCTCAACTCTTTACATGAGGACAGTGTATTCTGATATTAAAAGCAAAGATACTTCAAAAGAAAGAAAACTACAGGTCAGTGTCTCTTAAGAACATGGAAGCCAAAAAGTTTAACATAACTTCGGCGAGTTGAATCCAACAGTATATAAAATAATGATACATCAGAATCAAGGGGGATTTATCCCAGAAAAGCAAATTTGGTTTGATATTCAAAATTAATCAATGTAATTTATTATATTAACAAACTATATTATATTAAAAAGAAAAACATGATTATATCAAAAGATGTAGACAAAACATTTGTCACAATTTCACATTTGTTTATTTATTGCTTACTTATATTTTTAGAGATGAGGGTTTCCCTCTGTCCCCCAAGCTGAAGGGCAGTGGCACAACCATAGCTCACTACAGCCTCAACTTCTTAGGCTCAAGTGATCTTCCTGCCTCAGCCTCCTGAGTAGCTGGGACTACCAGTGTGTGCCACCATGCCCTGATAATATCTTTTTCTTTATTTTCGTTTTTTTTTTTCTTTGAGATGGAGTTTCGCTCTTTGTTGCCCAGGCTGGAGTGCAGAGGTGCGATCTCACTGCAACCTCCGCCTCCCAAATTCAAGTGATTCTCCTGCCTCAGCCTCCCGAGTAGCTGGGATTACAGGCTCCCACCACCACACCTGGCTAATTTTTTTGTATTTTTAGTAGAGATGGGGTTTCACCATGTTGGCCAGGCTGGTCTGGAACTCCTGACCTCAGGTGATCCTCCCGCCTCAGCCTCCCAAAGTGCTGGGATTACAGGCGTGAGCCACTGCGCCTGGCGCCCTGATAATGTTTTAAAATTTTTCATAAAGGCGGGTTCTCACTTTGTTGCCCACGTTGGTCTTGCACTCCTGGGCTAAAGTGATCCTCTCATCTTGGCTTTCCAAAGCGCTTAGATTATAGACATGAGCCACCAATGCCCGCTACACATTCGCTTCTCATATAAACTCAGCGAATTAGAAATAGAAGGGCCTTTTCTCAATCTGATAAAGGGCACGTATGAAAAACTTTCAGCTAACAATACACTTAATGATGAAAGACTGAATGATTTCCCTGTGAGATTAGGACAAGCAAGGACATCTGCTTTCATCACTATCATCAGCAATGTGTGGAGATTCTTGAACAGTAATGCAAAAAAATAAAAATGGAAGCCATCCATGTTTAAAGGAAGAAGTAAAACTGTTTTATTCCGGGCTGGGCACAGTAGCTCACGCCTGTAATCCCAGCACTTTGGGAGGCCGAGGCAGGCAGATCACTTGAGGTCAGGAGTTCGAGATCAGCCTGACCAACATGGAGAAACCCCAAGTCTCTACTAAAAATACAAAATTAGCCAGGCATGGCAGCACATGCCTGTAATCCCAGCTACTCGGGAGGCTGAGGCAGGCGAATTGCTTGAACCTGGGAGGTGGAGGTTGCAGTAAGCCAAGATTGTGCCATTGCACTCCATCCTGGGCAACAAGAGCGCAGGGTTCTCTTCCAAGGCAGGTTCCAACCAACCCAACACATATTGGACCTCTGGCATTCCAGGGACTTGGTGTCCTCCATTTGCAGAAAGTCCAGTGACCCAGCTCTAACTTTGTGTGCTCTTTGAGAGATCAGCTGATAGAGTGGAGGACTGTACACATCTGTGGACATCCTTAGGTTGCTGGTTCAATTCCTGCTTGAGGGAAGTGTCTGAGTCTTTTGTACACACACCAGTGCTCCCTGGCTGCACCTCTGCCTGGTCAAACGCCCTGCTGTCGCCACACTCTCCCAGGCAAAACCCAGCAAAGCCTTATCCAGATTACCTAGCTTGCCATGCCTGTGCTGTTGCCAGTACACTTCAGTGCAAAGTGCCCCTTACTTCTGCTTTGTGACCCAGCCAATCCCCCATCCGAACCCTTACCATCTCAGGGCTGCTTCATTTTTATTCACAGGGTGCTTTTGGACCTAAGCACTGCTGGGGAATCTGGCAACACAGCTGGATTCATCTGTGACCAAGCTCTCCTGACCAGGTTGGCAAACCCTGGAAAGCCAAGCTCCCAGGAGACCATCAAGCATTCAGGACAACAGTGTAGGGTCGAGGACAACCATGATACCATCCGTGAACTCACCCTCTCCCCCTCATTTCCTTCCTGAGCTATTACTACCTCACCTCTGTCTGTATCTCATTCTCTCTCTCTCTTTCACAATTTCTCTCTCTGTCTGTGTATATTTCTCTCTGTCTGTCTCTGCCCCTTCTCCCTAGCACTCTGTGTCTCTCTCATTCTCCTTTGCCGGAAATGTATAGACTCATACAGACAGAAAATGCTCATCCTTGCTATGTTGTGTCTACTTGGGGAGACAGCAGCCACCCTGAGAATTTTCTAAGGCAAAGAACCTCCATTGGCAAGGTCAGGTTGCCCCATGGGATGAGGACATGGTGTGTCTACCCACTCACCCCTGTCCTAAATCCCTCAAGCCTCACCTTTCCTGAGTCTTCACATCTTTTTATTTTGCTACAGCTGGGCTTGGCTCCTGCTGGAAGAGTAAGAATACCTAACACTCACCGCTTAGTTCAAAGATGTCAAAAACACCTGCCACTTAGGAGGCTGTGAGAGCAGGAAGGAAGTACAAAATGGCAGGCCTGAAAAGAGCTTCAGTGACTTGGGAGAGTTGGGGATTGTTGGTCTATGACAGGAAACAGAAGTGAAACTTGAGTGACATCTGTCATCATACAGCGGCACACAAATTCACCTCCTTAGAAAGGCCACTGCCTGGTGGGTCTGAGCAGTTTGGACCTTTTGCACTAGGATCTAGCAGCACAGTTGGGCTCTCCTACCTCTGAGAAAAATATGTTGAAGCCCAGTCAGAGAGGATGGAGCAGAAAATGGACTGGGCTTTCACCAACCAGTGGAGCTTCATATCTGTGGAGATGCAGTGGGTTTTGTGGGTATGGGGCAGAGAAGAAAGCCAATGAGTGTCCCTTGGTCTCATCCCAAGATCTCAGAAAAATGTGCATCAGACACTTGGTGTACAGATGCAACCTATCACAGAGAGCACTCTAAGCCCAGTGGTCCATGGGAGCATGGCCCTCTGAAGCCCTTTGAGGACTGGGTCCCTGCCCTCCCCTACCCTCTGTGGCCACAAGAACTGCTTCATTGTGGGTCTCAATCTGGAGACTGTATGTGTCTTCTTCTCCTGGAAAGCAGCAGACGGTCTCCCCCAACACTGCCTATTCCCCTCACGTTCCCCCGGCTGTGTCAATCTTTCCCACTTCTCACTGCTAGTGGAAAGGAGCCAAGCTGTGGATTCACCAGTGCTCTGAGACGATTGTATGGCTGTGGAGCTGCAGAGAGACCCCAGTCTCCAGTGACACCAAAAACAGAGACCAGTGAACAGGGACCAAAGGTAGCACCTTAGGTCTTCATTAGATATGTTCCTGATGGGACATGGAGGTACAGGTCCTCTGAAACCTCAGTTTGGTGTTTTGAGGGCAAAAGCAGAAGGGGGCCAGGTAGTGGGCTTTGGTGACCAGCACAAGCGAGGGTGAACCCCAGATGCCCACTTTTCCAGTCTGGGACATGACAGAGTAGCAAGGGGTGTTCATGCATCTGACTCTCACCTTTGGCCATTCAGACCCACTTAGCATAAGACAGGGAGTGGACTTAAACTCAATGGATGCTAGGTCCCTTGGGGTGGCTTGCTGTACCCCCACTAGGTGTTCAGCAGGGGGGTGGGTGTCTCCGTGGTCTTGGGGTGGTGGGCATACAGCAGATGGGATCTGAAACCTTTGCCAAAGATGTGGTGTCAGGAGAAACTCACACCTCTGTACTCTGCCACCATTTTTTTGTTTGTTTATTTTGTTTTTTTTTTTTTTTTTCCAAGAAACCCACAGAACCTTGCTGATATGGCTTGGCTGTGTCCCCACCCAAATCTCAACTTGAATTGTATCTCCCAAAATTCCAACGTGTTGTGGGAGGGACCCAGGCGGAGGTAATTGAATCATGGGGGCCAGTCTTTCCTGTGCTATTCTTGTGAATAAGTCTCACGAGATCTGATGGGTTTATCAGGGGTTTCTGCTCTGCTTCTCTTTCATTTTCTCCTGCCACTGTCATGTAAGAAGTGCCTTTTGCCTCCCACCATGATTCTGAGGCCTCCCCAGCCATGTGAAATTGTAAGTCCAATTAAACCTCTTTTTCATCCCACTCTGGGGTATGTCTTTATCAGCAGCGTGAAAATGGACTAATACAGTAAATTGGTACCAGTAGAGTGCGGCATTGCTGAAAAGATACCCAAAAATGCGGAAGTGACTTTGGAACTGGGTAACAGGCATAGATTGGAACAGTTTGGAGGGTTCAGAAGAAGACACGGAAATGTGGGAAAGTTTGGAACTTCTTAGAGACTTGTTGAATGACTTTACCCAAAATGCTGATAGTGATATGGATAATAAAATGCAGGCTGAGGTGGTCTCAGATGGAGATAAGGAACTTGTTGGGAACTGGAGCAAAGATTATTCTTGTTATGTTTTAGCAAAGAAATTAACAGCATTTTGCCTCTGCCCTAAAGATTTGTGGAACTTTGAACTTGAGTAAGATGATTTAGGGTACCTGGCAGAAGAAATTTCTAAGCAGCAAAGCATTCAAGAGGTGACTTGGGTATGTTAAAGGCATTCAGTTTTGGTTTTTTTTTTTTTTTGAGATGGAGTCTTGCTCTGTCGCCCAGGCTGGAGTGCAGTGGCGCGATATCGGCTCACTGCAAGTTCTGCCTCCTGGGTTCACACCATTCTCCTGTCTCAGCCTTCCGAGTAGCTGGAACTACAGGTGACCGCCACCACGCCCGGCTAATTTTTTTTTGGTATTTTTAGTAGAGACGGGGTTTCACCATGTTAGCCTTGATCTCCTGACCTTGTGATCCGCCCGCCTCGGCCTCCTAAAGTGCTGGGATTACAGGCGTGAGCCAACACGCCCGGCGGCGTTCAGTTTTATATAGGAAGCAGAACATAAAAGTTTGGAAAATTTGCAGCCTGACTATGTGATAGAAAAGAAAAACCCAAACCCATTTTCTGGTGAGAAATTCAAACTGGCTACAGAAATTTGCACAAGTAGCAAGAAGCCTAATGTTAATCCCCAAGACCATGGGGAAAATGTCTCCAGGCCATGTCAGAGACCACCACGGCAGCCCCTCCCATCCATCACAGGCCCAGAAGCCCAGGAGGAAAAAGTGGTTTCGTGGGCCGGGCCCAGGGTCCTAGTGCTGTGTGCAGCCTAGGAACTCCGTGCTCTGTGTCCCAGCTGCTCCCCCTGTGGCTGAAAGGGGCTAACATACAGCTTGGGCGGTAGCTTCAGAGGGTGGAAGCCCCAAGCCTTGGCAGCTTCCATGTGGTGTTGAGCCTGCGGGTGCACAGAAGTCAAGAATTGAGGTTTGGGAACCTCCTCCTAGATTTCAGAAGAGTATGGAAACGCTTGGATGCCCAGGCAAAAGCTTGCTGCAGGGGTGGGGCCCTTATGGAGAACCTCTGCTAGGACAATGTGAAAGGGAAATGTGTGGTCAGAGCCCCCACACAGAGTCCCTACTGGGGCATTGCCTAGTGGAGCTGTGAGAAGAGGGCCACTATCCTCCAGACCCCAGAATGGTAGATCCACTGACAGCTTGCACCGTGCACCTGGAAAAGCTGCAGACCCTCAAGGCCAGCCCAGGAAAGCAGCTTGGAGAGAGGCTGTATCCTTCAAAGACACAGGGGTGGAGCTGCCTAAGACCATGGGAATCCACCTCTTGCATCAGTGTGACCTGGATGTGAGACCTGAAGTCAAAGGAGATCATTTTGAAGCTTTAAAATTTGACAGCCCTGCTGGATTTCGGACTTGCATGGGCTCTGTAACTCCTTCGTTTTGGCAAATTTCTCCCATTTGGAATGGCTGTATTTATCCAATACCTGTACCCCCATTGTGTCTAGGAAGTAACGAGCTTGCTTTTGATTTTACAGGCTCATAGGCAGAAGGGACTTTCCTTGTCTTAGATAAGACTTTGGACTGTGGACTTTTGGGTTAACGCTGAAATGAGTTAAGACTTTGGGGGACTGTTGGGAAGGCATAATTGGTGTTCAAATGTGAGGACATGAGATTTAGAGAGGCCAGGGGCGGAATGATACTGTTTGGCTGTGTCCCTACCCAAATCTCAACTTGAATTGTATCTCCCAAAATTCCCACGTGTTGTGAGAGGGACCAGGGGGAGATAATTGAATCACGGGGGCCAGTTTTTCCAGTGCTATTCTCAGGATAGTGAATAAGTCTCACAAGATCTGATGGGTTTACCAGGGGTTTCCGCTTTTGCTTCTCTCTTATTTTCTCCTGCCTCTGCCATGTAAGAAGTGCCTTGGACAGGAGGGGTGGCTCACGCCTGTAATCCCAGCACTTTGGGAGGCCGAGGAGGGTGGATCACCTAAGGTCGGGAGTTCAAGACCAGCCTGGCCAACATGGAGAAACCCCAAGTCTTTACTAAAAATGCAAAATTAGCCGGGCGTGGCGGCGCATACCTGTAATCCCAGCTACTCCGGAGGCTGAGGCGGCAGAATCGCTTGAACCTGGGAGGCGGAGGTGGCGGTGAGCTGAGATCGCGCCATTTCACTCCAGCCTGGGCAACGAGAGTGAAACTCCATCTCAAAAAAAAAAAAAAAAAAAGAAGAAGAAGAAGAAGAAGAAGAAGAAGTGCCTTTCACCTCCAGCCATGATTCTGAGGCCCCCTAGGCATGTGGAACTGTGAGTCCAATTAAACCTCTTTTTCATCCCAGTCTCGGGTATGTCTTTATCCGCAGCATGAAAACGGACTAATATACTTGCCCTACTTCAGAAAGAGGAAGCCTCTGGGGGAGAAAAAAAAAAGAGTTCTTGGTCAGTTTGCAGAGGAGGGAAGCCAAGCCCCAGTTGGGCGCTGGGGAGGAAGGAGGGTATCACAGTGCATCTGCAAGCCCTGGGCGAGTTCTTCTCACCTAGTCCCATTTGTTCTCTCTCTCACTTCTAGCACACTTGAATGCGCCAAAAAGCAAGCATAGGACACTGTAGGGAAAAGGGCGGAGGCACATCGGGAGAAGGGGCATGTGTGTGTTGGCCGGGAAGGGAGTAGGAAGGCCAGAGTTTTAGGAAAGGGCTGCTTAAGGACTTTCAGCAGACCCTGCAGCTGGTCTGCGGATAGCGGCCGCCCACCCAGAAGCTTTCCGAGTTCTTCTTTCCTCCTCCTGCAACCCCTGTCCCACAGGATCCACCCATCCACCTAGCCCATCCCTCTGACCGAGCCCTCTCACCCTCTTGTTTTCTTTCGCTGAGGGCTGTCATCCTCACTTGTAAAAACAGAGATGCACAGGTGGAGGAAGGCCACAGGCGAGAGCCTCCCGTCCTGGATTGTGGCTATCAGCGCTCTGGGACGCGAGGAAACCACACTCGGAGGATTTGCTCCACCCTGAGAGGTGCGCGGTGGCAACCAGCGCAAGGTTCTCTTCTAAGGCGGGTTCCAATCAACTCTAAGTGTGTTGACTCCAGCGTTCCAAGGACTTGGCTTCCTCCATTTGCGGAAAGTCCAGTGATCCAGCTCTTGCAGCGTGCACCCTTCGATAGCTCAGCTGGTAGAGCGGAGGACTGTAGATTGTACAGACATTTGCGGACATCCTTAGGTCGCTGGTTCGATTCCGGCTCGAAGGAAGTGCCCGATGCTTTTGCATGCAATGCCACCTGGTGCCTGGTCAAACGCCCTGCAGCCTCCAACTAGTATCCACCCACACCCTCCCAGTCAAAACCCAGAGAAACCTTTCCTGATCACCTGGTTTCCACACCTGTGCTGTGGCCAGGAAACACGCCCGTAAGCCCACTCATTCTTCCCACAGTCCAGGGACAGGTACTCTTCAACGCAAAGGGCCCCTTGCTTCTGCTTTGTGACCCAGTCAGCCCCTCTCCCCAACCCCCTTCGCACCCCCACCATCCAGAGCTCTTTCACTTTTATCCACAGACTGCTCTGGGTGCTGAGGGCCATGGACTCTAGCAACATTGTGTGCTCACCATTGATAGATCTCTCGATCTATTAAACCAGTGGGCCCACCATCAACTCCTAGAAGATCAAGCCTGCTGGAAGAGAAAAGGGTCAGAGACAACTGTGACATCCTCAGGAAAAAAAAAAAATGCTCTCTATGCTGTCTCTCTCTCATCTCCTTCTCCAGGTCTCTAGCAAATGCTTTTCTATCTGAGCATTCTCTCTCTCTCTCTCTGTTTTTCTCTGACTCTAGTTCTCTCATTATCTTTTGCTTGTAATGTATAGATGTATACAGACAGAAAATGTTCATTTCTGTTTTGTTTTGTCTATTTGTGGGAGAGAGTTGCCGCCCTGAGATTTTCTTAATAAATAGGGCTTCCACTGGCTCCATAATATTTTCCTTCAGGTTGAGAACAAAAATGTGCCCCCTTCCCACATACACCAAGCCTCACATTTCCCGAGCCTTCGCACCTTTTAATGTTGCTACAGTAAACTTTGGGCTCCTGCTGGAAGAAGAAAGATACCTTCCACTCAGTTCAAAGTCTGCAAAAACACCTATACCAAGTGTCTTACTGGTTGTGAAGGTGTGAGAGAGGGAAAGAGAGTATAAAAGGGCAGACTTGGAAAGAACTTCAGTGACCCGGGAGGGTTGGGGGCTGTTGGGTCCCTGGCAGGGAGCAGAATTGAAGCTTGGGTGGCAGCTGCCACCTTGCAGAGGTACACAAGTTCACCTCCTTAGGCCACTGGCTTGTTGCATCTGAGCAGCATGCTCACTTTTATGTGGGGGCTCTGCAGGCACAGCTGGAAGGTTGCGCCTTCTACAAGAGGAAGATGGCTGGCACAATCTGAGAGCATGAAGCAGGAAATGGGCTTGGCTTTCACCAACTGGGCTTCACCTCTGGGAAGATGAAGTGGGTTCATCAAAGTATGAGCCAGAGAGGAACCACAATGAGTGTCCCCTGGTCCCATCCTATGCTCTGGGGAAAAAAAAAAAAATCTTCAGACGCTTGATATACAGATGAAAATTATCACAGAGAGCACTGCAAGCAAAACAGTGATGGAAATTTGGTTCTCAGAGGCCTTCTGGGAACCCGGTGACCACTCTCCCCTACCCGATGGGCATAACTGCTTTTTCACTCTGCGTCTCAAACTAGAGAGTACACATGTCTTCCCCTCCTAGAAAGCAGATCCTGTTCTCCCCCTACGGCCTATTCCCTACCTCTTCTCTGTTGTATCAGCCTTTCCTGCTTCCCACTGCTGATGGAAAGGGGCAGAGCTGTGGACTCACCAGTGCCCCAGCAACATTCTGTAGCTCTGCAGCCCCAGAGAGATCCCAGCCTCGAATGACATTGCTGCAGAGATCAGCAAACAGAAACCAAAGTAGAACCTTTGGTCTATACTGGATATGTCCTTGATAAGATGTGGCGGTACCAGGTTTTTTGGAACCTAGGCTTGGTGCTTTGAGGGAAAAAACAGAGGTGGGCCATTGAGTGGTGTTTGGTCATCAGCAAAAGTGTGGGTGATCCCTGACCATGACTTTTCCCCTATAAACTCAATAAAGGGTGGGTCTTTTGGGTTCAGCTTGCTGTGCCACCAGTAACTGTCTCACTGTTTGTGTGGGTGATGAGTGGTCTTGGGATAGTGGACACACACCATATGGGATATGAACCCTTTGTAACAATTTGTGGCCTAGGTAAGGGGTCCAAAGCTCACCTGGTTTCCTCTATCAGCCCCCTTTTCTTTCCAGGGGCCCCTACTTTAGAAAGCAGCAGCCTCTGGGAAAGGATTCTTGGTCAGTAGCAGAGGACTGGATCGAAGCTTTTATGCTGGCCTTTGGGGTTAGAGGTAATGGGTATCACATGGTGATCTGCGAGCCCCTGGCCCTACTCTCTCCCCACATATCTTTTTTTTTTTTTTTTTAAATTGTCTCTGTCGCCCAGGCTGGAGTGCAGTGGCAAGATCACAGCTTACTGTAGCCTCGAACACCCGGGCTCAGATGATCCTCCCACCTCAGCCTGCTGAGTGGCCAGGACCACAGGTGCAGGCCACCACACCCGGATACTTTTTAGAAGTTTTTCTGTAGAGATGGCTTCTCCCTATGTTGCCCAGGCTGATCTCGAACTCCTGCGCTCAAGCGCCCCTTTCGCCTCGGCCCGCTAAATTGTTGGAATTGCGGTGCGAGCCACCATACCTGGCCTCCACCTATCCTCCTGCATTTCCTCCCTCTCTTCCCATTATGCCTCAATACTCCAAAAAGTGAGCATAGGACACTGGGTAGAAGGGCCGCGCACATCGAGAGGAGTGTGTTTGAGGTGGTGGGAAGTAGAGGACAGGCTGTTAGGGCAGTGCCCCCTTATGGTCTTCCATCAGACCCTGACGCTAGGCTGGGGTTGGAAGCTGCTTACACCACGCCCATGCTGGTTCTCCTCTTTTCCTCCTCCAGTGTCCTCTCCTCCACTGGACCCACCCATCAGTCTCACCAAGCCCTCTGCCCTCGCCGTCTTACCTCATTTTCCCTCTGGCCACTAAGGGCTGTCATCTTCACAAGCAGAAAGAGCGATGCAGAGGGAGAGGAAGGCCACAGGTGAGAGCTCCTCCTCGTGGATCGTGGCTATCGGCGCCCCAGAGACGCCAGGCACCCCCCCGGGCCCAGAGGATTTGCTCTGTCCGGAAAGGGGCGCAGTGGAGACCGGCGCAGAGTTCTCTTCCAAGTCGGGTTCCAATTAACTCAACGAGTATTGGATCTCCGGTGGTCCAGGGACTTGGCTTCCTCCATTTGCAGAAAGTCCAGTGACCCAGCCTTAACAGTGTGCATCCTTCGATAGCTCAGCTGGTAGAGCGGAGGACTGTAGACTGCGGAAACGTTTGTGGACATCCTTAGGTCGCTGGTTCAATTCCGGCTCGAAGGAAGCGCCTGACTCTTTTGCGCACAATGCTGCCTGGCTGCACCTGTTCCTCGTCAAAGACCTTGCAGCCTTCCAGTCATAACTACACTTTCCCCAGGAAAACCCAGCAAAATCCTGCCTTTCCTGATCACAGGCCTGGGAGCCTATTCATTCTTCCCGAATCCTCATAGTCTTCAGCTCAAAACAGTGCCCCTTGCCTTGTGACCCAGCCAGACCCCAATTCGTGCCCCCACCATCCTACGCCTTTCCACTTGTATTTACAAACTGCCCACCCATCCCCCTGTCCCAGACCCGTCAAGCTTCATCTTTCCTGAGCTTTCACAAGTTTTTATGTTGCTACAGCCAAGTTTGGCTACTGCTGGAAAAGTAAGGATATCTAATACTCAGTTCAAAGTCTGCAAAAACACCTGCACCAAGTGCCCTGCCTACTTGGGAGGGTAAGGGAAAGGGAAAGCGAGTACCAAAGAAGTGCAGACTTCAAAACAGCTTCAGTGATCCTGGAGAGTTAGGGGCTATTGGGTCCATGGCAGGGAGCAGACGTAAAGCTTGAGTGACAGCTGCCTTTATACAGAGGCACGTGGATTTGCCTCCTTAGACAGGCCACTGCCTCGTGGGTCTAAGCAGTTCGGAGCGTTTGCTCTGGGACCTAGAGGCACAGTTGGGTTCTCCTACTCCCAAGAAAAATGTGCTGAGGCCCAGTCAGAGAGAATGGAGTCAGAAATGGACTGGGCTTTATCAATCAAGTGAAGCTTCAACTCTGGGGAGTTGGAGTGGGTTTGGTGGATATGTGGCAGAGAAGAAAGCCAATGAGCATCCTTTGGTCTCATCACATAATCTTGGAAAAAGCTTCCCGATGTTTGATGTAAAGATGCAACCTATCAGAGAGTACTCCAAACTGAATGGCCCAGGAAAGCATGGCCTTCTGAAGCCTGCTTAGGACTGGCTTGCCCCATCTACTACCTGCTGGGTCCACATGAACTGTTTAATTGTGCCTCTCAAACTGGATACTGCACATATTACTGCACATATCTTTTTCACATGGAAAGCAGCTCCTGGTATCCCGCCACCGCCTATTCTCCCCCACGTCACCCCGACTGTGTCAACCTTTCTTCTTTGGTGTCACCAGTGCTCTGGGATGCTTCTATGGCTCTGGAGGCACAGAGAGACCCCAGCTCCAATGACACCAAAGGCAAAGACCAGCTAACAAAGAGGGACCAAAGGTAGCACCTCAGGCCTTCATTGGATATATTCCTGATGGGGCGTGGAGTCACCAGAGCCCTTGGAACCTTTGCTCAGTGCTTTGGGGAAAAACCAGAGGTGAGCCAACAAATGGGTTTGGTGGCTGGCACAAGTGAAGGTGAGCCCAGGTGCCCACTCTTCCCAGCTGTGCCATGGCAGAGAGTAGCAGGATGTCTGTGAGGATCTGATCCTCACTCTCGGAGATCCACACCCACTTGCCATAAGACAGGAAGTGGACATAAACTCAATGGAGGCTAGGTCCCGTGGGTGTGGCTTCCTGTCCTCCTCTAGGTGTTCTGCTGCAGAGAGGGTGCCTCAGTGGTCTCGGAGTGGTGGGCACACACCAGATGGGATCTGAAACTTTTGTCAAAGATGTGGGTTCAGGATAAGGAGTCCAAAGCTCACACTTCTGTCCTCTACCTGGCTTCTTGTTTTTCAAAGAAACCCACAGAACTTTGCCCTACTTCAGAAATCAGCAGCTTCTGATTGGAATTCTCAGCCTGTTTGCAGAAGAGGGTATCTCACATGTGCCTCTGCAAGCCTGGGAGAGATTTCCTCACCTCACTTCCCAGTGCACCTCAATGCACCAAAATGTGAGCATAGACTACTATGAGGAGAAGGGCGGGGCACCTGGGGAGGAGGGCCCTGTGTGTGTGGTAGGGGAGGGAGTAGAGAGGCCAGACTATTATGGAAGCGCCCATTAGAGACCTGCACCAGACTCTGAGGTTGGGTTGGAGTTGTCAGCTGCCTATCCAGCGCCCATTAGGGTTCTCCTCTTTTCCTCCTCCAGCGTTCTCTCCCCGACTAGACCCACCCAACCACCTCGCCAATCCCTGTGCCCTCGCTGACTCACCTTCTCATTTTCTCTCAGGCCACTGGGGGCTGTCATCCTCACCTGTAGAAAGGTGGATGCTCAGGGAGAGGAAGGCTGTCACAGATGAGAGCTCCTCCTCGTGGATGGTGGCTATCAGAGCCCGAGAGACACCAGGCATCCTCGCCCAGAGGATTTGCTCCGCCCTGAAAGGGGTGTGGTGTCAAGCGGCGCAGGGTTCTCTTCCAAGGTGGGTGCCAACCAACCCAACGCGTATTGGACCTCAAGCATTCCAGGGATGTGGCTCCCTCTGTTTGCAGAAAGTCCAATGAACCAGCTTTGATAGCATGCATCCTTCGATAGCTCAGCTGGTAGAGCGGAGGACTGTAGATTGTATAGACATTTGCGGACATCCTTAGGTCGCTGGTTCGATTCCAGCTCGAAGGAAGTGCGTGATGCTTTTGGTTAAAAGCCCTGCAGCTTCCAAGTAGTAACCACACTCTCCCGGGCAAAACACCCACGAAGTCTTTCCTGATCACCTAGCTTCCCACGCCTTGCTTCTACTTTGTGACCCCACTAATCCCTCTATTCATGCTGACCACTACTTCCCCACCCTGTGCTCCTTCGCTTTTCTTCACAGACTGCTCTCGAGCTTGAGCATCTCCACTGGCTGTGACAAAACCGCTGTGCTCACCTTTGACAGAGCTCTCCTGACCAGGTGGGCAAAGCCTGGAAGGTCAAGTTCCCTGGAGAACGTCAAGCTTACTTGACAAGGGTGTAAAGTGGGGATAACCGTGGTATCTTCCGTGAAAACTCACCCTCTCACTCTCATCCATCTCAGGCTCTTTATCACTGCATTGAGATCTGACAGTCTCATGTTTGTCTCTGTCTCATTCTCTTTCTCTCTTTCACCGTTTCTCTGTCTCTGTATATTTCTCTTTGTCTCTGTGTCTCTGCCTCCCTATCTCTCTTCCCTGAGCCCTCAGCCTGCCCCTCTCATTCTCCTTGGCTGGAAATGTATAGACCTATACAGGCGTAAAGAAAATGTTCATTCCCACTTTGCTGTGTCTACTTTGGGGAGACAGCTGTCACCCTGAGAATTTCCTAATCCTAAGAACTTCCATTAGCAAGGTCAGGTTGCCCTTTAGGTTGAGGACAAGGTGAGTCTATCCCCTATCCCCATAGCTTTTCCCAAATCCCTCAAGCCTCACTTTTTCTGAGCCTTCACAACTTTTCATGCTGCTACAGCGGAGTTTGGCCCCTGCTAGAAAAGAAAGGACCTAATATTCAGTTCAAAGCCAGCAAAAACACCTGTGTTGAGTGCCCTGCTACTTGAGAGGGTAAGGGAGATGGAAGGGGAGTACAAAAGTGCAGGCTGGAAAAGAGCTTCAGTGATCCTGGAGAGTTAGAGGCTGTTGGGTCCATGGCAGGGAGCAGAAGTAAAGCTTGAGTGACAGCTGTCATTATACAGAGGCACACGAATTCGCTGCCTTAGGCCACTGCCTGGTGGGTCTGAGCAGTTTGGAGCTTTGGGACTAGAGGCACAGTTGGACTCTACCCTCACCCCAAAGGAAAAAGTGCTGAGGCCTAATCAGAGAGAATGAAGTAGGAAATGGACTTAGGTTTTCTCCAACGAACAGGGGTTACACCTCCAGGGAGATGGAGTGGGTTCTGTGGGTATGGGGCAGAGAAGAAAGCCAACAAGCGTTCCTTGGTCTCATCTCACCATCTCAGAAAAAATCTCCAGAGATTTGATGCGCACATGCAACCTATCACAGAGAGCACTCCAAGCCAAATGGCCCATGGGAACGTGGCCCTCTGAAACCCTCTGGGGACTGGGACACCTGCCTCCACTACCTGCTGTGGCCACAAGAGCTGTTTCATTGCAGGTCTCAAACTGAAGACTACACAGGTCTTTCTTGGGAAGCAGCTCCTGATCTCCCTCCACCTCCCTATTTCCCCCAATGTTCCCCTGGCTTTGTCAGCCTTTCCTGCTTCTCATTGCTAACAGAAGGAGGCCAAGCTGTGGCATCGCCAGTGCCCAGGATGATTCTATGGCTTTGGAGCCACAGAGAGATCCCTGCCTCCAATGACACCAAAGGCAGAGGCTAGCGAACACAGACGAAATGTAGTACCTTTGTCCCTTATTGGATAAGTTCATGATGGGATATAGAGACCCCCAGGTTCTTCGGAACCTCTGTTTAGTGTTTTGGTGGGAAAATCAGAGGTGAGCCAGTGAATGGGCTTTGGTGGCCAGCACAAGCAAGGTTGAAACCTGGGTACCAACTCTTCCTGTTTGAGCCATGACAGAGTAGCTGGGTTCTGTGAGCATCTGACCCTTGCCCTCAGAGATCCAGACCCACTTGCCATAAGACAGGGAGTGGACTTAAACTCAATGGTGGCCAGGTTCCTTGGATGTGGCTTGCTGCACCTCCAGTAGGTGTTCAGCTGGGGGGTGGGTGTCCCAGTGGTCTTGGGGTAGTGGTGTTGCGGGAAGTCAGGGACCCCAAACAGAGGGACCGGCTGAAGCCATGAGAGAAGAATGTGGATTGTGAAGATTTTATGGACATTTATTAGTTCCCCAAATTAATACTTTTGTAATTTCTTGTGCCTGTCTTTACTGCAATCTCTAAACATAAATTGTAAAGATTTCATGGACACTTATCACTTCCCCAATCAATACCCTTGTGATTTCCTATGCCTCTCTTTACTTTAATCTCTTAATCCTGTCAGTTGAGGAGGATGTATATTGTCTCAGGACCCTGTAATAATTGCGTTAAGTACACAAATTGTACAGCATGTGTGTTTGAGCAATATGAAATGTGGGCACCCTGAAAAAAGAACAGTATAACAGCAATGTTCAGGGAATAAGAGAGATAACCTTAAACTCTGACCGCCGGTGAGCCGGGGGGAACAGAGCCATATTTCTCTTCTTTCAAAAGCAAACGGGAGAAATATCGCTGAATTCCTTTTCTCAGCATGGAACGTCCCTGAGAAAGAGAATGCGCACCTAGGGGTAGGTCTCTGAACTGGCCCCCCCCGGGGCGTACCTGTCTCTTATGGTCGAGATTGCAGAGGTGAAATAAACTCCAGTCTCCCATAGCACTCCCAGGCTTATTAGGAAGAGGAAATTCCCGCCTAATAAACTTTGGTCAGACCGGTTGATCTCAAAACCCTGTCTCCTGATAAGATGTTATCAATGACAATGGTGCCAAAACTTCATTAGCAATTTTAATTTCACTTCGGTCCTGTGGTCCTGTGATCTCGCCCTGTCTCCACTTGCCTTGTGATATTCTATTACCCTGTTAAGTACTTGATGTCTGTCACCGACACCTATTCGTATCTCCCTCCCCTTTTGAAACTCCCTAATAAAAACTTGCTGGTTTTTGTGGCTTGTGGGGCATCACGGATCCTACCAATGTGTGATGTCTCCCCCGGATGCCCAGCTTTAAAATTTCTCTCTTTTGTACTCTGTCCTTTTATTTCTCAAGCCAGTCGATGCTTAGGAAAATAGAAAAGAACCTACATGATTATCGGGGCAGGTCCCCCGATATAGTGACACACACCAGATAAGATCTGAAACATTGTCAAACACATGGGGTCAGGGTAAGCAGTCCAACACTGACACTTCTGTCTTCTACTTCACCCATCCCCTATTTTTTTTTTTTTTTTTTAGACAGGGTCTCTTCTGTCACCCAGGCTAGAATTCAGGGGCATAATCATAGCTCACTGTAGCCTTGAACTCCTGGCCTCAAGCAATCCTCCCACCTCAGCCTCCCAAGTAGCTGGGACTACAAGCTTGTGCTACCACACCCAGCTAATTTTTGTAATTTTTGTAAAGATAAGGTTTTGCCGTGTTGCTCAGGCTGGTCCTTGCCCCTTTGCTTTTTCAGAGCCCACAGAGCCTTGTCCTACTTCTAGAAGTTGCAAGTGGCAAAATATTTCTGATTGGTTTGCAGAGGAGGGAAGCCAACCACCAGATTGGCCCCGAGGGAGGAGGGGTATTACATGTGCCTCTGCAATCCCTGGGAGGGGTCTCCTCACCTAATTCTATTTGTTCTTTCCCTCACTTCCCAGTACACCTCAACGGGCCAATACGTGAACTTAGGATACTGTAGGTAGAAGGCAGAAAGCGCATCGGGAGGAAGAACGGGGGTGGGGGATGAGGGGGTGGGAGAGCAGTGGAAGGTGTAGGGAGGTCAGAGTGTTAGGGAAGGGCCTCATTACCGGCCACCACCAGACCCTGCGGCTCGGCTGGGGTTGGAAGCCTTCTACCAGTGTCCATTCCAGGTCTCCTCCTTTCTCCTCCAGCAACCCTTCCCTCACCGGACCCCCGCACCCTGCATCCACCTCGCCAACCCCTCTGCCTCTCACCCTCTCACTTTTTTTTTTTTTTGCCACTGAGGTCTGTCATCCTCACCTGTAGAAAGGGGGATGCACAGGAGGAAGAAGATAGCAAGTGAGAGCACACTCCCACCACTACCCCCACGCCCCCTACCCGGCTCGCCCCTCATGGGTCGTTGTTATCGATGCCGGGGAAAGCCAGTCAACCACAGCCAGAGGATTTTGTTCCGCCGCAAAAGGAGCGCGGTGGCGATCGGCGCAGGATTATCTCTCTAAGGCGAGTTCCAACCAACTTAAAGCTTATTGGACGACTAGAGTTGCAAGGAGTCTTGCATTTGCTGAAAGATCAATGACCCAACCCCAGAAACGTGCGCCCTTCGATAGCTCAGCTGGTAGAGCGGAGGACTGTAGCCTGTAGAAACATTTGTGGACATCCTTAGGTCGCTGGTTCGATTCCGGCTCGAAGGAGCTGCCGTATTCTTTTGCACACGCACGCACCAAAACTACGTGGCTGCATCTCTGCCTGGTCAAAGGCTTTGCCAGCCAGCATCCACACTCTCCCAGGAGAAACCTAGCAAGGCCTTTCCGGATTACCCAGCTTCCCACAGCCTATGCTGTGGCCTTGGGAGTCTGCTCATTCTTCAAGTCATTGCTTTCTCTACTATCTTCAAATTTTTTATATAATCTGGGATTTTTATCTCCAAGTCATTGATTTTTATGGCCATTAGGTGACACTATAACTGATATTCTTATGAAACTAGATGAAATATTTGAATAACATGTTAGAAAATTGAATTCATGTATATTAAAACAATGTCTTAACAATTATTTACATTTACATATAAGTTCTATTTCTTTCCTTGCTCATAAATTTTTTGCATCTCACTGTTTTGTGATTTTATTTTTTATTTTCAGGAGTTCAACCTTGAGCAATTCCTTTAGAATGCATCCATGGATCTTAATGAAGATATAAGTTCTAGAACACCCCCCAACCAAGTGCCCTCAATGTAAACTCTCTTTTGACTGCTATTTATGCTGAAAATAGAATTGGAGGTATTATGGGCTGAACTGTGTCTTTACAAAATTTAATATGCTAAAGCCCCAATCACCATACACCAGAATGTGACTATAGGATAGCACCTTTAACATGGTGATTAAGTTAGAGGCTGTTAGGGTGTGCCATAATCCAATCTGACTAATACCCTTATAAGAAGAAAAAAATCTGGACACAGAGAGACACCAGAGATGTATGCAAATAAAGGATGAACTGTGTAAGGACAGAGAGAGAAGGTAGCCATCTGCAAGCCAAAGAGAGGTCTCAGAAACCAGTAGCTTGATCTTGGGCTTCAAACCTCTAGAATTGTAAGAAAATGAATTCCTGTTGTTAAAGCTACCCTGTCTGTGGTATTTTATGATGTTAGCCCTAGAAAACCAATATACTAGGCTCAAAATCATTTTCCCTCTTACTCCTGAAGATAACTGACATTGTTCTTGTTACACAGAGTTTTCATTGATGATGAAACTGATTTTTCTTATTTTATAGATAATTTTTTTTCTTTTACATTTCAGGAAGCATTTAAGCTTTTGTCTTTATTCTTGGACTTTGGAGACATCACCAAGGTGTATATAGTTGTGGGTATTTTTATGTTTAATACTGTTCACTGCATGGTCTCCCAAATTTCAGAAGTGTCTTTCTTTAGTTCAGAAAACTTATTTATTCTTTCTTTATTTTATCTCCTCCATTTTTGTTATTTTCTGAAGTTCCTTTTAGATATATGTTGAGCATCCTGGATTTAACTTCCATGTCTCTTAATATTTCTCTCATATATTTCATCTCTTAGTTCTATATTCTAGAAGATTGTCTTCAGCCAAGCCTCTTATATACGGTTATGTGTCACTTAACAACAAGGATATGGTTTAAGAAATGCATCATCAGGCGATTTCATTATTGTGCAAACATAGTGGAGTATACTTACACAAACTAAGGTGGTATAGTCTACTACACAGCTAGTCTATATGGTGTAGCTTATTACTTCTAGGCTATAAACCCATACAGCATGTTACTATACTGAATATTATAGGCAATTGTAAAACGATGTTAAGTATTTGTGTGTATCTAAACATAGAAAAGCCACAGATAAAAAATGGGGCCGGGCGCAGTGGCTTACACCTGTAATCCCAGCACTTTGGGAGGTCAAGGCAGGCAGATAAGCTGAGGTCAGAAGTTGGAGACCAGCCTGACCAACATGGAGAAACCCTGTCTCTACTAAAAACACAAAAATTAGTCAGGCATGGTGGTGCATGCCTGTAATCCCAGCTACTCGAGGGGCTGAGGCAGGAGAATCACTTGAACCCAGAGGCAGAGGTTGTGGTGAGCTGAGATCATGCCGTTGCACTCCAGCCTGGGCAACGAGCAAAACTCTGTCTCAAAAAAAAAAAAAGTTTATTTAATTTTTTTCTTCAATAATAAATTGCCTTGGTTTATTATAACTTTTTCTTTATAAACTTTTTAATTTTTAAAGCTTTTTTACTCTTTTGTAATAGCACTTAGCTTAAAACACACACTGTATATTTATACAAAAATATTTTCTTTATGTCCTTATTCTATAAACTTTTTTATTTAAAATTTTTTTATTTTATTTTACTTTTTAAGCTTTTTTGTTAAAAAACTAAGACACACACGTTAGCCTAGACCCTCACAGGGTCAAGATTGTCAATATCACTATATCACTGTCTTTCACCTCCATATCTTGCCCCACTGGTAGGTTTTTTGTTTGTTTGTTTGTTTTGGTTTTTTTTTTTTTTTTTTTTTTGAGACCAAGTTTTGCTCTTGTTGCCCAGGCTGGAGTGCAATGGCATGATCTCAGCTCACTGCAACCTCAGCCTCCCGAGTTCAAGTGATTCTCCTGCCTCAGCCTCCCGAGTAGCTGGGATTACAGGTATGCGCCATCAAGCCAGGCTAATTTTGTATTTTTAGTAGAGATGGGGTTTCTCTATGTTGGTCAGGCTGGTCTCGAACTCCTGACCTCAGGTGATCTGCCCACCTTGGCCACCCAAAGTTCTGGGATTACAGGGGTGAGCCACCGTGCCTGGCCACCACTGGTAGGTCTTTGGGGGCAATAAGACGCATGGAAGTGTTATCTCCTATGAGAACAATGCTTTCTGAAATACCTCCTGAAGGACCTGCCTGAGACTATTTTACAGTTAACATTTTAAAAATATATAAGTAGAAAAAGTGCACTCTAAAATAAACAAAAAATATGGTATAGTAAATACTAGGCAATAGGAATTTTTCAACTCCATTATAATCTTATGGGACCACTGTTGTAAACGCAGTTTGTCATTGATGGAAACATTGTTACGCAGGGCATGACTATGATTGATATGTGTGTATATATTATTTTAATTTTGATGATATCATTATTAATTTAAAGAACTCTTTGGTTCTTAGAAGTTCCTTTTTCATAACATCTATTCCTGGTTTGCTCATATTTACATTATTTTATTAATATAAATTTGGAAATGTAAAGATTGTTTCCATCATTTAAGTATCTGTTTCCTCTAAGGTCACTCATTCTATTTGTTCATTTTTATCCTTCTCATTAACACTATGGTTATACTCAAGGACTGGTAGTATTTGCATGTCAATTCAAATAGATGGATTGAGGACTGTGGAGCAGATTTCTCCTGTTTGTATTTTAGACTTGTGTTTGTTTCTCTCTTTTTAAAAACTCAATTCCCGCCGGGCGCGGTGGCTCACGCCTGTAATCCCAGCACTTTGGAAGGCCGAGGCGGGCGGATCACAAGGTCAGCAGATCGAGACCATCCTGGCTAACACGGTGAAACCCCGTCTCTACTAAAAATACAAAAAATTAGCTGGGTGTGGTGGCGGGCGCCTGTGGTCCCAGCTACTTGGGAGGCTGAGGCAGGAGAATGGCGTGAAGCCGGGAGGCGGAGGTTGCAGTGAGCCAAGATTGCGCCACTGCACTCCAGCCTGGGTGACAGAGTGAGACTCCGTCTAAAAAACAAAAAAAATTCGATTCCCTCTGCTATTTTTTCCTCCTAATAGTTCCTTTGCAATAGACTGAATGGCCACGTCCCCTTAAATTCATATAATGAATTTAACCCCAATGTGATGGTATTTGGAAATGGGACCTTTGGAAAATCATTAGCATGTAAGGCTGGAGCCCTCATGAACGAAATTAGTCTTCTTATAAGAAGAGGCCACAGAGCTAGCTAGCTTTTTTTCCTCCATGTGAGGGCACAGAAAGAAGACTGCCCTCTATAAACCAGAAAGAGCCCCACCAAGAACCCCATCATGCTGGCTCTGGGATATCAAATTTCCAGCCTCTAGAATGGTGAGAAACAAATGTTTGTTGTTTACCTATTTATGGTAATTTGTTATAGCAGCCTGAACAAAGACATCCTCTTACTACGAGACTTGGTAATAGCACTCTGTCTTGTTTTCCTATGTGTTAAAAAAGAAAAAGAAAAAGGAAGAAAAGGAAAAAAGGTTAAGTTTTATATTAAAGAATTTGTCATAATGAAAAAGATAGGTTCTGAAATCTGTTAACTCAATCAAATCTCCATAGGCCCAGCACGGTAGCTCATGTCTGTGGTACCAGCATTTTGGGAGGCTGAGGCAGTGGATCACTTGAGGTCAGGAGATTGAGACCAGCCTGGCCAACATGGTGAAACCCCCTCTCTACTAAAAATACAAAAATTAGCCGGTCCTGGTGGCTCATGCCTGTAATCCCAGCTACTCACGAGGCTGAGGCAAGAGAATCGCTTGAACCCGGGAGGCGAAGGCTGCAGTGAGCCGAGATAGCGCCGCTGCACTCCAGCCTGGGTGACAGAGGGAGACTCAACCTCAAAGAAAAACAAAAAAAACAAAAACAAAAAAACTTATTCTAGACTGTGATTCTGTGTTTATGTGTGTTTCTATATTGCCTCCACTCCTTTTGAACCAGAAGGCAGGTTGTTGCTGAGAAAGTTAAGTTCCTCTTGGAATTGGTAGTTCATTATAGTTTTACATTTTCTGGCTCTGAGTAGCCCACATGGTATTTGACATTCTCCAGTGGCTGGCTGGTTAATTTTGTGGAACTAGAGTTTCCATATTCAGGGAAGTATTTCACACCTTTATTAATTTTTAACTGGGAAAATCGTATTCTAAAAATTTAGAGTTTTCTTGAAATAGATGCTTGATTTTCACTACATATTTCTGAGGCTTTTTATTATGAAACATTTCAAACATATTAAAAATAGAGAGAATAGTATAATGAACCACAGTTATAGCTGACATATAGCTCCATGAATTCCCAGTTCATGGCCAAGAAAGTTTTATCTATAGCCCTCACTTTATTTTGAAGAAAATTCCAGATATCATTTCATTTTACTTTAGCTCATTTTTATTTACAAAGTGTCAATTAGATTTTTTGATACAGTTTCCATTACAATATGATTTTTACTTGTAAGGAAAATTGAAGCTAAAGAGATATCAAACAATGATTAAAGCAGACATGTAATTCAAGAATGTTGCAACTCATTCATTCAATAGATGTGTCATTCTAGTAGTCTTCTTGGTTTATACATTTTTCTTTTGTTCTTTATTTTCTGACAGGGAAGGTTTTCCAGGGGAAAAGAAGAAACAAGGTGCAGAACTGTGTAAGAAAGTGTCAAGTAAATAAGTAAACATTTAGTTATTTCCTTGTTTATACACAAAAAACACTGGAAGGAGGCCAATGAACTAATGAAAATGGTTAATTAGGCGAGGGGGATGGGGTGAATAGGAATGTGGGGGACTAGAACTTTTCAATTTATACATTTTTATTTTTGAACCATGTGAGTATGCTTTAAAAATAAATACAATTTTTTCTTCTAACATGGTTTACTTTCATTAAAAAAAACTAGGAAATTCCTATGATCAAGTTAGTTTGAAAGTATTATAAGTGGTCGGTTGCGGTGGCTGATGCCTGTAATCCCAGCACTTTGGGAGGCCGAGGCGGACGGATCACTTGAGGCCAGGAGTTGAGACTGGCCTGGTCAACATGGTGAAACCCTGTCTCTACTAAAACTCCAAAAATTAGCTGGGCGTGGTGGCAGACACCTATAATCCCAGCAACTCGGGAGGTTGAGGCAGGAGAATCACTTGAACCCGGAAGACGGAGGTAGCAGTGAGCCGAAAGTGTTCCACTGCACTCTAGCCTGGGCGGCAACAGAGCAAAAACACTGTATCAAAAAAAAGAAAAAGTATTATAAGCTAAATACCAAAGCCAATGTCAACTGGTCAAATAGCGTTTTTTGTTTTGTTTTGTTTTGTTTTGTTTTGTTTTGTTTTTGATACAGAGTCTTGCTCTGGAGTGTAGTGGCACTATCTTGGCTCACTGCAACCTCCACCTTCCAGGCTCAAGCCATCCTCCTACCTCAGTCTCCCTAGTACTTGGGAATACAGGTGGGCACCACCAGGCCCAGCTAATTTTTGTATTTTTAGTAGAGATGAGGTTTCGCCATATTGGCCAGGCTAGTCTCAAACTCCTGGCCTCTGGTGATCCACCAGCCTTGGCCTCCCAAAGTGCTGGGATTACAGGCCTGAGCCACTGAGCCCAGCCTGTGTGCTTGTTTGTTTTAAACAAATTGTCTGTCTTTGATCTCATCTATTTCTGCAGTTTCCTTAGTCCTTAAGATTTGATTAAGGTTTAAAAACACGTGTGGCTTGGCCGGGCGTAGTGGCTCATGCCTGTAATCCCAGCGCTTTGGGAGGCCGAGGCAGTGGATCACCTGAGATCAGGAGTTCAAGACCAGCCTGGCCACCATGGTGAAACCCCGTCTCTACTAAAAATACAAAAATTAGCCGCGTGTGGTGGCAGGCGCCTGTAGTCCCAGCTACTCAGGAGGCTGAGGCAGGAGAATTGCTTGAACCCGGGAGGTGAAGGTTGTGGTGAACCGAGATCGCACCACTGCACTCCAGCCTGGGTGACAGGGCAAGACTCTGTCTCAAAAAAACAAAACAAAACAAAAAAAAAGTGTGGCTTAAATGTGCTTTACTAGTTCTTAGACTTCATGGGTCTCTTTTTCAGACCTCTCCTTCCCTCAGCTTAACAAACAGGAGTTGCAGTTTCTAGTTTAGTTTGTTGTTGTTTGGCTTAGCTCAGCCAGTTTCTCCCTGTCTTTGCTCTCACTCCTTTAGAGTCTAGTGATGACACTTCTCATGCTTCATTCCCTTTAGATATTTTCTTTTTTCTAGAAAGGAGTATGTCTAGAAAGGATGTAATTTAGCTAAACTAGTTCCCAGGAGCCCTGTGCACTCCTCCTCTAGTTCAAAACTTAATTGGTGCTCATCTGACAAGGGCAGCTGCTCCTCAAGTCTGGGGTTCAGAGCAGTCTAGTTCACATGCCATTTGTCAAGCACCTAGTATGTGCCAGGCACTGTGATTGGTGCTAGAAATACAGAGATGAAAATATTCCTGCCGTAGGAATTTAAAGTCTAGCAGGGGATACAGACAGAAAAGCAACGTTATAATACAACGGACTACATATTAAGATTGAGATCAACAGAACCTGCCATACCTCAGGTGGGAGAGTGAGTAGGGTGGTAAGACTAAGGATGGGGGGTAGGGGAAGCTGTCTCAGAAGACCGGATGTGCACTAGACTCAACTGAGTCTTAGGACATGAATAGGAACAGTCAAGATTTTAGTCAGGGCCATAGAATGGACACAAATGGGAAAAATGTGATCAATGGCCCAGAATTCTGAATAATGCTTTGGGTATGTGGAACATATATATTATATTACCACTAGGAGATAAGCAGCAAGGCTGGGAGAAGCAGTGGAATTAGCTAGAGATGAAACTGGGAAATTTCCCTTATCTTGTCAAGCTCATGGGACTCCCATCATTTCCTAACCCCAAAGCCAGGGGAGGGATTCCCAATATCATTTTAAGTCATCAGGGAGAAAACACAGTGTCTGTGTTACTTGGGATGTAAACATCTCCCCTGGGTGTCATGCAGGAGAAGGGTGGATGATGGTCATAGCCTTCTGTGGTTGATCAAGCTCTATCCTCTTCTTCATTCTCATCGTTAATGCTCCTAAATTTTTGCAGTGACCTGGTTTGATGTAGTTGACAGACAAATGCAGAAATATTCCCAATCACCCTTTCTTGAACAAAGGGTAAGCTTTTTTTTTTTTTTTTTAACAGAGTCTAGGAAATTTCCATTGAATGGCAAATCTCCCCTGGGTCTTTTAGGATTTTTTTTTTCTTTCTCTACGGTCTTACTTTCTCGCCACCTGGTTAACCTCTCTCCAAAAAGCACTGCTGCTAGCTGGGCTCCTGATGTCCAGATTAATTCTGATGCCCAGATTAGTTCTCATCTGAAGATATCTCCATTGGAAACTAAAGTTATGCATGAAGGATCCCACCCTTCAGTAGAGAGATTAGTTAGAAACCAGAGACTTCAGCCTTCTCCCTCCCTGCCCTCAGGCTAATACCAGGAGTCAGGGAAGGTAGGGATCTAAAAGAAGAAAACTGATGCTTTGTACAAAAGTTCTATTAGCAGAAAAAAGTGAAGACATGGCTTTAAGTGGAACATTTTTCCACAACTAGAGATGAAACGAACTACATAAGTGGGCTAAGTCTTTTCAAAAATAGGAGGTAAATGGTGTAACCCCTCCATATGTACCCCTTGCCTTCTAGCCCCATGTTGTTTTTGTAGTAACATTTCTTGTGAGATAATTGTCTTTCACTTGTGAGATAATTGAGATAATTGTCTTTCACTTGAATTACGCCTGTGGAAATCTAAGACAGTGGTCACATTGCGGAAGGCATTCTTTCTACAGGGAGGGAAGGGTGGGTCCTGATGGCTTGCTCATGGCCATAAGAAAGGCAGCATGACACATCCTCCTCAGGATTAGAAAGCCCCCTTGTTCACAAGGCAGAATGACAACATGAGAGGAAAGCCCAGGAGAAGAAGGAGATTATCCAATTTCTCCTTGTTTTCCCAAGTGCTTTTCCCATCCTCCCCAACTCCAAGGATGTGAGCCTATTGTCAGCCTTACGGTACAGGGTGTGGCAAGGACTCTCAGATGGAACAGGACCTTGAATCATAAAAAGGGGAAAAATTTTTTTTCAGGGTGACCCCCACCCTCGTGGAAACAACAAGTACATTCAGGAGGAGGTAGGAGGAATCCCTTCCATATTCAGAGTTGGTAACTCATCTTCCTGTCACTTAAGATATAGTTTAGGTTCAGCTCAATGGTGGATTTTCACAGGGAGCAACAGAGTGCCAGACGGAGTCCCCTTTGGGGTGACCAGTCTCATCTGTTTATATTCCACCCATTATGTTCTGTGCTGTAGCCCAAAGGTACTGTGTTCACACACTGCTCTTTTCCACTGAAGATGCCTCCTTCTCTCTATCAAATGCATACTCATTTTCTAGTACTTATTTCAGGCATTGCCTGTCTCCAGAATACCGCCTGTCTCTCTGATTTTCAGTTTGGTCCCTTTTCTGTTTCCCTTTGGTATCCTATACTTCCCTGCAACATTCTACCTGTCACACATCTTAATTTTTCTGTCATTCTTAGTGGGCAGTGAGCTACATGAGGGTAGTGACAATGTCTTCTATCTCTAAATCTCCAAGTACAGCAGCATCTGGTACATAATGAATATGAAGCAAAAGTCGAATGACTTTACCGACAACAAGCAATTTCTATAGAAGCTGGAGGGAGGGGAGACTGAATGAATCCTCAGGGAGAAAGATCACAGAACTGCTTTATCCTAGAAAAAAGCTCCAGATATTTTCCTGTCTGGACCTGCGGGACCCACAGGAGAGAAATTGTAAGTAAAGAGTCTAATGCTTGCTGAGAATAAAGACTGTCGGGGTATGCTGGAGAACAATAAGGTTGGCTGGGGATGGTGGCTAACACCAGTAATCCTAGCACTTTGGGAGGCCGAGGAGAGGCAGATCACTTGAGGCCAGGAGTTCAAGACTAGCCAGGCCACCATGGCAAAACCCTGTCTCTACTAAAAATACAAAAATTACCCGGGTGTGGTGGCATGTGCCTGTAGTCCCAGCTGCTTAGGAGGCTGAGGCAGGAAAATCGCTTGAACTCAGGAGGTGGGGTTGCAGTGAGCCAAGATTGTGCCACTGCATTCCAGCCTGGGCAACAGAGTGAGACTCCATCTCAACAACAACAACAAAAGAGAACAATAGGGCTGACAGAGAACCAAGGGTCTTAAGATCAGTTCTTATGTTTTGCATGGCTAAAGGTATAAGAATTAAAGAAAGAGGAAAGAAACATGAAAGGTGGCTTGCTAGTCAAGACAGGTTCATTTTAGAGAGAAAACAAACCTGGGAGGAGAAAACAAACCTGAGAGGAACTTCTGGCCAAGCTAGGTCAGAGGCACACTCTCTTACAGACTAGGAGTTTTTAAGGATTCAGGGTGGGAGAGTTTATCAGAGGCTTGGACTGCTTCTGTGTCTCTTTGTTGTGCTTATCTGGGAGGGAGAGTTTTGTGTCTGTTCCCATAATCTTTCTGTAGCTGCAGGCATACTCCCATTCAGCTTCCCTATCTTAGTGCACCTGAAGGGAAAGAAAGGTGCTTATTAAGGCCCATCGTTTTACTGGGGCCCATTGTATGATGGTGAAGTTTGGCGGTTACCCAAAAGAATTTCCCCTCACCTCCCTCTGTGCCCGAGCTGTCTTATCTGTGTTTTACTGTCTGCTCTTTCTGGCTGCCTGTAGTTAGAAGAGAAGTGATTTCTTTGAAATGCATGAGGCTAGAAAGGGAGCTGAAACTTAAAGTGGCAGTGTTTGTCCAAGACGATGGTGCTCCTGCTCTGTCAAAAGGGAGTAAGGATTCTCCTGATACCTGAGGCATTTTTAAACAAGCTTTCTGGATATAATGGACTTGATTTTTCTAACTGGTGGTGGTCCTCAGAACTGGGAGGACTTGAAGCAAAGAATAAGAATCAAAGAATAAGAACATAATTTTTTATTAATAGTTGCGGTCAGAAATTCATAATTTTGGCTCTGACAAACATCTGACGGGGTTTCACCATGTTGGCCAGGCTTGTCTCAAACTCCTGGCCTCAAGTGATCCGCCCGCCTCGGTCTCCCAAAAGCTGGGATTACAGGCATGAGCCACTGCGTCCTGCCGGAAAGGGTAATTTTATATAATTTCATTAGGTATACTAATGGCCTAGATTCCTGTGACTCATTGTACAGTTGGACAGTTAAAGTACAAATTGATAATCTTCCAAGAGTAATGGCAAGCCAAGCCTAGATTCTGGTGTCCTAACTTATAGCCAGGGGCTTTCTCTGCCATATAATTTTTAAGTTAAGTACTAGACACTCTTAAATTCTTTGCACTATTATATCATTTGCTCCTTACAGCATTTCACAACTGAGGAGCACAGAGAGGGTAAGTAACCTTACCAAGGCTACTCAGCCAGTAAGTGGAGATGCAGGAATTTAAAACTAGGTAGTCTGACTCAAGTTCTGATCCCAGTTGAATGGTAATCATATTCTTCACAAAATCCTTTTTCAGATATTTTTGCCCAACTCAGATGCTCAGTGATATTGTTATTACAATAATGAGGTGTCATTATTTAAGATCTGAGAACAGGATATGTGAAGATGGAGGAGATGGAGGCTCCTGGCATTTTCATACCTAAGTTTTGTTACCCTTTAGAGAAAATCTTCTCTAGTGCTAAAATCAATCAGATGATGACCTTAAGTGCTTCAGATCTTAACAGGACCTGCAATTGGATAAACTGGGGATATGAGTCCCATATCATGATGAAGTAAGTTTCAGGACTGTAAGCAGAGGACCTGCTCTTACCAGGATCATGTTTTTGTTGTTGGACAGGTGAAAAAGACAATGAGTCCTGATGGGAACCACAGTAGTGATCCAACAGAGTTCGTCCTGGCAGGGCTCCCAAATCTCAACAGCGCAAGAGTGGAATTATTTTCTGTGTTTCTTCTTGTCTATCTCCTGAATCTGACAGGCAATGTGTTGATTGTGGGGGTGGTAAGGGCTGATACTCGACTACAGACCCCTATGTACTTCTTTCTGGGTAACCTGTCCTGCCTAGAGATACTGCTCACTTCTGTCATCATTCCAAAGATGCTGAGCAATTTCCTCTCAAGGCAACACACTATTTCCTTTGCTGCATGTATCACCCAATTCTATTTCTACTTCTTTCTCGGGGCCTCCGAGTTCTTACTGTTGGCTGTCATGTCTGCGGATCGCTACCTGGCCATCTGTCATCCTCTGCGCTACCCCTTGCTCATGAGTGGGGCTGTGTGCTTTCGTGTGGCCTTGGCCTGCTGGGTGGGGGGACTCGTCCCTGTGCTTGGTCCCACAGTGGCTGTGGCCTTGCTTCCTTTCTGTAAGCAGGGTGCTGTGGTACAGCACTTCTTCTGCGACAGTGGCCCACTGCTCCGCCTGGCTTGCACCAACACCAAGAAGCTGGAGGAGACTGACTTTGTCCTGGCCTCCCTCGTCATTGTATCTTCCTTGCTGATCACTGCTGTGTCCTACGGCCTCATTGTGCTGGCAGTCCTGAGCATCCCCTCTGCTTCAGGCCGTCAGAAGGCCTTCTCTACCTGTACCTCCCACTTGATAGTGGTGACCCTCTTCTATGGAAGTGCCATTTTTCTCTATGTGCGGCCATCGCAGAGTGGTTCTGTGGACACTAACTGGGCAGTGACAGTAATAACGACATTTGTGACACCACTGTTGAATCCATTCATCTATGCCTTACGTAATGAGCAAGTCAAGGAAGCTTTGAAGGACATGTTTAGGAAGGTAGTGGCAGGCGTTTTAGGGAATCTTTTACTTGATAAATGTCTCAGTGAGAAAGCAGTAAAGTAAAAGTGAAGAGTCTAGTAACTAGTCTTTTTTTTTTTTTTTTTTTTTTTTTTTTGAGAGAGAGAGAGAGAAAGTCTCACTCTGTCGCCCAGGCTGGAGTGCAGTGGCGCGATCTCAGCTCACTGCAACCTCCACCTCCTGGGTTTAAGCAATTCTCCTGCCTCAGCCTCCTGAGTAGCTGGGATTACATGTGCCCACCACCACACCTGGCTAATTTTTGTATTTTTAGTAGAGATGGGGTTTCACTCGATGACCAGGCTAGTCTCAAACTCCTGGCATCAAGTGATCCACCCACCTCAGCCTCCCGAAGTGCTGGGATTACAGGTGTGAGCCACCACACCTGGTCTTGTTGTCATTTTTAAAAATCATATTTTAAAATCCAAATATTCTCATTATCATGCTCCTTTCCGTCTTCATTATGGATATCACCAAAAGACTGAATTCTGGAACTACTAATGAATTCTCAGGTCATCAATCCACCTTCTTCTCTTTCAGGCAAAATTTCTTGATCCTAGATCATACCTAATAATAATAATACTTATTATTATTATTGATATATCGTGATCAATATCATCGCCACTTCCTAAGACCTTCCAACCTGTGAGTCTTAACCTATGGGTCCATGGTCATGTAGGGAATCTAAGGATGGGTTTCAGAAAATTTATATGCCCAATAGGTATCTAAATTTTATGTGCTTGAATATATATGCATTTGTCTGAGAAGAGGGACTGTAGCTTTAATTCAACATTTGAATCCATTCGTGCACTCTCCTCAAAAGCTAAAAACTGATTGCAAGTCTAAGTAGAGCCTTCCAACTGTTTATGCAAGTCAAGAATTTTAAGAAAAAATTCCTTATAGATATAAAATGAAATAAAAATAGATTATCTGTATATTTTTGTACATGCTTGTTAGAAAAATTTACATTTAATGCTAGAGGAAAAAGAGGTGAAGCAAATTTAATAAAGGGACTTAATTACTTCTCTGTGGTAATTCCAGGTGCTGTTGGGAAAGCAGATCAGTGAGGGATTTCATGAGTAATAGCATTTACTGTATTCTTCTAGTGTGCACTTTAGTACATTGATAAAGACATCTCCACTCGTTTTGTCATTGGATTATGTTTCATTCATTTGTTCATCTTTTTACATTCTTGTATCTGTTGTGTGAAATCTTCTTTTGTTTTTAGTAAAATAAGGAGCTTTAATATTAAAGAGTTAAGAATGCCACATAGGCTGGACACGGTGGCTCACGCCTGTAATCCTAGCCCTTTGGAAGGCCGAGACAGGCTGATCACCTGAGGTCAGGAGTTCCTAGACCAGTCTGGCCAACATGGCGAAACCCCGCCTCTACAAAAACACAAAAATTAGCCGGGCGTGGTGGCGGGCGCCTTTAATCCCAGCTACCAAAAAGGGTAATTTCATATAATTTCATTATATAAGGAGGCATTATATAAGGAGGCAGGAGAATCACTGAACCCAGGGGGCGGAGGTTTGCAGCGAGCCAAGATCGTGCCACTTCACTCCAGCCTGGGCGAAAGAGCAAAACTCCATCTAAAAAAAAAAAAAAAAAGAATGCCAAATGCCAAATATTGTTGTATCTACCAAGAACCAAACTTTGTAGTAAATTTTGTCTAGTTTATTGGACATTTGAAAAGGGATTCCTATTCATGGAAATCCCTTTGGAAATCTTGGAAACAAATATTTATTTATTTATTTATTTATTTATTTATTTATTTATTCATTCATTCATTCAGCAAAGGTCTGTGAAGAATCTTTGTTGAACACTGTGATATATGAATATATACAAAGATGAACAAGAATAAATTGTTTCTAACCTCAAGCAGCTTGAACTTTAGAGTTTAGAACTAAGGGACGGATAATAATTTAAGGAAATGTGGATGAGAAGGAGATTTACAAAAGGACATTGGAGATCTTATAAAAATTGGTTTACTCTTCCCAGTGCATTTTCTTGTTAGAGAAATTTTCACAGAGGTCATCATTCATTAAACAGGATTTGTCACGTTAGAGTGTGTGTACATAGGAACGATGTACAAAACATGTAAATATCAAGGTATCGACAGCATACTAAACTCAAAATAGTGCTGCAAAACTGGCAAAGTGCGTATTAGCGTCAAAAGAGTTAGCCATAAGCTTCAGTGGGCATGGAAAATAGAAATGTTTTTATCTAGTTCTATTCATAATGCATGCAAACACACTAGATAATTTTATTCCAAAATATTTCTGAGTACTAAAGGAATGGAAAGAATGATTCGAAGGTAAAAATAACTCTTCTGGAGTGATCTAGAAGTGTTGCCCAGAGAGGAGATGAAATATCGCCTTAAAAATTACCTAGTTTCATGAAACATAAAAATCTGAAGTCTATTCCAGCCACTGGCCAAGGAAAGGAATTCATGCAACAATTTACAGCATTTCTTGAAGTAATTGCCACATATTATGGCAATAAAGCATGTTAAACCATCCATTTTCAACATGTGTTTCATTGTGAAAAATAACTTTGGGCTCAATTTAATTCAATAAAATTTGTTGAATACTGTGTTCTAGGAAGTAAGTTGGTATGTTAGAGGTACAAATATTGGCCCCTGCCATCAAGGAATTCATAGACTTTTGGGGTAGACATAATACATATGAATATATAAATATATAATTTTTTTTCTGTTTTTGAGATGGAGTCTTACTCTGTTGTCCGGGCTGGAAACCAATGGCGTGATCTCAGCTCACTGCAACCTCTGCCTCCCGGGTTCAAGCGATTCTCCTGCCTCAGCCTCCCGAGTAGCTGGGATTATAGGCACGTGCCACCACACCCAGCTAATTTTGTATTTTTAGCAGAGACGGGGTTTATCCTTGTTGGTCAGGCTGGTCTGGAACTCCCGACCTCAGGTGATCTGCTAGCCTCACCCTCCCCAAAGTGCTGGGATTACAAGCGTGAGCCACCGCGCCTGGCTTCGAATTTCTATAAAGGTACCATGACAAGCGTCTTTATTCATACTATTATATGAAATAAATTTGCCTGAAATTTTGGTATGATGGTATGTGTAGATTGAGTGCGCATGTGAATGTGTGCATGCATATAACAGTGATACAAACTTGTGTGTCCATGAAAGTTTGTGATTAAATAAAAGAATAAATAAAAATCTGTTTATTGATATTTATTTCTAAGCTTTCCTTTCAAAGATCTTACCTTCATTGACATGAAATTTGTATTTTGTTTTTAAACATACAGTTAAGACAGAATATACTTAATTTAGAAGAAGTAGAAAATGCTTCTGTTTGCATCATTTTACATATAAAACTCTGAATAAGGCCAGGTGCAGTGGCTCACGCCTACAATCCCAGCATGCTGGGAAGCCAACAAGGGGGATTGTTTGAGCCTGGGATTTCGAGGCTACAGTCAGCCAAGATCGCATCACTGCACTCCAGCCTGGGCCAAAGGGTGAGACCTGGTCTCAAAAATTAAATAAATAAATGAAGCTCTTAATGACATCATTGATAATGACAATGATGCTAAACTCAGCAAGCATATGTTACTCTTTATACTTACCTCAGCAGAGTTTGGCACAACTGATCTTGTCCTCTTATTTGAAATAGTCAATGTGTTCTTTGTTATTTATTTATTTTATTTCAATTGTTTTGGGGGAACAGGTAGTTTTTGGTTACATGAAGTTCTTTAGCGGTGATTTCTGAGATTTTGGTGCACCCATCACCCGAGCAGTGTATACTGTAGGCAATATGGAGTCTTTTATCTTTTAGTGCCCTCCCACCATTTCCCCAAGTTCCCAAAGTCCATTATTTCCTCCTTATGCCTTTGCATCCTCATAGCTTAGCTCTCACTTGTAAGTGAGAACATACAATATTTGGTTTTCCATTCCTGAGTTATTTCACTTACAATAATGGTCTCCAACTCCATCCAATGCCATTATTTTGTTTCTTTTTATGGCTGAGTAGTATTCCATGGTGTATATGTACCACTTTATTTTTGTTTTTTTGAGCCGGAGTCTCACTCTGACACCCAGGCAGGAGTGCAGTGGCACGTTCTTGGCTCACTGTAACCTCTGCCTCCTGGATTCAAATGATTCTCCTGCCTCAGCCTCGCGAGTAGCTGGGATTACAGGCATGCACCACCATAGCTGGTTAGTAGAGACAGGGTTTCACCATGTTGGCCAGGCTGGTCTCTAACTCCTGGCCTCAAGTGATCCACCCACCTCCATCTCCCAAAGTGCTGGAATTACAGGCGTGAGTCACCATGCCCGGCCAATATAGCACATTTTCTTTATCCACTCATTTGTTGATGGACATTTATGTTGCTTCCATATTTTTGCACTTGCAAATTGTGCTGCTGTAAATAAACATGTGTATGCAAGTGTCTTTTTCATATAATGCCTTCTATTCCTTTGGGTAGATACTCAGTCGTGGGATTGGTGGATTGAATGGTAGTTCTACTTTCAGTTCTTTAAGGAATCTCCATATTGTTTTCCATAGTGGTTGTACTAGTTTACATTCCCACCAGCAGTGTACAAAATGTTCCTTTTTTTACCACATCCACCCCAACATCTATTATTTTTTGATTTTTAAATTATGGCCATTCTTGCAGGAGCAAGGTGGTATCTCACTGTGGTTTTAATTTGCATTTCCCTGATAATTAGTGATGTTGAGTATTTTTTCATGTTTATTGGCCACTTGTATATCTCCTTTTGAGAAATGTCTATTCATGTCCTTTGCCCACTTTTTCATGGGATTATTTACTTTTTTCTTGCTGATTTGTTTTATTTCCTTGTAGATTCTGGATATTTGAATCCTGTGTTGGATGCATAGTTCGTGAATATTTTCTCTCACTCTGTGGGTTGTCTTTTACTCTGCTGATTATTTCTTTTGCTATGCAGAAGCTTTTTAGTTTAATTAGGTCTCATTTATTTTTGTTTTTGCTGCATTTGCTTTTGGGTTCTTGGTAATGAATTATTTGCCTAAGTCAATGTTTAGAAGAGTTTTTCTGATGCTATCTTCTAGAATTTTTATGATTTCAGGTCTTTGATCCATCTTGAGTTGATTTTTGTATAAGATGAGAGATGAGAATCCAATATCATTCCTTTACATATGGCTTGCCAATTATCCCAGCACCATTTGTTGAATAGGGCGTCCTTTCCCCACTTATGTTTTTGTATGCTTTGTCAAAGATTAGTTGACTGTAAGTAGTTGGTTTTTTTTCTGGGTTCTCTATTCTGTTACATTGGTCTACATGTTTTGTTTTGTTTTACTGGTACCACGCTGTTTTGGTAACTGTAGCCTTGCAGTATAGTTTGAAGACAGGTAATGTGATGCCTCCAGATTTGTTCTTTACACTTAACTTTGCTTGGGGGCTATGCAGGCTCTTTTTTTGGATTCATGTGAATTTTAGGATTTTTTTTTCTAGTTCTGTGAAGAATGACGATGGTATTTTTATGGGAATTGTATTGAATCTGTAGATTGCTTTTGGCAGTATGGTCATTTTCACAATGTTGATTCTATCCATCCATGAGCATGGGATGTGTTTTCATTTGTTTTTGTCATCTATGATTTCTTTCAGCAGTGTTTTGTAATTTTCCTTGTAGAGATCTTTCACCTCCTTGGTTAAGTATATTGCTAATTATTTTATTTTTTATTTTTGAAGCTGTTGTAAACAGGATTGAGTTCCTCATTTGATTCTCAGCTTGGTCGTTGTTGCTGTATAGCAGTGCTACTGACTGTGTACGTTGTATTGTATCCTGAAACTTTCCTGAATTCAATTGATGACATCCAGGAGCTTTTTGGATGAGTCTTTAGGGTTTTCTAGGTATTCGATCATATCATCAGCGAACAGTGACAGTTTGACTTCCTCTTTTCCAATTTGGATGCCCTTTATTTTTTTCTCTTGTCTGATTGCTCTGGCTAGAACTTCCAGTACTATGTTGAATAGAAATGGTGAAAGTGGGCATGGCATCCTTGCCTTGTTCCAGGAGGAATGCTTTTAACTTTTCCCTGTTCAGTATGATGTTGGCTGTGGGTTTGTCATAGATGGCTTTTGTTACCTTGAGATATGTCCCTTCTATGCTGATTTTGCTGATGGTTTTGATCATAAAGGGATGCTGGATTTTGTCAAATGCTTTCTTCTGCATCTATTGAGATAATCATATGATTTTTATTTTCAATTCTGTTTATGTGATGTATCACAGACACTATATCCAACTTCCTGTTGGGCCTATCCACTGGTAGTCGTTCAGCAAAGACAAAGTACCAGGCTAGACATCTCACCTTTCCCACCCGCCAACCAACCTGGAAGTCAGAGCATGTTGACAGATTCTTCCTTCTCTCCTCCCTTCCTGTAATCATCACAAAACCCTTTATTTTCCTCTGGACACATAACTCTTCGAGGGGAAACCTCAGAAAGGACAAATATAACTGGGCTAGATGAAATCCTGTTAAAGATTCCTTTCTTTTTCGAGACGGAGTTTTGCTCTTGTTGCCCAGGCTGGAGCGCAATAGCGCAGTCTTGGCTCACTGCAATCTCTGCCTCCTGGTTTCAAACAATTCTCCTGCCTCAGCCTCCCGAGTAACTGGGATTACAGGCGTGCGCCACCACGTTTGGCTATTTTGTATTTTTAGTAGAGATGGGGTTTCACCAAGTTGGTCAGGCTGGTCTCGAACTCCTGACCTCAGGTGATCCACCCACCTGGGCCTCCCCAAAGTGCTGGGATTACAGGCATGAGCCACCGCGCCTGGCCTAAAGAATCCTTTCTAAACAAGCAGTTTAGAAAGACAAGCAACTTTGAAGCGCCGGTCATCCCAGCAGTTCATATCGAGGACAGCTTCTTCACTCCAGAATCGAACAACACTCAAGGATTATAGGTAGACACCCAACAGTAGAACGTGTTGATTTTTCAGGTGAGCCATCAAAGAGCTAATGGGTCTGGTGGATTCTTGTCAGAAGTGAAAAAAACAACTATTCCTATGTTATACTATGTTTTCGAAAATAACACCTGGAAATAATCGAATTGCGCTTCCTTGAACAAAATGAATGTCTGTGTCCTGTAAACCCTCAAGTTCCCAGGGCTGCGACTTCGCATTCGAACGATGCAACAGCGCTTGCAACTGTCGGAAAGGCAGTCTCACTACAACAACCAAGAGTGCAACACTGCGCTGCGGAGCAGGCGCCAAGGCCAGGGCAGGGGCTAGACTCCATCCCGCGGCTGGATCACCGCGCGGTCAGGGTCTCAGAAAGCGGGTTCTATTGGGACATTGTGACCCTAACACGCCTTCAGGTAGCAATCTTTTCCATACGAAGTGACCTAGTGAAAAGTGCACTAGTTTGTTCCACACAAAATACTGGGTAAGAACTGCCCGAACACTCTGCTCCTGACAAAAGATCCTGTCAGAGCCCGTCAGGGAACCCCGATCTGTGATGAAGACCTTGGCCCTTCGCAGCGTCTTCGTTGTCTTTGATTCTTTCAGCGAAAGTAGCCGCAATTTGCTCAACAATCTCATCCCCCATAGGTCGAGGTTGAAGAGGGCTAGGTGACCTAGCCGTAGCGCCGATTGCAGTATTTGTTAACTACTGACTTTAAAGAGAGAAAGATGAAACGGAAAGGAAAGTAAAGGGGCTCGTCCGGGATTTGAACCCGGGACCTCTCGCACCCAAAGCGAGAATCATACCACTAGACCAACGAGCCAGAACTGGAGAGATTCTATTCTTTAAGAGTGTTCATTTATTTTTTTAGTTGTAGCACAACACTTGAACAGTTTTGATTCCTTTAGAATCTAGTGATTTTCTCCAGACTCCAGGAAAGTCAACGTGCGGGTTCAGAAGGATCCGAGACGCAGCGTTCCGAAGGTAGAAACGTTCATTTCGGGATCCGGGCCGAGCTGTGTCGGTCAATGCACAGGAAGGGTCTGTATACTCAAAGGGACTAGAACCATCTCAGGCGGCCTGTGGTTGGAAGACCCACGAAAAACACGAACGACCGATTTCACTCACCGAAAGATAAAGGTCACCGCGGGACTGGCAGGGGAAAAGGTCGAACCAACATTACCAAGATGTTGAGCTCTAAAAGCCACTACCTCAGACCTCTCGCCTACAGCACCCAGCACTCCACGTGGGTGCTTTGGCCATTCCCTTTCAGCTTTAGTTGATTACCTATGTATTATAGGTTTAGATTTAAGGCGTCTTTCAAGGGCGCCCAGGAGGTGCCGTCGGGGAAAAGTTGCTGTCTGCCCACACTCTCTTCTGTAGAAGCCCACTCCTCTACCACTCAAAAGGTGGTGGGTGGGTGGTGGGGGGGACGGTTGTCCTTACTCTGTAGCCTCTTCTGCTTGGGAACCGAAGCTCCCGGGCTCTTGCTCTAACCTCTCCAGGGCGCATCAGTGTCTGCCTTGATCACATTGCTTGCCCTGCGCCAAGCTGGCTCCCGGCCAGTGGGAGCTGTCCAGTGAATGACTGAGCCTCCTGGTCAGGCTGACACCAAAGGAGAGAAAAGAAGAGAAACTCTTCCGCCCCAACCTTCCCATGCGACGACGCCACTTTTATTCTTTCTGGACTTCAAGTTGGCGCTTAGAAAAGCCTGGAGGCCCAAAGAGAAGGAGCTGCCTTCCGACTCCGAGATGCTAGGAAGAGGAGTGTTAAAGGACCAAGAAAAGGGCTGGACCCCTTCTAGCCACCTCTGCTTCAGGTAACTTAGAGGAATCTGTGACCAAGCCGGACTCCGCTGAAAGGCTGGGGGAGATCTGGAAGCCTTGGCGCCCTCACTGCGTCCACCCCCAAACTCTGAAGGTCCGAGGGGTACGTCCTGTGCTTGAAGACAGCCGCCTCCCTTTTAAAAACAACCCCAATCTCAGACTAAGAGAGTTGGACTAAGAATCCAAGCGGGTTGGGGGGAACCTCTCTGATCACTACTGCATTCTCTTCTGTAATGAAACGCACCCTGACCCTGATGTTGCTCGGCACTTGGGACTTGTCAAGCCTGAAGCTGGGGAGCATGTATCGTGGAGCATGCGTTTTTAAGATAACAATATATATTAAATGTCTTTTATGGTTTGTTTGTTCGTTTTTGATGAGCAAGCAAGCTGAAAACTCATCTCTTTTAAAGAACGTAAGTCATTTGTCTATCGAAACACATACTTTTAATTTTTGTAATAAAAACAGAGCCACTTTCAAAAGACAATAATTCAACTGTCTCCAAAGAAGCAAATAATCCAGAACTTAAAAGTTGGAATAAATAATCATCACTTTTTATTAAATAATTTTGTTATTCCCCATTTTACCCTTACAGTGACTTGCATTCCAGTCCGAGCCTGGTCAAGAAAATGTTTCTTTCTTATACGTAAGAGGCACGTCCTTCAAAAATTCCTTTTAATTTATTTCTTAAACTTTATTTAGACTTAAACACTATTTACCTAGGATTTTAGCTGCATAATAGATTGATTGTTAAATGTTTGCTCTCTGTGGCGGCTCCATAGCTCAGGGGTTAGAGCACTGGTCTTGTAAACCAGGGGTCGCGAGTTCAAATCTCGCTGGGGCCTCGGCTGTAGGAATACTTTTCCCAAGCAAAAGAGCAGGAGCTTTTTAGCCTTTTCAACGCTGAAACAAACTAGTGAAGAAAGGAAGCATTTTATGATCTTTCCATGAAAGCCAGATCCTGGATTTGAGACGAAAAAGTACAGCGTCGGGATCCTATGAACGATACTGGGAAAATAGGTGTTTGTACGCTGCAGTAAGCGAGGAAGAAACTAGACTGTTCACGTCTCTGGGAGAAAAATGTTACACTTGGTCCATACCTCTGTGTTTGTGGGGAACAGATCTAATCTAATCTGCTGATAGCCATGACTCCCGGAGTCCTGCGCACTTCTCCACTTGTAGCCTGCCTGGTGGTCCCTTCCTGCGCTCCTGGGGCGAAAACTGGCTCGCAGATTACTCTGAGGGCAGCCTAGTTCAGAAGCTATGCAGATTCACCCCAAGCCGGTGGCTTCTGCTCTGTTTCCATTCTCACTACCTCCGACTCAGATCTCACTTCCTACTGCCTCAAGGCTGCTCCCGGGACTCAGTTAACTATAGACCTGGCTCTCTGGAACTTCTTGAACAGTAATCTGAGCCCAAATGCAAAGAAGTCAGGAGTCTCACCAGCCGCTACTCAATGCACAAAAATCTACGCTAACGAATGTCACAGACACTTTCCGATAGCTCACCTGGTAGAGCGGAGGACTCTAAGAATTTCCAACTACGGCCATCCTTAAGGTGGCCGGTTCGATTCTCTCTGTGTTTTCATGCTTCAGTCTACTCAGCCAACGAAAGGTTTTATTAATGTATCCTCCTAATCCAAAGACTGTGAAGCAGTAATTTGAATTATATTTTCAGGCAACAAAAGAACATTTAATGCGTCCTCTGTGATTCTGCAGCAGGTGTGATTCTGCAGTAGATGTGATTCTGTTTACTCACAAGGTGTTAATTAAAGACGTTCTTTTTAGATTTGAATCCATCTCCTAATCTGTAAGACTAGTTAACGTTGAGTGGATAATGGATAACATCCCTCAACTTCACCCCCAAACCCTACACTTTTTCATTTCCGTGAATAATTCATACTGGACAATTCAGGGTTCAAGGAGAAATACTTTAGAAAGGCCTGCCCCTCAAAAGGATCTAAACAAACGATACCGAGAATAAGCAAAAGGTCAAGTATGCATATGGAAAATGTTCCTTCCTTAATAAGAAATCAAATTGGAAACTATTTATTAATATCTAATACTGATAAGAACATTCTTGTAGAATGTCATGGCTTTCTGGAGGACAGTTGGGCATTATAAATCAAGAACTCTAAAAAGACATTGTATTTTATCAAGCATTCTATTTCTACTTTTAGAAATTTATTATTCGAAAATGAAAAAGGATATATGCCAAAATCTGTTTATCTGTGGGTGATTGATATTCTTTATACTTTTATGTATTTTTCAAAATGTGCCACTTGTATACATTACATAAAAAAACAGTTTTTTACTTTATAAAATAAAGTTTAAAAATACCCAGTGCCATTATGGTAGACAATTTTTGCGGTTTCTTACAAAACCAAATACATGTTTCTCATACAATAAGCAATCACACTCATAGGTACTTACCCAAATGAGTTGAACATATGTCCACACAGTACCCTTCACGTTAATGTTTATAGCAGCTTTATGTATAATTGCCAAAACTTGGAAGCAACAAATATATCCTTTAACAGGGGAATAGACAAACTGTGCTATATCCAGACAATGGAATATTAATCAGCCCTTAGAAGATATGTTATCAAGACATAAAAAGACATGGAATTAAATTTAAAGGCATATTACTAAGTAAAAGAAGCCAATCTGAAATGCCCATATACTGTATGATTTCAACTATATGACATTCTGGAAAAGGCAAAACAATGTAGACAGTAAAAGCATCAGCGGTTTCCAGGAGTTAGGTGAGAGGGATGAACATGTGGACCACAGAAGACTTTTAGGGCAGTGAAACTACTTTGTATGGTGTTACAATAGTGTATATATGTCATGATTATGATGCATTTGTTCAAACTCATAGAATGTACAGTACCAAGAGTGAATCTTGATTTAAACTACAGACTTTGTTTAATAATGGTGTATCAATGTTAGTTGTAACAAATGTACCATACTGGTGCAGGATGTCCTTGATGAGGGAGGCTGTGGGGACAGAGAGCAGAATGTAGGAACTCTCTGTACTTTCCACCCAATTTTGCTGTAAACTTAAAACTGCTCTTGGATGTAAAATCTATTAACTTTTTAAAAAACTTGGTGACTTAAGTAATTCACAGTTTAGTTGAAGTAACAGAATAGATAATGCTGTGTTGATATATTGATACTGCCATAAACGTTTACAAAACGATATAGGACCACATTTAAGACAATGAAAAGGAGTGATCAGAATGGTGAGGAGAAACTAACTGAAGAGAGCTTCCTGAAGTTGAATTTTGAGCTAGAATTTGACAGAAATATTGACGCATGCTTAAGTGAGTTAAGGGAGCTTTCCGATATGTGTGTGTGGAGACAGATGTGTTGGGGGAAATGCCAGTCAGAGTGCCGGAGAGGAGTAGGGGTAGGTGATGTGGCAGGGGTGGTAGAGTAGAGCTGGAGGAGCGGCTGGTACTGTCAAGAGGAACAAGAGGAGGGGACAGAAGGAAGGATAGAGGTTCAGGATCATTTTGGTGGTGCAGAAGTGATGCAGGCAGAAAAAAGGCAGGGATGGTGAGTGGCATGAGTGAGGGGAGATAGAAACAAGTCGGCATCCTTCCATCAACAGGAGAGGGAATTAACTGAAAACTAAGGGACAGTGAAAAGAGCAAAACAATATAAACAAAAACGTTCCGAGGTGGTGCTGTTGAGAGTCTGGGGAATGCTAGTGTCCTTGGTGGATGTAGAGAATGCTGGAATGTGGAAAATCCTGGCCTGACTGGGGAGGAGGAGTGGGAGAAAGAATGGAGGAAGTTTCAGTTCATTTTGTTTCAATGGAAATGATGGCCTCTATGCAGCTGAAAACATCGAGCTAGGTAGATCAGGTTTCTGGGAGTCACTAGAGGGAGATGAACAGAAAAACAAAAATTAACCCAGTCTCAAGATAATGCACAGAATTACGTTTCAGGAAGAAGGGAAAACAAACCGTCAGCCTGAAATAATCAAAAGGGTAAGACTAATTTAAAGAGAGTTTACTCAAGCCAAAACTGTGAGGATGAGCCACATGGAAAAACCAGCTCCAAAGGAATAGGGTCAGCATTCCGAAGTAGGAAAGTTGAGGTTTCATTTGTATAGGCAGAGACAGAGGAGTTTTTAGCAGGATTACAACATTATTCATTATTCATACACAGTTCATACAAGGTTGGCACATAGTTACAGCCATTTGATTGGTTACAGGCAGTGTTTCTTTTTGGCAAGGGTGCATTTAACATTTTTTGCAGAGGGCATAATAATCATGGGTTTTCTGTTATCTGGTCTAAGCAAACAAAGCAGGACAAGACAAGGGAAATTCATCTGTAACGAGGGTCATTAATTAAGAAGACTGTAGGTTTTTGTTCTTGATGTCGTTTAATTCTCTCTGGTACACACAGAACAAGAAAAATAAGAAAGTACATTAATCTATGATCTGAGAACAGAAGTTGTAACCATATGTGACTCAGACGGCATTCACATCTCTCTGAAGGCTTAGAGCATTGTGGCGGTGGGTGGGTGGGGGGGTTCCAACAACTTTTAAATTTGATTTATTTTCATAAAACAGAATTGGAAGACAGAACAATTGCCTTGTGGAAAAAGGAAGAACAATGATATGGAAATTATGCAAACAGGGAATTTTATAAAAGTGCCAGGAAGGTCCAATTTATCCACAGATATAGAGATATTTTCCCCCAACTAGGCACTGGGAGCAAAACATGCCTTGTCTCTCGATTTCCGAGAGAAACAAAACAAAAGGCTTCTTTTGTGAAGATCTTGCGGGCCCAAGATATTTCTTGGTGATAGGTATGTGAAAAGGAAGGGGACTGGTCTGGAGGAGTCATCAAAGTGAAATGGAAGATGTTATGGGAGTGCCCGAAAGAGGATTTTGAATGAGGAGGGAGGAAGATATAAAAAGGAGGGCAGAGTCAAAAAGTGGCATGAGGCTGGGTGCCCAGGAGTTCCAGATCACCCTGGGCGACATAGACAGACCATTATCAGCTCCCCCGCCCCTCCCCACTCCCTCCCAACCCTTCGGCTCTACCAAAACAAACAAACAAACAAACAAACAAGCAAACAGCCGGGCGTGGGCGTGATAGTGCAGAAGTGTGATCCCAGCTCCTTGGGAGACAGGCGGGAGGATCGCTTGAGCCCGGGAGATGGAGGCTGCAATGAGTAGTGATCGCACCACTGCACTCCAGCCTGGGTGGCATGACACTTGGTTCTTGCACAGAGTCGCAGTTCTCTGCTCAGTTTCTTTCTTTCATTCCTCATGTCACGGCAGTGAAATCTCTCCCCGAGGAAACTGTCCGGCCAAATCCATGAGCACTTCTGTAGGTGACGGGCTGTAGTGGCTGAAAAACGCAGTAGGACAACCATTCTGAGACGATACCACTAAATAGGCCCTGAGTGTACCCCCTCTGATTTTCCACAGTGGGTTAGTTTCTACGCGAATATTGTAGCTGGGTAGTTCAGAAACCTGAACAGTCGCCACCACCGTGACCTGATTCACTGGGAAGGGGCAGGAGGGTGACTAAACCCACGTTTACAGACGCCCCCTGGGCCCAATGAATGGAGTTAGTCAAGAATCCGCTTTGAAGTGTTTTTGAATCACCAACTCAAAATAACTGTTTACTTGTCTTCTCCCCATTCCCCATGAGGTAACGATGCCTGAATGAGAACATGAACCTTGCTGAGTTTATTTTTTAGACGGAGTCTTACTCTGTCGCCAGGACTAGGGTGCAGTGGCGCGATCTTGGCTCACTGCAACCTCCGCCTCCCGGGTTCAAGCGATTCCCCTGCCTCAGCCTCCCGAGTAGCTGGGAGTACAGGTCCGTCCGCGCCACCACCCCCGGCTTTGGTATTTTTTTTTTTTACTAAGGACGGGGTTTCACCATGTTGGTCAGAATGGTCTCGATCTCCTGACCTCTTGATCCGCCCGCCTCGGCCTCCCAAAGTGCTGGGATTACAGGCGTGAGCCACTGCGCCCGGCCGCTGAGTTTTTGCTTTCTGCATCCATCCGTCCGTCCATCTGTCCATGCATCCATCCATCATGTTCAATTACAAAAGTAACGTGATTAGAACCAAAACAGGGTCTAGGCAGGATATTTCGCGAGCACAGAGCTGCAACTCCTAAAGCAGTGCCGGCCGCGGGCTGATGGGACCAATGGGAAAGTTTCTGCAAAAACTTCCTGACCACCTTATGCTTAAACTAGGTAATGACAATGATTCAATGTGAGCGTGTATTTTAGATGAGAACTGAGCTTTCCTGATTGCGGGAACCCAAATGGTGCAGTGCAAAAACTGGGGTCCAGAGAGTCAGTACAACGGATAAAGTAGGAGACCGCGAGCGAGAAGGCCTCCCTGCCTAACCGAAAGAAATGCCAATTGGAAATCAGGATTTTAATTACGAATGCAGAATTCAGAGGAACTGATGCTGTGTAATCCGGGAGAATCCTGGGAAAGGAAGATTTAATTATTTTACTAGTTAGAAAGTGTTAGTACTTCAGGATCCTTGTTGTGCTAAAACGTACCACTGGCAGTGGTGGGATTCGAACCCACGCCCCCGAAGAGACTGGAGCCTAAATCCAGCGCCTTAGACCGCTCGGCCACACTACCACACACGTTATAGGAGTTTGCAATTACCTTCTTCATTCTGTCAGCATTTTGCCCCAGCGTACAAGTGCAAAATTCTGAATTTTCTTCGCGGAAGCAGGGTTCCGGATAGCATTTTCATTCATCCTTAGGGATCTAAGCAAACTCAAGGAGAGGAGGAATTACTGAATTCTCACTCGCCCTGGGAAGTGGGCTAGCAGGTAATGGAAGATTATTAGCGTCAATGTCTTTGGAAGACCTTTATCTTTTCTTTAACCTAGGCAATAAAACACGGAGACTTTAAAAATCCTACTGGTGATTTGAAAGTTATTCGAGAAGACTGAAGAATAAGAACTCCTTGCTGTTGGATCGTGGTTCTGTGGGTACAAATATTGCTTAGAGTGCCATGGGGTCGAAGTTCACGTCACTTATTAGGCGCCCTTTCGTTCACAGACCTGTAAGCCTGTCACCGCGTTCAAAGGAAACTCGATGGCCGCTCCCTCCTGCAGTTTGAGCAAGGAGAGGTTGGGTTGGGCAATTGCCGGGTTTCTTGTTGAGGAAGAAGGCCGCTCTGCACGCTCGGGTAGACCGACGCCTACGCCCATGGCAGTAGCACGGCTCCCCAGAGGGAGGTCACATTCCAAGGGCATCCCCAGCGCAGAAAGGGTGGTCCCGGGCTTCCCTGGAGCCCTGGTGCTGCTCATTCTTTTTCTTTTCTTTTCTTTTTTTCTTTTCTTTTCTTTTCTTTCTTTCCTTTCTCTCTCTCTCTCTTTTCTTTCTTTCTCTCCTTCCTTCCCTCTTTCCTCTCTCTCTCTCTCTGTCTCTCTCCCTCCCTTTCGGCAGTATGGCTATTTTCATGATGTTGATTCTTCCTATCCATGAACATGGACTGTTTTCCGTTTGTTTGTGTCCTTTCTGATTTCCTTGAACAGTGGTTTGTAGTTCTCTTTGAAGTGGTCCTTCACTTCCCTTGTTAGCTGTATTGCTAGGTATTTTATTCCCTTTGAAGCAATTGTGAATGGGAGTTCATTCCTAATTTGGCTCTCTACTTGCCTGCTGTTTTTTGTTTGTTTGTTTGTTTTGTTTTGTTTTTTGACGGCGTCTCTGTCGCCCAGGCTGGATAGGCAACACCCATGGCAGTGGTGCCATCTCGACTCACTGCAACCTCCGCCTCCAGGGTTCAAGCGATTCTCCTGCCTCAGCCTCCTGAATAGCTGGGAATACAGGCGTCCACCACCACGCCCGCCCGGCTAATTTTTTGTATTTTTAATAGATATGGGTTTTCACCATGTTGGCCAGGCTGGTCTCGAACTGCTGATCTCAGGTGATCCACCCGCCTCAGCCCCACAAAGTGCTGGGATTACAGGCGTGAGCCGCCCCACCCGGCAGCTTGTCAGCTTTCTTAAGCTTTTGGGCTGAGATGAGGCGGTTTTCTCGATACAGGATCATGTCATCTGCAAACAGGAAGAGTTTGACTTCCTCTCTTCCTATTTGAATGCCCTGTATTTCTTTCTCTTGCTTTATTGCCCTGGTCAGAACTTCCAATACTATGTTAATACGTGTGGTGAGAGAGGGCATCCGTGTTTCGTGCCGGTTTTCAAGGGGAATGCTTCCAGCTTTTGCCCATTCAGTATGATGTTGGTTGTGGGTTTGTCACACATGGCTTTTATTATTTTGAGGTATGTTCCTTTAAAACTTAGATTATTGAGGGTTTTTAACATGAAGGGATGTTGAATTTTACAGAAAGCCTTTTCTGCATCTATTTCATGTGTTGTAACATTTCTTTCTAAAGGAGCAGAGGGAAAGCTAGAAAACGGTTTCAGAGGTGATACTTGGGGTCTCCCGCACCCAAAGTGGGAATCACTGACCTGCGAACAACCCCACTCGGCGCAAAGCCCTGGATTATGTATTATTTATATTCTTTGCTGCTGTTCCCACTTGGCTGTTTTCTTGGTCTGTGGATCCAGAAATTCTCCTGGGAGCCTAATTAAAGTTGCCTAATTTTAAGTGCTCTCTCTGTCCCCCATCTCAATCACTCAAAAAAACCACAACCCTTTCTCGCCTCTCCTGGCTCTAGGCCTCTGAGGTCTCTCCCCAAGCCCTGGTGGCCCAGCGGGTCAGGTTGAGGGCGAATAGAGAGGAAAAAAGCGTTCTTCCCTGGGTCTCCGCGGGGGCGAAGGTCCTGCGAGTTCACGGTCACCGCTGCCAGGAGTTGGGGGAGGCGAGCAGAAAGGAAGTTCTTAAAAAGCAGCTTTAAAATAGGGCTCAGGGAGCACCGCATAAACGTAGAACCCAGGCAGGGAAGCGGGGGCGGCATAGGAAAGGGCAGGGACGTTCGGAGGTCGGAGGCAGGCTCTCCTCCCGCGCCCCCCCGCAACTCTAGTCCGGGCTCCCCGCGGTGCCTCCCAAACTCACCCCGTGTTACATCCCCCTCTTCACGCCTCGTCACCCTCTGGCGCCAGCACCCTCCTCACCAACCTCCAGCTCACCGGCAATCTAAGCTCACTGGGTACCCACCGTTGGCCCTGACCAGGTCTCTTTCTCCCTAGAAGGAGGAAGTCAGCACCCAAGGCCAGCAGGCAGCATCTCGTAGGTTTTGAATCCAGCAGGATGGTCAAAGATATGGCCTCCTACGCATCACTTAAGACGGAGAGATTAAAATACCCGTCGCCAGCCCCTTTGGCTGAATGTATGACTACTAAGAAATTTCACGTTGTGTTTTCAAGCTTTGGAGGAAGCCTTAGGGGAAAAGGAGTGTGAGCTTACTGCCTCCATCAGTACACGCAAGTCTTTGCCAGGGTCAGAAGTGGAAAGACTAATGTTCTTCTTAAGCTGGAGAGAATCCTAGGAATCCTGTGCCACCATCTCAGTGTGCAGGCCGGGGAAGCATCAGCTTGAAAGAAAAAAAGAAAGATCCTGGGGCTCTTTACGACTTGAAAGAGCTGTGCAGGGTGAATGGGAGGGGAGATAACAAATATTTAAAATATCTGTTGAGCTATTATACCTAGAATTGAGCCAATAAGAGACTTAGGGCACATGAATGGGTCTCATATTGAAACTTTTGATGAGCTCTCCAGATGAGATTTTACAGTCACATTTATGTCTCTGTGTTTCAGTGCTAGTCTGATAAACATACCTGCTATGGTTTGAATATGGTTAATTTGTCCCCACTAGAACTCATGTCGAAATTTGATTTCCAATGTGTCAGTGTTGGGAGATGGGGCCTAGTGGGAGGTGTTTGGATCACAGTAGTAAATTCCTTATGAATGTCTTGGTGCCCTTCTCTCTGTAGTGTGTGAGTTCTGGCTCTGGTGAGATTGGATTACTTCCTTTGGGAATGGATTAGTTCCCTGGGAGAGTGGGTTGTTATACAGCCAAGAGGCCCTCACTTTTTTTTTTCTTTTTTTCTCTTTGTATGTGTCTGCTTCCCCTTTGACCTTCTCTGCCTTGTTTTGACCTAGTGTAGTGGCCCTCCCCAGAAGCCTGGCTGATGCTGGTAACATGCTTCTCCTACTTCCCAGGCTGCAGAACTGTGAGCTAAATAAACCTCTTTCTTTCTAAATTACTCAGCCTCATGTATTCTATTACAGCAACACAAAACGAACGAAGACAATACTCATTTGGCCAGGTGTGGTGGCTCACGCCTGTAATCTCGGCATTTTGGGAGACTGAAGCAGGCACATTGCTTGAGGTCAGGAATTCGAGACCAGCCTGGACAACATGTCAAAACCCCGTCTCTACTAAAAATACAAAAATTAGCCGGGCATGGTGGCATGTGCCTGTAATCCCAGCTACTCAGGAGGCTGAGGCAGGAGAATCGCTTGAACCCAGGAGATGGAGGTTGCAGTGAGCCGAGATCGCACCACTGCACTCCAGCCTGGGCAACAGAGATTCCATTTAAAAACAAAAACAAAAACAAATAAACAAAAAAAATCATAATACTCATTTAAATAACCCATAGTTTCTCTATGTGTTGACTTTTTTTTTTTAAATATGAAGATTCTCAAGTGATGGAAGTGGCCTGAGCTCATTTTGATCTGTTTTAGTGCCAGATCAGGCAATAAAAGGAAGCAGTCAACAGGAAAGAACCTATCATCACAGCAGAGCCCTCTTTGATCCTGGAATGCTGCAGGTTCAAATTCCTCAAACTGACAGGCGTCAGAGCACTTTCTTATCAAGAAAGTACCACACTCTCCTGTTCCTGGCTGAAGTTCCTTTGCTAACAAGTGGGCATAGCTTCTCCTATTCAATTTCCTATTCAGTGTTGCTGGAGTACCTATTTCCCACCTTGTGCTCACAGGATCCTTCAGTAGGGAGGGAGGAAACTTGGCCTGTTCCTTTCAAGAAGTGGATCACATGTTGGATTGCACAGCTCAAACAGTAAGTGCCCTGAGACCCATAAGCCAGGTGTCTTGGCTTTCCTAGTAGAATGCCAAATTTGCTGCATACTTGATTGCCCAATATCTAAAGCAAATAGATAACCACCCTTTTGGAAAGATGCCTGATACAAATACATGCAATGTGTTCGTCTGGCTGGCACATGTCTATTCCTTCAGTCTTCAGCACAGAATGCTGATATTCTAGGCTCTAGCATTCTGTAATATTGTCGGAGAGTTTAACCTTGAATTTCTTGCTATCCATACCTTGTTAATAGTTCAGATGATGAAAATTTATAGATAAGCAAGAGATTTACTTTAAGGCCTTAATATGCAAAGTGTGATTGGGGACCAGCAGCATCAGCATCTTTTGGTAGCAGATTAGAAATGCAGAATCTCAGGCCTACTGAATCAGAATCTTAACAAACTCCCCAAAAGTTAGAGTATGCATTAAATTTTGAGAAATACTCTATGTACCAACTTCTGTATCAGATGTTCTATGTTCATTTAGAGCATCTGAAAATTCCCACCAGAATCTTTCTGGATCAGTCTGCAGCAGAAGACACGCACTACATTGCAATGTAAAGCTCTGTTCCTAGCTCCAATAGAGAGCCATGCCCCAGTCTGGGCATGGTGGCTCATGCCTGTAATCCCAGCACTTTGGGAGGCCTAGGCGGGCGGATCACGAGGTCAGGAGTTCAAGACCAGCCTAACCAACATGGTGAAACCCCGTCTCTACTAAACATACAAAAATTAGCCGGGCGTGGTGTTGTGCGCCTGTAATCTCAGCTACTTGGGAGGCTGAGGCAGGAGCATTGCTTGAACCTGGGAGGCGGAGGTTGTGGTGAGCTGAGATCGTGCCATTGCACTCCAGCTTGGACAATAAGAGTGAAACTCTGTCTCAAAAAAAAAAAAAAAAAAAAAAGCCATCCCCCTATTGGCCTGAGGACCCCTCTATGTGCTGTAAAATCTTGCTCAAAATTAAATACTATATTTAAATTAAATAATATTTTTGATGACTCCATCAGATAGTCAATGCTTTCAGCATTTATTGAACCCGACTTACTTAGCTCTGATATGGTTTCATATGGTTATCACATTGACCATCACAGTAAAGCAAAGTACTGTGATTGTACTTAGAAGTTTTCTATGCAGTGGCTCACGCCTGTAATCCCAGCGCTTTGGGAGGCTGAGGAGGGCGAATCATGAGGTCAGGAGTTCGAGACCAGCCTGACCAACATGGTGAAACCTGTCTCTACTAAAAATACAAAAAAATTTAGCCAGGCGTGGTGGCACACACCTGTAATCCCAGCTACTTGGGAGGCTGAGGCAGGAGAATCGCTTGAACCCGCGAGGCAGAGGTTGCAGTGAGCTGAGATCACACCACCGCACTCCAGCCTGGGCGACAGAGCAAGACTGTCTCAAAAAAAAAAAAAAGTTTTCAAAAGTAAATGCTCAAAGTAAAAAGAGGGAAGGGAAATTTCCTTATACTCAGCAGGGAGATTTAAGCCCCTTATTTCTAGTTTGTATTTGTCTTTACACTTTTCACTGAACTTCATTGGAGAGATGGGACCAGAGGGATTTCATGGAGTAATCCAGTGAAATCAATCACCTCTGCAAGCTTCAGGTGAAAAGAAATGCAATCTTTGAACTATGGTATGATCAACAGGAATGGAAAGGGGAAGGATATGAGGCATTTTTTATTCTTTGTTTCTGTCCATCCTTCTGGTATCATTGTCCTCCTTCACCTACTCAGTCCCCATAAATATTGTAATAGTCTTGGTGCTTTGGGTTTAAAAAGATCGTGTCTGATGTACAATTTAATTTCTTCTTTGATTTCCCTCTACTGCTTTTCCTAGTCCCTGACTTTAATTCCATAGTGTACCAAGTGCTCAAAACACAGTCAGCTTCTCAGTGAACACACAGGAGTGTTTATAATGGGTTTAAACATTTGAGGCAAGCCAGTGGGGTGCATGTGCCAGGAAGCCTTTTGGGTCTCGGAAATAGAATCTTGCCCACTTCACATCCACCAAATAAATCTGTGCTTATCATTTGATCAGGTTTGGGGAGGAGCAGAAGACAAACAAGAATATTATCCTTGCTCATTGGGAACTTGAATTTGAATAAAAGAAAATATCTTCTCCACCTTTTACAATATATACAATACAAACCTAGAAGAATGAACAAACACACAGAGACACACACTACAGTTAGATGGCAATACAAGTGGTAACTGATAATCACCAGAGTGAGTGTAGCCTCAGTTTCCAGAAGGTAAGATGTCTGTGGAAATCTGAAGAAAACTTTGAGAAAGTACAAATCGAGGCAAGTACGTGTGTGTGTGTGTGTGTGTGTGTGTGTGTGGCTAAAGCTTTGCAAACTCACGTTCCTTGATGTCTGAGATAAACAGTCTATGTATCTTGGAAACCAGTATGCCTGTCATAGGTGTTCGTGGATGTTGTTACAGTGAATAATTGGTTGAGTCCTGGTAATTGTGCCTACTTTTCTGGGATATAAATTCCTGACCTTTAAAAATATTCTATAGCCAATGAAGCTGAAAATTACAAAGTCTTCCCCAAAGGATGACATAATAGTTTCCTTTTCTGAACAGAAGCTCCTTGAAATAGTGCACTGTCATGTAAATAAGTATCAGTCATTAGACTTCATTCTTCCTGCTTGGTTTACTAGAAATTCAGTCCTACCTAGACCCTAGACAATCTATCCTGGAAAATTAGTAGTAGGGTCCTTGACAAAAATATTTAAGCTGAATCTAATCATGAGGAAATAAGTAAATATTGAACTGAATCTTATATGAGGAAATAATCACATTCAGAATGTGAGACTTCCTGTAAGACAACTGCCATGAGAAAAGAAAGTCTAAGAGGAGGGGAATTTTCTAGATTAAAAGAGACCAAAGAGATGTTACAACTAAATGCAGTGAGATATATTGTTAGAATTTACATTATTTTAATAGGGAGTGGGTAAGTGGGGAAATCTGAATATGGACTGTATGTCTACTAGCATATAAGGAATTATAAATTTTCTTGGGTGTGTTATGGTACTAATATTCTGCTCTTGGATAGTACATGTAAACAGGGGGAAGGGTAGGTAAGAAGGATGCAAATGTTCCTAATAATGGGTGTTCTAGTTAAAGGGTATACAGGTTTTACCGTACCGTTTTTTTAACTTTTCCCTAGGGTATTACTATACAAACAGACAGTGGCCAGAACATATATAAAAATAGACCTCTGACCAGCACTAACCTACAACAGCCAGTGCAGGAAGTCAACCCACAGTGACCAGCACAGGAAGCCAGCCCATTATCTCTCTCTCTCTTTTATTTATTTATTTTTTTGAGACGGATTTTCACTCTTGTTGCCCAGGCTGGAGTGCAATGGCACTATCTTGGCTCACCGCCTATCACTGGCTATCTCTGCCTCCTGGGTTCAAGCAATCCTCTTGCCTCAGCCTCCTGAGTAGCTGGGATTACAGGTATGCACCACCACGCCAGGCTAATTTTGTATTTTTAGTAGAGACAGGGTTTCACCATTTTGGTCACGCTGGTCTCGAACTCCTGACCCTCAGGTGATCCGCCTGCCTCAGCCTCCCAGAGTGCTGGGATTACAGGCGTGAACCACAGCGCCCGGCCAGTCCATTGCCTTTAAGCCAGACTTTTAGGAAGTCAGACCACTATCTCTAAGCAACCAGCCCAGGAAGCCAAACAATAACCTCTGTAAAAACCAGACCCAGTGGCTAGGAATTTATGAATAATTAACACCTTTCCTATTATTTGTTTCTGTTTCCAAGTTAGCATCAACCAGAGAAAGCCAAATATGCATCCCTAACCAATCACATAGGATGCCCCGCTTCTAGTTAGCCTGCCCACCGTGTCCCCATGCCACAGTCTCCAGTCAGGGCACACTTGAAGGCTTCCCTTTGTCCACTATAAAGTTTTCCCACTCCTCTGCTTGCCTTTGAGTCTCTGCCAAATCACAAGTGACGTTCTTTTGGGTCCCCACTTCCAAGATGGCAAAGAAAAGAAATAACAATGGTCATGCCAAAAAGGGCCACAGCCACGTGCAGCCTATTTGCTACATGAATTATGCCCTATGCCTACCCAAAGGCAAGACTATTAAGAAGTTCATCATTCAAAACGTAGTAGAGACTGCACCTGTCAGGGACATTTCTGAAGCTAGTATCTTTGACGCCTATGGGCTTCCCAAGTTGTTCGTGAAATTCTGTTACGGTGGGAGTTGTGTCATTCACAGCAAGGTAGACAGGAATTAATCTTGTGAAGCTTGCAAGGACCGAACACCGCCACCCTGATTCAGACCTATGGGTGCTGCCACATGACCCCTACCAAAGCCCATATAAGAAGGTGAGTCCTTAAGGATTGAAGAAAAACTCTCTCTAGAGAAAAATAATATGGAAATTATATTTTTAAAAAATCACAAGTGAAGGCTGCTAACTCCTTTGCTATAGAAAGCTCTGAATAGCTTTTGCTGGTTCTCATTAACTGGTGTTCATTTATTTCCACATTAGGATTAAAGTTTTTCCAAATGAAAAGTTGAGGGGAAATGGAAGAAATACAGACAAACAACAAAAAAAGCAATTAAAAATATTGCTAAGATTACAACTAGGGGTCAAGTTGCTCAGCAGAGGAAGTGCTCAGGATGGGCCAGAACACACTGGAGCACAACCAGGTTTGCTGATGCTAAGTCTAATAAACTAGTAGAAGGGGCTTTTGGAGTTTCGTAGCGTCAGACACGCCAACTCGAGTGAATTGTGGAGTAAGGGCCTGGAAGAATGAGAATGTAACATAAGGTCCTGGGACAACCTTTGATGGTAGGAAGTGGGCTGAATGTGGATAGGGTCAATTGGTCAAAGGTTTATTTGTACTGATAGAGGAGTGAGAACCCTCTCCGCAAAGCCAGCCTCTGTCTAGCAGAAACCAGAAACATCAGATCCATGGTTGTTGCCCTGGCTTCTCTCCTTGGAATACTTCTTTGAATATTTTAAATTATTATTATTATTATTATTTTTAGACTGAGTCTGGCTCTGTCGCCCAGGCTGGAGTGCAGTGGCGCCATCTCGGCTCACTGCAACCTCCGCCTCCCGGGTTCAAGCAATTCTCCCGCCCCAACCTCCCGAGTAGCTGGGACTACAGACCCGTGCCACCATGCGCTAATTTTTTGTATTTTTAGTACAGATGGGTTTTCACCGTGTTAGCCAGGATGGTCTCAATCTCCTGACCTCGTGATCCGCCCGCCTCAGCCTCCCAAATTTAAATTATTCTTAAATGAATAACAGTCTGTGGTTAGAAGAGAAGAAATCAATTCATGTAGGGAATAGAAGTGAGCTTGCCAAATTGTGACAGGGTGAGAATGAGGGGACAGGTTCTAAGAGAAGGTGAGGGGCCATCATGAATACCATCAGAGAAAGACAAGCAAAGAGAGGAGGAGAAACAGCAAAGAGGAAGAAGGCCGTTTGAGAGACAGTTTCCACTGCTTAGTAATTTTGCCTATGGCCAGTCTCTCTGAAAATAATAATAATGAAGATAATACTAACAATGATGATAATAATAAACACCTATTTTGAAAACAGGGACGTTGAGACCTGGCAAAGTTAAATAACCGATTTAGGTTTTTTCTAACCACTGCACTACATACTCTATGTCTATACATGCCAACAGTCACACATCAACTATGACCAAAAGTTTATTTTAATTTGACTTTTCTGCTCTAGAAAAAAGGTAGGCGTACTTGTGTTCCCCTGACGTAAAAAAAAAAAAAAGGTAGGCAACCTGCCATTTCCTTAAGCTATGAGGTGTGTCTTTAGGCCCAAAGAGAGCATGTTAGAGGTTTTCTCCAGTGAAGTGTCTTGTGTAGGCAAATAGAGTATAGAGACTCAATTTTTAATTCAATCAGTTAAAACAAAGCCTTGTAGTTCTCTTGGGAGCAGAAGACTGAGGGTTAAACACCCAGGAGCAGTAGAAGGAACAGCCCTTGTCAGGCTACAAAATATATGTATTCATCTCACCTTAGGACAACATTGTGAGGCCTCTTCCTGACTCATCCCTAATCCAAGAAAATCTGCCACAAATGCCTTACTTTGCCTATCTAAATAGAGCACTTTTCTTCCTTGAAAATGTGTAAGGTCAACAGCATCATGTTTTACGTTTAAATAATGAAAAATAAAGGAGACAATGAATCATAATAACCTTACAGATTTCTTACAAATTTTGTGATCTTGGACATGAAAGCACTAAAAAATAGTGAGTATAAGAGCAGAGCTGTGGTCAGAGGGTCTAAATCTTACTAAGCAGAGTCGCGTCACTTCTTGGTGTTTCATGAATCAGTGCTTATTTTCCAATGTTCTCACCTACGGCTTATTTGCCGTAAGAAATGGGTACGAGATCTTTCTTAGTTAAATAATTGTTTAGTTTCTGTTCACCAGCTTATATAAACAAGGTTTCTAAAAATTAAAAACAATCTTTTCTAAAAAGTCGTATTATTTTCATACCAACTATGTGTAAATCTGTGTATGTCTTCAGGGAAGGATTAAACTCTTCTTCCTCAACACCCCTTTTCCCTGTTTGCTTCTACCTCTGGACCTTGGAAGAGTGAGGGATTAACTCCAGAAAGAGTTAACTTTCTTTCCTCTGACCACAGAAAACTCCTCCAAGTTTAGAGGTTTAGGGATCTGGATTGAGAAAGGAAAAAGCCGTGGAAAATCTCTTCTCACCTCCGTCCCTGGATTTTACCACCATATTAAGCGGAAGGCGAGCACTACAATTTCCTTGTCCATCAGACGCCCTCCATAGACGCCTCATATTTCGGGAGGTGTGTGTGGGGGGGGTCGCCCTTGTACCCAAAGATCTGAAATTCTTACATCAACACCGTTTCCATGCACCACAGAGGCACAGTAGGCAAAGTCTCAAGAGAGTATCACGGTGAGGAACGGGAAGACAGCCTGATAGTTGCTCTGCTCAAAGCAGAACCTTTTCGAGGGATTTACAGAGCACGAAAATGTTTTCATTTTGTAGGAGAATATCCTGGAATTTTACTCAAGCTAACATCCTATTCAGTAGCCGGAATGCTAGGAGCATAACATCAATCTATAAGATGAAAGGAAGAGAAACTAAAAGCAGACGAGGGCTCCATAGCTCAGGGGTTAGAGCGCTGGTCTTGTAAACCAGGGGTCGCGAGTTCAATTCTCGCTGGGGCCTGTGTGTTTTTTCCTCCTACCCACAGGGATTTCCACATCAGGAGGTAAGCGGGGTCGGACAACGCGGCAGCAACGTGACTGCCGCTTGGCACATCTGCATGTCTTCGGCGCCTCTTCGGCTGTCATTTAGGCTACGGGGGTTCACGCCTGCTGCAGAAGCTGCCAGTCTCAATGACTCTTGGGGCGTGTGGTTTACCTCTACTATTCAAATAAGTACGCATTCTTGCCGATAGAAGGCACCCAAGAACCTAGTTTATCAGAAAAATGCCTAATGATTTGAATGAGCCTTAGTGCAAAACTTAAGAGTATCTGTATCGCGGCTCGTTGGTCTAGGGGTATGATTCTCGCTTAGGGTGCGAGAGGTCCCGGGTTCAAATCCCGGACGAGCCCTCGCTCTTTTCAACTCAACAAGGTGTGTCTTGTTTGAAAACTTCACGACTGCACTTTGCTGTCCCTGTATACCGTTCTTTGAAAAATTGCAGCTATTAACTCCCCAGGGATGTGAAGAAGCAAAGCACAGAAAACCCCAGGTTATCCTTCTTATTCTCTCTGACAAACTGTAACACATCTTCCTCTCCCTGCCTATCTCTAGCAATCCTGTCAAGTCAAATAAAACAGTCTATGCAAAGTTGCTCGGAAATTTTAGCCCTTGGTAAACACAAGGAGCTGCTTTCTTTCCTGGGAATGAATTGGGAGCTGACACATACTAACATTGTCACCATGTGTAACTGTATGATGTGTTATCTTTTAAAAAGGGGTTTACATGTTATTACATAATATTGCCTTTTCTTCTCCTTTTCCTTTCTTTCCTTTTTCCCCACCCTTTCTGGTGTTTGTTTGTTTTGTACTGTGAGGTAGGCAATGAATTCTGTTAACTCCAGTGGAGCAATAGAGTGATGAGAGAAAGTGTATCTCCAAAGGCAAATTTTGAAATGTTAACTTTAAAAATAATGTTTTGTGGATCCTTAGCAACTTTCTTTAGTGTGTGAATAACTATTACAGAATAAAACGATTCCATTAGAAGTGAACTATATCCCTTCCTGGCAACAGATGGACTAACTTACCCACATCGACACTCATCATCTCTGTCTTCTGTCTTGTTTCAAGGCCCATCTTTCACTTCTCATATTTGAGGGCAGCTCCTTCAGTTTCACATCAGATGAATTTCGCATTTCCTCTCCTTCGGGTAAGGACTTGGTTTCTGAAATCAACATTACCTCCGCTCCTCCACCCCCAAGCCCCTAACAACACACACAGCAGCTATTTCCCCCAGTGTGCCAATCATTTCCATTAGCATACAAACACTAAACAGCTGCAGTATCACCAATCCTTTAAAAAAATTCCTTCTTAGCCACTCTTCCCAATTCTCTTTATTCTGCATAGATAGAAAAAACTTCTTAAAAGTTATGCACTGTGTATCTCAACTTCCTCCCCTCATGCTCTGTCCTCAACCAAGTATGATCAGGCCTTTTTTCTCCACCACGCTACTTGAAATGGCTTTTGTCAAGGTTGCCAATGACTTTGATGCTTCCAGATCTAAAGGTCACTTTTCAGTCTTCGTCCTACTTCATTTCTCATCTCAGGAGGCTACTTTTCAGTCTCTTTTAATGGCTCCTCCTTTCCTGACCTCTCAATATTTGAGTGTTATCTTGCTCTCCCCTTGCCAATTTTTTTTATCTCTCTATACTTATCAAGTCATGAGGCTTAACATAGCATCGTATACTGATGATTCCTATTCATAAGCCTTGATCTAGATTTGTAGATATAGTCACCTGCTTGCCCCAGCATGTGAACAAGTTATAGGCATCTCAGAATTTACTTGTCTCAAATGATACCCTTGATTTCCTGCCACTTCTCTTCCAATTGCTCTCCAACCACCACCCATATCTCAGGAAACAAATCCATCATGTATCCAGTTTCTCCAACATCACATCCAATCCACTGTTCTATCTTCGTCTATTTCCCAACACACTCATTATCACCCTGGTCTAAACTCTCCTTCATCTCTTACACATCCCAATGATAGCCTTCTAACTCATCTTCCTACTTTTTCTCTACTCCCTATTCTAGAGAACAGCCAGAGTTATCCTATTACAATGTAAGCCAAACAATGCTCTCCTCCACTTAAAAGCACCCAATAACTTCTCACATTTAGAACAGAATCTGTGATCGAGCCCTTGTGTGTTCTGATGGTGTCTGTCCCTCTGATCGCAACTGCTTACCCCCTCCTCCTCCTTCTCACTCACTGTCTTCTAGCTATACTGGCCCTCCCACTGTTCCTCAAATCCATGTGCCTTGTTTCTTGTTCCGGACTTTTCATGTACTGTTTCCTTTGTCTAGAACATCTCACTTTCTCAAATATTTGTATCCCCCTCTCTCTCTCACTCCTTCTGTGCTCAAATGTTACCTCTTTAGAGACAACTTCCTTGACCACTCTTTCCAAAATAGCCTCCAATTGCCATTATACCCTACACTAATTTATGGCTGTTCACAGCATTTATCACGACTTAATATTATTATATGCAGTTCTTTCCTTCTTTTTTTCTGTTTCCCCTACTAGGATATAAGCTCCAGGAAGGCAGATGTTTTGTCGTGCTCGATTTTGTACCCTCAGCACTTAGCAATGTGTACTATTTGTAGTTGGCAATTAATAATGAATAGATGAATGGATGGACGAATATTACCACACTTCTGGGCACACCTGCTGGTCTCCAAATGCCACAATTAAAGGGCAATTTATTTCCAGTTTCTGTAGAGTCAGATTGGAATCTTCCCAGGGATAATAGCCATGGCTATGGAATTATGTTGCAAATGGATACCTAAATTGATCTTTCTTGTCTCTGCAGAATATACGCTAAGCACCTTACACGTATTCACTAATTTTCATAATACAGGTATATATTATCTCCAATGTACAAATGAGGAAATAGAGGCACACAAAAGGTAAGCAGCTTGCCCAAGTCACACAATTAGTAATGTGAGAATTGCCACCCCTTGCATTCTAACAGCCCAGCCCACGGTCCCTTCACCATCCTTCCCACATCACTGCACTACCTTCCTTATGCCGCGTTTGTTTTCTACTCGATGATGTTTTACAATGTTTCAAGACCGTTTTTTTTGTAATTGTAGGATTTATTTTTGCAGTGTAGACCGTGAGTTTCTCTTGTGGGCAGGCATTGTTTTATTCCTCTTTTTGTACTCCTCAACAACTAGAACAGTGCAAATTACGCTCGTCTACTTAAAGGCAAAGAGCTCAAAGTACGCTCGTCCACTTAAAGGCAAAGCAAAGGCTACACATGAATTATATTAATGTCCTGGCGCTTTCCCTCCTTTGGGAAACCATGGATTCAAAAGCATCTTTATGATCTTGAGAGGATTTTACTGTCTTTATGAAGTACTTCACATTGTGAAAGACTCAGAAATACGAGACGTTCCAAAATAGCGGACAGCTACATTCTTTACCAACTGGAGATACGAAATTGGGTGCTAGAGAAAGGTGAAGAGACTGTGTTAACGTGGGAGCACCAGTACACTAATCGGAATACACGGATGGTTTCCCCAAGAAAAGGGAAGCACCTGGCAGCGGTGGGATTCGAACCCACGCCCCCGAAGAGACTGGAGCCTTAATCCAGCGCCTTAGACCGCTCGGCCACGCTACCTACTGGCTAACAGTTGGGAACCTATTCTCTACCCTTTCCTCTTTTACCCTCCCCGCCTGCCAACTTCATGATCCTGTATTTGTAGTTTTACCGGATTTTTTCTTTCTTTTCTTTCTGGTTTGTTTAGCTCTCCTTCATCTTTTAAGCCGCACTATTTGAAATTGGTGGAAAGAGTTATAATACATGTTGTGAAAGGCGTCGCGAGAGAGGGAGGGCAACCTTGTCAGGTCTAACGGTTTGGAGCGCCAGCCCCGTGCCAGGCAAGGCGGGTCACCGGGCAGCGTCGGGGCCCTCTTCTGCCTCGGGGTCTCTTCACGGAGGGCGCCCTGCGGCGACAGCTTTCGCCGGCCGCGCGCACGGCGGTCGGTACCTGTTAAGGACGAGATGCCTTCCGACCACCGGATAACTCGGGACGGTCCCTGATTTGCCTGCTCCCTGTCCAACAGCATCTTCGGCTCACTCGGAAGTGAAAACATGCAATTTCATGTTATAACATGCAATTTCATGTCATAAATTATTCCCACTGACGCCTGAACATTTTTCCTAAAAGGGATCTGCAGTCACAAGGCGCCGCCTTCCGGAATTTAGGTGAGAAAACCTGCAGTGGTTTACTTTATCCACTAGGTGTCACCCATGCCCATAGTTATAAAAGAAGACAGTGACCAACTGTAGACGTGGCTGAAAGTTTTATTAAAGTTTAGTAACCCAACCGAAATTCATAGGTGGCTCGTTGGTCTAGGGGTATGATTCTCGCTTAGGGTGCGAGAGGTCCCGGGTTCAAATCCCGGACGAGCCCTGTTCCTTTTTTCTTTCTCTCCCAGTTAGCTGGCCCCCATAAAGTCACAGATTTTTCTGTCAGTGGACATCCCAATAAAACCACAGGTTTATTCACGTTAAACACCATCACACAAAGTAAGCACCGTCTGAAGTTAGTATGTGAGTACTATGTAATGCTCCATTATTTCAAATATATGTATTTCATCTTTAGGCAAAAATGCTCTTTGTCATGGTATTACATTATGAGGATAAATACCAGGTGCTACCACATATCATGTACATTTCTTTTACATAATCATTATTTTAAATCAACCAGCTTTTTACTTTTGCAGTTCTTTGTTATTATCCAGGAATTGTTCATTCAGGACAGTCATATTTTAATAGTTTCACATAAACCTCACTTTGTAAGCGCAGGGGCCAGCAGATGTCGCGAAGTTCTTGTCACAAATAAAGCCTAGACTCCGTCATTCAAGCCTCAGCTCACTGAACCCTTCTGTGTGCGCATGGGGGTGGGGAACTCGTTGGTGTAGCCCCTTGGGAATGAACTTCTCAACAGGGATTTGCAATCGTATCTGCATATTAGAGTCACCTGTGAAGCTTTTTGACCATCCACTGCTGGGTCCAACCCCAGAACAATTACACTGCAATCTCTGAGGATGGGACCCTAGGAATGATTTTCTTTCTTTCTTTCCCTTTTCTTTTCTTTTCTTTTCTTTTCTTTTCTTTTCTTTTCTTTTCTTTTCTTTTCTTCTCTTTTCTTTCTTTCTTTCTCTTTCTTTCTTTCTCTCTCTCTTTCTCTCTTTCTCTTTCTTTGATGGAGTTTCACTCTTGTTGCCCAGGCTGGAGTGCAGTGGTGCAATCTGGGCTCACTGCAACCTCCACCTCCTGGGTTCAAGAGATTCTCTTGTCTCAGCCTCCCAAGTAGTAGGGATTATAGGCCTGCACCACCACACCTGGCTAATATTTTGTATTTTTAGTAAAGACAGGGTTTCACCATTCTGGCCAGGCTGGTCTCGAACTCCTGACCTCAGGTGATCCACCTGCCTTGGTCTCCCAAAGTGCTGGGATTACAGTTGAGAGTCACCATGCCCAGCCTAGGAGTGGTTATTTTTCAGAAAAAAAGCTCCCAAGATGTCACTGGAATTGCCCTGGGAGCTAATATGCTACTAAGTTCCTCTACAAGACACAGCTGGAGACCATGCAGGGCGGGGTAACTCCGTAAGAACCCTGTGTCCTACTCTGCATTCCTCAGAATCACCCCCTTCTAGCTGGTACTTGATCTTCCCTAGTTAAGTTTTCTTTTGGGTACAACCGTGTGCCACATTATTTTGCCTCTGCAATCCTCCTTACTTTCCCAAGCCACAGAAATGGACTGTGCTATGGGATGGTTGCCTACTGAGGTTTGTGCAAACATAACATGTGTTTCCCTCAAAGAGGGAAAAGACAGCCTAGTGGTTCACCCTGCTTATTTGAGAAGGGTATGTGGCTGCGTGTGTTGCGGGGAGGGAGGCTTTCACTTTCTACGCAACGGCTAGATCCTCAGAACACCCTCTTCATCTCTATTACCCTGCTACCAGCGGGGTATTCAGTGTTTACATCCTATAGTTCAGCCACATGTGTCCTGACTCATCTGATGAACAAGAACTAGAAATCACAGGTATTTTTCACTTCATTCCTAGCTACACTGTTGAGTATTTAACTTCTGATACTTCTTCAGATATTTAGAAGAACTATGAAACAAATAATCTTGGAATTATCCTTTATTCCTCTCTCTTACAACTCATGTTCAATCCCTTAACAAATGATGTTGGCTCTATCATCAGAATATTTCCAGATTTCAAACATTTCTTACCACCTCCACCACCACTGCTGTAGTCGAAGCCATCACCATTTCTCATCTGCCCTATTGCAGCAGCCCTTTAGCAGGTCTTTCTGTTTTGTCCGTGTGCCCTTAAATCTATTTTCCACAAAGTAGAATGATCCTGTCAAATCCTAAGAGCTTGTCATTTCTCTGCTTACAACCCTCTGTGCATCTCTGTCATGCTCAGGGTTAGGTTCCAGCCCCAGCTGAGGGCTGAGGGGAGTAGGTGGACGTGGGGCAGGGAGCTGGAAGAACCCTCAAGAGACAGCAGGTAAATGAGACATGGCTTTATTCAGCAGCCCCTTCACAGGGTCAGTGTTACATTTATACACTACACAAACGATAGTGACTGAGAGCCAGGTGGGGAGCTTCTTTATGTTGTGCCTACACGGCTATGATTATATAAGATATGGGACTGTGCACTTGTGCCCCAATCCCACTGAGTCATCTAGGCTGTTTACCTTGGCCTATGCCTGCTTGCCTGCACACAGCCATGTTCCTTACACTCCACCCTCTAGGCCAGGGAATCCTCTTGGTGGGGACCCATGCACATGTGGCAGCACCCTGGACCCATAGGCCACAGCAACAACACAGACAGCAACAACCTACCACTAATATTCCTGCTATGCTACCTATGATTATGAGAGCCCATTGTAGGCCAGATCCCAAAGACGCCCACCATCTCTGCAGGGGGTCATCAGTAAGGTGCTCAATCACCTTAATCTCCTATGACACCCCTTGTGAAGCTGCCATTATATTCCAGTGGTTGTCAGGGATAAATGTACAACCTTGTGTCCCTACAAGGGCACAGGTGCCACCTTGGGCAGCTGCGACTATGTCTAAGGCCATCTGGTTTTGCAGCACCACCTTCCTGATCTGATCAACTTCATCAGTTAACAAAAGGAGGGCAACTCGGGACCGAGCTGTGTGGTCTGCAAAGGCTGCAACTTGCTTTTCTATAGTAATGACGCCTGCTCCAGGGATAGTCATTGCTAAGGGATAGAACCACTAGAGGGCCTGCTGCACTGGGAAAAAGCAGGAACACAGTGGCTCCCAGTTATGTGGCGACTAGGCAATGTGGGAAGCCCAGTGGCAGGCACATAGGGCCAACCCCAGGTACAATGTCCAGTCCAGTTGGCTGGGAGATATGGCCATCCTGTGTCCCCACAGACCCATAAACTCCCAGGGGGCACAAAGTCCATGGGGGCCTGGCCTTCGTAAGGCCGCTTGTTCCACTGCACCCTTGGTGTGGTGACACATGTTATGTTTGCACAAACCTCAGTAGGCAACCATCCCACAGTGACTTTACCCCAGTGCTGCTCTATACATTGTGATACCTGCAATGGGGGCACCACGTGTTCTCCCATTAGCCAGCTCCATCCATCATGGACACTATGAGTCAGCCAAGGGCCAGGTTTGCCATGGGTTTTGTGATGCCTCCTATCCAAAGCCCGCCCTGTGGCATCCCACCCATTGTCCGTGGGACCCCAAGCTTCTAGCCATGTCCAGTTCTTAACAGAAGCAGGATACGCGTTCCAGGGCAAACTCTCCGCAGCTGCTGCTGGAAGGTGGAGCAGATCCAACAGTTGGAGACATTGGTCACCTCAGCGTAGGTGTGGGCCCAGTCCACAATGCTGTTGGAGCATGTCAACCTACAGCCAGAACAACAAAGCAGGCACAGGTATTAACGGGGAAATCACGTCCCTCAGGCAAAATACAGGCTAACTTTTCCTTTTTTTTCTTTTTTTTTTTTTGAGACAGAGTCTCACTCTGTTGCTGAGCCTGGAGTGCACTGGCACGAGCCTGGCTCACTGCAACCTCTGACTCCTGGGTTCAAGCAATTCTCCTTCCTCAGCCTCCCGCGTAGCTGGGATTACAGACATGTGCCACCACGCCTGGCTAATTTTTTGTATTTTTAGTAGAGATGGAGTGTCACCATGTTGTTCAAGCTGGTCTCGAACTCCTAACCTCAGGTGATCCACACGCCTCAGCCTCCCAAAGTGCTGGGATTACAGGCGTGAGCTACCGTGCCCAGCCAATACAGGCTAACTTTTCATCTCTGGATAACAATGCAGCTGCCAAGGCTCCTGCCCTGGGTGATGATACCACACCTTCTCAGCTCCCCATGGTCCTTTTCAGTCTTGTACCCAAGCCAAAGTCACAGGGGAGCTCAAAATATATGTACAGACAGTACATATATAGGAGGGTCCCTTACCTGGCCATTCCCCTACAAACGGTCAATCGTGGAGGCCACACATTAAATACCCAAGGAACCACATGTAAGTCATACTGCAGATGCTCCCTCCAGGGGGCTACAATAGCTAACCATCTGCAATGCGGGGCTTGGAGGGTCCATGGCCAACATCAGGTTTTCTCTTCCCCTGCCTTCAGGGGCGTTGGGGCAGGCAACAATAGATTACCATTTGTCCCCATACCTGGTCAGAGGAGGTCATCCTTGGTGTGTATCTGTAGCTGGATGGGGATGGTGGCCCACGGTAACAGTGTCTCCACCAGGGCTGGGCCACCTTTCCGTGGTCGCTCATTCAAAATTTTAACACAAAATTTTAAGTGATGGTAGGGCAGATGCCCTCAGCCAGATGGCAAATGTGTTGCACTGGCCCCTCATCAATTACTTGTAAGTAATTGGTCCAACCTGGACATGGATGTCCGTGCTGCCCTAGTCCGGGGAGTTGTTACCCATGAATGCACCCACCCTGCTATTGGGTAAGTCGTTCCACACAGCGACTGCAGCCCATCCTGTCAAGCTCTCACAGGCCTGAACAGCAGCATATACAGCAGCTAAATGCTTCTCTATCAGTGAATACCGGAGCTCAGCTCCCTTCCACAGCTGGGACCAAAAACCTGTTGGTGTTCTAAAGGGCTCCATGCGCTGCCATAGGCCCCAGCTGAAACCATTTGTGGTCACGTGTACACCAGGTTCAAATGGGCGCCCCTGATCAATTACTTGTAAGTAATTGGTCCAACCTGGAACTCCAGCCCCGCAAAGATTGGGGAGCAACATGCAACTGTAACCCGTTCTTCAGGAGTCTGTTATATTGCTCAATCATGCCAGCGGCTTGTGGGTTATAAGAAACATGAAACCCCCATTGTATGTCCATCTGCTGTGCCCACTGTTGTCCCTGCTGTCCAGTGAAATGTGTTCTATCACTTTTAACAGCCAGGGGACGGCCATATAAAGGCACATAAGTGTTGCAGGGCTCGAATGGTGTGTTGCTGGTCAGCCGCCCTGCAAGGGTAGGCAAACAACAAGCCAGTGGCTGTGTCTATAGCCATATGTGTAGCCCTGTGATTTTGGCAGTGGCCCAGTGGAATCCGTTTCCCATCTGGTTAAGGGCATCTGGCTTACCGTCACTTGCTGTGTTATACTGGGCAGCTGCCTCCATTTGGGGTATGCCTGAGCACATGCTGGCACTTCCAGCAGGACTCTAAAATGTCCTGTGAAGGCAAAGACAGACTCCAGTGCCTACTGACCTGTTGCATCAGTTTACTCCCTGTATGTCCCAATTTCCTATGTAGCCACAAAGCTACATCTTGTGTAGGTGCTGACTCTCACCATCAGACCCTGGCTAAGGCATCTGCCTCATCATTACTGGAGGTGGCCAAAGACACATGACCTGACACACGATAGACAGTTACATCTTTCTGATGACCTGTTTCCCAGAGGTCTTGCCATGTGGTTTGGCCCCAAATGGGCCGATGGCCTGCAAGCCAATTCTGTAACTTCCAGGTAGTCAGCCTCAGAGTTAAACCTCGACAGACTGCTCAGCTATTGGTGCAAAGTACTATAGGTGACTCCTTCTTAGTTATCACCGTCCACACCACTCTAAGTTCAGCCCATTGGCTGCTTTGTCCGCACCCGTTATCAAACCATATGGTATCGGTGCTAGGCTGGACTGCTACAGCAGCCCAGGCAGCAGTAGCACCCCGGCTGGACCCATCTGCATACCATGCCCCATCAGGAATGGGAAGGCGCTCTTCTTTAAATGGTGATGGCTCAAGGCGTGGGGTGCCTCAGGTCCCATGGCCTTATCTTGCGTTAGGACTGCAGGCCCTAAGACCTCTTGTAACTCTGTTGCTAATAGACTTGTACTCAGCATACTCTGCTGTTCTAAGTAGGCACCCCACTTTGCTAATGTGGATGCCTGTGCTGCCCCAGTCTGGGGGGTTGTTACCCATGAATGCACCCACCCTGCTATTGGGTTAGTCATCTGCACAGCGACTGCAACCCTTCCTGTCAAGCTCTCACAGGCCTGAACAGCAGCATATACAGCAGCTAAATGCTTCTCTATCAGTGAATACCGGAGCTCAGCTCCCTTCCACAGCTGGAACCAAAAACCTATTGGCGTTCTAAAGTGCTCCGTGTGCTGCTGTAGGCCCCAGCTGAAACCATCTGTGGTTACAAGTACATCAACTTCAAATGGGTGCCCCTGATCAATTACTTGTAAGTCTGGTGCTTGCTGAATGGCCTGCTTGGCAGCCAGAAAGCCTGTTTCAGCCTCATCATCCCAATCCCACGTAGCTCCCTTTTTTGTTCACTGGTACAACAGTTTTATCATTTGAGTCAAATGGGGCACGAATACCCGCCAATACCCCACGAGGCCCACAACGGTCTGCAGTTGCCTCACCGTGGTGGGTCAGGGGCATGCCTGGATTTCGTCAATGATGGCCTCTGGTATGGCATTTGTCTTACCTGATCAAACAACTCCCAAGCATTTGGCAGACAATCCAGGCCCTTGGACCTTGGATGCATTGACATACCAACCGCACGCTGCCAACTCTTGCCACAAGAGGGGCATTGCTGCTTCTTAATCTGCAAGAGAATCAGAGGTTAACATGACACCATCAATGTAATGAAACAGGCAAACCCCTTTTGGACATTTCCAGGCATCTAAGTCCATGGCAACAAGATCATGACGAATGGTGGGGCTATGCACATAGCCCTGTGGCAGCACAGTAAACGTCCATTGCCACCCTTCCCATGTGAAGACAAATTATTTTTGGCTCTCTGGAGCAATGTCGATGGAGAAGAGTGCATTAGCTAAGTCCACTACAAAGTGGTACTGTCCCAGTTCCATTGTCAGGTGGTCCCTCAAATCCATGGTACAGCTGCATGCAGAGGGGGTGTCACCTTATTCAGCTCCTGGTAATCCACTCTCATCCTCCAAGTCCCATCAGGCTTTCTGACTGGACATCCCAGGGAACTGTAGGGGATATGGATGTCAGGCACTATTTGCACCTCCTCTAACTTCTTAATCGTCTTGGTTATCTCTGTATGCCCCTCTGACAAACGGTATTGATGAATGGAGGTAACCTGTCGGGGTTGTGGCAGAACTTGGGGCTGGTGATATGTATATGCCCACGCAGTACCGGCTTTACTACACGAACCTGGAGTCTGAATTCTCTGGCCGTGGTGTGTAAGTCCAGACCATGCAAAATGTCCACCCCCAGAATATATTCAGGTATAGGAGAAACATACATAGCGTACAGGCTGGAAGCCAAGCGGCCAATTCCAAGATGCAGAGACACAGGTTTCACTTTCACTGACTGGCCCGCATAACCATCAATGAATGCAGCTTTTCCTGGAAACTTATCCGGGTTCCCATAAACAAGACTGCAGTCTGCACCAGTATATACCAGTGCTAGGACCTGCTGTACACTGGTGGGGGACTAGTGGATTCCCAGTTCCACATGAGGCCTCCAGTCGTCCGGCGCCCCCCACCAAGCCAAGCACCTCGGCCAGTTCCCTAATCAAACAGGAAGGGCCCAGTCTCTTCACCAGTCTGCAAATCATCCTTGAGCTGCCGTGTCCCCGCGGGGCTGGGTTGAGCAACAGTATTTTGCCCCCTCGGGTATTTTCCGGAATTGCTGCTGGGGGTACAATTGCCTCCACAGAGCCAACAGCATTCCATTGGGTTTCCTCTCAGTTTCCTCCCGAGCAACCCCGGCTGCAAGTAAATCCATCCACATCTGCATGCGGGTCACCCGCTGGGGTCCCTTTTTATTTCGTGGGGTGGTTACCTGTGAAGGGGGCACCTTCCCCTTCTTTATGGCGCGGATTCCCCAATCCCGCTGATGGCCTTCTGCCTCCTCAAGGGCTGCCATAGCAGTAGTCACTTCATGTATGTGGCACCCCACATATGGAGTAAGAACAGCAGCTAGAGAGCCAAAAGCACTCAGAGGCTGCCAGTCAGCACAAGATCCCTCACGTGGGAGATAAAATGTTCATCATCTGGCCTCTAGGGATTCAGATCCAACATAGCCTGCCGCATGCCCATCTCCAGGAGTACCTGTACCAAATCAGCTATGATTGCCATTGACTCATAATTTCTGGTATCTCTCCAGCATCCTTCCTAACAGTCCATATGGCTGCCATCAGCCACTCAATTAACATGTGATCACCTTGCCCTTGTGCCAACCATCGGCACAGCTGCAGCCACTGATGAAGGGAGGGGTGAGTTATGATAGAAGCCAGCTTCTCCATCTCGGAGGCAGAGCAAGAAACGCTGTCAGCCCCCTCATCCCCAAAATGGGGTAGCCAGGCAGGGGGGGCTCCCCTGGGTGCTCCTTGCATTGCTTACCTAACTCCCAAAACTCAGTGGAAAGAGAAGCACTATAGGAGGTGTATTCCACCACTGCGGGGGGCCTCTGGGCTCTCCCCTAGGGTCCCATCAGCTGCTCATGTTCTACCTTCTGATGGATCACAGGACAAGCCCACAGCAGAGGAGCCTCCTCCTCAGGATCAGACCAAGCGCGAGTGTCCGGCCTGGAGGATGGGCTCAAGGTCATGCCAACAGTTATTTCCAGCTCCTGCTCCAGGCTGTTTATCTGAGCCTGTAAGCACCCTGCTTGCACCTGGAGGTCCTTTACACCCAGGTTTTGCTCCAAGCTGTGCATTTGGGCCCCCAGAGACCCAACTTAGGCCTGAAGGTCCTTTAGCTGTGCCATGTCCCGCAGGGACTGAGCGTATACTTCACGTAGTGCAGTCAGAAATGCCCATCCAACTCTGCTGGCGAAGGTGCACCCCTTCTTGGTGGTGTGAGCTTCCAGTTGCTTCAGTGCCTTCTTCACACTTGTGGGAGACCTGTCCACTGCCTCCCATGTTTCCACTGGGGCGCATCCAAGCAGCGCCTCTGCCACCGGGTACCACAGCTCATGCTGCAGCCACATAGTCTGGTTCTCTCACTGTGGAGTGTTCCTTACTCCACTCACCTTCCCCATTCTGCCTGGTGAACCTATGCATCCTTCCTTTCCTTAGACAAGCCTTCCCAGAAAACCCAGAACAAGTGAAGTAGTCTGTTTTGCTTGCATAAAACCCTGTAATTTCCCTTGCGGTCCTTATCACTAACATAATAAATTTATTATATTTCTTAGCTTTAAAAAATTGTCTGACTGTTTCTTGAGGGCAGAGACAACATCTGTCTGCTTTCCTGTAGAAATCTCTGTTCTAAGCACAGTGCCTGGAATACAATAAATGTTCAACAACTGTTTGCTCAATAAATATTGAGTAAATGTAATGCTGTATTTTCATTGCCTAAAAGAGCTATAGTTTGCTCTTTATAATATCAGAGAGCTTTTCTTTATAAAGCTCATTCATCTTTTTGACGGTTACTTTAGTGGAACCAACAACAACCACAACAACAAACCTTAAGTTGGGCTGGGCCTGGTGGCTCACGCCTGTAATCCCAGCACTTTTGGGAGGCCGAGAGAGGCGGATCACTTGAGGTCAGGAGTTTGAGACTAGCCTGGCCAACATGGTGAAACCTTGTCTCTACTGCAAATACAAAAATTAGCCAGGCACGGTGGTGCATGCTTGAAATCCCAGCTACTTGGGAGGCTGAGGCAGGAAGATCGCTTAATCTGAGGAGACAGAGGTTGCAGTGAGCTGAGATCGCACCACTGCACTCCAGCCTGGGCAATAAAGCAAGACTCCATCTCAAAACAACAACAAACAACAGCAACAAACGAACAAAAACCTTGAGTTGGAAGAAAGCCCAAAGAGTTGAGGGAACTAAAAAAGCGGAGTGCATGGCAGGAATATGAAGATGGAGAGAGAGTGGTCTGAGGAGAGGCCATCTATGCAAGGCCTGGTAGGCAGAGGTGAGGACTGTGGTCATTATCTTAAGACAAATGAAAAGCCATTGACACATTTTAGATGAAGAAAGTGGATATCACAGGCACATAACTGGATTTGTGTTTTAAAAAGATCACTGTGGTGCAGTAGGGTTGACAAGGTGTGAAATGAAGGATTTGTGCAGTACCCTCATAAGCCCCTAGGCACTGTTCCAAACCCCCTCCTACAACCTCACCTGTCCCCTTGTCCAGGTGGAGTAGACAGACTGGGGCCTGTACGTGTCCAGAACAAGCTGTTGGAAACGTGGCTGAGCCCCTGGGAGCCACGTTTCAACTTCCTAATACACAAGCATAGAGCCCTGCTTCAGAGAATGGTATAGTTTGAGGTGCTTTTTCACCTCTAAAACTGTGAGTTGTTTTCACCTCCTCCATCCCACCAATTCTGCCAACTCCCGGCCACTTTAAAAGGAGGCCAGTGAGACCCATGGAATGAAGCTCAGGGTCACAGAACTAGTTAGTGGCAGGGCCAGTGTCAAGCCAGGAATCCAGCTTTCACAACTCTCGGCTCACTGCTCATTCTGCTCTAGTTAGGTGGTTATGAAAAGGGAGTTTCTGTGTTTTTTTTGTTCTTTGTTTTTTGTTTTTTTCAAGACGGAGTCTTGCTCTGTTGCCCAGGCTGGAGTGCAATAGCGCAATCTCGGCTCATTGCAACCTCCATCTCCCGGGTTCAAGTGATTCTCCTGCCTCAGCCTCCCGAGTAGCTGGGACTACAGGCGCGCGGCACCACATCTGGCTAATTTTTTGTATTTTTAGTAGAGGCGGGGTTCTCCGTGGGAGTTTCTGTTTTTACCACATCTGGGTTCTTTAGGGCCTTCGTGATTATTTGGGATCAGGGGACATTTATATTATTTCAAGCCTGGGAGTGCTATGAAAGATATGAATGTCCGGGAGGTGCCATAGGGGAAGGCTGGCTAATGGTCCTTCCTCAAGGAGAATTCAAAGGGAACTTTTGAGGGCTGAGCCTGGGGACACACAGGAGAAGCCAGATAAGCTATGATCAAAGCATTCTCAGAAGTGGAAAACTGAAGGCACCGGCCTACCCAGAAGCTGTTAGAAAGACACACTTAGGTAACTTTCCCTTAGCCTGGTCTTCCTTGGGCTATTGCCTGGTGGCAATCATTTCAGAGACGCGAAGAAAGTTATAAAGCAAGAAATGACTTGTTTTTCCCCAAGGGAGAACAGGACCTCCTATGTGCATAGCACAGGGCTATAACTGCAGGGCTGAGACTGATGGCTTCGTCAGAACATGTCCTGCCCACGATCAGGAACAGCTTGTTCTGGACACACACAGGCCCCAGTCTATCTACTCCACCTGGACAAGGGGACAGGTGAGGTGGTAGGAGGGGGTTTGGAAGAGTGCCCAGGGGCTTATGAGGGTACCGCACAATCCTTCATTTCACACCTTGTCAAGAAAACAGCTCTGCAATTGCCAAAAGTAGACAATGAACCCTCCAGAGCAGGGGTGTCTCGTGCCTTTTTTCCCCAGTAGTAAGTGTTCCCGATTTAGGAAGGTGTCCCTTCAACCGAATGCCAATTCCTAGGCAAGTTCACAGAACTGCTCCACCACACTCATGAGTCAGCTCCCACTTCAGGGTCTGGTACCCAGGCTCCAGCTTCCCGGTTGCTACTGCTCCCCTGCACTCCAGGCTGGGAGGCAGAGACCACCTCCTATTCCCTCAGGGTGGGGGAAAATAAAACTTGTGGCCAGAGCATTGTCATCTTAAGAGAACAGCCATGGAGTCCATTTTAATTTAGCTCAGAACTTTAGTTTGTGAAAGCAGAGCGAGATCTTACAAATAATCAAATTCTTCCTTTATTCTTTCTTATTACCCCCATTTTAGAGTGGAAGCAATGCAGACCCTGAGCAGTGACATGACTTCACAGCTACTTACTGGCAGAAGAGGGGAAAGATCTGACATCTTTCACCCATTCATCCACTCCACAAACATTTTTTGATCTCTTCAGAAATACCAGGCACTGTGCTAGAGAGAACAAGAACATTCCTCTTGCTCTCCAGAGGCTCACAGCATGCAAGGAGAAGGCCAGATGAATCGCCTGTAGCACCACTTAGGGAGTTATGTGCTGGAACCACACAGAAAAGCTTCTTGTAGACACTCAAGGAAGAGAGGGGGGTGGTTAGTTTAAGAAGGGGTTCCTGGAGGGGTTGGTAAAGTCCCATGGCCTTTGCATTGCTCTTAGAAATATTTCTTGACATGTGAACTTGCATTGGGTGACTAAGAGTGTGTGTGAACCAGCCTAGATTTCCTCATGAGCAAGGCCTACTTCCACTGTTAGAAAGAAACTCAGGATATCACCTGACTCTTTTCATCACCAGAGTAGGAGGTGAAAATGGTTCGGGGGGCTCCTTAGTGAAAATACACAGAAAAGGAAAGAAATCGGTACCCAGTTCAGAGGCACTTTCAACCTTTTTGTCTTAAGAGAGGTGCTCAAAGTGCTCAAAGGTAGCTTCTGGGTGATAGAGAAGTAGGAAAAGTCTAGAAAATTGTGGAGTTAGGGGAGCACCTTTTGCTTTAAATGACCTTCCTGCATCCAAGGTCTTCCCAGCTCCTTCACTGCCAGTCACACTCCTGGGCCATGCTGCCATTTTGTAGATTTCAAAATTATTCGAAGAGTAGGTTTTAAATGTTCTCGCTATTAAAAAAGGATCTGCACTATTAAAAAAGTAATGGATATGTTAATTTGCTTGATATAATCATCCCACAGTGTACTATATATATCAAAACTTCACATTGAACCTCATAAATATATAAAATTATTATTTGTCAATTAAAAATAAAAATCTAAATTAAAAAAAAGTCTGACTAGATAACCTGGTGGGTATCCACTCCATAATATAGTTGAATTAGTTCTTAATATTTTCTTAAAGTGTTTTATGGTTTTAGAAAAGTATATATGAATAATTCTGAGTTTCTGAATGATAGTGTGAACAGAATCTGAAGTGCTCACCTTGAACTGTTAAGCCAAGAAGAAATCACTTTCTAACTTCTTTAAGTCACTGGATTACTGATGATGTCTTTGTTTTTTTGTTTTGTTTTTGTTCTTGTTTTTTTGAGATGGAGCCCCATTCTGTTGCCCAGGCTGGAGTGCAGTGGCACGATCTCGGCTCACTCCAACCTCCGCCTCCTGGGTTCAAGTGATTCTCCTGCCTTGGCCTCCGGAGTTGCTGGGATTACAGGCACACGCCACCATGCCTGGCTAATTTTTGTATTTTTAGTAGAGACAGGGTTTCACTGTGTTAGCCAGGCTGGTCTCCAACTCCTGACCTCAGGTGATCCGCCCGCCTCCACCTCCCAAAGTGCTGGGATTACAGGCATAAGCCACTGCGCCTGGCCTGATGATGTCTTTGTTACAGCAGCTTATCCTTACCCTGTGCACTCTTCCCAAAAGCTTCCAGCTGTGCATCCTTTCCTTCTCACTGGCCCCACATGAATGGGATTACCTTGATTGACTCAGGGCCCAGCAGATTCACACCCAGATCCCCAGCAGGTTCCCTTGAAGCTCATGGTTATGTGGAGAACTGGTACATTCTCAAACAATATTAGTGCTTGGTTAGAAAGGCAGAAAGAGAAAACCTGTAATGGCTAGGACTACTCTGATCATCCTATTTAAATTTGCACAACACCAGCTGGGTGCAGTGGCTCACGCCTGAAATCCCAGCACTTTGGGAGGCCAAGATGGGTGACTTGCTTGAGTCCAAGAGTTACAGACCAGCGTGGGCAACATAGCAAAACCCCATCTCTACAAAACTACAAAAATTAGCCAGGCATAGTTGTGCATACCTGTGATCCCGGCTAGTCGGGAGGCTGAAGCATGAGAATCGCTTGAGCCTGGGAGGCTGAGGTTGCAGTGAGCCGCGATTGTGCCACTGCACTCCAGCCTGGGCAACAGAGTGAGACTCTGTCTCAAAAAAAAAAAAAAAAAAAAAAAAAAAAGTGCACAGCACTTATTATCCTCTAAAACACTAAAGTATTGATTATGCTTATTTTTCATTGTCTATCTCCTTCCACCAGATGTAAATTCCATGAGAGTAGGAATTTAATTTTTAAAAAATACTTATTTGCAAATATACACAAAAGTAGAAAGAATAGAATAATAGATCCTATTACACCTCTCCTCCTAAAAGCAACAATTATAAAAAATTTGCCAGAGATTTTTTTTCTCTCTTCCCGTTTTCCTCCTCCCTTTTTCTTTCTTCGTTTCTTTTTGCTTTATTTCTTGGAAGAAAATACTTGACATCATGATATTTCACACTTAGAACTATTGAATATTATCTCCAAAAAATAAAGACATTTTCTACATAATTATAATTATTATATCTTATAAAAGTAAAATTATGTTCTTAACATAATCTAATGCCCAGTCCATATGCACATTCAAGTAAGATTCAAAATTTGAATATTCTTTTAATCTGTAACAGTTTATCCCTCTTTGTTTTTGTGTGATAGACTTTGTGAAGAAACTGGTAGAATGTCACATAATCTGGATCTGTCTTATTGCTTCCTTGTAGTATTATATAATTTGCACCTCTTTTCCCTAAATTTCCTATAATCTGGAAGCTAAATCTCAGGCATAATAAACTAATCTGCTCAATTATTTGGCAATACTACTGGGTAAACAGTGCTGTGCACGTGCTACAGTACCTTATTAGGAGGCACATCATAACTCACCTTCTACTTCTGTTTGGGTGGTGGCAGCTAGATCTTCCATTGCAAAGTTCCCCATAGCCTCTCTTTTTTTTTGTTTGTTTGGTTTTTTTGTTGTTGTTGTTTGTTTTTTGTTTTGTTTTGTTTTTTGAGACGGAGTCTCGCTCTGTCGCCCAGGCTGGAGTGCAGTGGTGCGATCTCGGCTCACTGCAAGCTCCGCCTCCCGGGTTCACGCCATTCTCCTGCCTCAGCCTCCCGAGCAGCTGGGACTACAGGCACCCGCCACCACGCCCAGCTAATTTTTTGTATTTTTAATAGAGATGAGGTTTCACCATGTTAACCAGCATGGTCTCGATCTCATGACCTCATGATCCGCCCTCCTCGGCCTCCCAAAGTGCTGGGATTACAGGCGTGAGCCACCGTGCCCGGCCTTATATAGCCTCTCATTTAATAATTTTACCACCCAGCAAATGCTTTTTGCCTGGCTTAATGATTTCATTAATGATTATAAAATTGCGATTTTCTAATTTTATTATTCTTTTCATATTTATTAGTTGTCATTGTTCTCTAAAGAAGAGCTTTTCCACAGCACATGGAAGCGATTTGGTCGCCCAGGAATATACTTCCTGAAGGAACGGCAGAATAAATGTACTAGTCTTATATTTTAATTACCAATTTTCATACTGAGGTACTGATTCAGAGTCAGTAGTGGGGAGAGGGACATTTGCCTTTTCACTGGTGTGTCCCAAGGGCCTAGAAGAGTGCCTGGCACAGGTAGTGTTTAATAAATATATGTTGAATTAAATAATATGTGAATGATAAAAGGCCCTTACAATAGGTGACAAAAATCCTTTATATAGTAGGTGTTTGAAAAAAGTCACGTCTTACTACAACAAAGGGTCAAGATTCTGGATCTGAACTCTGTATTCTAGGTGTTTTTACCAGAGGTGAATGAGAATGTTTGTCCCTTAGTTAATGCCGTTGGCCACTACAGGTGCCACAGAATAAAGAAGGAATAAGAACAATATGCTGTCCAGATTCCCCTGGAAATCTGGGGAGGAAAAGGGAACTTTATAATGGCATGAGTTGAAATTCTCCCCAAGGAAAATTAATTCTAAGTCAAAAGACTCAGAATTAGTTTTAATTTTTTTTTTTTTTTTTGGTGGGGGATGGAATCTCACTCTGTCACCCAGGCTGGAGTGCAGTGGCACAATCTCTGCTCACTGCAGTCTCTACTTCCTGGGTTCAGGTGATCCTCCCACCTCAGCCTCCCAAGTAGCTGGGACTACAGGCGTGCACCACCACACCCCACTAATTTTTGTGTTTTTATAGAGAAGGGGTTTCACCATGTTGCCCAGGCTGGTCTCAAACTCCTGCCCTTAATTGATCTGCCGGCCTCTGCCTCCCAAAGTACTGGGATTACAGGCATTAGCTACTGCGCCCATTCTGAATTAGTTTTAATTTGATGCAGAAGAAATACTGTGGCATTTTGTTAGATTCTACACCCAGGAGTGGGATTAAAAGGTCTCAGGTCAAACCCTTAATCTTACCAAACGTTTCCAGATTCCTTTCTAGTATTGCCACATCTATTTTTATGCCCAGCAATGTTTTTACCAGCAGTTGATATGATCTGTTTTTCCAATTCTTGATAATCATTTTTGATAATCTGATGGTTATAAACTATTTCTTTGTTATTTCAAGCTTTCATTTCTTTAATTACTAATGAAGTGGAGCATTGCTCATTACCCATTTTGGCTTTATCTTCTGAAATTGGCTTTTCCTTGACTATTTTTTTTTTCCCCTGGGGTTTCCTGTCTTTTTAGGGCTGACATGAAGGAGTTTCTTATATGTAGATGCTAATCTACATATAAATCTAAAACCACAAATGTGGTTTTAGGCATTACAAATATTTTCTTCCAGGCTGCCACACTAGTTAACATTTGGACTCAGTCTCAACTCCTTTTGCAGTGTGATACCCTAGGGATAGGTTTAGTTGCCTCCTTTGGGGAAAATCTTTGTAACGGGGATTACTTCTCTGCCTGTACACTTAGTAAATTATCTGTACTTCAGCTACTTGGAAGTTCTGGCAGGAAATAATGAACATGTTACAGTACATAGATATAATTCTCTGTATACATTGGAAATGTTTCTGCAAGATGTACAAAATCAAATTTTGTTAATTGAAAATCATGTCAAAAATTAAGCATGCACTTATATCTTTGTGGCATTGGGTAACACATATCCAAAACAGGATAGTCTGAATTCTGAAAGGGCACCCAGAATGGACATTTCTGGAAGTAAATATATTCTCCTGGTTGCTCATTTTCACAATTTGAAATTTTGCTTTCGTTTTTGTATAGAAAGAAAAGCATTCTTTGAAGGCTTCTCCAGGATTCTGTTTTTCCTAGATAATTTTTTACGCTGCGATTATTTTCTTCCTGCCAATTAGAAAGACACAGATATGCACAGAGGAGATTTTGTACCTGTCGCTCCAAAAGAGAAATGACTTCAGGGCATGAAGTAGTAAAACTAAGTCCATTTGCCCGTTCCTATATCAACTAACTGGGAGATGATAGCAACAAAAATAATTCTCTGGTCTCAATACTTTGAACCACTGTGTTTTAGCTAAGCCTTTATCCACTAATCTCCCATGTGGGTTTCCCATGTATACCATGGTTCAGTGGTTCCCCTTATAACTTTTGCTATATATTAGAATCACGTGGGGATCCTTTAAGAATCCCCAACCCAGATCGCACACAATATCAGTTAAAGCAGAATGTATCAAGGTGGAAGCCAATACTTTTTTAAATCTCCCGTTGATTCCAACGTTCAGCAGTTTGGGAACTGTCTCCATACTCCTCAGAAGCCCAGGGCTTTATCAAGATTAACGTTATTACAAGGGAATTGTTTTTGTCCTGTGCTGGACGCCGGGTGGAAATGAAACTCGCTAAAACTGGAATTCGAGTGTTTGGCACTGAAAGGATGGGACTCTTGCTTTCCTTCTCACTTCCCATCTCCACCTTAACCTTTTCTACAACTCATTTATTTGTCAATGAAATGAAAAATTTCATGTATTTGTCATAAGGACTGATTGAAAATTTAGAAAGGAGACAGTACTGTGGCTGGCACACATTGGCCTTCACTAAATGTTCTGAAAAGTCCTCACTTGTTTAATGAGGACACATTCAGGACCTGCCTTACCCGACTGTCCTGCTGGAGGTAACTTCTCTTCCTCCCCAGCGGTGCCCAAGCACACCCTGTGCGGGTCCCTCCTTTCTGCTCTTTCTACTTTGGCCCTCCCCACATTCAACAACAGGCTCTCTATCAGTTATTGTCAGGGAACAGCAAGACACAAGCGATTTTGTCAAATTCATGATCAAAAGGCTATGTTACCTGTGACAGTGACCAGAAAAATGACAGGTGAGAGGAGCTAGCACAGAGCCAAGCAGGATTGACAGAGGGAGGGACTTGGAAGGAATTGGGAAGAATAGATGAGTAGAAGGTACTAAAATCATGTGCAATTGGGTGGATTTAAGGTTGAGAAAATTACGGGAAAGAAGGTTATTCAGCAATATGAATAACCTTGACCACTTTCTATATGTCTAGCTCTGTGTTGAGCACTTCGAAGGATTTGAGAAATAGGAGATGTGGTATCTGCTGTCAAAGAACTTGTAGAACAAAACAAACACAACAGGAATAATTTAGAGAACAGCTCAGTACCAAACTCTGAGAGCTGGCATGTTCAGAAAAGGCTTTCTTGGGGAACTATGCCTCCAGCTGGATCTTGCAAGGTCAGTGTGATTTTAATTAGTGGAGAGAAGGAAATAAAATATTCCAAGGATGGGGGAGCAGCCAGGGGTTGGAGCAGGAGGAATCTGACTGTCCTTTGCTACTTTCTATCTTCCCTTACTCAACAGCAGTCAAAGCCAAAGATGCGAAGTCACTCTTACCTCTGATGATAATAATGGTGATAATTTTCTTGGTGCTTCTGTTCTGGGAAAATGAGGTGAATGATGAAGCAGTGATGTCAACTTTAGAACACTTGCATGTGGACTACCCTCAGAATGACGTTCCCGTTCCTGCAAGGTACTGCAACCACATGATCATACAAAGAGTTATCAGGGAACCTGACCACACTTGTAAAAAGGAGCATGTCTTCATCCATGAGAGGCCTCGAAAAATCAATGGTATTTGCATTTCTCCCAAGAAGGTTGCTTGCCAAAACCTTTCGGCCATTTTCTGCTTTCAGAGTGAGACAAAGTTCAAAATGACAGTCTGTCAGCTCATTGAAGGCACAAGATACCCTGCCTGCAGGTACCACTATTCCCCCACAGAGGGGTTTGTTCTTGTCACTTGTGATGACTTGAGGCCAGATAGTTTCCTTGGCTATGTTAAATAACTCAAGATCAGCTCCCGAGTCTGAGATCTCTTCTCTCAATGGCATTGGAGCTGGCTGTGCCTGAGGCAGACCTGGACCGTGGACATGGGGCAATGCCTTGAGCGGAAGGGGAAGCCACTGGTAATTAATTTATCCTTCCTGTATTGCTGGGTTGGGATTGTTTTATTCTGCTTCAATAAAATAATCTTTACTGAATTAAACCATAAATTCTACATGTGTTTCCATTTTTTGTCCCTTATCTCTAGGTCCTTTGATGAGAAACAGGACTGAGATTAAGATAAAGGGAATGAGCCACTCACTTGAGGTGCAAAACTTAAGAGGGCACCAGAAGACCAAAAACCTAGTAACCTAGATGAATATATTTGATTTCAGTGTTTCCTTTTTCTTTTTTTGAGACGGAGTTTTGCTCTTGTTATCCAGGCTGGGGTGCAATGGCACGATCTCGGCTCACTGCAACCTCTGCTTCCCGGGTTCAAGTGATTCTCCTTCCTCAGCCTCCCAAGTAGCTGGGATTACAGGCATGTGCCACCGCGCCCGGCTGATTTTTGTATTTTTAGTAGAGATGAGGTTTCTCCATGTTGGTCAGGCTGGTCTCAAACTCCTGACCTCAGGTGATCTGCCCACCTCAGCCTCTCAAAGTGCTGGGATAACAGGCGTGAGCCACTGTACCTGGCCTTGATTTCAGTATTTTAAAACAATCAAAATTAATGCAAAAATCTTGGATGCTCGCCGGGCGCGGTGGCTCACGCCTGTAATCCCACCACTTTGGGAGGCCGAGGCGGGTGGATCACGAGGCCAGGAGATCGAGACCATCCTGGCTAACACGGTGAAACCCTGTCTCTACTAAAAATACAAAAAATTAGCCGGGCGTGGTGGCGGGCGCCTATAGTCCCAGCTACTCCGGAGGCTGAGGCAAGAGAATGGCGTGAACCCAGGAGGCGGAGTTGCAGTGAGCCGAGATCGCGCCACTGCACTCCAGCCGGGGCGGCAGAGTGAGACTCCGTCTCAAAAAAAAAAAAAAAGAAATCTTGGATGCTCAAAATATCTATCACAAAATTTTGAAGATCCAATCTGACAAGGCTAGGATCAGGGTAAGATGAGTTATGTGAGAAACGTAGTGCAGGGCCAGATCCTGGTATTTAAAATTTTAACATTTGTTCATCAGGGATTATTTTGCATTAAATTTATTTTCTGGCCAGGCGTGGTGGCTCATGCCTGTAATCCCAGCACTTTGGGAGGCTGAGGCAGGTGGAACACTTGAGGTCAGGAGTTTGAGATCAGCCTGGCCAACATGGTGAAACCTCCTCTCCACTAAAAATACAAAAGTTAGTTGGGTGTGGTGGTGCACGCCTGTAATCCCAGCTGCTTGGGAAGCTGACACAGGAGGAGCGCTTGAACCTGGGAGGTGGAGGTTGCAGTGAGCCGAGATCATGCCATTGCACTCCAGCCTGGGCAACAGAGCAAGACTCTGTCTCAAAAATAAATAAATAAATATTTTCTAAAATTGTTGCATTAAAATATTATTTATCTTGATTATTGAGTTTTGTGGCACTCTCTTAAATTTTGGTCTTAGAGTGAGTGTCTCATTAACCTCAGCCTAATCCTAGCTCTGCTTCTAGCTGTAGAAGCAACAGAGGTCACCTCTTAGGGTCTTTTTTAAAGATAGCATATACAACTCAGGCAGCATCTGTTCCTGTTCAGCAGCTCCCTTTGTGTCTTGAAATAAAGAAAGGAGCCTGACTGGTCTGAAACCATTTCCCTTAAAGACTTTAGAGAGACACAGATAAGGATTTCCCAGGGAGGGATTGAGACTTTCAGAGCTCAGTGACCTCCTCTTTGTGTCTCCAGAAGGAACAGAGAGGACTTTGAGCCGGACTACTAACTCTTTTCTCTTTTTAGTTCTTACAATTGGACTTACTGCTTAGTTTCCCCACATTCAGCTATGGGCATAGTATCCTTACAGCTAGAAGGAGAAGGACGAGAAAGAGAGATTTCTAATTCTGGGGATTTCATGAAGTCCTCTTCTTCTCTATTCATTAGTTTCCTTGTCTGTAAAGTGAGGATCTTGAATTAGATAATCTTTCAAGTTCTTTCCAAGTCTATTAGTCTATAATTCTATTTCTTAAGTAGTACAGAAAATGGCTATATTATAGCCATTGTTGGAGGGGAGAATTTGTATTGTGAGGTAGTAAGAAATAAGGGGCAATTGGCAAATAAAGGCCAGATTATGTTGTCACTAATTCTGAGCTATGGCATTTCAATCCTGTATGTGAGAGCTAGAGACTCATACAGTGACCTAGAGCAGGCATGGGTGGGTCACAGGCTTTGGAGAGCACTCTCTGTCCTGATCTTTTCAGTTGAGAGACTTCAGCTGTTCATTGCTCATTTGGACTTAGTTCAAGGTCATGTCAAAGAAGAAGGTGCACTTACGCTAGTTGTTAGCTCTGTCTTTTGTAACCATCAAGTTCCATGCGATTGATCAGATTTAGGAGGGGGCGTTGGGGGATAATCGTAAGTGAAGGACAGTTTGCAACCTTGTGAGTAGGCAACGCTTACTCATCTCATGGCTTCTTCCATCTTAGGTGGCCGTTTTTCAGCTGAGTTTCATTTTCTAGTTCTCTGTGGTAATTCTGTTGTCATTGTTGTCTCCATAGAATTTTGGGTGTCACCAGGTAAACAGAGCCCTCAGCATCTGAATAGAAACTGAACAGGAACAGGTAGGTGGTCCCTAGCACATGATTTGTTGGGCCTTGGTAGCATCATTTTTTGGGCAAAACTTTGAAGTGGATGAAATGCATCCTTTAGGTTCCTACATCTATTTTCTGAATTCTGATTCCTTTTTCTATCCCTCTCCCTAGGTTTTGTTGTCTTTTCTTTCCTTTTCAGTGCTTTTTCTCCCCTTCTTCACCGAAGCTCCTCCTTTCTAATTAAAAATATCTTGCAGATAAAAGTATAACTGAGATGAACCAATAGGATGTATCCTCAGAGTAATTTCATTCAATAGGGATCAACACCAAATTCAAATGAATTGTGACATTTTAGACATTCGTAGTTTGGGTGTGTGTGTATCTATATCTATCTATCTGTATCTAAATATGTATATACATATATATTATACAGATATATAGGATCAGAGTCTCATTCTGTTGCCCAGGATGGAGTGCAGTTGTGTGATCACAGCTCACTGCAGTCTCAGACTTTTGGGCTCAAGAAATCCTCTCCTCTCAGCCTCCCGAGTGGCTGGGACTATAGGCATATGCCACCACAACTGGCTTTTTGTTGTTGTTGTTGTTGTAGAGATGGATTCTCACTATGTTGCCTAGGCTGGTCTTGAACTTCTGGCCTCAAGTGATCCTCCCGCATTGGCCTCCCAAAGCAATGAGACCACAGGCATGAGTGACTGTGCCCAGCCAGGTATATTTTTTTAAAGGGCACCTCTTAGCAGTTTCAAATAAAACCTAGGCAGCTGTGAATGCTGCCCACTTGAAATATATGTCTCAGAAAGACTGGAAATTTCTGCCCTGCTCTTCTTCCTGTTTATCTTTCTCCTCCTGGTCTTTCTGTTTCCCTATTGTCACCTCACTACTGATGTCAATGGTATAGGATATAGAAGTTTAGGAAACAAAATAAATTCCCTATAAATCCCTCATCCTTTCTGCCTTCAAAATGTATCAGGTCTTTGGTCAAGGCATCCTTGGACACACACCTGGACACATATACTTAATTCTTAATAATCTATCAATAATCCATCAACCCAATTAAGGCTTATGTATTCTTGGTGCTAGGTTTTTCCTCTAGTTTCTCACACAGACATTTTAAATTCAAATATAATTTTTTAAAAGTTCATACATAATAACATCAAATGAGTGGTATAAGAAGGGAATGATAAGAAGTTCAGAGAAGTTGGAAATGGATTTAGTAGACTTAAGCGGTGATGAAACATGTAAAATAAAGAATGAGATCTGAACTGGGCTTTGAAGGATTTCAAGAGGCAGGAAAGAATAGCCATTCAAGAAAGAAGCTAAGTGGGAGAGATGGCATAGGGTATATTAAAAAAAGAGTCACACTGATTGACTAGGGCAGGTTTGTGTAGCAAAATAATGGGAGATAAATCCCGATAGGCAGATTGAGATGAGAGCAAGTGGAGCATTGGCTCCTGGGCTCAGGGGATCAGACTTCCTACTGTGAGCAAAGAGGAATGTTTCAAAAATTCTGAGTGTTGTTGCAAGTTATGTTTTTAGAAAAGTAGTGTATAGAAGAAATTGGAGGGTCAGGAAGGGGTGATTAGGAGGGAAGTAAGGGTAATAATGTAGGAGATCAATGTAGAAGGGATGGTGGCTTTAGAGGTGGAACATAAAAAAGAGGAAAATAGAATCATTCTAAAGAGAGAGAAATAATTATTAACTTAAATAACCTTTCTTTAGGGATTTTCCAGGATTGACCTCAAGTAAAGGATTTTATATACTAGTAAGGTCATGTTATGTTGTTAACAAATAGTGTTGAGAAATTAGTGTGTGTGCAGTAATTACACACACTAAATAAAACTCAGGCAGCTATGAATGCTGCCCACTTGAATTACATGTTTCAGAAAGACTGAGAATTTCTGCTCTGCTCTTCTTCCTGTTTCCTTAACATCTACTCTTTAGCACTATAGTAAACTCTTGATTATTTATACTAACTGGAGGAGTGAAGAATGCAAAATTGTGGATAATTCCATTAAAATTTATAACTGATCCTGGAGTGCAGATTCTTTATTAATCTACAGTTCATTATTTGATTCTATATGAATAAAAGTATAAATAATCAGAAACTGTGTTTCAGGCTCGAGGAATTTTTAGCCTAACAAGAGGGAGAAAAGATTAACATGAATTGACTAACTGGAAAAATGAAAAAGATCATATAAAATGAAGTGCAACTTAATCTGTGCTGTAGGGTTTCAGAAAACAAAAAAGTCATGCTGGGTTTTGGTATAAATAGACAGAAAATATTTCACAGAATAAGAAGCAATGGTACTGCCCAGGTCATTGGGATTCCGACTGCCAAATGGGCACTTTGTTCAGTTCTCCCTGAGCTTCCTTGGTTCCACGTGGTCTCCTGAGTCAATCTCATACAACCCTATCTACCCCTCTGTTGCCCCTCCTTCCCTCAGTTAGACACAACAGCAGAAACTCCCAGGAAACAAACACGATTTCACTTTTAGCTCTGCAACAAAGTGGAATCTTCCTCTACAGGATCAACTTGCCGAAGGAACTGGTAAAGACAGAAATCTTATGAATGAGAATGGGTGGCAAAAGAAATGAGAGATGGGGAAATGGCAATGTGTGTTTTATTTTGTTTTCGAGTGGCTACCATGTGCCAGGTTCTATATGAGGCTATAGGAGATACAGTAATGGTGAGGGAATGTGTTGAGTGAGAATCGTGACCCACCATGGAGATTATACACCCCACCAATGAGATTATAGACCAAGGGAAAAGGATAAGAAACAAATACTTGGTTGTAGATCTTTAAACATGTCACCTTACGTAATTCTCACAATTTTTTTCAGATGGGGAAACTGGAGTTAAATAAGGTTGAATAAATTATAAGCAGAAAAGCAGGAATTTGAACATGAGTCTTCAGACTCCACAGCTGATTGTCTTTCTATTATATCATAGTTCCATTCACAGATATAAAAATTTTAACCTACATGTAGGGGTCCCTACCAGGAATAACTGTCAGGAGGAAGAAAGAACTACCTCTTTAATCTTCTTATTTTATCTTTCATTTATTGTCTTTACTGCAGAAGAGATTACACTACATCTGAGATGGAGACCTTTCCTCTGCTGCTGCTCAGCCTGGGCCTGGTTCTTGCAGAAGCATCAGAAAGCACAATGAAGATAATTAAAGAAGAATTTACAGACGAAGAGATGCAATATGACATGGCAAAAAGTGGCCAAGAAAAACAGACCATTGAGATATTAATGAACCCGATCCTGTTAGTTAAAAATACCAGCCTCAGCATGTCCAAGGATGATATGTCTTCCACATTACTGACATTCAGAAGTTTACATTATAATGACCCCAAGGGAAACAGTTCGGGTAATGACAAAGAGTGTTGCAATGACATGACAGTCTGGAGAAAAGTTTCAGAAGCAAACGGATCGTGCAAGTGGAGCAATAACTTCATCCGCAGCTCCACAGAAGTGATGCGCAGGGTCCACAGGGCCCCCAGCTGCAAGTTTGTACAGAATCCTGGCATAAGCTGCTGTGAGAGCCTAGAACTGGAAAATACAGTGTGCCAGTTCACTACAGGCAAACAATTCCCCAGGTGCCAATACCATAGTGTTACCTCATTAGAGAAGATATTGACAGTGCTGACAGGTCATTCTCTGATGAGCTGGTTAGTTTGTGGCTCTAAGTTGTAAATCCCACAGAGCTTTAGGACTAGGGTCTTACTAAAGAAGGACCTCTTCTTGTTCATTCTTGTTTAAACCTTTCCTTAATATCTACTCTTTAGCACTATAGTGAACTCCTGATTATTTATTCTAACTGGAGGAGTGAAAAATCCAAAATTGTGGATAATTCAATTAAAAGTTATGACTGATACTGGCGTGCAGATTCTTCTCTCTCTATCTCTCTCTCTGTGTGGGGGGAGGGTGGGGAGGGTGTAAAACAAACTGAATTTCATCCTAGCTCAGCTATAAAGCCAAGAAACAGAATCCACCTAACTAGGCAGAATTAAGGAAACAAGGACTAAAGCCAATATGGACAATGAAAAGCTAATTGTACTGCCAATGATACTATTCAGAAAAATAGTGAATGAGTGTGACATATATTATTATCACTACTCTCTTCAAAGGGTATGTGCTCACACTTGTGTGAATTGATGTATGCACATAACAAAGAGTCTGCCTGTCCTTCAGGAAATGCCAGAGGAAAAAGATTCTTTGGCTGAGCTGATGCTCTCAGTGTCAATAGCTCCAGCCCTATGCAATCTCCATTCTTCCACCCCCATCTCTATTTCACAGGTTGCTGTAAAGAGAAGAAAATTCTTATTGTAATCTTTATTCAAGCCAAGTCTTGATACCCTGGGGCTGTGGGAGAGGAATGGCAAGCCATGGAAGAATAGAGGAGCCAGAAAGATGGGAATAGAAAGTCTGTGCTAAGTACCAGGCAGGACTGGTCTTCAACCTTGATGTCTTATGATACTGTAGTTAATTTTGTTCACTACCAGCTATTTATTTGCAAACGTTCGTGGTTCAACATTCTGCTTAAAGTATGGACAGTTATCTTCTTCATCGATGTGTGGCCATATGTTTCTATTCCTCTCCTTAAATCCTCCCTCCATCCTGAGACCACTCTTTCTTAATGTTCTAATTTTAACTAAATGCATGTAAATGTATGTAAATTATGTCATGGTAACATCTTTCTTGTACATAATTCTCTATATGTCATTTTCCCGAAGCTTTATCATATTTGGTGCAGAATTCTCAATATACTGGAACTGTAAAACATTTACAATCAACCAATTTGCAGCATTACAGCAACATTTTTGTACGTTTGAGCTGGCTTTCCCTTGTCAGTGTAGGCGTTGTTTAAATAATCAATGTGGGTTTGGCCAAACAGGTATGTAATTAGGACTCAGTTTGCACTCGGCAGCCAAAGGACAGAGCAATAAAGCAAAATGCTTGGGTCCCAAAGGTCTCTTCTCTGTAGGAGGAGGACTCAGGACCCAGAAAGGAAGATGTGCTTACCGAGTTCCATCCCAGGGATAGCTCCACATAGTGAGTCTGATGCTACCACCCACTCATCAAAAAGAAGGGTGGACTCCATCCACAGTAGAGTAGTCTAAGCAGTCTCCTCTTGTTCAAATTTAGTTCAGATTTGAATAACTTCTTTCCGACAGTAGATTTCCAGCTCTGGCTGAGAGTCATGTCAGCCTCAGAGCCTAACTATTTAAACTCTGGGAGAGTTTTCTTTAATGTGTAAGAAAAAGTAAATGCTGCCTACTTCAAATTGAGTACTCATATCATCCCTCACCAGAAGAGAAAACAAAGACCCAGAATAGCTAGCTCTTTTTGGGCCAGGAGCATCCTTTAAAGAGGCTTAGTTAAGACCAAACCCTTCCACTTCTCTGAAGGAAGCGGAAGCTCTGGGTTCCAGATACAGTCCAACAAATGTTTCTTGCACATGTTAGAAAACTAACTGAGAAGTGGGCCGGACGCAGTGGCTCACACCTATCCCAACACGTTGGGAGGTCAAGTCAGGTGGATCACTTGAGGCCAGGAGTTTGAGGCCAGCCTGGTCAACATGGTGAAACCCGGTCTCTACTAAAATAAAATCACAAAACTTAGCCAGATGTGGTGGTGCACACCTGTAATCCCAGCTATTCAGGGTGCTGAGGTGGGAGGATCACCTGAACCTGGGAGGCGGAGGTTACAGTGAGCCAAGATCACACTACTGCACACCACTCTGGGTGATAGTGTGAGACTCTGTCTCAAAAAAAAAAAAAAAAAAGAAAAAAGAAAAAAAGAAAGAAAAGAAAAATAACTGAGAAGTGAATGTGTGTTATATCCCTTAGCTGAAAGAAAACATTAGAGGGCATGAGATGGGATGATAAAGGAGATGGACCCAATTTAAAAAGGGCCAAAGAAGGGAGAGTCAGGTAGGAGAAGGAAGCTGAGGATGGACAGAGGATGGAAGGATACAGAGGTTTGTGAAAGACACCAACAGGGGTTGTTTAGCCTAAAAGGAGTACCCTTCTTGTCTCTAACATTCCCTCTGCTTTCCCAAAATAAAGTATATTAAATATCTCTTAAGCAACAATTATGAAGAAACAAGTCCCTGGCCTCAAGTACCCAAGATGGTACTGAAGGAAGGAGTGCCTTTGCCACATCACCGATAAGTCTTCATATGTTCTGTGGCGGGGCTCACCATGCCTTCCAAGAAAGTCATTTCCCCTCATTGAGATTCAATTTTCTTATCTACACAAGGAGGAAACTGGATTAGGTCTGGGTTCTCAGGCATAGATGTGCATCAGGATCACTGTGGCAAAGTTTTCAGGTTAGCCACCCAAATCAACCCACCTTGCTCCCAAGGCAAAGGGATGCAGTGAGGCACAGGATGCCCAGCCAGACTGACTTTCCCAGTCTCTGTGAGCAGAAGTAATTCATGCTGCTTCCAAGTCCAGGTCTTACAACATTGGACTGGCCTCCTCTGTGACTTTTTTCTTCCCAACAGCTAGATCGCCAAAATGGACATGTGTGCCCCAACTTTAATCATGCAGATAATGGCAATGTCCTAGAAATGGCCTGAACGGTAAAATGGAAGGAGGCCACATCCCTGAATAATTGTTAAGCACAGTTATTTTGCTAGCCTGGATTGCTCATTTTGGGACTGTTATATGAGATTAAAATGTTTATATATTTTTACCCACTATACTCTGATATTTCATTCCATGAGCTTAGCCTTACACTAACAAATTCAACAGCTTTTGGAGCTATTATAAATACAAATCCCTGGGCCCCAATCCCAGAAATTTGGCTTCTATCGATCAAAGATAAGACTGTAGCATGTGGGTCTTTTAAAAGTGCATTAGGTTTATTGATGTGCTGCAAAGTTTGAACTCTACTGGATTAGATGAACTAAAGTTCTCTTTTTAATCATAGGACATTCTAGTCCTGATGAAGGAAAAAAGCTTGCTGCGTATATATTCAGAGCTTTTGAAGACAACACTGAGGCAAAATAATTCAGTTTAACTCAAAGAGCTTCCACCTCCTACACAGTCTCCCAGAACTAGCAAGGCAGTCCTTTTATGCTGAAAGTCCTTCACTATAGGGTACATCTGTGAGCAAACGCAAAGTCACTGTAAGAGGAACTCATGTTTCCAAAACAGTGACAAGTTAAAAGAGGTGTCACACACATGAAATGCCTCCTTTTCACTCCAGCAACCAGAGAACTGGCTGATTTGGGATAACATGGCTGTTTTAAATCCTTAATCCTTCAGGTTTCAAAGCATGCTGAACTTATTCGAAATCATATATAGCAATCATTACGAAGATGTTTAATGGTAATAATCATAATAACAATAGAGCTTTTATGATGTGCTAGGCACTAGTTTATTTACTTTTTATTCTCAGAAGAATGCCCAGGAGGCAAATACTATTATTCTTCCCCCTTTAGCGATGAAGAAACAGAAGCACAAAGACTGTAGGTAATGTACAAGGTCACGTGTATAATAGGTGGCCCCCCAGGAGCAAACGAGGATAGCCTGATTCTGTAGGCCACACTTTTCGCCACTCATCTTTATTTGAAGGAAAACAGCAAACTTGCTTATAACCACACAGAAAGATAAAGGTAGAATGCTCCTGAAAAAATTCTACCTCACAGGATTGTTTTGAGGATTAAATGGCAAACCATTATGATTAATTTCATTATGATTAAATAAGGACACTGTGCTAAGTAGATAATTGAAAAAAATTCAATGTATCAAAAGGATTGATATCTTTAATATATAAAGAGGTCATCAGTTTAATAAGAAAAAGATGTAAATGTAATATAAATTAAATCAAGGGGCTATCATAGTTTGCCTACCCAATCCACACAAATAAGATTAAAAATAGAACATAGTGGGGGCATAGGTACAGGAAGGGGATGTTCTCATGCAGTCCTCCCAGGAAAGCAAATTGATGCATTTGCTGTCTTTGAGGAGAGCAATGTGAGCTAAGCCCCGTTCTAGTTTCCAGGCCCTCTGCACATTTGGCTGCTTTGCCTCCTTGTTGACACTCCCCTCTCCTCTTAAACCTTCTTTAGGTAAGAGACTTGCCCCAGTCAACTCTGGCCGAGGTGGTCTTTGAGGAGGCGTCCTCACTGGAGGCTTGAACAGGTCCTGAGGTTTGTCTCACACAGGGTCAAAGGGCACGGTCACAACGGCTGGCCAAGCTTCCGGGCTCTGCTGCTATGCATGTGTTCCCCTCGTCCTCCCCAGCTCAGGCTGTTCCAGGAACCCCATGTTCTCTGTGAGAATGTGGGCTGAGCTGTCTGACCTGTCATGTTAAATGTCCCTTCGGAGATCTCTCCTGGGTACAGGAAACAGATGCCTGTTAGAGGAGGAATATGAGGTGGGAGGCAGGGTTGGGAAGATAAACCCTTGACCCTGCCCACACAAAGTGTGATCACTTCCCCCTTCTTTATACCTTTCACCTTCTTCTTTCTTTTCTTTTATTTTTTTGAGACAGGGTCTCACTTTGCCACCCAGGTTGGACTGCAGTGGCGCGAACACAGCTCATCGCAGGCTCGACCCCCGTGCTCAGGTGATCCTCCCACCTCAGCCCTTCAAGTAGCTGGGACCACAGGCGTGCACCACCACATCCAGCTAATGCTACCTTTCCCCTTTTTTCCGTTTACATCCCTTCCTCATCCAACTTCCATGCTCTCTTCTCTTGACTAGATTGTGCCCTCAATACACATCTCCCTTTTGCACACTGCCATGACTTTTGTATTCTATTTTCCTTTTAGGCTTTGCACTGTTCAATTTTATGTGTTCTTTTCTGTGTGTCTTGCATTCACACTCACTGTTTGGGTATACAGTGACAAGTTGGACAGATTTCTGGAGCCAGGCCAATTATAAGACTTTCATTTAAAGGCCGATATTCAATGTGTCTTGGTTTCAGGCCCTGTGGGAGCAGTCCACACACTAATGCAGGGCTTGTGGAACATGGGGGCCTACTTTGTTTTGCTGAGTGACGTCATCCACACAATCGCCCTCTCTGATTTCCCTTTCCCTCTGGTAGTTCTCTAGCCTGATCCCCTTCTGAATGGTGTCCCCACTGTGCCCCAGCTCTGGAAAGTCTCCTGCTGGGAGGAACTTTACTCACATGCAAACCATGTAAATTGTTTACCATTTACAATTCTACCAGCAATCTAGGAGAAATTCAGTTCCTCAACATTCTTACCATTACTTATTAAAGTTAGTCATTTTAATTTTAGCCATTCTGATGGGTGTCCATTGGTATCACATTGTGATTTTAGGTTGCATCTCCCTAAAAACTAATGATATTTGAGCATGTTTTTAAATGTGTTTGCCATTCGAACATCTTCTTTTTTGAAATGTCTGTTAAAATATTTTGCCTATTTTTAAATTGCATTATTTGTATTTTTATTGTTGAGTTTTCTGGATAATAGTCTTTCATCACAGATATATGCTTTGCAGCTAATACAGATGTGCAGTATTTACCAGTTTTCTCTTCAATACTGCTTTAACAGCATCCCAAAAGTTTTGCTATGCTGTTTTTGTTGTCATTCAGATCAAAATATTTTGTAACTTCCCTTTTGGTTTCTTGTTTGACCTGTGTTTTGGCAGAAAATATGGTAAATCCTGGTGGATGTTCCATGTGCACTTGAAAAGAATGTGTACTCTGCTATCATTGTGTGTTCTTTAAGTGTCCGGGGAGGTTGATTGATAATGTTGTTCACGTCTTCAATACTCTTGCTGATTTTCTGCCTTCCTGATTTACCAGTTATGGATAATAGATATTGAAAACTCAGGCTACAATTATGGATTTGTCCATTTCCCCTTTCAGTTCTTTCCATGTTTGCTTCACGTAATTTGAAGCCATGTTTTCAGTGGCTTGAGTGTTTAGAATTGTTCTGTCCTGTTGATTAATGGATCCCATTATCATTTGAAAATGACTCTATTGAGCCTGGGTAATAGTCTTCCTTCTGAAATCTATATAGTCTAATATTGATATAGCTACTCCAGCTTTCTTTTGACCAGCATCAGCACGGTGTATGTTTTCATATCCTTTTATTGTTAATTTCTTTGTGTCTTCATATAATGTACATTTCTTGTAGATAGTGTATAGTTGAGTCTTCTTTTTTTAAATCCAGTCTATATCTGGCTTTTAATTGGTGTGTTTAGACCATTTACATTTAATGAGATGATTGATATGGTTAGTCTGAGTTTAATGTCTTGCTGTTTTTGTGTTTATCCCATCTATTCTTTGTTCTGTTTTTTGATGTATTTTTGGCCTTCATTTGGACATATCAAGTATTTTTTATGATTTCATTTTATTTCCTTGGTTGGCTTTTTAGCTATACCTCTTTGTTTTGTTACTTCAGGGTTGCATTAGGATTTATAGTACACCTCTGTAACTTACCACAGCCTACTTTCAACCGATATTATTATTTATTTTATTTATTTTTTTTTATGAGATGGAGTTTCACTCTTGTTGCTCAGGCTGGAGTGCAATGGCGTGCTCTCGGCTCACTGCAACCTCCACCTCCTGGGTTCAAGCAATTCTCCTGTCTCAGGGTCCCAAGTAGCTGGGATTACAGGCACCAGCCATCATGCTCAGGCTAATTTTTGTATTTTTAGTAGAAATGGGGTTTCACCATATTAGCCAGGATGGTCTCAAACTCCTGACCTCAGGTGATCCACCCACCTCAGCCTCCCAAAGTGCTGGGATTACAGGTGTGAGCCACCGTGCCTGGCCAATAACTGCTATTTTTAGGTCAATTATATTTAAATAAATTTAAATAATGAGAAAAATCATACATAGTTAACATTTATAACATTCTTTATTCCCTTGTATAGATGCAGATTTCCATTTTCTTCCTGCCTGTATAACTTTTTAACACATATCTTGCAGTGTGGATTTGCTGGTGATAAATTCTTTGTTTTGTGTTTATTTTGCCTGAGTTTTTGAAAGATATTTTTGCAAAGTGTAGAATCTGCAGGAATTTCATTTTTCATACTTTCAGAACTTTAATGATGCTTTTGCACTGTATTCTTTCTTATGTTATTTCAGATGAAAAATCTAATGTCAAGTTTATCTTTGTTTCTCTGATCATAACGTATCTTCTTCTTTTTTTTTTTTCTTTAGACAGAGTTTCACTTTTGTTGCCCAGGCTGGAGTGCAATGGTACGATCTCGGCTCACCGCAACCTCTGCCTCCTGGATTCAAGCGATTCTCCTGCCTCAACCTCCCAAGTAGCTGGGACTACAGGCGTGCACCACCACGCCCAGCTAATTTTTGTATTATTAGTAGAGATGGGGTTTCACCATCTTGGCCAGGCTGGTCTTGAACTCCCAACCCCATGATCCACCTGCCTCGGCCTCCCAAAGTGCTGGGATTACAGGCATGAGCCACCGTGCCTAGCCTTCTTTTTTTCTTGAGACAGTCTTGCTCTGTTGCCCAGGCTGGAGTGCAGTGGCACGATCTCGGCTCACTACAACCTCTGCCTCCTGGGCTCAAACCATTTGTCCACCTCAGCCTCCAGAGTAGCTGGGACTACAGGCATGCTCCACTATGCCCTGCTAATTTTTATATTTTTAGTATAGATGAGGTTTCACCATGTTGGCCAGGCTGGTCTCAAACTCCTGACCTCAAGTGATCCACCTGCCTGGGCCTCCCAAAGTGCTGGGGTTACAGGTATGAACCACCATGCCTGGCGCTGACTATAACAATGTCTTTTTTTGTAAGATTGCTTCTAAGGTTTTCCCTATCACTGTTTTCTCCCCCTCTCACTTGGAGCATGATACACCTTGATGTTTTGTTCTTGGGACTTGCTGAGATTTTTGTATCTGTGAATGTATACTTTTCATCAAGTTTTGAAAGCTTTTGGCCATTATATCTTCAAAAAAATTTAATTTCCCCAGTTCTCCCCTTTAGAGACTCCAGGGCTACTTGCATTTATTGTATACTATTTTTTTCTTATGCAATTTCTAATCTGCCATTAATCGCAACCAGTGTATATTTTTTTTAATTTCACACACTGTAGTTTTTATTTCTAAAAGTTTGATTTTTTTTTTAATCATCTAAAACTCAACCCTTTCTTTTGCCTGTGTAGAATTCAGTTGTGGTAACTGTTTCTCTGTTAATTCTGAAATTTGTAATTGCTCTGGTTCGGTTTCCATTGACTGATTGTTCTCCTCATAAAGGTTTGTGTTTTCCTGCTCTTTTACATGCTTGGTAATCTTTGATTGGATTTCAGATGTTTTGAATTCTACATTGTTGGCTTACCTTGTAGGAATATTTGTATATTCCTATAAATCTTCTTGAGTGTTGTTCAAGGATACGTTTAAGCTACTTGGAACCACTTTGATCCTTTTGGATCTTGACTTTATGATTTGTTAGACAGCTCTGAAGAAGCGCTTAGTCCGGAGTTAATTATCGACCACTACTACCCAGATTAAGGGTGGGTCTGCCTGTCCCAGCCCACTGACTCAAATGTTAATCTCCTTTGGCAACACCCTCACAGACACACCCAGGATCAATCATTTACATCCTTCAATCCAATCAAGTTGACACTCGGTATTGACCATTACAGGAGCCCTGTGCAGATCTCTAAGGTTATGTCTCCATGCAGCTTTCTCATCTCACATGTTCTATCCTAAAGGCTCAAGCTTCTTTGACCTCTCAGTTTCATGTCCTGAACTCAGGTAGTCTGAAGACTCTAAGTTTACTCTTCCTTTACTTTTGCCTAAAATCTCTATAGACAGCAAGCTGAGTGATTGTAGGGCTCACCTTGTTTGGTTCCTCTCTCTCAATGATGAGTGTGTTTCGTGGCCTCAAGTTCAGTGTCTTGAAAATAAGTTTTAATGCTTTTTGTTAGTTTTTTTATGGTTTTGGATGGGGAAGTAAATCAGGTCTGTGTTATCCATCTTGGCTGGAAGATGTTCCCAGTCTTTTTTTTTTTCCTTTCTTTTTTAATTAATACATTATAATTGTATCTACTTATGAGATACACTGGATACTTCGATACATGCATACAATGTGTAATATCAAATTAGGGTAACTAGGATATCCACTACCTCAAACATTTATCATTTCTTTGTGTTGGGAACATTCCAAGTCTTTTCTTCTAGCTATTTTGAAATGTACAATAAATTATTGGTAACTATAGTCACCCTACTATGCTATTGAATGCTAGAAATTATTCCTTCTACTTAACTGTATTTTTTCTACCCATTAACTAGCCTTTCTTACCCCTCCTTTCCCACCCTTTCCCAGTCTCTGGTAACCATCATTCTACTTTCTACCTCCATGGGATCAACTTTTTGAGCTCCTGGATATGAATGAAATGTACAATATTTGTCTTTCTGTGACTGACTTATTTCACTTCACATAATGACCTCCAGTTCCATCCATGTTGCTGCAAATGACAGAAGTTCATTGTTTTTTTTATGGCTGAATAGTATTCCATTGTTTATATATATTACATTGTCTTTATTTGTTAATACATTGATGGGCACTTAGGTTAATTCTATAACTGGGCTATTGTAAATAGTGTTGCAATAAACATAAGCGTGCAGATACCACTTTGATATATTGATTTCCTTTCTTTTGGGTATATACCCAGCAGTGGGATTGCTGGATCATTTGTTAGTTTTATTTTTAGTTTTTTAAGGCATCTCCATACTGTTCTCTATAGTGGCTATACTAATTTACATTCCTACCAGTAGTGTATGAACATTCCCCTTTCTCCACATCCTCACCAGAATCTGCTATATATTTTTCTTTTTGATAATAGCTATATTAACTGGGGAGAGGTAACATCTCATTTGAGGACTAAGCTCTGATTTTTTTTTATCTTACCTAAATTCCTATCTAAGGGGTCTAGGGAGTCATGCCCTACAAACCATAAATTATCATCAGATGAGTTTTGTTTAACCCTATATATCGTGACTTACTTTCCAATCTGACTCTGGCATAACATTATGAGACAAGGAAGAAAACAAAGATATTTTACCCCAAAACATGTGTTGGTCAAGGTTCCCTAGAGGGACATAACTAATAGGATTGATATATATATATAAAGGGGAGTTTATTAAGTATTAACTTACATGATCATAAGATCCCACAATAGGCTATCTGCAAGCTTGAGCAGCAAGGAAAGCCAGTCGGAGTCTCAAAACTGAAGAGCTTGGAGTCTGATGTTTGAGGGCAGGAAGCATCCAGCGCGGGAGAAAGATGTAGGCTGGGAGCCTAGGCCAGTCTCGCCTTGTCACATTTTTCTGCCTGCTGATTAGATTGTGCCCACCAGATTAAGGGTGGGTGGGTCTGCCCCTCGCCAAAAGTCAATGTCCTTTGACAACACCCTCACAGACACACCCAGGATCAATACTTTGCATCCTTCAATCCAATCAAGTTGACACTCAGTAACAACCATCACAAGTCCACCGCTTGTCAACTTGAATCCATACGCATCTCCTGAGAACACACATAATCTTCAAATAAAGACAATAATAAGGTTATAATTATGCCTAACATAATACAACTATCCTTCATACAATTGGAAACGCACCAATCTCCAACCCAAATACTATTACATAAAGTTAACAATACTTACATGCTGATATGAAGTCAATAAATCTTATGTCACATGATAAAGGAAATAAAATGAAGATATTTTCTTAGTAATAGTGTATACATGCACAAACATGCATTTAACAAAAGAAGGAGGAAATACTCATGACAGTTACAGTCCTTGTTTCTGCAGCTGGTCACGTGGTCATAGCTGGTATTGATGACCTTCTACTACATATTCTGTATTCTCTTTGCCTTCAGCAAGCACCTCAGCAGGTCGTGATTTTTTTTCCCTGGCAGAGTGACCCAAACCATCATTCCTGAGGGGTCTGGGCCATTTGTAGCCCTGCCTAAATTGGGTTGTTGTGGTTTTCCATTGTCCTTAATCACAGGGCATGGTAATACTAAGAGACTCCCTAATGGATCTTCTGCATTCCATGCATACCCTTCCTTACCTCCATTGTGGAGTAGTAGACTGATTTCATCTTGATAGCCGGGGTCAATCACCCCAGCCAACACTGTAACTCCCTTCTTAGGCTTCATAGACTTAAAGGTAGGAGGAGCCCAAAGTGTCCGGGTGTCAATCTTAACTTCCAGTTTAATGGAATTGTCGTTATGTGTCCTGGTGACAGTGTTCCTACCTCTGGAACTAAGACCTCTAGGCCAACGGAATGTAATGTCATGGGAACAGGAAGCAAAAATTTTGCTAGTGAATCACTAGAGGTGATGGTGAATGGTGCCACTTCCACTTCCACCCCTTGAATCCTGGACCTGTAAATCCTGGCTATGGGAGAAACAGTACCATATATCGGAAGCTGATTCAAACATACAGGGCCTTCTGGAGAACTTTGCCCCAGCCCTGCAAAGTATTGTCACCTAGTTGGCATTGTAATTGTGACTTCAAAAGGACATTCCACCATTCTATCAATCAAGATGCTTAAGGATAATGGGGAACATGGTAAGACCAGTGAAATCCATGAGCATAAGCCCACTGCCACACTGCTTTAGCCATAAAGTGATTGCCTTGGTCAAAGGCAATGCTGTGTGGAATACCATGACAGTGAATAAGGCATTCTGTGAGACCACAGATGGCAGTCTTGGCAGAAGCATTGCATGCAGAATAGGCAAATCCACATCGGGAGTAAGTGTCTATCCCAGTAAGGACAAACTTTTGCCCTTTCCATGATGGAAGAGGTTCAATATAATCAACCTGCCACCAGGTAGCTGGCTGATCACCCCGAGGAATGGTGCCATATCGAGGGCTCAGTGTTGGCCTCTGCTGCTAGCAAATTGGGCACTCAGCAGTGACCGTAGCTAGGTGAACCTTGGTGAGTGGATGTCCATGTTGCTGAGCCCATGCATAACCTCCATCCCTGCCACCATGGCCACTTTGTTCATAGGCCATTGGGCAATGACAGGGGTGGCTGGGGAAAGAGGCTGAGTGGTGTCCACAGTGGGTCATCTTATTCACTTGATTATTAAAGTCCTCATCTTCTGAGGCCACACATTGGTAAGCACTCCCATGAGATGCAAATATCTTCATAGCTTTTGATCACTCAAAGGGGTCCATCCACATACATCTTCCCCAAATTTCTTTGTCACCAATTTTACAATCATGCTTCTTTCAAGTCCCTGACAAATCCAGCCAAAACATTGGCTACAGCCCATGAAATAATATATAATCACACATCTGGACATTTCTCCTTCCACGCAAAGTGCACGACCAGGTGCACTGCTTGAAGTTCTGCCCACTGGGAAGATTTCCCTTCACTGCTGTCCTTCAGAGATGTCCTAGAAACGGGGTGTAGTTCTGCAGTTGTCCACTTCCAAGTGGTGCCAACATATCATGTAGAACCATCTGTGAACTAGGCCCTAATCTTCTCTTCTTCTGTCAACTGATCATAGAGAACCCCCCATGAGGCCATTGGTGCAGGCTGGGGGAGAGAAGGCAGGGTGGCAGGAGTGGAGACCATGGGCATTTGAGCCACTTCCTCATGTAACTTACTTGTGCCTTCAGGACCTTCTTGAGCCTGATCACGCATATACCACTTCCACTTGATGATGCAATGCTGCTGTGCATGACCCACTTTATGGCTAGATGGTCAGAAAACACCTAGTTCATGATAGGCAGTTCAGATCACATGGTGAGTTGATGACCCATAGTCAAACTTTCAGTTTCCTCCAAAGCCCAGTAACAGGCCAAGAGCTGTCTCTCAAAAGAAGAGTAGTTATCTGCAGAAGATGGCAGGGCCTTGCTCCAAAATCCTAGAGGCCTCCACTGTGATTAACATATGGGACCTGTCAAAGGTTCCAAACAGCATCCCTATCTACCACTGACACCTCAAGCACCATTAGATCTGCTGGGTCATATGGCCCAAGTGGCAGAGCAGCTTGCACAGCAGCCTGGACATGTTGCAGGGCCTTCTCCTATTCTGCTCTAAACTGGCAGCATTTGGGGTCACTCAACAAATGGGCTGGAGTAACACACCCAAATGAGGAATGTGCTGCCTCCAAAATCCAAATAGGCCCACTAGGCATCGTGCTTCTTTCTTGGTTGCAGGAGGGGCCAAATGAAGCAACTTATCCTTCACCTTAGAAGGACTATCTTGACAGGCTGCACACCACTGGACCCCTAGAAATTTTACTGAGGTAGAAGTTCCCTGAATTTTAGTCAGATTTATTTCCCATCCTCTGGCATGCAAATGTCTCACCAATAAGTCCAGTGCATTTGCTACTTCTTGCTCACTGGATCCAATCAGCATAATGTCATCAACATAATGGACCAGCAGTGTGATATTTTGCAGAAGCAAAAAGCCATCAAGGTCTCTTCGAATAAGATTATGACACAAAGCCAGAGAGCTGATATACCCCTGAGGTAGGACAGTAAAGGTATATTGCTGGCCTTGCCAGCTGAAGGCAAATTGCTTCTGTTGGGCCTTATGGACAGGAATGGAGAAAAAGGCATTTGCCAAGTCAATGGCTGCATACCAGGTATCAGGAGATGTGTTAATTTGCTCAAGCAATAAAACCACATCTGGTACAGCAGCTGCAATTGGACTCACCACTTGGTTAAGCTTACGATAATCCACTGTCATTCTTCAAGATCCATCTGTCTTCTGCACAGGCCAAATGAGAGAGTTGAATGGGGATGTGTTGGGAATCCTCACCCCTGCATCTTTCCATTCCTTGAAGGTGGCACTAATCTCTGTAATCCCTCCAGGAATATGATATTGTTGTTTATTTACTATTTTTCTAGGTAGAGGCAGCTCTAATGGCTTCCATTTGGCCTTTCCCACCATAATAGTCCTCACCCTACCAGTCAGGGAGCCAATGTGGTGTTCTCCCAGCTGCTAAGTATGTCTATGCCAATTACACATTTTGGCACTAAGGAAATGACCGTAGGATGAGTCCGGGGACCCATTGTAAGTGGGACCTGAGCTAAAACTCCATTAATTACCTCACCTCCATAAGCCCCTACTTTAACTAGAGGACCACAGTGACGTTTTGGGTCTCCTGGAATCAACATCAGCTCAGACCCTGTGTCCAGTAGTCCCCAAAATGCCTGATCATTTCCCTTTCCCAGTGTACAGTTACCCTGGTAGAAGGCTGGAGGTCTCCTTGGGGAAAGATAGGAGAAAGATTCACTGCATAAATTGTCAGTAATGTAATGACTTGGCCTCTGCCACCTCAGGATCCAATCATTCCCACTGTATTTAAATTTTGTAGTTGAGTGACTGTGGTTCCCACTGTTAGACCTGACATGCAGAGAAGAGCAAGTACAGGGCTCTTCAAAGATGCAGATGCTGCCATTACAAATCTATTTTGCAAGACATTGGTCAAGGGTATATCTTCTGGACCCTCCAAGCTGGGATGAGTAGGTCTAAAGTGATGAATCCACTGCACCATCCCAATCTCCCTAAGCTTTTGGATCCCTTCCTCTACATTAAACCAAGGGAGATCAGGCATTTCCAGCTTGCTTGCAGTGGGCCATCTTTTAAACTGTATTTCAGCTAACCAAGTAAATAAACTATTAGAACCCTTTTTAACTCCCTGAGCTGCAATGTTAAATGCACAGTCTCTACTTAGTGGGCCCAAATCAATAAATTCAGCCTGATCCAGCTCTATGTTCCTTCCACCATTATCCCATACCCTTAATATCCGTTCCCATTCCCTCCAGGCTGCCGTTTATATAAATTAGAGAACTCAAGCAGTTCTTTTCAAGTGTAGCATACCTCCTCATGGGTCGCACTCTGAACCTCACCTCTAGGGGCCCACTGGGACTTTAGTCTAGTTACAGGTCTAGAAGCAGATAGGAGTGTTAGGGGTGGCTCCTGAGGAGAATCAACATTATTTTGACTGGCAACTGCCTCATGGGGGGCCATCAGTGTTGCCTCAGACAGCACAGGGTTTATCTCCTCAGACAAAGGTGGAAAGGCTGATAGCAGCATGGGTTGGGGAGGGGATGTTGCCACTACTGGGGATGAGAAAGCTGTATCTTCTGGCAAAAATGGTTCATCAGCGTTTACAAACTCAGTGTCCCCAGCTTCATCAGGGTCCTCCCACACGTCCTCATTCCAAGTTGCAGGGTCCCATTCCAGCCAATGCCCTCACTTTAACAGTAGACACCTGGTAAGGCTGTGCATGCCCCTTTTGTGGCAGTTCAGCCACTCGCATGATAAAAGTCTGTGTCTGTTTTTTCACAATTTCACCTCTTTTTCTACAGGAGATAAGACTCTCACTCAAAGCAATCTTAGTAGATTTGAGGCTCAGTATCTGCTTCTGAAGCTGAGAGACAGAATCCTTGAGTTCATAATTTTCTTTCATCACTTTATCCACTGAACTTAGGAGCAACTAACAGCTTCATCATGTTCCTTGGCTCTCCACATACAGTCAAAGGTATTATATATAGAGTCACTAAGCTCCTTGCCTCTCATGAGCGGTGAATCAGGAGTGTCGAGTGCATTTATTTTGCATAAGTCTCTAAACAGTTAATGCCAAAGACTATCAGTATTTTCCATACTATTAGAAGTGCAGTCCTTAGCATTTTGGGGTCTAATCATATTAAGCAGCTAACTCCAGAAACCCCAAAACCAATAAAAGAATTCCATCCTTAATATTCTCTTCCTCTAGAACCACTCCTGGTACCAAAATCTGTATTAGTCAGGGTTCCCTAGAGGGACAGAACGAACAGGATAGATGTTTATATATAAAGGGGAGTTTATTAAGTATTAACTTACATGATCACAAGGTCCCACAATAGGTTGTCTGCAAGCTTGAGCAGCAAGGAGCGCCAGTCTGAGTCTCAAAACTGAAGAACTTGGAGTCTGATGTTCAAGGGCAGGAAGCATCCAGCACAGGAGAAAGATGTAGGCTAGGAGCCTAGGCCAGTCTCGTCTTTTCATGTTTTTCTGCCTGCTTTATATTCACTGGCAACTGGTTAGATGGTGCCCACCAGATTAAGGGTGGATCTGCCTTCCCCAGCCCACCGACTCAAATGTTGTTGTTGTTGTTGTTTTTTATACTGTAAGTTCTAGGGTACATGTGCACAACATGCAGGTTTGTTACATATGACTCAAATGTTAATCTTCTTTGGCAACACCCTCACAGACACACCCAACATCAATACTTTGCATCCTTCAATCCAATCATGTTGACACTCAGTATTAACCATCACAACATGTTTCTCTGCCATATCTTGAAATGGCCCTGCAAAGTGTCCTTTGTGGGGGAAAATCTGCATTTGTAAAGAATCTCTACTAACATAGCTAGATCTTTTTCTTCCAGGCCCTCTCAATCCTGAAGAGATTATCTAAAAGTGTAGCACCTTTTAAAGACCTGAATAGGAAACATTTATCATCTATTGTCTCTAAGGGCAGCCACTATAAGACTTCAAAAGAACATCAAAAGATTGTGGTCTCCACAATCTTTTATCTTAACCTGAACATTTCCTTTCTATTGATCCCAGGTCTTAGACAAACTCAACCGATTGTCAACCAGAAAATGTTTAAATTTTTCTAAAGCCCGGAAGCCCCCGCTTTGAGTTGTCCTGCCTTTCTGAACCAAACTGATGCATTTCTTAAATGTATCTGATTGATGTCTCATACCTCCCTAAAATATATAAAACCAAGCTGTACCCTGACCACCTTGGCTGCATGTTTTCAGGACCTCATGTGGGCTGTGTCATGGACCATGATTACTCATATTTGGCTCAGGATAAACCTCTTCAAGTATTTTACAGAGTTTGACTCTTTTTGTCGACACATTATAGTTTTGGTTTACATTTCCTTGATGATTAGTGACTGAGCTTTTTTTACATACCTGTTGTCTATTTGTATGTCTTCTAAATAATTTCTATTCAGATCATTGCCCATTTTAAAATCAAATTTTTTTTTTGCTATTGAGTTGTTTGAATTTCTTATGTATTCTGGTTACCCCTTGTCGGATAGGTAGTTTGCAAATATTTTCTCCTATTTTGTAGGTGGTCTCTTCACTCTTAATGTTTCCTTTTCTATGCAGAAGCTTTTTAGCTTTAGGTAATCTCATTTGTCTATTTTTGCTTTTGTTGCCTGTGCTTTTGAGGTCTTACCCAAAATGTCTTTGCCCAGATCAATATTCTGAAGCACTTATCCAATGTTTTTTTCAGTAGTTTTATAGTTTTAGGCCTTATATTTAAGTTTTTAATTCATTTGATTTGGTTTTTGTATATGGTGAGAGATAAGGGTCTAGATCTACTCTTCTGCTTATGGATATCTAGTTTCCCCAGCACTATTTATTGAAGAGGATATTCTTTCCTTAGTGTATGTTTTTGCCACATTTGCCAAAAATGAATTGACTGTAAATATGTGGATTTATTTTAGGGTTTTCTATTCTGTTCCATTGGTTTATGTGTCTGCTTTTATGCCAGTATCATGCTATAATGGTTACTATAGTTTTGTAGTATATTTTGAAGTCAGGTAGTATGGTGCCCCCAGCTTTATTCTTTTTGCTCAGCAATGCTTTGACTATTCAGGGTCCTTTGTGGCTTCACACTTATCTTAAGATTATCTTTTCTATTTCTATGTAGAATGTCACTGGTATTTTGATAGGCATTGCATTGAATCTGTAGATCACTTTGGGTAGTATGGACATGTTATTAATATTAATTCTTCCAAACCATGGAAATGGGATGTCTTTGCATTTTCTGGTGTCCTTTTCAACTTTTTAAATCCATGTTTTATAGTTTTCACTTTAGAGATCTTTTACTTCTTTGGTTAAACTTATTTCAATTATTTTATAATATTTTGCAGCTACTGTGAATGTGATCGCTTTCTTTCTCAGATTGTTTGTTGTTGATGTATAAAAATGCTATTGATTTTTGTATGTTAATTTTGTGTCCTGCAAACTTACTGAATTCATTTATCAGTTTTAACAGTTTTTTGATGGAATCTTTAGATTTTTCTAGGTATAAGATTATGTCACCTGCAAACTAGGATAACTTGACTTTCTCCTTTCCAATTTGGATGCCCTTTATTTGTTTATCTTTTTCTTGCCTAATTTGTCTGGCTAGGACTTCCAGTACTATGTTGAATAAAAGTGATGAAAGTGGGCATCCTTTCCTTATTTCAGATATTAAAGGAAAGGCTTTCTGTTTTTTCCCATCAGTATGATATTAGCTGTGGGTTTGTCATATATAACCTTTATTGTTTTGAGGCATATTCCTTCTACACCCAGTTTGTGTAAGTTTTCATCATGAAAAGATGTGAATTTTAACAAATGCTTTTTTTGGCATCTATTAACATGATCATACGGTTTTTGTTCTTGATTATTGATTCACTTTTATGTCTGTGCATTTGAGGAGATAGATACATCTTCCAGCTTTTCTAGTTGTTCTTTGGTGATGTTAGGGTTTCGCTTCTTAGTATCAAAACTTAAATATGGCTTGTTGTTGCTTCTGGTTCTTGGGGGGACTTATAGTGAGCACTAGAATTAAAACACTGCGCTAGAACTAACTTTTTTTCCTGGCATTGTTTTCTAATTAGGGGAAGATTTATAGAGAACATTGGAACTTAAACACTGCTCTAGAACTAAATTGTTTCCCAGTCTGAGAAAGACATAAACAGGCACTGCAACTTAATCCTGATCTTTTAGTTGTTTCCAGGCCAGAGGAGGGCTCCATGTGAGCACCTGGGCTTTGTGAAAAACCTGGCTAGGAATTTGGGCCTTCCCACAGATTGTGCCCCCTGTGGCGCTATGATACCAGCCAATCTCTTCAGTGCGGTACCCTCACTGTTTGGAGCACTGAGTAGACACCATGATTCATGTGCCAGTCACTGCAGTCAACATCTCAATTCACCCCAGGTGGTCTGGTCCTCCTGGCACTCCCAATAGTTCCTATGGGAAGGGACCAGAATGGGGCTTCCCATGAAAACTCCCAGACTAGTGGTGGGGTCAGATGTTCACCTCCAATTCTCTCCTCTCACCTCAGCAACTATGGGTGTAAGGAAATGTTCCCGGAAATAAGCCAGGTTCGGCTGCTTTTTCTTGTGGCCCAATAACGAGAAGCAGACAAACTAGATAAGAAGGGAATTTATTGCTGTTACAGGATACAGGGAGAAGAATGGAGATAATTCCATCAGACCAACTCAAAGTGTTACAATTTTCTTATATAGATTGGGGTTATGTGTCTACATGCAGTATAGCACTTGTCTAAGTCTATTGGTAATTAATTTTGTTTCAACTAGAAGATCAGAGGCAAAAAAAAAAAAAAAAAAAAGAATGCTTGCTAAGTCCGATTAAGCTGTGAGGGCCCCAGTATCTTCAAGGCCTGTCTACTGTGGTATCAGAGTGATTATTTCTATCTCATTTCCTTCACAGCTTGGTCTGGAGAGCTGCCTTAGACTCTTCAATAAATCTATTCAAACAGCTGTCTCTGTTACCTTGACTCATCTCAGCATCCAAGACAGGTCCTGGCACTAGGAATGTAAGGCTGTCCCTATTATTTTGACTTGCTCCAGGTTAGGGAAAAGCTCATGCAAGGCTCCTACTGACCATATGTTTCATTTCCTTGATGTCTGGGCACCAATTTCTCTAGGTTTAACTATTTGCTCAATGTTACGGCAGCTCTGTGGAAATTTGTCTGTGTAAGTGGAGTGCTATGCAGGCCTGTCTGTGTGATTGTCAGGGAGAATTGACCTGCCACAGAAATGCTCCATGGAAGGGGAAGGGTTGGGGAAGGCTTGGTGGCTTGCAGAAGGGTTGGCACAGTCTAAAATGGCTATTTCTCTTACTGGTGGTGGCTTGTTTTGATTCTGTGGATCAAGGGGGTTTCTCTACTTCTCCCCCAAGTTTTGTTGTATTCAGGGATTCAGGGTGGTATTTTTGTCTTTGAGTAGTTTCTAGTTATGTTTTTTTGGGAGGGAATGATGCCAGACAATCTTCTATTCTGCCATTTTGCTCTCTTTCTCTCTCTCTATCTTGTTTTTCAAAGCCATATCTAAAGTATTTTAGTTCTCTGAAAGTATAGGGAGCCTCAGGTGTTGCTTGAGGCTATACCAGACTGGGACCTATTAGTTTCTCTTCACAGACATAAGGACCCAGAGGAAGGAAGGAAGAGACTAGAGTGACTGGCTCACGATTAATACAATCTGAATAAAGACTGGCAGTGAACATAATACAAACCATATTATGCAGCCTTCTTAAAGTGACATTTTCTACCTTGTCATATGTTATAGATTGACATTTAGTTTTTATTGCTGTAGAAGACTGGAAAAGAAAGGGAGAACTTCTTTGTTTCTATAACACAAGAAGTTGTCATATCTTTGGGCCTTAATGGCTCAAGTGGAAGTTAATAGCATTAGTATTAAATTCTTAGATACCTGAAATGCAGATGAAAATCTCTGCTCAATATTAAGGCCATTTATAACAGAAAGAGAAACTTTGATAATGTCAATCAACACTCACATATAAAGTACTGAACTTTTTGTGCTAGGATAACTTCAGATTCCTGGGTTTCTCTGATTCTGTAAGAATGGTGGAAGACACCTAGAATAATAACTGAACTACATTTTGCTGCCACCTTCAATAGTTGGGGTTTTGGTACAGATATGTTGGATTTAGAGAAGAAATTAACATTTTATTTACACCTGAGTTTGAGAAGCTCATTCACACTGCACATGTTTAGAAAGTGTTTTTTAAGCTGTTTATGGTCTTTGAATCTTATATTTGGTGTATTTAGAGATTCTTATTTTGCTTTTTGTTTATGGTGAAATTTTCTGTGCACTCATGTATATAGTATGCGATTCAGTTTATGTGTGTGTAATCAAGTCTTTCAGTAATTTTCTTTGTGATGGTGCTTTTGTCTTTTTTTAATAAGAACATCTTTTATTTACTCAAAAACTGTGAAAAATATTCTGCATATTTTAATTCAATATCCTTAATATTGTTTTTAAAATATTACTTTGATTTCTAGTTCATCATAAATTGTAGACTGTGTGTGTATGTGTGTGCATGACATGAAAACTGGGATGTATGTTATTTTTTTCTTAATATAGAACCTACTGTTTCACCAGGTTTACTTCCTTTTCCAGTGTCAAATCTAGGAGAGAGCCAATCCTCATATATTCCATATTTCAATTTTCTTGCTATTTCTGATCCCTGAGAAATACCAACTTAGGAAATCAAACAAAACCAGAGGCCACATCTCAGTCTATACCTTCTAGACTCACACTAGCATTACATGAAAAATAGTAAATATCTACCTAAGTCCTTTTAAAATTTTGCAGAATTGTACATTTAAAAAGCTAAATAAGATATGAGTAAAATAAATTTGCAAAAACGTGCGGTCAGTTCTGAAGAGATTTCTGTGAACCCAGACCTGGTTTGACTTCATTTTTGTAAAATCAGATATGAAAATTACTCTATTTATGCTCCGAAGGTTGATTTTCAATTATTTAGAAACACTTGTTTTCTGTATGTCTAGTCTGTGTGCTGCTTTAAGCTCTGACACTCAAGTTTTTACAGTGGCCCTAAGGGAGGAAACGTCTTGAATTGGGCCAAAGGTGTGATATACCAGTGAACTTGTTGATTCTCTTATTTACTCACAAGGATAACATTTTTCCTCCAGATTTTCCCATCCTGATACCATTCTCAGTTCAATCATGGGTGTAAAGGTTTGAGACATAAATATTGCCTCAAAATGTTTGTGAAAATTTAATTTAAAGCTGGTTAAAACCTATATTTTTCTACTGGATTTAACTAAGAGATACCCTGGGATTTATTCACAAAGGTTAGTCTAATTCTGAGGATTGAAGATTTATAATCTGTCTTTTCTCAACCACTCAAACTAAGGCACAGATTTTCCTGATGCTGATGAAAAATGAGTTTACTGATATAAACATGTGGGAGTCTGGAAAATTATCACTTAATATTTAAGAACATGGCCAATCCAGATCTTAAAACTTGACTTCTTCAATGATATTTTGTTATTTTTTTGAATTTGTAAAATTGACAATTTTAAAGATTAGAATAAAAAATTAACCAGAAATATATCATTCAGAAATAACAACTTATTATTATTACATTTTTTCTTTTCTTTCCCTTGTAATCTATATTTCTGTTAATTGGGAACATGCTGTAGATGGAGTGTTTTGATTTTCCCCCAGCTAAACAGCAAAGCACGTTTATTACTTTCGGATTTGGTCTCCATTCCTTTTTTGTGTAATAGGGAACAGCCCTTCTATCGACAATTGGAATTCTGTTGGGTTTTAATTGTGTAGTTTTGCCTTTACTTCTCAAAGAGGACATGTGTTTCAGGTAGCCAATCAGAGTGCCCCACATCCCTGGATTTATTCATGTGACAGAAGCACAGCCAATCAGAAAAGTTATTTTCCATGTTGAGTGAAGGTGGCAGAGAATGGCACTTCCTACTGTGATCCTAAATATAAGGCTACAAAGGGGGCAGTGATTGACTCTGTCATTACATGGAGAGGCCCCTACATGAGAATAAAGTTAGTGTACAAAGGAGAGTAGAGTGGGAGAGAGTAAAAACAAGAGTCTAGTCAAGAATTTGATTTCTTTCTCCTGCTCTACCTCTTGGACTTCCAACTTCTGTGAGTCAACATAGTGCCTCTTGCATTTAAGGTAATTTGTTTGGAATTTTTCTCACTGTCAACCAGAGAGTCCTAGTACTATAATATTATATCACAAAATATTTCATATCTCTAAAGTTTTTAATGCTTTTTTTCTATTCTCCTTGTTTCTCAGATGATCTAAAACTTTATTGATTAATATATTTGTAAATTCTGAAAAATAGCCCATTCTAAGAATATACAATTCTATGAATATAAAATACTGTCTCAATAAATATTAGCTCTTATAATAATAATTATTATTGCAATGTGTATTGTCATTTCTATAAACACATCAGACTCATTTTAACCTTTCCCTTTCCCACATTTTTGGATATTTATATTTTAAAATTTCAATTTTTTTCCCTTTTAAGTAAAATTTGCTGTTTGTCTTTCAATATAAATTATTGCAACTTAGAATTCTAGCTATTGAAATGCTAGAGAAAAGTATCAGCTATTCTTTTTATTGTATTTCTCAAATTTTTCAAAAAAATTATAACAATTTCTTTCTGCAGAAACATCTCATCACACTCTTATCAGCATTGAGTTTGTAAGTTATTATAATTATTGCCAATTTAAAAGATTTAATTTAGTTTTTCCTTCTGTGATTGAGGCTATATAATTATTATATGATCATGATTTATTGATGCTTTATTATATAAGGTGTTCAAACAAATCTTTTTAAAAATTAATTTAATTTAAATCAGTTTTAAATTTAAATTTTAATCTTAAACTTAAATTTAAAAATTTAAAATACCACTTAATAATCCTTCTGAAACATATTGGTTCACCTACAAGCCCATAACTCATTCCAATCTTTTCTTTTTACTATAAACTTCTTATGTGTGTGGTTAAATATAGAGTTCTGATCTGGGGCTCAGAACTTGCATTTTAGGAGGAGAGACTAGATAGACAACCCCTCCAAGGCCTTTCTCAGTCTGCAATTCTAAGTTACAATAAACCTTCCAAGCAAGTTTAAAAGCAGGGAAGAAAAGCAGGGACTTGAACAGGTATTTGTGCACCCATGTTCATAGCAACATGATTCACAATAGCCAAAAGGAGGAAGCAATTCATCCCATTCTTCTTCCAAGAACATTTGCTGAAAGGGCCAAACGTTTTCCCTACTGTTTTAGGATGTTTTCTTTTTCACAAGTTCATTTTAATGCATATTAAGAAATTCCTTGTTCAACTTTAGTGAGCTAAGAATCACCTTTAAATTTGTTTAAAATGCAAATTTCTGGATTCATCCACAGAAATTTCAATTAGTGAGAACTGAGGAAAAACCAAGAAGCCTGCATTCCACAGGTAGGCCAGAGGCGTTTCTGCTGTGTGAGATTACCAGGCAAAAACTTCAGAAACACTGAGTGATCATGTTTCAACACTATTTATTCTGTGTTCTCCCTCCCTCCCTCCCTCACTGCTTCCCTGTCTCTCTCTCTCTCTGTCTCTCTTTCTCTCTGTCTCTCTCTCCTCTGTCTCTCTTTCTTCCATTTACTGTTAATCCCCATTTCTACCACCTGTCCCGGGCACCCTATAATCTACTTTGTGTTTGTCTCCGCAGTGAACATTTGAATAAGAAGAGGAATGAGTGTAGATTGCTTTATGAGATATCAAAATGTTTTATAAAATGATAATAAGTACAGGTACAGTGTAGTGCACCTGTAGGCCCAGCTACTTGATAGGCCGTGGGAGGATTCCTTGAACCCCGGAGTTCTGAGTCAGCCGAGGCAACACTGTGAGACCATGACTCTTAAAAAAAAAAACAGTAAAATGATAATAAGTAAAACAGTATATTATTGGCATATCAAAACACAATAAACTGTTCAGAAACAGAATTATTAAATATAGAAACTAGCTTTTAAAATTAGGGATGAGAGAATAGATTTTTTCCCAAATAATTGATGATGAGATTATGTATAAACCATGTGAAAAAAGACCACACTAACTTCTTACTATCTATTAAAATAAATTCCAGATGGTGAAAGATTTCTAAAAATCTATAAAAGTAACAAAATACAGTATTTAAAAAATTCACATACTTTGAGATGAGAAAGGATTTTGAGAAGAATGAAACCAAAAGTTGAATTCATAAATCAAGAATTAAGAAGGTTGCAGATTTAAAAAACAAAAGAGTATTCTGGACAGGCCCTGTGCATGTTCTCGGGAAGTAGAAAGGGCAGGGCCACAGCTGCCTGAATTCTGCTTTTCACACGTGTACTGTCCATGTTCTCTCCAGATCAAGATGTTGCAGAGGCTCCGCGTTCTTGTGAGAGTATGTTCCGAGCTCTCTGACCTGTCACCATGGGATCACTCTTTTGAAGAGACTTCCTGGAGGACACTGATGACAGTGTGAAAGCAGGGATGGGAGGAAAAGCAGGGAGGGGAGGGACAGTGTGGCACATGGCCGCCCCAGAGTGCCCATTCTCACATCGCCATTTTAGGCAACTTTTTCTTTTCTTTCCCATTCTCTGCACTCCTATGCTCAACTTTCCTGTCTCTACTTTCTGATGTGTTCCCCAACACCCACCTTTCTTTAATTCCATCATTCTCTAACCTTTCTACACACATATATACAAACTTAGTATCCAGCCTAGAACAGGAGGCTGTCCATCTCCATCACTGATAGATCAAGGTCTCCAGGTAATGACTGTTAGAGAATCACTCAGGTTGCCACCAAGTAGGACTTCTTTTACAACGAGCCTGGTAAGGTAAGAAAACTCAGGAGGTTGCTTCTGCAATTAAATAATTGGTTCTTCATGGAGCATGGACCAATTTGTCAAAGCACTCTAGGGGCTCAAATTCCGTTTTAGCACTGGCCATTTCAGTAGTCATTGTGTTTGACAGCCTAGAGAGAGAGATACAGTCTAGCCTTAAGAAGGGAAACCAGACTGATAGAGGCCATAGAATAGCAGCTAAGGACAGATGTGTGGAATTTAGACAAAAATAGGCTTGAACCAGGAGTCTGCCGGATCTAATGTGAGATTTTAAGCAACTTCCCTTCACGGAGAGATGTTAATAACTTTACACTTCTTTTTGCAACTTTCATTGTTATAATAACAACAATGCTAAAAATAATATATTTATTATAGGGTTGTTTGGATGATGGTGATAATGTACTTAGAGTGCTTAGTCTAGTGCTTGGCACTTAACTCCTCATTATGCTAGCTATGACTGTGTATCATTGTTTTTACTTTAGGGTGACTTCAAGAATGTATTTATCCCAGCTGCTCAAACTTGAACCTTCCTTGACCCCTTCCCCAAGGGCATCTATGGTCAAATAAGGGCAAGAGGAGAAAGAAAGACATGGTTAAGGAATTTTTCTTATCAAAGTGGAATGTTCGAAAGGGGAGGGTGGCTCTTTTCAGAGCAAGTTCTCAACTCCTGGAAAGGGAAAAGATGCATTTATTTCAGACGAAAGGAGCATGTGAGCCTCCTCTCTGCACCCTCCCTTTCTCCCCACTGCTGTCTTGATTTCCTTTCTCCTTCCCTCTCTCCTTAATCTCTCTCTTGCTCCATTTCTTCCTTGTTTCCTTTTCTTCCTCCTTACCTTTATTTCTCTCCCTTTCTCATTCTCCTTCCTTTCACCTTTTCTTCTCTTACCACAGCTCTAGACTGACTGTAGGCCTAGTAAGGTCATTTTTGTCAATAATTTAGAAGTATTCAGATCGATTATGAGTTGGTAATTTAAAAATGGTCCAAAATCTTAGAGCCCAGAACAGCAACATGTGGCATAACTGTGCCCCACACAGGAAATGGAAGCAAGCACATTATCACAATAGAACATATCCCGTTATCTCTTTTAGTGTCTGCAGGAAAAATGATGAGAACTCTCATCACCACACACCCACTGCCCCTGCTTCTATTGCCGCAGCAGCTGCTGCAGCTGGTGCAGTTTCAAGAGGTGGATACAGATTTTGATTTCCCAGAAGAAGATAAAAAAGAAGAATTTGAAGAGTGTTTGGAAAAATTTTTTAGTACAGGGCCCGCCAGACCACCTACCAAAGAAAAAGTCAAAAGACGTGTCCTTATTGAACCTGGAATGCCACTAAATCATATAGAGTACTGTAACCATGAAATCATGGGAAAAAATGTTTACTACAAACACCGTTGGGTGGCAGAACATTACTTCCTTCTTATGCAATATGACGAGCTCCAAAAAATCTGTTACAACAGATTTGTGCCATGTAAGAATGGAATTAGGAAATGTAACAGGAGCAAAGGTCTTGTAGAAGGAGTGTATTGTAATTTAACAGAAGCATTTGAAATACCAGCGTGTAAATACGAATCACTTTATAGGAAGGGCTACGTCCTTATCACTTGTTCATGGCAAAATGAAATGCAAAAACGTATTCCTCATACTATAAATGATCTCGTGGAGCCACCTGAACACAGAAGTTTCCTCAGTGAGGATGGTGTCTTTGTCATATCGCCCTAGCAGAGCGTTCTCTGAGAGCTTAGGGTGGGAGGAATATTTCTCTCCATACTGATCCTTATAGATCAAAGTTGAGAATGGTAATTTTGCTTCCATTCACTTTAATCACCCACCTTCCTTTCTTCCTTTCCCAACACCTCACAAAAGCACCTTAGGCTAGGTTCACAGACGGTGCTCTGAGATGTGGTCTCATGCAGGTCCCCTAAGTTAGCATGCCTTGAATGTGTTACGGATACAGATGCCTGCAGTGGAAGGATGACCAGCACCAAGAGGAAAAGGAAATGGTTGCCTGAAGTGTGCTCCAAAGACACATCCATGTGATTCTCTAGTTCAGCAGAAAGAATAAAAATTGCTTCAATCTAGTGCAGTGGCTCTGGTATGGTGACGTGGGGTTTCTCAGTTTGGAACTTTCTTCCTTGTGACACAATTTGGCACCAACGGAACTCAAATCCCTTTCAGACATTTATGCAATACATCTACCCAGGGCTATGTGTGTGGCTATTTCACTTGTCTTATTCTTTCTTACAGGGCAATACACAGATCCAGATGTGGGCAGCTCAGGATAACACCTTTCTATATTTAGGAAAGCAAACTCCCCAAAGGACATTTCAGTCGTCCAATGTTATTTGTGTGAATTCCCACATCTTTAATTTAATTTAGCTTAGATGTTTGTGTTTACAAAATTACAAACAATTTCTCACTTTTGGGAATAGTCACAATTATCTACAATTATTTTCCTCACTTTCTAGTAGATGTGGCTGCCTCTGAGAATACATCACCTCAGAGAGAGGCTGGAGGATCAGTCTGATGAAAGAAACCTCTCTGTCCAGTTTAAGTAACAATTATCTCCTTTTCTTCAAACTTCTTTTTTTTTTTTGAGATGGAGTTTCGCTCTTGTTGCCCAGGCTGGAGTGCAATGGCGCGATCTTGGCTCATTGCAACTCCGCCTCCCAGGTTCAAGCGATTCTCCTGCCTCAGCCTCCCTAGTAGCTGGGATTACAGGCATGTGCCACCACGCCTGGTTAATTTTGTATTTTTAGTAGAGACGGGGTTTCTTCATGTTAGTCAGGCTGGTCTCGAACTCCCGACTTCAGGTGATACGCCCACCTTGGCCTCCCAAAGTGCTGGGATTACAGGCTTGAGCCACTGCGCCCGGCCTTCTTCAAACTTCTTAACATCTTGTTATTATTACTGCTTAAAACTTTCTGAAACTGGGGTAAAGAGTAGTAATGGGGGATGGTAGTGAGGCATCCATTGCTCTTTGCATGCTTTACCCCAGTCCAGTCTGTTAGTCTCCTCCCATTCCTTACCCCTGTCTTTATACTCAGAGCTGAGCTCCTAATTTATCAATAGGTTGATGTAAGTAAGGGCCTAGAACGAAGGACGGCTAGACTCCATTTTAGTGTCTAAGGGAGGAACACAGGAAATCAAGCTTCTAGGCACTTGTGATGGTTGATTTTCTGTGTCAACTTGACTGGGTTAAGGGATGCTCAGATACCTGGTAAAACGTTTTTTTCTAAGTGTAAGTGTGAGAGTGTTTCTGGAAAAGGTTAGCATTTAATCCATAGACTGAGTAAAGATCTCCCTCACCCATGCAGGTGGGCATCGTCCAATCTGTTAAGGGCCTAAATGGAACAAAAAGGCAGAGCAAGGGCAAATGGACTCTCTCTGCTTGAACTGAGACGTCCATCTTCTCCTGCCCTTGGACATCAGTGCTTCTGGTTCTTGGACCTTTATATTCAGACTAGAACTTATGACACTGGCTCTCCAGATTCTCGAACCTTTGGGTTTGGACTGGAACTCCATCACCAGCTTCCCAGCTTGCAGATGGCAAATTGTGGGGCTTCTCAGCCTCAGTAATTGTGTGGGCCAATTCCACATGACAAATCTCTTTCCATGTATCAATATATGCTCTATTAGTTCTTTTTCTCTGGAGAACCGTGACTAATAACAGCACCAATCTTCATTTGGAGGCACATGGCTTTTCATTGAAATGTCTGAGTGAATAAGGTACCATCCAACTTTTAGAAATCTCCATGACACCTTCTAAAACCCAACCTTTTGTACATGAGCTGAAGAAATTCTGCACATGGGCTAGCCTGGCTATGTTCTACAGACCATCTCTCTGGGTCATGTTCATCTCATTGATCTTGGAGGTTATACAACATAAAATATAAAATATATTTATAAGAATATGGCCAAGCGCAGTGGTTCACGCCTGTAATTCCAGCACTTTGGGAGGCTGAGGCAGGCGGATCACCTGAGCTCAGGAGTTCGAGACCAGCCTGGCCAAAATGGCGAAAACCTGTCTCTACTAAAAATACAAAAATTAGCCAGGCGTGGTGGCCCGTGCCTGTAATCCCAGCTACTCAGGAGGCTGAGACAGGAGAATCACTTGAACCTGGGAGGTGGAGGTTGCAGTGACCCGAGATTGCGCCACTGCACTCCAGTCTGGGTGACAGAGAGAGACTCCATCTCAAAAAAAAAAAAAAGAAAAAAAGAAAGATATGGTATAGTACAATAACTAAGACATGAAAACAATCACAATGAACTTTTCTCTCTCCAGAATAGAAAATCCGATCCAAATGCCTTTTAGAATTAGAATCATAGAAATAGAATGAGGCTCATTTGCACAGATTTCCCCCGTAGTCTAATATTGCACAAGAAACCAAGATCCTGGCCCCTATCCACCAGATTCCCTATGGTAAGTCCAAGCTGTAATTTCAGCTTCACTGATTATAATATTTCAAATAGTTATTGTCCAACATATATTAACACTCTATCCTCAATAATATCAAACTTCATTGTTAAAATGAACATTGTACACAACTTTGACTCACATAACAATTTATTATTTATGCTAGCGTTCCTTGAGATGATACCCCATTAATTATTTCAATTGTAATAAAATATACATGACATAAACTGACCATTTTAATCATGTTAAGTGTGCAGCTCAATAGCATTAGGTATATTCACATTGTTGTGCAACCATCACTGTGATCCATCTCCAGAACTTTTTTCATCTTACAAAACTAAAACTCTCTACTCACTTAAATAATAATTCCCCTTTCATCCTTTCCACCAGTTTCTGGCAACCACCATTCTCCTTTCTGTCTCTATGAATTTGACTGCTCCAGATACCTCATATAAGTAGACTCATACAGCATTTGTCCTTTTGTGACTTGCTTATTTCACTTGGCCTGATGTCTCCAAGTTTTACTCATGTGTCATAATTTTCTCCTTTTTGAAGGCTCAATAATATTCCATTGTATGTATATAACACATTTTGTTTATCCATTCATCCATTGAGGAAGCTTTGGTTGTTTTCACCATTTGGCTACTGTAAATGATGTTGCTATGAACATTGACAAACAAATATCTGTTTGAGTCCTTGTTTCCCATTTTTTTTTTTTTTTTGGTGTATATACGCATAAGTGGAATTGCTGGATCATATGGTAATTCTTTTTTTTTTTTTTTAAGAAACTACTATACTGTTTTCCACAGTGGCTGAACCATTTTACATTCCAATCAGTAGTGCACTAGGGTTCCAGTTTCTCAAAACCCTCATCAATACTTCTTTTTTTAATATCTAATAGCAATTTCAATGGATATGAAGTGGCGATGCAACACTAACTTTAAATTATACTTACTCAGTGAAAGAATGTAGGCAAAGCATTCCCAAGAGTAAGAAAAACTATAAACACAGCATTTTGTTTCCTAACCAGAATAAACCCAATTGGTATTCTCTTTGAAAATTTCTGATGTCTATGATGTTATTGATTAAGTAAATAGGAGAAAAGTCTAGCCCAATGAACAGACAGCACAGTTGCTCCCGTCCCTTTGTGTTAGTGGAAGTTGCGAGACAAAGTAGTAAATGCCATTTTTGCTCATTTCTGCTTGCCAGCATAATTTCACAAAGCCCCTCACTCTATGACAACCTGCAGCTCTTTGAGAAGAATGTTTGAAGATACCACAGAATAGAGTGCACGGTCCCCATGCTCCGTGTCTGTTTACCTGACTCACTATATTCCTAAAGATAAATTACACCAGTCCTTGCGTTTTCTTACGCATAAAATAAGGTCTGACCAGGTTAGTGATTATACTCCTGTAATCTATAACCAGATGTACTCTTACACCCAAACCTTGATGTGATTCTGCTTTAATGTAACTTCTGAGCAAATTTGATGTGATTTCACATATACTGAATCTTTACCACCTGTAAATTGTCAACTAAAATACTGCATGGGAGCCATCTAATAGAACCCCTCTAAAGGGCTGCTCCTGGGCTATAGGCCTCCCAGCCTGTAGACCTCAGTAAGACTTCTGAATAAAACTAATTTTAATTATTTAAAAGTTGGATCTTTTTTTTCTTTAGTTGACAGGATTCTCCAGGGGAACAGCATCAATAGGATAGGTATACGTAAGGGAATTTTTTAGGGAGAATTGGCTCACATGATTAAAAGCGAAGTCCCACAATAGGCCGACAGGCCATATGCAAGCTAGAGAATGACAGAAGCTGGTAGCAAGCAAGGTTGTTAGAGAAGCTGGTCTGAGGCTGAAGGCCTCAGAGCTGCCACAGGGTGGGAAGGTTGTGGGGAGCAAGCAGTCAATTGAATGGTGCCTGCCCACATTGAGGGCAGGTCTTCCTCTCTCAGTCTCACCTGCCAGTCTCCTCTGGAAACTGCCTCACCTGCCAATCTCCTCTGGAAACACCCCCACAGACACCCCCAGGAACAGTGCTTCACCAGCCATCTAGGCATCCTTCAACCCAATCAAGCTGACACCTAATTTAACCATTCACACCTTTCTATTCTAGCACGATATTCTTAGATGACATTAGGAAAAGAATAAAACCAAAGCTACTAACTATCCCTGTGCTGCTCCTTGAAAATTGGTGATGCTAAATTGAACCCTATTCATTTGCCCTGTAATATTTTGGTACAAAGTTGAATTAATATTCCTGATAAATTCAGAGCCAATAACTTTTATTCATATATATATATATGTATATATTGTAGCAGTCACAATACCTCACACAGTATCTTCTCTATAATATAAAATTTTCGAAGTGTTTTTATATACCCTTTCACTGTTCATCATTACCTCTTGTGTCACAAGTAAGGGGATCATATTCTCTGTCCACTGTTTCCTATTTTTCCTGTCACACAACAAATAAGGATTAAAAAATGAAATCACATATTTTATCCCAATCTTTCTTCTCTTTCTCTAAGATGGATCTTTCTCACATGTCTCTGACATAAGATCATGACATTTGTGAACTGTCATATTTTTAGAAACACAAGGAAGCAGTGGCTCATCCCTTCCTCATCACATCTGATGCATTCATTGCATAATTTGCATTGAATACAAGAAGAAATATTCCACCTAAGTTTCCATAGTTGAAAGATTACAAGAGCTAGTCATCAATATCAAGTTCTTCTTGAAAGATCAAAGGAGATACCTGGAGCCTTTGGAGCGTGCTTCGAGTCCTATCAAACTGAAGGTAAATTAGTCTTTAACCAAGTGAGATTTTGAATTCAGGGGCATTTCCCATAAGATAGAATGATGACACTGACATGTTTTCCAGCTACTAGATTATAACTTCAAGTGAACAAGAACATTCGCAGTGATGGGTATATACACAAATGTGCTGCCTTACTTAATTCAAAATATTCAAATATTTGACATTATTCCATTGTCAAAGATTTTCTTCCTTCTCTTTTTAAAATATGTTCATTACAAGTGGGTACAAGCAACTCACCACTTCAATATACACCCTAGTGTAATAATGCCCTAGTATTTCCATAACGAAATGCATAGTATTTCAAGCATTCTCTCATTCTTTTCTATCCTCAATGCCTAATGCCTGCCACTTAATATTCAATAAGTATTTTTAAATGAACAAATACATTACATATAATACAGAATTTTCAATTATATAAACATTTTGATGAACTAATTTTTTACCCATATTCCACAGCATGCACTGTGTTCATTGTTCAGGTGAGAGATCAACAAAGGGGAGAGCAGCACATTTTTGGATTTTCCATATTGGTCTAGGAACCTGTGCAGCAAACATCAAAATAGAGAGTGGGCTTCTAAGGAGGAGGGAACATTAAGAATATGAAAGGGAGGAATTTCAGGAGAAAATAAGAGTAAGAGAATGAGGGATTTTACCCTGCTTGAGAGGCAGGATGGAAGATGACCAAGGGTTGGACATGAAAAGAACTCTAAGGAGGTGTTTACAACAGGAAGAAGAGTAAGGTCAGTAAAGGGGCACTGCTAGTACCTGGGAACTAAGGCAATAGTGAGTGTTACCCAATGTCTGCCCTTTCATACCTCCTGCCCCTTTCTGTACGGAGAATGTGGAGGTCACAGGGGAGGGCAGAGGGAGAAAGAAAGTCCTAGGCCTGTGTTCCAATAGCATGCATGCCCACTTGTTAATTTTTGGTGGGGCATTGAAGACTTAATAGTTGCCATAATCTACTCCAATTTAAGATATAGGTTGCATCTTTAGAAAAATGGACATTGAAAGCTTATTAGCGACTCATTTTTTGAAATTTTGACCCCAGCATTTGGAGAAGTTTCTAGTGAAAGAAGTTCAACAAGTAAGTGAAGATCTGAGACTACTGGTCCTGTAGCTTGTAGTAATTAAGATGTAGAAAAAATTAATGCAACAATGATTCCAAAATACAGTAGTTCAAACAAATAGGAGTTTATTTATCAGCAGGGTCCAGTGGCTCACACCTGTAATCCCAGCACTTTGGGAGGCCGAGGCGGGTGGATCACCTGAGGTCAGGAGCTCGAGACCAGCCTGGCCAACATGGTGAAATCCCGTCTCTACTAAAAGTACAAAAAGTAGCTGGGCATGGTGGTATGTGCCTGTAGTCGGGAGGCTGAGGCAGGAGAATCACTTGAAACTGGGCGGCAGAGGTTGTAAGTGAGCCAAGATTGTGCCACTGCACTCCAGCCTGGGCAACTCCGTCTCAAAAAAAAAAAAAGAAGTTTATTTCTTCCTTACATAACAATCCAGGGAAAGGCAATCTATCATGGTGGGAAGCTGGCTTTTCTCCATGTGATCATTGAGGGGGTTTATCAAGGTTGTGATTCTACCATTTCCCAGTTCTGAGGTGTGTCTTGGTCTGGTTGGTTGAAGCCAGCCCACCACAGATCTATCTGCCTTTCAGTGCACGGGAATAAGAAAAAGTAAAGTAGAGGGAAACCAGATTTCTCTAAAGAAGACCTAGCTAAGAATTTGCTCACATTTTTTCAGCTCATATCAACTTGGCCAGAACATAGTGACATGGACATGTTTAAGGCAGGGAGTTTGGGAAATGCAGTCTGGTTCTAGAAGGAAAAATATGTATCCTGGGAAACAATTACCAGTCTGTCAAACATTTCATCTTACTTAATAAAATGATTTTTCTTTTTTTTACATGAAGTTTTGCTCTTGTTGCCCAGGCTGGACTGCAATGATGCAATCTTGGCTCATTTCAACCTCCACCTCCTGGGTTCAAGTGATTCTCCTGCCTCAGCCTTCCAAATAGTTGGGATTACGGGCATGTGCCACCATGCCTGGCTAACTTTTTGTATTCAGTGGAGACGGGGTTTCACCACGTTGGTCAGGCTGATCTCAAACTCCTGACCTCAGGTGATCCACCCACCTTGGCCTACCAAAGTGTTGGGATTACAGGCGTGAGCCACCGCACCTGGCCGAAATTTTTTTTCTTATTGTTGTTGTCATCCAGCTTTAAACATCTGCCTAGACCCACTCTAGACCTCTGTAGGAATAATGGGAACGCATTCACTGCTCTACTGCCTTCTAGTCTGCGCAGCTCTATGTAAGGCTGCTGGTAAGAGTCTTGCTTACGTTTGCAAGGTCTTATCTCAGTCAACTGCAACAGAAGTACAGATCCATTGCCAACAGTTTCTGCCTAGAGTGACTGCAGAAACCTAACTGCAAAGACTTGGTTCACTGGTTCTCAACTCTGCCTAATTAACCAGTCTCCTGTAAAACTTTTAACAAAAACGCCAAAGCTCAGGCCCACTCCTGGAGATTTAATTCACTATGTGTGGGTAAGACCTAGCCATCTGTATTTTTTTCATGTGTCACAGGCAATTAAAGCTTCAGCCAGAGCTTTGGATCATTGGTTAGTGTCATGCCAGAAGTCTAATACTAAAACAAACCATCAAGAAGATATAATATCCAATATAAGAACTTTCCTTTACTAAAGATAGCATCAGGCTATCACAGATGAATGACAATAGCTATCAACATTTTACATCTAGCTAGCTCTCCTTGCTCTGGTTGAAATTAAGCAACCTATTACAAATAACCAACAAGGCCGGGCGCGGTGGCTCACACCTGTAATCCCAGCACTTTGGGAGTCCGTGGCTGGCAGCTCATGTGAGGTCAGGGGTTCGAGACCAGCCTGGCCAACATGGTGAATTCCTGTCTCTATTAAAAATATAAAAATTAGCTGGACGTGATGGCGGGTGCCTGTAGTCCCAGCCACTCAGGAGGCTGAGGCAGGAGAATCACTTGAACTCAGGAGGCAGAGGTTGCAGTGAGTCAAGATCATGCCACGGCACTCCAGCCCAGGCATTAAGAGCGAGACTCCATCTCAAAACAAAATCAAAACAACAACAACAACAAACAACAAAAATAACCGAGGAATGAGAGTCTTTATGGCAGTCTTGTTCTCCCTATAAATTCATAGACCTGCATTATGATTTGATATATGAAAGGTACATAGCAAAATGTCAGAATTTTCTTAACTGTTGGTGTGTTAATAAAAATCAATGTTCTGAAAAGCAAAGCTAAAAACAGAAACTCAGTTGTGGTGCTCTTACCTTAATAATTCTAGCCAGCCTCTCCTAGGGAAATTTTTGTCAAATCTCTAATGTGACTACAATAATCCTCATACAAAAAGATCTCAAAATTTTCCTTCTACTACAAATTGTGGAGGAAAAAAATTGCAATGTCTTTATTTTGTTGATAACTAATCTGACATTCTGTTGAGATACCACTGTTAAGAAGGCTGAAAAACATATGAACTACATATTCAGTACAGCTCCAACTGAAGATCATTCAATACATTAAACAGCCTCTTAGAAAACAGTTTCTCATTGAGATTAATTAATATGTCCAAACTCTCAAAAACTCCTCCCTCCCAAACCTCTCTTCTTATACGGAAAGGAAGTATATGGGGAGGGAAATACGTATGTTTCTACACTGTAGCAGTAGAGATTCATGGCCCTCTGGTGTTCTGCCCCCTCCTTCCCTTTGTTTGCAGAGCTGTAGCCTCTGTCTGCAATGTGCCTGGTGTGGTTGATGTAATATGTTATCTGGACTTTATCAGCTTGTTTGGGGCCCAGTAGCATTACCTGGCTGACTCAGCCTTACCCTGGCTCCCCTTGACTGCAGATTCATAGGTGACATGACTGCATCTGGAAGTCCAGTTCAGCCTCCGCTGTGCAGGGTTATCTTGGAGAGGTTACCTGCCTCTCCACTCATCATCTAGGCTACATGGAGGCTGAATGCATTTCAAGAAGCCTGAGCATCCCCTCTGACTGTCTGTGATGTGCCTCATCTTTTATTCTGATGAGGGTGTAACCTAAGGACTCTTTCCTCAATGTCATCTCCAGTTTATCTAATGAAACTTTTCATTCTCCAAGACTAAGCCTCACCAGACGAAATTGAGAGATGTATGCCTAATGGTTTTGCTCTCATATTGTCCTTCTGTTCTCATTACTATCATCCCTCTGGTTTTGGCTGGAAATGGGGCAAAGCTTTCTTTTGCTTGTCCTTATCAAATTCTTTTACTTGCAAGTAACAGTAAGCCGCATGGCCTAGCTATCCTAAGCTTTTCTACAAACTTCATTGAGAAATTAGATTTTTTTTTTTCTGTTTCTTTAGAGGTGAGGGTCTCACCATGTTGCCCAAACTAGTCTCAAACTCCTGGGCTCAAGTGATCTGCTCTCCTTGTAATCCCTCTCAAAATGCTGGGATTACAGGTATGAACCACTGTGCCTGGCCCGATTTTTTCCTGACAGAAACTAATCTCAGGACTAGGGAAGGAAAAATGTGAGATGAGCCTGTAGTATCTTGTAATTCTGGAAAACACAGAAATATTCTAAAAAGGATAGGGACCTGAAGGAGCACTTAATGACCAAAGCTGGAACAATGTTAGCACCAAAATAAATTTTAAAATACCATCACATTGGAGATTAAGTGTAAATAAATACATTTTAAAAACACTGCCGAATGTAAACTCAGAATAGAATAAACATTCATGAAGTCTACACTGCTATGAGTTTTAACTCAGAATAAAATAAATATCCAAGCTGGACATGATAGTGTGTCCCTGAAGTCCCTGCTACTCAGGAGGCTGAGGTAGGAGGATCCTTGAGCCCAGGAGCCTAGAAATCTAAAAAGTTGAACTTATGGAAGTACAGAGTAGACTTCAACAAACTAGGCATAGAAGGAACACACCTCAAAATAATAAAAGCCATAAATGATAGCCAACATCATACTGAACAGGGAAAAGCTGAAAGCATTTCACCTAAGAACTGGAACAAGACAAGGATATTCACTTTCACCATTTCTATTCAGCATAGTACTGGAAGTCTTAGCCAGAGCAAGCAGGCAAGAGAAAGATAAAGGAAATTCAACTTGGGAAAGAGGAGGTTGAACTATCTCTATTTCCAATAATATGATCTTATACTTTGATATGATCTTATACCTAGAAAACCCTAAAGACTCTTCCAAAAGACTCCTAGATCTCATGAATGAATTCAGTAACTTCTCAGGTAACAAAATCAATACACACAAATTAGTTGCACAGTTATACCAACAATGACCAAGATGAGAATCAAATCAAGAGTTCAATCCGTTTTACAATAGCTACAAAAAATAAAATGCCTAGGGATATACTTAACCAAGGATGTACAAGGAGAACTACAAAACACTGCTGAAAGAAATTGTAGATGTCACGAACAAATGGAAATACATCCCATGCTCATGGATTGGATGAATCAATATTGTAAAATGACCATACTGCCCAAAGCAATCTATAGATTCAATGCAATTCCTATCAAAATATCAACCTCATTTTTCACAGAATTAGAAAAACAATCCTAAAATTCACATGGAACAAAAAAAGACCCTGAATAGCTAAAGCAATCCTAAGCAAAAAGAACAAATCTGGAGTAATCACATGACCTGACTTCAAATTACACTACAAAACAACATGGTACCGGTATAAAAGTAGATACATAGACTAATGAAACACACTAGAGAACACAGAAATAAAGCCAAATACTTACAAACAACTGATCTTTGACAAAGCAAACCAAAACATAAATTAGGGAAAGGACACCCTATTCAATAAATGGTGCTGGGAAAATTGGATTGCTACATGTAAAAGAATGAAACTGGATCCTTTTCTCTCACCTTATACAAAAATCAACTCAAGATGGATCGAAGACAAATCTAATACCTGAAATCACAAAAATTCAAGGAGATAATCTAGGAAAAATTCTTCTAGACATTGCCTTAGGCAAAGAATTCATGACTAAGACCCCAAAAGCAAATGCAACCAAAATAAAAATAAATAAGTGGGACCTAATTACAACTAAAAATCTCCTGCATAGCAAAAGAAATAATCATCAGAGTATAACAGACAGAGTAAACAAAAAAACCTACAGAATGGGAGAAAATATTTGCAAATAATACATCTAATAAAGGACTTATATCCAGAATCTACAAGGAACTCAAACAAATCAGCAAGAAAAAGTCTTAATAAAAAGCGGGCAAAGGACATGAATAGACATTTCTGAAAAGAAGATATACAAATGGACAACAAACATATTAAAAAATGCTCGATGCCACTAATCATTAGGGAAATGCAAGTTAACACAACAGTGAGATACTACCTTACCTCATCTAGACTGGCCATTATCAAAAAGTCAAAAAGCAATAGATGTTGGCATGGATATAGTGAAAAGGAATGCTCATACTCAGCTGGTGGGAATGTAAATTAGTACAACCTCTATGGAAAATAGTATGGAGGTTTCTCAAGAACTAAAAGTAGATCTACCATTTGATTCAGAAATCCCACTACTGGGTGACCCAAAGGAAAAGAAGTCACTATATCAAAAAGGCATCTGCGCATGTATGTTTATCACAGCACAATTCACAATTGCAAAGATATAGAATCGGCCTAAGTGCCCATCACCCGATGCGTGGATAAAGAAAATGTGGTATATACATATACCATAGGACACTACTCAGTCATGAAAAATAACAAAATAATGTCTTCTGCAGCAACATGGAAGGAACTGGAGGCCATTATTTCAAGTGAAGTAACTCAAGAATCAAAAACCAGATACCGCCCGTTCTCACTTATGAATGGGAACTACGCTGTGGGTACACAAAGGCATACAGCGTGGCTTAATGAACACTGCAGACTCAGAGGAGGGGAGAGCGGGGAGGGTGAGGGATGGAGAGGATGAGGGATGCAAAACTACCTATTGGATACAACGTACACTACTTAGGTGATGGGTGCACTAAAATTCTAGAGTTCATCACTATACAATTTGTTTCTGTAACCAAAACCACTTGTACCCCTAAAGCTATTAAAAAAAAAGGAAAGAGTAGAAAATGGTCACCAGAGGCTGGGACGGTGAGGAGATGTTGGTCACAGGGTACAAAATTTTAGTTAGACAGGAGCAATTAGTTCAAGAGATCTATTGTACAACATGGTGACTATAGTTTATAACAATGTGTTGGCCGGTGTGTTGGCTCATGCCTGTAATCCCAGCACTTTGGGAGGCCGAGGTGGGCAGATCACCTGAGGTCAGGAGTTCAAGACCAGCCTGGCCAACATGGCGAAACCCCATCTCTACTAAAAAATACAAAAATTAGCGGATGTGGTGGCGGGTGCCTGTAATCCCAGCTACTCGGGAGGCTGAAGCAGGGAGAATTGCTTGAACCCAGGAGGCAGAGGTTGCAGTGAGCCAAGATCATGCCACTGCACTCCAGCCTGGGTGACAGAGCGAGACTCTGCCTCAAAAATAATAATAATAATAATAATAATAACAATGTATTTTATTCTTGAAGATCACTAAAAGTGGATTTTGTATGTTCTTATCACAAAAACCATGTTAATTATCTCAATTTAGCCATTCCACAATACATACATATTTCAAAACATATTGTATGTGATAAACATGTATAATTTTTGTCAATTTAAAATAATTAATTTTTAAAAAAGAATTTGAGAATGGCTATATACATTTTAGATATAAGCAGACTTCAAAGCAAGGAAAGTTATCAGGAATGAAGAGGGTTGTTACATGTTAAAGACATCAGAATTCTCCAAGAAGTCATAATTGTAATTACAGAACATCAAAATGTGTAAGGTAAAAAATGATAGATCTGCAAGGAGAAATAGATGAATCCACTATTATAGTTGGAGACTTCAGCACTGCTCTATCATAAATGAACAGCAGGTAGAAAATCAGTAAGACATAGTTAAACTCAACAACACCATCTCTGTCACTACTTAAACACGTGTTCATTCATTTATTTAACAACTATGTATTTTGTATCTATGCATGCCAGTTGCTTTGCCGGCATTGGGCACACAAAGTAAAATGTGGGTACTTGGCTCAAGGTTAAGTTGTTCCTAAAACCAGAGTTCAAAAAGATTAAGGTATACATGGTTAACTGGTGAGGCAGTGTTTGGAAGGGTTCCAGTTACATGGGAAGAATTGATGAAGAGGAAGGATTCTGCATGATAGAAAAGATGAATAGTGGGGCAGAGAAGCAAGAATGGTGTTTCACATCCATCCACCTCCTCACCCCACACACCACATACACACTAACAACATGCACCTTGCCTTTTTGACCAGTGTTGAATACTATGGAGGGAGGAGCTTTAAGTAGAATGTGGTGGAGTTATTTTTATGAAAGATGCTGAGAGACAGAGAAACAAACAATACTATTTTGGTGCTCAGGGGATAAAAGGCAGTACTGAGTGATAAAGCCATAGTCTATCCACTTAATTCCCACCCCCAAAACCCACCCAATTCTAAGACTTCATCTAAACAGTTTCAGCGCTGTTGGATGAAAGTACATCTTGGCACAGGTGCTATTGTTTTCATGGAGCCATGAAGTCGATCAGGCTCCCACAGGTATCTGCTTTACTAAAAGGCACCATCAAGACTGAAGCAGAAGAAAAAGAGATCAAAGACACCATCTGATACACCTGACCTCCTTGTCTGGGAGCATTTTGAGGGCTTCCCTGGAGAATCCTAGATATGGCAGAGATGAGACAGGTGAGATTTTAAGGAGAACTGTAAGGGATGGAGTAGACATTACCCACTGTCTCTCAGTGTCTGCAACTCTTTTCTTCTTCTGTGGGTCGTAACAGAAACCTCCAATTTTACCTGAGCACGTAGCGATCCAAAATAAAAAGAGAGCCTGGGACATATCCGTGAAGAGAAAGAGTTGAGTGAAAGCTCTGGGAAGTGTCCTTGAAGGGAAGGAGAATGCCATATTTGCTTTTTCTTTCCTTTTTCCTTGGAATGGACATGTTGTCTGAAGCTAGACTAGCCATCTTGGATCCTGATGGGGAAGCCACATGCTGAGTTTAGCAGAGCAGCAAGATAGAGCCTGAATGTCTGACACCATGGAACGCCATAACAGACCTAAATTGACTATCCCTGGACTTCAGAAAACAAAGTGTAAAGGCTGGCCATGGTGGCTCACTCATGTAATCCCAGCATTTGGGGCAGCTGAGGCAGAATTGCTTGAGGCCTGGAGTTTGAGACTAGCCTGGGCATGAGACCTCATCTCTACAAAAAATTTTTTAAATTAGCCAGGTGTGGTGGCACACACTTGTAGTCCCAGCTGTCCAGGAGTTTGAGGCAGGAGGATCCCTTATGCCCAGGAGTTCGAGGCTGAAGTGAGCTATGATCTCATACTACTGCACTTCAGCCTGGGTGACAGAGTGAGACTCCGTCTCTAAAAAATAAAATAAAAAGAAATGAGAGAAATAAACACTTTTTTTGTTAAGCCACTGCTACCTGAAGTTTCTGTCACTGCCAAACCAATTCTAATTAATACACACAAGAATTAGAGAGATGGTAATAAACTCATGAGATATAGGTTGTTACTATTAAAGTGGTCCCATCAGTAACTCCAGACTGGTGAGGCCTGAAAAGATTTGGTTATCCAAGTTTAGGCCTGGTGTGAATTTCTAGCACTACATATAATGAGATAATTATAAAAACAGAGGCATAACAGCCGAGGCTACATTAGAGAAATTGTGAACCTCTTCTTCTAACTATTGTCCAATCCACATTCTTTACCTCAAATGTTCTGGCATGGGAGGAGAACAACAACAAAAAAATTAAATTTTATGGATTAAAGAAACAACTCTTTTTTTTTTTTTTTTTTTTTGAGATGGAGCCTCATTCTGTCGTCCAGGCTGGAGTACAGTGGCACGATCTCGGCTCACCGCAAACTCCGCCTCCCAGGTTCACGCCCTTCTCCTGCCTCAGCCTCCCAAGTAGCTGGGACTACAGGCGCCCGCCACCATGCCCAGCTAATTTTTTGTAGGTTTAGTAGAGAACGGGGTTTCATCGTGATAACCAGGATGGTCTTGATCTCCTGACCCCGTGATCCGCCCACCTTGGCCTCCCAAAGTGCTGGGATTACAGGTGTGAGCCATCATGCCTGGCCTAAGGAAACAACTCTTAAGTTGAGAATTACAGTTTGGGATGCCCTTATTTATGACTTATTTATGAGCCGGGAGGACTGCAGAAATAATTTATGCTTCATTAGCCACAGATTATTCTTCTTAGTCCTGAAACTCTTGCAAGCGTAAGTGAGGCCCTTTAATCAGCCCTCTGCCTCTCTAAGCCCCAAGCTAAGACCCAAACCGAGATTCCTAGTGCTTGGTGTCCTCAGTATCCATCATGATTTATGAACACAGGTCACAAGAAAGCTTTGTGAGATACACAAAATACAGTCAGATATCTACTGAATTTGTGAATTGAACAATAAAATTTGCAAATTTATTTAAAAGCCTAAGGAAGAACTATGTGTCTTGTGTTTTTAAATTTTAACCAATGTGAATTCCAATTGCTAAAACCAAAATAAACTTCTGAATAGGCTTTCCGAAAAAACTGTTTTGAGTGCTCCAGAAAACTCACATCAGCCCTTCTGTTTTGCATCTTCTGTTCTGCAATAGCCTGATAACATCAGCATGTCCTCAATCGCTGCTCAGTGCTTAGTTTAGAGAAAAATCCCCATGATCCTAGGCGTGGAGCCTGCCCTGGGCCTTCTGTTTTAGGCTCAGGGCCAAGAAGCATACAATGATGGCTATGGACCTTACTGACGGACTCAAGGGAACCCCTGGGGCACAGCTTGGGCATGATCAAAGGACAGAGTTGATCAGTTAAAAAAATTATGTAAGAGATATGGAACATTCTGATATGTGCAGTCCATCACACATTGACCTCATTCTTCTCACAGTAAGAACACAAATTATGAAAGTAACATGTCCAGGCTTCAACAGCTTGTAAGTATAAAATAAGGCTACACCTTCATTTAAAAAACACTTAAAGACTTCAAATGTCCATATCCCCAGATCGGAATGTACTTTTCCTTTAACGTCCTTGGGTAACTTATGAATTTCCTGGGGGTGCTACCTTCATGCATCCTCACAGGTCCTTTGAGTTCTTCCTGCTGCTCCTTGTCCAGGTGTCATGTCCATAACTGTCCTGTCAGAGGATATCTTGAGCCTGTTCCCACAGGAGCTGCTGCTTCCGGCATCACCCATCGCCTCTGTTTCAGGTGACAGGTCCCTGCTGCTTCCCCTGGACTTTTATATCTCAAGAAAATTACAGCTAGAGAAGAGGAATAAGCTCTAGTGTTCTATATGATGGTAGAATGGCTATAGTTAATACACTATACACTTTCAAATAGCTATTAAAAAGTCAAAAAATAACAGATGCTGAGGAGGTTGCAGAGAAAAGGAGAACACTTACGCACTGTTGATGGAAGTGTAAATTAGTTCAACCATTGTGAGAAGCAGCGTGGTGATTCCTCAAAGAGTTAAAAACAGAACTGCCATTCAACCCAGCAATCCCATTACTGAGTATTTACCCAGATGAATATAAATCATTCTACCATAAAAACACATGCAGCTAGGCGCAGTGGTTCATGTCTGTAATCCCAGCACTTTGGGAGGTCAAGGCGGGCAGATCACTTGAGGTCTGGAGTTTAAGACTAGCCTTGCCAACATGGTCAAACCCCATCTCTACTAAAATTACAAAGATTAGCTGGGCATGGTGGCACGCACCTGTAGTCCCAGCTACTTGGAAGGATGAGGCAGGAGAATCACTTGAACCCGAGAGGCGGAGGTTGCAGCAAGCCGAGATCACACCACTGCATTCCAGCCCGGGCGACAGAGCAAAGATGCCGTCTAAAAAAAAAAAAACAAAAAATATACGTTCACACGAAATGTTCATTGCAGCATTATTCACAATAGCAAAGACATGGAATCAACCTAAATGCCCATCAATAACAGATTGGATAAAGAAAATGTGGTACATATACCCCATGGAATACTAAGCTGTCATAAAAAAGAATGAGATAGGCCCGGCACGGTGGCTCACGCCTGTAATCCCAGCACTTTGGGAGGCCGAGGTGGGCGGATCACGAGGTCAGGAGATCGAGACCATCCTGGCTAACACGGTGAAACCCCATCTCTACTAAAAATACAAAAAATTAGCCGGGCGTGGTGGTGGGCGCCTGTAGTCCCAGCTACTCAGGAGGCTGAGGCAGGAGAATGGCGTGAACCCGGGAGGCGGAGCTTGCAGTGAGCCGAGATCGCGCCACTGCACTCCAGCCTGGGCGACAGAGCGAGACTCCGTCTCAAAAAAAAAAAAAAAGAATGAGATCATGTCTTTTGTGGGTACATGGATGGAGCTGGAGGCCATTATCCTTAGCAAATTAACACAGCAACAGAAAGCCAAATACTGCATGTTCTCACTTATAAGTGGGAAGTAAGTGATGATAACTCATGGACACAAGGAAGGGAACAACAGACACTGAAGCCTACTTGAGGGTGGAGGGTAGGAGAAGGGAGAGGAGCAGAAAAAAAATTACTATTGGGTACTAGGCTTAGTACCTGGATGACAAAATAATCTATACAACAACCCCCGATGACATAAGTTTACCTATATAACAAACTGCGCATGTAACCTGAACCTAAAATAAGTTAAAAATAAATAAATAAATGAATAAATTCTAACAAGAATAGACTATGTCTTTCCCTTAATTATTCAGAACAGAGCTGGGATCAAATAGAAAAATCTTTGAAATTAAATTTCAATAAAATTGGGATTTAAAAACATTCAAACTGTACTTAAATATGCTGAAGGTAACATCTTTTTATAAGCCTGTTTGTTTGCCTTTGGAAATATTTTCTAAGGATAGAGCCCTAGAAACAAACTTCATGGGTTACGTGAGTATTTGATTAGTGATAGTCACCAAAATGTACATGTATGTTCTGTGTACTTTTCTATAACTGCATTATACCTCAGTTTCAATATGTTTAAAATTGTTCTGGAATCAGCCGGGCATGGTGGCTTATGCCTCTAATCCCAGAACTTTGGGAGGCCAAGGCGTGCGGAACACGAGGTCAGGAGTTTGAGACCAATCTGACCAAGATGGTGAAACCCCATCTCTACTAAAAATACAAAAATTAACCGGGCTTGGTGGTGCACGCCTGTAATCCCAGCTACTCAGGAGGCTGAGTCAGGAGAATTGCTTGAACCCGGGAGGCGGAGGTTGCAGTGGGCCGAGATCGTGCCACTGCACTCCAGCCTGGGCGACAGAGCAAGATTCCATCAAAAAAAAAAAAAATTGTTCTGGAATCAGCAAATCTGCATTTTAAAACTTATGCACATTGACAATTTTTTTCCAAAAACCTGCATCAAAACATAGTCTACCAGAATCTCTAAATCCTTCTAACATTATCAGATATATCATATTCCATTCTAGTAGATATAAAATTATATTTGTCTGGTTATTAATGAGGTTAAACATCTCATATGTTTACTAGCAATTTATTTTCTTTTGTGATTTTCCTATTCATGTCTTTTGCATGTCTTTATATATTTATTGACTTTAGGAGCACTTATACAACAAAAATTAATTCTAGTAGATGCTGCAAATATTTATCTTAGTCAGATGCTTCTTTTACAAATTTGTGATATTTTTGTCACCTAGAAGTCTTAAAATTTATATAATAAATTATGAACAATGGTTTGCAATATCCCTTAACATTACATTTTCCAACCTTTTGTGCATCTACTTTTATAATGTTTTTAAAATTCTTTATGTTTTGAATATTTAATTCAGATGAGATATTTTTTAGTACGTGATGTGAGGTAAAACTCCAACATTATTGATTTTTAAAGTATAGCCCAATAGGTCACCATTAGTTTGAAATTCTACTACTGCAGCTTCTGGCATGGCGGAATAAGTTGTTTCATATCGACTTCTTGTTAAAATAATGAAGAGCTGAACACAAATATTTTTTAATCTTTCTTAAGGCATGAGAGAGTACCAAGGTGGTGAGGAATTGTGTAACCACCATTCAGGAGTGGACAGGCTGAGCCTGGTATTTGGGGTCACTTTCCCCCACTTCAAGTCAATGTCAGTTTCAAAAGTGGCAAATGAGAAGCTGACAAGAGCTTTAATAAGAATCATAGGGCTGAGGAAACAAAAATTAAAGTTTAAGACACAAGAATGAGGAGACATCTGATAGTGTCCCAGGCTTTTAATTAGAATGCTGAGAGCTATATCTTAGGAGTCAGAAGGAGCCAGAAAAAGACCTACCATCACTGAGAATAAATCCCAGCCCTGTCGCATGTAGAATTCTGATGAATAAATTCAATTAGGATTGCTAATGGTCCAAGCTCTCCTTCCTGAAAAAAGCAAAAGAAAAATATCACGGAGAGGCCAGGAGCAGTGGCACACACCTGTAATCCCAGTACTTTGGGAGGCCAAGGCAGGTGGATCACCTGAGGTCAGTAATTCGAGATCAGCCTGGCCACATGGTGAAACCCCGTCTCTACAAAAAATACAAAAATTAGCTGGGCGTGGTAGCACGTGCCTGTAATCCCAGCTACTCAGGAAGAGAATCACTTGAACCTGGGAGGTGAAGGTTGCAGTGAGCTGAGATCGCGCCACTGTACTCCAGCCTGGACAACAGTGGGTGGTAATGGTGGTGGGGTGGGGGCTGGGGTAGAAACTTCATGGAGGAGAATAACATCTTTCAGGGCCTCAAATATCTTTACAATTTTATATATGCCACACTCAATATACAATGAAAAATAATCAAAGATACAAGAAGATAAGTCATGACGAAAGCCAAGAACAAGAGACATTGAAAACAAATGATGTCCACGTAATCCAGAAAACAATTATTAGACAAGAATTTTTAAATGACTATGTTGAAATACATGAAAGACCAATGCGGTAGTCTAGTTCTGCTCCTACAAGATGACCTACAAAATGCCCACTCCTGTTATATGTGCCCACATCATCTCCTCCCCTTGAGTGCAGCAAGACCTGTGAATATGATGGGATAGTTACTTCGTGATTACATTATGGTTTATGGAACAGTTGAATTTAAGAAAGGGATATTATCCTTGGTGGGCCTGACCTAATTAGGTGGACTGGCTGCTGAAAATAAATAATTTGAAGTATGGGAGGGATTTGATGTGAGGAGATCCTCCATTGCTGGCTTTAAAGATGGAGGGGACAACATGGCAGGGAACAGCTGATGGCCTCAGGTTGCTGAGAGTGACCCCTGGCCAACAGCCAACTAAAAGACAAGGACCTCAGCCTTATAACCAAAAAGGCTGGATTGTACCAACAACCTGCATGAGCGTGGAAGCAAATTCTTCCCCACAGCCTCCAGATAAGAATGCAACTCAGCTGTTAGATACTGGGTAGACAACCCAGTTGAGCTGCACCCAAAATTCAGACCCACAGAACTGTGGGATAATAAATATATGTTGTTTTAAGCCAATAAGTTTGTGGTAATTTGTTATGCAGTAACAAAATAGCCAATGTAACAAGATTGAGAACTTTGGCAGGCAATAAGAAACAATGCCAAAGAAACAGATGGAATGCCAGAACTAAAAACTACAACTGAAATAAAAAGCTCAATGCATGGGTTTAAAAACAGATAGACACAACTTTAAAAAAGAGAGAGAGATCTGGAAAATTGATTAGAATAAAACAACCAGTAATTAAAAAAGAAAAAAAGCATGAAAAATACTGAGAAAAAAAGTGTAGGTGACATATGGGGCATAAACAACATACATGGACTTGAGGTCTTGGAGAAAAGAGAAGAGTGAATAGGAGAGAAACAGTCTATGAAAAGTTGGCTGAAAAAAGGCTGAAATATTTCTAAACTGTAGAAATATATTAAGCTATAGTTTCAAAAAAAGGCTAAAAACCACACAGAAAGGAAACCACATTTAACAACATCATAGGAAAACTAATAAAAACCAAAGAGATAAATCTTTAAAACAGCCAGAGGGAAAAAAGTATGGAGGGGAAGGTGTATTACTTTTCAAGGAACAGCATTTGCACAACTTCTTCAATAAATGTAAGAAATAAGAAGAAATATGCAAATGTTGTGAAAGATATCAATTACTAAAATAGACACAGGCAGAAACAGAAAATCTGAATAGGTGTGTATCTACTACATAAATTCATAATTTAAAACTTACCAACAAGAAAAATTAGATCCGGATAGCACTACTGGTGAATTTTTTCAAACATTTAAGAGATAAATAAAACCAACTCAACACAAAATCTTTCATAAAATAGAAATGGGAATACTTCCCAACTCATTTTACAAAGCCAGGAGGATATCCCGATACCAAAACCTGACAAACACATTTTTAAAAAAGAAAATTATATGCAAGTAGCCCTCATGAACACAGATGCAAAACTCCTTAATAAAATATTGACAAATAAAATCTAGCAATATATTATTGGAATAATACAGCATAACCAAATATAGTTCACCCAAGGGGCCAGACAGGTGGCTCATGCCTATAATTCCAAAACTTTGGGAAGCCTATGTGGGTGGATCACTTGAGCTTGGGAGTTTGAGATCAGCCTATAGGCCACATAGCAAGGCTCCATCTCTACAACAAATTTAAAAAAAAAAAAATTAGCCAGGCCTAGTGGTGCACACCTATAGTCCTAGCTACTTGGGAGGCTGAGGTAGGAGGATCACTTGAGCCCAGGAGTTCGAGGTTACAGTCAGCTATGATCATGCCACTGCACTCCAGCCTAGGCAATAGAGTGAGACCCTGCCTTTTAAAAGAAAAAAGAGAATTTGTTCAAGAATGCAAGGTAGGTTTAACATATAAAAACCAATCAATATAGTCCACTTTATTAACAGAATAAAAGTGAAAAACCATATGACCATTTCAAACGATACAGAAAAAGACCTTTGTTAAAGAAAGTAGAATAGTGATTGCCAGGGGCTGGGGAAAGGGGGAAATGGGGAGTTATTATTTAATGGGTATGGAGTTTTAGTTTTATAAGATGACAAGAGTTATGGAGATAGATGGTGGTGATAGTTACACATGATAAATGTATCTAATACTGGCTGGGCATGGTGGCTTACACCTGTAATTCCAGCACTTTGAGAGGCCAAGGCAGGTGGCTCACCTGAGGTCAGGAGTTTGAGACCAGCCTGGCCAACATGGTGAAACCCCATCTCTACTAAAAATACAAAAAAAAAAATTAGCCAGTTGTGGTGGAGGGCTCCTGTAATCCCAGCTACGTGGGAGGCTGAGGCAGGAAAATTGCTTGAACCAGGGAGGTGGAGATTGCAGTGAGCCGAGATCGTGCTGTTGCACTCCAGCCTGGGCAACAAGAGCGAAATACAATCTCAAAAAAAAAAATTGTTAAGATGGTAAATGTTATGTGTATATGACCACAATTTTTGAAAATTGAAAAAAGAACCCATTTGTCAAAATGAACACCCGTTTATTCTACAAACGATTATCAAGCTGGGAATGACATCTGATAAAGGACATCTCAATCTGATAAAGGACATCTACAAAAAACCTACAACTAATGCTCTTTTAAGATTGAAATCAAGGTAAAGACATTCACTTTCATCACCTCTATTCAACATTGTATTATAGATCTAGCCAGTACATTATAGCATTAAAAAAACATATAATTTAGAAAATAATTATTTTACAGATGACATAATTATTTATGTAGAAAATCCTCAGAAATCCATCCAAAGTGGAAGATTAATATAAGTAATAAGTGAATTACCTTAATAGTCATGAAATGGCTGTTAGCTGTAACCAAGACAGCATGAGTCTTTGCGTCTAGCTATATAAAAATAATCTTTTGATCACCCTATCCCTTAGTTAGAAGGGAACTTTTTGTGCAAAAGTTCTTTTTAAGTGTTTTCTACATTTCATTGCCCCAAATTGGCTCATGAATTCTTATCCCTAAACCAATTACTGACTATTGTGAGGGATTGTCATGATTGGTTTAGATCAATAAGCAGAGAATGAAAACTGAGAAGTCAGTCAGCAGGCTTTCTACTTCTTTTTATTTTATATCTCTTCCTCATCAAGAATTCAAAGATCTTAGGGCTAAAAAGGAGTCAAAGAATCTCATTCTAGGAATAATTATCATCTATTGAATACTTTATAGCCATTGTTTAGTAGTGCTGAGGTCTGAATGTTGGTGTTGCCCCAAAATTTATATGTCGGAACCTAATACCCAATGTAATAGTATTAAGAGGTGGGGCCTTTAGGAGATAAGTAGTTCATGAGGGCTTTCCCTCATGAATGCATCAGTGCCCTTATAAAAGAATCTTGAAGGAAACTGTTTGCCCCTTCCCCATGTGAGGATACAGATAGATGGCACCATCTTTGAAGCAGAGAGTGAGCGTTCAACAGACACCAAATCTGCCGGCACCTTGATATTGAACTTCCCAGCCTCCAGAAATGTGAACAATGAATTTCTGTTGTTTATAAATTACACAGTCTATTTTGTTATAGCAGCCAGAATAGACTAAGACAGATAGTTTTCTTTCACTATATCATCTAATTTTTAAAGACATTATTACTCCCATTTTATAATAAACTACTGTCAGAGGAGTGAAGTAACTTACTAAAGGTTACACCATAATAATGGCAGAGTTGGAACGAAATATATATGTCTAATTCCACAGCACACTCTTTTCAGTCCATGATCCAAAATCCAAACCATAGAAATTGGTACCACTTAATCACTTCAGAATTCTCACTAACAAATTTTAGAGGCATTTTGAGAAATAATAAAATAAAAGTAATCCAGAAATTGACCATACTTACATATTTCTCTTACTTATTTTTTCTTTTTCACACATTATAGCTTCTTCTTCTTAGTCCAAGCTCAGTCATCACCTCTCTTGCCCTCCCTATATCCCCACACACTTAAGTTAGTTCTCTTTTCTTGATTTCAGATATTTTCCTTTTTTCCCTCAGATTTGTAGAAACCTGAATGATGAGGTAAAAATATTACTATCCTAAATAACTGACAACAGCTTTTCTTAGGAAGTAAAGTAACTCTTTTTGGGAAAATAACATCATATGCTGCTCACCTAGCAGGTAAGATGTTAAGGCCATACATGTCACAGGAAGTTACATAATAAATATGTGCCTTAAATATAGCAGAAATCAAGGAAAATAATTTGTTTTGTTCTAAGGAAGAGGGGACGAAACAGAGGGACTGTGTGTGTGGATATAAAAAAATCACAAGCCAGCAAGAAAGTGTAAGGTTGAGAACTGTACAAGATGAAGGGCCAGTGAACTGAAGATGGTGTGGCCAATTACATTTTAAGAAAAGAGATGTAATCTGGGTAAAATAAAAAGTTTTCTCAACACAAAAACATAAACCCTCATTTACTCTTTAACTTCCAAATCTACTCCTGAAGACTTTACCTGAGTTGGGGTGTGTGTAGCAGAAGGGGACAGGTATAAATAAGAGTTAAGAAAGGAGCTGGGTTTCAGGAATGGGGTCAACATGGGACCTCACATGCAAAAAAAGTATCCAAAAAGCAGAGCGGATCATAAGGATAAAAGCCTCACCAGAAATCTGCAGAAATATTAAAGAAGGGAGTTGGAGTTCTTCCATGTTACAGTTCCAATCATGGCGCCATCTGGTGGCACATCTCACGCACGTTGTAGATACTGGGGGTTTTATCATGATCATCATTTAAGACAAGGTCTCGCTCTGCCATCCAGGCTGGAGTGCAGTGGCACAATCATAGTTCACTGCAGCCTCAACTTCCTGAGCTCAAGTGATCCTCCCGCGTCAGCCTCCCAAGTAGCTGGTACCACAGGCATGAACTACCACACCGACTCATTTCTTTCTTCCCCCTTCCTTCCTTCCTTCCTTTTCTTTCTTTCTCTCTCTTTCTTTCTTTTTCTTTCTTCCTTTCTTTCTTTCTCTTTCTCTCTTTCCCTCCCTCCTTTTCTTTCTTTTCTTTCTTCTTCCTTTCTTCCTTTCTCTCTCTCTTTCCCTCTCTTTCTCTTTCTTTCTTTCCTCTTTTTTTTTTCTCGTAGAGACAGAATCTCCCTATGTTGTCCAGGTTGGTCTCAAACTCCTGGGCTCAAGTGATCCGCTCGTTTTCACCTCCCAAAGTGCTGGGATTACAGGTGTGAGTCACTGCACTGGCCACTTTAAATATTTTTGAGAAATTGATTCATAAAAGAGAAAAGACTGGAGCTACCATAAATTCAGCGCCTACCATGTGCTTAGAATTGTATGTGTGTATATAATTTTAACAACATTGAGCTATCTTTATTTTAAAGAGAAATTTATTCGTCAAAGTCTACAAAATTGGTTTTATTTGTTTGCAAGGTCCATTCTCCACACATACTCGACAGTCTCCATAATTCTGTGAAGACTGTAATTTAAAAACATAAAGTGAAAGAAACATCACAAAGCAGAGAACAGAGGATAAAGCCTTAATAACCTCTAGTTAGTATATTCCGAGTTATTTGGGGAACTATTGTTTTCAAAACAAACAAACAAAAACTTGTAAAAGGAAAGCAAAAAAGAACAAGCACTTGGAAAATAAATATATAAAATAGCAGGAGTGGAAGAATTAGTATTAGGTTCAAAAGATAAAGTCAAAGAAATGACTTCCAAAAGAGGAAAAACAGAAGAAAAGATAATACAGTAGAGCAATCCAAGAGATTCAATATTTGACTAATAGAGTTCCAGGAAGAGAGGAGAGAGGGAAACAGAAATTGGAAATTTACTGAAGTAAATTTCCCATACCCGAAAAGTTGAGTTTCCAAATTAACCCCACCCCCATCCCCAGTGCAGGATACAATGACTCGTACCTAAGCATGTCACTGTGAAGATTGAGAACAGAGGCATAAAAAGATCCTGTAAGCTTTCTAGGAAAAGGGAAGCATCAATTTCAAAGATTCAAAATGGCGTCAGGCTTCTCAACAATAGAACTGGATGATAGATGACTCTGAAGCAATGCATTTTCACAATTCTGTGGAGGAATTGTAACTCTATAATTCCATACTCTGGCAAATTATTAATCAAATCAGAGAATAGAATAAATACATTTTCAGATATGGAAGAACACACAAAATGTACCTCCCAAGCACACTTTCTTATGAATGTACTTCGGGATATGCTCCAAAAAAAATCAGGAATAAACAGAGAAGAGTAGACCAAGGAAAAGGAAACATGAGATCTGGGTAACACTGATTACAGGATTATAGCTGCAGAGCAGATTTATTGAGGCAGAGGCTCAAGGACAAAAATCTCTAGGAAAAAGGCAAGTAGCTAATAGGAAACACAACTTGACTGAGAAGATGGATGAGTTTGAGGATATAAGGCCTGCACAAAGTGTAAGAAAATTAAAAGGTAACAATAGGCCAGGCACGGTGGCTCATGCCTGTAATCCCAGCACTTTGGGATGCTGAGGTGGGCAAATCACGAGGTCAAGAGATTGAGCCCAAACTGGCCAACATGGTGACACCCCGTCTCTACTAAAAACACAAAAATTAGCCGGACATGGTGGCGTGCGCCTGTAGTCCCAGCTACTTGTGGGGCCGAGCAGGAGAATTGCTTGAACCTGGGAAGCAGAGATTGCAGTGAGCCAAGATCGCGCCACTGCCCTCCAGCCTGGCAGCAGAGCAAGACTCCTTCTCAAAAAAAAAAAAAAAAAAAGTTAGCAATAAACTCCAGGAAACACATAATGCTATTTTAGGCTGTATGGTGTTATTGGACTTCCGGAAGACATTGTTTGGATATTTCGAATAATATAGGCCGTTTTCTGCCTGCTTCCTCACAAGTGAGGAGACTTGTGGTCTGGTTCTTGGACTTCCCTAGCAGCATGGCCCCCAAATGCCCGTCTCCACTCCCACCTCAAAAGAAGAAATCAAGACTACCTCCTGCTCTGAGACTGGAGGAGACATCAGTCTCTGTAGGCTTGCCGAAGAAGGGAGAAAAAGAACAGCAAGAAGCAATTGAACATATTGATGAAGTACAAAAAGAAATAGACTTAATGAACAAGCTAGTGAGGAGATTTTGAAAGCAGAACAGAAATAATACAAACTCCTGCAACCATTTTTTCAGAAGACGTCAGAATTGATTGCCAAGATCCCAAATTTTCGGGCAACATTTGTCAACCATCTCCACGTGTCTGCACTGCTTGGGGAGGAGGAGGAAGAGGCACTGCATTATTTGATCAGAGTTGAAATGACAGAATTTGAAAATATTAAATCAGGTTATAGAATAGGTTTTTATTCTGATGAAAATCCTTACTTTGAAAACAAAGTTGTCTCCAAAGAATTTCATCTGAATGAGAGTGGTGATCCATCTGCAAATTCCACTGAAATCAAATGGAAATTTAGAAAAAATTTGACAAAACATTAAAGTCAGATGCAGAGTAAAGCCAGCAGGAAGAGGCAGCATGAGGCACCAGAGAGCTTCTCTACCTGATTTACCCACCATTCTGATGAAGGTGCTGATGAGTTAGGAGAGGTCATCAAAGGTGATATTTGGCCAAACCCATTATAGTACTACTTGGTTCCCAATATGGATGATGGAGAAGAAGAAGGAGAAGAAGATTAGTAGGAGGAAGAATTAGAAAATATTGATGAAGAAGATGAGGGTGAAGGTGAAGAAGATGACAATGGTGATGAAGGGCAGGAAGGAGAGGAGGATGAAGGAGAAGATGACTAATAGAACACTGATGGATTCCAACCTTCCTTTTAAAGAAATTTTCTCCAGTTCCTGGGAGCAAGTTGCAGTCTTTCCCCCGCCCCACCCCGCTTCTTGTGCTCAGTAACCCTGTTCTCGTGGTCCCTTTTCTCTACACCATGGTTTTCAACTTATTTGGGAGGGAAATACCTTGAGCAGAATACAATGGGAAAAGAGCCTCTATCCTCTTTCTATTCTTAATTCATTTTTATCCCTTCCTGTCTGAGCAAAAACTGTATGGAATCAACACCACTGAGCTCTGTGGGGAAAAAAAAAAACCTGCTCCCTTTGCTCTGCTGGAAGCTGGAGGGTGTGAGGGCCCTGTGTGGCAGTGCGGAGAATTCTAGCTTCTTTCCTACTTTCTCTATATATTGAGCTCAGAGAGTACACTGTGCCTGTATGTGAATAAAGACAGTTAGCATTTACCAACATGTATCTGTCTACTGTCTTTTGTTTAAAAAAAGGAAAAAAACAGTTCTAAAAAATGGGGTTTTAGAAGGTCAGCAAAGGGTGGCTTTGACATGTTTGGCCGGGTTAAGTGGGCATTTTGACAACATGGCTTCTCCTTGGGATGTTTGTGATGTTTGACAGATATCCTTGCAGTTTAAGATGACACTTTAAAAATAAATTCTCTCCTAATGATGACCTGAGCCCTGCCACTCAATGGGAGAATCAGCAGAACCTGTAGGATCTTATTTGGAATTGACATTCTCGATTGTAATTTTGTTCCTGTTTATTTTTAAATTTTGTTTTCGTTTCACTGGAAAGAAAAGATGATGCTCAGTTTTAAACGTTAAAAGTGCACAAGTTGCTTTGTTACAATAAGACTAAATATGTACACAAAAAAATTAAAAACTAAAAATAAAATAATATAGGTTGGGCACAGTGGCTCACATCTGTAATCCCAGCACTTTGAGAGGCTGAGCGGGGAGGATCGCTTGAGCGCAGGAGTTTGACCAGTGTGGGCAACATGGCGAAACCATGTCTCCACAGAAAAATACAAAAAATAGCCTGGAGTGGTGGCACATGACTATAGTCCCAGCTACTTGGGAGGATGAGGTGAGAGGATCACTTGAGCTGGGGAAGTAGAGGTTGCAGTGAGCTGAGATCTCACTACTGTACTCCAGCCTGGATGACAGAGTGAAACCCTGTCTCAAAAATAAATAAAGAAAGAAAGAATATAAATATTTTGTATCAATTTTCAGCTTTTACAGTCAATGAACTTAAGTCTTAATTTTGGTTACAGAATTAAATATTAATATTAACAATCAAGGCAATGTAAAAGTAAAGTACAGTTGACTGAAGCTGGGACACAGACGAAAAGAGAGTGAATGAAAAGAAGGATACTAATATTCTTATTTTACAAAATAGGAACTCAGAATACCCAGTGCCTATCTGAAAAAGATACTAAAATGATTAGCATAGTATTAAGTTAGAAAGGTAAACAAGAGAACTGAAATATAGCTATATTAGGAAGAGGGGAGGGAGGTGGAGTTGAGCTAAACCTTAATATGTTGTAAAGTCAATAGACCTTTGATGGATTAGTGAGTACAGGACACCTTTCCTAGTAGAGGACACCATTAGAGGGAATTCGTTTGAGGGAAAACAGCCTGCAAATTATTTATTTATTTATTTGAGATGGAGTCTTCCTCTGTCACCCAAGCTGGAGTGCAGTGGCACGATCTCAGCTCACTGCAACCTCTGCCTCCCAGGTTCAAGGAATTCTCCTGCCTCAGCTCCCAAGTAGCTGGGATTACAGGCGCCCACCACCATGCCCAGGTAATTTTTGTATTTTTAGTAGAGACAGGGTGTCACCATGTTGGCCAGGCTGGTCTTGAACTCCTGACCTCATGATACACCTGCCTCAGCCTCCCAAAGTGCTGGATTATAGGCATGAGCTACCATGCCCAGCCCAAATTACTTACGATTGGAAATCACCTTAATGTGACAAAAGAGGGAATACTTAAATAAATCACATTACATTAATAGAATAAAATATATCGAGTAAAACTTTTTAATGACTACTCAACAATATGGAAAATTCTATTATATAATAGAATTTTCAAAAGATATAAGTCCTCTTTCCCTAACCTTCCCTTTCTAAACCATTTAGTCCTAAAGCCACCAGGTGGGGCAGAACAAGGTCATAGACATTGATGAGGAGGGGCCATCTGGCACAGGAATAAGAACTCAGAACCCAAGAGAGATGAAAAGGTGTCCCTGGTGAGGGATGTCTGAGGGGGCTGAGAGGGGAACACAGCCTGCAGAATCACAGCCTGAGCAAGTGGAGGAGATGTCCACTCAGAGGGGTTGCCTAGTGTGAGATATCCAGGCCCAAATGGTGGACACCCATGTAGAGGGGCAGCCCTGGCACAGAGTGTCAGAGCCAGAGTGGGCAAAGGGCATCCATATGGGAGGGGGAATGGCGGCAGCAAGGTGAGATTGGTTACATACATGAAGATGCATGCAATAAGCAACTATATTAAAGAATATGGGAGAAGAAATTTATAAGTCAAAAAGTTATAAATAAGAAAATTAAGATATAAATATGGGAAGAGAAAACCTAATATGAGCTTGTGGGGTTGGATTTGAATTGAGGTATTGGTATAAACGTATGGTTTTCAATATAGTTACATAAAGAAAATACATGTGAGAACTTACATGTTACATAAAGAAAATACATGTGCTGCACTTAGGCCCTCGAATCGAGTTCTCCTGCAGGTTGCTGCAGATTTCGGTGTATCCTGGGGTGGGAGCCTCCAGCTTTGCCTGTGGCTGCTGTCCTTTCAGAGCTAACAGATACCTACTTACAGATAGTATTGTGAAATTAAAAGAATTTCAGCACAAGAAGGTGGCTGTTGCATGTAATCTTTCCTAAAGAAACCTATTTTAGGAATTTGGAAGAGAAACTGACAAGCTCATCTTGAAGGGGGAGTTGATAACCTTACTTTATTTTTGTGGGTCCCAGGACCATGTGGAGCTGGCTACAAATGTCATTTACAGGTACCATGCAGGGAACAGAAATATCACTTTGGGGGAGTATAGGTTTGGACCACTTTTCATGAGTCTGTTATGGGTTGGATCTTGAGGGGCTCATGAAAGACCAGCATTTATGAGATTCCTTCTCAGATTCCACATCATTCAATATTTTGATGGATATGTTATTTATCAAAGGCAAATATAAAAGTGCTTTGGAAGTATTGATAGAGATGAAAAATCAAGCTGTGAAATTCACCAAATATCCTATGTTCTTAGTTTTGCAGTTTGCAACAAACTGAAGAGCGCTGAGTCTTTCAAAATCTGTTCTGCATTAACAGAAGAAGCCCCACTCAAAGGAGAGGTTCCCTCCAGGAGAGCATCCCGTTTCTTTGTGGCGTTAGCTCTGAATCAGAACCAAGTGGCAAAAGCTATGTCCATTTTTTTCTCAAACCATGAATCCAGAAAGCATAGCCTGCACTAACTTAACTATTATAATCCATATCCAGTCAAATATGTTGGAAACCCTGATAGAGACACTAAAAAAATGCTGCAGAAGGAAATTTATTAAAATTTGTGAAAAGACATGCATTCTCAGAGGAAGTGCTGGCAAAAGTGAAGGAAAAGTGAAGGATATGCCTGCCCTTGTGGCCAGATTTAATGAGATCTATGGAAAACTGCACATCAGTGGCCAGGTCACCACTTGTACTTTGGGTACTCTGCTCTGCCACACCCCCAGGGACAGGAAATCCCATATGTTGCTATTAAACAAGAGGATGATGAGCCATTGGACCTTCCAGCCACTCAACCGGTCCTTTTTGGCTGAGTAATAATCCTCATTTCATCCACCTGTGGATCTGAAGGGCCTGCTTCTAGTGAGTTGTTGCCTTCCCTAAGAAGCAGGCATTGCACTTCAGTAGACGCTGTGCTGACACTTAGCCTCCTCTTGAAATTCCCAAGTTCACTGAATGGTGGCATGTTGATCTCTGAGAAGTTATGTTGCACTACTGTGAAGGTCTACATGCAAGCATGGTTCCCTCAGAAAGGAGCTTCCCTTGTACACTGCTGAGGATACCTGAAGGAACATGGTCAGTCTCCAGTCCAGCTTCCAGCACCAGAATGGAATCCAGCAAGCACCACAGGAATGAATTTCACTACAAGTGTGGTCACTCTGATTTTCAAGGGAGTAGTTACTTGTAAATTACATCCTTGCTGAATTCAAGAGGTCTGAAACCCTATTCTATCATGTTAGAAAATAGCCCAGGATTTCCTCACTGATCTGCCATCATATATTTCTATGACTTGAGCCCTCATTTTTCCATATGCAAAACAATAATGCCTATGCGTATTTGCATATAGATTTGAAATCTTCATGCAAAGTTCAGTAGGATCAGATTTTCTCAAAAATAAGAGAAATAAAAAAGGTTTGTAAGCAAAAATTAAAAAAACGAAAGAAAGAAAAAAGAGAAAATACATGCAAATACATGTGAGTGTGAGTGTGATTGGCTATTTGCCATATTCCCACCTATGTCCACTGAGACAGCCTTAGAGCTCTCTCACCCCAACAGCAATGAGCACCTACCTAGCACCCAGATCCAGGTTTCAAAATACTGTTCGTCACTAAACACAACCAGGTCATCTTAGAAAAATGACTGGTTCCAGGGGAAGGAAAATATAAAATGAGCTTGGACCATCTTGTAGTTTCTAAAAGCAAGGAACTGCCTAAATAATGATGGGGAGGCTGGGCATGGTGGCTCATGCCTGTAATCTCAGAACTTTGGGAGGCCGAGGCAGGAGGACCCCTTGAGCCCAGGAGTTCAGAGACCGGCCTGTGCAACATAGTGAGACACTATCTCTACAAAAAATGAAAAAGAAAGAAAGAAGAAAGAAAGAGAAAGAAAGAAAGGAAGGAAGGAAGAAAGAAAGAAAGAAAGAAAGAAAGAAAGAAAGAAAGAAAGAAAGAAAGAAAGAAAGAAAGAAAGAAAAGAACAAACATTAGCTGGGCATGGTCATGCACACCTGTAGTCTCAGCTACTCAGGAGGTTGAGGTAGGAGCATTGCTTGAGCCCAGGAGTTTGAAAGCAGTGAGCCATGATCACACCCCTGCACTCCAGCTTGGACAACAGAGCAAAGAAAAGAAGAAGAAGAGAGAAAGAAGAAGAAAAAGAGGAGGAAGAGGAAGAAGAAGAGGAAGAAGAAGAAGAAGAAGAAGAGGAGGAGGAGGAGGAGGAGAAAGAATAGGGATACATCAAAAACACACAGAAGCCCTATTAAAATAGCTTCCACTGGCTAATCTGGGACAACTTATAACTCATTGAATAAAACAAGAAACCATGAATCCATACTGATATAAATAAATGAATGCATTTAAAATATAAGGATTTAAATACCTACACAGTTTTCTTCTTCTTCTTCTTCTTCTTCTTATTCTTCTTCTTCTTCTTCTTCTTCTCCTTCTCCTTCTCTTTCCTCTTCCCCTTCCCCTTCCACTTCCCCTTCTCCTCCCTCCTCCCTCCTCCCTCCTCCCTCCTCCTCCTTCTCCTTCTTCTTTTTGAGATGGAGTCTTGCTCTGTCAACCAGCTTGGAATGCAGTGAGGCAATCTCACCTTACAGCAACCTCAGCCTCCCAAGTTCAAGTGATTCTCCTGCCTTAGCATCTTGAGTAACTGCAACTACAGGCAACTGCCATCACACCCAGCTAATATTTATAATTTTAGTAGAGATGAGGTTTTGCCATGTTGGCCAGGCTGGTCTCGAACTCCTGATCTCAGGTGATCTTCACCCTCCACCAACCCCCCAGCCTCCCAAAGTGCTGGGATTACAGGCCTGAGCCAACCGGACCCAGCTGAAATACTTACATAGTTTAAAAATGCATCCACTACAAAATACTTAGTAGTTACAAAGAAAAAAATAATAACTTCAGTAGAGAAGGCTGGCAGATTTCATTTTAATCAGGTGAACAAAGTAAACATCATCAATAATGGTTTAAATTGAAATTGAATTGAAACTTAGAGGATGCAGTGGGAAGAACATGCACCATTTTTGTGACATCTCTGCCAAAGATGGAGAATCTAAATCTAATCAGGACAAACCCACATGGAGAAACATTCTACAAAATAACTGGACTGGAATCTTCAAAAGAGTCAAAGTCTAAGAAAGCCTGCGGAATTGTATTACAACAAATGAGAATAAAGAGACATGACTACTAAATGAAACACATGATTCTGATTGGATCTTTTTGCTCTAAAGAACATTATTGAGACAAATGGTAAAATTTGAGTAGAGTCTGAGTTAGATGGTAGCATAATGTGAATGTTAACGTTAATGTCCTGATTTTGATAGCTGTATATGAGAATATCCTTGTTACAAGAAAGGCACACCAAAGTATTCAGGAATGGAGGCGCATTCATTAACTTACTCTCAAATGGTTCTGGAAAAAAAAAAAGAGTTATTTGTGTTGTACTTGCAATTTTTCTGAGATTGATGTTACTTCAAACATTTAAAATTACAGTTCAAAATTATAAGGCAACCCTGTAAATAATATTTGATTCCAAGTTTTTTAACATATACATGTTCGTATGTATATTTGCACATAAAAATCTAAAAGTATATGCACCTAAATATTAAGGGTGATTAATCTTAAATAGTGTGACTACATTTGACCATGATTTTCTCCTTTTTCGTCTGTATTTTCCTAATTTTTTTTACAATGAATGGTATTGCTATTTTTATTCATTAAATCACTAGGAAAAATATTAGAAAATACAAATAAATTTGAAAATAATGAATCAATTAAAATTGCCCTAAATCTCATCACTGAAAGTTAACCACTGATGACATTTTGATATCTATCCTTCCAGGATTTTTTACACGCATATATATATATATGCATGTATAAGAAAGTTAAATATATATTAGAAAACATATATATATAAAATGTTATTTACAAAGGTAGGCATGTGTTTTCACAAAATGAAATAATAATAAACACACCATAAATTTTTTTCACTGAATTCATCTACATTCTTTCACGTCAATAAATTTAGGCCTTTACTATCCCTTTAGGGACTGAATACTATTTCATTGTTAAACTACTATTTATTTAAATAATCCCTGATGTTGGACACTTAGAATTTTTTTACTTTTACCATTATAAATCATGCTATGATGAACATTTTTATTCATACAACTTTATGCATTTGCCAAATTGATTCCTTAGGATAAATTATGAAAAGTAAAATCCTGGGGTCAAAGATTTAAAAAAAAATATTAGGCACTTTTGCTGCATATTATCAAATTGCCCTCTAGAAAGTGTGTGTATCGGCGTATATTCTTACCTGCCTGGTACCCTAACCCATGACAATGTTAAATAGTATCTTTTTTCTATGTGAGGAACTTAAAATAATCAGAATAAACAGTAATCTTTAATATTTCTGGAGATAACTGGATAAGAAAATACATTTCATAAGCTTATAAATGTACTAAAAATGATAAACATTCTATGTTTTTTAACTAAGTTGGTAGGTCAATTATTAGCCTGGGAGTGGGGAAGGGGAGAGGAAGTAAAATAATTCTTTAGTTACTAGATAAAGAAAAAATGATATGAGTGGAGAGATGGAAAAAACACTATAATGAGCCATTCCAGACCAGAAAGTCTTGCATTTCATAACTATATTATCTATTGCTGTGAAACAAATTACTGTAAAACTTAGCAGTTAAAGCAACAAATATTTACCATGTTGCAGTTTCTAAAGGTCAAGAATTTAGAAGAAGGTTAACTGATAGGTTCTGGTTCAGGGTCTCTCATAAGCTTGCAGTAAAAATGTCAGCTAGGGCTGCAGTCATCTGAAGGTTTGACTGGGGTTGGAGGAGCTGCTTGCAAGATGGCTCACCCACACGGCCTTTGGGAGGAGGTCTTAATTCCTTCCTGGTGTTGGCAGGAGACCTCAATTCCCACATGGGTCTCTCCATTGTGCTGCTTGAGTGTTCATATGATATGGCACCTAGCTTACCCCCAGAGCGAGTGATGTGAGCTCAAGAGCAAGGAGGAAGCCAAATCCTTTTTTGGACCTATTTCAGAAGAGGCATGCCATCACTTTGATCACATTCTGTTCGCTGGAAGTGAATCCATTTCTAGCAGATTCTCTCACTGAATTCAGTCACACTCAAGGAGAGAGAGATTAAGCTCACCTTTTGGAGGGAAGAGCATTAGTGACTGTGTGGACACATTTTAAGGCTACCATAATAGCTAAAACACATGAAGCTCTTATCAAGAGCTTCTATAGTCTCAGATATTGATGACAGATGGCCAACTAACCACAGATCAAGAAAGGTCAGGTGCAGTGGCTCACCCTTATAATCCCAGCACTTTGGGAGGCCAAGGCAACAGGATTACTTGAGGCCAGGAGTTTAAGGCCAGTCTAGGCAATATAGAAAGCCCCCCATCTCTAAAAATATTTTTGTTTTCTTGAGACTGAGTTTTGCTATTGTCACCTAGGCTGGAATGCAGTGGTGCGATCTCGGCTCACTGCAGCCTCCGCCTCCGGGGTTCAAGCAATTCTCCTGCCTTAGCCTCCCAAGTAGCTGGGACTACAGGCATGTGCCACCACGCCTGGTTAATTTTCTTGTATTTTTTGTAGAGACGGGGTTTCACCATGTTGGCCAGGCTGGTCTTGAACTCCTGACCTCAGGTGATCCTCCTGCCTTGGCCTTCCAAAGTGCTGGGATTAAAGGCATGAGCCACCATGCCCAGCCTAAAACATTTTTTACATTTAAATTTAGAAAAATAAAGTTGGAAACCTAGTGTAATGGAAACATCACTGATTCAGGGGCCAGAATATTGGACCAGGGAAGATCAAGTCATGGCCGGGCACAGTGACACTGTAATCCCAGCATTTTGGGAGGCTGAGGCAGGCAGATCACCTGAGGTCAGGAGTTCGAGGACAGTTTGGCCAACATGGTGAAACCCTGTCTCAATTGAAAATGCAAAAATTAGCCTGACGTGGTGGGAGGTGCCTGTAATCCCAGCTACTCAGGAGGCTGAGGCATGAGAATCACTTGAACCTGGGAGGCAGAGGTTGCAATGAGCCGAGATCGAGCCACTGCACTCCAGCCTGGGCAACAAAGCGAGACTATCTCAAAAAAAAAAAAAAAAAAAAAAGGCATATTAGTCAATGTATGAGAATAGGCTATGCAAAAAATAAAAATAAAAATAAGTGAGTTCAACTAGATATATACACATTGAACACCTACAATGCACAAGGCATTGTGTTAGTTCTACTGGGTATAACCAGAGAGGCTACTTACCTAAGATAAGCTAGTAAATGTTAGAACTACAATTTTAACGCAGTTCTGGAACTTTCAATCGAAGTTACTTACCTAAGATAAGCTAGTAAATGTTAGAAGTACAATTTCAATGAAAGTTCTGGAATTTTCAATTGAAGTTCCAGATTCCATGTGCTTAACCATTATGCTTCACTGACATTCTAGAGTCTACCCTGCCCACCTGCCTGAAGTGATCTCCAGCTTGGGCCCCTGACCTTCAGCTCTTGGAGGGCTTCAAGAAAAATGAATTCCCTATTCCTTCCTTAGAATATGTTCTTGAGGGGCTGGGCACGGTGGCTCACGCCTGTAATCCCAGCACTTTGGGAGGCCGAGGCGGGCGGATCGCAAGGTCAGGAGATCGAGACCATCCTGGCTAACACAGTGAAACCCCGTCTCTACTAAAAGTACAAAAAATTAGCCGCGCATGGTGGCGGGCGCCTGTAGTCCCAGCTACTCAGGAGGCTGAGGCAGGAGAATGGTGTGCACCCGGGAGGCGGAGCTTGCAGTGAGCCGAGATCGCGCCACTGCACTCCAGCCTGGGCAACAGAGCAAGACTCCATCTCAAAAAAAAAAAAAAAAAAAAAAAGAACATGTTCTTGAGTTAGTGATTTATTGAGGGAGTGCTCTTAGGAGAAACCTGTATGTAAGAAGCTAAAAAAAGAAGTGATTTTAGCTAAAAGCTAGTCTCAAACCTGACCCCATGGGGAGCTCTAAAACATGACTGATGCCATAAGATTGAGGCAAGAGGTCTAAGTTCTTACACATCCATATCAGCCAGTCATTGGCTATGGGCTACCCCTGGGGAAGGACATAACCTCTTAGACATTGTCAACAAGGCGGCCCCCATAGGCTGGAGGCTATGCTCTGGAGAAGAGTGCACCTGTGAATTCTTGACAGAGAATACTCAGCAGCTGTGGGATGGCTGCACCTCCCTGGTAAGGGAGGTCTATATGTATCAACTGTTCTCAACCTTACAAATATATTATTTTAACCCCAGTCTTCTAATACAGTTGCTTGCTGTATGTTTGGTCCTTAGCAAGACCAGCTTTCCAGAGCAGTGCCCAGGGCTGGCTCTAATCACATCACCTTCCTTCTTCCTATCACAATTATCCCCTCTGGATCTCATTTGTGGATATGTTGCAAAGCCTGTTTCTTTTGTTTTGTTTTGTTTTGTTTTAATGACTGTATACCCAGTAAGTAGGTAGCACAGTGCCAAACGCATGCAAAAGCATTCATAGAATAAGGCCTATTTTGCTTTTTTCTTTTCTTGTTGTCACCTTATAAATGTGCCGAAGATCCCATTTTTTGAAGTTAATAATTTTATATACTTGTGTATAGGGATATGCAATAAGTTTATAAGGATATAATTCCAAACACTAACCTCATGCTAGTGCTGGAGAGCTGACATTTTCAAACACTGGGGCATCCCAGTACCTCCTGAAATCCTATTTCCATAGGTAATGGACTATTATGTCTCAACATGAGACTCACATTTCCCTCATTGCCTCTGTTGCTTGGCCTTAATATTACCATTTTCCTCTTCCCCTTACCTTTCCCCTAAATCCAAACTTAACTGGGTTTCTGAATCATAATTCTTATAAAGAATCAGCCCAGCTGCTCCTGGAAGTGACGTCTCTGGGATGTGAATCACTTTCTGAAAACAAACTGGAGCCCATTGCAAAAATGTGAAGAGGAGAGAAAGGCAGGTCTCTGCGTAGGATACAGGAAATGGAGGCAGGAACATCAACAAATTCCACGCTAAATCAAAGCATTGCTGAAAATGACAGAAACTCTGTGCCCTGGAGTTCCTTTTGACCCCACCAGCAATGAATCTCTGCTGGATAACGTAACTTCATTTCATGGGAAAGAGAGGCTTGAAAAGAACCAACTGAGGCTACCCTGCTTGGTAGACTGAGCACTTGAGGAAGGCGAGGAGATGACTTCTTGTCGAGAGCCTAATAAGGACATAACACATGAGACATTACCTTGGATACAGCCACAACCAGAGCTGCCTCTACTGTGTGTGGCCCTGGCTAAATTTTTTGGGGGGTAAGGGTGAGGAAGAGGGCCCTATCTATATAAACAGTTTCATGTTTAAATATATTACAAAATTTATGAGCCCAAGTGAAGTATCATGATTTGTCAATGAAGTTTTAGAATAATGAGAAAAGAAAGAGATACTATATATTTCTTTATTGTCCCATCAATGTATATGGAGATTCTTCGGACTGTCCAGATATCATCTCTTCCTGTTAGATCTAGGAATCATTTCTTCACACTCCTTACTGTCAAATGCACCATTCTTGAATATTTCATGTCTCCAACCACAAGAAAAAAGGGTATCACACTGCTACAGCTCTTCGAAACCTATTTAAATTGAAACAATTTGTATCTTCTTGCCTCTGTAGTTTCCTAATGCCATTTAATGTCAGTTATAGTGTTACTCATGACAGGGAATTATCCAGTTTATGGCCTAAATACCAACTTCCAATGACTCTCTCAAAGGTTACTTTATTACTTTATGTTGTTGGTGATGATCACAAATGCAAGTCTTATCCAGAATATGCCAGAAAATGAGAATGATAATTAATTTTCAGGCCATGTAGAATTTGCCATTTGGAGTTTTGTAGTATAAACATAAAACATATCTTCCAATCATATTTTCTCTTGAACTCTTTAAGCCGTAATTACTGCATTCCTAGAACGTGACCTCTTTTACAACTAACCACATTCCTACCTTCCACACATTGCTACTAGCAAGAGACCCGTGGGCAGAGTGAAAAAAGCATCCTGTTCATGCAAGGAGTGATTATCCTTCATCTTGCACAGATTAAGACCAACCCAAGAAAGCATGTTATCACCCACCAGTTGGAGGCAAGAGAGAACATTGACAGGAAATGCCCCATTGGGGCTAGGAGCGGTGGCTCATGCCTGTAATCTCTGCTCACTGTAACCTCCCTCTCCCAGGTCCAAGCAAATCTCCTGCCTCAGCCTCCCAAGTAGCTGGGATTACATGTGCCTGCCACCATGCCCAGCTTTTTTTTTTTTTTTTTTTTTTTTTGTATTTTTAGTAGAGATAGGGTTTCACCATGTTAGCCAGCCTGGTCTCGAACTTCTGACCTCAGGTGATCCACCTGCCTCGGCCTCCCAAAGTGTTGGGATTACAGGCATAAGCCACCACGCCTGACCAAGTCCCAGAACTCTTTTGCAGCACCTAGTTGACCCCACACATGGCAGTGGGGAGACAGTGCTCCAAAGGGGAGAAATGGGACCCGGGCCCACACCAGTCCTAGTCTAAGCTCAGAGCACCCTACCCACATGGCACTGCTGGCCTCAGCCAGTCCCAGATACTGTAGTGGGGTAACTTCCTGTATGGAAGGCACTCCAAAGGGACCCTTGAGGGCAGTGGCCCTGCTCGCTCAAGTCTAAGGACTCTACTGGCCCTAGAATATAAATTTTGTGGCCATCCAAGGAATGAAATTTTAAAAATCCTATAAGATCCCACATGTCCACATACTGCCAACACACCTGAAACTCAAACCTGTGCTGATGGTATTGCACTTCGTGTCATAGTGCTGCTTCCAGAAGGACTCCGTCAAAATATTATGTGTTCTCCGTGGGCAGTGAGCCCTGCAGCATCACCACCAAATGCAGCTGCCATTCATTGAACCCTACCATGGGCTGTTCAATCTCATCTAATCCTCACTGCCACCCTATAAAGTAGGTATGATCATTTTCTCATTTTACTGATAAGAAACCTCAGATTCTGAGAGCTGAGGGCAATTCCCATAGTCACAGCTGCTTTTTTTTTGAATGGCAGAGCTGAGATATTCTCACGTTTATCCCAAGAATTGGTTCTTTTCTCCTACATCACACCACATCATATTAGTTAATAACCTGAGCAGTTCAACATCTTTATTAACAGTTTTGAAACATTAATTCACAGGAAAACTGGTAGGCTCCAAGATGCTGGACCCCACCTGATGTCTAGGCTCCAACTCAGACTAATTAAACCAATATTGCTAGAAGAGGGCCCTGTAACTTTTTTTTAATTAAAAAATTTTTAAACTCCCCAAGGTAATGTTTTGTTGTTGTTGTTTGTTTGTTTGCTTGTTTTGAGACAGAGTCTTGCTCTGTCGCCCAGGCTGGAGTGTAATGGCATGATCTTGGCTCACTGCAACCTCCACCTCCCAGGTTCAAGTGATTCTCCTTTCTCAGCTTCCCAAGTAGTTGGGACTATAGGCTTGCACCACCATGCCGGGCTAATTTTTGTATTTTTGGTAGAGATGGGGTTTTGCCATGTTGGCCAGGCTAGTCTTGAACTCTTGACCTCAGGTGATCCACCTGCCTCAGCCTCCCAAAGTACTGGGATTACAGGCGTGAGCCACCATTCCTGGACAGTAATGTTAATAAGCAGCAAAGCTCAGAACAACTTAAAAAAAATTTTTTTTTGAGACAGGGTCTCACTCTGTCACCTAGGCTGGAGTGCAGTGGTGCAATCATAGCTCACTACATCCTTAATCTCTGGGGCTCATGCAATCCTCACACCTTAGCCTAACCCAAATAGCTAGGATTACAGGCATGTGCCACCACGCCTGGCTAATTTTTCTATTTTTTGTAGAGATGAGGTCTCCCTACGTTGCCCAGGCTGGTCTTGAACTCCTGGGCTCTAGTGTTCTTCCCACCTCAGCCTCCCAAAGTGTTAGGATTACAGGCATAAGCCACCACACCTGGCCAAAAACTTGTACAGAGTGTTTTGAAGACAATATTTGAGTGTCTTCCAAACAGTAGAGGAGACATCCCTTGGCCCATAGGTAGATAGTCATTGATTAATAAATGTGTCAATGAAGAATATAGAAGAAACTTATAATACAGATCCTTCCACAAAGGTGCTAGTGGCCTAACTAGGATCATATCCAGTATACTCAAATTAATTAAGGCTAATTAAATAGTATATATAGATCCCACAATTTCTTACTTGAAACTTTTGGGGCCAATGCATTTTGGCCAACATTTTCAGATTTTAAAAAGCACTATTGTATGTTAATGTGTGTATGTTTATATCATATATGACTAACACACTCTTAGAAGGACCTACTCATAACAAAACACAGTGATATTTCCACAGTGAAATATGTAATGGTCACATAGCATAAATAAACAAGATAAATAGCCTCACATTGTCAATCTAGTCAGGTGTCATATCTAAATGAGTTTTGGGGCCACTTTGAAAAAAACTTTCCATTTTCAGAGCTTCAGAGATTTGGGTACTGTAGATAAGGGACTGGGATCTGTCATATGGGCTCAACACAGATCCTGGAAGTGTAGAGAGGAAGCTACATTGGAATTAGAAGACTCGGTGAAAGTCTTGTGAATGAGGCAGAATTTGAGCTACAGTGAGTTAATTTTCTGCCCCTGGGAGGTGAGGTCCCCACAATGCCTTGTCACCCTGTTATCAGCCATGGAAGCTATATTTTCCTGCTTGAGCCACTAGGCGCCTGTGGAGTATTTTGTAAATTGCTTTCCTGCGATAGTCTACGTGGTCAGATTAAACAAAAAAAACAAAAACAAAACAAAACAAAACAAAAGAAAAACATGACCCACTGAGATTTGCCCAAAGTGAAGACCCGGAGGAGATGAGTATGCCCATCAAACAGTGCCGGAACGCTTAGGGAGAGAAGCTGGACGGAAGCTGAAGAGGATGGAGCCACATCTGAATACTAGAGAATATAGGCTTTAATCCCTGGCTAATTCCATTCTCTTAATAATTCACTCCATACAATGGAGATCTTTCACATTTCATTCCTAAATCCTTGGTTTACCTACCAGACAGATTGCTAACGTGGCCGATTTTCTCTGACACCTATTCTTCTTTCCCCTCTTCCCATCCTATTTCTCATTTTTTCCCCCTTACCTTAGATAATCTTTTGTCTCTTTCCCCGGAGAGGGATTCGCCCTCAGGAAGCATAGGAATCTGCCTTGGCTGGGTCATCACCTTTCACCACTTCATTACCACCTCTAAAACATCAGGCCAGCCCACAGATGGAGACATACCTCCTGTCCACTATTATTAGAATTCCCTGGGAGACAACACTGTTCCTAAGAGGTTATTGCTGGAAGTGAGTCAGAGGTATAAGGGATATATTGAATCAGGGACGTCTAGGAGGATACTAAAGTGGTTGCCTGTCTGTGAAAACAGGAAGGATAAAGAGAATAAAGACAGAAAGAACAGGAAAATGCAAGCCAGGTCAGAGTAAAGCAAACCGTTCTTCCCTTCAGTCTCCCATTTATGTATGTCCCTGACTTGGGTCTATAATAGTCTAGGAATGTGAAGCAGAGAAAAACTCTAGGGGAAGGAAATCTCAAAATTCAGTCACACGGTGAATCCTTACAGCTATGTTCTCAGATTCCTCTTCTCCCTATGCATGACTAACTACACTATTTCTCATTTGAATTTAGAGGAAATAGGCTGAGGGCAGCCACTTGCATCTTCTGTGTATCCAGCCACACAGCTTCTCTTCTCCTTGATTAAGTTTGATACCTTCTCTGCTGAAATTATTCTTTCACTAACTTTCTTGTTCTTTAGAGCAATAAAGCGGAAACGATGCTAAATGAGAAAAAGACTGTCTCCCATCCCATTCATCCCACATCTACTGGGCACCTCATATGAGCACTATTCTGCTTCTGGACATAATTCAAAAAAGATTTCTCACTCTCTCTTTCTCTTTCTCTCTTTTCCTCTCTCTTTTTCTCATTCTCTTGACCCACCCCCCTCTAACTCCCTGTGCCAGACTCTGACTATAGGACGAACATCTGCTTGCATGACTGACTATAGGACCAACATAGCATAAGTGATCAGTATCGGCTGACTGAATCTCTAAAAGGATCCAGATAAAGAGAAGAGCGGGCCCAAAAAGAAAAAGAAGAGGAAAAGGAGAACAGAGAAAGTAAGGAGAAAAAGAAGCAAAGGACAAAAGCAAAGGTAAGAGATGAAAACAAGAAGCCAAGCAAGGAGGCTGCTAGTAAAAGGTGGGAAGAAAGAGAAAAGGGCAGTGAAGGGTCAAGAAAAAAGAGTTCTATTCTTGCTCCAGCCCATCTTCTATCTTGCTCTACAGCACCACACCACCTCCCCAGCAGACCCCCATACCTAGGCCCTAAATTTTTCCAAGCTCGGAAAAGGAAGCCTGTTCCACATGGTCCTCCAGAAGCCATTACAGATAGAATCACTTTAACTTCATCCGCAATAGAGAAGTGCAGTTGTGCAAAACCCAAGAGTCTTATGTGATTGTTGTAGAGGCTCAGGGTGGGCAGCAGGGAAGAACATGGGTAAAGGATACACTAAACTCTTCCAGTCCACATCCAGAGACAAACTCAGAGCAGAGCAGGAAACAAATGGATGGCCAGGACTACAGTACGGACTACAGCAGCTCTTCACTTACTCCTTTCCAGGGTAAGGGAAAGGAGAGGCAGAGAGCTTAGAGAAACTAGGCATCATCACCTTATCCTACCATCTCTAATCCTAGGAACAAAATGCAAGTTGGGTGACCCATAGGGCAAGGAAGAATTCCATCTGCATGATACCTAAGATCAGGAGAACTATATGAGAAAGAAGAAGTAAAAAAGGAAGAGGAACAGGAGAAGGTGAAGAGAAAAAAGATGATGAGTTGCTTCATTGTCCAGTTGGTAACTGGCGCTTCATGTCATTACAGGTTATAATAATGTGCTTTTTTATAACAGAAGTTAGGTAATTGCAGTTAGGAGTGACCTGGTCTGGTTGGGACAGCTCGCACAATGTCAAATCAAAAGGTCGGGAGCTTTTGTGACATTTTCCCCCCTTGAGCTCACAGGCAATGACAGGACTGTTACAGACAGCTTTGACTGTGTTTAGATCCTCATGGATGAATGCATACTGGGCTATGCAACTCTGACTGGGCTCCTTCATCTTGTGTGCCATCATATCATTGCATTCTCTATCTGTCTGGTCAAGCCTAAGATAGTCTTTGTTGCTCTGAAAGAGAGCTGAGGCTCTGAGCATCTTGTTACCCCCAACCTCATCTTCACCGAGGATGGGATCTTCTGGCCAGCCAGGTTGCACCACTTCTTTGTTGCTAAGCACCAGCGTTTCTGTGGTTTGGGTGCCGTCTCCCTCCTCAGTGGCCTCAGCTTTGTCCTGTGAGTCACTGGACCAAAATTCATTGAGCGGTTGATCACTCTCCTCCAAGACTGCTGTAGCCATATGAAGTCCCAACCCCAGGCCCATCCCCAGGCCCAGCAGCAGCATCAGCAACATGAAAAAGATCTGCACCAGATTCAGCTTCATTTTGCCTGGAGAGGAAGCGGGAAATGGAAGAACGTGACTTTGAGATCAAAATTGGCTCTAGTAGAGACTGTAATCTCACTAAGCCCTACAGCATTGTATCTGGGGTCTCCTGTGTCTTCTGCACATTACTCTACCCTCTTCAAGGCAGCGATTTCTCTTTCCATTCCCATTTCTCTTGTTCCTCCCTACCACATTCCCTGTTGCTGTGTAATAAAATGTGGAAGTTTCCTCATGTTTCTTCTCTTGAAGAGTAGGGAGATGACCAAGGGAAGCAGTTCTGAGGTAATTTACATATGGGAAATCAGTGAGGAAAGTTGACATCAATTGATTCTTTTTTTTTTTTTTTTCCTTTTGAGACAGGATCTTGCTCTGTCACCCAGATTGGAGTACAGTGGCACCATCATAGCTCACTGAAGCCTCAATCTCCCAGGGTCAAGTGATCCTTCTGCTTCAGCCTCCCAAGTAGCTGGGATCACAGGCACACACTACCATGCCCAGCTCTTTTTTTTTTTTTTTTTGAGACGAGTCTCGCTATGTTGCCCAGGCTGGTCTCAAACTCCTGCGGTCAATTAATCATCCCACTTTGGCCAAAGTGCTGGGATTACAAGTGTGAGCCACCATGCCCCTGACATCAATTGATTCTTAAACAGAAATTTGTGCCAAATAACCAGAGAATGATTGAGAAGACAAGCGTGTACAGTGTCACACTCTCCTTTAGGGAAATTCTTGTAGAAAGCCTTATTGTCAATATAGGACTAGATTTACCACAGAAGACCATCTCTTTATTTTTAACCCAAATTTGCTTTTGCTTATTCAAATATCTATTACTCTTCTTGTTACCCACCTTCCCCACAAAAGATAAAAAGGAATAGAAAAAGTACCACAGTCCATTCTTACTCCTAAGCTGAGGCTGGAGGGAAGATGTCCAACTTTACATCTCAGGCCCCTGCTAAAGCTACATCTTGTTAAGCCAGATTCCTTCTACTATTAAAGATCTCTTAACATCTGAGTAGTCTTGCTGATTAGGTTTATACTCTCAGGGAAGAAATGGAATAAGAATGAAACCAAAGAAAATCAAACAATTGACCTGCTGGGGGTTCCCCTACTCATAAAGATTCTAAGGAGGCCAGGCTTGGTGGCTTCTGCCTATAATCCCAGCACTTTGGGAGGCCAAGGCAGGTGGATCACCTGAGGTAGGAGTTCAAGATCAGCCTGGCCAACATGGTGAAACCCCATCTCTACTAAAAATACAAAAATTAGCCGGCATGGTGCCACGCACCAGTAGTCCCAGCCACTGGGGAAGCTGAGACACGAGAATTGCTTGAACCCGTGAGAAGGCCAAGATGGTGCCACTGCACTACAGCCTGTGTGACGGAGTGAGATTCTGTCTCAAAAAAAGAAGATCCTAAGGAGAGCTGAGCATGCATCTTTGTCTTGCTAGGCCAGTCTCATCCCCTTAACAAAGAGACACATTCCCTGCCAGAAAAAAAAAAAATTGCTATGAAGAACATTATTGAGGCAATTGATAAAAGTATGATCTCTGTAGTAGATAAGAGTATTATGGCAGTCCCCCTTATCCACAGGGAATATGTTCCAAGACCCCAGTGAATGTCTAAGGCCCTATATGTACTGTTCTCTTCCTATACATACATATCTACATAAGTTTAATTTATAAATTAGTAATATATATTAACAACAACTAATAAAATAGAATAATTATAACAATATACTGTTCAAAATTTGCAGATAAAAGATTCTTTCTTACTGTAGATTTTACCAATTGCAGCATGTTTTTCCCCCCTTTCCTTATTAAGTTGAGACACTTTCACCTTTTCACTCAAACGGAGCACTTTACGGGTTCTTTTTGACGTGTCTGAATTGCCAGCATCATCATTCTTGCACTTTGCGGCTATTACTAGGTAAAATAAGGGTTATGTGAACACAGGCGCTGAGATACTGTGACGGTGCATCTGATATTGGCCACTAAGTAGCTAATGGGTGGGTGGTGTCTACAACATGGACACGCTGGACAAAGGGATGGTTCACATCCCAGGCAGGATGGAGTGAGACGGTGAGAGATTTCATCACATTACTCAGAACAGCATGCAACATTAAATTATGAATTGTTTATTTCTGGAATTTGCCATTTAATAGTTTCAGACCGTCGTTGACCATGGGTAACTGAAACTTTGGGTAGGGAGAATCACTGTATATATGTATTTGATATACTGAATGTAAAACTGTACCCTGATTGTTTAAGAAAATATCCTTCTTCTTAGGAGATGCACACTGAAATATTAAGCAGGAAAAGAGCACAACATATGCAATATACTCTCAAATGCTTCGGAATATAGATATATGGATATGTATACATGTGTGTGTTTACAGAGAGAGAGAGAAAATGATAAAAAATAAATAGGGGGCCTGGGCGCAGTGGCTCATGCCTGCAATTCCAGTGCTTTGGGAGACCGAGGCAGGTGGATCACTTGAGTCCCGGAGTTTGAGACCAGCCTGGGCAACATGGTGAAACCCCATCTCTACAAAAAATATGAAAAAATTAGCCTGGCTTGGTGGCGTGTGTCTTCAGTTCCAGCTACCAGGCAGGCTGAGGTGGGAGGATGGTTGGAGCCCAGGAAGTTGAGGCTGCAGTGAGCCATGATCCAACTGCTACACCCCAGCCTGGGCAACCGGAGTGAGAATCTATCTCTAAATAAATAAATAAATAAATAAATAAATAAATAAATAAGGGAAGTTTAAAAAAATAATGTACCTGGATAAAGAATATTCATGAGTTCCATGAATTATTATCACATTTGTTTGTAAAGTTGAAAATTTTATTTATTTATTTATTTATTTTTTTAATTGATCATTCTTGGGTGTTTCTCGCAGAGGGGGATTTGGCAGGGTCATAGGACAATAGTGGAGGGAAGGTCAGCAGATAAACAAGTGAACAAAGGTCTCTGGTTTTCCTAGGCAGAGGACCCTGCAGCCTTCCGCAGTGTTTGTGTCCCTGGGTACTTAAGATTAGGGAGTGGTGATGACTCTTAACGAGCATGCTGCCTTCAAGCATCTGTTTAACAAAGCACATCTTGCACCGCCCTTAATCCATTTAACCCTGAGTGGACACAGCACATGTTTCAGAGAGCACAGGGTTGGGGATAAGGTCACAGATCAACAGGATCCCAAGGCAGAAGAATTTTTCTTAGTACAGAACAAAATGAAAAGTCTCCCATGTCTACTTCTATCCACACAGACCCGGCAACCATCCGATTTCTCAATTTTTTCCCCACCCTTCCCGCCTTTCTATTCCACAAAACCGCCATTGTCATCATGGCCCATCCCCAATGAGCCGCTGGGCACACCTCCCAGACGGGGTCCTGGCCGGGCAGAGGGGCTCCTCACTTCCCAGTAGGGGCGGCCGGGCAGAGGCGCCCCTCACCTCCCGGACAGGGCGGCTGGCCGGGCGGGGGGCTGACCCCCACCACCTCCCTCCCGGACGGGGCGGCTGGCCGGGCGGGGGGCTGACCCCCCCTCCCCCCTCCCGGACGGGGCGGCTGGCCAGGCAGAGGGGCTCCTCACTTCCCAGTAGGGGCGGCCGGGCAGAGGCGCCCCTCACCTCCCGGACGGGGCGGCTGGCCAGGCGGGGGGCTGATCCCCCCACCTCCCTCCCGGACGGGGCGGCTGGCCGGGCGGGGGGCTGACCCCCCCCACCTCCCTCCCGGACGGGGCGGCTGGCCGGGCGGGGGGCTGACCCCCCCACCTCCCTCCCGGACGGGGCGGCTGGCCGGGCGGGGGGCTGACCCCCCACCTCCCTCCTGGACTGGGCGGCTGGCCAGGCGGGGGGCTGATCCCCCCACCTCCCTCCCGGACTGGGCGGCTGGCCGGGCAGAGGGGCTCCTCACTTCCCAGTAGGGGCGGCCGGGCAGAGGCGCCCCTCACCTCCTGGATAGGGCGGCTGGCCGGGCGGGGGGCTGACCCCCACCACCTCCCTCCCGGACGGGGCGGCTGGCCGGGCAGGGGGCTGACCCCCCCTCCCCCCTCCCGGACGGGACGGCTGGCCGGGCAGAGGGGCTCCTCACTTCCCAGTAGGGGCGGCCGGGCAGAGGCGCCCCTCACCTCCCGGACTGGGCGGCTGGCCGGGCGGGGGGCTGACCCCCCCCACCTCCCTCCCGGACGGGGCGGCTGGCCGGGCAGATGGGCTCCTCACTTCCCAGTAGGGGCGGCCGGGCAGAGGAGCCCCTCACCTCCCGGACGGGGCGGCTGGCCGGGCGGGGGGCTGACCCCCCCCCACCTCCCTCCCGGACGGGGTGGCTGCCGGGCGGAGACGCTCCTCACTTCCCAGACGGGGTGGCTGCCGGACGGAGGGGCTCCTCACTTCTCAGACGGGGCGGTTGCCAGGCAGAGGGTTTCCTCACTTCTCAGACGGGGCGGCCGGGCAGAGACGCTCCTCACCTCCCAGACAGGGTTGCGGCCCAGCAGAGGCGCTCCTCACATCCCAGACAGGGCGGCGGGGCAGAGGTGCTCCCCACATCTCAGACGATGGGCGGCCGGGCAGAGACGCTCCTCACTTCCTAGATGGGATGGCGGCGGGGAAGAGGCGCTCCTCGCTTCCTAGATGGGATGGCGGCCGGGCAGAGACGCTCCTCACTTTCCAGACTGGGCAGCCAGGCAGAGAGGCTCCTCGTATCCCAGACGATGGGCGGCCAGGCAGAGACGCTCCTCACTTCCCAGACGGGGTGGCGGCCAGGCAGAGGCTGCAATCTCGGCACTTTGGGAGGCCAAGGCAGGCGGCTGGGAGATGGAGGTTGTAGCGAGCTGAGATCACGCCACTGCACTCCAGCCTGGGCACCATTGAGCACTGAGTGAACCAGACTCCGTCTGCAATCCCGGCACCTTGGGAGGCCAAGGCTGGCGGATCACTCGCGGTTAGGAGCTGGAGACCAGCCCGGCCAACACAGTGAAACCCCGTCTCCACCAAAAAAGTACGAAAACCAGTCAGGCGTGGTGGCGCGCGCCTGCAATCGCAGGCCCTCGGCAGGCTGAGGCAGGAGAATCAGGCAGGGAGGTTGCAGTGAGCCGAGATGGCAGCAGTACCGTCCAGCTTTGGCTCGGCATCAGAGGGAGACCGTGGAAGGAGACCGTGGAGGGAGAGGGAGAGGGAGAGGGAGAGGGAGAGGGAGAGGGAGAGGGAGAGGGAGAGGGAGAGGGAGCAAACTCACTTTTTCATCCTTATGATTTGTCTATATATTCTTTTGGGGTTTCTAAACACAGACACTGTTTCATGGGTGAATCAATCAGAGTTTTACTTTTTCTTGTCTGGCACTGGAGCTCTTTCTTTGTCCTACCCTACAGCATTGGCTGAGACCTCCAGCACCATAACTTGTAGAACCGCAGATCAAGGCACTTTCAGGATTCACATTCAGTGAGGTTTGCCAGAGTTACTTCTGCTCCTCTAGCAATTGATCAGATAACGCTTTTTCATTATTCTTGTTGTATTCGCTGGATACACGCTGCTTGAGCTTTGGAGCCTCGCAGTGGTGTGTACGTGTGGCGGGGGCTGGCCTGTGAGCTCCTCTCCGCTGCTGTCCTTGCTGGGTTAGGGACTGAGGCTACGTTGGCCTCAGGAGCTGGTGAGTGCTCCCTTGTCTTTCTGGAAGAGTTTTGTGGACGTGCATTACTTTCCCTGTAAATGGTTGGTAGAATGCTGTGGTGATGCTGTCTGCGCCTGGAGTTCTTTGTGAGAGAAGGTTGTAATGACAGATTCCTTTTTTTTTTTTTTTTTTTGAGACGGAGTCTCTCTCTGTCGCCCAGGCTGGAGTGCGGTGGCGCGATCTCGGCTCACTGCAAGCTCCGCCTCCCAGGTTCACGCCATTCTCCTGCCTCAGCCTCCCAAGTAGCTGGGACTACAGGCGCCCGCCACCGCGCCCGGCTAATTTTTTGTATTTTTTAGTAGAGACGGGGTTTCACCGTGTTAGCCAGAATGGTCTCGATCTCCCGACCTCGTGACCCGCCCGCCTCGGCCTCCCAAAGTGCTCGAAAATTTATTAAAAAATTATTTATTTTAAAAAAGAGAGAGGACTTCCATGTTGTTCCTTGAGGCACCCAACACCTCTGTGACTTACGTACATGCATAAGCAGCTGCAGAGATTCTTGTGTCCTCTCGTTCCCCAAGTTCTTCCCTCCCAGGGTTTCCTTCTTCGTGAGCAGTGCCCTGGCTGCTAGTCTGAAGAAAAATGGTTATCTTCTGGTGGTCCACGTGCTCTTAAACACACACTTACTTCCTAAACCCACTCCCCGTTTCACTTCCTCCGCCTAGCACTGAACAAACACACTCAGCCAATTCTTTCTGTTCCCACAAACACTTTGAAGTGAGGCTATCTGGGCACTGAGACAGATCCAGACATCCAAGACGGGAAATCTCTCCAGCCTGGGAAACTGCAGACAGTTTTGTTTCATGGATCAATTGTTCTGCTCCTGAGTTACACCCGCTATCCTGTGGTTTATGCAGCCTGACCTTGTGCATGAATCTCAAGTTTAGTCTTTTCTTATATCTGCCACATGTACTTCCTTTAATCCTCTCCTATAATTTCTGCAGTGTCAAGATCTTTGGCCTTTATTTGGCCATCTCTCCAACATGATTATTACTTTACAAGTGTATTATGACAAGATTTAGAGTATTTGAGACAATCATGAGTTTTCACATATCTTTACCTATAACTTTATCCAGTTTTCCACTCTCTACTCCCTCTTTCCATTCCCCTAGCCAATAACCACATTCCCATAAGAATATCTGGATTTTGCAAATCTGATCATTTAGCCCTAGATAGGAGACTATCCAAAGCAGCATTATCATTATCAGTCCCTATACTCTGGGTGAATAAAACCAGGAGGGTTACAATGTTGATCCTAAGGTTCACTTCTTTAGCTGAAATTGACATTCTGAGATAATATTTTTAAAACCACTCTGGAGACTGTTAAGGCACTATAAAAATCATCTGTAGACATAAACACGATCTTTTAAGAAGATGTTTTCCTAAACTGTGGTATAAAAAAATAAAATAAAAATAAAAGAAGATGTTTTCCTTAGTCCTTCAGGCAGAATTTTTCAAATGGTGGTCTAGGAGCCACTTCTGTGATTTACAAAGTCTACTGGGCTGACTTTTGCAGTGCTGGTGTTTATAATTTGCAGTAAGAGCAATGACACCGACTACCAGTATTGAGCACTTCCTTTTGCAAGGCACTGACTGCATTTCACCCTCACATTTGCTTGCGCTATCCCTCTTTGGTGTCTATTCTGCCCATTTATTCTGGTGAGGTCTATTTGCAATGTGAAGAGAAAATCAAGAATTATCTGCTGAGCCCAGCAGCAGTCTAAGGTCAGCAGGGGTAATGTATTCAACAACCATGCATCACCTGCTTCTTTATAACTAAAGAGTTTTGTTACTACTAGAGATCATTTGAAATTAACCTTTAATTAAATACAAAGAAAGAACCTAAGTCTGTGTAAGTATAACCTTTAGACTGGACAGGTTTTTAATTTTCATTTTTATTTCTTTTTCTAGGCTACAGTTTTCTCGTCTTCTAAATTTGAATCGTTCTTGGACATAAAGTGGTTTATAATACTAAAAAAATTTTTTAAATAAAAAATGAATAAATTTGGATAATAGTAGCACTTACTTTACAGGGCTGTTGTAAATATTATATAAGACACTGCATGTAAAAGGCTAAATGTATTAGTTGTTGTTGTTATTGCTCTTACATAGCAATTACCAACACATGCTCATTACCCACCCAATCAATATCATTTTCCTGTTTAGAAATAGCACATACTAAGGACCGTAGCTACCAACACTGCTCACTGTATCTTCTAGAAGAGTCAACCAGTATCCTGGAATCTCTCAGAAGGAATTATGAGAAGGCTGATATAAGATGACCCTCATTTCACCAACAAAGAAGTGGCTCAAGTAAGTTAATGTCCCAAATGCTACAGATAACTAATAGCAGTTCTGATACTAAAACCCTTGGCTTGTAGTTAAGAAAAATTTATGATAAATAAATAGATGGTGGATAAATGATAGGTAGATAGATAGACAGACAGATAGATAGGTGTAAAGAGATAGGGGTAGAAAAGATTGATGTTAAAACTGAACCCTACAATTCTCCCAGCTTATTTCCTAGAAAGAGTTTTCAGGCTGTGGCACAGAGAGGGAGACCCAGGCAGAGTCCGCCAGTCTTCCTGAGCTGAGGAGATAAAACTGGGGGTCCAAGGAAGCCAAGGCAACTGGAGTTCACAGAGCACAGTACCAGAGAGGACAGAATTGCAGACAGAACTTCAGAGATCTGGAGTGACAAGATGTCACTGCACATCCATCAGAATGGCTAAAAGAATAAATAGCGCAAATACCAACTGCCGGCAAGGAGGCAGAGAAACTGGGTACACGCATACATTAATGGTGAAAATATAAATGTTATGGCCACTCTGTAAAACAGTTTGTCAGATTCCTTTTTTTACTGATACATAATAGTTGTACATATTTGTGGGGTTTTGATACATTCATACAATGTTCGATAATCAAGTCAGAGTAATTGGGATATCCATTACCTCAAGCATTTATCATGTCTTTGTGTTGAGAACATTCCAAATCTTCTAATCATTTTGAAATATACAATAAATTATTGATAACTATGGTCATCCTGCTGTGCTATTGAACACTGTAACTTATTCCTTCTGTCTAACTGTGTATGCTTACCATACAACCCAGCAATTGCACTCCTTGGCATTTAACCCAGAGAAATGAAAACATATGTTCACATAAAAACCTGTACAGAAATAAAATAGCAGTTTTCTTCATAATATTCAAAACCTGGAAACCATCCAAATGTTCTTCAATGGGTGATGCATTAAGCAAACCATGGTACATGTACCATGGAATATGACTCAGCAGTAAAAAGGAATGAACTATTGATACACACAATAAATTAGATACATCTCAAGGGCATTATGCTAAATGAAAAAAATGTATCATCAAGCAGCCATGTACTGTATGATTCCATTTACATAACATGGAGAACAGATTCATAGTTGCAGGGTCAAGGATCATGGGGATAGGGATATACGCGTGACTACAAAGAGGTATCACCAGGGAGATCCTTGTGGTGATGGAATAGTTCTGTATCTTGATTGCAGTGGTGGTTACAGGAATAAACACACAATAAAATGACTTGTAACTACACACACACACACACACACACACACACACACCACACTAATGTTTATTTCCTGGTTTTGATATTGTACTCTTTAAGTGAGATATAACCACTGGGGAAAACTGTTGACAGGTACATGGGGACTCTCTGTACCATCTTTGCAACTTTCTGTGAATCTATAATTATTTCAAAATAAAAAGTTTTTCAAAATGTTAATGCTCATTATAGAAGTTTTATGTAATAGTATATAGAAACACACAAATACACACACAAGACCCTCATCCTACTGTTATTTACACGTTGGTGTGTATCTTTGCAATCTTCCTCCACCCAACTCAACCCCATGTTGACGTTAAGTTTAACATGTCTATAGAAACTACAAGTTGGCCGGGCATGGTGGCTCAGGCCTGTAATCCCAACACTTTGGGAGGCCAAGGCAGGCAGATCACCTGAGATCAGGAGTTCAAGACCTGCCTGGCCAACATGGTGAAACCCCGTCTCTACTAAAAATACAAAAATTAGCTGGCTTGGTGGAGGGCACCTGTAATCCCAGCTACTTGGAGGCTGAGACAGGAGAATCGCTTGAACCCGGGAGATGGAGGTTGCAGTGAGCCGAGACCGTACCATTGCACTCCAGCCTGGGCAAGAAAAGCAAAACTCCACTCCATCTCAAAAAGAAAAGAAAAGAAAAGAAAAAAACCTGCAAGCTGAAATGTCAAGTGGTAGTTGGACATAGTGGATACAGCAATCTGGAGTTCTGAAGAGTCTAGTCTGGAAATATAAATTTGAGACATAAAGAGACATAAAGGCATATGGTTATGTATCTAAAGACATGAGACTGGATGACAGTGTCCAGAGATTCTTTTTTAACTTTGTTTTGTTTGTTTTTAAGATGGGGGAAATAATAGCTTGTTTGTTGATAGTAAAGACACAGTAGAGAGGAAAAGCGTAATGCAGGAGTGAAAGAAAATATTTGTTAGAGCAATAGTTTGAGTGCTAAGACTGAGAATAGATCACCTAGGTTTATGTGTGTAAATGTGTTATGTTATCTATGAATTACACTTCAGGATAGTAAAAGGGAAACAACATGTTTGCTATGAAAGGTTGGATCTGGTGACGTGGTTGAGAACCAGCGGTTTGAAACAATCAGTAATGGTTAGTGTCTCGCTACACTGTGCACACATGAGTTTTTCCTTAATTCTGCAATTGCAGCTGCTCCAGTTGACTGGATATAAGAATCCAGCTCAGCTGTGGGATGGAGGCTTTCCAGGTATGAGGTCTCTCTTGGGATGCGAGACATGGGAACAGCAGAAGGGAAGGAATACTGAACAATGCTTTTCTTGTGGGTCCCAAAGAAGCCATTATCTTTTTTCCTACGGTTTTTGTCGTTCACATGCCCACCAGATAAACAAAGTCTGTGGTGGGAGAGGGGGCACTTTTTCAGAAACTGCCATGTTATTTGAGATGACCCAATATCTAAGCACGGTCTTCCATCAGGATCCCAGAGTGCTCAATTGTGTGCAGATCATAGCGTCAGTCTACCCACCAAACACAGAGGGACCTAGCCTATTAAACATCTTCCTAGAAAAGGCTTTCTTATGATATTATGTAGTATAATTCTTCTTACAGAAACATTTCTGAAGATTATGGTTTGCTTAAGGGTAGCCAGCAAAGGGGGTAAATAGAAATGAAAACCTAACCTATACTCTGTAAACAAACTGTACAAACTAGCGCTGAGTTGACTTCACCAGGAGGAAGAGCCTTTCTTCTCATTCATATAAAAGTGCTGTTTGGGCTTTCTGGGGACCTAAACAGATGGTGCTACATTTTAGTTCATTTTCACATAAGTAACCTCATGTGATCCTCACAACTTCCCCACCAAGTAAGAAGGTCTCAAATTACTTCTTTGGTTTTACAATAAAACTGAGGCCTCAAGCTGTTAAGTGACTCGCCTGAGGCCACATAGGTGGCGAGTGGCAGAACAGGAATGAGGCCCCGATCTGCTGACTTCCACCCATTGTTTTTTCTTTTTTAGCATCTGCCTAGACCCTGATAATGTGTTCCAGGTGAAATCATTTCCTCATGGACCTAGAGAACAATTGGTTACCAGTGATTCCGAAAACAATCTTGAATATATAAGATAGGTATTTTTAGTTATTATTAAGAATCACAATTCACATTTGTAAAATGAACTACACAAACCTGCTCACAATCTATAGAACCCAACCCTTCTTAGTCTGCCTGCTACTTTATTCTTATGATCCTTGTTCCCCCTCTCTAATCATTGTAGTTCTCTGATCTAGATTTCTACCTGTTCAGGCCCTGCATAGCCATGGGTTCAGTCCATGGATTGATCTCTGGGGGAGTTACCACATTATGTCTTGTTCTTTCTAACTGAGTGATTTGGGCAGCTTCTGCAATCTTGGAAGAGTTTTGCTAATAACATATGAACCGTTAAACAAACCACAACCACTCTGGTGCAACAGAAACTTCCAGAACCAACAGTCTACAAAAGGAGCTCCCCAAAATCACATCTAATTTATGAATCACTCCTGCCAAGAAGTTCTTTGTTTTTTTACAGCCTATACCTCTGCTAGAAAAGATGCCAGCTCTCTGATATTCTGGGTGTCATCCTCGATAAAAATCATGCTCAGGCCGGGTGCAGTGGCTCATTCAGCCTGTAATCCCAGCACTTTGGGAAGCTGAGGCAGGTGGATCACTTGAGCACAGGAGTTTGAGACCAGCCTAGGCAACATGGAAAGGCCCTGTTTCTACTAAAAATACAAAAACTAGCTGGGTGTGGTGGTGCGTGCCTGTAGTCCCAGCTACTTTGGAGGCTGAGGTGGGAAGATCACCTGAGCCCAGAGTGTTGAGGCTGCAGTGAGCCGATATCACACTGCTGTACTCCGGCCTGGGCAACAGAATGTCTCAAAAGAAAAAAAAAATTCAAACATTTTTATCAGTGTAAGTAATATTCACTCTCTTCTTTGAAATAGGCTTAATCATTATCTTTAGAGATATTTCATCTAAAAATTATTGGAGATGACTTTATTATCTGGTTGTATATGTTGAAGAAATAACCAAATTTCTTTGTAAGTTGCTTTTTTTTTTTTTTTTTTTTTTTTTTTGAGACGGAGTCTCGCTGTCGCCCAGGCTGGATTGCAGTGGTGCGATCTCGGCTCACTGCAGGCTCCGCCCCCTGGGTTCACCCCATTCTCCTGCCTCAGCCTCCCGAGTAACTGGGACTACAGGCACCCGCTACCATGCCCGGCTAATTTTTTTGTATTTTTAGTAGAGACAGGGTTTCACCATGTTAGCCAGGATGGTCTTGATCTCCTGACCTCGTGATCCGCCCGCCTCGGCTTCCCAAAGTGCTGGGATTACAGGCGTGAGCCACCGCGCCCGGCCTGTAAGTTGCATTATTCTTATCATGAGCCTGCATAACCTTTCACATTTGAAAATTATTGGTAATAAACTAACCACAGTCATTTTAAAGCTCTGTCACCTACAGATAGTTTTTGCTCTACTCTAATGTTTGCCTAAAGACTCTGCTATAAATTACAGGCCACAATTTGTGTCTTCAATAAAGAAGGACAGTCTCAAAGCCTCATGAAAAACGATTGTACCAGATATTTCAAACTATTAATACTTCAAAGCATATACTTGGATATAGGCTTTTGATGTAACATCATTTAGACAATTTTTAGATCAGGCTGGGTGCAGTGGCTCACGCCTGTAATCCCAGCACTCTGGGAGGCCAAGGCGGGTGGATCACCTGAGATCAGGAGTTTGAGATCAGCCTGGCCAACATGACAAAGCCCTGTCTATACTAAAAATACAAAAAAAATTAGCCGGGAGTGGTGGCGGGGGGCCTGTAATCCCAGCTACTTGGGAGGCTGAGGCAGGAGAATCACTTGAACTTGGGAGGTGGAGGTTGCAGAGAATAGAGATCGCACCACTGCAGTCAAGCCTAGGTGACAAAGCCAGTCTCCATCTCAAAAAAAAAAAAAATTTTTTTTATATCAAACCTGTAGACTGACTCCAGATTTCCAAAACTCATTTTAGTTTTTTTATTTAAAAAAAAAACCTCTTCATGACAGTTAACTCAAGTTTCAACAGAATAAGAATTAATTATGTAAAGCTGAATGAACTTATAAAGAAACGTTGTAGTTATTTGTTTGGAATATTGTTTTAAAGTTCTGCTTTAATGTTGATGTTGTTTTAATGTTCTATTCTGAACATATAAACAAGGTTTTTTCCTTTCTTCTTAAAATCTCTCTAATTCATAAGTTAGGAGCTTTTGAAAATTAAAATATTTATCAAAAATAAACATTTTTAAATGATATCTGATTCTTACTGACCCACATACTCCAACTAAGAATTCAGAAACTCTTACCTCCTTTCTTACTTTTTATAACAGTATAGTTATCTGAATAGGTTCAGCAAGAATCTTTTCTCTTTTTTGCCAGGATATAACAGAAAAACAGTTACACAACCAAGGTGTGGGCCAGAATGTCACTTTTGAGAATGGTGCTCCTTTAATCAGCTTTGATGAGCCAATGCCTACAAAATCCTCTCAGAAAAACCCACCTGGGATCTGGCTTACAGAGTCCCAGTCTTGCAGGAGGTGAGGAAGGTCACTTCCTAGTTCTTGGTTCCTTACCTTCTTGGCAGGTAAGAAACTTCAAGAAAATATGAGAAACTTGAGAAGAAAGAAATTCATCCAAATGTATAGGTACTGTGGGTAAAAATCTAGTGGAAAGAGATTCTTGAGCTTGGTTTTTCTAACCTCACAACAGCAAATAATAGAGGCTTTTAAAAGTCAGTCTGAGATTTCTTAAGGAAACTTCTAGAAAGAAGTTCATTCTGTGGCCTTGTGAATAGTATATGGCTCTAGATTTACGAAGCAAACTTAAGAAGGCCTATATGGTAAATAAAACTCTTCCACCTGTGGAAATAATCAGGCCAAACCGTCAGGATTGCCCTTTTACTTATCTTCCAGCACACTGAGCTGAGAGCTTCCTATGCCATCTCTCTTCTTGTCCTCAGTGCCAAGCAAAGTGTGTGGAACAATGAAGGTAGTCAACAACATTTATGAGAAGAATAAATATCAGGTTGTGAAATAGCTTTCGCACCTGATTCCAACTGTGAGGCGGCAATGGAGAGCCAGGGAGGCAGGCAGAGGCACTGAACTCATCAAGCTTGGTTTCCTCTGCCCAGCCTCAAGTTGTACCATGGGGAGACAGAGACTCCATTAAAAATAAACTCACAATTAACTTTAAAATACTGCAGCAATAAACAAATAAGTAAAAATAACAAAATAAGGAGAAGAGATGAAACAAGATGAGCAAAATGTTGATTACTGTTGAAGCTGCATGTAATGGGCACTTGGGGATTAAATCATATGCTTCTTTCTAATTTCAGTGCATGTTTAAAAATTTCCATAATGGAAAGGAGAAGAAAGGAAAGGAAAAGGAAGGGAAAGGTAAAGGAAAGGAAAAGGAAGGGAAAGGAAGGGAGGGGAGAGCAGGGAGAGGAAGGAAGAGGAGGGGAGGAAAGGGCAAGGGAAAGGGAGGGGAAGGGAGGGAAAAGGGAGAAGCGGGGAGGGGAGCGGAGGGGAAGGAAGGGAAGGGAGAAAGGAAAGAAAAGAAAAGAAGAAAAGAAAAAGAAAGGAAAGGGGAAAGGACAGGAAAGAGGAAAGGAGAAAGGAAAGGAAAAAGGAATGAAAAAAAAGAAAGAACAGGAAAGGAAAGGAAACTTGAAGGGGAAGGAAATTACAAAAAGGAAGTCTGCTGGCTTTGTAAGGAAGGGGGTAATGAGTAAGTTCAGGCAGTTTTGTTTCATTTTGGGTATTTGCACCAGTATTCGAGGTGTCCCAATCAGAGTGACTCATCTTGAATAAAGGCCAGATGAAGCCAAACCTGCTGGGTTACTTTCCCAGGAAATTGGGCACTGTTAATCACAAAATGTTTATGGTTGAGGAAATGAGTTGATGGAAAAAGGCATTCTTAGTTTAAAAATGGGTTTCTTGGATGGCATGGTGGCTCACACCTGTAATCCCAGCACTTCAGGAGGCCAAGGCAGTTAGATTGCTTGATCTCAGGAGTTCAAACCAGCCATGGGCAATGTCAGGCGTCTGAGCCCAAGCTTGCACGTGTAAGTATCCGGATGGCCTGAAGCAACTGAAGAATCACAAAAGAAGTGAAAACAGTCGATTCCTTCCTTAACTGATGACATTACCTTGTGAAATTCCTTCTCCTGGCTCAGAAGCTCCCCTACTGAGCACCTTGTGACCCCCACCCCTGCCCGCCAGAGAACAATCCCCTTTGACTGTAATTTTCCACTACCTACCCAAATCCTATAAAACAGCCCCACCCCATCTCCCTTTGCTGACTCCTTTTTTGGACTCAGTCCGCCTGCACCCAGGTAATTAAAAAGCTTTATTGCTCACACAAAGCCCGTTGGTGGTCTCTTCACACGGACACACGTGACAGGCAACATGGTAGAATCCTATCTCTATAAAAAAATAAAAATAAAAATTAGCTGGGCATGGAGACTGAGGTGAGAGAATCCAGAGGATCAAAGAGGATCGAGTCAAGGAGGTGGAGGCTACAGTGAGCCAAGATCGCACCACTGCACTCCAGCCTGGGCGACAAGAGTGAAATTCTGTCTTAAAAAAAAAGGTGGGTGGGAGGGTTTCTTGTGGTGGTGAAGGTGTAAGCAAATAAACACATAAAAATAAACATGGGTTTCACTTTAAAGATAATACTACACTCATAAATTATTGCTGAAATCAATAGTTACACCGGAGAATAACAATACTAATAGCCTGTCACAACTTGATCACAAGCCTTTATAATAAAGTAAACTATTCTTTTTTTTTTTTTTTTTTTTTTTTTTGAGATGGAGTCTGGCTCTGTTGCCCAGACTGAAGTGCAGTGGCGCAATCTCGGTTCACTGCAAGCTCCGCCACCCGGATTCATGCCATTCTCCTGCCTTAGCCTCCCGAGTAGCTGGGACTACAGGTGCCCACCACCATGCCCGGCTAATTTTTTGTATTTTTAGTGGAGATGGGGTTTCACCGTGTTAGCCAGGATGGTCTTGATCTCCTGACCTCGTGATCCACCCACCTCGGACTCCCAAAGTAAACTATTCTTAACCTTAATATCCTGTATAAGCAAGCATTACATTTAAAGTAGGGGCATTCCTCCTCTTGCTCTCTGAGGATGCCCTACTCTGTAATAGAGTAGTTTCTAATGAACTGTTTTAACTATACTGTACTCTGCGCCCTGTCCTTAATTCTTTCCTGCTCAAGATCGAAGAACTTGCTCTTGAGGTTTGGAACAGGAATCCTTTTCCAGTAAAACCAGTAGTTCAAACCACTCCCTGCTCCACCTCTGACTTCCTCTTTTGTTTTGAGAGAGGATCTGCAAGACACTAGCAGTTTTGAGGAAGAGTGAGCCCTAGGGAGGGAAATGCTCAGTGGCTCTGTACTAGCTCAACTGTTGGAAGTCAGCCTCACCCCACACACTGGCCTTTTCCTGATCCCTTTCTGGTCTGAGAATGGGCAGTGGCCAGATACTGCCATGAGTAGATGGGAGTGAAAATACTTAGAGATGAAGAGGAGGCAGGAGAAGGGGAGCTGAAATTTTCAAACAATTGTCACTGTGTGATATTTCAACTTCAGATAGTGGCCAAATAAGTTTCAGTGGGAACTGCGTTCAATCCAAATGACAAAACCACTAAAGTCTGAAGAAGATGTACCAGCTAAACTGGTAGCTTCTAATCTTTTGATCATCATGGGTTCTTTTTTCTTTCCTTTTTTTAAATAAAATTTTAAAAATTCCTTCCCAGGTAGCTGGGAGTACAGGTGGGCACCACCATATCCAGCTAATGTTTTAATTTTTTGTAGAGATGTAGAGATGGGGTTGCCCAACCTATTAGACCCTTTTTATTATTCCCAGCCCCCATAGGTCCCTATAAATATTTGTTAAGATATAGTTGTAACTTAGCAAATGTATCTGGGGGACCATGTCCAAAAAAACCAGATGGACACCCAGAAAGGGTTTCAGGAGGTGGAGGCTGCACAATTATCCAAGATACATTGGATCCTATCCACAACTTACAGGTGCAAACTTGATCTTATCTGAGTTTTTCAGTTTCTTTTTTTTTGAGATGGAGTCTCACTCTTGTCGCCCAGGCTGGAGTGCAGTGGCGTGATCTCGGCTCACTGCAACCACCACCTCCCGAGTTCAAGCTTCTCCTGCCTCAGCCTCCCAAGTAGCTGGGATTACAGGCACCCGCCACCACACCTGGCTAATTTTTGTATTTTTAGTAGACATGGGGTTTCACCATTTTGGCCAGGGTCATCTTGAACTCCTGACCTCAGGTGATCTGCCTGCCTCAGCCTCCCAAAGTGCTGGGATTACAGGCATGAACCACTGTGTCCAGCGCATTTTTCAGTTTCATGCGAGTTACTCACACCAACCAATCCCCAGTTAAAACTATGAACAAGATCTACATTGAAAAATATGTGCAGTGAAAATAAACCTGCCCCATACATTCTCTCCCTGACTCAAGTGGGAGACCAAACCTCAAAGAGATGATTGCTTGGTGAGCATCAGTGGTCAGCAGCGTCACAGTTCCTTCGGGCCAGGATAAGCTTGGGAAAATGTTTCTGACTTGAAATTAAGAAGTGAGCTAGTGTGTTACTCCTGGACAATGATGGTTTAGTAGAAAGCAATTCTCAAAATTTAGAATTTCCCTTTCCAATTTCCAAACTCTCCTATCTCCTTCTTAAAATACATTAGCATGTTTGTTGATTTGTATTCTTTTATACTCCACCTCATTCCAAGATAGGATTAAAGTCAGCTTGCAAAACTGTCTGCAATAAATAATCACACAAATCAAATTTAGGTGAGAGAAAAGAGGCAGGATACAACTTGATTGATTATGCCATCACTGTATCGAGGCTAAAATCATTATGCTTCCTGAAGCCAGCATTTTGGTCCCCAGAGCTGAAGTGTGTGAGTCCTTAGCCCTAGGTGATAGATTAGAAGTTTGGATGGTTTAATTCTACAAATGGTGACTACTATTTACCAAATGCTGATTTGACCTGATGTAATTCTCAGGTGGTACTAATAATTTCAAGTGTTGAAGAAATTTTGCCATATAATATTTATACCTATGAATCACCACTTTATTTTCCCATTTGTACTAATAAAAATAAATAAATAAATGAAACTTACCAGAAAAGGTTTTTAGTAAGAATGAGATGACCACAATGGTTTGAATAGTTCAAACAAACTTAGTTTTAGTTAGCATGTTGTAGCTTTATTCGGAGTAAATGTGTGGTTTCCAGTAAGATGCCTGACATGTTAAAATTAGCTCACAGACTTTTTGACGCGTAGAAATAATCTTGAAAGGACAGCCAACAACCATAACGAGAAACAAAACAGAAACCACCTAAGTCAAGAAGGTAGACACAAATGCCCCTCAATTTGCAAATAGATATCTCCCCTGCACCAAGAATCACCCCATGGGAGGAGCAACTAAGTTAAAATTTCAGGATGAAAGGGTTTGCTTTCTCTTCATGAAACTGTGTCTAGTACTCTGGTCAGGTAATGATGATGATCAAGGTAATATTAGTGATCCAAGGAGCAGAGGCTTTTTCCATGCCAAGCCCATATACCCTGATAGGGCCACCAGGTGGACAAGCCAGTCCATCTGCACGATGCTCCTAAAGGGCGGGTCACAGAGCCAAAGAAAGGAATGACTCGCCAGAAGAAACTCTGCCTTTTCTGAACTTTTTTTTTTTTTTTTGAGACAGAGTCTCACTCTGTTGCCAGGATGGAGGGCAGTGGCGCGATCTCGGCTCACTGCAACCTCTGCCTCTTGGGTTCAAGCCATTCTTCCATTCTTCTGCCTCAACCTCCTTAGTAGCTGGGACTACAGGCATGTGCCACCATGCCCTGCTAATTTTTTTGTATTTTAGTGGAGACAGGGTTTCGCCATGTCAGCCAGGATGGTCTCGATCTCCTGACCTCATGATCCCCCCGCCTTGGCCGCCCAAAGCGCTGGGATTACAGACGTGAGCCACCATGCCTGGCCAGCACTATTTTGAGTTCACAGACTAAGTTCACTTGGGATGGCAGATACTGGCTGATATGGTTTGGTCGTGGTAGTGAATAAGTCTCACGAGATCTGATGGTTTTATCAGGGGTTTCCACTTTTGCATCTTCCTCATTCCCTCTTGCCTCCTCCAAGTAAGAAGTGCCTTTCACCCTCTGCCATGATTGTGAGACCTCCCCAGCCATGTGGAACTGTAAGTCAAATTAAACCACCTTTTCTTCCCAGTCTCTGATATGTCTTTATCAGCAACATGAAAACGGACTAATACACTGGCACAGAAGTTAGCACAGAAGAGTTGTCCGTTAAGGTTTGGTGAAAGAGACAGGAAAGGAGAGGAAAGGGAAGGAAGGAAATAGGGAAGAAGGGAGGGAGGGAGCCCTGAGCAATGCGTGGAGGTCAGCAGTTAAGATTAGCTCAGCAGGAAGGAAGCGTCCTGGGCTTCCGTGAGAGGTGACCTCTGACAGGCTTCCAGGTTCCTGTGCTCTTTGAGAGAGTCTTTCTTATCCCCTCACCCAGTATACAGGTACTTTGGCCTGGCCTGGCTGGCCAGATATGCAGTCGAGGTTTTACCTTCAAAGATGACAGCTAGAGAAATAAGAAAAGGGAAAGCATTCAGAATCCATTATAAGACGTACTGATAAGTAACACACATGCAGATCTTATGAATTAATGTGGATCTTCATAGGTAAGATCTTCATAATGGCAATGCTATTATGTAAGAGAATGTCCTTATTCTTAGAGATGCGTGCCAATATATTCAAAAATGGACTGATAGGCAAATTGTCTGCAGCAATTTACTTTCAAATGGCTCAGGAGAAAACAAATGTATGTAGCAGATTATTGACTATTGATGGTTTAGGTGAGAGGTACACTAGTGTTCATTACATGATCCTTTCTACTTTTCCGTAAACTTAACGATATTCCAAGTAAAAAGTTCAGGACAAATGGGCATTAGAAATTTTCTCTAAAATGTATAAAATCCATAGTAAGCACACCTAGCTGGTAACAGCGCTTGCTTATCTTGGCTGAGAGGATAAGGGGTTCTTCCTTGCTTTTTGGTGTGTGTGTGTGTGTGTGTGTGTATGTGTGTGTTTAAGGCCACAGCTAGGACCCTTCTTTCTGCCCCTCTGGCCTCTTTCACTGCACCAAACCACCTGCTCCTGGGCCCCAGCAAAGCAATCCCCCTATGAACAACATTTCTCAACAAGTGTTTCTGTGCCTGTTAGTAGCCCCACACGCTTCTTCCCCACAAACCCTTTCCTCATACACCATTGCCCACACAAAACACACCCCTTTCAAACTGCTGTTCTGGAACAAATGGCTTTCTTCTCTACTGAGTGCACCTCTGCCCAAGGCTTCCACCCACAAACGATTCTTTCTCTAAAGTTCCTGTGTAACCCTACCCCACCCATCCTCTCTGAATCATTGCCTCAATCCCCTGAGGTCTATCTTGCTGCAAATTGAATTCCTGCTGGTGTTGAGCCTGAAAATTTCTCAGTTTGCTAAGCTAAAGAGTTGCCCTTCCGTGATGGATGAAGCAGTGAATTGCTTCCACTTTTGTCTAGGATCGGGCACAGACCTTACTCTTTCTGCCCTAGCACCCCAGCTCCTCAGGTCCCACTTCAGTGGCATCAAGCAGAAGTGGACATGCATGGATAGATATATAATTATTGAAACATGAAAGCACAGTGTAACATCCCACCCTCCTTCTGTAGAACTAGAGTGTTGTGGAACTATAGTTGTTGCTATTCAGGTTTTTGCAGATAAAATATCTTGAAAAGAATTTTAGAGGTCATAAGGTCAACTATTTCTCTCTACAGCTTTGTCAAATATTCCTCTAGCCCCTATTTCAACATTTCAGGAATGTAACGTAACAATGTCTTTTTTGTAGAGCTCTTTTTCTAATATTGAGTGGGCTCTCCTGTCCTAGTCAACTCTCCAAAGTTGCACAGAGTAAATTTGATTCTTCTATATAAATAAGTTTAAAAATAATATAAGGCCAGGTACGTTGGCTCATGCCTGTAATCCCAATACTTTAGGAGGCCGAGGTGCTAGGATCACTTGAGGCCAGGAATTCGAGACCAGCCTGGGCAACATAGCAAGACTTTGTTTCTACAAAAAAAATTTTTTTTAATCAGCTGGGTGTGGTGATATGTGCCTGTAGTCCCAGCTACTCAGGAGTTTGAGGCAAGAGGATTGCTTGAGCCTTGGAGTTCAAGGATGCAGAGAGCTATGATCATACTAGTGCATTCCACAGAGCCTGGGTAACAGATCAAGATTCTATCTCTTAAAAAAATCATAATAATAATATTAATAGAAGACAGTTCTTCACTACCTCCTTTCATCTTCTGTTTACCACCAAACTTAACTACTCTCTGGCTTTTCATTCAACCTAAACGTGATGCCTTTTTACACATTCTCCATCCCCATCTCTTTATGTAGATCTAATGCTATGGTGACAAAAGTTCTGAGCCTGAAGGAATAGCTTAGCTATTCCTTTGCTGTGTGGTATTGGAAAAGTCAGATAACCTTTCTCTAAGCCTTTTTAAATCAGAAAAATGAAAATGAGAAAAATATCAATGATACTTGCTCAAGGGTCTCAGTAATTATCACAACTAAAAAGGACCAAAAAATGTAAAATATTTTGTAAACTATAAAGCACTATGTACATATTACCTGCTGTGAATATTCACATTAAAGGTCCAATCTCAGCATGAGTGTCTCCCTTCCTCCCAGCATAAATTAAGTCCTTCTATACTAGGTTTTTTTGGTAAAATTTAGCCACACACATTGGAATTCAGCATCAATGGCTTTTATGGAATGATAGTAAATTGCAGTGATTACTTTGAAAAAATAGTCTGTTCATAATGACAATGGTCCAGACTAATTTGTTTTATTGTTATTGTTTTGTCTTGTTTTTTAGAGAGGGATAGGGTCTCGCTTTATCACCCAAGCTGGAGAGCAGTGGCATGATCATTGCTCACTGTAACCTGGAGTTCCTGGGCTCAAGTGATCCTCCTGCCTCAGACTCCCAAGTAGCTGAGACTACAGGTGTGTGCCATCACAATCAGCTTGTAAATTTTTTTTTTTTTTTTTTTTTTTTTTTAGAAACAGGGTCTTGCTATGTTGCTCAGGTCGGTCTCAAACTCCTGGCCTCAAGTGATCCTCCCACCTCAGCCTCCCAAAGTGCTGGGATTACAGGCGTGAGCCACTGTGCCCGGCCCCCACCTGGCCTAGTTTGTTGTTTGTTTGTTTTTAATGCTTCGATATAACAGCTACATCTTCCTTCTGTACTAGCCATTCTTTTACACTCAATCAGCTTTACAGTTGCTCCCTCCCCTGCAGGGCTCATAGTCTGCCATGTTACCAGTTGTATTCCCAAGTCTGGAGCCTTTGGGGTCTCTAAGCAAGAATCTAGCACTGAGGCTCTGGGGAGGAAGGGCTGAACTTTCTTTAATATCTTTAAAGAGTTTGCTAAAAAGTCTTTACCCTGCAGGGATCACCTTGCAGAGTTTTTCTTTGTTGTTGTTATTATTGTTGTTGTTGTTTTTAATTTCCTAGCTCTGCTCTGCTGCCCTCTTATGGGCAGCTATCAAGTCAAAACCAAGCTTCTATCTTAGACCAATTTGCTTCCACTGGCAAGGCTCCCTATCACACAACACAGGTGTAACTGTACTATAAGCAAGCCATAGGGTATTATATCAATAATCAATAAAGGTGCCATTTAACTCTCAGACTATGGTACAGGCCATCTTCTCTTCTTCAGATCACACCCAAGTCCCAGTTGGCTTCTTTCCAGTTCAAAATGCCTCCCATCATTTAAAAAAAAAGGAAAAAACCTTCTCCTGAACCCACATCCTTTCCCCCAGCTACCACTTCCCTTTATAGCAAAATTTCATGGTTTGCACTTGCTGCCTCTATTTCCTCACCTCTCATTCTTTCTGGTGTCCGCTCTAATAAAGATATCATCTTTGTTACCCCGCTGAGACTGCTCGTCAAGGTGAGCAGTGACCTCGATCAGTCTCTTGTGTTAAAACGCTTTCTTCACTTGCCCTCCAAGGCATCCTACTTCTTGGTTTTCCTTCTACCTCATTAATGTCTCCTCAAACACATTTGCTAGATCCTTCTCCTTCTCCTGACTTCTGTCCCCAAGTGATATCGTCCAGATAATTTGGTTTAAACACCACCTATGTGCTAATGACTTCCAAATGTATTTATCTAGCTTAAACCTCTTCCCTTGGACTCCAAACTCATATACCCAACTGTGTAATCCACATGTCCATCTGGAGGTCTAGCTTTTCAAACGTGACAGCCTTAAAAGAAACTTTTGATTACCATGCCAAAACTGCTCCTCTGTTAGCGGTGTCTTGGTAGATGGCAACTCCATTCACCCAGCAGGTCAAGCTGAAAACTTAGGAACCTTTCTAAATTCCTATTTTTTACTCATATTTTATTTTCTATATATCTATAGAAATAAGGTAAGTCTTATTCTATATATATAGATATATAGAAATATATATTTTTTATATATAGATATATAGAAATATATATATAGATATATAGAAATATATATTTTTTTCTATATGTAGATATATAGAAATATATATATTTCTATATATATATCTCTCTCTATATATATATATTTCCTTATATCTATGTAAATATAGGTAAGTCCTATCTGCTCTACCTTCAAATATCTCCAGAATCCAACCTCTTCTTACTGAAGCAGCATCATTCATCTAAGGTAATACCTGAGGTTTGCTGCCTCATGCCAAGGAAATCAAGGATGTGGACACACAAGAAGTAAGGTTAAAAGCGGAGGTTTAATAGGCGAAAGAAAGAGAAGAGCTCTCTGTGCAGAGAGGGGTCCTGGGGAAAATGGATTGCCACTTCCACAGTGAAATGCAGGAAGTTTTATAGATAAGCTTGAGGAGGCGGTGTCTGATTTACACAGGGCTCGAAAGATTGGTTGGACCAGGTATGCCATTTGCATAGCACTCAAAGAAGCTGGCTGCCCCACCCTAATCTTTTATTATGCGGATGGGTTTTTTACTTGGCCATTGCCATATTGCCTGGTTCTTTACTGTGCACGTGGTGACTAAGAAAAGGGAAGATGGAGCCTCCATGTTGAACATGCCTGGCCCTCAGGCAGCCCTTTTCTGTTGGCACAGCGGCCGGCATTCACCTGTGCAAACTTCCAGCTTGCTTATCTCTGTCTGCAGCTCGATTTTTCAGGCCACTCTTTGTTAGAAAAGAAATGACTCGGGGGCTGCTTTTAGTTAAAAAGGGAAACCTTGCTAAGGACTCTTGCCCTCATCATCTACCTAATAATTTCTTCTAGTTCCTGTATCGTTAGCACCTCCATTACCACCACTGGTTCCAGCCTAAACCACCTTTTACCCTAATCTACCTCTGAGGTCTCCTAACCAATCACCCTATTTTTGCTTAATACTACTGATTTTCTACAAAGCAGCCAGTGAGGTTTTTTTTTTTTTTTTTTTAAAAAAAAGTAAATTGGTTAAAAATCATTTCAGTGACCTTCTTTCATGCTCAAAATAAAACCTAAACTTATCATGACCTACAACACCTGCCTTCATCTCCAGCCTTATCTACCATCACCATTCCCCTTGTTCAGTCTACTCTAATAGCACTGGCCTTCTGTTACTGCTAAATTGTTAAGTTCCCTAAGAACTTGTATGTTTGCTTGCACACTCATCTCTAATCACTGCATCATTCACGCCCTCATTTACTCAGGTCTCTGCTCAACTGACAGCTCCTTGGAGAGGCCTTCCCTGAACCAACCTATTTGAAATCACTCACCCTTTTATCACTTTTTTTTTAAAAAAAACTGCCTTGGCTGGGCGCAGTGGCTCACGCCTGTAATCCCAGCACTTTGGGAGGCCAAGGGGGTGTATCACCTAAGGTCGGGAGTTGAACACCAGCCTGACCAACACGGAGAAACCCTGTCTCTACTAAAACTACAAAATTAGCCAGGCATGGTGGTGCATGCTTGTAATCCCAGCTACTTGGGAGGCTGAGGCAGGAGAACCGCTCAAACCCAGGAGGCGGAGGTTGCGGTGAGCAGAGATAGCGCCATTGCACTCCGGCCTGGGCAACGAAAGCAAAATTCCATCTCAAAAAAAAACCAACCAACCAACCAAACAAACAAACAGAACAGCCTTAGTGAGCTGTATTTCACGTATCATAAAACTCACTCGTTTCAAGTGCAAAATTCAATGATTGTTATCATTTTATTTAGTGTTGCAACAATCACGTAGATCAGTTTTGGAACATTTTTATCCCTTAAATAAGATCTCTATGCCCATTATATTAATCCCCATCTCAACACTAAGCCCCAGAAAACCATTAATCTACTTTCTGTCTCTAGAAATTTTTCTGGATATTTCATATAAATAGAATCACATAATACAGATTTGTATCTGGATTATTTTATTTAGCATGTTTTTGAGGTTCACCCATGACATAGCATGTGTCAGTAGTTTGTTCTTTTTTATTAATGAATAGTATACCATTGTATAGATTTACATTTTTTCTTTCTCTCTTTTTTTTTTTAAGACAGGAGTCTCGTTCTATTGCCCAGGCTGGAGTGCAGTGGCATGATCTCAGCTCACTGCAGCCTCCATCTCCCTGGTTCAAGTGATTCTCATGCTTCGGCCCCAGAGTAGCTGGGATTACAGGTGCATGCCACCATGCCTGGCTAATTTTTTATTTTTAGTAGAGACAGGGTTTTGCTATGTTGGCCAGGCTGGTCTTGTACTCCTGGCCTCAAGTCATCCACCCGCCCCAGCCTCCCAAAGTGCTGGGATAACAGGCACAAGCCACCACACCCAGCCTAGATATACATTTTTTAAACAATCCATTTACCAGTTGATGGGCATTTGGGATGTTTCCAGTCCTTATTATTTTAAAAGTTGCTGTGGACATTTGTGTGTGTTTGTGTGGTTATGATCTTAATTCTCTTAGGTAAACAGCTACAAGTAGAAATGATGGGTCATATGGTAGTTTTGTGCTTTGCCTTCTGAGAAACTGACAAACTGTTTTCCAACTGGCTACACTATTTTACATTTCCACCAGAAAGTGGAAATTCCACAATTTAAAAAGATTCTTGTTTTTCTGCGTCCTTACCAACATTTGTTAATGTGTGTCTTATTTATTATAGTCATTTTAGTGAGTGTGAAGTGGTATCTCATTGTAGTTTTAATTTGCCTTTCCTTCCTCTATTACCTTCTATCCTCTTTATTTTTTTCTTAACACTTATTATTACCTTAGGTTTTTAAAAACATTTCTGTTTATTGGTTGTCGCACTCCCCTAATTTAATGTAAATACCATGAAGGCAGAAACATTGTCTTGTTCTTCTCCATATCCCTAACCCCTAGAACGTTTGTTGAGTAAGTAAATAAACATATCCTTCTCATGTGTTCATCTCTTCTTGTTCAGCAGCCTAGAAAGATACACTTGATAGGTGCCCTGTCTGGGATATTGAAAAGCTGAAAAGCTCAGCTTCTTCAAGTTTGCATGGGCAGATGACAGTTTATAAGTTGTCAATTTTGGATTTTGCATACATGTATATATGTACACATATGTTTGCAGATGTATATGCACACACACACACACACACACATCCTGGCATTTCTATATGAGGCTTAATACATCTGATTATCAAAAGGACAAAGTTCAAAGCAAATGCAGAAAAAAAAATGAATGAGCGTAAGCGCAATACAGAGTTGTCAAGTAAATGTTATGGTTATCTAGAAACTGAATGGCCATTACATTTACAAATGTCAATACTAGGTGCAGATTGATAGCAAGACCTGACACAATGTCACTTGAATAAATCAAACAAGGTTATTTATCCAAAGAGCACAGCATAAATTCAGCTCAGTCAAAAAAGTGAACACATTTTCCAATTCAGACAGAAGCATATCTTCACTCCAACATCTTCACTAAAAGTGTGTGCGTTATTACTGAAAACTCCTAAATGGGTGAGAAGACTCTGCAGAAATTTAGTCTCTCTTGGTCCAGCCTATCTGTGCTCATAAACAAGTGTGAATCTGCCTAGAGCCCCTCCTTGGGCAGAGGTATCTCATGTGTGTAAGGGTTATATAATGACAGCACTATTGCCCGGTCTTAGAGAACAGTTTGGTTCTCTAAGGCATCTCTCTCAGACAGTATATCCTGGTCTGAGAACATTCCTGAACTCGGTATTGTGGAACTGAAGCAGGGATCAGTTTCCTGGATCTTTGACAGACCAGCTAACAGCCATAGGGTGTATCCTGAAGTGAAGAGTCAGTAGATAAAAAATAGTTAAGAAGCTGCACAGCCATAAAGAATGGCAGAGTGACAGAAAATATCCAAAATTACTCTTACCATAATTCTGTCTTTTTTAATACTAGTAGTTTCTATTTGTGACGGGGAGAGGAAATTGGCAAAGTAAGCATCCAAGGAAATCTAATGTCCATCACCTGCCTAAAAAATTTCAGGCATGACTCAGTTTTGCTTTTCAGGGACTTTACTGACTCCGTAACATCTTATCTATGATGTCCAGAGTGAGAGCTTTCCCACTGCGAAAACAACCGTATGAAAAACAACTACTTATCCCTTACTGCAATTAAATAATTTTCATACTTTGATGACATTAGTGGAACAGTGACAATGGTGGTAGCTATGTATTATTATTTTGGGGGAGACGACACAAGCAGGTAATAATAAAGATTAATACTGTGAACTGGAATTGATCTTAAACAACCTCTGATTGGTAAAAGAACAGTTGATAGAACTAGATCAGGTCAGGCTACACAAGAGAAGTACTATATTCTACTAACTTTTTATTATAAATTACAACAGGAGCTCAGATAGAAACAGTTCAAAATAAAGAGGAAAAGGGAAAACCAAGGCCAAAGTCAAGTAGCTAACAAGTGAAATGGTGTTTTAAAAAGAGTAACAGCAAAAAGAAGAAGAGAACAAGAAAAAAAAAAAGATTGGCAAGTGAGACAAAGTAAAAGCTTTCTACAATGAACAAACAAACTCAGAATGGACGTGAAAGTAAAAGCCCGATGGAGGGGTAGGGGTTCTTTGACCCGAAAACAACAGAGCAAATTCAGATTAATCCAAAAGAATATCACATCTAATTTAAGCCAAAACTAAAAATTAGACAAAATGATTAAAGACAGGAAAATTTTATTTTTATTAAAATCCAAATTTACAGTAACAGAAAAACCAAGCAGATAACCAGTGTTTGTTCGAAGGCATCCCTGAGAAACAAAACATTATTATGAAAATCAGGGGCCTATTTACAAGAAAAAAAAGGCAACACAAATCTAAGCCAAATTGAATTAGGCAGAAGGCACAGCACAGAATGAATAGCTCTCTTCTTCCCAACTTCTTGCTTTAAAGGAGCAGCAGGTGGCATTACCTCTTTGTGTCTATTCCTATTAGTAATCAACAAACGAACTGAGAAGTGGCAAAAAAAATTAAGACCATATTCTCCCTTTGCTTCTAAAAAACTGGAGGTGACAGACATATATCCTTGGCAGCATTGATGTAAGTCATCAAGAAGGCACACTAATTCATTGATGTGAAAAGATCTCCAAGATATGTTAAAATAAAATAGCAAGATACAGAAAGTATATATAACATACTAACTGCTGTTTATAATAAGAGAAGAAAAATAGAATTTGTATTTGTTTATATTTGTATAGATCCTGGAAGAATGCAAAAGAAACTAATAACAGTGGTCACCAGTGGGTGGGGAAGGAAGGGCATATGAGGACAGGATAGGGGTGAGAGTTCTCACTATACACATTTTATGTTGCTTAATTTTTGAACTATGTGATTATATACCTATTCACAATTTTATATTAAAAAGAAGGGGAAACTATTGACTTAAGTGTATATTTTCATCTCTAAGTTGTTTGCACTTTTGCCTCTACATTCTATTTTATAACAGCTTATTCCTTTTGTGTGTGTGTGTGTGTGTGTGTGTGTGTGACAGAGTCTTGCTCTGTCACCTAGGCTGGAGTGCAGTGGTATGATCATGGGTCACTACAGCCTCGATCTCCCAGGCTTGAGCCAGCCTCCCACCTCAGCCTCCCGAATAGCTGGGACTACAGGTGTGCACCACCATGCCCAGCTAATTTTTAAATTTTTTGTAGAAACAAGGTCTCACTATGTTGCCTAGGCTGGTCTCAAACTCCTGAACTCAAGCAGTCCTCCTGTCTTGGCCTCCCAAAGTGCCGGGATTACAGGCATGAGCCACTGTGCCCGGCTAATTTATTCTTTAAAACACTACAGAAGACCCCAACCTGACTAAAAATTAAATACTTAACACCAACCATTGTGCTATTCTGTACAGTTAATTTTGGGTGAAAGTAATTCTACTATCAAAACAAGCCTCTCTTTTAGTCAGGCTTCTAGCCACCAAAATACTACAGTGCAATTTTTATCTACCAGTCCTTCGTTTAAAAACTGTCAATGGCTGGCCATCTTGCCTAGAAAATAAGGTCTTACTCTTTCATTTTGTTTTGCTTTTGAGAGACAGGGTCTCACTCTGTTGCTCAGGCTGGAGCGCAGTGGCTCCATCATGGCTCACTGAAGGCTCAGCCTCCCCGACTCAAGCAATCCTCCCACCTCAGCCTCCCAAGTAGCTGGGACCACAGGCAACCACCATCATGCTCAGATAATTTTTGTAATTTTTGTAGAGACGAGGTTTCCCCATATTGCCCAGGCTGGTCTCGAACTTGGTCTTGAACTCCTGGGCTCAAGTGATCCGCCCACCTTGGCCTCCCAAAGTGCTGGGATATAGGCGTGAGCCACCGCACCTGGCCCTAAGGTCCTACTCTTGAGCCTGGAATCAGAGCTCCTCTCCAGCTTGCTGCCCATCTTCCCATTTATTTCTTCACTTTAAGCATTTCAGTTTGTTCAATGATTAAACATTCCTGGATTCATCTGTATGTAATGGCTTCTGCCATGTCCTCTTCACCTATCTTTTTTTTTTTTCAAAGATGGAGTCTTACTCTCTCACTTAGGCTAGAGTGCAGTTCCGCAATCATAAAGCCCACTGCAGCTTCAAACTCCTGCGTTCAAGTGAATCTCCCACCTAGTATGTGTGATTATAGGCATGAGCCACTGTGCCTGGCATTTCTGTAAGGCCTAAATAATGTCTCATCAATCCTTTCCTACTCCCCAGCTCCGGTGATGGTCCTCTTCTCTCAATTCCTGTAGCACATACCATCATTGACACTTAGCATACGCTACTTTTCACACATTACTGTACTCCTTTTGTAAAAAATTAGGCCCTCTTCCTCAGTTCAGTCGAAAAAGCTGATTCTAAACAATGACAATATAACATATGAAGAGATTAGTAAAAGTCTTTAGCAGCTATAAAGGGCTCAAATAACTCAGCCTAGTTATTTCTTTTTATGCATACATCTTGTCTCACATCTAGACTGTAGACACTTCATCTTATACCAACTTACATTTTGGTTTTTAGGACAATGTTCTCTACATAATACATGATTAATGAATATTTATTGATGCTAATAAAGATGGTCATGATAGGGTCAAGAAAGCAAGCCTGACTTCAATGTGTTTGGACACCTACCATGAGACTCAGTAAAATCAATCTATTTTGCAGGCATTCTGCAGGCCCCTCCAGAAATGAATGGTATCATCGCCAGTTTTTTTCAAGAATGTCTTTTCTCTGGAAAGCCCTCCCACACCTACTTCCCTTCACTTTGTGCTCGTATCCTACAATCCTAAACTGATACGTTCGGTTTTGGCTGGACTGGTTGGCTTTTTAAAATCAGACACTCGATCAACAAAATGTGGTGTATCCATGCAATAGAATATTATTTGGCCTCAAAAAAGAATTAAGTACTGATACATGCTACAACTTGGATGCATCTTGAAAACATTATGCTAAGTGAAAGAAGCCAGCCACAAAAGTCCAATTCCATTTGTGTGAAAGTCCAACATAGTTAAATCTATAGGCACAGAAGGTAGATAAATGGCTGTTTGGGGCTATGGGGGAGCAGATAACGTTTCCCTTTGAAGTGATGAAATGATCTCAGATTAACTGGCAATAATTGCACTTATTTGTGAATACACTAAAGACCATTGAATCACACACCTTAAATGGGTGAATTCTATGGTACGTAAATTTTATCTCAATACAGCTGTTTTTTAAAAAAGAAACTGAAGACATTATGTCTTCATATAAATAAATATGAATTTAGTAAATCTACTTACTAAGTCTAAAAAGCTTACATATTCCACTCTTAAATATTCCACTCAAGTATCTCTAGGACATATTTTTCAGATGGCCCCATTGTGATTCCTGGTCAATCTGACCAAGAGGGAGACTGGGGGTAGGAAAGCCAAGTGCCAAATGCAGCCCTCCTCAAACCAATTACCTTTCTGCCTGTCTCACCGGAGCCTTCCATGTCCTGATCTAGTCCCACCAGTTGTGACAACGACTCACGAACATGCCTAGTACTTTTTGCAGCTCTGCTTTGCCTCATCCTGATGTGAAATCCTCTTCCCCTGCTTCATCCTTCAAGACTAGGCTCAAAGTTTTCTATAAAACTTTACCTAATATTAAGTATCCATCACTTTAAGCAAAAGAAAAAAAGGAAAAAAAGCTTTCCCTAATCTACCCAATTCACACTGTTCGGTGTATACAATCAATCCCTCCTTTGAGCTCCCACGTGTGACTTGTACTCATTTTGTACAAGCTTTATACAACAGTGGCTTTGTAAATGAATCTTAAGATTGTAGGGCAAGGCCAGGCACGATGGCTTACTCCTGTAATCCTAGCACCTTGGTAGGCTGAAGCAGGAGGATTGCTTGAAGCCAGGAGTTCGAGACCAGCCTCAGTAACATGATGAAACTCCATTTCTACTAAAAAATACAAAAATTAGCCAGGTGTGGTTGCATACACCTGTGGTCCCAGCTACTCTGGAGGCTGAGGTGAGAGGATCACTTTAGCCTGAGAGACGGAGGTTGCAGTGAACTGAGATCACAGCACTGCACTGCAGCCTGGGTGACAGTGAGACCCTGTATCAAAAAAAAAAAAAAAAAAAAAAAAGGAGACAGAGCCACTCCAAGATGCTTTTTCTTTGTATTGGGCAGTTAAGTAGGTCAGTTACCAAACAAAGGATAATTTGAAAGTTCTCCAAAGCAGCCTGTGCAAAATATCTCTTCCGTATTATACCACTAACAACTAAAATGTTGTCATTACTAGAGGCTCATCCAGCACTGGTCTTTCTCAAAAGGCACACAGGCCTGGGAGGGCAGTGTGGTTTTGAAACATGCCAGCCAGCTGAATGCAAGTTGATAAGCAAAGATAATAGTGCGGTGAGCCAACATGGGGGAAATGCCTGGAGGCAGTATCACAGGGAGGTTCTGACAAGCACAAGTGAAGAGAAAGACTGGAGCCCAGAAAGGAAGAGGAAGGAGAGAAGGAGGCACTCAAAGAGAAGCAGAGTATGAAACAACTTCACAGGTTTGCCTGGGGCTGGCAGCAATCCAGTCAACAGTGGAGTGGCTGGCAGCAGAGAAAAGTGTTTGCCACTGCCTTGTCAGCATGGAGTGAATGGAGAGTGTGGCTGCAGATGTTAGAGAAGAGTAGGAGAGAAAAGGCAAACAAGAGGAAATATAATTAGGGCTTTGGTAAGGAAGTGGGAACTAAGGAAGAGGCTAACCAGTGAACTAATTCAGATATGATCAAATAAACAGGAAATGAAACAATCAGAAGGCAAGGGAGAGAGGCAGGACCAGCCTGACAGAAGTGGCAATCAAGTGCCAGAAGTTAACTTTTCTTTACCATCTCATAACCTCTTTCCACCTCACCTTTCATCATTTTGCCCTTCTTCATCCTTTGCTGCCCTCACATACTATCTCATCTCAGTTCCTAACTGCTTGTCTGAGAAGCAGATAGTCACACAAGACATGCGATCTCACATCCTTTCATGTCAATCTTGGTCTGTGCCCCAGCCCCATACCAAGTTACACAAAAAAATGAAATTATTTCATCTTTCTCTTTATTCTGACAACATTATGACATTAAATAAAATCCAAGAGGTATTGGATTAGTCCTTGTTTGGTCTCTGGTGATTTAGATAAGGCAGAACTGAGCCCCTCGGAATGTATTATCTCAAAGAGCTAGTAGCAGCTGCTATGCAAAGTTCTAAGGCCCGAGTCAAATCCTGGGCATCTCCACAGATGTGTGGTAGGGCACGGGCTCCAGCTCTTGTGTAAGAAAGAACAGGAATGAGAACAGCTTTATTTTGTAGCGCCAAGGTCTCACTATGCTCACACCTGTAATCCCAGCTTTGAGAAGAGGATCTGGCACCAGAAGGGTCTGGTAGAAGAAAGTGGGAAAGGTGAAGGACAGGAATCTTTTCCTTTCTGCTACAACCTAAGGACAGAGGCACATGACTCCAGCAAGGGGCCAAAGAAGGTAGCAGCTACTTGGGTCTTGTGTGGGAGATGCCAGACGACTCCAAGGCAGGTCAACTGGCTTTGTCAGGGAGTGGAATGCTGGCCATAAGAATGGAGACAAACTGTTCCAATTTCTGTGCAGCTTGTTTGCCAGCTGCTAAGACTTCTTCATGGTTGGCCTTCTCCAGGCTTTCATAATCCATGATGACCTTGTTAGTGATGAGTGAGAAGCCAAAGACTCGAAGTCCACAGTGCCGTGCAACGATAACTTCTGGTACTGTACTCATGCCTGATAGTGAGAAAGATGGAAACCAACTGTCAGGATCCTCAAATAACTCTTTTCCTTGCCCTTTAGCCTCGCTTTCAACAAGAATTAAAAATCTCAAAAAACATCCAAAGATGGCCGGGTGCAGTGGTTCACACCTGTAATCCCAGTACATTGGGAGGCCAAGGCAGGAGGATGTCTTGAGCCCGGGAGTTTGAGACCAGCCTGGGCAACATAAAGAGACCTCGGCTCAAAAAATAAATAAAATTAGCCAGGTGTGGTAGTGTACGCCTGTGGTCCCCGTTACTCAGGAGGCTGAGGTGGGAGGATTGTTTGAGCCCAGGCAGTCAGAACTGTAGTGAGCTAGAGATGGTGCCACTGCACTCCAACCTTGGCAACAGAGCAAGGCCCCACCTAAAACAAATCCAAAGAAGCAGCTAAATTATCTTCTGTATTGCCTAAAATAAATACACATTTCTTAAAATTACCAATACAATCCTTCATTTCTATATTTGTGGCAATTTTGAACTCAATCCTAATGATAGAGTTCCATCTTCCAGCTAGAGGTACAGAAGGTGGCTATAGTGAATTTTTTAGAATTCTTAGAAACAGTCATCACATTGGCCAGGCACAGTGCGTCGCGCCTGTAATGCCAGCACTTTAGGAGGCCAAGATGGGCGGATTACCTGAGGTCGCGAGTTCAAGGACCAGCCTGGCCAACATGGTGAAACCTTGTCTCTACTAAAAATACAAAAATTAACCGGGCGTGGTGGCACACGTCTGTAATCCCAGCTACTCGGAAGGCTGAGGCATGAGAATTGCTTGAACCCGGGAGGCGGAGGTTGCAGTGAGCCGAGATCATGCCACTGCACTCCAGCCTGGGCAACACAGCGACATTCCGTCTCAAAAAACAGTCATCAAATCATGGATAGATCATTCATTAGCACTGCAGCTGTTAACCCCTTGGTGCTTCGTAGGGAGATTTGATGCTACACCAAATCTCACCAGTTTGTATTTCAATAAGTCAGTTTAATTCACCCTTCCCTGAAATCAGATCCTCTCAGTCCAATGAGGCCTGTTATTTCCTACTCCTTCCCCTTCCCATTTTGCTAAACCCCTCCCTCTTCAAGCTTCCAGCCAAATTCCCCTTCTCACCAACAGCGTCTGCTCCCAGCTTCTGCAGCACACGACATTCTGCCACAGTCTCAAAGCTGGGGCCTGCCACCATCACATAGGTGCCTTCCTGTAGCTCACGTTGCTCCCCCATTTGTTTCCAGGTACTGAGAGCCCTCTGCCTCATAGTCCGGTCGTAGGCATCAGACATGGCAGGGAAACGATCTCCAAACCTAGGACACAGGTTGAATTATCTCACATAAACGGAATTTTAAAAATTCTCCCACAGCTCCTAGAGAAGTCTTTAAATCCTACCCACCTAAAAAAAACGGAGTAACATACATACCTTTCATCATTGGGCCCTCTGAGAGGGTTCTGACCACTGAAACCAGGTAGGTTGATATGGTCACGGATCAGCATGATATCTCCAACCTCAAACTTGGGGTTCAGCCCTCCTGCTGCATTGGTGACTACCAGGGTGTCCACACCCAGAAGGTGGAAAACCCTCACTGGGAATGTCACCTTCGAAGCAAACAATCCGAAAAAAATTTACAAAATTTCATTAATTCAGCTACACTGAAATGCATGACATACATCGTGAAAGAAAAGGAAGGAGAGGACCAAAAATCCACCTAGCCCAGATAGCTAGGTAGTGAAAGAGGCTAGATAGTTCTCTCCTGCCTCTTCCAGATCCAACCGGACCTATCCCTCTGACTTACCTTCCAGAGTGGGTACCCTTCATACATGTGGAACCTGCCCTGCATCATCACACAGGCCCTGCCATTCAGGAACCCAAACACCAGTCGGCCAGCATGACCTGGCACTGTATACAAAACAGAAAGAGAAATGAATGGGATTATATTTTCATGCAACACATATCCATTAAGCACCTACTGTGAGTTACTCGCTCTGCTCAAAATGTTAGGTTGTAATTAAGTAAAAGACTCATTATTATCTCTGCTTTCAGAAAGTTTAAGTCTGGTGAGAGAGCCAGGCATTACTAATAATTATACAAATACAACCCAAGATTAGAGATATGGGGTGCGTTCAGCATGTTCAGCATGAACACACAAAGAAGGAAGGGCTTTTTAAAGAAATTTCAAGATAATACAAGCCATACTGCCAGAGAGTAAAAAGTGAGCAAAAAAAGTAGATACTCAGAAATGGAAGATTAAATACTACATGTTCTCACTTATAAGTGGGAACCAAATGTGTACATATGGACCTACAGAGTGAAATAATAGACACTGGGGACTCGGAAAGGTGAGAAAGTGGGATGGGGATGAGGGATGAGAAATTACCTAATAAGTACAATGTTCACTGCTCAGGTGATGGTTACACTAAAGCACAGACGTCACCACCACGCAGTATATCCATATAACAAAACTGCATTGTACCCCTGTAAATCTATAAAAATTAAAATTAAAAATAGGCCAGGTGCGGTGTCTCACACCTGTAGTCCCAGCACTTCGGGAGCCCAAGACAGGCGGATCAACAGGCCAGGAGTTCAAGACCACCCTGGCCAACATGGTGAAACCTCATCTCTACTAAAAATACAAAAATTAGCCAGGTGTGGTGGCACATGCCTGTAATCCCAGCTACTCGGGAGGCTGAGGTGGGAGAATCTCTTGAACTTGGGAGGTGGAGGTTGCAGTGAGCCGAGATCACAACACTACACTCGAGCCTGGGTGACAGAGCGAGACTCTGTTTCAAAATAAAGTGAGTACAGTGAATGCAGTAATTATAGACCTCTTCAAATTTTTCAAAGTTCTCAAAACATGTATTCTTATCTATTGCCCTAACTTAATTACCTGCCTCCTCAGTCCAGCAAGCAAGCTCATAGTATACTTACTCTGGCTTCTTAAAGAAGAGGCTACTGAACAAGGGGGAAAGAATTTGAACGCATGCAAGTGTCTCTTTCCTTATGACCCACGGAACAGTCCTATGGGAACACATGCCCACGGAGGGGTGCGTGGGAGTGCAAAGATAACTCCCCACAGACATAACAGCCATTATTACCATTTCTTTTATCTGGCAGTCACTTCTAATAGACGGCCAACCTATCCCTTAGGGAATGGGAGAGGGACTAGAACCAAGAGGAAGAGCTGAGAAATTCTCAAAGATAGAGGAGCTTATGCAAAAAAACAAAACAAAAACAGTAATAAAGTTGACAAAGGAAACCCAAGTGGAGTATAAAAAATAAACATGTTGATAAGCTTAAAAAAACTAACCCACTTATCATTTAATGCAGTGCCCTTCTCACTGGGGGTAGGAGTGGCCAGTGGAGCCAGCGTCACTACTATCTCCCTTAGAGAAGTATGCCCTTCACACACCCTCTGTTAATATTTCCCTCACCTTCTCCCTCTGCTCTTCCAGTCTTGTGTTAAAGAGTTTAAAAAAATAGCTATTAAAGGTCTTTTCCTGCTGACAGGTCTTAAAAAAAAATTCTTAACTCTCCAGGGAAAAGAAGATAGAAATCTTAAAAATTAATAAATAAACCAACAGAAGTTAGTTATTTGAGAAATTACGTAAACCAAATAAACAACCCTTGCCCTTTACTTGGCCCCTGTCACCTGGCCCTCTTCTGAGTCTTAGCCTCAGTCCACTGACACACACATGTCCTGTCTCTTATGGGATGTCTGCTAGAGGCATCTCCTAAAGTCACTCTGACTCATGGTGGGCTTTTCTCCTCTCTTACAACATTTGTCTTCAGTGAAATGCTAGGTCAAGGAGTAGAAACATTGGCCTCCTTGGTTGTGTTCCACAGAATTCCAAGAACATCCCTCAGTCCCATTCCCCACTTTCCCTTGCCAGTACCTGTACTTCGGGGAAAGTTGGGGATTTCACCGTAGTCAAAGATCTGGGCCTGAGTTAATTTATCAGTCAGACCTCCTAATCCAGAACCACAGATTATTGCAACTTGAGGTCGGTGCTTAGTGTGAGACAGAAGCCATTCTGCAGTGTTCTTATAATCTTCATAGGTGTATCTGGGGGAGAAAAAATATCAAGGTGAATTCTGCTCCCATTCCAAGGGCATCACAGACAAATGACCTTCGGTGCAAAAAGGCTGGCAGGTATACTGAGGCAGCAGGGACGGAGAAGCTGGCACAGAGGGAAAGGCCATACTATGCTCTTCCATCTACTCAGCCACCCTTCTTTCTGAATCAAGCCCACTACAAGTCTGATATGAAACTACCTCCATTCTAGAGCCTGGCAAAAGTTAATAAAGCCTGTTTCTACTAACAGGCCCAACTCCAGTGTTGGATCCACTGAACACTGGCAAGCTGCATACTTATCCTTATGACAAAGGTTTAGAGAGGAAGGGGCCAGAGTGTACGGGGAAGTGCAAGGAAATAATCAAATTAGGGAGGGTAAAAGGGCTTGGCCAGGAGGGAGCCCAAGAAGAGTACTCAAAATGGGATTAAGCCCTTCCTGAGGGTGGTGCCCACCTAGTAAAATCCCCCTTATTACCTTACCTGTTCCCCAAAGACATTCAAAATGTAATTAAGACCAACTACTATGAAGGCAGAGATAAACTCAAATTTCCTTTTGAACCCTCATTCCTCCAGTTCCTTCCTCAGCCAAAGACTTAAGGGCTACATTTCTTTTTTGTTTTAACCAATAAAACACAATGGGACCACCCCTGGTAGAGGTCTACGTGCCATTCTTAGCTCCCTGGATCACAAGGGGGTTAATTCCAGACAAAAAACTAGATAAACTGCTGTACAAAAAAGCAGACCCAGTCCACAGTACTGGTTGTCAAAGGTTAAACCAGGACTGACTACACAAATTCTCAGCAGAAGCTTGTTAGAAAAACAGATTCTGGCACTCCAGCCTGGTGACAGAGTGAGACCCTATAAAAAACACACACACACACACACACAAAACCCCCACAAAAAACAGATTCTGAAGCCCATGTAATTTTGATTTTAAAACCAGGTTTAGGGGCTGGGCGCGGTGGCTCATGCCTGTAACCCCAGCACTTTGGGAGGCCGAGGTGGGCGGATCACGAGGTCAGGAGATCGAGACCATCCTGGCTAACATGTTGAAACCCCGTCTCTACTAAAAATACAAAAAAAAAAAAAAAAAAAAAAAAATTAGCCGGGCGTGGTGGCGGGCCCCTGTAGTCCTAGCTACACGGGAGGCTGAGGCAGTAGAATGGTGTGAACCCGGGAGGCAGAGGTTGCAGTGAGCCAAGATCGCTCCACTGAACTCCAGCCTGGGAGACAGAGCGAGACTCCGACTCCAAAATAAATAAATAAAAATAAAATAAAATAAAACCAGGTTTAGGAATTGCTGGTCTGGAGGGAAGCAGAATTCGACCTAGATTCTAGTCCCAATATTGTCTTTTTAGGCATGTAATTTGTGCTTTAAATTATTTTCTCAGGTATAAACAAGGGATGTAAATTGGCCCCATCTATCTTATAGGCTCAATCTGAAAATGAATTGAATACTTGCTAACAACTTCCAAAGACCTATGGCTCTGTTACACAAAGTATTTGAATCTTTCTCCTGCTTTCCACCTGCCTGTGGTCTTCTTCCTGTCCTTCCCCCTCCCTGCCTCCTCCCAGTTTCCTTTCTCTCCACCGAGGATCTTTGCTCTTCAGAAACCTCAGGGCACTTACCCAGAACCCCTACACTAGCAAGAATCAACCCGTGTTACTTTTCTCCCAGTTCCAAGTCCAGTTCTCTCACATCCATCTGGGAAGACCAAACGTTGCTTTCAGAGGTGGCAATGAGGTGTGACAGAGCTGAACACAACTAACCAAGCTTTCACAGGAAATTTTTTACTTGGAAAGCAGAGCCCGGGAAACCAGACATGATTGCACAATACACCAGGCTACCCTCAGGGAAGCAGTTGGATCAGGTAGGTTGGGGGCTGGTCAACGGAGCCACAGGACAATGGAGAGAAGCAATTAAGCTGGTAAAATGTTAATCAAATGGCATCCCCAAAAGGTGCAAAGGAAATGAATGTGTGAAGCTGCCGCCACATGGCATGTCTAGCCACATCTCACAGCACTTCCTCATTGGCTATCAGTCCCCTCAAGAACACCCTGGCTCCCTGGGCATCCAAAAGCAACTGTGATGCCTAATGCAGGTCACTTGGACTGGGATATCCAGGACCCAAGCCGAGAGAAGAGTTTTCAAAGGCGTGGGGTGGGGGAAGTGAGCACAGGACTGTTGCTCAGTTCGGTGACTGATTTCCGTCTCCACTTAGCAGTCACTTCCCACCGAGTTAATCATACTGCCAGTCTGGAAGGAAGGGAGGAGTGCAACTGGCAAAGGAGGTGAGTAATCTTGCCTCTAAAGGAGGAACTCCGAATTTGAGCACCAAAAGTACCTCGCAGCTTTACCCAGACCCTAGCATGGGAATTTATGAAGAGCGCAGGGGGTGAGGAGACCTCCTCCTGGTATGGAGTGAGGGATATATACATATACTCACTCTCCACTTGTTCCCCTAACACACACACGGAGACACACAACGGCTGCTTTTACGGAGTAGCTTAGACCGCACCGACCTGTCCCCTTCCTGCTCCGGTGGCGCCACCCCAGCTCGATTCCCGCGTGCGTCCCTGCCCGCGCTGGCTGCCGCATGACTCTGCCGCCTTGCTCCCGACACTAGGCTCAGTGCCAGGCCTCTCTGCATCCCCTGGGCGCTCGCTCCCTCCGCCAGCTCCCTCTGGGCCCAGTGTGCCAGGTTCCCGGGTCACAGCACCTGCCCCTCCCCAAGGGTCCTGCGGGCCTGGTGCCCTCCTCACCCGTTCTCCATGGTCTCGCAGACGCCTTCTCGATGAGCCTGCTCCGGTGTGCTCCGATCCGCTCCGATCCGATCGGATCCGCTCCGCTATGCTGAACTGAGCAAGGCTGCCGGGTCTGGTTCGCACAGTTGGCTCACTGGTCTAGGCTCTGGCTTATATCCCTTGCCCTGGAGTCCCCAGCCAATGGCAAGCGAGCACGCGGGCCGGCCCTGTCTCCATGGTGACACACCCTAATTCAATCGGCTGAACCTGGGCTGTAAACCTAATCAGAGTTCTTCCCAGCCCTAAACCTTCTGCCCCGGGGCGGGCGGGGGGAGCCGGAGCGCACCCAGCATTTCATCTCGGTACCCATTCCAGTCCGCAGGGCAGGAGTTCCCAGCAAGAAGGCCTATGCGGAAATAGGGCTAGAAGTAGGGAGGAGAGCCCCCAGCCCTCTCCTTGCAACCTCATTCCAGCTGTGTCAATAGCAAACCGTGAGAGATTCAAAAAGGAAAAATTTCATACCTTAGATTGTACAACCCCAGAATAAAAATGAAGCGAGACTGTGTCTGAGTTGCTCCCTGGACAAGGGAAGCTGGGTCGCCCCCGGCAACAGTGCTAACTTGGAGGATACAGGGTTTAGGAGAGCACATCCAGGCCCAGACCGGGAGAAGAAAAAGTTCTCAGGCAAGAATTCCGGGGTCCTAGATGCCGACAGAAAGGATAAGGATGGATTTGGTGGGTAGGGACACAGATAATCCCTTGATCTGCGCAATATTGATCCAAGCAATTCAGGTAACTAGAGGACTCCTCCCACGAAGAAAATTCTGTTATCGGAATACACGGGTACCAGAATATAACATAAATAGCGTGTCTTTGGTAGAATACAACTATTACTTCTGCCCACATTTACAATTTAATTTTTACATTTAATTTACATTTTTACATTAAATTTACATTTAATTTTTAATTTAAAAAATTAAAAAAAAATTTATATATAAAGGCCAGGCGCGGTGGCTCACGCCGGTAATCCCAGCACTTTGGGAGGCCGAGGTGGGTGGATCACCTGAGGTCAGGTGTCGGAGACCAGCCTGGCCAACAAGGCAAAACCCCATCTGTACTAAAAATACAAAAAATTAGCTGGGCGTGGTGGCAGGCGCCTGTAATCCCAGCTACTTGGGAGGCTGAGGCAGGGAGAATGGCTTGAACCCGGGAGGTGGAGGTTGCAGTGACCTGAGATCACACCATTGCACTCCAGCCTGGGCAACAGAGTGAGTAGCTGGTTCCTGAGAACTTACTAGCACTTTGAAAATAACAATGCACACAAATTGAAAAAAAAATTTCGTTCTTAAATAACCACAAACAGTTACTTACGGGATATGTACATCTGTTTGGCACTACTCAACTTCTCACATGCAGGAATCCAATGCTGCCACCCTCATTTTCTGTTCCATGCTGATTTTTACACAGTACTTTTTTTTTTTACTTAATACTTAATTTTTATCAGAGGGACCTTCTAAAACCATCTTTTGTAAAGATATGTTGTCTTTATATATATATATATTTTTGAGACAGGGTTTCACTCTGTAACCCAGGCTGGAGTACAGTAGCACGATCTTGCCTCACTGCAATCTCTGCTGCCTGGGTTTGAGCCATTCTTTTGCCTCAGCCTCCCGAGTAGCTGGGATTACAGGTGCCTGCCACCATGCCTGGCTAATTTTTGTATTTTTAGTAGAGACGGGGTTTTGCCATATTGGCCAAGCTGGCCTTGAACTCCTGACTTCAACTGATCTGCCCACCTCGGCCTCTCAAAGTGCTGAGAGTATAGGCATGAGCTACCACACCTGGCCAGATATATTGTCATCAAAAGGAATGTAGCACAATCTAATGTTCCAACTGTGAATCACCTCAAGTTAATAGGTCACACAGTGTTTAAGAAATATAAAATATTGCTGTGTTTCCTCTGAAAATTAAAAATATTCCACAATACCCTTGTGAGCTTGTACTTTGGCACAGTTTGGGAACCATGGCCCCAGTCACTCCATGCCACCTCATTCCTGAATCTATGTAGTGTAAATGAATGGGCTCTAATAAAACTACCTGTGTATGAATGCCATCTTCACCCCTTATTTACTCGTGTGATTCTAGGCAAGTAAAATTCTTATTATGCTTCAATTTTTTCATCTGTAAAATAGCAATAATCTTAGTATTTTTGCAAGGATTATACAGAATACCTTTTACATGTTTAGGTAAATGCCTGGATATATAATAAGCACACATTAAATGCTGGCTATTATGATTAATCTCCATTGTCTCTTTCTCTTTTGTTCTTTCTAGACTCACCTAACCATAAATTGAATCAAAATAAAAACTAGAGGTATATCCAGCCTATCAATACCAATGAATCCCACACTGTTCAAAACAGAAGGCACTAGCCATGTGTGGCTATTTAAAAGTAATAAAATTAATTAAGATGAAATATAATAAAAATAATTCAGTTACCTAATCATACTAATTACATTGTAACTTCTCGATAGTCACATGTGGTTAGTGGCTACCATATTGCATAGCATAATTACGTTTTTATGCTAGAGCACAGCACTGTTCTTATCTTTTCTAGTCACTGCCACCTTGTATCCACATAAAAGAAACTGGAACTGTGCTTTATTATTTACTTTTAGGGTAAAAGAGTTCCTGTAGCATTCCTATAGACAGGAACCAGACGATCATCAATCTTAGTGTGATTAGAGTTCATTAATGCCTTATTACCTTTTCTTCTATCTTCTCATCACTTCTATCTTCAGAGGGACTCCTTGTCCAGGAACATACTTAGTAACACACTTACCCTCCACCCGCAAGATCAAGGAAACTAAAAAAAAGTGGCAGGAATAGGTTCTAAGTCACTCAGTATTGCCTTGTGGAACGTATTTTATTCCTGCCCTCTCAACTGAGATCTCTTATTCTCTCTAGATCACAAGCTAAATATGCGGTTTTAAAAATATCTATCCCTGGCCAGGCACAGTGCCTCAGACCTGTAATCCCAGCACTTTGGGAAGCCAAGACAGGAGGATTACTTGAGCCCAGGAGTTTGAGACCAGCCTGAGCAACATGGTGAAGTCTCATCTCTACAAAAAATACAAAAATTAGCCAGGTGTGGTGGCATCTGTGGTCCCAGCTACTAGGGAGGCTGAGGCAGGAGAATCACCTGAGCCCAGGAAGTCAAGGCTGCAGTGAGCTGTGATGGAGCCACTGCACTCCAGTCTGAGTGACAGAGTGAGACCCTATCTCAAAAAATAAAATAAAATATCTACTCCCCTTATCACCATAATCTTTGGTCTTCCATTTTCTCCAATTACTGAAATTAAAACATTTTAGGGTTTTTCCCTGTTTTTTTTTTGTTGTTGTTTGTTTGTTTGTTTTTAGATAGGGTCTCGCTCTGCCACCCAGGCTGGAGTGTAGTGGCTCAATCTCAGCTCACTGCAGCCTCAATCTCCTAGGCTCAAGCGATCCTCTTTCCTCTGCCTCCCAAGTAGCTAGGACTACAGGCACGCACCACCGCATTCGCCTATTTTTTATTTTTATTTTTTTAGAGATGGGGTATCTTCATGTTGCCCAGGCTGGTCTCAAACTCCTGGGCTCAAGTGATCCTCCCACCTCAGCCTCCCAAAGTACTGGGATTATGGGCATGAACCAGCACATCCAGCCCTTCTCTTTCTGTTATAGGGATCACTTTTATTTCTCTTTTCTAAGAGTGAGACTTCCATCTGTGCCTCACTCAGTGGCAGGAAGAACAGAGCAGAGATAAAGGACTGGCCTACCACCCTCTATTCCAAAGACCTTGGCTCCTAGAAAGGGAAGCCAGGAATTCCCTAAAGGAAAGAGCAAAGAACTGAGGCCCAGGAAGAGCAAGGAGCACAAGGGAGCAAAGTCCCAATGTAATTAACGTAAATTAATTCTTTAAAACCAGGTCACACCCTACCCAATCCCACCCAACCCCCGGCAAACTACCCCTCGTCTTAGTTAACTCACTCTGCACATTACCAGAAACTTTCTGTGCCTTTGAAATGCAGTAAGGGATTGTGTTGTTTTCACACAGGTGGTAAATTACCACTTCAGGAAAGAGGAAAAAAGAAATAGGGCATGTGGAATATGTGAAAAAAAAGAAATCAGATTGGGACACTTTGGGTCATAGAAGCCAAGCAGATGTTTTCCACCCCATCCTCTGGCCATGTACACACTGTACTAGTTATCACTTTGTTGGAAATCTAAAGAAAAAAATGCTTTGAAATCTATTCTATTATATAACACAATGAAGTGTGTTCCCCCAAATTCTTATATTGACGCTCTAATCCTCATTGTGACTATATTTGGAGATAAGTCCTTTAAAAAGGTAATTAAGTTTAAATGAGGTCATAATGGTGGGGCCACAATCCAATAAGACTGTTGTTCTCATAAGAAGAAGAGAGGCCAGGCAGGGTGGTGCTCACCTGTAATCCCAGCATTTGGACACCAAAGCAAGAGGATCACTTGAGCCCAGGAGTTAGAGACCAATGACCAGCCTGGGCAACATAGTGAGACCCTGTCTCTACAAAAAATTAAAATATTAGCTAGGCATGGTGGCATGCACCTGTCATCCCAGCTACTTGGGAGACTGAGGTGGCAGGACTGCTTGTGCCCAGGAGTTCAAGGCCGCCACAGACTATGACTGCACCACTGCACTCCTGCCTGGGTGACAGAGTGAGACCCTGTCTCTAAAAGCACGGAAAAAGAAGAGAAAGAGGAAGAGAAAGCAAAAATGTGTGTAGAGAAAAGGCCATTTATGCCACAGTGAGAAGGTGGCCATCTGTAAGCTAAGGAGAGAAGCCTCAGGAGAAAGCAAACCTGCCAATATCTTGATCTTGGGCTTCCAGACTCCAGAGCTGTGAGAAAATAAATGTTTGTCGTTTATGCTATCTATAGTGTTTTTTATGTCCTAGCAAATTAATACACCTCAATAGCCTAACTGTTCTCAATCTAAGTGAGAAGATCCCACCCCATAGGTAAAAATCAGGCAATACCTGAGACACTCAATATTTACCAGAGATAATATTAAAATGGCTTATCTGTAAAATACAGGTACCAACCAATCAGAACCAATGGCGCCATAAACAACCAATGCCAGCCACCCTGTAGTGCCCCAGCTGAATATCCTCCCTGCTTGCAACTGCAGCTAACAATATTGTTCAGTACCCAGCAAATTTATCCCAAGATGGGGCTTAAGTTACTTCATTAATTAATTAGAGAGCCATCTATCAAGCAGCTTCTATGTTCCAGGCATTTAGCATAAAAGGGGGCTCATCCCAAGCACCTTCTCTCTGCCACTTCTGTGCTTCTGTCCCTTTCAATCTACCTATCAAATTATTTGAATGTAAAATATTAGATCATAAGTCAGAAGACGGGGATTTAGAGCTCCATTTCAATCTGTCACTTAGCTTAAATGACTCCAGTTTACACAGCCTCAGTTTCCACATCTGTAAAATAAAGATATAGTCTTGCCTTCCCTGTCCACATCACAGTGGGTTCTGAAATAAAATGAATATAACTATGAATGTGCTTTATTGGCCGGGCACAGTGGCTCACGCCTGTAATCCCAGCACTTTGGGAGGCCGAGGCGGGTGAATCACGAGTTCAAGTGATTGAGACCATCCTGGCCAACATGGTGAAACCCCATCTCTACTAAAAATACAAAAATTAGCTGGGTGTGGTGGCACACACTTGTAATCCCAACTACTCGGGAGGCTGAGGCAGGAGAATCGCTTGATCCCGGGAGGTGGGCAGAGATCACACCACTGCACTCCAGCCTGGCGACAGAGTGAGACTCTGTCTCAAAAAAAAAAATGCTTTATTAACTGTGAGCAAGTTCCAAATATTATGATTACTTTTTGCATTTTTCTGCCTATTGATCTACTCAACAACACAGAGCTCAGATCCTAGTTATCCATGCACAATACTCATTTTTCTTTATGTTTTAGAAGTTTTCTCTGGCTGCTCTAGCTAGAAGTGATCTCTTCTTTTCTTGAACTTGAATTACATTGTTTAATTCTTTTATTATGAAGCATGTGCTGTATCATGAATTTCTAGTATTGATATTTTTCCATGTAATAAAATACTAGTGCTGATTTTCTTTTTTTTTTTTTTTTTTTTGAGACACGATCTTGCTCTGTTGCCCAGGTTTAGATCATGGCTCATTGTAACCTTGAACTCCTGGGCTCAAGCAATCCTCCACCTCAGCCTCCCAAAACACCGGGATTACAGGCATGAGCCACCACTCCTGACCTGATATGTTATACTGTCAATGTTTACACTATTCTGTCTCCCTACCCAGAGTGTAAGCTTTTTTAAGGAGTGTCTTTCACAAAGTGTAGATATTTAAAAAATATTTTTAGGACAGTTTTTGGAATATATGTGTAACTAGGGCGCAAATAATGGATCCTACTCCAACCCCAGACAATGCTTGAGCATCTGTGTGCCACAAACAGCAGAAAAAGCAGCAGACTGGCCTCCCTCTATGGAGCTACAACCTCTTCCCTATTTTGTATCTGGAGCTTCCTTAGTTCTTTAAGTGTCTGTTAGGGGCTCTTATCTAACTGGTCGAAGGTTACTAGCTTCCAAGTAGAAGTTGGCCTGAGAAAACCCTGTCTAAAAAAATCAGGACCTAGGTGAAGTCTCCAGCCCCTGTAGCAGCCAAGTGCTGGGACATCTGCAGTTCCTTTGTTATTACATATTTGGGGCTGGCTGTACTTTCTTTGATGCACTTCCTTTCTTAGTGGAGAGTCTGCTAGCCAAACTGATAATGGACCTCCTCGGGGTTTATTGTTTTTATCAATTCCTTGTTGCTTCCCATATTTAAAGCAGTCCCAGTTTGGGCTATGACTTGGGAAAAAATCCAGGTGTGGTTCAGGCGCCCATAAAGACCACACGAGACTTCAGGTAGGGGAGGAGGCACTGCCCCTTTGCTGGAAGCAAAGTTGAGACAGGCCTAAAGACTGTCCCATCTGTCAAATAAGGTGACGAAAATAACCTTGTATTTGATTAATCCAATCTACAAACTTGTGCGTATGTTAAAGGTTGGTGGTCATAAAACTGAGTAAAGGCACGGTGGCTTGTCCCTGTAGTCCCAGCTACTGGGAAGGCTTAGGCAGGAGATCAAACTCAGGAGTTTGAGTCCAGCATAGGCAAGACCCCATCTCTATTGAATTTTTTTTTTTTTTTTTTTAGTAAAACGATGAAATCTTCTAGTAGTGGAGACACTAATGAAAAGATAATTTAACAATTTGATCAGCAATGGGGAAAGACGGGGCTCTGTAAGGACAGCTTCCAGGAAAACCCAGTCTTGTGTCCTGTCCTGAAAGTGACTCTAGCGACAAAGGCTGGAGTGATAATCTTAACTTTTTAATCCATTTCCTTCTGGTACCTCATTACTCTGACTTTTTAAAGGTACTTCTTTGAGTAGAACAGCTAACTTTGTCTACTGTTCCCCACCGTCCATTTTCTCCCCGCTCAGAAGATCCCAAGCTTCCGCACTCCTTTATTGCACCCGCCCAGCCTCCTTTAAAATGCATAAGCCACGCCCCCCATGTTCTGGCGCTAAGTTCGGGCCAATGCAGTTGCGCCGCTAGGATCACAGGACGAAAGAAGTAAAGTCACCAGCCAATAGGAAACCAGCTACAACGCAAAGCCGGAGAAAAGTGTTTTAGTGGTGTCTTTGAACCAATGAGGAGCAGAGCAACAGGGACCGTGCAGCTTCCAGAAACACGTGACCAGTTGAGCAGACGCAGCCTAGCCCTACCTCCTGGTCTGGAGGTAGCGCGATGGGCGTCGCTCCCAATAGCTTGCAGAACCTCTAGTCACGTGCAGGTTTTGCAAGCCCAGCAGCATCTGGCAGGTCATGTGACAGTTGACGTTTGTGCGTCGCTCCCCAATGGAAAAGGAGAGCTGCCTTCACAGGACCAGGAATTGGTTTATCTACGCGAATAATAGCATGACCCGGGCGGGGATAGCCTATCACGTGCTGCTAGACGGAACGGGGCGGGGCAGGCCACTGGTTGCGGAGTGAGCTGGGCGCGCGGCGCGCAGGCGCCCTGGGGACCCGGTAGCGGCGGTGGCGGTGGCGGCGGTGGCGGTGGCTGCGGCGACGGCAGAGGCGAAGGGAGCCGGATCGCCGACCTGAGCGGGAGGCGGCGGTGGCGGCCATGGCGGCAGATGGAGAGCGTTCCCCGCTGCTGTCTGAGCCCATCGACGGTGGCGCGGGCGGCAACGGTTTAGTGGGGCCCGGCGGGAGTGGGGCTGGGCCCGGGGGAGGCCTGACCCCCTCCGCACCACCGTACGGAGCCGGTAAACATGCCCCGCCCCAGGGTAAGCCGGGGCGGGTCCGAGGTGCTCCCCGGGGTACTCTGAAAGCCGGGGAGGGGGCGGGACCGAGGGCGGAGGCGGGTCCCAGTCGCCAGGTGCGGGACTGCTGCACCTGTGACTGGGCGAGGCTTCCTTCCCTCCGTAATCGCGACCACAGCCTAGGGACGGAAGGGGGTTCTGAGCAACCTGATAGAAGTGCCAATTATGAGAAGCCCTCCGAGCTTGGTCAGAGGGTTGAAGATCAGAAGGACTTCCCTACCACCGTGGAGCATCAGTGGGGGTGTAAGTGATCCCAGCCCTTCTATTTGCTTCCTCTCCAGCATTTCCCCCGTTTCCCGAGGGGCATCCAGCCGTGTTGCCTGGGGAGGACCCACCCCCCTATTCACCCTTAACTAGCCCGGACAGTGGGAGTGCCCCTATGATCACCTGCCGAGTCTGCCAATCTCTCATCAACGTGGAAGGCAAGATGCATCAGCATGTAGTCAAATGTGGTGTCTGCAATGAAGCCACCGTGAGTTACACATATCTATGAAATGGGCCCTGTTTCCTGGATCCTCTTTCTGATGTCTTGGTTCTAGACCCTGACCTTCCGGCTATTAGCCAAGTGCTTTTGATGATACCCAGGTTTCAGTTCCAGGTGTCTCACACAGCCATTTCCCCAGAAGCCACTCACCAAAGCTAATGTTCACTTTCTCTCACTTTTACACCTAGCCTAGTTCCTATTTGCAAATCTCATGATATAGTCTTTCTTTTATTTCTCCTTCCTGGTTAGCACCTTATTTTTCTGATCTCATAAAGTGTTTTTGGAGGGAAGTGGAGGGGATTGGGATTAGAGGTTTGCTTGCTGATGACCCTATTATTCTCTAGCCAATCAAGAATGCACCCCCAGGGAAAAAATATGTTCGATGCCCCTGTAACTGTCTCCTTATCTGCAAAGTGACATCCCAACGGATTGCATGCCCTCGGCCCTACTGGTAAGAGGCATAAGGTGGGGAAGGGCCTAAGTGGGGAACTGGAAAGTCAAAAAAGGATGAGCGTATACAGAGAATGTAAAGGTGAGAGAGCCTAGTGTTTATTTAGGAGAAAAGGCTTTGAAGCATGTGCCTCAGGAATGTTATAGCTGTCTTTCTCGTTTCTCAATAAAAATATTGAGATGAAATGATGTCGTTTCGGAGAATAGAGAGCCTTGGGGACTGGGTGTGTTATCCTGAGGTCGGAGGGGAATTGGGGACCTGAAGTTTAAACAGTGCTCTTTCTTTCTCAAGGATTCTTGAGGGTATACAGTTGGGGGACAGAGTATCTTAAGTACAGAGAAGTCGAGTGACTTAATAGACAGGGAGTGGGGGATGTGGAACAGGGACTGTGAAGATTTTTAGGATTAAAAATTTTTCAAACACAAGTTTGAAAATACAAGTCTTTTTCTTTTGTATAGCAAAAGAATCATCAACCTGGGGCCTGTGCATCCCGGACCTCTGAGTCCAGAACCCCAACCCATGGGTGTCAGGGTTATCTGTGGACATTGCAAGAATACTTTTCTGGTGAGGAAGGGGTATTGGGAAGGGGAGGGGAAAGGAGACTAAGAGTCATTTCGAGTATATTTCTTAGAGTAATGGTAATGACCCCTGAAAGGTCTGTCCTATGGGAACATGTTCTGCATCCCCACCCCAAGGTTCTCATTGAGGGAGACCCTGCTTGTGCTATTATTTTTGTTTTCTTTCTCCATAGTGGACAGAGTTCACAGACCGCACTTTGGCACGTTGTCCTCACTGCAGGAAAGTGTAAGTGATTAGGGATTGAGCTGGTAATTGATGTATGGAGTAAAAACTACAAGGCCATAGAAAGCATCCATTTCTATTTGCCTCCCCACAGGTCATCTATTGGGCGCAGATACCCACGTAAGAGATGTATCTGCTGCTTCTTGCTTGGCTTGCTTTTGGCAGTCACTGCCACTGGCCTTGCCGTGAGTACCCTTGCCCCAACCTCTTTCATTCTGCAGCCTCATCTCCATAGGCTAAGATTTGGGAAACTGCTACCCTAAAAAAAAGTGGAAGAAACTTGGGGGACTAGTTTGTTTTGTTTTAAGATATGGATGAGCTAAAGTGCAAAGTGGCTGATCAAACAGACTTTATTACTACTACAAGAGTGAAAAACAGCCTTCCTTTCTCTGTAGGATGAGGATAGGACAGTGAAATTCTTAATTTAAGAGTTGCTATTTTTCAAACCTGGCTCAGTTGTCAGATATTAAGAAAAACTGAGATACAGTGTGGGATGGGATGAGTATGTTACGCCTAAGGGAAGGAAGCTGATCAGCTCTGCCTTTAAGAAGGTCCCTGAGGGTGGCTACATGTGGATAAGGAACAAGGACTGAAGCGTGAGTTATTACTGTTCTTAGAACTAATAGGAGGTAGTGGAGACCAACATTAACCCCATCTTTCTTTTCTTCTCCCTCCTTATCTTCATCAGTTTGGCACATGGAAGCATGCACGGCGATATGGAGGCATCTATGCAGCCTGGGCATTTGTCATCCTGTTGGCTGTGCTGTGTTTGGGCCGGGCTCTTTATTGGGCCTGTATGAAGGTCAGCCACCCTGTCCAGAACTTCTCCTGAGCCTGATGACCCACAGACTGTGCCTGGCCCCTCCCTGGTGGGGACAGTGACACTACGAAGGGAGCTGGGGTAGTTAAAGGCTCCCGGGGCTTCTAGAAGGAAGCCAAGCAGCTGCCTTCCTTTTCCCTGGGGAGAGGTAGGAAGGAACCAGGCCCTCACTTAGGTTTGGAGGGGCAGATAAGAGCACTGCTGACCATCTGCTTTCCTCCAAGGGTTGCTGTGTCTAGGGTGAAGTAGGCAAAACGTTGCCCTTAAAACTGGGCCCTGAAGACGGTTCCAGCCTTGTCCTTCCTGTGTGCTCCCTGAGAGCCATTCCTGTCCCTTACACATTCCAGGGCAGGGTGGGGGTGGGTAGCCCTGGGGGTTCCCCTCCCTCTTGTGCACCATTAGGACTTTGCTGCTGCTATTGCACTTCACCAGAGGTTGGCTCTGGCCTCAGTACCCTCAGTCTCCTCTCCCCACATTGTGTCCTGTGGGGGTGGGGTCAGCCGCTGCTCTGTACAGAACCACAGGAACTGATGTGTATATAACTATTTAATGTGGGATATGTTCCCCTATTCCTGTATTTCCCTTAATTCCTCCTCCCGACCTTTTTTACCCCCCCAGTTGCAGTATTTAACTGGGCTGGGTAGGGTTGCTCAGTCTTTGGGGGAGGTTAGGGACTTATCCTGTGCTTGTAAATAAATAAGGTCATGACTCTACGCTTTTTCAGTTGTTAACTTGTGTGCATGAAAATATGAGGAAGAGAATGTGTAGCCCCACGAAGGGGTAAGACACGAAGACAGCAAGGCTGAAACTATGGCTCTTTATTTTCATGTGGATAATTCAAACAAAGTCATTAGTAGTCTTTGTTCAATTTTTTTTTAAAAAACAAAAAACCCTCAAATAAAAAATCTTGGGCTTAAAAGAACTCTATCACAGGAGCCTGGTTGGAGGATTCCTAGTTTTATACATGAGAAATAGAATGCAGATTTCTCTGAAGAGTGTTTAAAGAAGGAATGGTAGTTGAGGGGGCTTATTTCCCAGGCTCAAAGTGATTTAGGGGTGGTGTCACAGTGCTAGGTATAGGGTGATAGGACAGTGATCACTGCCGAGGGCCTTGGAACGGATCTTGCTGTCACACAATGCAGGTAACAGAGAGTGGGACAACAAAAAGTAATCAAGGCGCCAACCAACATTCTTGGATCGAGCATTCATCATATAAGTCCAAAAGGTGTAGGCATAGGGTGTGTTGGGGTAGAGGTGCCTAAAGCTGTCAGCCAGTGGCACAGCCTGCAGTAATTCCCCGAAGCCTTGGCGCTCTTGTGGCGTGAAGCCAGCATTCTTTTTGTTCCCCTTGGGGTTGCGAAGGTCAATTTCTTCATGTGCCACATTGAGGTCTCCACACAGCACAAGGGGCTTTCGGGAAGCCAGGCCCTTCAGGAACTTGCGAAAGGCTTCATCCCAGCGCTGCCGGTACTCCAGTCGTACCAGACCTCGGCCTGCATTAGGTACATATGCTGTTACCAGCACAAACGAGTCAAATTCAGCCACAATCACCCGGCCTTCCTGATCATGCTCCTCATCGCCTATAGAAATGAAACAGAATTAGCATAAAAAACTATAAGAAAAGGGAAAGCAATCAAGAGGTGGGGCAGAGATAGAGAATTAGCAATTGGTTTTGAAGAGTTCAGGCATTAGGCATCAATAGGGTCTCACCTATGCCGTAAGAAACTTTGAGTGGGCACTGGCGGGAAAGCAGGCCCACGCCACTGTACCCTTCCTTGTCCGAAGGAGCTGACCAGTATTGATGAGAGAGTCCAGGCAGCTCCTGAAGTTCAGCTGGTAGTTTGTTCTCTGAACATTTGGTCTCTTGAAGGCACAGTATATCTGGGGCTTCTTCCTTTACCCACTGTAAGTGAAAAGAAAGGTGGAAAACGTATTATCAATTCAGCAGAACATTTATTGAATAATCTATATGCTAAGTCATAGATACGCACGGGTTAAACAGTCTCTTGGCCTAAGGAGTTCGAGTCAAGCAGCACAATATTCAAACAATTCTAAGCTAGATAAATGAAAACAAATATAGAGAGGTAAGAAAGTCTTACATGCTATGCCAAGGAGATGTGTTTTTTCTATAGGCAGTGGATAGCAAGCTAAGATTTTTAAGCTATGGTTAATGGAATGGAGGACATGCTTCATATGGAATGCAATGCAGGAAGATAAAATGGAGGAAGTATAGTGAAGAGGTTTTTGCAACATTCTGGGAAGAGGAGAGAACACTAAAAAAGAAAATGGCAATGGAAGTGAAGGAACAGACATTTAGGAAATACAACTGGCAAGACTGGGGAAGCCCCACAGAAAACTACGGGCAGGAGAAAAATAAAACAGCCTGAAGGCTAAACGGAGAAAAGGGGTGACTAAACCCTAAGACCATTCAATACTAAAAAATGTCTCTTTCCCTCAAATTCCACTCACATCTAATCCTTTCTTCTTAATCCAGGCTCGAAGCCCATCCACATTCCAAGAGCAGATCTTGAGTGTGGCAGGTTTGCCACTGGGTGAGGTTTTCTGATCTGGGGGGTCCTCATACAGGGCTGGGCCCTCTCCTGCTGCCTCTTTGTCATTTTTCTTTGCGGCCGTCTTACTCTTCTTGGCCTCTGGCTCTATAAAATGAGTAATATATACTGACAAAAAGCTGGTGGTTTCCAACTGCGATCCGGCGTTAACTATAGACCCAACGAAAGCCTACGGTTCCTGCGACTTCTTCACAAACCCCTGCAAAAATGAGTCGGCCCGTACTTACCGTACATCAAGGGAATGACAAACACCCCCGCCGCAGCTTCTAGGAAGAAGGGCTGATTTCATTCCCTTACCTGTCCTGAGCTCATCCCCGTCTTCCGCCACCGCTCCCTTTTTCCCACGCTTCGGCATTCCCGTTACGAACGCCCTTGGGCAGCTGTACCGCGTCACCCACCGAAGCAATATTTTTACCGCGTTGCCTACAGACGCAAAGAAATCATGAAACCAGCTAAGGCTGGGGAGAAGACTCCTCCCAAGAGCGTCCCCGCACCAGGTCCCGCCTTTCAAACCACGTTATCTCTAAATCCTTTCCCCGCCTCCGTGCATCATAGGCCCTTCAGCCCCTCACCCACGAAACTAGATCATTTCATAGTGCCTTGTACCCTACTCGCGAGATCTGCCCTCCAGCCAATTGAGGATCTTAATTAAGGGTCCTGACTCAAGCTTGCCGTTCAGACTGCCAGCGAAGCCCCTCTTATGAGCAAAAGAGCAACCCCGTATCTGCACCGGCCCGATGGCAGCCTAGCTCCTCCTAACCCGAGCACAAAGAAGGGTGCACGCTGAGCCCCCACGTGGGTAGCGGACCTGGTCACGTGATCAGAGGCGCGCTTGTCGTGGCCGAAGAATGCGCGTGATTGGTCTGTCTGACACCACGTGACGGAGACGCTTAGCCTCGCCTCCCTCCTCTAATTCTCTAGGACACTTAGGTCCCCAACCCTCCCTCGGGCTGTTTATCGTTGTGCCAGATGCACAGCACATTGTGTGACACTGACTTAAGATTCTAACTATGTGCAAGAGGGAAAAAAACAGTGGAGAAGGCTGGGCTGGACCACGGGAAAGAGATAGGAAAACGGATACGAATGTAAGGCACAGAGTTGGCTCGGCGTCCCTGGCAGTTAGGAAGACAGGTCCCTGGAGGGGCCTTGGCGGGTCTCCGCTCGCGGGAGTTCCGCGGTGTCTTTCCCAGTGCTATCTGCAGGCTGGCCAGCTTCCTCTGCGCTCCGGAAAGCTGCGGCCCAGCGCGGACTAGTGAGGACCTCCACAGCTCCTGACATTGCCAGGAGTCCTGTCGGCGTTTTCTCCCAGCCTCCGCCATGCCGGCGGTGCTGGGTTTTGAAGGCAGCGCCAATAAGATTGGCGTGGGCGTGGTGCGGGATGGCAAGGTGCTGGCGAACCCGCGGCGGACTTACGTCACGCCTCCTGGCACAGGTTGGTGAGTAGGGGACTTAAGAGTTTTCCGCGCACTTCCCCGCACAGAATCAGCCTTCCATCTTCCTAAATACTAGTGAGGTGCAGCTTTCGATCCGAGTCTCATTGAAATTATGTGACATTATTAACGTCACAAGGCTGATGACTAGAAGAGTTACAGGCACTTGGACGTGGATCTGATGAGTTCATTTACCTTTTACTGAGCGCATTTTATGTGCTAAGTATTCAGAAATAGATGTTATACTGCTGTGGAGTCAGACATATAAATAGATGTTTATACTACAGCATGATAAACAGTATAATAGAGATGGACTCGAAATATTCTGTTTAAAAAACGCTTAGCAGGAGTATAGATTCCAGTTGCCCTGAATATACACTCCCTTTTTAAAAAAAAATTATTTTTTGAAATATTCTAGGATGAGTAGAGAGATGAGAGTGGAAAGACTCCCGGCTTACATGTCAGACAGAACTGGCTGGCTTTGCTATATTCATATTAAATATTTTTGTTTTGGACATTTGGTCTTTATTTTTTATTTTATTTTATTTTTTTGAGACAGAGTCTTGCTCTGTCGCCCAGGCTGGAATGCAGTGGCACGATCTCGGCTCACTGCAATCTCTGCCTTCCAGGTTCAAGCGATTCTTCTACCCCAGCCTCCCAAGTAGCTAGGACTATAGGTGTGCGCCACCACATCCAGCTAAATTTTGTATTTTTAGTAGAGTCGGGGTTTCCACCAGGCCAAGCTGGTCTCGAACTCCTGACCTCAGATGATCCGCCCACCCCAGCCTCCCAAAGTGTGGAAATTACAGGCATGAGCCACCGCTCGGGCCTGGTCTTTGTTTTTAAAATGGGAATAATACCTGTATCATTAGGTCTTGAAGATTAGATGAAAGTACCAAACACGGCTGGGCGTGGTGGCTCACGCCTGTAATCCCAGCACTTTGGGAGGCCAAGGCAGGCAGATCACCTGAGGTCGGGGTTCGAGACCAGCCTGACCAACATGGAGAAACCATGTTTCCACTAAAAAATACAAAAAATTAACTGGGCGTGGTGGCGCATGCCTGTAAACCCAGCTACTTGGGAGGCTGAGGCAGGAGAATTGCGTGAACCCGGGAGACAGAGGTTGCAGTGAGCCGAGATGGTGCCATTGCACTCCAGCCTGGGCATCAAGAGTGAAACTCTGTCTCAAAAAAAAAAAAAGTACAAAACACATTACAACTTTTAATTGATATTTTAAATAAGCTATTATATCTTGCTACTCTCCCCTCAAACACTTGCATACATAGGAGAGGGCAGCTGACTTGCATGTATCTGAAAAGCCTCCCTGAACAGGTGATGTTGTGACAGATACTCACTAGAAATATATATGTATGTTTAGCATTCACTCCTCTGGGCACTTGGGCACTGGGAATACAAAGATAAATAAAATACTCAATGCTTTGAGATATTCATGATTAAGCTGAGCAAACCACAGAAAATTATAATGCTGTAATTGTTATGTTAAATAAATGACATCATCATGCATAGAGTTCTGTAGGGTCACAGAGAAAGAAGATCACCAAAGGCCAGGCACGGTGGCTCAGGCCTGTAATCCCAGCACTTTGGGAGGCCGAGGCAGACGGATCACGAGGTCAGGAGTTCGAGACCAGCCTGGCCAATATGGTGAAACCCCGTCTCTACTAAAAATACAAAAGTTAGCTGAGCGTGGTGGTGTCGCCTGTAGTCCCAGCTACTCAGGAGGCTGAGGCAGAAGAATCTCTTGAACTCAGGAGGTGGAGGTTGCAGTGAGCCGAGATCGTGCCACTGCACTCCAGCCTGGGTGACAGAGCTGAGACTGTCTCAAAAGAAAAAAAAAAAAAAAAGATCACGAAAGGGTATGAGGTAGATACTACTTGCATTGAGACCTGAAGGCTGAGTAGGGTAAGAAGAAGAGCATTTCTGAAAGTTGAATAGCCTATATAGAAGCCGGAAAGAGTAGATGTGAAAATGTGGAAGATAGGATGCTTGGGGAAAGTGAAAGGACTCTTACTACATCACTAAAACTCCTGTTGCTTTCTTTAACTTCCTACCTACCTTTGCTACAGAAAATCCCTGTGATCTCTGACCTATGTTCATTTTCTAGGATTCCTTCCAGGTGATACAGCCAGGCATCACCGAGCTGTTATCCTAGACCTGCTGCAGGAGGCACTAACAGAGTCTGGATTAACCTCCCAGGATATCGACTGCATTGCATACACCAAGGGTATGGCTGGGAGAGTGGTCAACGATGGAGGAATATACCTGCAACCTGGCTAGGTCAAAATAGCCAACACCTTACCTCTGCCACCATCACTACCCCTACCCCACCTCACATCCCTTATGTCCCCCACTATTGTTTTTTTCCAATCTCTAGGATTATAACTTCCATTTCTATCTCCCTAGGCCCTGGCATGGGTGCCCCACTGGTTTCTGTGGCTGTTGTGGCCCGTACTGTGGCCCAACTGTGGAATAAGCCATTGGTGGGTGTGAACCACTGTATAGGCCACATTGAGATGGGCCGCCTCATCACTGGAGCCACCAGCCCAACCGTGTTGTATGTGAGTGGAGGAAATACGCAGGTATTTAGAGGGCTCTACCCACTCCATCTCAATTTCTGAGGCACTGAACCAGTATTTTCTTTGTTCTATCTGAGTCATGGGAATGTCAGGAACAAAGATGGACTTATCTGAACCTAAAATACTGTAGACCAGAAAACCCCCAACAGAGTTTGTAACATTGCAAATTTTGGCAGCATGATCAGAACATTAGATGGCTTATCATTATCAGACTTTATATCTGATTATAAAGATTAGGAATTTCTACTTCAGGAAAGGAATGAATGGGATTGAAAAGGATTGAAATCTTCAAAATAATGAATATCTGAAAGCTCTTGCATTATTTTGAAGCTTATTTTTTCTATAAATCTTAGCAATTGAAACTAACAGTTGCTGGGTATGGCAACTCATGCCTGTAATTCCAGCACTTTGGGAGGTCGAGGCGGGTGGATCATCTGAGGTCAGGAGTTTGAGCCCAGCCTGGCCAACGTGGCAAAACCCCATCTGTACTAAAAATAACAAAAATTAATTTGATGTGGTGGCAGGTGCCTGTAATCCTAGCAACTCCGGAGGCTGGGCAGGAGAATCACTTGAACCCAGGAGGCGGAAGTTGCGGTGAACCGAGATCGCACCATTGCATTCCAGCCTGGGCAACAAGAGCAAAACTCCGTCTCAAACAAACAAACAAACAAAAAACAAAAAAAAACAACTAAAGGACACTACCTGATTTATTATTTTGGGGCAAGTACATGTTTTGTTTTTATATTACTGGGAATGATTATGTAGACTTTGTTATTCTAAGAGTTTAGAAATATAAATAACTTTAAAAAATACTTTGTAAATTATAGAAGGTATTTTATTTTATCTTATTTATTTATTTATTTATTTGAGATGGAGTTTCGCTCTTATTGTCCAGGTTGGAGTGCAATGATGCAACCTTGGCTCATTGCAACCTCTGCCTCCCGGGTCCAAACTATTCTTCTCTACTCCCGAGTAGCTGGGATTACAGGCACCCGCCACCATACCTGGCTAATTTTTTGTGTTTTTAGTAGAGACGGGATTTCACCCTGTTGGTCAGGCTGGTCTTGAACTCCTGACCTCAGGTGATCCACCTGCCTCGGCCTCCCTAAGTGCTGGGATTACAGGCGTGAGCCACCATGCCCGGCCAGAAGGTATTTTAAATTTATAGGTGAAGCTAAAGTTGTTTGGGTTACCTTATATGACCTTTTTAAGGTTGGGATTGGATTCTTTTCCAACAGAACACTTGATTATCATTAGAAATAGTTCAGCATTGTCCCCAGCTCATGAAAGGGTTGTGTCGAGAAGATGAGGCACATGTTTCCCATGAAAATGATGCAGAAACTTCAGCAGGTAGAGGGCAAGTAGTTGGTTGAGGCCTGAAGGATGACATACAAGGTCAGAGACTTGGGTTGTGGAAAGTATAATGGAGGCTACAAGAGTTGATGAAAGGAGCAGTGACGGTTTTGTCTTCCTCTTCTCTTTTAATGTTTGCTTAGGTGTAAGAAACAGGGAGGGTGATTAGGTGGAGAGGAGTGGATAGCAGAAGCAGAAAGGCAGGATTTTTCCTTCGCCTTTGTTACTGTCTTTTTGACAGCAGATTAAGATCTGTATCAGAAAGGGAAGAAATCCCTAACAGCACTGGGAAGGGAAAGGGACTTCTTAAGGTTCGTAGGAAGCCCTCGGTGTTATAAGTCTGCAGAATATGTGTCAGTAAGGGACAGATATTCTCTGTGCTAAAAGTTGGTCACATATGAAGAACGGCCTTAATACAAAAAAGTGGTGGTGGGTGCCTGTAATTCCAGCTGCTTGGGAGGCTGAGGCAGGAGAATTGCTTGAACCTGGGAGGCAGAGGTTGCAGTGAGCTGAGATCACGCCATTGCACTCCAGCCTAGGCGACAGAACAAGACTCTGTCTCAGAAAAAAAAAAAAAAGAAAAGAAAAATGGCCTTAAGTGAATTGCCATTGCTGACTTGGCTGGGCCATTAGTCTGACTCCATATGAGATTTTTGAGTTCTTCAGCTCTGCTTCTTGGTTCTAAATACCACTGCCCAGCTGCATACGGTGGTTCACACCTATAATCCCAGCACTTTGAGAGGCTGAGGCAGGTAGATTGCTTGAGACCAGGAGTTTGAGACCAGGCTGGGCAACATAGTGAGACCCCCATCTCTACAAAAATATAAAAATAAGCCACACATGGTAGCCCAGCTACTCAGGAAGCTGAGGTGGGAGGATCCTTTGAGCCTAGGAGGTGGAGGCTACAGTGAGCTATGATCACACCACTCCACTCCAGCCTGGGAGACAGAGCGAGACCCTGTCTCAAAAAAAAATTACCACTGCCACTGTGTCATAATTTAGAAGGATTCATGTTCTCTGCCTCCAAGCAGAAAAGCCGGTTACCTACTATCAAGACTGCATTTAAGGGATATATTAGGAACTTCTAAGCCGGAAAACCAATGTATTTGAAATGACAATTTATTTCTGCCTGAACCTACACTGTCTAGGAATCTGTTCCTGGAATCCTCAGGGTATACAGATTTCTTCTCAAATCAGAGCTGTAAAAACTACCCATTCACCATTTGGGAAACACCTTTCTTCCACTTCTTATTGGAAGCCCTGGTGGTCATGTTGATCCTCTGCTATGTTTTTCTCCCAAAGCCAAATAATCCTCTTTACAGACTTGGGGTTTCATGGACTTCCTCATCACCCTTAGGTGATTGCATACTCGGAACATCGTTACCGTATCTTTGGGGAAACCATCGATATTGCAGTGGGTAATTGTCTGGATCGTTTTGCTCGAGTGCTGAAGGTAAGCCAGTGGGGCTGCAGAGAACATAAAATGTGGGTGAATTTTTGGGAAGCCATGGAGGTGGAGGGAGGAAATAGTAAATGAGCTTCTTATGCTTCCTGCATATCTGATTTCATCCTCTTCCATTCCCTCCTTCCTTATTTTTTTCTTCTGCTAGATTTCTAACGACCCAAGTCCAGGATACAACATTGAACAGATGGCAAAGCGGTAAGGGGACATAAGGTGGAAGCAGGCTGGCTGCTGGGGCTTCAGGGATTTCCCCATATACGGTATATATTAACAAAATTTGGGACGGGCTTTGGAGGGTGAGAAGCCAGCTGACTGTAGGCTTAGTGCCTCGTACGCTTATTCCCACATAGAGGCAAGAAGCTAGTTGAGCTGCCATACACTGTAAAGGGGATGGACGTCTCATTCTCAGGGATCCTGTCTTTCATTGAGGTGAGTGTGAGAGGTGATGAGACGGGCACTTTCATGCTTTTTAAATGAAGCATATCTGTTTTACTTACGATTATATTTCGTATAGCTCAGTATATTCATGTAGCACAGTACTGGTCCATATCATGTGCTGGGTAAATTCATTTAGAAGGTATTCATTGAATATCTCTGTGTGCCACATGCTGTTCTAGATAGTAGAGATGCAGCATGGAGCAAAACAAAAATCCCTGTCTACATGGAGCTTAGATTCTAAATGGGGGGCGGGGGAGATAAGAAAGAGGAAAATAATGAAGTGCCAGATGATGATGAGTACAGGTGAAAAATTAAGCAGGATAAGTAAGGGGTGAGAGATGTCAGGACAAGTATTCAAAAAGTAATGATTGCATCTTAAATGAAAGCTGCTCATTCTATGCCATGATGCCAGTGAAGGGAATGTGGTACAGGATGTGCTGGTAACTTGAATTGTGGTGAAACATGATGACCCTCCGAATGCATTAATTTTTGCTCTCGTGTAATCCCAAAACCATGATTTGTTGATTCTTTTGTTTTTCCCTTTAATTGTAGGATGTAGCCCATCGGATGCTGGCCACAGGCGAGTGTACTCCTGAGGATCTGTGTTTCTCCCTGCAGGTAATGCAGTAAAAAACTGGGACAGAAAGTTGGGGCTGAAGGTTTTATATTGTAGAGCAGAACTAATCTGGGATGCCCCTCTAATATTTTCTCCTTATCTGTCCCTGACAGGAAACTGTGTTTGCAATGCTGGTAGAGATCACAGAGCGAGCCATGGCACATTGTGGCTCCCAGGAGGCCCTCATTGTGGGAGGAGTGGGGTGTATGTATTATTGAAAAGTGTTCCTCTTTCCTATTCTTAACACTATGCGTCTTCCTCCTGGTACTCTAAATCATTAAGCGTTTGGAGTAGGCTTCCCAATCCTTGCCCCTAATCCCCTATGTCATTGTTCTAAGTGAGTGCACATGACGTGTTCTGCTGGACCATGAAGAGATGGCTAAAACTAAGCTAATCCTGTTCCCTGCCTCTTTGTAGGTAATGTGAGGCTACAGGAGATGATGGCAACAATGTGCCAGGAACGTGGAGCCCGGCTTTTTGCTACAGATGAGAGGTAAAGACACTTTCCCTTTGGTTTCTTTTTTACTTCTCCTGTTATAGTGATTTTCCACCCTTAGATCCCAATTTTCATCTCTCTTGCATCCCAGATTCTGTATTGACAATGGAGCGATGATAGCCCAGGCTGGCTGGGAGATGTTTCGGGCTGGACACAGGACCCCACTCAGTGATTCTGGGGTTACACAGAGGTGAGTGATTCACCTCTTGGTGAGGGTAGATTATTGGGACATAGACAAAAACAGCAGGGAAGAGTCCAGGAACATGAGGGCAGAGAAGAATGAAGGATGTTAAGGGCTCGCTCTCCACCATGTTTCTTCTGTTTTTCCACAGGTATCGGACAGATGAAGTAGAGGTGACCTGGAGGGACTAATAAGATCAACAGAATCAGAGTAGATAGTTCCTTAATCGGAACCCAAAGGACCCCGTGCCTCAATCTCTATCCTGATGTCATGGGAGTCCTAGCAAAGCTATAGACTCCAAGCAAGGCTTGGGGTCCTTTATGGAACCCCAGGATGACTCAGCAATAAAATATTTTTGGTTTTTTGGTTTTGTATGTTGGTGATTGGATTGTGTTGTTCAGGACCAATGTAGATTTGGTGCTGGATAAATTCTTGTTGGAGCTTGCTGCTGTGGAACCAAGAATGAGGTATCTTTTTTTTTTTTTTTAAGAAACGGAATCTTGCTGTGTTTCCCAGGCTGGTCTCGAACTGGGCTCAAGCAGTCTTACCACCTCAGCCTCCTGAGTAAGGATGCCATTGTGCCTGGCAACAATAGTAGTATCATAACTATTATTATAGCATCGGGTCCCGTGCTAACTGCTTTACATTCATTCTCTCATTTAAATTCTTTGAAGTAGGTGTGCAAGACTTCTCTCAAAATAGCCTGGAGGCTCACACCTGTTATCCCAGTGCTGTGGGAGGCCAAGTCAGGAGGATCCCTTGAGCCCAGGAGTTTGAGCCCAGCCTGGGCAAATAGCAAGACACCATCTATTTGAAAAATGTAAAAATTATCTGGGCATGGTGGCGCACATCTGTAGTCCCAGCTCCAAGGGAGGCTGAGGCGGGAAGATAGCTTGAGCCCAGGAGTTTGAGGTTGCAGTGAGCTGTGATTGAGCCACTGCATTCCAGCCTGAGTGACAGAACAAAACCTTGTCTCTTAAAAACAAACAAACAAACAGCCTGGAGATTGGTCTAACTTGTAACTCTAAAACTGCCTCTACTCCGTATACTTTCTCCTACATGCACATCCATCGGCAGGCTTGAGGAATGCCCGCAGATGCACATCCCTCCGTACCACAAACAACAGAACGAATCTCATACCCTTAATCTTATTGATGTTGATATCAATCATCACAATTAGTCCTAAACTACTGAGTCATCTCATCTTTTACACTTAATAACCATGTATCTCCACTCTGTTTTGTCTCCATCTACCTACCTTTTCCAACTCTAGAAGCTCTTCCACTGTGCCCTCTGGAACTGATGGCCAGTCATTTGTCAAATTCTCTGTGTCCTCAACCTCTTCTCTGAACGTTCCCTTCACATTTATGCTCTTCAGACTTGGTTTCTTATGAGGACTCTGCTTCTCCTACCACCTCAGTAGTGGTGGCATTTTCCCTTCCACACCCAGTGTCCCACTGGGCCTGGAGGTGGTGCACGTGTCCTCATACTGTTTCCAGACCATTATCCCTCATCCCTAGTACCCTTCTGCTTTGAAAGAAACTACCATACGAACACCACGTTTGTCATAAATCTTATTTCAGTATTCAGGTAGATCATACTAACACCCGCTTCAGCCACTTATTTCCTTGGTCATGTTCTGGAGCTGCAGATCCTCCACATCTCAGTTTCAGACGTCCCACTCTCGACTACCACCACCTCCTGTTCTTCCAGTTCATTTTCTTTAGTATGCTAAATCCAACAGTTCATCCCTTCACCAGGACCTACGGTCCATTGATCATACTTCCTTTCTGCAGATTTTATCCCCCACGTATTTTTATTTCCCTCCTTCAGCTAAATTCCCATAATCCACCTCATTTCCCTTCCCCTCTTTTGCTTTTGTCATATTCAACTCATCACCTACTTTAGACCCATGCAGCTGAAAGGGCTAGTAAAAAATAGCCATGCTGACTGATCTTACTTCAAACTTACGACCATGACACTAAAATGGGTCCTTTATGCCACCCAGAAATATGCCATCTCTCTAGTCCTTTCACTTGCCCTCTTTTCTAGTGACTGTTTCATACCTTCTGACCCCTCAAATCTCTTAACATCTCCCCCTATTCTGACTCTTACCTTAGTTCCTATTTCAGTAAGAAAATAGAAACAATCAGTATACATTTACAAGCTTTTGCCCCTGAAACTAACCATCTTCCAGTATCTGTACCCATGTACTCTGCCTTCCTCCTGTTACCATAAACCAGTGGTTCTCAACCAGAGCTGATTTTGCTTCTCAGAGGACACTGGATTGTCACCGTCGATAGGAGGATATTTTACTGATTAGAAGTCAGGGCTGGTTGCAGTGGCTCACCCCTGTAATCCCAGCACTGGGAGGCCAAGGCGGGTGGATCACTTGAGGCCAGGAGTTCAAGACCAGCCTGACCAGCAATGGTGAAACCCCTCTACTAAAAATACAAAAAATCAGCTGGCATGATGTTGCATGCCTGTAATCCCAACTACTTGGGCACGAGAATCGCTTGAACCCAGGAGGCGGAGGTTGCAGTGAGCCAAGATTGTGCCACTGCATGCCAGCCTGAGTGACAGAGCAAGACTCTTTCTCAAAAAAAGGGATAATTCTCCCTCTTTTCCTGGAGAGTCAGTATTTCCTTCTCTCCTGAATCCTGCCGTCCACAAATATGCCACTGTTTTCCTCATTTTACAAATAATGCCTGCTTGTCCCCATTTGCCCTTCCAGCTGCTTCCCATTTTTCTGTTCCACTTTACAGCAAAACTTAGAAAGACTTGTCTTCAATTTCTCTCCACCAGTTCCCTATTAAATCTCCACCAAAACTATTCTTATCACAGTCACTGATGACCTGCACATAGCTAAATCTAATGGCGTATTCTTCATCCTCAGAAGCTATCAGCAGCATTTGACACTCCCTCTTTGAAAAGTTTCCTTACTTGGCTTTAGGATGCATTCTCTGGTCTGCCTCCTAGCTTACTGACTGCCCTTTCTTAATCTCCTTTGCTAGTTTCTCCTCATCTCCACAGAGTTTAGTCCTCAGACTGCTCTCTTTACACATACACCTGTAGTGACTTCATCTAGTTGTATACATTAAAATCATTTTGATGGGGGTTACTCCCAGTTATAGTTCCAACCTGGACTTCTATCCCAAATACCTAGCTGCTCATTGGCACCTCCACTTGGATGCTTAATAGGCGTCTCAAATTTAACATATTCAAAATTGCACTTATTCTTTCCCCAACTTAGTCCTGTAGTCTTTCTTATTTCTGTCAACGACAACTCCATTCTAGTTGTTCATGTCAAAGTATCTTTGTCAGTTTTCTTTCTTCTCCAATTAATCAAATCCTCTTGGCTCTACCTTCAAAATACATCCAGAATTCCATTTCTCCTCACTTCCACTGCTGCCACTGTAGATCAAGCCAGAATTATGTGTCTTCAAGATTATTGCAGTAGCTGCTCCTTCTCCTTTCCCCATTGCCAACTTAGAGTCAATTCTCCACATAGCAGCCAGAGTGAATAGTGTTAGCGTGGAAGCCAGATCATGTTACTCTTCTGCTCAAAACCTTCAGTGCTTTCTTACATCAAAAGAAAAACCAGAGTCTTTTTATTTATTTTTTTTTAGTATTTATTGATCATTCTTGGGTGTTTCTCGGAGAGGGGGATTTGGCAGGGTCATAGGACAATAGTGGAGGGAAGGTCAGCAGATAAACATGTGAACAAAGGTCTCTGGTTTTCCTAGGCAGAGGGCCCTGCCGCCTTCCGCAGTGTTTGTGCCCCTGGGTACTTGAGATTAGGGAGTGGTGATGACTCTTAACCAGCATGCTGCCTTCAAGCATCTGTTTAACAAAACACATCTTGCACCGCCCTTAATCCATTTAACCCTGAGTGGACACAGCACATGTTTCAGAGAGCACGGGGTTGGGGGTAAGGTTATAGATTAACAGCATCCCAAGGCAGAAGAATTTTTCTTAGTACAGAACAAAATGGAGTCTCCCATGTCTACTTCTTTCTACACAGACACAGCAACAATCCGATTTCTCTATCTTTTCCCCACATTTCCCACTTTTCTATTTGACAAAACCGCCATCGTCATCATGGCCCGTTCTCAATGAGCTGTTGGGTACACCTCCCAGACCGGGTGGCGGCCGGGCAGAGGGGCTCCTCACTTCCCAGAAGGGGCGGCCAGGCAGAGGCGCCCCCCACCTCCCTCCCGGACAGGGCGGCTGGCCAGTCTATTTAAAGGCCTGTGAGACCCTCTGTGATCCACTCTGCCCTTCCCTGCCTACCACTTTGATCTGCTACTCAATTCCTTGTTTGCGCTGCTCCAGCAACACGGGCTTTTCTGTTGGCCTTTAAACACCACAGTTGTCCTCTGAGGTGGGAGGAGAGTATTGGGTACTTGGTAAATGCAGAGTTCATTTTCTAGTCCTTTCTGGTTTATATGTCACTATCTTCCCTCTCCTATTCTCCCTGGAACTTGGAGAACTTGGGACTTCCTGGGGAGCCATGGAGTCCCTACCTTCATCATCACCGAGCCAGTACACGTCCACTGCCCTCCGGCCTTGCTTGGATTGGAACATTGAGGCTGCTGGAATAAGGATGCTGCCCGAGAAAAGAGAAGAAAAGAATGAGACAAACTCCTTTCCAGCTGAGCAGTTGCTCCTAATTCAGTATAATACCTCTCCTCCCCTATGAGAATTATTGCTATCCTAGAGAAACGTCATGTGGCTTCTCTCCGCATTGACTAACCGCATTTCCTTTTTATTTTCCTTGGTGTCTGCTTCTCTAACCCGCTCTACAACTCTGTTATTCCTAAAAACAGGACATGTTTTAGAATTGGTCTCCTGCCTGCTAAGTATCCATCCCTATGACATCCAAATATGCTGGGTGTACTGGGAAAAGTGGGGGTATAACACAAAATAATGTTATCTTTTTGCTAAGGATGCCCAAAATTTAACTGATAAGATGTGTAATATTATTAGAATTGGGGTAGTGCCAGAAACCCTTCTCTAGAATTGGGCCATAGCCCTTCCTGACCACACTCCAGCTTACCCTGCTATGTTGTATCTTTTGATCCAAATTTCTCCCACCTGAATTTAGAAGATACCTTTAAAGTTTTCCCCCACCCTGAAAATTTCAGGAGAACTAAAGCTCAAGCAAAATTCATTTCTCTCGCATCCTGGTACCCAATTCTATTCAGTCTTAGGTCTTGGTAACTCTAGATGAGTTCATTTGCCTCCCAGACTGTCTTTGAGAGCCAATTTCTATACCTCCCACACCACATCCTTCTCTTAGGCCCACCTCTTTTCACTCACCTTGAGCTTGGTGTTGAGTAGCCGGGCTTAACCCTCCTGGCATCCTTATGAGGCCTATGCCATAGTTGTAGTCAAAGTCATCACTTTATGGAGAGGAGAGAAAAAGAGATATAGGAGGAAGAGATGAAGGGGTGGGGGTCTCTTTCCTGGGGACACAGGCACTGCTGGGCAGCTGTTGGGAACAAGGGCTTCACCACGATTATATTTCCTCTTCTTTCTAGTTCCTGACCATTTCTATGTCCATCTTACCCTTCTCTATCTCACATTCGCACTAGAATGCCTATGTAGTACTCCATGGCAGATACAGGCCCTTTCTCCCAATTTTGCTTATATCCCAAGACCAGCACATTGGACTTCAGTTGGTTCAAACATGAGACCTGAAAGGAGAAGCAATGAGGAAAGAAGGGGATATGGTATGTTGGATGAGAGGTGACAAGAAGGCTTCCTTTTTCTCCACTACCCCGCCCAGATTTCAGGAAGCTAGTTTCCTTCTGTGTCTGAGCAGATAACCCTGCAGAGGTTCATGGTTCTTGCCATGGCCTTTCCCAAAAAAGCCAAAAGTTTGCAAGAACCAGTCATGTAGTATTAAAGAATAAAGTGGACCAAGTGGGAACTGTGGCAAACTGGAGAGCACCTGCCTTGTCCCATGGGACAGGAGCTACTCAGCCCCAGCTAACTGTGTCATGTGGGTTGGAGGCCCAGGATTAGCAGATGCCTGGATCTTAAACGTTGGTAGTTTATTTTAAAAATTGTAAATGCTGTGCAATCAAAAAACTCATTTCCAGGCAACATTCCGTCCATAGGCCACCGTTTTCAATCTCTCATCTACAGACTTCCTGACTGGAAGTTCTTAATGTGATCTTACACATTGGTGAGGCTCACTGAGTAGGACAGCGCCATTTGGTAGGTGTCTGCCTGGGCTGAAGAGCCCCAGTTCACAACTGTGCAGAGAAAGGGGTGGTGCATCAATGGTGAGGTAGAAGAGGAAACACTGTTCGTAGTTCTGGGCTTCTTCTAGGGGCCAGCCTCCTGTTGTAACTCACTTCCTGACTCCCTGCACACCCGCCTACTCACTCACCAGGTTTTGTAGATCATATAACAGCAGAAGGGTAAGCAACACAGTAATCAGTGTTGCCCGCCATGTGAGGAGGAATGTGATGAGCAGGCAGAGCAGAGAGCCCAGGAGAGAGACCCAGGGACTTTACCTGCAGAAGGAAAGGCGCCAGCCTGCAGGGGACAGCAAATGTAAGCCCTTGTCTTAGCCCCAGCACCACCCACTCATGTACCGCAAGGATGCTCTCCCAACTCCCCAGGTCTTTCCAGCCCTAGAGCTTACCTGAACACCTGCCCACACTAACCAGACAACCAGGTAAGGGAGGCGTAGAGACAGCCAAAGTTGAGGGCACAGGAACAGAGGAGGAAGTTGGCGATGGTGGGGGCAATGATACTCAGCTCGGCTTTGGGGGAGATGAAAGGTCAGGAGTGAGTCTCCACACTAGTGTCATAAGATGCAGGTCTAGAAGTCCAGGACATCATTTTATGGTTTTCTCCATTCTCTCTATTCCCTTCTTACTCCTCACTCCACCCCCACACACATACCACCCCTAGCAGTGCAAGGTTAGGAGACATTTTTCGTCCACTTTCAGGAAAAGAGAGATAGAAAAGAGGTTTTAGGATCAGCTCCTAGAAGCCAGAGGTAGGGCTGGGAAGGGCCTGAGAGGAATGGTGATTAATAGAGCCCAGTGTGGAGGGTGGGGTGGGGAGTAGTCACCGATAAGGATGAAACCTACAGCAGTGAGGAAGGTGAGCAGATAGCCCCACAGAGGCTCGTGGTTCTTGCCATGGCCTTTCCCCCCAAAAAAGCCAGTGATTGTGTATGGTTTATCCTGGCACAGCTGCTGCAAGAGGTCTTGGTGATCAATAGGGGAGGGTCCCAGGAAGTAGGAGAATGAGAGCCCTCTCCCTCTAAAGAGGCAGGAGAGTGGGAAGCATAGACAGAAGTCAAGGGAGTTTAGGGGTCAGAGGCAGAAAGGATAGGAGTAGAGGGAGTAGGGGGTGGTAAGATCCCTGGGAATGAGGGATGGGAAAAACTGAGAGTGGGGAGGTAGATAGATGAGTGACACCGGGCCAGGCCTGGGGGCTCACGCCTGTAATCCCAGCACTTTGGAAGGCTAAGGCGGGTGAATCACAAGGTCAGGAGTTCGAGAACAACCTGGCCAACATAGTGAAACCCCATCTCTACTAAAAATATAAAAATTAACTGGATGTGGTGGCACGTGCCTGTACTTGGGAGGCTGAGGCGAGAGAATCACTTGAACCTGGGAGGCGGAGGTTGCAGTGAGCCGAGACCATGCCATTGCACTCCAGCCTGGGTGACAAAGTGAGACTGTGTCTCAAAAAAAAAAAAAGAGTGACACCTTCCCCATACTTTCCCTTGATTTACAGGCAGACTTTGAATGTTGCTATGTGGGCTTGGATTATCTCTTTAAACATTAGCCAGCCACAGTCATCTCCATCTCCCAAAGTTACCTTCTAACTCCCAGTTGCTGAGAACTGAGCCGTCTTTTGCCCCTCCTCAAAAATTATACACTTGGGATGACCGTGTCTACTAACATTCTTTCCTTTCTCTTGCAAGCCTCTTGCTAAGATCTCAACTAGCCTGGAAGATATTAGGGGCTGAAACAAAGCAGGAAAGGGTACAGAACAGAATGGCTCTCAAGATTCCAGCAGACATCAGAGGGCTAAAGGCAGACACCATGTTCATGGTCTGAGGAAAAGGGCAGACAGAGGCAAAAATCAATGCCTTTCCAAAGTAATGCATTCCACCCGTATTTTCACCTAGTTTTCCCAGACTTATTAAAATTTATCTGCATCTTTGAAGGTTTTGCCCCAAATTAATCAACTTAAACATCTATGCTATGCCAGGCAATGGGCAAGGTTTCTCTCTCTACACTTCCGCTCTGGTTCACTCACCTCATAGTGATTAGAGAGCCCACAGAGGCAGGACCCTTGCTCTCGACAACTGCTGAAATCCCAGCCATACTGGCACTTTGCGCCCAGGCGGCTCCCATTCTGCACACCCATGTCAGTCCTATTTTCGGAAGCACGTTGAATCATACAGGAGCCTAGAAATGAGATTGAGGATACACATTTCTTCATGGGAAGAAAACCCCATCCCAAAGCAGTAGGGCTATCTAGGTACCACCAGTACCAAAAGGGGAAATGAAAATGTTTGTGTGGCAGGGGTTGGGGGAGTGAGGAAATGACCAAATGTGATCATCGAAGAACACCATACAATTCATTAACAGATATGAGGGATGGGGAAACATGAAGGGAGGAGCGGGAGTCACTACAGACTCACCAGCCTTGATTTTGCCGTTGCTGGAGATGGCTGAGATAGACAATCCAGTGACAGTATGACTGAGGCCAAGAACAGGATGATGAGCCATGTGAGCCCTGGGGTGAGGATGGGAATTTATTCATACATGCACATCCCTTCCTACTGCCCAGGAGAGCTCTGAGCTCATACCTGTGCCTGCCTGAGCAGCGATCCAAGGCAGCTGCAGGTAGAGAATGATGCCCCAGATATTGAGCATACAGCAAATCTGGGGAGCGGGGTGGTAAGGGAGGGGTTGCAGTCTCCAGTGTGAGTCCCACCCCTTGCCCCCTTCTTCAGAGGTACCTCCCAAAAACTCCCCTGGAGCAAAGAGTTCTCGCCTGCCTAGATCCCCAGACTTAGGGAACCATGAGCGCCAATCCATTACCATGACTCCTATGACCCAGCTGAAGTGCACTGGGGCCTTGCCGATTTTGGCCCCAGAATTCTCCAGATCATCTTGGGAGTGTGGCTGGGTGTGGGTTTCCTCTCGAGGTGGACGTGGCACTATTTCTTGGCTGGGACAGCACATACATAACTGAAATGCCAAGACCCCTTGCTAGCCAGCGCGTCTGCAACCAGGAGGACAGCTAATGGACCTGGAGGGCAGTCCCAGAGCTACATGAAGGGTGGTGGTAGCCCACAGGCAGATGTTATCCTACCTTCAGGAGTTCACTGTGGGGCCTGGGTCTTACCAAGCTGTATGGAGCCATCCCAGGACTACGGAGTTGGCATAGAACTCGTAGCAGGGTCCAGTGTCCTCATCCTTGTAAGCAGTTGGTGAACAGAGGCTGGCTCGGGGTATGTCTCCACCAGATTGCAGTTCCTCCAACTCCTGGTTGGGGGCCAAGATGCTGGCCACATTGTCTTGCTCTGGGGAGGACATGAGAGGCATTCGAAATGTCTGAACTGGGAAACAGGGTGCAGAGCCTGGACACTATCTCCCCATTTGCTGGCCAGGATAACCATAAACTGCCTCTCAGTCGAACCATTTTGGGGAGTGCACCTGCTGGCTAGGCTCACCCAGGGAATGCTAGCTACTCAGAGTTGCCAGGGGTACCCAGGCCACAAATGGGGAAATGGAGACAACTCTGAAAGTAGGAGGGGGTGCTGTGCAGGTCAGCCCACTTCCCACCCTACCCCGCCCTCCACATGAGCCCTTTCATCTGAATCACAAGGAGCAATCGTTCCTCCTTCCCTTATTAAGTCTGCCTGTGGAGTCAACCTATCCAGCCTGGACCAGACATTTTATAGGCCAGGAAGTAGGAGTCCTTGGCCTGTCCTACCTCCCCCAGAGAAGGGAGAGGAAGTGTGTCACTGCACCTTTCCCTAAATCCTTTCTGCAAGATGACACTCAAAACTGCGGCACAAAGTGATTGCCTGGCTTTTAGGGGCTTTAGTCTAGCACTTGGCCTCAGGATGAGAAAGGAAGTGTTGTCCTGGAGGGAGAAGGAGTGGCTGTTACCGTCTGGCTCAAATGGAATACTTGCATGTCCATAGCCCATCTAGTCCAGGACTCTGGTCCTCACAGCATGCAGATCAAGCACACCTTCCACTGTCTGGTTCTTATCCCAGTGCCAAGATGAGAGTTAGAATTCCCCACACTTTTCCAAAGACACAGGGTTGGATTTCAGGCTCTTACCCTGGACCCCACCTCTGGACAGATAGTAATCCCTGTGTGGGGTGAGCCACCTAGGTCCGTAGCCCTGCCCCCTGGCCCTTCACTTTCCCCACTCTTCTGCCCTCCATGAATAAAGCTGGGCTATATTCGCTCCTGGGTCCCAGCTTTTTTGTTTTTTGAGACAGGGTTTTGCTCTGTCACCCAAGCTGGAGTGTGTGGTGCGACCTCAGCTCACTGCAACCTCTGCCTCCTGGGCTCAAGTGATCCTCCCACCTCAGCCTCCTAAGAAGCTGGGACTAAAGATGTGCCCCACCATGCCTGGCTCATTTTTGTATTTTTTTGTAGAGATGGGGTTTCACCATGTTGCCCAGTTTGGTCTCAAACTGCTGGCCTCAAGTGATCCATCCGCCTTGGCCTCCCACAGTGCTATGACTACAGGCATGAGACACCACGTCCAGCTAATTTTTGTAATTTTTGGTAGATATAAAAAATATGGAGTTTCATCATATTACCCAGGCTGGTCTCAAATTCCTGGGCTCCAGTGACTCACCCACCTTGGCCTCCCAAAGTGCTAGGATTACAGGCAAGAACCACCATGCCCGGCGGGGTCCCAGCTTTATCATGCACAGAAAAGTCAACAGCCAAAGCCTGGTCCAGACTCTTTGCCTGATCCTTCCAGCCCACTCTAGTGGCCCAGCCCTTCTGGCCTTGGGCTCATTCCACCAGATCCCCTCATTCTCCTTGGTTTCCTAATTTGCCTAGCTCAGCACACTCCTGTATGACCTACAGGTGGAAGGGTGGGGATGTCAGTCTGGGAGGGAGCCCAGGGGATTGGGTGTCAGAGTTAGGACACCAGGTGCCAAGTGCCTAGCCAGCCAGGACTGGCTATAATTAGCCCCATGGGGCCACTGGCTGACTGGGATGCCATGTGGGCAAGTTCCCTCTGCCACGCAGCCCCAAGCACAGCGGGCGCTTAAGTGAGAGGGCAAGCGGAACGCTGGTGTCTCCTGAGGGTGACTAAAAGGATGGGGGCAATAGGGGAGGGGTGTGGTCCCGGTTACCGGATCTTTACAGGGCTTCTTGCATGTTTCACTGCACCGCGTGCACCCTATAGCTGTCCTGTATATCCCAGATACTCCAGTGCTGGGATGTGGCTGAGGGTAGGAGGAGGGTGTTGGAGCAGGGGAGAGACTGACATTTCAACTGGCTGGAGACATGGTTGCTCTGGCCTCTTTGGGCCCAGCTCTGACGCCAGGCTGTCTTGCCTCTGCTCACCTGCAGCTATCCAGCAAACCTCGGCATGAGCGTCTCGGACACCCCACATTATCCCCCTGAGCTGGAGAGTGTCTCTCATCCCGTCCAGAGGGACTGCCTTGGACTCCTTGTGCACGCCCAGAGAACCCCTTCCTGGCCTCCCTCCCCCGACGAGGATCCCAGATTGCCTTCCTTTCCTCTGGAGGAGCCTGGTTCCAGGCCCCTGGTCCCAAGGAACCTTCCCTTTCCAGCCTTGTCCCTAGAGGAAGAAGAGGAAGAGGAAGAAGATGAAGATGCGGCAGAGCCCGAGTGGCTGCGCAGCGAGGAGCATCCGAGCCAGTTTTTCGCCGAGGCCCAGCGGCTGCGGGAGCAGAGACTGTTGCTGGACGAAGAGGTGTCAGTCGCGGGGCGGGTATACGGGGTGCATCGGGTGATCCTGGCCGCAATCAGCAGCCTCTTCCGAGACAGGCTGCTGGGCGGCGGAGGTCCGCGGCCCCCCTTCAGCCTCGAGGTGTCCCCAGGGGGCTGGGAGGCCGTGCTGACCTTTGCCTATGAGGGGGTGCTGGGCCCCGCCTCGCAGGGGGATGTGCTGGCCGCAGCAGAGGCGCTGGGAGCGCCCCGGGTGAAGGCTGCTGCCCAGCAGACATGCGAGAGGGCTGGAAATGCCAGGGAAGATGTAAAGAAGCCCAGCCAGGCAGAGGAGCTGAGGGAGAACCTGCGCGGAATCGAGCTCCTCTACCGAGAGGGCGTCGGGTGTGACTTGAAGCTGGAGGCAGGCGGCTGCCAGCTGTCGGGTGAGGGCCTGTGGGGCATTAAATTACTGCAGGTGCATATGCTAACGGAATGGTGTGTGCAAGCAGCAGGTGGTTTTATCCCCACCATGATGGTTTTGATCCCTGCTGCTGTCAGAATTTCCCTGGGGTGGCCTTTGGTGCCTCTCCTGCCCCACGGAGAGCCGGGCATGCGCAGTCGAGTTGTTTTCTAGGCGCTCTGACAGATTTAAACTGACCCTCTGTCTGGCTTTTCCTGTGTCCAGTAACAAGGAATCTCCAGCCAGCTGGCTAGAGCTAAGGGTACAATCCATGGCAGTAGAACAAGCAGAAAGTGGATTGACTCAAGCAGAAATTAACAAAAGGCCCTTCTTGGCATCCTCCATTCAGGACACAGGAAAGCCAGGGGAACATGGTGGAAAACTCAATGTGTGCTTTCACCTTGGTGTGCTTGACGCCATGGCTGACTTATGGGCCCTGCAGCTAATGAGCAAGGTCTGGTACTGTTTAAGGTTACCAGGCCGTGGCACTTTTTTTTTTTTTTTCTGAGACAGCATCTCACTCTGTTGCCCAGGCTGGAGTGCAGTGGCACAATCTTGGCTCACTGCAACCTGCACCTCCTGGGTTCAAGTGATTGTCCTGCCTCAGCCTCCCGAGTAGCTGGGATTACAGGCACCTGCCACCATGCCTGGCTAATTTTTTTGGTATTTTTTTAGTAGAGATGGGGTTTCACCAGGTTGGCCAGGCTTGTCTTGAACTCTTAACCTCAGGTGATCCACCTGTCTCATGCTGGGATTACAGGCATGAGTCACTGCACCCGGCCTGGCCATGGCACTTTGAAGTTAACTCTGCTCATCACCAGGAAAGCTAAGTAGGGTTGCATAAGTTGAGTATTATTCGGAGTCTACTAACATTTAGTGAGGCACTGGGTACCTGAAATTTTTACACATGACATCTCTTTTTAAATTTTACTGAAAGCTGGTGAGGTCAATATCATTATCTACAGGTGCACATAAGGAACATTAAATTTGGAGATGTTGACTTGGGACAACCCCAGGATACAAGCCTACATCACTAGTCCAGTCTCCTTCCACTAGGCCATGTGGACACATTGAAAGTTTAAAATTACAAGGGATTAGTTTAGAGATTATCTAGTTGGGCTGTTACACTTTGATGATGACGAAATCAGAATCCAAGACTTGTCCAAAGTCACATAGCTACTGCCCATTAGAGGAGTGACTGGGAACTGAAGTGCTTCTGGGACTCCTAGAAGGAAAACCACTCCAAAAGTCTATTTTCATTTATGATAGCACTAGATGGAGAGGGGATTTAAATTTTTCATAATCATAAAATTCTCACTAGGCTTTTGAATTTAAGCATACTCATATCACTGCTTTTATTTCCCTAGGAAATATTCCTACTTAATGGTTGCGAATCTGTCACTTAAAATCCTAGGGTATAGTAATGAGTAAGAGGTGAATACAAGTGGCTGTGAGCCCTTTCAGGGTTGGCTCTGAACTATAGGTTGATTGATGATATGGGAGCTGAGATGGCTTAGCTTGTTTTGAGGAATGCAGATTTTCTCAGACAATATATATTTGAAATCTGTCATTGATGTTTACTACTTGGGAAGCACCAGGCCACTACCTACTGCTTAAAAGACAGTGGAAAGTCATATGAACAACACCTGCCCTTTGGGAAAGGCACGCATGCCTCAGTTGGTCAAAGCAGCATGGAGTTCTTAAACAGCTTGGCCCTCTGTGACCTGCCTAAAAGGACTTCTAGGAGCATTACCCCCCACCTTTTTATTATGAAGCATTTTACAAAACCAAGAATATTAAGATGAACATTCAAACAACACCCATCACCCAGATTTAACAACTAATATTTTACTATATTTATTTCATCTGTTCATTTTATTTTTTACTGAAGTTTAAAGGAAATTCATGACATTTTACTCATAAGTATTTGGGTATGTATCTTTTTAAAAGAAGACAATTCTGTGGGACTAGGTGTGAAAGGAAAAAATAAAACAAAGAGGACATTTTCTCATAACCATAATACCTTTATCATGCACGACAAAATTAATAGTAATTTCTCTCTTTCTTTCTTTCTTTCTTTCTTTCTTTCTTTCTTTCTTTCTTTCTTTCTTTCTTTCTTTTTTTTGAGATGGAATCTTGTTCTGTCACCCAGGCTGGAGTACAATGGCACGATCTCGGCTCACTGCAGCCTTCACCTCCCAGGTTCAAGTGATTCTCCTGCCTCAGCCTCCCGAGTAACTGGGATTACAGGCGTGCACCACCACACCCAGCTAATTTTTGTATTTTTTGTAGAGATGGGGTTTCACCATGTTGGCTGGTCTGGTCTTGAACTCCTGACCTCAGGTGATCCACCTGCCTTAGCCTCCCAAAATGCTGGGTTTACAGGCATGAGCCACCGCGCCTGGCCAGTAATTTTTTAATATCACCTAGTCCACATTTATATTTTCCCAGTTGTCCAAAAAACATTTTTTAAAGTGAGTTTGTTCAACCCAGGAATTAATCAAGGACTATGCTATTCTCAGTTGCATGTCTCTTAAGCTTCCTTTAATCTAGTACAGTCCTTCCTCCTTTTTTTTTTTTATTACTTTATATATTGATTGGTAAAGACAATAACATGTAAGATTGGTTACCCTGGGCCAGGCATAGTGGCTCACGCCTGTAATCCCAACACTTTGGGAGGCCGAGGCAGGCAGATCACTTGAGGCCAGGAGTTCAAGGTTAGCCTGTCCAACATGGCGAAACCGTCTCTACTAAAAATACAAAAATTAGCCAGGCATGGTAGCGTGCACCTGTAGTCCCAGCTAATCTGGAAGCTGAGGCACGAGAATCACATGAAGCTGGAGGGTGGAGGTTGCAGTGAGCCGAGATTGTACCACTGCACTCCAGGCAGGGTGACAGAGTAAGACCCTATCTCAAAAAAAAAAAAATTGGTTATCCTATAAAATGCTCCATTTTCTTGATTTGTGTGGTTTTTCCCCTCTAAATTGTTCCTTTAGCCTTTCAACTTCCTATAAACTTGACTTTAGATCTAAAGAGTTGAACAGATTCAAGTTAAATATTTTGGCCAGAATAATCCATAAGTGATGCTGAGTATGAGGTCTAATTGTTTAACAGCGTAGGTTAATAGGACAGTTTCATTGTCATGAGGACCATGCAGATAACCAAGGTATTGGTACACAAGCATGCTTATTGCAGCCTGACATCAGTGGCAGTGGATGGAGATGATCTGCCCACACAGCCACTGCATGGAAATGAAAAATAAATCACATGCTTTCTTTGGGACCCAACTCAGTTTCCACATTTTATTTATTTATTTATTTTGAGATGGAGTCTCGCTCTGTCACCCAGGCTGGGTGCAGCGGCGCAGTCTCAGCTCATTGCAACCCTCGCCTCCCAGGTTCAAGCTATTCTCCTGCCTCAGTCTCCAAGTAGCTGGGATTACAGGCGCCTGCCACCATGCCCGGCTAATGTTTGTATTTTTGGTAGAGATGGAGTTTCACCATGTTGGCCAGGCTGGCCTTGAACTCCTGACCTCAAGTGATCCTACCCACCTCAGCCTCCCAAAGTGCTGGGATTACAGGTGTGTGCCACGACACCCAACCAGTTTCCTTATTTTAAAGGGAATAATTGAATTAGATTATTTTGAAGTTCTCAAGTTTCAGATCTCATGATTCTACAAATTACACCAAGAACAGGAGAGGGTTATGCAGAGAAAAGCTGGGACGCACGGAAAACATTAAACACTAAATCTTAGGCAAGAGGAGACAGCAATCCGATGAGGTTGGATTACAGCCATTCCCGAGTGGTGCCACTTTCCCAGCAAAATCTAACAGAATGGCTGACAGTCTTGGCTCTTGATTGTAAAGAATTTTATTTTGTCACGATATAGACAGACCTATATAAGTTGCTTGTTGGTCATTTCCCATTTATTTTGTGCTCCTCTTAGCAAATGCTTTCCTCTCAACCTGATCCATGAAGACTCTTTTTCTGACTCATCTGACCAAAAAGACTAAAGCAATGTTTATCTAAGTGTCTTCAGGCCACTAACATGAGAATCACATAGGGTTACTTGAAGTGTTACAATACAAATTTCTAGGGTCTCCGTCCAGAACTGCTGAATCAGAATCTCTGGGAGTGGACTGCTGAAACCTGCATTTTAACAACTACCCCATGGTATTCTGATGCACACCACAGTTTGGTCTGTAGCAGTGGGTGGCTTGGAGGGCCAAACTTAGAGTTTGGCCAAACTTAGAGTACCAAGTTGGGGTAATGCCTATCGGTCTTGCAATACTTTGAGTCCTCCTCTATTCCTTCTCCCCTCCTGCAGTGCACCGAGCCGCCCTGGCCTGTGGCAGTGAGTTCTTTGGGGCCATGCTCCTGAGCGGGATGAGGGAATCCCAGGGCACAGAGGTATCTCTGCGGACGATCTCCACCCAGGACCTGCGACTCCTCGTCTCTTTTGCTTACTCCGGAGTTGTGCGGGCAAGGTGGCCAGGGCTACTGAGAGCTGCCCAGGCTGCTCTGCAGTACCAGAGCTCTTCCTGCTTGGATTTGTGTCAGAAAGGCTTGGCACGGGGCCTCAGCCCTGCCCGTTGCCTGGCCCTGTTCCCCATGGCGGAAGCCCCTGGGTTGGAGAGGCTCTGGAGCAAAGCCCGTCACTACCTCCTCACCCACCTGCCTGCTGTAGCCTTGTGTCCTGCTTTCCCTTCTTTACCAGCTGCCTGCTTGGCTGAGCTCCTGGATAGTGATGAGCTCCATGTGCAGGAGGAGTTTGAGGCCTTTGTGGCTGCACGGTGTTGGCTGGCTGCCAACCCCGAGACCCAGGAGTCAGAGGCCAAGGCCCTGCTGCGATGTGTCCGCTTTGGCCGCATGTCCACCAGGGAGTTGCGGAGGGTGCGGGCAGCCGGGCTACTTCCACCCCTGACCCCAGATCTGTTGCACCAGCTGATGGTAGAGGCTGATGTTCCAGGCCAAGAGAGACGGAGGGAGCCTGACCGGGCACTGGTAGTGATTGGCGGGGATGGGCTCAGACCAGACATGGCCCTAAGACAACCATCCCGAGCAGTGTGGTGGGCCCGGGCCTTCCGCTGTGGCGTGGGACTGGTACGAACTGTTGAGTGGGGGCAGCTGCCTGCCCTGCCTGCCCCCGGACGCTTCCGGCATGGGGCTGCAAGCCTGGCAGGAAGTGAACTCTATGTGTGTGGGGGACAAGATTTCTACAGTCACTCCAACACCCTGGCTTCAACTCTCAGGTATAAGCTTCTAGGAGTGGGCAGGGTGTGGCAGGCCCTAAGGTGGGCAGGGAGAGAAATTGCTGGCCTAGCCAACCACGGATGCCCAGAGTCCCTCTTCCAATCTCTTGTCCTACTGTGTCCAGGTGGGAGCCCAGTCAAGAGGACTGGGAGGAGATGGCTCCTTTGTCCCAGGCTCGAAGCCTTTTCTCCTTGGTGGCACTGGATGGAAAACTTTATGCCCTGGGTGGAAGACACAATGATGTTGCCCTGGACTCTGTGGAGACCTACAACCCTGAGCTCAATGTCTGGAGGTAAGCAGGCAAGGGGGCATCTGGGAGAGATTAGGAGACTTGGAATAGAAGGAGAGTTGAAGATGCTAGTTGCCTTATCTTGTGTCCTGTTCTCCCTTAGGCCAGCACCTGCACTTCCAGCACCATGTTTTGCCCACGCAGCTGCGATTTTGGAGGGCCAGTTGTACGTGAGCGGTGGCTGTGGTGGGACTGGCCAATACCTGGCCTCACTGATGCACTATGACCCCAAACTTGAGAAGCCAGGGACGTTTCTGAGCCCTATGGGGGTACCTCGGGCTGGCCATGTCATGGCTGCATTGGGTGGGAGGTTGTATGTGGCAGGTGGGCTGGGTGAGACTGAGGACCTGCTAAGCTTTGAGGCCTATGAACTAAGGACTGATAGCTGGACTCACCTGGCACCCCTACCCTCCCCCCATGTGGGGGCTGCAAGTGCTGTGCTGCAGGGGGAGCTACTGGTGCTCGGGGGCTACAGTCACCGTACTTATGCCCTCTCTCACCTTATCCATGCCTACTGTCCTGGCCTGGGCCGATGGCTCTGCCTGGGAACTCTGCCAAGGCCTCGGGCTGAGATGCCTGCCTGCATCCTGACACTGCCCGCTGTGCAGCACATAGCTTTGGTTCCCACCCCACACCAAACCAAACCTGCTGGGTGAAGAGGGAGCAACAGTGTATGGGGAGAGGAGGGCATAAGAAATAGCCTGAGAGAAGGACAGAGATTGTGGGGAGTGAAAAGAGGCTTTATTCTTGGTAGTATTTTATTCTCACACTGTGCATTGTAAACTGCTTTTGTACGTATGATCTCCGTTGAGGAAATGGTGGTTCCAGAACTCCTAGGGAAAACATATAGGGAAAGGGGAGGCAGCTGAATACCCAGGTGAGGAAAGGAGACTCGGGAGCAACTCCACAAGGCTTAGGGATTCTTAGGGAAAGGGCATCTAGTTTGAAAGAGAGTTAAGAAGCTTCAGTAGCCAAAGTGTAGAGACCATGGGAGGACAGTTGGAAAAATGGTTCTGACCCATGGATCATGGGAAAAATGTGGAATGGCCATCCATGAAAGAGTTTGAGGAGTGTAGGAGTAAGGACTGTAAATCGTTCAGCCCTTTTTTTCCTGGAACTTGCTCCTTTCTCCTCTCCCACCCCTGGGATGCCTAAACCTTCTTAACAATATTCTCTCCCGGGTAACTTTGTAGGCCTGGTCTAGCGTTTCCCAGCGAGACACCACAGGCTGCCCCTGAGAACCTCTTGGTTTCCTTCTGAGGCAGAAGCTCCCACATGGACATGCACGGCACAGGGGCCTGAGAGGCCTGACGGGCCCCCCAGGGCCATGTGGCAGGAGTGTTGTGTGGGAAAGATGATGGGGGCAGAGGCCAAGGAGGGAGAGGCCCACAGTGGAAAAACAGATGATCTGAGGTTTAAGGAGATGGGGTGGAAGAAGTCAGAAGCCTGTGTGCCTTCTTTCTTTTGGGCAAACTGAGGAATCAGGAGTGAAAATGAGACCGTTGTTGCCTGAGGTCTCAAGTGGTGAGAGGATGTGGGGGGAGAGAAGAGTGAGAAGCAGACAAGACTCAGAAAAGTCATTTCCCCCTTTCAGTTCCTTTCCCCCAGAGTTATTTTTAAATCCATTTCCCTTTATCTTGGCCAGGGAAGGTAGTCAGGTGCTTCCTCTTTCTCTCTTCCCCCATCCTGCTCTCCCCACTGCCTCTCTTTTTTCTTTCTCTTCTTTCTCCCTCACACAGTTATTAATTACCTACTGTGTGGCAGGCACTGTAGGAGGCACCAAGATACAGAGGTCAGAGAGCTCCTGACCAGCAGATAGACATAAACAAATACAAATTTTGAGTGGACTTACATGTATGGACGAGTCTTGCGAGAGCCCAGAGGATAGAGCAGTGAACTCTGCTCAGGAAGGCTTCTGTTAGGAAAGGTGTCATCCGATGGGTGTATTTTGAACTGGATCTTAAAGGCTGCCTAGAGTCTCACCCATTAGAGAAGGGGGAATGCATTTGAAACAGAAAGAAGTGGGGCATGCCATGCCCTGTTTCTCCATAGCAAAGAGGAAGTGGGTATTCCAGAGGCTTTTCAGATAATTCTGCTGCTCTTGCCACCTACTCTCTTCTCTGGAGCCTTCCTGAGGATAATGGCTTTCACTTAATGATTGTGTATTCCCGCCCTCTATGACTCACCTCTATCCTTCCTGTCTGCTCTTTCCATTTCTGCCTACTGGACAGCTGAGAGCAAAAAAGGGTCAGTTTTTTTGTGTGTGTTTAGGTCAATTTTCTTTTTCTTTTTTTTTTTTTAATTTATTTTATTTTATTATTATTATACTTTAAGTTTTAGGGTACATGTGCCCAATGTGCAGGTTAGTTACATATGTATACATGTGCCATGCTGGTGTGCTGCACCCATTAACTCGTCATTTAGCATTAGGTATATCTCCTAATGCTATCCTTCCCCCCTCCCCCCACCCCACAACATTCTCCAGAGTGTGATGTTCCCCTTCCTGTGTCCACGTGTTCTCATTGTTCAATTCCCACCTATGAGTGAGAACATGCGGTGTTTGGTTTTTTTGTCCTTGCGATAGTTTACTGAGAATGATGATTTCCAATCTCATCCATGTCCCTACAAAGGACATGAACTCATCATTTTTTATGGCTGCATAGTATTCCATGGTGTATATGTGCCACATTTTCTTAATCCGGTCTATCATTGTTGGACATTTGGGTTGGTTCCAAGTCTTTGCTATTGTGAATAGTGATGCAATAAACATATGTGTGCATGTGTCTTTATAGCGGCATGATTTATATTCCTTTGGGCATATACCCAGTAATGGGATGGCTGGGTCAAATGGTATTTCTAGTTCTAGGTCCCTGAGGAATCGCCACACTGACTTCCACAATGGTTGAACTAGTTTACAGTCCCACCAACAGTGTAAAAGTGTTCCTATTTCTCCACATCCTCTCCAGCACCTGTTGTCAATTTTCTTTTTCTTTTTTTTTTTTTTTTTTTTGAGACAGAGTTTTACTCTGTTGCCCAGGCTGGAGTGCAATGGCGTGATCTCAGCTCACCGCAAACTCTTCCTCCTGAGTTCAAGTGATTCTCCTGCCTCAGCCTCCCTGAGTTGCTGGGATTACAGCTATTACATCTGGCTAATTTTGTATTTTTAGTAGAGACGGGGTTTCTCCATGTTGGTCAGGCTGGTCTTGAACTCCCGACCTCAGGTGATCCACCCACCTCGACCTCCGAAAGTGCTGGGATTACAGGCGTGAGCCACAATGCCCGGCCTGTGTAGGTCAGTTTTCTATTACCATTGTTTATTAAGATTTTCATGTTTCTAAGGGTGATGATGGAGTCTCCCTTGCACCCTTCTTCATTCTGGCCCCAGAAGTACTTGGCATGTATTTTATTTATTTATTTTTAGATTTCGTTATTTTAGTAAGATCTTTTTCTGTATCTCTATTTAAGATAGACTAGGAATGTAATTGAAAATGAGAAGGGGTAAGTAGGATGTATAAGAGAAAAGAGAAGGAAGAATAAAGAACGGGAAGAAGGAAATTGAAGGAGATGACAAGCTCTCTGGATGAACTTCTATGAACATTTTTTGTGATTTGTACCTAAAGGCAGACTTAAATAAAGGTTTCATAGTGACTGAATCTTTCTTATCTGAGTTTCTCTACTATAAAAAGCATTCAAAATAAAATTCCCTGTATTCTGCCTTCTAGGTCTACCACATGATTGAAATCATCTCCCTCCACTGTTACTGTGACCTGCTTCTTACCAAATCTAACAATCTGTGGCCATCTTCATTCTCTTTCATCTTTCTACAGGAACTGATTGGCGTGAAAACTGGCTCTTACCCTAAAAATTTCTCTTCTTCTGGCTTTAGAGATAGCACACTCTCCTGGATGGACCTTCTCTTATTTCTCCAATCCAAAATCCAGTAAGCCAGATCAAAGTGTCCAGGGGGGTGTGGCTTCATCCTTGGAGCTGATAGCCAAGGATCCACAGGTATGTGGATGAGGGTGGTTCATTGCAGAAAGTTCTGACTTTCATTATTTGTCTTTAAAACTGAGGGAAGAGTGAGGAGAGAGGAGACCTCTGACTTGAAGGAGGACCCTAGTCAATAGTCCATTCATCAGTGAGAAGGGACTGAATATAGGCAAGGTAACAGTCTGGGTCTTCAGCCAGGCAGACTAAGAATAGGGTAATATCAGGGTAACATTTCAACCCCAGAAGGGAAGTGGAGTGAGAAGTAGGAATTGGGATAGAAACTATGCATACAGATTGGGCAGCCGTGGTGGTGACCTGGCAAGACTAGTTTGATGACTGTAGAGGCCTGGGATTCTTACCTTTGGTGAATCAGATGATAAGCCAAGGTGTTCTAGATGCTCTCTAATAGCTCCCCCAACAGTCTTCCCTCCACCCCCTTTGCTGGTGAGGGTGAAATTTCTGATATCTCTCTTATCTTTCCAAGGTTGACTCAGGTACTGGGTAGGACTGGACATGCAGGTTAATGTTTAGTACAAGTAAGTGTGTGGGACTCTAGGTATCACTTGTCTCCTGTGCCTAGTCCTGGCTGGGTTGCTCACGTTCTTCCTTTCCTTTGTTTTATGCTCCCTGTCAGGAAGCTCACCTCTCCTCTGTCTCCAACCTTGATGGTTCGCCTGGGTTCTAGTCTGATTTTTTTCAGTGATTCTCACCTCCATTTAGATGTGCCAGCATCATTAGTTCAGATTCCTCATGCTTTATTGGCACTATCATTTCTCCTATTTCCTGGGCCTGAAGCTTTGGAATCCTCTTGAGCTTATTTTCCTTTATCTTTTCTTCTTTACTTGACTCATCATGTAATACTGGACTACCCAAAGAAAAACTGACTTAGTGTCTTCTCCCAATCTTTTCTGTGTTAAATATAATATATACGGAAAATTTTTAGCCAGGTGTGGTGACACATACCTGTAATCCCAGCTACATGGGAGGCTGAGGCACGAGAATTGTTTGAACCCGGGAGACGGAGGTTGCAGTGAGCTGAGATTGCACCACTGCACTCCAGCCTGGGTGACAGAGTGAGACTCTGTCTCAAATTAATAATAATAATATATGGAAAATTGATAGCAAGGAAGGTTTAAAAAAATAGAAGAGCAAATTTATATGAAAATTTCACTAGCTGTGAAACCAAGAATTATTACTTACCCAGACAGACACTCTGGGTTGTAGAAGCAACAATGTTCAATCAAAAGAATGAAAAAGTGCCAGGCACCGTGCTACATGCCCATAGTTCCAGCTCCTCAGAAGGCTGAGGTGGGAGGATTGCTTTAGCTCAGGAGTTCGAGTCCAGCCTGGATAACATAGTGAGACCCCATCTTGAAAAAAAAAGGAATAAAAGAAAAATTGCATAGAAAGATTATTTAATAGAATTATAGAATGGAGAGGTTTCAGAGATCATGTAATTCAAACCTTTTGTTACACAGCTTAGGAAATAAAGTTATGTGGTACACAGTCTGGATAATGAAGAGGAAGGCTTTTCATGAAACTAGTCTCTCACATACATTAGGACCAACAGGCAGGCTAAGACAAACATCACAGACGAGGTCTATAGACAGGACAGTCATAATTACTCTTTCAGGATCATAGACTATATCCTAAATCCTGTCTAGCCCTTGAGATCAAGGAGCCCTAAGTGAAAACGTGTGAATTCATCACAGCTCCTGGTAAAACACCTACCAAAAAAATTATAGATAGATAGATATTTATGTGTATATACATACATACATATATATCATTAGTGGTGAGATTATAGTCTGTTTTCTCTGAGAGAGAAATGATCATGGTATTATTACTGTAGCTGATTCAGAATTTAATAATCTATATTTCGTGTTTGATATGTTTTGGATCTGTGTCCCTGTGCATATCTCATGTCAAATTGTAATCCCCAGTGTCAGAGGTGGGGCCTGGTGGGAGGTGATGGGTCATGGGAGTGGTTTCCATGGTGGGTTTAGCCCCATTCCCTTGGTGGTGTTCTTCTGGTAGTGAGTTTTCGTGAGAACTTGTTGTTTACAAGTGTGTAGCACCTTCTGCCTCACTCTCTTTCTTGCTCCTGCTCCTGCCATGTAAGACGTTTCACGCCTCCTTTGCCTTCTTCCATAATTGAAAACTTCCTGAGGCCTCCCCAGAAGCAGATGCTGCCATGCTTCCTGTATAGCCTGCAGAACCATGAGACAATTAAACCTCTTTTCTTTATAAATTACCCAGTCTAGGGTATTTCTTTATAGTAATGTGAGAACAGACAAATACAGTATTAGAAGAATGACAAAAAAAACGTATAGCCTTGAAAGTGTACTGAGCTAGATTCAGTAACTTGGCTTCAAGTTTCAATTCAATTGTTGCTTTGGTAATTATGAGTAAGTCCTTTAACCAGTTTGAATTCCAAGTTCGTACCCCATAAAATAAGCACCATAATGGTATTGTAAACACCACAGTGTTATTATAGCTCATGAACCCCAGAGCTTGGGACAGTCCTAAGGACCTCTAGGCACATTTGGAAAAGTGTGCCTTGGTAATCTATAAATCAAGTTCCTAGGACATATCCTTTTAGATCAGAGAGCTAAATGATGCCAAACAAGGAGGCCAGTATACCGTAGTGACAGGCTCCTGAGACCACGAGTACCGTACAGAAGGTTATAAGCTACTCCAGCCTGATGTACTCCTGAGACAGGGAAGCAGATTCATCTGGATTCCAAATGAGGCCAAGGCATATAGTTAGAGAGCTATGTATCAGTTAGTTGGTGTTTTGTTTTGTTTTGTTTGAGACAGAGTCTTGCTCTGTCTCCCAGGCTGGAGAGCAGTGGCGCAGTCTCCGCTCACTGCAAACTCCACTTTCTGGGTTCAAGTGATTCTCCTACCTCAGCCTCCCGAGTAGCTGGGATTATAGGCACATGCCCGGCTAATTTTTGTATTTTTAGTAGAGACAGGGTTTCACCATGTTGGCCAGGCTGGTCTTGAACTCCTGACCTCAAGTGATCTGCCCGCCTCAGCCTCCCAAAGTGCTGGGATTACAAGAGTGAGCCACCGCGCCCGGCCTATATATCAGTTTGACTAATTGCCAGGTAGGCAATCTGAGCCCCAATACACACTTTTCAAGCAAGCTGTCACTGATGAAAGCCAACTCTTTCATTGCAGAGTAAGAACTGCTTGTTTTATTTTTTATTTTTTTGAGACAGAGTCTCACTCTGTCGCCCAGGCTGGAGTGCAGTGGTGCGATCTTGGGTCACTGCAACCTCCGCCTCCCAGATTCAAGTGATTCTCCTGCCTCAGCCTCCAGAGTAGCTGGGATTACAGCAGTCTGCCACTATGCCTGGCTAATTTTTGTATTTTTAGTAGAGATGGGATTTTACCATCTTGTCCAAGCTAGTCTTGAACTCCCGACCTCAGGTGATCCACCTGCCTCAGCCTCCCAAAGTGCTGGGATTACAGGTGTGAGCCACTGTGCCCAGCCTAGAACTGCTTGTTTTAGATTATAGTTATCATTGTTTGTGCTAGCTATATGCCAGGTGGTATGCTAAGTGCTTTATGTATATTATCTAATTTGAATGACAATACAGTCCATAAAAAGCGGGTGCTATTATTATTCCCACTTTATAGATGAGAAAACTGGAAGATTAGAGGAGTTTGTAAATGTTGAGCATGTATTTAAACTGGTAGAAGGACTTTATTATGCCCCCTCTCTAATGTAGCTCCATCTCCACTTGAGTGGCAAGCTTTATCCATGAAACTCATACATGGGCTCTACAAGTGGGAGCAATGAGCGAGTATAAGTGCCACTGGAGGTTTGGAGACATGGTCTTGAAAAATTAACATCCAATTGCTGTAATGCAAATAGCTGTGAATTTAAAAGACGCTCAGCCAGAGAAAGGGGCAGTGGGTTCTTCCTTCCAGCAGTTTTTTTCACTTATTAGGATGTATTGAGCTGGGGATTGTTATGAAAATGAGACAGGAGGTGAGACTTTTCAAACGGAGAACCTAGCCTGACCCCTTTGCCAAATCAGCATCATGTGATCTTACTGCAGACTCAAGGACCACTCTCTGGCCCCTTTGAGGGTTGAGATTATTAACCTTATTTTCTTCTACAGCTTAGGTCACACTGCTAGTCAGTAGCAGAGGAGGATTTAAACACAGATCCATTGGACCAGGTGTGGTGGCACATGTTTCAAGACCTTTGTCTCAAAAAATAAAAATAAAAAAATAAAAAATAAACCCAGATCTGTTGGACTCCAGAGTTCATGTTTAAACAACCATATTTAATATATAATATATTATCTGGCTGGGTGTGGTGGCTCACTCCTGTAATCCCAGCACTTTGGGAGGCAGAGGTAGGCGGATCACCTGAGGTCAGGAGTTCAAGGCCAGCCAGGACAACATGGTGAAACCTTGTCTCTACTAAAAAGACAAAAAATTAGCCAGCGGTGGTGGCAGGTGCCTGTAATCCCAGCTACTTGGGAGGCTGAGGCAGGAGAATTGCTTGAAACCAGGAGGCAGAGGTTGCAGTGAGCCGAGATTATGCCACTGCACTCCAGCCTGGGCAACAAAAGCAAAATTCCATCTCAAAAAAAAAAAAAAAAAAAAAAAAAAAAAAATATATATATATATATATATATATATATATATATATGTAATATACTATCTTCACCCATATCTTGGATTGCAGCCAAGTACTCCAGTTCTTCCCTGATTATCTGAATTCCCCTATTTTTTAAATTCTTCCTACAAGTCATTAAAATGTTCCAAGTTCACTATTTTTTTTTTTTTTTGGGACGGAATCTCTCTCTGTCACCAGGCTGGAGTGCAGTGGCACAATCTCAGCTCACTGCAACCTCCGCGTTCCCAGGTTCAAGCAATTCTCCTGTCTCAGCCTCTCGAGTAGCTGGGACTACAGGCGCATGCCACCATGCCCAGCTAGTTTTTGTATTTTTAGTAGAGATGGTGTTTCACCATGTTGGCCAGGATGGTCTTGATCTCTTGACCTTGGGATCCGCCCACCTCGGCCTCCCAAAGTGTTGGGATTACAGGCATGAGCCACCATGCCCGGCCTTTTTTTTCTTTTTCATTTTTTTTTTGACACGGAGTTTCACTCTTGTTGCCTAGGCTGGAGTGCAGTGGCGTGATCTTGGCTCACTGCAACCTCCACCTCCCAGGTTCAAGCAATTCTCCAGTCTCAGCCTCCCAAGTAGCTGGGATTACAGGTGCACGCCCCCACACCCGGCTAATTTTGTATTTTTAGTACAGACGAGGTTTTACCATGTTGGCCAGGCTGGTCTTGAACTCCTGACCTCAGGTGATCTGCCTGCCTCTGCCTTCCAAAGTGCTGGCATTACAGGTGTGAGCCACTGTGCCCGGCACCAAGTTCACTATTTTGAGATCCAAAGTTTACTTCCAATTACCTCTGCCTCATCCCATCCAAAAGCAGGACTCAAATCCTTTTCGGGATCAGGTGTACTGTTTTTGTCTCAAAAAAAAAAAAAAAAAAAAAGTAGGATGATTACAGAGTACCCTGATGTAAACTGTCTTATGTTTTGCAGGCCTAGTGTACCAGTTATCATTTGCTGCCCAAAACTTTGTGACTTAAAACAACAACCATTTAATCATATCTCACAATTTTATGTGTAACTGACTTCACTAAATTTAGGCAGGCTTCCACTAGATGATTCTTCTGTTTCATGTGTCATTAGTGGAAGTTACTTGATAATAGACAATTGGTAGATGAACTGGTCTGAGGGACTTAAGACTGCTTCTTTCTCCACTAGGGCACCAGACAGGGCACATGTCTGGTGCCCTGGTGGAGATGGCTAGAAGGCTGAGCTCAGTTGAGTGTGTTAATTGAAACACCTACATGTGGCCTCTTTAGAGTGGCAGTCTTACGGTAGTTGGACTCACATGGCAGCTCAGGGCTTCCCAAGGGAGTGTTCCAGAGTCCTGGAGGAAGTGCAAGTTTCCTTTGACCTAGCTTCAGAAGTCCCAGAATGCAACTGCTGCCACATTATATTGGTCAAGCAAGTGACCAGGTCAGCCCAGTTTCAAGAAGGAATTAGACTCTGCCTCTCAATGGGAGAGGAAGCAAAGAATTTGTGGCCTATTTTAATTACCATACCCGATTAGGGAGACTAGTCAGTGAGGAATGTCCTTGAAGAAAGATGAAGAAAGAGGTCGGGCATGGTGGCTCATGTCTGTAATCCCAGCAGTTTGGGAAGTTGAGGTGGGCGGATCACCTGAGGTCAGGAGTTTGAGACCAGCCTGGCCAAGATGGTGAAACCTTGTCTCTACTAAAAATACAAACAATGAGCTGGGCATGGCGGTGGGTGCCTGTAATCCCAGCTACTTGGGAGGCTGAGGCAGGAGAATTGCTTGAACCCAGGAGGCAGAGGTTGTAGTGAACCGACATCGTGCCACTGCACTCCAGCCTGGGCGACACAGCAAGACTCTGCCTCAAAAAGAAAAAAAAAAGAAAGATGAAGAAAGATATTGGCAAATGTCCACAGACCAGAGGCCAAATGCAGGGTTGTTTTGATTCAGAAGAGTCAGAAGGGAGAAGACACTGAGGTTCTTGTAATCTGCTTTCAGATGGCCCAGAAGGGCTTGTCTGAGGTGACAAGTGGCTATCCAGTAAGTGTGTGCTTGTCCACATATCACGGCTTGTGTGATGCTTTAAGTTGTGATGGTTAGGTCAAACAAACGTATACTGTGAATCTAAAGGTAATCATTCACAAAGAAGAAAAAAATCAGGTAAAACCAATGGCCTTTCCACTTCCTACTGGTCACTCCCCTCCCAGCTTATCAGAGGCCTGCCCTTCCCAGTTCAAAGTCCATCTCTCCAGGGAGTTGCTTGAGATCCTTGCTCTCACCTATATAACCCTATAGTTTGTCTCTTAGTCCATTATAGCACTTCTCTTTATCTGCCTTGTATTTTTGTGATTTCTACATGTGTCTATCTCTACAAGATGATGAAGTCTTGAGAAGAAGGCATGTTGTATACATTTTACCCATGTACTAGCACTATTCTTTGACAGGGGATTAGCAGATGTTTGTTGATCAAAGTAGAGGAGGACAATGAACATGCAAGAAAACTGACCACAAGTGAGCAATTTTAACAGGTGGTAGGACCCTTCCCAAAAGGGAAGACTGAGGGGGTGGCACTCCTTTGTCCCAGAGACAAATCTGGATATTACACCCATCAGTTGGCCATCGCAGCTCAATGCTACTAATCAACAGTAAGGTGGTGTTGGCCTATATGCAGGAGAAAGTGAATGGTCCTTTAAGAACTTGCAAATAAGGAATGTAAGATGGTTCTGTGAGAGTTAAGTGATTTCATTCCAGTGGGAAATGGCACATCTTCCCAGCCCTGGTATAGTTATTTGATTGGCAAAACTCCTGATTTATTCTAATGATAGTCATCTGAAGAAAGATTGGTTCAACTCAAGGGAATGGCTAACTTAGGAAAGCATGACTCAAAGAAGCAAATATTGGCAATATGATTAGCACTTCCTACGGGTATGAAAAGCTGAATTTGAACATTGTGAACATCTTGCCAGTTGAAAGGTTTTCTCTGTTGCAAGGCAGAGATAGTTTATCTGGCTCCTCAAAACACAGCTGAAATGTCCTTTAGGGATCATTCAGTGGCTGTGTGATTGGAACAGAACATCTGGGAATTGGGCCAAATTTTTAATTTATATATGCAATTCAAGTGTGACAGGTGCATTATTTACTACCTACCTCTGCCATGTGGTAGGTAGTAACTATCGCTTCTGTTTAGGTAATCATCCTAGATTAATAGTTTTTTAAATGTTTACCTCAGATCAGAGATAAGAGTCATGATTACCTGAGAAATTGCTGGAAGTGCAAATTCTCAGGTTCCATCTCAGACCTACCTACTGAATCAGAAATTTTCAAAAGAGATGAGCAACAATCTTCGTTTTAATCAGAGCTTTTTTTTTTTTTTGAGACAGGGTCTTGCTTTGTCACCCAGGTTGCCAGGGCACGAACACAGCTCACTGCCGCCTCGACTTCCTGGACTTAAGCAATCCTCCTGCCTCAGCTCCAGAAGTAGCAAGGACTACAGGTGTGGGCCACCATGCCTAGCTAATTTTTTTTTTTTTTTTTGGCATCTTTTATAGAGACAGGGTTTCACCATGTTGCCCAGGCTGGTCTCAAACTCCTGAGCTCAAGTGATCTGCCCGCTTAGCCTCCCAAAGTGCTGGGATTATAGGCATGAGCCACCACACCCTGCCTAATCAGGGGTTCTTAAATTTAAGCATGTACCAAAACCAACCGGACAGCTTGTTAAAATACAAATCACTGGGCCCTGACCACAGTGTTTGGAAATATAGATTCTCAGGTTCCACCCCACTTGTCTGGATCAGTGTTTCTCAAACTTTAATGTGAGTGGGAATAACCTGAAAATATTGTTAAAAGATTCTGATTCAGTAGATCTGGGGTAGAGCCTGAGAGTCTGCATTTCTAACAAGGTGATGTTGATGTTGTGGTCCACAATCCCATACTTTGATTAGTGAGACCCTCGAGCAGAGGTTCCTAAACTTTTCTGCACATTAGTATCACCTGATGTCTCCATCCACTGGTGCTGCTATACCAAAATACCTGAGACTGGGTAATTTTATAGATAATAGAAATTTATTTCTCATAATTCTGGAGGCTGGGGAAGTCCAAGATCAAGGCACTAGCATTTGGTGTCTGGTGAGAACATACCTTCTTGCTGCATCTTCTCATGGCAGAAGGTGGAAGGGCAAACAAAGGAGTGATTGCTGGTTTCTTCTAGCCCTTTTATAAGGCTGCAAACTCCATTCATAAGGGCTCTGCTCTCACGACTTAATCCCTCCTAAAGACCCCAACCCTTAATATTATCACATCGCAGATTGAGTTTCAACATGAATTTTGGGGGACATATTCAGACCATAGCACCTAGGAAACTTCAAAAACTACTGATGCCTGGGTCCTACTCTGGGTGATTGCGATTTAATTGGTCTGGGGTGTGGCCTGGACTTTGGAATTTTTAAAAGATCTCCAGGTAGTTCCAGTGTACAAGCCTTGCTGGCCTTGAATCTCTTTGCTGCTTCAGGAAACCAGAAAGTAAAACTAGATCCTCAAAGCCAATCAGGAAGCCATCACCAATTGCCTTCCCTCCTGTATTGCCAGTCTTCTCAGGTCTGATATTTATGGGAATATGATGGAAGGGCTTGCATATGCTGTTCTTTCACTGGTGGGGCAGGTGTTTCCCACAGAGAGTCACAGACTACGAGGTCTTGAGGTTGGGATTATTATCTAAGGCATATTCTATGGGGAAGAGGCCTTATAAAGCTGGCCTTCAGAAGAAAGGCCCTGTGTGGACTCCTTCAATCCCTCCCCTCACTTCCTTCTCCTCAATATGCTCCCACTGTAGTCACCTCACGTAACCCTTTCTTTCAGGTTTCCTAGCTCTTGTGTTCCCTCACCAAACTCCTCTCTTTCTCCTCTAAACAGACCACTAATGAAGGTTTTCGATGTGAGTGGTACTGCCCTCTAGGGGGTGTTTTTGGCTTTCACAATAATTAGGATGATTTTACACATTTAAATGGGTAGGGCCCAGGATAGCTCAACATTCAGGAACTGTTTAGGACACTACCACACAATGAGTGACATTTCCGCATCTTTAACTTTGAATAACTTGCCAGTCATTCATGTAGCTGAAAACTTGTTTTAATTAGGATCTAACTTAATTTTTTTATTTTTTTTTTGAGTCGGAGTTTTGCTCTTGTCACCCAGGCTGGAGTGCAGTGGTGTGGTCTCGGCTCCCTGCAACCTCCACCTCCTGGGTTCAAGCCATTCTCCTGCCTCAGTCTCCCAAGTAGCTGGGATTACAGGCGGCCACCACCATGCCCGGCTAATTTTTGTATTTTTGGTGGAGACAAGGTTTCACCATGTTGGCCAGGCTGGTCTCAAACTCCTGACCTCAGGTAATCTGCCCACCTTGGCCTCCCAAAGTGCTGGGATTACAGGCGTGAGCCACCGTGCCTGACCATAATTTAATTTTAAATATAAACACAAGGCATTTTATGCGTAGTTTTAATACACACTGAACTTTCCAGGGATGCAACTACCATGAAAATCATGGGATGATCATACCTTGTTTTGTTTGAAAATCTGCCAAAAGCTATTTAGTATTCTGGAAAATCATACCACATCAGTAATTCTGTTCATGGTATTTGAATCGCCATTATAATGCCTGTATCATTCTGCATTTGTAGCTGTTACATTCCAGGTGATTTTATATACAGATGCATATATCTGAGTACCACATTGTGTCTTCTTGAATGTTATACACAAACATTTACATATCTAAACATATAGTATTTAATTATAAGTCATATTCTTTCTAGTATTCCTTTTATCTCCCATCCAAGTACTAACCAAGCCCAACCCTGCTCAGCTTCCAAGATCAGAGGAGATCGGGCGCGTTCGGGGTGGTATGGCCGTAGACTCCTTTATATCTCTTTAAGAGATTTTACTAATTTTTTGGCCAGGCATGGTGGCTTATGCCTGTAATCCAAGCACTTTGGGAGGCCAAGGTAGGAGGACTATTTGAGCCCTGGAGGTAGAGAGCCTGGGCAACATAGCAAAACCCTGTCTCTACTTTTTGTCTTTAAATTTTGGTTTAAAATTGTGCGTGGGGGTAAGTTACATTCTTTACGAATTATGTTTCAGAAAAATAAAAAGAGCTTTAAAATATTTGTTATAAAAAGGAAATGTTTTAGTTCAGGTTGCTATAACAAATTACCGTAGACCGGGTGGCTTAAACAACAAATATTATTTCTCACAGTTCTAGAGAATGGAAGTCCAAGATCAGATTGCCAGCATGGTCTGCCTCTGAAGATGAGGGTCTTCCTTGGGATTGCAGATGGCTGTTTTCTTGTATCCTCATATCGTGGAAAAAGAGCTAGCTAGCTCTTCCGTCTCTCCTTATGAGGCCACCAATCCCATTTATGAGTATTCTAAACTCCATGACCTAATGACCTCCCAGAGATCCCACCCTAAATACCATCGCATTGGGATTAGGGTTTCAATATATAAATTTTGGGGAGACACAAACATAAAGACCATTGCAGGGAGTGTTGGGACTGGTGGCAATAGAGGTTTCTAAGGAAGGAAAGGGGTACTGGCTCAGTTAATAGAGGACAGAATGCCCTCAATTCTGAGCGGAAGCTCAGCTGTTACCTGAGACTCAAGGGTACCTCTCTAAGGAAAGCAATGATATTTTCCAGAAGACAGCTAATCTGCTTTATATAAAGGCAGAAAGCATATTTCTCCTGCTACTATGTTTGGTCCTCTCTTTATGAAGCTAGGATTATTAACCTAAGGGTCACTTGTCTCTTTCCTAAGCCTGGTTCCATCTTCCTGGAAAGGGTTCAGCATTAATCATTCAGGATGGCTCCAGATAGATTCTGTGTGATCCACGGATCTCTCTTCTGATCAACAGGAGGGGAGGCACTTGCTCTCAGTTCAGCGAACTTTGATTGACTGATGTCTACACTTGGTTACAGGCGGTTGCTTTCCGCTTTCCGTCTCCTTTTAAGGAGTTCCTCAAAGGAACTTTAGGATGAATTGAGTCTGACCGTCTTTGATATTAGGAAGGAGAGGTGTACAGCTAGGCAGCGAGCATGCTAAAATCTTTTCCAGGAAACGGTGTTTGAAGAGTTAATGGGAGAAAAAAAGACGAAAATTAGCCAGAGGAGACGAATTTGGTAGAGGGGGAAGCCCTAGGGACAGGAGAAAATAGGACCAGAAAGGGAAAAAAAATAGAAACAATAACAAACTAAACTCGGGCCCCAGAAAAGGCGGCAGGGGTCCTGGGCATTCGCGTCGCAGCCCTGGCATGTCGTCTTGCCCGGCCCTCGGCTCGCTGCCCTTCCAGCAGCTGCTGCGCCCCGCCCGGGCCCGAGAGTCTCCGCCCGCACCGTCTCTTCTCAGATCCGCATCCGGCTCCTCCCCCGGCTGCCACCCTTCCCACCGGCAGAATCCAGAGCGAAGTTTCTGCTTCCTGCTGCGGGAATCGGACGCCCCAGGTCAGGCACCCAGGGTTTCCAGCCCCAGTCTAAGGTAGGGTCCGAGCGCAGGCAGAACTTGCCCTGGCCCTGGGTCTAGGGCGCTGGGCTCTGAGGCTGAGAGCTGGGTGGGAAGTGCCTGGCGGGGCCGGTTAGGAACCACCCGAGACTCAGCTAGGGGTGCATCCACCCTGCTCCTCCCGGCGGCTCCGGGAAGGGGAGGGAGTGTATACTGCGTGAAAGGGGAGGTGAGAAAGGAGGAGGAGAAGGCTGAAGGAGAGGGAGGGACAGGAAGAGAGACCACGTAAGAATCATCCCCTCTTACTTCCTTGCCCTGTGTGCCCATCGAAAGGGGACAGTGGCTGTCACCAACAAATGGTAGTATGAGAACCGTTTGTGATAATAGAAACCCAGACTGTGCTTAAATGTGCTAGACTACCATACAGCCACTTGAAGAGTGAGGTGGAGGCCGGGCGCGGTGGTTCACGCCTGTAATCCCAGCACTTTGGGAGGCGGAGGTTGGGGATCACCTGAGGTCAGGAGTTTGAGACCAGCCTGACCAACATGGTGAAAACCCTCTCTACTGAAAATACAAAAAAATTAGCCGGGCATGGTGGTGGGCGCCTGTAATCCCAGTTACTCGGAAGGCTAAGGCAGGAGAATCGCTTGAACTCGGCAGGCAGAGATTGCAGTGAGCTGAACAACAGAGCCAGACTCCGCCTCAAAAAAAAAAAAAAAAAAAAAAGGAAAGAGTGAGGTGGGTATTAATGTGTTAACAGGGCAAGGTCTCTGAGATATACTAAGTGCAGAATAGCATCTAACTTATGATCCTGTTTGTGTAAAGCAAAAGCAAAAGCAGTGGTGATGGTGAAGGCATGTATTTGCATATGCATAGAAACTGTGAAACTGTTAGTATAAAACTGTGAGCAATGTTTACTTCCAGAGAAGGGAACTAGAGATGGAAGTGGGGACGGAACTTTAACTTTCCATTTGTGGTTCAGCCGAATCTCCTTTCAAAAACTCCAGGGTGCAAAACAATAAAATGAGCAAAATAGTGAGACTGTCCTTTTAAGGATAGGACAGTCTCACTATGTTGCTCAAATAAACTGTCCTTATTTTTCTGTTTATTTTTGGCTTGAGATCTCTTTTAAAAAAAATCTGAGTCAATTCTGAGTTTCCCCACTCCTTTCCTTGGGGGCTTATATAGGGCAACGACATGAGCAAAGTGTATTGGGCACAGAAGCCATCATTTTTTACGTGTTTGTCACACTGACGTCCAGTGAGATATTGTTGTCCTTTTTGGCCCTGGATTGTTAGTCATTCAGGTCTTCTTGGAAGTGTTCTGTACTTTTGTCCCTAAGCTTTTTCACACTAAGTTTAGGTGGTTGACTTAACAATATTATTCCCAAAATATTTACATATGAATGAGAGATTAGCCTTTGTCCAAATAAGTAAGAAAATACATTCCTTTTTTTTTTTAAATAGAGGTCTCACTATGTTGCCCAGGCTGGTCTTGAACTCCTGACCTCAAGTGATTCTCCCACCTCAGCCTCCCAAAATGCTAGGATTACAGGTGTGAGCCACCACACCCAGCCAGAAAATAGGTTCCTGATGGTATAATTCAAGCATTCTGTTAGGCAGAGGTTTCTAATTTTCAGTTTATGGAGATCCTGGGAGGTCCATAAATGGGCTTCATAGACACTCTGAAAATTGAGCACAAAACAGTATATACTTTTTTTTTTTCTGTGAAAAAGCTCCATAGCTTTTACCAGATTCTCAAAAGCCTCTGAATCCCGCTGACCAGCAATTGTGGGAACAAGGCTAAAAGGGTCTCTCTCCTCAGGAACTTAATGGTCTATTGGGAAGAAAGACAAACAGGTGATGTGCTCTATGATAGGGGACATATGGGTGTTGTGAAAACAAGGAGAAGGCCACCTAAATCAGACTGGGGCTTGGTGTCAGCACAGGCTTTTTGGAGGAGTTGATGAAACTGAAGTCTGTAGAGTGAGAGGAAAGTAGCATTTGGCCTTGTAAAGGAGGGGTGGTATTGGTAGAAGAAAGAGTGTTCCAGGGATCTGCCTGTGCACAGGCCCGTAGTCAAGAGATACCTTGGCAATTAATAAGCTAAATAAAATTTGTATGATTGAAGCTTAGAGTGCTGAGGGTTAGATCGGGGTGTTAGTGAGAGATGATGCTGGGAGGTGACCGGAAGTCGGGTTTTGTGTATGATGCTGAAGATGCAGAGGGGAGCAAGACAAAGGAGCCCTTACCTTAAGGAGTTGTATTTCAGTAAAGAGAAACAATTAGGCTGGGTGCGGTGGCTCACGCCTGTAATCCTAGCACTTTGGGAGGCTGAGGTGGGTGGATCATGAGGTCGGGAGATTGAGACCATCCTGATGAACATGGTGAAACCCTGTCTCTACTACAAATACAAAAATTAGCTGGGTGTGGTGGCAGGCACTTGTAATCCCAGCTACTTGGGGGGCTGAGGCAGGAGAATTACTTGAACCCGGGAAGTCGAGGTTGCAGTGAGCTGAGACTGTGCGACTGCACTCCAGCCAGCAATAGAGTGAGACTCCGTTTCAAAAAACAAAAAGCAAAAAAAAAAAAAAAAAAAAAAAAACCACAAAGGAGAAACAATTAGCAAGTGGGCTAATAAGCAAACATGCTTAAAAAAAAAGGAGTCCGCCAGGCACAGTGGCTCACACCTGTAATCCCAGCACTTTGGGAGGCCAAGGTGGGTGGATCACAAGGTCAGGAGTTCGAGACCAGCCTGGCCAGCATAGTGGAACCCTGTCTCTTACTAAAAATACAAAAAAAAAAAAAGAAAAAAAAATCAGCTGGGCATAGTGGCGGGCGCCTGTAATTCCAGCTACTCGGGAGGCTGAGGCAGGAGAATGGATTGAACCTGGGAGGCGGAGGTTGCAGTGAGCCAAGATCGTGCCATTGCACTCCAGCCTGGGTGACAGAGCAAGACTCTGTCTCAAAAAAAAAGGAGTCTCACTATGTAGCTCAGGCTGGTTTTAAACTCCTGGGCTCAAGTGATCCTCCTGCCTCAGCCTCTGAGAGTCACTGGGATTGCAGGCTACCACATCTGGCTCTAGCAGGGAGGTCCTTTAGACAAATCTATATACAGTATGTCACCACATGGATTAGAGGGTTTCAACAAAGGTGGTGGTAGGAGGAATGGAGAGAATTGGATAGATCTGAGAGACACTGAGGGAGTAGAATCAATAGAATTTAGTAGTTTACTGGATAATAATAACAAATAATAATAGCTTCTATATTGAACACTTAGTGCCAGGCAATGCTCAAAGTGCCTAATATTTTTTTCTCATTTATTTCTATAACAACTCTGTGAGGTAGGCATTTTTTTTTTTTTTTTTTTTTTTTTTTTTTTTTTTTGAGACAGAGTCTTGCTCTGTCGCCCAGGCTGGAGTGCAGTGGCCAATCTGGGCTCACTGCAAGCTCCGCCTCCCTGGTTCACGCCATTCTCCTGCCTCAGCCTCCCGAGTAGCTGGGACTACAGGTGCCCGCCACCCTGCCTGGCTAATTTTTTGTATTTTTTTAGTAGAGATGGGGTTTCACTGTGTTAGCCAGGATGGTCTCGATCTCCTGACCTTGTGATCCGCCCGCCTCGGCCTCCCAAAGTGCTGGGATTACAGGCGTGAGCCACCGCGCCCGGCCAGCATTTTTCTTAATTTTATAAATGAGAAAACCCTAGAGACACAGAGAATTTAAGTATCTTATCCAACCAAGATCCCAAGGTAAAGGAGGATTCAAAGTAAAGTCTGTCTCACTTCCAACTCCAGTGGGCAAAGGGGGCAAAGGAAGGGGAATGGATTTGGGGCAGAGATATGAGAAGGAGAAAGATGATACATTTAGGATCTGTGGAATTTGGAGCACCTTTGAGTCATCCAGTGGGGATGTCCAACGGGGAAATGGATAAGTGAATATGAAGCTCAGAAGGGAGATCTAGGTCCAGGAATAGATCTGTGAGTCGCCAGCATAGAAATGTCATTTGGAGCCACATAGTGGGTGAGACCACTCCAGGAAAGTATGTAAAAGGATTAGAATAGAACTGCAAGGAGCATTGATGTTAAGAAATGGCAGAGAAAGAATCCCTCAGAAGATCTAGTCAGAATAGTTTTAAGAAGAAAATCAGGACAGTAGCATCATGGAAAGCAAAGGAAGAGAGAGTTTTAATGAGAGAGTAATCAACAATGTCATATTCTACTTGAGGGGTGAAATAAGATAAAGGCCAAGATATATTTATTTATGGGAGTAAGAAAAAGTTCCTTGGTTACCTAAGAGGACTTGTGGACTGGTGGGGACAGAATCCCATTTAGTTGGTTAAAGAGTGAATAGGAGGCAAGGAAGCTGGGGTGGTGAATATTGACAACTTGATTAAAGTACCTGTTTCTCTGGAGCTATGAACCCACAGTCCAGATTATATTGCGAGGCCTCTCTACTAAGTAGGGATCAAACTGATAGTCCTGCAGCGGGGGTCAGGGGGGTTGGGTCTCCTTTACCTTCTTATGAGAAGGCATGTCCCTTCCTCTCCAGCCATTCCTTTTTGTTGTTTTTTTTTTTAAGAAATATTTTTTATTTTTTAAAACTTTGTAGAGATGAGGTTTCACCGTGTTGCCCAGGCTTGCCTCAAACTCTTGGGCTCAAGGAATCCTCTTGCCTCAGCTCCCAAAGTGTTGGGATTACAGGCATGAGCCACTGCACCTGGCCTTTTCTTAATTTCTCTGCTCTTAAGCCTCTGCCTTACCTTTTCCCTATCCCTCTCTCTTAGAATATTCTCTGGATGAACCCAGTCCTGGGAAAAACAACATTGGTTGTTTTCTACCCACAAATCATTGGCATTATCAGGAGGGCTGTGGGGAAGATATGCTCTCATGCAAATACACGCTCAGTGCAGCCAGGTGCTCATCTCCTGTCTTTCTCTCCTTCTAGGCATATACAAGCTGAGTTTCAGCCATGGAAAAACTCCATGGGCATGTGTCTGCCCATCCAGACATCCTCTCCTTGGAGAACCGGTGCCTGGCTATGCTCCCTGACTTACAGCCCTTGGAGAAACTACATCAGCATGTATCTACCCACTCAGATATCCTCTCCTTGAAGAACCAGTGCCTAGCCACGCTTCCTGACCTGAAGACCATGGAAAAACCACATGGATATGTGTCTGCCCACCCAGACATCCTCTCCTTGGAGAACCAGTGCCTGGCCACACTTTCTGACCTGAAGACCATGGAGAAACCACATGGACATGTTTCTGCCCACCCAGACATCCTCTCCTTGGAGAACCGGTGCCTGGCCACCCTCTCTAGTCTAAAGAGCACTGTGTCTGCCAGCCCCTTGTTCCAGAGTCTACAGATATCTCACATGACGCAAGCTGATTTGTACCGTGTGAACAACAGCAATTGCCTGCTCTCTGAGCCTCCAAGTTGGAGGGCTCAGCATTTCTCTAAGGGACTAGACCTTTCAACCTGCCCTATAGCCCTGAAATCCATCTCTGCCACAGAGACAGCTCAGGAAGCAACTTTGGTAATAGCTCCAGGCACTCATCTTGACTCCAGCCATGTCTGTTGTATGCTCTTGTCTCTAGCTTTCAGTGTCTCAGTTTCCCTCTGTGCTGCTCTGTGTCTGGCTATCTTCTCTCCTCAGAGCCTCTCCTAAGGTGCCTTTTGTTGCAGGACCATCTTCACTGGCATCATTACTTTTATTGCATATCTACATTGGAGATATTGTGCAATAGATCAAAAACAATTCCTGTCCTGGCTGGGTGCGGTGGCTCATGCCTGTAATCCCAGCACTTTGGGAGGCCAAGGCGGGCGGATCACTTGAGTCCAGGAGTTCGAGACCAGCCTGGGCAACATGGTGAAACCCCGTCTCTACCAAAAATACAAAAATTAGCCAGGTGTGGTGGCACGCATCTGTAATCCCAGCTATTTGGGAGGCTGAGGCACGAGAATTGCTTAAACCGGGAGGCGAGATTGTGTCACTGCACTCCAATCTGGGCAACAGAGAGAGACTGTGTCTCAAAAAAATGAAAGCCCAAAAGACACAACAAAAAACAGTCCCTGTCCTTAGGAAGCCTCTGTTCAGGTGAGCCAGCTTAATGTTACTATAGCAGAGTCAGTTAGGTGCTTTTGAGATCAGGCATGAGATACATCTGCTAATTAATTTTCCAACAGCCCTATCAGGGCCTGTACCAGAGACCACTTAATTGTCTGTGCATGTGCAAATACACGTCCACTTTTACACATCTACATGCCTACATTTAGTATACAGTTCAGAATCACTAGAAAGACACACATTGCTTCTGTATATACTTGTGTTTCGGGTTGAGGGACAAGGCTAATCTGAACCCTCTTCTGTCTCTGCCAATTACAAACTATGCAACCTTGGGCAACCTCTTAACCCTTTAGAGCTTTAATTTCCTCGCCTTTAAAATGAATTTAATGAAAATCTACTTCACAGGGTTGTTATCAGGATTACAACTGCTGCCATCTTACATTGATTTAGGGCTTTGCATTTTGCAAAGAGTCATACATACATATAACACTCCATTTAATTTCCCAGTGGCCCTATCAGATAGGTGGTAGTGAATGAGAGAAAGCTGAGGTTCAGAGAGGTTAAGCAGCCCAAGGCTGCTGGGGGATTAATATGGGGCTTTGCCCTTTTTCTTCTGACCCCCAAAACATCTTACTAATATCCTAAAAGGTGTGTGAAGAGCCCCATGCTCCCAGGTTGTGACGCCAATGAAGAGATGAAAGCAGGGGCAGATCATGAAGCATGTGGGCGAAGGCTCTGAAGGTTGAGTAGAGCAAGGTGGTGTGTGAGAGCAGTAAGTCAGACAGGACACATCAGTGCTGGTGTGTGAAGGGAGAGAACATTAGAGGTGCTATTAATGGAGATGTAGACTTTTCCCGTGGCCTGGTGCTGCCTTCAGATCCATCTGGCTTTGAGGGGCTGTGGATACCTGCTGTGATTCATAACTGCCACTACTACCCCAGGGTCGTTGGTTTGATTCAGAAGAGAAGAAAGGGGCAGAGACCCAAATGCCTTCTTATAGTCTGAGCTTGGGAGAGGAGGAGGAGGTGGAGGATCTGGCCGTGAAGCTCACCTCTGGAGACTCTGAATCTCATCCAGAGCCTACTGACCATGTCCTTCAGGAAAAGAAGGTAAAAATTCAAGAGTTAGGGGAAGGTTAATAATGGTGTGGAGGGGAGGTTGGTGGTGGAGTACTTGAACCAGGTCCCCTCCCCAGTTGGAAGGGGAAGGTAGGGATACAACCTAGCTCTTATTTCTCACTTCCTAATCCCCTTTTCTTTTTTCTTTTATTTTCCTTTTCTTTTTTTCTTTCCTTTCTTTCTCTCTTTTCCTTTTCTTTTTTTTTTTTTTTGAGATGGAGTCTCACTCTGTCACCTAGGTTGGAGTGCAATGGCATAATCTCAGCTCATTGCAACCTCTGCCTCCTGAATTCATTATTCTCCTGCCTCAGCCTCCTGAGTAGCTGGAATTACAGGCGTGCACTGCCATGCCTGGCTAATTTTTGTATCTTCAGTAGGGATGGGATTTCGCCATGTTGGCCAGGCTGCTCTCGAACTCCTGACCTCAGGTGGTCTGCCCACCTCAGTCTCCCAGAGTGCTGGGATTACAGATGTGAGCCACCATGCCTGGCCCTAATCCCCTTTTGTAAGTTCTCAACTGGACTCCACATCTCGGGTCCATTCTCTCTGTCCTTGACTTTGTAAGTTAGTCTGCATGGATGCTTAAGTTGGTCCTTGTTACCTCTCTTCTCATTTCTTCCCTCTTTCTCAATTCCCAGATGGCTCTACTGAGCTTGCTGTGCTCTACTCTGGTCTCAGAAGTAAACATGAACAATACATCTGACCCCACCCTGGCTGCCATTTTTGAAATCTGTCGTGAACTTGCCCTCCTGGAGCCTGAGTTTATCCTCAAGGTATTGAGGTGTGAAGGAGGGGATGGGGGTGTGAAGCTGGTAGACTGGGAGTGTGGTTATGGTGTGTGGCGGGGTGGTGACTAGCTTCATGTTGGGGGTGGGAGGAGCTTCTCTTAGGAAGGATTTCTGGGTGAGTCTGCGGCCTAGTCCCTGTGGTTCAGTGAAGAGTGGGGAAAGAGTATACTAGACTTGGTTTGTTTAGTAAGTACCCATTCTCTCAAGGAGCTTATAGTATTGTTAGGGAAGCAAAATACTTTTCCAAATATCATACAAATACAGCTGGAATATTAGATAGTGAACATTTCTGAAGCAAAGAAGAGCGCGGTGGGAAATATCTTCTATGATGCTTTGGAAAATGGCAGGTTTAATCAATGATTTGAACCCAGAATAAATTTTTGATAGCTGTTGATGCAGGAGGTCTTCCAAAGAAGGAAAAGGCCTGGTTGACTTGCAAGGCAGTCAGTAGACTCAGAAGAAGACATGCTGGAAAGTTGAGTAAGGGATAGAGTATGGAGGACTTAGAATGCCAAGTCAGGTGGCCTGGGCTTCGTATTTTGTGGACAACGTGGAGGGCTCAGGAAAGGTTTTATACAGGCACACTCAATCAGCAAGTAATTTCAGGGCAGAAAGCTACGGGAGGAGTGACTGAGATTCTAGTCCTCTCACCCTGTGTCCTAGGCATCTTTGTATGCCAGGCAGCAGCTGAACGTCCGGAATGTGGCCAATAACATCTTGGCCATTGCTGCTTTCTTGCCGGCGTGTCGCCCCCACCTGCGACGATATTTCTGTGCCATTGTCCAGCTGCCTTCTGACTGGATCCAGGTGGCTGAGCTTTACCAGGTATGGTGCTCATTTCCCTGAGCTTGGGCCTTCACTTCATTCCTTCTCTTATGCTCACTGCATCCTTGGAGAAAATTCTCAGGCAATTTGGTTTCCCCTCAGCTTTCCTCAGCATTGGTGCCCAGACAGGACAGCTTCTCCCTCCACTAGGCTGGGTTGTCCAGCATGGAGAATGTGATTGAGAAGGGCTGGACCAAAGTTTGAGAAAAAAAAATGGTCTTATTCTGGACCTCATGCTTTTTTTTTTTTTTTTTGGAGACGGAGTTTCACTCTTGTCGCCCAGGCTGGAGTACAATGGCGTGATCTCGGCTCACTGCAACCTCCGCCTCCCAGGTTCAAGCGATTCTCCTTCCTCAGCCTCCCAAGTAGCTGGGATTACAGGCGTGCGCCACCACGCCTGGCTAATTTTTATATTGTTAGTAGTGATGGGGTTTCACCATGATGGCCAGGCTGGTCTTGAACGCCTGACCTCAGGTGATCCACTGGCCTTGGCCTCCCTAAGTGCTGGGATTACAGGCGTAAAGGTGAGCCACCCTGCCCAGCCAGGACCTCATGTTTCTAATGAAGAAATGAAAATCAGTACCACAGAAATTGTGATTTTGGAGCTAGGGCTGGGAACTTGCTCGCTACTCTGTGCTCTCGTGTATCTCCATGAAGTGATCTCGTTTTGTTTTGGAGGGTTGGTTTGGGTCTTGCTTCTAGTGGTCTCTCCTCTCTCTTTGACAGAGCCTGGCTGAGGGAGATAAGAATAAGCTGGTGCCCCTGCCCGCCTGTCTCCGTACTGCCATGACGGACAAATTTGCCCAGTTTGACGAGTACCAGCTGGCTAAGTACAACCCTCGGAAGCACCGGGCCAAGAGACACCCCCGCCGGCCACCCCGCTCTCCAGTCAGTCACTGCCCCAGCCCTCGACCCACGCCCCTTTTCTCCAGGAAGGGCAGGACAAGGGAGCATGCTGATGCTGGGGAGTCCCACACCAGGAGCAAAGGGAGTCAGAGAAATGCAGGGGAGCTGGGTAGAGCTCATGGGCATATGGTGCAGGGCAGTCTTCTTTTCTAGTTGGCTTCCTTTTTGGTAGAGATGCACCTTCAGGGCTATTGACTGGATCTCTTCAAGGACAGCCAGTTCCCTTTTTTTGAAATTGCTTCTCCTGTCCCTACAGGGGATGGAGCCTCCATTTTCTCACAGATGTTTTCCAAGGTACATAGGGTTTCTCAGAGAAGAGCAGAGAAAGGTGAGTCCCTTCTTCTGGGGTTGTATATGTGCATGTACAATCTCTTCTGGACTAATATTTACGAACAAAATTCTATTAGGGTTGAAAATACTTTCTTCCTGGGGATTCTTGGCTGTGATTGTGGGTAAGGTTCTGAGAGCACTGGGAAAGGCATGTGGTTTTATTTTTTTTCACTTCACTCTCCTTGGTATTGTATTTTTTTTTTTTTTTTTTTTTTGAGATGAAGTTATGCACTGTGGCCCAGGCTGGAGAGCTGCAGTGGCACGGTCTTGGCTCACTACAACCTCCACCTCACAGGCTCAAGCGATTCTCCTGCCTCAGCCTCCTGAATAGCTGGGACTACAGGCGTGTGCCACCACGCTTGGCTAATTTTTGTGTTTTTAGTAGAGATGGGGTTTCACCATGTTGGCCAGGCTGGTCTCGAACTCCTGACCTCGTGATCCACCTGCCTTGACCTCCCAAAGTGCTGGAATTACAGATGTGAGCCACCACACCCAGCTGGTATTGTACTTTACTGCCGGGTGACATGTCAGTAAAGTTGGATAAGTGAGTTAAAAACATTATGAAATATATACCTTTCACAGGAAGTTTTAAAAACAAACCAAACAAAATCTTTTTACTTTTGGACAAATAAGGTATTGTACGTAGCATTTAAGAGCATAGAATCTGGATTCACGTCACCCGGCTTTGAATCTTCCATCCACCCCTTACTGGCTATGAGACATTGGTCAAATGATTTAACCTCTCTTGCCTCAGTTTTCTCACGTATTAAATGGGAATAAAAGCAGAACCTACATTGTTAGGTTGTCATAAAGATTAAATAAGTTACTATATTTAAAGTATTTCTAACAATTCCTGGAAGTAAATAAGTGTTAGCTATCACTACCATCATCGTTATTAAAACAGATGATTAGGAAAATATATATTAGCGTTATAAGAAAAAACGCTTTCTCAGTTGGTCAACTCGTCTTTTCTCTTCATCCTATTAATATATCCTAAATTTAGTTCTTCTGCCATAGAAGATGCTGAAAGCTACCTGCTTTTAGTTTTTATTTATTTATTTATTTTTGAGACGAAGTCTTGCTCTGTAGCCCAGGCTGGAGTGCAGTGGTGCTGTCTTGGCTTACTGCAATCCCCACCTCCTGGGTTCAAGCAATTCTCCTGCCTCAGCCTCCCGAGTAGCTGGGAGTACAGACATCCACCACCATGCCCAGCTAATTTTTTTGTAGTTTTAGTAGAGACGGGGTTTCACCATGTTGGTCAGACTGGTCTCAAACTCCTGACCTCCTACTCCTCCCTCCCGAGTAGCTGGGATTCAAATGATCCACCTGCCTTGGCCTCCCAAAGTGTTAGGTTTATAGGCATGAGCCACCACGCCCTGCCTACTTTTAGTTTTTAAACTCCTCGTAGCCTGCATTGTGCTCGTTTCTCTATTTATCTATTAAGAGTCTTAGTGATTTAAATCGGAGCTGATTTTCCCTTTCCCCTCCTCTACAAACAAAGCTGTCCTGTGTTCATTCTATCCCCACCTTGTTTCTCACAAGCCAGTCAACCCATGTTAACTGCTTGTGTGAATGAAACAGTGACCCCAAAGAGTTGCCATCCTGTGCTGCTTACCATGGGAGCTCTTGTTGCCAGAGATTTGTACCCTCTATTCCTGCTCCTTGGCCAAATCTATTTTGAAGAAAGAAATTACCACATAGGGATCGGATGGTCTTACAATCTGCTTTATTGAAGAAAGTTCCCATGGTCATGGATGAAAGGACCCCTGTGGGACTTGGGGATGTTTCCACAGTTTGAGAAGGCCGGTGATACAGTGTCAGAGAAAAAGAATCCTCCAAGGTTCACCCTGAAGAAGCTGGTTCAGCGACTGCACATCCACAAGCCTGCCCAGCACGTTCAAGCCCTGCTGGGTTACAGGTGAGAAGCTGCACCCTGAGCATGCATTCCATCTAAGTAATTCCTTAACTTTTCAACATCCGTGGCCCCCATCCCAGTAGTTCTCAAACCCAGCAACATGACTTTAGACAGACATGCCCTGTAGACATGACTGCCTTTCCAATTGCTGCCTTTCCTTTTCTGACTCACCTGTAAACATGACTCACCTTTCCTTTTCTGAGTTATTTTTAGGCATATTTGGGCAGACATGCCCTGTAAACATGACTCACCTTTCCTTTTCTGAGTTATTTTCTTGCTGACTCTGAAATGATAGACCTCTTTCTTACCTATCCTCAGATACCCCTCCAACCTACAGCTCTTTTCTCGAAGTCGCCTTCCTGGGCCTTGGGATTCTAGCAGAGCTGGGAAGAGGATGAAGCTGTCTAGGCCAGAGACCTGGGAGCGGGAGCTGAGCCTACGGGGGAACAAAGCGTCGGTCTGGGAGGAACTCATTGGTAGAGTGACCTTGACCATCACATTCCCTCCTTCTCTTCCCCATTTATGCCTCCACATTTTAGATCCTCACTAGAAGATTTCTGTGGAATGATGAAGTTATTACTTTGCCTGGTTGTTGTATTTGATTTATAAGGTCTGCCATTGACTACACCAAAGTAAACAGTGGTACCTGCTTTGAGTAATGTTGGCATCATAGATCATTATACCAGATGTAGTTAGGTGATGTACAAGTTTTTATCAACATATGACAAAAGTACCTTCTCTCTCATTGTACTCATATCGATATCTCTGTAACTCATTCCAAAAAAGGTAGGACTGGCACATGGCATATTGGAATCTGTACAGAACCTCATATTGTATTTAGGACATGGAAGTTTTAGGTAATTTGCCCACATTGATACAGAAAAAAAAAAAGTCAAATAGAGGAGGATCAAGTTATCTTCAGTTTTCTCTTTCTCTGTTTTTTTTTTTTTTTTTTTTTTTTTGGTCTACTTTTACCTATAGCAGGCTCTTTCTTTCGTTTTTTACTTTATAAAATTATTACTTTTCTTTTTAAATTTTAGAGACAAGGTCTTTGTAATGTTGCCCAGGCTGGTCTCAAACTCATGGCCTCAAGCATTTCTCCTACCTTGGCCTCCCAAAGTGCTGGAATTATAGGCATGAGCCACTGCACACACACACACACGCACCCACACACAAACACACATACACACACACACCTGCCCCCAGTTGACAGCCTCTTCTTCCCTGATGGTTGAAACCACTTGGGGTGGAGTAGAATAAAGGGGCCTGGATAGAAGCCGGTATATGTAGATAATTCTTTTTTTTTTTTTTTTTTTTTTTTTGAGACGGAGTTTTGCTCTTTTTGCCCAGGCCGGAATGCAATGGCGCAATCTTGGCTCACTGCAACTTCTGCCTCCTGCCTCAGTCTCCCGAGTAGCTGGGATTACAGGCGCATGCCACCATGCCCAGCTAATTTTGTATTTTTAGTAGAGACGGCGTTTCACCATATTGGCTGGTCTTGAACTCCTGACCTCCAGTAATCCACTCGCCTCGGCCTCCCAAAGTGCTGGGATTATAGGTGTGAGCCACCACGCCCAGCCATATGAAGATAATTCTATATGCACCCATCTCCACTTCCTCCCTCTGGTTGAGAACCACTGTCCCTGAAAATGTAAGGACATGTAAATTTATTCTTTTAATGTCATTTATCCTGGTTGAGGCAAATGCCCATAGTCTAATCCCGTGGTGGCTAGTGTTTCTTTTTTTTAATCATATACTACAAAAACAATTTTTAGGATACACCAGAATATATGTATATGTACTTTTTTTTTTTTTTTTTTTTTTTTTAAGAAACAGGGCCTCACTTTGTTGCCAAGGCTGGTCTCCAATTGCTGGGATTACAGATGTAAGCCACTGTGCCCAGCCAAAAATAAATATAAATAAATAAAAGGAAATATAAAAAAAGATATAAGTATAAAATATAAGATAAAATGTAATTGGATATACAGAACCCTTTTTGAAGACCACAGATCTCATTAATAACTCATTAACATTTTTTTGGAATGAAATTAGTGAATTTTGCAATCTTAAGGATAAATGTCCAGTTTATTTTCTAATATCACCAGTATGATATTGGACTTAATTTCTTACCGAAAATGATCTAGAAAACCTTTTATACATAGTAACAGTGGAAAAAACTTGAGTCGACAATGGATGCAATAGTTCATTTATAGTACATATACAACCTAATTGTTCCATACAGTTTGTGAATCAGAATTATGACTGGAGGCCAGGCACCATGGCTCACGCCTGTAATCCCAGCACTTTGGGAGGCTGGGGCGGGCAAATCACTTGAGCTCAGGAGTTTGAGACCAGCCTGAGCAACATGGTGAAACCCCGTCTCTAACCAAAAATAGAAAAATTAGCTGGGCATGGTGGTTGATGTCTGTGGTCCCAGCTGCTTGGGAGGTTGAGGCAGGAGGATTGCTTGAGCCTGGAAAGTGGAGGTTGCAGCGAGCCAAGATTGTGCCACTGAGTGACAGAGACAGACTCCATCTCAAAAATAAAAAAAAAAAGAATGATGACTGGAGAATCCCAAGACTTCCAGAGGGCTGAAAGCTTCCAGCTATAATTCAAATAAGACTTACATCCCCTTTACAAAGGGAGCAGCATTTACCTGATGAAGCTGCTGATGGTGTGGGCTGGTGCACAAGGCATGGTGACGGACTGACCGGCCTGGCCTCTAAAGTGGTTTGAATGCACCTCTGTCCAGGAAAAGAAAATCACACCTCCTATTTATGTTTACTTTTATCTAAAAGAAAAGAATTTTCCCAGTACTTACCATGCAGATTGAACCCACATAGTCACTGAATCCATATGATACAGTGTTATGTGTTACGTGTAATAGTTGAGGTTTTCTGAGCATCCACAATCTGAGGGCATTAATGTCACCCCTTCACTCTTTTTTTTTTTTAATTTTGGTTTCTATATAATTTGACTTATAGCAATTTATCTTTCAATTGTAGATGGATTTGGAATTATATTATTCAGTATTAACCAAATTAACTGTCTAAAATTGATATAAACCTTTTTTTTTTTTTTTTGGGCGGAGTCTCACTTTGATGCCCAGGCTGGAGTGCAATGGCGCGACCTCGGCTCACTTCAACCTCCGCCTCCCAGGTTCAAGTGATTCTCCTGCTTCAGCCTCCTGATTAGCTGAGATTACAGGCGACCACCACCACGCCCGGCTAATTTTTGTATTTTTAGTAGAGATGGGGTTTCACCGTGTTAGCGAGGATGGTCTTGATCTCCTGACCTCATGATCCGCCTGAGTCGGCCTTCCAAAGTGCTGGGATTACAGGCGTGAGCCACTGCACCCGGCCTAAAATTGATATAAACCTTAAAAATATTATTATTAAGAAACTATGGGCTGGGCATGGTGGCTCACGCCTGTAATCCCAGCAATTTGGGAGGCCGAGGCAGGCAGATCACTGTAGATCGGGAGTTTGAGACCAGCCTGGCCAACATGGTGAAACCCCGTCTCTACTAAAAATACAAAAATTAGCCAGGCATGGTGGTGAGCACTTGTAATCCCAGCTACTCGGAGGCTGAGGCAGGAGAATTGCTTGAATCCAGGAATCAGAGGTTGCAGTGAGCTGAGATTGCACCACCACACTCTAGCCTGGGTGACAGAGTGAGACTCCGTCTCAAAAAAAAAAGAAAAGAAACTATGGCTTGAAGATAATATTAATAACACAGGTACAAGGGAACAATAAGGAAGTGACAGAGGTCAGTGGTGAAATTCTATCTCCAGTGCAAATCTTTTTCACCTATATTTAAGCAAAAAAAGTAATGACTAATCAAATAGAAGAAATTGGGTGAGAAGCTTACAAATTATGAAGACTATTTCAAATATGGATTTACATACATTCGTCATTATAAATGGTGAACTTTTTTTTAATTTTTTTTTTGGAGACAGAGTCTTGCTTTGTCACCCAGGCTGCAGTGCAGTGGCGTGATCTCGGTTCACTGCAACCTTCGCATTTTGGTTTCAAGCGATTCTCCTGACTCAGCCTTTCGAGTGGCTGGGATTAGAGGCACCAGACACCACGCCTGGCTAATTTTTGTATTTTTGTAGAGACGGGGTTTCATAAATGGTGAACCTTCTTTTAAATGGATATTGTGCCTTGAAATATTAACTAATGAATGTGCTACATTATGTTAGTATATACTTCATAAATCAACTTACACTACGAAATTTCTCTTTTGGCCATCTAAAAAGTTTAGAAACCTTTGCTCTAGACTAGATAATACATTTTGCCAGTTGAACCCAATCTTAGGGCTAGAGCCAACAGATTAAGTGGTAACATAACAGCCATCCCATAAACAGTGTTGCATAAATTTTGTTCCAAACTTTGGGCCAACCCTGTTTTTAATCTTTCCAAGCCTTTAAAACATTTTGAGTAGGGTAGATTGTATGTGAATTCCTCACTTCCTCTATCTTGGACTTTCCACATGCCTGGTTTCTGAACTTCTTGCTCTGGTCTCTGACCTCTCTCTAATCATCCCTCATTTGCTTTTTTTTTTTGAGACAGTCTTGCTATGTTGCCCAGGCTGGACTCTAATTCCTGGGTTCTGGGCTCAAGTGATCCTTCTGTCTCAGCCTCCTTGGTAGCTGAGATTATAGGTGCATGCCACTGTGCCTGGCCTTCTCATTTGTTTTTCTCACTCTATGCCCCACATTCCACAGAAAATGGGAAGCTTCCCTTCATGGCCATGCTTCGGAACCTGTGCAACCTGCTGCGGGTTGGAATCAGTTCCCGCCACCATGAGCTCATTCTCCAGAGACTCCAGCATGCGGTATGTGTGAGGGGCTGGTAGCCATGGGGCCCAGCAACTAGATGTGCACGTGGAGAGGCCACTGCTGCTTTAGAGGCCAGGCTTTTTCAGGGGGCAGAGGCAGGTACGGCCCTCAAGCTGTTTCCATGTGGGCTGTAAGTAGATCTGGGAATACAGCTAGGTTGAGGGAGATAAGTTTTGGGGTTCAGTAAATCCTTTGAGAAGTTACAGTAGAGTATAAGAACTTTCATTTTAATTTTCTGAGCTCAGTGACTTACCAGGAAGAGACACTTGTGTGATGTAACTGATTTCAGAAGGAGTCTTTGTTTTTTATTTATAGAGATGGGGTTTTGCGATGTTGGCAAGGCTGGTCTCAAACTCTTGAGCCCAGGCAGTCCACCTGCCTAAGGCTCCCAAAGTGCTGGGATTACAGGCGTGAGCTACCACACCCTGCCCAGAGGGAGTCTTAAAAGAAACGGGGCTCCTTCTGTTACTTTCTCTTCTTTTGTTACCTTTTCTCACATCCTAAAATGATGACTTTTTTCTTTCTTCTTATTACCCCTTTTCTATATCTCTTGTCTAAGTTCATTTTGTCCTTCTGTACCTTCCCACAAAGCTAATAGAGTGGACCCCTGAAGCCCCCCATACTCCCGGCTCCTGTGCTCATGACCCCTCCCTCCTTTGCTTTCTAGAAGTCGGTGATCCACAGTCGGCAGTTTCCATTCAGATTTCTTAACGCCCATGATGCCATTGATGCCCTCGAGGCTCAACTCAGAAATCAAGGTATTCTCCCCTTTCTTCCAACTCCTCTTTGCCTCCCACATCTGACAATAAATGAAGCAGCAGCACCAATATTTTTAGCCTCTTGCTTTGCAGTCTCAGGGTGTATCGGGGTGGGGGGCAGAGGTCAGGCACTTGCCAGCCCCAAGGGTTGGGGCTCAGGTCACATTACTGGTAGGAAAAGATGAGGGAATAGAAGCTGCCTAACTCGGAAATTTACCTGTCATCATACAGCATTGCCCTTTCCTTCGAATATAACACTGATGAGGCGGATACTAACTAGAAATGAAAAGAACCGTCCCAGGCGGAGGTTTCTTTGCCACCTAAGCCGTCAGCAGCTTCGGATGGCAATGAGGATACCTGTGTTGTATGAGCAGCTCAAGAGGGAGAAGCTGAGAGTACACAAGGCCAGGTATGTATGCACTGTCTGGGAGCCAAGGGTGGGCAATCGGGGCTACCCTGGCACAGGTTGGAAGTCATCTGGGAATCCCAACTGTTTTTCTGTAAAGGTTTGCTTGTCAGTCATCGCAGTGGCTCAGAACTGCCTGGTTTCTTGCACAGCACACCTTGTCTTTAACATTGTCCTAAAGAGAGATCATGAAACAAAGTCTACTCCTGGACCTCCACTCTATTATCTGTGATTGTTTTATTGGTTTATGTAGATTCCTTTCTTTTAGTTATGCTGATGTATGGTGGTGTATGCTGGTGTCCTCTCTGCTTCTGCTCTGATTCATGGTTTTCTTTTTCTTTTCTGTGACATGTTTGTTTTTCTTTTTGTTTCTATCTTTCTGTATTTTTTGACCCATTCATCTTTTTTGTTTTTGTTGTGTGTGTGTGTATTTTGAAATACACACAAAGATAGTTACCATCAGCAGGCTCAAAGACAGATGTACCATCTGTTTTGTAGGCTTGATGAAGTCTCAGCTGTCTTTTTAAGTGGTTCATCAGTATCTTACACTTATTTTTACTCAAAACAAACACAGGACTCACTTAACTTTCTAGAGGGCTCAGTAACTAGGAATCTCCTGAATCAGTAGCTGAACAGAGGGCCATTTAAGAATCAAGCCTGGCTGGGTGTGGTGGCTCACGCCTGTAATCCCAGAACTTTGGGAGGCCGAGGCAGGTGGATCACGAGGCAGGTGGATCATGAGGTCAGGAGTTTGAGACTAGCCTGGCCAACATGGTGAAACCCCCTGTCTACTAAAAATACAAAAATTAGCCGGGTGTGGTGGTGGGTGCCTGTAATCCCAGCTACTTGGGAGACTAAGGCAGGAGAATCACTTGAACCCGGGAGGCGGAGGTTGCTGTGAGCTGAGATCGCGCCATTGCACTCCAGCCTGGGCAACAAGAGTGAGACTCTGTCTCAAAAAAAAAAAAAAAAAAAAAAGCCCAAGGGGCCAGTCCAAATGGTATTTGTGTACTGACCAATGTAGCCACTAGCCACATGTGGCTATTTAGCAGTTGAAATATGCTAGTGACGTCTGAGTTGAGACATGCTAGGTTTTGAAGGCAGTCTGAAAAAAGAGTGTGAAATATTCATAACTTTTGTATTAATTACAGGCTGACATGAAAATGTTTTCATATATTGGGTTAAATAAAATGCAGTATTAAATTAATTTTAGCCAGGTGCAGGTGCTTGCACTTGTAGTCCCACCTACTTGGGAGGCTGAGGTGCTGGGATCTCTTGAGCTCAGGAATTTGAGGCTGCAGTGAGCTATGATCATGCCACTGCACAGACTAGGCAACAGAGGAAGACCCTGTCCCTTTTTTTTTTGAGACAGGATTTTATTCCCATCACCCAGGCTGGAGTGCAATGGCACAATCCCAGCTCACTGCAACCTCTACCTCTCAGGCTCAAGTGATTCTCCTGCCTCAGCCTCCCAAGTAGCTGGGATTATAGGCACACACCACTGCACCCAGCTATTTTTTGTATTTTTTGTAGAGTTAGGGTTTCACCATGTTACCCAGGCTGGTTTCAAACCCCTGAGCTCAAGCGATCCAACCACCTTGGCCTCCCAAACCAAAGTGCTGAGATTATAGGCATTAGCTAAGCACCCTGGCTCTTTTTTTTTTTTTAATTGAGACAAAGTCCCACTTCGTCACCCAGGCTGGTGTGATCTCAGCTCACTGCAACCCCTGCCTCCCCTGTTCAAGTGATTCTCGTGCCTCAGACTCCCAAGTAGCTGGGATTACAGGTGCATACCACCACACCCCGCTAATTTTTGTATTTTTAGTAGAGACAGGGTTTCACCCTGTTGGCCAGGCTGCTCTCAAACTCCCAACCTCAAGTGATCCAACTACCTCGGCCTCCCAAAGTACTGGGATTACAGGCGTAAGCCACCATGCCTGTCTTGTCTCTTAAAGAAAAGAAAAGTTAATTTCACCAATTTATTTTTACTGTTTAAAATGTGACTATTAGAAAATTATATGTGTATAATTTAAGTTTAATTTGATTTAATTGTAATTGAATTCTATTGGATAGTGCTGGGAAGACTACTGATTTTGCTAGATTAAAAAATTAGTATAAAAAACTTTAAATATGCACACAAGTAATAAAAATATTAATAGACTTTCATAAAACTATCAGATTCAGTGATTATCTAGATTTTATTACATTTTCTTTTTTTTCTTCTCTTTTTTTTTTTGAGACCGAGTCTTGCTCTGTCGCCCAGGCTGGAGTGCAGTGGCACAATCTCGGCTCACTGCAAGCTCCACCTCCTGGGTTCACACCATTCTCCTGCTTCAGCCTCCCGAGTAGCTGGGACTGCAGGCACCCACCACCACGCCCGGCTAATTTTTTTGTATTTTTTTTAGTAGAGATGGGGTTTCACCATGTGAGTCAGGATGGTCTCGATCTCCTTGTGATCTGCCCGCCTCGGCCTCCTAAAGTGTTGGGATTATAGGCGTGAGCCACCGTGCCCGGCTTACATTTTCTTTACTGATCTTTTTTTCTTTTTCTTTTCTTTTGAAGATATTTTTAAAACAAATGTCAAATAATAAGACACATTTTATTTCACCTTTCCTTATTTCATGTGTGTTTCTTTAAAAAGGGACATTTTTTATACAATGAGAATGTCATTAATATACCTGACAAAACTAAAAATAATTCCTCGGTGAAATCATCTGTTATTTAGTCCATATTCAAATTTTCCAATTGTTTAAAAATATCATTTCACAGTTTTATTCAAATCAAGATCTAAACAAGGTATACACATTACATTTGGTTGTTAAGTCTGTTATGTCACTTTTAACCTTTTAATTGTTCTTATGGCATTGAGCTACTGTGAAAACCAGGTTCAGGGACCCCAAAGAATATCCCATATTCTGGATTTGCCTCCTTCCTCATGATGTCATCTAACTTGTTTTTCTGTTTTTGTTCACTGGGCATTAGCTCTAAAGCCTCGAACAGATTTAGATTTGCCAAGTAGTTCATAGGTGATCCTATATATATACTATTTAAGTGGGACCACTACTCAGTAATGCTAATGTTGATCAGCACTTCTAGGTAGTAATAGCCTAATCTCTCCACAGTAGTTAATGCTCATCCATTGGTGATCTTTGCGTGAACCAATTGTTTCATTGGCGGTTGCAGAATGAGGGTTTTATCATTCCTGCATATTTTTTAACTGGAATTTTAAAAACAGCCTCCCTTATCAACTATATTTATTTAGTTACCCGGAAATAGATTGTATGGGAAAGGTGGGATGAATATTCAATTTATTCTCCTTTAATTGCCAGTTTTCAGAGTAAGGAGTTAGCATTTGTTTTTTAAAATACAATTTAAAACTATGTAGCCATTGAATCTTGCTTCATGAAGTAAGAATGGATTCATGTGGTAAGTGTAGCTAGTGGGTCTACAGGTGACTTCCCCTCTCCTACCATGAGTGTGGATTAGAAGAATCCTATAGGATGGGGGCAGAGGGAAGCTCTCTCCCAGTCCTCTACACCAGAAATGGAGTGGGCTGTGGAAGCGGGTATGGTGCTTGAGGGAGGGAGAAGACTCAATACTTAGTGGCAACTTCTCATCTCCCCGTCTGCCTCTAAGGGGCAGATAAGTCCCTGAGCCCCTGTGTCTGTGTCTTTCTTGCATGTAGACAGTGGAAATATGATGGTGAGATGCTGAACAGGTACCGACAGGCCCTAGAGACAGCTGTGAACCTCTCTGTGAAGCACAGCCTGCCCCTGCTGCCAGGCCGCACTGTCTTGGTCTATCTGACAGATGCTAATGCAGACAGGCTCTGTCCAAAGAGCAACCCACAAGGGGTAAGAAAACAAAAAGCATCCTCCAAGGGGTTGGGTTGGTAGAATGCTGGGGATCCTGAGCAGTATCCTGTTCCCAGAGCTGGTTTTCCCAGGCAAACACTCAGACTGAAATAAATGATATGAATTTGCTTCCAAGTATCAGTCCTTGGTTCCTAGGGGCAATTCCTAGGATGTTGTTTCAACCAGGTTTATGGATTATAATACTAACATTTCACCTTTGGCTGGTACTTGGTACTCTCTAAATTTGCATCACCAAAATATGTCTCACTTTCACCTCACTACATCCCGGTGTTGAACTTGGGCAGGGATCCTGGCTCCTCTTTTCCTCCCTCCACAGTCAGCTCCTCCTGAGGGCTGCTGAAGCTGACCCCTCCTAACTTGGGATTTTACACTTTTTCTTATTCCCTCTAACCAATGGAAGGGTTTGGCCTCCAGGGCTGGCTGGGCAAGGGTGAATTCCAAAGCAGGGGAGCTTTATTTCCCCTGACACTTGTCCAATCAGCCCCCGCTGAACTATGCACTGCTGTTGATTGGGATGATGATCACGAGGGCGGAGCAGGTGGACGTCGTGCTGTGTGGAGGTGACACTCTGAAGACTGCAGTGCTTAAGGCAGAAGAAGGCATCCTGAAGACTGCCATCAAGCTCCAGGCTCAAGTCCAGGTCAGACACTCAACACCCACCATCCAAAAATACATGAAGGACACAGGCCTGGGAATAGCCCAGATATTTGGTAAAGGCACAGACAATACACAGTTCTGAAGATTTCCCAAGCAGACTGCAAGACTGCAGTGTTTGTCGCTTACTGTGCAACCACATAACATGAAGTCTCTTTCCTTCAGGAGTTTGATGAAAATGATGGATGGTCCCTGAATACTTTTGGGAAATACCTGCTGTCTCTGGCTGGCCAAAGGGTTCCTGTGAGTATTAATCCCTGAGAAACCCTCTCCCTCCCCCACATTTTCCTCTGCAACTGATATATTTCATTTCTTGACCTTTAGAGCTGACTTCTCCAACCACATACAATAGTCAGATCAGCTCTACTGGCTACAACCCCCTACCCAGTGGTGTGCTGCTGAATATCTAACAACCAGCTGCCTAGAAAAATAAGCCTTGGTTAGTAGCATCTGCTAAATTTCCATGGTGTAAACAGTCCTACCGTGGCTGATTTCAAGCTATCGACATGATGCTACTGAACATAGAGTTGGGAAAAGACGCTCAGGAGCACACTGCTGTGTAGTATTCTCACACTCCTGATATAGTAGATGTAAATAAGCACGTGTAGATAATAGTAAAATGTAGTAAAATTATTAGGAAGTTATACATTTTGAGTATTTATTACATTTGTTTTATTTTCTGATTTTTATTTTTTGAGACAGGGTCTCACTCCGTTGCCCAGGCTGGAGTGAAGTGGCTCGCTTATAGCTCACTGCAACTAAAACTCCTGGGCTCAAGTGATTCTCCTGCCTCAGCCTCCCAAGTAGCTGGGAGTACTGGTGTGTGTCAACATGCCCAGCCACATTTGTTTTAAATATAACTTATTTAATTTTTTAAATGTATACAATTTAATGTTTAATAATGTCCACCTTTAACAACTGCCCACAAACTTCCTGAAAACTTAACAATCAGCTCTCTTGAGCCTGAATGAGCCAGCTGCAGTATACCACTGCCCCACTCCAACCTCCACTTTGATGTCCCCTGTAAGTTAAAATGCAGTGGCTTCCCTCATTCTATGTGCTCTCAGGAGAGGTACTCCTCTCAGAGTTCTCCTAATCCTCCTGTCCTCAGAAAGCTCATATCTTAATGTCCTGGGCTGTCTAGCATCCCTTCTCTAGCATCTTCTCCCTTTTCATCTTACAGGTGGACAGGGTCATCCTCCTTGGCCAAAGCATGGATGATGGAATGATAAATGTGGCCAAACAGCTTTACTGGCAGCGTGTGAATTCCAAGTGCCTCTTTGTTGGTATCCTCCTAAGAAGGGTACAATACCTGTAAGGGTGCTTATACTTCCTGCCCAGTGTCAGAAATCAGTGGTCTACATTTCCTCTCTACGCCTGCCAAAGCATAGGACACTCCCACTTGGCAGGGATCTCCCCAACTCTGCCTTCTTACCTCTGTTGCACTTCAGGTGGATACTTTAGCCTAACTCTGTACCCCTCTGTGAGAGTCCACCCTAGCCCTAGCCTACCACATAACCCTATTAAAGGTGCAGAAGTGGGGTTTTCATCTTGGGATGTTAGTGGGCAGTGACTGTGTTCCAGGTATTGTTTGTGATGGTTAATGACTGCTTCTTCCTTTGCCAGGTCAACAGATTTGAATCCCAATGATGTGACACTCTCAGGCTGTACTGATGCGATACTGAAGTGAGTACAGAATGGATACTGAAGGGTTGGATACTTTGTTGGAAAGTTTTTAGGAGATTATCTCTACTCCAGTCACTTTTTTTTTTTTTTAAGACAGAATCTCACTCTGTCGCTCAGGCTGGAGTGCAGTGGCACAATCTTGGCTCACTGCAACCTCCATCTCCTGGGTTCAAGCGATCCTCCTGCCTCCGCCTCCCGAGTACCTGGGACTACAGACATGCACCACCATGCCCGGCTAATTTTTGTATTTTTAGTAGAGACGGGGTTTCACCATGTTGGTCAGGCTGGTCTTGAACTCCTGACCTTGTGATCCACCCACCTCAGCCTCCCAAAGTGCTGGGATTACAGGCGTGAGCCACCGCACCCGGCTCCAGTTACTTCTTTTTTAAAGTGAGGTAGTTCACTCCTCTTTTACAGCCATCCAGGCATAGCAGCAACACAGTGTCACAGGGACCCAGGCACTTTCTCTCTTATTGCTCCATGATCCTCAAATACTCAGCTTCTACCTCATAATTCAATATGTCTGCCTGAGCTCCAGCCATCTTGGTATTCAGCCAAGTTTGTATTATATCCAGTAGGAAAGAAGAAAGGGGACATGGGAGACTTCACTGTCAAGAGTTGGCCATGTCACTGTGGCTTCTGTTCAATTCTTGATCCAGAGAAAATTATGTCTATTTAAGCTAAAATTACAGAAATCTTTTCACGTTTTTTTTATCTGTCTCTCCATCCTTTGCCTTCTTATTTACTTGTTTTCTCCCCTGGCTTTTCCTCTGGATACCATCCATTTCCCTCAACTCCTATGAGAAAGCCTCAGGCACATTCCTCCTTCTCCAGGGGGCCTTTATGGCTGGCACAGAGCTGCTCAAGCCCAGACTGGGATGGCTTTAATCTTTACACCTTTCCCTACCCCGTTGCCCCGGCCCAACAGCAAGTTTGTGATTACCACGCACAGCAGGAGGGGCTAGAGCTGGGCTTCTCTTTTCCTTCATTCCTGTGGTTCTGCATCCTCATTTATTTTAAGTCTGCATAAACTGCTTATGGTCCTCTTCTTAAGGAGCTTGACTTAACTGGTCACCAAACCTGGACATATCTTTTTCCCCCTGCCCTTTTCGGAAGACCTCACTGATTTCGACCTGTGGTATTCTACTCTCATTTATCTTGTTATTTATGTCAGGTTCATTGCAGAGCATGGGGCCTCCCATCTTCTGGAACATGTGGGCCAAATGGACAAAATATTCAAGATTCCACCACCCCCAGGAAAGACAGGGGTCCAGTCTCTCCGGCCACTGGAAGAGGACACTCCAAGCCCCTTGGCTCCTGTTTCCCAGCAAGGGTCAGTCTGTGTTTCTATGCCTTTGTGAATTGGGAGGGGCTGCAGTCAAACCTTGGGAAACCCTGGGGCTGAAATTCTAGCTGGTGAGGTGCCGCTTGTTCTCTTCATGAAGGCATGCTTCCTCTTTCTCAGGCGGAGGTTTCTCTACCACAGGGAGTTGTCAGATTGTGAGCAAGCCCTTCCTTTCTCTACTGAGGAAAGGAAGTCAGAATGCAAAGATGACGGCAGACATCATGGCCGTATGGCCAGGGCGTAGGCAGAGGGCTTAGGAGCACAGGTTCTGGCTTTTTCATTGTGGCTTTGCCAAATAGTAGTTTGAATCTGGCTTAGTTGCTTAATTTCTTTTTTTTTTTGAGACGGAGTCTCGCTGTGTCGCCCAGTCTGGGGTACAGTGGCGTGATCTCGGCTCACTGCAAGCTCTGCCTCCTGGGTTCACACCATTCTCCTGCCTCAGCCTCCCGAGTAGCTGGGACTACAGGCGCCTGCCACCATGCCCGGCTAATTTTTTTTTTGGATTTTTAGTAGAGACAGGGTTTCGTCATGTTGGACAGGCTAACCTTGAACTCCCGACCTCAGGTGATCTGCCCGCCTCGACCTCCCAAAGTGCTGGGATTACAGGCGTGAGCCATCGCGCCTGACCAGTTGCTTAATTTCTTAAAGCTATAGTTTCTTGCTGAGCGCCGTGGCTCACGCCTGTAATCCCAGCACTTTGGGAGGTCGAGGCGGGCAGATCACCTGAGGTCGGGAGTTCAAGGTTAGCCTGTCCAACATGACTAAACCCTGTCTCTACTAAAAATACAAAATTAGCCAGGTGTGGTGGCTCATGCCTGTAATCCCAGTTACTGGGGAGGCTGAGGTGGGAGAATTGCTTGAACCCTGGAGGCAGAGGTTGCAGTGAGCCGAGATCGCGCCATTTTACTCTAGCCTGGGCAACAAGAGCAAAACTCTGTCTCAAAAAAAAAAAAAGTTATCGTTTCTTGATTGCTAAAATGGAGATAATGATAGTGCTTACCTCACAGTGCTGTCATGAACAAGCAGTAAGTATATAAAAATGATTACCAGAAAAAAGAGAGGTGTACAAGAAATAGCAAGTGGGCATTAAATTCCAGGGCCCTGCAGTTGAGACCACTAGCAGGTGCTTCTCTGAAGGCCTGCTGGGCACCCATCTGCTGTCTGTCGTACCTGGCTTGTGCTCAGTGCTAAAGGGTGATCACAGCAGTGTCTATGGATGGGGGGTGGGAATCATCCCTAGACTGAGCCCAGCTCTCTGCTTATCCCCAGATGGCGCAGCATCCGGCTTTTCATTTCATCCACTTTCCGAGACATGCATGGGGAGCGGGACCTGCTGCTGAGGTCTGTGCTGCCAGCACTGCAGGCCCGAGCGGCCCCTCACCGTATCAGCCTTCACGGAATCGACCTCCGCTGGGGCGTCACTGAGGAGGAGACCCGTAGGAACAGGTGTGGGGGCTGCAGAGAAGAGGGGCTGGGTCGGGGATGAGGGGCTTGAGTGGTGGACCTGAGGTGGGCATGGTTGGGGCTGCAAGAATGGATGAGGGTGAAGGCGGGAGTCGCTCCTTGGATACTAACAAGAGCAGCCTACCTTTTCTTTACTCAGTTGCGAGTCAGGGCCCCGTCTCCCTGTTTGTGCCTATGTTCCCTGATACCATGCCCCCAGTGACTCCCACACGTCCCTATCATCATGCCTACAGACAACTGGAAGTGTGCCTTGGGGAGGTGGAGAACGCACAGCTGTTTGTGGGGATTCTGGGCTCCCGTTATGGATACATTCCCCCCAGCTACAACCTTCCTGACCATCCACACTTCCACTGGGTAAGGCAGACAGGTTTGGAGGAGGGCTGGGGAGGAAGCAAAGATTGGGGCAGAGGCTGGGAGAAGCCACACTCTGTCAGAAACCCTGCAACTATGAACAGGCAGGTCCTTGAGACTTGAAGTGAAATACAGGCTGAAGATACTGCAAGTGACCATGCTCTAGATGAGAAAAGTCCTTTGAGAAGTGCCTCTGGGGTTGGCCATGAGCAAAAGTAAGAGGGTGGGTCTGCTTAGGTGTTGCCATCAGATAGATCTGGGTACTGATCTCCCTTCTGTCATCTACAAGTTGTGTGGCTTTGTGTGATGCAGCTTACTCTGACCTAGCCTCCATTTCCCTATATTAAAGAGAAGCAATGACATTGACATTGGAGGGTTATTATGAGAATTGAAAGTCTGTAACAGGGCCAGGTGCAGTGGCTCACGCCTATAATCCCAGCAGTTTGGGAGACCAAGGCGGGTGGATCACCTGAGGTCAGGAGTTTGAGACCAGCCTGGCCAACATGGTGAAACCCTGTCTCTACTAAAAATACAAAAATTAGCTGGGCTTGGTGGTAGACACCTGTAATCCCAGCTACTCAGGAGGCTGAGGCAGGAGAATTGCTTGAACCGAGGAGGCGGAGGTTGCTGTGAGCCAAGATTGCGCCATTGCACTCCAGCCTGGGTGACAAGAACAAAGCTCAGTCTCAAAAAAACAAAAAATAAAAAATAAAAAAAAATCAAAGGTCTGTAACAGAATACTCAATACATTACAGGCATTCAATGAATGTTAGCTATTAGTGCCTTGTTCCAGGAAAAAAAAATAAAAATAAATAAAAAACATTAGCTATTAGCTATATTTTATTGCTTGTGCCTGGAGGGAAGGAGAGAGGAACATCAGAGATACAGGAGTCCTGGGGCCTTGGCAGGTCTGGAGGGAGGGTCATTGTGGCCTAGGACTAAACTCACTGTCTCTGTCCTCCCCGCAGGCCCAGCAGTACCCTTCAGGGCGCTCTGTGACAGAGATGGAGGTGATGCAGTTCCTGAACCGGAACCAACGTCTGCAGCCCTCTGCCCAAGCTCTCATCTACTTCCGGGATTCCAGCTTCCTCAGGTACTGTCTGTTGCCTGCAGGCTGGGGCTCCTTCCCCAAAAGGCCAGACAGGCCAGTCTTCTCTCCTCAGTATTCAGAGTATAGAAGGGGAGTGCTATGAGGCAGAAACAGGACTCAGCATGCCTTTGCAGCCCCACGTCAGCCTTGGTGCTGGAGTCAGGAGCTCTCTACTTGAGGAGCTTCAGGAAATTACAGCTATGTCTGGTGGTTGGTGGAGGGAGGCTGGCTGGGGTCTGAGTCTATTCCAACTTTTGGGGTCTTTGGTGGTCAGCTCTGTGCCAGATGCCTGGAAATCTGACTTTGTTTCTGAGTCTGAAGAGGCCGCACGTCGGATCTCAGAACTGAAGAGCTACCTAAGCAGACAGAAAGGGATCACCTGCCGCAGGTGAGCTGAGGGAGGTAGGGAGCACCTGTACAGAGATGTGGTGAGAGGAGCCGGGCCTGCTCTGACCTGGTTGTGCTTGATTTGCCCACAGATACCCCTGTGAGTGGGGGGGTGTGGCAGCTGGCCGGCCCTATGTTGGCGGGCTGGAGGAGTTTGGGCAGTTGGTTCTGCAGGATGTATGGAATATGATCCAGAAGCTCTACCTGCAGGTCAGCAGAAGCACTGGTGACCAGAGGCATGGAGAGGGACATGGGGTGGTCTGGGTTGTCCTGGGGAGGAAGTAGCTTGGCGGGGGCTCTGTGAGTTTTAGCCTGGGAGTGCTGAGGAGCATGGCACCATGGATAGTCACTGACCCATTTACCCTCAGCCTGGGGCCCTGCTGGAGCAGCCAGTGTCCATCCCAGACGATGACTTGGTCCAGGCCACCTTCCAGCAGCTGCAGAAGCCACCGAGTCCTGCCCGGCCACGCCTTCTTCAGGACACAGTGCAACGGCTGATGCTGCCCCACGGAAGGCTGAGCCTGGTGACGGGGCAGTCAGGACAGGGCAAGACAGCCTTCCTGGTACAGAGTCTCAGGGGCCTGGGCAGGAGGGAGGGAAGGCTGTGTGGGCTAAGGAGGTAAGGCACAGGGAGCTCAGGCATGTAAAATGTGACCATGTTTTCTGTTCCTGTCCCATGCAGGCATCTCTTGTGTCAGCCCTGCAGGCTCCTGATGGGGCCAAGGTGGCATCATTAGTCTTCTTCCACTTTTCTGGGGCTCGTCCTGACCAGGGTCTTGCCCTCACTCTGCTCAGACGCCTCTGTACCTATCTGCGTGGCCAACTAAAAGAGCCAGGTGCCCTCCCCAGCACCTACCGGTGGGTATCCCCCAATGAGCCCAGCCTTGTTGATGCCCACGTACCACCCCTGCTTTTTTTTTCTCTCCCACTGACCCTGACTTCCTCTCCATGTACAGAAGCCTGGTGTGGGAGCTGCAGCAGAGGCTGCTGCCCAAGTCTGCTGAGTCCCTGCATCCTGGCCAGACCCAGGTCCTGATCATCGATGGGGCTGATAGGTTAGTGGACCAGAATGGGCAGCTGATTTCAGACTGGATCCCAAAGAAGCTTCCCCGGGTGAGTGTGAGAAGGAGGTGGGTGTCGGGAGGCAGGCTGGGGAGAAGGAGGGATACGGCACGGAGGAGAGAGGCCTCTCCAATGTGGTTCTCCTTTTCTTTCTACCTTCCTGCCCCTTTGCCCAAATATCACAGTGTGTACACCTGGTGCTGAGTGTGTCTAGTGATGCAGGCCTAGGGGAGACCCTTGAGCAGAGCCAGGGTGCCCACGTGCTGGCCTTGGGGCCTCTGGAGGCCTCTGCTCGGGCCCGGCTGGTGAGAGAGGAGCTGGCCCTGTACGGGAAGCGGCTGGAGGAGTCACCATTTAACAACCAGGTTGGGTTCTAGGCCGGGGCCGGTGGGTGTGTGGGGTGAATCTGGGAGCTATGAGGACCTGGGGTGCCGAGGCCGCTAGCTGCCTTGCACAGACCTGCTCCTTTGTTTTCTCAGAAATTCTGTCCATGGGAAGTTGTTAATAAGAAAATTGTGATTCCTGATCATGTCACCCAGCCCTCTTCCCCCGGTGAATGGCCTTTCCAGGGCCTCTCGGGGTGAGGGGATGAGTCAAGTGGTTTTTGGTGGGGTAGGCCGAGCCACAGGGGTTTTCTGGCAGGGCTGGCTGGGCAGAGCAGCGTAGGAGAGGGATGGTTTGTGTCCTGGGATGATGCCATGGACCTGGCGTCTGCTGGGGACTCTCAGAGGAGGAGCTGCCTGGCAGAGGGGCTGGTGCTGGGGCAGAGGGCTGGCTGCGGGCAGCCCTCCTGGACCCCACCCTGAGTCCTGAGTCTTGCCAGATGCGACTGCTGCTGGTGAAGCGGGAATCAGGCCGGCCGCTCTACCTGCGCTTGGTCACCGATCACCTGAGGCTCTTCACGCTGTATGAGCAGGTCAGTTCTCATCACCTTCCAAGTCCTAATCACTACTTCCCATTCTCTCTTCAGCTGCTTTGTCTCATCCCTATCCCACGTCCTTTGCTGTCTTGTGATCACCCACTCCCTATCCTCGCCTCATACCTCGCCTCACTTCCCTCCTACTGTTGTTCTTTACTTTTTCATTCCTCCACACTGTCCTCCTGCTGCCCCTTCCCTATCCCACAAGCCAAGCTGCTTCTCCTCCCACTGCACTGAACAAGGCTGTCCTCCCGCCATCCTAGGTGTCTGAGAGACTCCGGACCCTGCCTGCCACTGTCCCCCTGCTGCTGCAGCACATCCTGAGCACACTGGAGAAGGAGCACGGGCCTGATGTCCTTCCCCAGGCCTTGACTGCCCTAGAAGTCACACGGAGTGGTCAGTGCTTGGGGTGGGTTGGTTGGGAGGCTGAGGGCCAGGGTTCGGATTACATTGGTTCCCTTGGGGTCTCAGCAGGCAGTTCAAGGAGAGACTGGGTGTGGTGGGGGCGGGGACACCGTATGGTTAGATGAGGGCCTCAGAGAGCTTGAGTTTTCAGGTTTGACTGTGGACCAGCTGCACGGAGTGCTGAGTGTGTGGCGGACACTACCGAAGGGGACTAAGAGCTGGGAAGAAGCAGTGGCTGCTGGTAACAGTGGAGACCCCTACCCCATGGGCCCGTTTGCCTGCCTCGTCCAGAGTCTGCGCAGGTACAGGTGCCCCAGCAGAGCTCCCGCTGACCTCTCTGTGCCTTCCCTTCTTTGAGCCGGGGCCCTCTGTATAGCTTCAACAACTGGCTCCCAGACCATGAATGAGCTACTGCTCCAGCTGCTCCAGTTTCCGCTATTTGAGGGGGGAATAGGAGCCCACTGTGTGCCAGGAAGCTCACTGACAGGCCTCTTCCTTCTTCTCTCTCCCTTCCTCACACGAGGACAGTTTGCTAGGGGAGGGCCCTCTGGAGCGCCCTGGTGCCCGGCTGTGCCTCCCTGATGGGCCCCTGAGAACAGCAGCTAAACGTTGCTATGGGAAGAGGCCAGGGCTAGAGGACACGGCACACATCCTCATTGCAGGTGATTGCAGCCCAAGTCAGCCTGGGCACTGAGTGTGGGGCTTGGGCCTGGAGGCCAGGACCACCCACTGTGCTCCCATCTGCTGGCCAGCTCACCTACTGCCCTTGGGAATGATGCAGGGCTGAGCCTTTCTCAATATCTGTTCATGCAGCTCAGCTCTGGAAGACATGTGACGCTGATGCCTCAGGCACCTTCCGAAGTTGCCCTCCTGAGGCTCTGGGAGACCTGCCTTACCACCTGGTTAGTTCCTAGACCCCATAGACACCTTTCCCAAAGTGAGTGCTTTGGTTGCTCTGAGACCCCTCTCCCCGTTACCATCTCCACCATCACCGCCGCCATTACCCCTCCCAAACTCCCTTGACCTCTTTCCTTTCAGTTTTCCTGCCCTTCTTCTTCAAGTCCTTTGTCCCAGCTCAGATCCTATCTCTGTATCCAGGTTCTGAGACTAAACTGTCCCTTCTCACCAGCCCCTTCATATCCCTAATGAATTCAATCTGACCTTCTCAGCTCCAGAGCGGGAACCGTGGACTTCTTTCGAAGTTCCTTACCAACCTCCATGTGGTGGCTGCACACTTGGAATTGGGTCTGGTCTCTCGGCTCTTGGAGGCCCATGCCCTCTATGGTGAGATGAGTCACTGGCTGGGTTCTTCTCTGAGATATGGGACTCCTGGGTGTGCTTATGGGGGCCCTGCTCAGGGTTGGGGCAGGGGTGTGGGTGTCAGGGAAAAAAGATTCAAATTTCCATTTCGAGTTGAAAATGCCAAGAGGGTGAGCACGTGACTCTCAGGAGACCTTTCACCTTGATCTCTTGGACCAGAGATTCTTCAACTTTATTTAGTTAGCATAAAACTATCTAGGAAACTTGTTCAAATTGCAGATCCTTGGGTCTCCATATTCTGGTTTCCTAGGTTTGGAGTGGGGCTCAAAGCTTTGTACTTTTAAGAGATATTCCTGATATAGGGCCAGAGGGCCACACTTTGAGACTTACTATTGTAGACACACCATATGGTTTTATTTGGTGCTGGGGCTAATGGGGTCCAGCTGGCTCCCCAGTGACATTCTGCCACCCTTTTATAGCTTCTTCAGTCCCCAAAGAGGAACAAAAGCTCCCCGAGGCTGACGTTGCAGTGTTTCGCACCTTCCTGAGGCAGCAGGCTTCAATCCTCAGCCAGTACCCCCGGCTCCTGCCCCAGCAGGCAGCCAACCAGCCCCTGGACTCACCTCTTTGCCACCAAGCCTCGCTGCTCTCCCGGAGATGGCACCTCCAACACACACTACGATGGCTTAATAAACCCCGGACCATGAAAAATCAGCAAAGGTAAGACCTTGACCCCAGACCCTAGTAAGCCCACCAGAGAGCAAGCTGCAGCTCTTTCTGAAACTGAGGAATAAGGATGACCAGAAACACTGGAGAGGGATCCAGGCACAGAAGCACATAAATCAACTCCTGTTTGCATTCTCTCGTTTATTTCCTCCCTTTCTTCCTACTCTTTCTCTAGCTCCAGCCTGTCTCTGGCAGTTTCCTCATCCCCTACTGCTGTGGCCTTCTCCACCAATGGGCAAAGAGCAGCTGTGGGCACTGCCAATGGGACAGTTTACCTGTTGGACCTGAGAACTTGGCAGGTATGACAATCAAGGAGGGGCAGAATTTACCCTCTGAAAATCCATGCAGACTGCCCTGAAGCCCTAGATGAGCCAAACACACCTGTTATCACTCTGATTAATTCAGCAACTTTACTGCCTGCACATCAGCTCAAAGGGCTTGGCCAAAAAATCAATCACACAGCAAATATTTGCTGCACACCTTCCATTTAAGGCACTGTGCTAAGCGTTGCAAGAAACACAGGATTTGGGACATTGTCATTGCCCACCAAGTGGTCAGTTTTGTTGGGAGATAAGACATACGAGGTAAAAAAGGAACCAAAACATAGCCATGTAATCTAATTAAGACATGAGTGAGTTGTGCAGCTATAGGAGGACATAGGATAGAGAAGGGCAGGCACTCTTGTTTGAACAAGGAACCTGAGCAAAGACACAGGAGGGGAATGTTCCTGGTAAATTTGTAAATTGCTGGGAATTATGGCAGCACAGCGTGCTTATGGGAGGCTAATAGTACATTAGGCTGGAGAGGTGAGTCCTAGAACCACAGCCTCTTTCTATCCTCTTTACACTCATGTCATCCCCTACCCCATGTAACCCCATTTTCTCAGACCCATCAAAATTTTCTGTAACTTGGGGAATAGGTATGGGGTTTGGAGTAGGGGAGAAAATGTGGCCCCACTTGGATCACGAGGCCCCCACTTGAACGTGTGCTTGACTTGGAACATAGAGAGCCAAGGACTCATGGCCTTTGTGCCTTGGCCTTCTTTTTGGGTGGGGCCTGGAGTGGTGGGACTTGGAGGGTCAAGGGGATGGCCTGAGCTGCGCTCCCTCACCCACTGTCGCAGGAGGAGAAGTCTGTGGTGAGTGGCTGTGATGGAATCTCTGCTTGTTTGTTCCTCTCCGATGATACACTCTTTCTTACTGCCTTCGACGGGCTCCTGGAGCTCTGGGACCTGCAGCATGGTTGTCGGTAAGGGGTCCTCCCCATTTGTCTTGGAATGAGGGCCTTCCCCATTTTTTGGAAGCCCCAGGAGAAGGAAATGAGGAGGGAGCTGATGGCCAGGGTCCAGAGGACTGACTTCATCTTCCTGGGATAGGGTGCTGCAGACTAAGGCTCACCAGTACCAAATCACTGGCTGCTGCCTGAGCCCAGACTGCCGGCTGCTAGCCACCGTGTGCTTGGGAGGATGCCTAAAGGTAAGACTTGGGGTCTGCAGTGGTCAGAGTGGCCCTGAGCCATGACTCACCCTCGTGAATTTGTTCTCTCAGTGCGGCAGAGGCTGCTGACTCCCTGGCCAGAGAAGGCCTTCCCTGCTGAGGGCAGGGTAACTGGACAAGGTTGCTCCTGGAGGTCTGGGACTGAGAAGTTCAGGCATCTCTCTTCAGCATCCTGATTCCTCCTCTCTCTCCCTCAGCTGTGGGACACAGTCCGTGGGCAGCTGGCCTTCCAGCACACCTACCCCAAGTCCCTGAACTGTGTTGCCTTCCACCCAGAGGGGCAGGTAATAGCCACAGGCAGCTGGGCTGGCAGCATCAGCTTCTTCCAGGTGGATGGGCTCAAAGTCACCAAGGTAAGAAGGTCCAGTGTTGCTCTTGGGGGAAGCACAGGAGGACAGGAGTGGAGGGTGGCAGACGACAGACAGCAGCATTCTGGGTCACTTAAGATTTTGCTGAGAGCAGGTCTTCACGTTTCCATTTCTACCTCCCTGTGTAGGACCTGGGGGCACCCGGAGCCTCTATCCGTACCTTGGCCTTCAATGTGCCTGGGGGGGTTGTGGCTGTGGGCCGGCTGGACAGTATGGTGGAGCTGTGGGCCTGGCGAGAAGGGGCACGGCTGGCTGCCTTCCCTGCCCACCATGGCTTTGTTGCTGCTGCGCTTTTCCTGCATGCGGGTTGCCAGTTACTGACGGCTGGAGAGGATGGCAAGGTCAGCTTGCAGAGGGCTGGTGGTGGGTTGTGAGGAGGAGTAGCAAAGGCAAAGAATATCTTGGTGGGGGTGGGGGTCCTTTGTCGAGGAGACTGTGGAGGAGCTTGGATTGCAGGAACCACGGGGAGAGGGGTGCCGCTGTGTGCAGGGGCAGCTCTCATGAGAAGAGTCTCTGGAAGGAGGACTTTAATGGGGGTGGCTGTAACTCAAAACAGGAAGGAGGACCGCGTGGTGGAGGTGGTATCCTTAAGCCCTTTTCTTGGTTCCCAGGTTCAGGTGTGGTCAGGGTCTCTGGGTCGGCCCCGTGGGCACCTGGGTTCCCTTTCTCTCTCTCCTGCCCTCTCTGTGGCACTCAGCCCAGATGGTGATCGGGTGGCTGTTGGATATCGAGCGGATGGCATTAGGATCTACAAAATCTCTTCAGGTACTGAAATGGGAATGGGTGGGTTTTTGAGCCTTTAGAAAGAGCGCAGCCCCTGCCCCCTACCCCTTCCCAAGTGTCTTACTCCCTTGTTCTCTCTCATTCTCTAGGTTCCCAGGGGGCTCAGGGTCAGGCACTGGATGTGGCAGTGTCCGCCCTGGCCTGGCTAAGCCCCAAGGTATTGGTGAGTGGTGCAGAAGATGGGTCCTTGCAGGGCTGGGCACTCAAGGAATGCTCCCTTCAGTCCCTCTGGCTCCTGTCCAGATTCCAGAAGCCTGTGCTAGGACTGGCCACTTCCCAGGAGCTCTTGGCTTCTGCCTCAGGTACTACTAGACAGTGGGCAGGGTTAACAAATTACTGTTCTTTTCTTTTCTTTTTTTTTTTTTTAAGACAGAGCTTCACTCTTGTTGCCCAGGCTAGAGTGCAGTGGTACGGTCTCGGCTCACTGCAACTTCTGCCTCCTGGGTTCAAGCAATTCTCCTGTCTCGGCCTCCCGAGTAGCTGGGATTACAGGCATGCGCCTCCACGCCCGGCTAATTTTATATTTTTAGTAGAGATGGGGTTTCACCATGTTGGTCATGCTGGTCTCGAACTCCTGACCATAGGTGATCCACCCACCTCGGCCTCCCAAAGTGCTGGGATTACAGACGTGAGCCATTGCGCCTGGCCCACAAATCACTGTTCCTTTTAAAGACACTAACACCTTTCTCCAAGTTGTATGTATATGTGTATGAAAATACACATGTGCGATTTTGTTTTACAACTTTCAAAGTGCTTTTGAATGCAATTATCTTGCATAATCTGTTTAGACTGTTTCCACTCATTCCTTCACCTTCATTCTGGGACCTCTAACCTCCCAGTAATCCTTTGAGTTTCTGCCCCGTGGGAGACTTTGCTGTGAAAAGGGATAGGTTTCCCTTAGAAGGAGAGAGAGAGATGTTGAGGTGAAAATGTAGAATGGCCTAGGCCCTCTCTAGGAGGGAGAACTGGTCCTCACAGGTCACGAGGTGGAAGTGACACTGGACACTTGAGAAGAGGAGGGGTCTGGAGCAGCTGCTGTGGGAGTACAGTTAGAGAAGCAGAGACAAGGAACTGTGTTCCCGGCCTGAGCTGTGGAGCTGGAGCTGGGAGTGCCGCACGTTCCCGTCCTATGTACACACTCGCTGATGACCCTTGCCCAGGGCCTCTCCACAGCCTTGTGACTCCCTGCATCCCTCCCATGGAGCTGAGCCTCAGGTGTCACCCTCAGCCCCCATGGCCGCTCCTGTCTTTGGCCTCCCAGGGCCTGTCTGGCTTCCTCTTTCAGGAAGCTGTTCCCTCTCTCTTTTTCCAATGCAGAGGATTTCACAGTGCAGCTGTGGCCAAGGCAGCTGCTGACGCGGCCACACAAGGCAGAAGACTTTCCCTGTGGCACTGAGCTGCGGGGACATGAGGGCCCTGTGAGCTGCTGTAGTTTCAGCACTGATGGAGGCAGCCTGGCCACCGGGGGCCGGGATCGGGTGAGCTGCAGAAGGATGCAACCCTGGGGTCCCATAGCCTCTCTAGTTCCTAGATTTCTTAACAACCCATTTCCCATTGCTTCCTCCTGCTTTTTGTTTTGCCAAATCTAGTATAGATCTGTCTGCCTGTGCTTCCTTGTGCCCCTCTTTCCTTGAAATTTCTTGCCTGAAATGGCTCCGGGGTTCCCATCCTTCCTTTGGTCCTGATTGCTCCCTCTCCTTGGGGCCTATCCAGAGTCTCCTCTGCTGGGACGTGAGGACACCCAAAACCCCTGTTTTGATCCACTCCTTCCCTGCCTGTCACCGTGACTGGGTCACTGGCTGTGCCTGGACCAAAGATAACCTACTGGTGAGTAAAGGGCCAGGGGTGGCACAGAGCCCAGCTGGGTTCCTGGGGCAAGACAACACTCCCCACCTCGTCCTTTTTCTGGCACCCATTAATAATAGTGATAGCTAATATTTGTCAAACTTGATATGTGCCAGGCATTGAACTAAGCTCTTTTCATATATTGCTTCACTTAATCTTTACAACACCCTGTAAAGTAGATACTCCTTTTATCTCTATTTTTCAGACAAGGAAATTGAACTCAGAACATTTCCAAGGTCAATGATGAAGCTGAGCCAGGGAACTCTCTAATAAGAAAGCCTAGGTCTGGGCACGGTGGCTCACACCTGTAATCCCAGCACTTTGGGAGGCCGAGGCGAGTGGATCACGAGGCCAGGAGTTCAAGACCAGGCTGACCAACATGGAGAAACCCTGTCTCTACTAAAGATACAAAATTAGCCAGGCGTGGTGACACATGCCTGTAATCCCAGCTACTCAGAAGGCTGAGGCAGGAGAATAACTTGAACCCGGGAGGCAGAGGTCGCGCCATTGCACTCCAGCCTGGGCAACAAGAGTGAAACTCCATCTCAAAATAATAACAATAATAATATGGACAATAGCTACCATTTATTATATGCTCACTGTGTGCCAGGCAGCATGCTAAGTCCTTTTTTTTTTTTTTGTTTTGAGACAGAGTTTCGTTCTTGTTGCCCAGGCTGGAGTGCAGTGGCGCAATCTCTGCTCACTGCAATCTCCACCTCCCAGGTTCGAATGATTCTCCTGCCTCAGCCTCCTGAGTAGCTGAGATTATAGGCACCTGCCACCATGCCCAGCTAATTTTTTGTATTTTTAGTAGAGATGGGGTTTCCTCATGTTGGCCAGGCTGGTCTTGAACTCCTGACCTCAGGCGATCCACCTGCCTCGGCCTCCCAAAGTATTGGGATTACAGGCATGAGCCACCGTGCCCAGCCTAAGTCCTTTATGTAGACGCACTCAGCCCCACAACCACCATATCAGATAGGTACATTATCATTATACTCATTAAATAGTTGGGAAACCCAAGGCTCAGAAAGAGAAACAGACCACAAAGCAGAAAGTAATGAGTGACAGAGCTAGGATTTGAACCCAGGAGAACCCAGGCCCTTAATTACGTGGCTAACCGCCTTCCACCCTACACTACAGATATACCAAAATGCTGGAGGGATGCTGATAATCCCACTCCTCTGACTTCTGACTCTGTAGATATCCTGCTCCAGTGATGGCTCTGTGGGGCTCTGGGACCCAGAGTCAGGACAGCGGCTTGGTCAGTTCCTGGGTCATCAGAGTGCTGTGAGCGCTGTGGCAGCTGTGGTGAGAAAGCAATGGAGATCCCACTGGGGGGTCTCTGGAAGGGCTAAGGGGGCTTTGGGAGACGGTGCATGGAGTATCTAATCCCAGAGGCAAAATGAGCATAAAAATGAGATACCTAGAGATTAGGCAACATAGGAAGACCCCCCATCTCTATAAAAAATAAAAATAAAAATTAGCTGGGTACCATGGTACATGCCTGTAGTTCTAGCTACTCAGGAGGCTGAGGCGAGAGATCACTTGAGCCCAGGATTTCAAGGCTACAGTGAGCTATGATCAAACCACTGCACTCCAGCCTCCAGTGTAACAGAGTGAGACCCTATCTTTAAAAAAAAAAAAAAGAGAAAAAGAAAATGAGATACTTGGGATTGGATTATGGTGTTGAGGCTAAGGGTTGGTGTAAAGGGAGAGAGGAGAGCATGAAAACACAGCCTCTTGGTATCATGAACTTGAGCCACCCGACCCCACTGTCCTGAGCCACCCAACCCCACTGTTCCTGAGTTCTCCTCCCTCATTGACATCTTCCATGCTCCTAATGCTCCACCCACCTCTGTGGAGGAAGTTCTGTTTCCCATGTCCTGCTCAATATGACTCTGCTCTGATCTTGTGCTCTGTGGGCAGGAGGAGCACGTGGTGTCTGTGAGCCGGGATGGGACCTTGAAAGTGTGGGACCATCAAGGCGTGGAGCTGACCAGCATCCCTGCTCACTCAGGACCCATTAGCCACTGTGCAGCTGCCATGGAGCCCCGTGCAGGTAACAAAACGTCAGCCACCTCCCCTTCCCTGCTGTCTCTTCTTTTCTCCCCTGCTCCGTCCCTTCTTCTGACTCAGTCTCTGTGTCTTATCAGCTGGACAGCCTGGGTCAGAGCTTCTGGTGGTAACCGTCGGGCTAGATGGGGCCACACGGTTATGGCATCCACTCTTGGTGAGTTCCTGCAAGGACCAGAGTCAAGGGAGGTGGGGAAGGTATGCGGAATAACCTTCTGTTGTGCCCACTCTCATGAGCCCATCTCCATCCCTTCCTCCTAGGTGTGCCAAACCCACACCCTCCTGGGACACAGCGGCCCAGTCCGTGCTGCTGCTGTTTCAGAAACCTCAGGCCTCATGCTGACCGCCTCTGAGGATGGTTCTGTACGGCTCTGGCAGGTTCCTAAGGAAGCAGGTGAGTGAGGCTTGGAGAGAGACAGGGTGTGTTACTGGCACAAAAAAAGGTCAAGGGTGGCCTGATATCTCTTATCCCAGCAGTATCCCAGCTCCTAATGAAACACGTCCTTTCTCCTCCAGATGACACATGTATACCAAGGAGTTCTGCAGCCGTCACTGCTGTGGCTTGGGCACCAGATGGTTCCATGGCAGTATCTGGAAATCAAGCTGGGGAACTAATCTTGTGGCAGGAAGCTAAGGCTGTGGCCACAGCACAGGTGAGTCGGTGTACCCTTGGTTCTTTGTCTGTGTGAATTCTACCCTGGCTGTGTATTTACTGGGCGTTAGAGGTTGCATATGTGCCTGGGAGGGAAAAGATGGTGCATCCTGGCTCATCAGAAGCACTGAATTGAACTTGTTGTGTACACCAGGCTCCAGGCCACATTGGTGCTCTGATCTGGTCCTCGGCACACACCTTTTTTGTCCTCAGTGCTGATGAGAAAATCAGCGAGTGGCAAGTGAAACTGCGGAAGGGTTCGGCACCCGGAAATTTGAGGTGAAACAGGCTGATGGGTTAATGGGATAGAAACAGCAGTCTCCTCACTCCTGGCATTTTACCCAAATTACTGCACTTCTGCTTCTGAACTAGGTCAATTGGATGTTAGTTACTGAGTGGGACATTATTTTCTGCTTCTGTCCATGGCAATGTAAATGAATAATTCTCAGGTGCCTACTTGATGCCAAGCTCTGGGCCAGGCAGTATGAACCAGTTACAGATGAAATTCATCCTTTAATTAAGGAAGCTCACAGTAGAGGAATGTGCATATATTTAAACCAGCAGCACTATTCAGACTGACTAGTGCTATAATGAAGATACACACACACACACACACACACACACACACACATACACACACACACACACATATTCCTGGGGCTTCAAAATTTGAGAAATTGTGGGAAGGAGTTGGTATTTAAGGTTGGACACTTACAGAATGAGTAGGAGTTTTCTGGACCAGTAAGAGAAGGGAACAGTGTTTCAGGAAGAGGAAGGAACATGTACAGAAGATATGGAGATGTTGAGAGTATGTAGTATATTCTGGGTATAGCCAGCTCCTTGGATTCCTGGTGGGAGTAAGGGAAATGGAATTGAATAGATAAACTGGGGTCAGGCTGTAGAGGGCACAGTGCTAAGAATTTTGGGTGGAATAATTATCTGGATTTTATAAAGAGAACTGGTGGCAGTATGGAAGATGGATGGTAGTAGAGAGATACTAAAGGTAAGGAGACCACATTTACACCTGTAGCTATAGCCTAGGAAAGACGTAATGTGGGCCTGACCTGGGCTGTGGAGATGAGAAGGGGAGATACGGATTTAGGCATGTGTTGCATCCACAGGCCTTACTGGTGAGTTGGAGGTAGAGAGGGAAGGAAAAGCCAAGAATGTTAGAGATTCCTAGTTTGAGCAAGTAATGGGATGGCACCGATGAATACTAATGTTAAAAAACAAAAACCAGAAAGTGGAACAGGATTTTCAGGGAAGGTGATACATTTTGCTTTGTACTTCATTCCTGAGGAATTCATGTGGGATTGAGGAGCCTGAGAAAGGTTAACTAAAATAGGATCTTTCTCTGTCCATGTACTTTTTTGAGCTAGTCTTCACCTGAACCGAATTCTACAGGAGGACTTAGGGGTGCTGACAAGTCTGGATTGGGCTCCTGATGGTCACTTTCTCATCTTGGCCAAAGCAGATTTGAAGTTACTTTGCATGAAGCCAGGGGATGCTCCATCTGAAATCTGGTAAGATCCAAAATGCCATTTCCTCCTGAGCTGGGGAAAAAGGAAACCTGAGTTAGTGGTTATCCTGAGGTTGAGTCTAACTTAGAAGAAAACTCTGGAGTCTTAAAGAGAGGTGTTCTTCTCTTTACCTCTCTTTAAATCCTGAGCTCAACCTATTCCTTTCTCACAAACCAGGAGCAGCTATACAGAAAATCCTATGATATTGTCCACCCACAAGGAGTATGGCATATTTGTCCTGCAGCCCAAGGATCCTGGAGTTCTTTCTTTCTTGGTAAGTCCTATTTGAGTGTGTGCTAAAGCAAACATTCGTCTAGGACCAGTGTTTTTACACCTTGGGGCCCGTCATGGAGGATAGGGAAGGGAAAGGCAGTTGGCTGCAAATCCTCTTATCCTCCTTCAACTGGAGCAGTTCTAATTTAGGACATTGTGTATTGGGTTCCCATGTAAGATTTCACTGGTACAAGAAAGGACTCTACCGTTTTAGAAAGCCATAGGAAACCATAAACCTAGAAGTTTTCTCAATTGCATTTTTTCCCGTGTCTCTCTTGTCTTGCCCCTATGAATAATAGCATCTTGAGGGCAAGGACTCCATCTTGTTTTTGTCATCATACTTAGCAGTTACTTAATAGATGTTCAACACTTTTTGGATTGAGTGTGCCAAAGCTAGCTGTTCACTTCAAATGCAGTTTCCTGGGAGCCGCTTGTTATTGGGAAGGTTATTAAATCCTGACCTGCTACCCACTAAAGTTATCTACTAAAGCCTATGCTTGACCCAGTGATTCCACTCCTAAATATATACCTAAGAGAAAGGAGTACATACATTCTGCAAAGCCGGGTACAAGAATCTTCATAGCAGCTTTATTCATCATAGCTAAATATTAATAAATAGAAAGGGGATAAATAATTTGTGGTATATCTATACAATGGAATACTACATGGCAAAAAAATTAATGTGATACTGCATGCTGATGAATGGAATAATACAGACATACCTCGTAGACATTATTCTGGGCAAAGGAAGCCAGTTACAAAGGAGTACATACTATATGATTTCACCTAAATGAAGTTTCAAGAACAAGCAAGACTAATTTCAGTTGACAGACATTAGAATATTTTTAGCTTTTGTGGTGATGGTCTGGTATTGATGGGAAAGGGACATAAGGGCAATTTTCTGAGGTGATGGAAATGCTCTACATCTTGATCTGTCGGGTGACTGCATGGGTGGATGCACATGTAAAAATACATCGCCGATGTACATTTAAGATTTGTGCACTTACCCAGGTGTAGTGGCTCACGCCTGTAATCCCAGCACTTTGGGAGGCCAAGGCCAGTGGATCACCTGAGGCCAGGAGTTCGAGACCAGCCTGGCCCACATGGTGAAACCCCATCTTTACTAAAAATAAAAAAATCAGCTGGGTGTGGTGGCGCACGCCGGTGTTCCCAGCTACTTGGGAGGCTGAGGCAGGATAATCGCTTGAACCCAGGAGGCAGAGGTTGCAGTGAACCGAGATCACGCCACTGCACTCCAGCCTGGGCGACAGAGTGAGACTCCGTCTCAAAAAAAAAAAAATTTGCGCACTTGATTGTATCTAAGTTGTAGTTAAAAAAAAAAAAAATTCCTGACCAGCCCAGAGCAGAAAACTGTTGTTTTGTCTGGTACAAGTTGACTCATATGGGTAGGCTAAACAAAATTACCTATTCTTTCACAGAGGCAAAAGGAATCAGGAGAGTTTGAAGAGAGGCTGAACTTTGATATAAACTTAGAGAATCCTAGTAGGACCCTAATATCGATAACTCAAGCCAAACCTGAATCTGGTGAGTGGTAACAGGAGGACCTGAGGAGCCGGGAGATGGCCCAGGGTGGATGGCAGATCCCTGAGACTTGGCTCTAATTCTGTCCTTAAAATGGCAGAGTCCTCATTTTTGTGTGCCAGCTCTGATGGGATCCTATGGAACCTGGCCAAATGCAGCCCAGAAGGAGAATGGACCACAGGTAACATGTGGCAGAAAAAAGCAAACACTCCAGAAACCCAAACTCCAGGGACAGACCCATCTACCTGCAGGGAATCTGATGCCAGCATGGATAGTGATGCCAGCATGGATAGTGAGCCAACACCACATCTAAAGACACGGCAGCGTAGAAAGGTGAGTTTGAAGGAAGGGTCAGAAATACTAGGGGAGGGCTGGGAGCAGTGGCTCACACCTATAATCCCAGCACTTTGGGAGGCCTAGGCGGGCAGATAATGAGGTCAGGAGATCAAGACCATCCTGGCTAACACGGTGAAACCCCATCTCTACTAAAAAATACAAAAAATTAGCTGGGCGTGGTGGCGGGTGCCTGTAGTCCCAGCTACTCGGGAGTCTGAGGCAGGAGAATGGTGTGAACCCGGGAGGCAGAGCTTGCGGTGAGCCGAGATTGCGCCACTGCACTCCAGCCTGGGCGACAGAGCGAGACTCTTGTCTCAAAAAAAAAAAAAAGAAATACTAAGGGAGGAGGGCTGTAGGTCTGACACAGCACATTGTGATGCTTCTCTGAGGAGGGGCCCCTGAGAACTCACCATTCTGCTCTCCCCTTTCCTCTTTGAGATTCACTCGGGCTCTGTCACAGCCCTCCATGTGCTACCTGAGTTGCTGGTGACAGCTTCGAAGGACAGAGATGTTAAGCTATGGGAGAGACCCAGTATGCAGCTGGTAAGTGTGTGTGTGTGTGTGTGTGTGTGTGTGCGTGCGCCTGCACACCTATCCCAAAGGGATGTCACAAGACAGCAAACTTAGAGTAAGAAAGGGCAAAAGATCAAAATTCTGTTTTCTTCAATCACTTGCAATGTATGACTAACCTGTTTCTAAATAAAAGGCATTAATGTGAGAAAAAATAAGTTAGTAAGGAGGCTTGTAGCCCTGACCTCCCCTATTTTTGTTCCCATCGTAGCTGGGCCTGTTCCGATGCGAAGGGTCAGTGAGCTGCCTGGAACCTTGGCTGGGCGCTAACTCCACCCTGCAGCTTGCCGTGGGAGACGTGCAGGGCAATGTGTACTTTCTGAATTGGGAATGAAGATGTGCCACTCGGGAATAATGATACCCCTTGTGCTAGAGATGCAAAGCCTGAAGACACTGGTAGCTTTTAATAATTATAAAATTAATAATTTCTTGATAATTATAAAAATGAAGTGTCAAAAAATCTCAAGTGTAGGCCTGCCTGTGTTCTCATGTGGATTTAGAACAGGAGGATATTCTATGTGTATGTATATGTACATTCTAATGTGTGTCTCTTCTTATTCAACATTAATCCTTACTAGAACCACAAGAAAGTGAATGAAATCTTTAGTAGGTACTCTTTTGAAACTAGGTTTTAGAATTCTTGCATCACTCGCGGGCCCTAGGACCCTAGGATGCCATTCTTGCCAGGAGGAGGAATGAGAGTGATGTTGGCCAACATTCAATTTGAACAGAGCATGGAAGACCTTTCAGTTCATCGGGAAAGAATGAGGGAGGGAGAATAAGTCAGTCATGCATCAGGGCATTTAGAAAGAGCTATGTTTCTGTCACAGAGACAGCCCTTTTCTCAGAACTACCCAGAGGAGGCCGGGCATGGTGGCTCACGCTTGTAATCCCAGCACTTTGGGAGGCCGAGGTGGGCAGATCACGAGGTCAGGAGATCAAGACCATCCTGGCTAACATAGTGAAACCCTGTCTCTACTAAAAAATACAAAAAGTTAGCCAGGTGTGGCGGCGGGCACCTGTAGTCCCAGCTACTTGGGAGGCTGAGGCAGGAGAATGGCGTGAACCCAGGAGGCGGAGCTTGCAGTGAGCCGAGACACCACTGCACTCCAGCCTGGGCAACAGAGCGAGACTCTGTCTAAAAAAAAAAAAAAAGAACTACCCAGATGAGAGGTGAGGAGCCAAGCCATTGAAAGCGGAACAAACCTTCTGGTTTTCCCAACTTCTGACACGACTTTCAACTTTAGTCAATATGGTAATTGGCATTCTCAGAAGAGATCACGAAAGTGTCTTACTCTCTCTCAAATTGAAATTCACAAAGATTAAAACTAATTGAGAGGTGGCACAATCATAGCCATGAACTCTGATTTTCTTAAGTAAAAAACCTTTTTTTTTTTTTTTTGTTTTTGAGATAGAGTCTGGCTCTGTCACCTAGGCTGGAGTGCAATGGTGCAATCTCAGCTCAGTGCAACCTCTGCTTCCTGGGTTCAAGCGATTCTCCTGCCTTAGCCTCCCGAGTAGCTGGGATTACAGGTGCCCACCACCACGCCCAGCTAATTTTTGTATTTCAGTAGAGACGAAGTTTCACCATGTTGGCCAGGTGGGTCTCAAACTCCTGACCTCAGGTTATCTGCACACCTCAGCCTCTTAAAGTTCTGGGATTACAGGCGTGAGCCATTGTGCCCGGCCCATAAAAGAACTTTATTATATTTCTAAAATTCAATCATATGGAAGAATCTATTGAGCAGGTTAGCCTTTGCTTAACTTTCCTCCTCTGTTACTCCAGCCTTAGCTGGGGTGTTTTGTAGAATTTTCAGAGCATGGGAGACAGACAACTAGAGCTTCCTCCTGCCCTTGGCCCATGCTTTTAGGAGAGCAAAAGGCAAAAGATTGAAACCACTGACTTTAGTTTCCTCAGGCCCTTTCTTTCTGAGGGTTAAAGAAGAAGGAAATGTCTTCTGTGGCCAAGAATTCAAGGACTTGTAGGAGATAAGTGAAGGCTATTACAGGGATTTTGTCCTGGTTTGGTAGGTTTCTCTTGGAGAAATACCACTACACCCTGGTCTAGAAATGAGTTTTGAAGACTTGGGGAGTTAAAGGGCACTGAGTTTTACTCTCACTGTACCCTGATTCCAGGTTTTACATGGAGAAATAACCTGAGGGACTTTATTTCTATCCAATGCCCTGGTTTCCATCCTGACCAGAGGATGATGACATCCGCTGATAGGCCATGCTTCTGTCTTCTCTTATGTGCCTCATGCCAAGCCTCGAAATATACCTTCTGGACCATCATTTCCACATCTACCTTGTGACTAGAAGTCCTAGTTATGGTATTTTGAAATTTATGATCCATAATCCTTGCCAGAAATCCTGCAGCGAACTATGGCATGGCATCATCCTAGTCATTGATTTCAATCTTTTGCCTTTTGCTCCCCTAAAATCTTGGGCCAATTGCAGGAGGAAGCTCTATTTGTCTCTCTTCCATGCTCTGAAAATTATATAAAAGCATCCCAGCTAAGGCTGGAGTGAAGGGGTTGGGGAAAGTTAAGCAAAGGCTAACTTGACCAATAGGCTCAATAGATTCAGTCTTGTTGGCCAGGCCCACTTGAAGGGTTTTTTGTTTCATCTTGGAGAAGGACAGTGAGGTCATGGTATAATTGTTATGAGTAAAGTCAAGAACAGCTTCTAGGTAAAAGTAATTATGTACCCAAAAGGAGTTGAAGGGAAAATCAATTTAGGTTTACATTAAACATCCTTCAAGTTCTTATCTTTAAATGGAGTTTCAGTGTCTCCCAAAGGCTGGATGAGTTTTACAGTTATAACCACTGGATTGTGAGACCATAGGACATTTGAACAATCTTTTCTTCTACCCATCTAGAAAAGCATCTTTTTTATATACCAAATTTTTACACATATATCCACATCTGTTTTTGAAATCTAGAGCAGAGGTACTCAAAGTTTGGTTCATGGACTAGTGCCAGTTCACAAATTGTTAATGTTTTATAATGAGATAAGTACGGAAGTTGAGAGTAACCATTTAGAAACTGTGTAGGAATTTAAAAAGTAATATCTGACAAATTTAATAATAAAAATGGAGGCTTGTATTTTGTGTGCTTTTTAATTTCATTTTCTTAATAATCCATTTTGATTATATTTTATAAAAGTATTATTCCGTGACAGATAAGAAATTAAAACAGGCCAGGCACGGTGGCTCACGCCTATAATCCCAGCACTTTGAAAGGCCAAGGCGGGTGGATCACCTGGGGTCTGGAGTTCGAGGCGAGCCTGGCCAATATGGTGAAACCCCGTCTCTACTAAAAATACAAAAAATTAGCTGGGCATGGTGGCAGGCACCTGTAATCCCAGCTACTTGGGGGGCTGAGGCAGGAGAATCGCTTGAACTCAGGGGGCAGAGGTTGCAGTGAGCCGAGATCGCATCATTGCACTCCAGGCTGGGCAACAAGAATGAAACTTGGTCAAAAAAAAAAAAAAAAGAAAAAAAAGAAAGCAAGAAAGAGAGAGGGAGGGCGGGAGGGAGGCAGGAAGGAAGAAAGAAAGACAAAGGAACAATTAGTCCTTCATCTCAGAAGGTTTGAGAAGCACTACTCTAGAGAGACTGGGTAACAGCAGCAAAAAGCATGGACTTGGAATAAGACTGCCTGAGTTCAAATCTTCATGCCTCCTTTCCCCCATTTGTACAACAGCCATAATAATGGTGCTTACTTCATGGGAGTGTTTTAAGGACTAAATGAGTTAAGGTGTAAAACACAGAACAGTGACACTTTTGTGGTAAGTATTCAATAAGTGCTAACTTGACTGTTCTTTTTGTTACCTAGCAGTACGAGTATCACCTCATTATTCTTTCTCATAAATGTCTTATTTATTAGTATATATTTAATCAATCAGAAAATCTGGACCGAATTTTTTAGTTTTCAAAAAAATGTGAAACTCGTATTCTTTCTAAGTTCAGGGGTACAAGTGCAGGTCTGTTACATAGGTAAACTTGTGTCATGGAGGTTTGTTGTACAGTTTATTTCATCACCCGGGTATTAAGCCTAGTACCCATTAGTTGTTTTTCTTGATCTTCTCCCTCCTCCCACCCTCCAAATACCTAATCTTCTCATCCAGAACGATGGGTATGTTTCTTTATCAGTTAAAATATTAAAGTTATGCTATCATAACAACCCCAAAATCTCAACAACTTAAAATAGCAAAGATTTATTTCTAAATCATGCCACATGGCCCGTTAAGGGTCAGCGAGAAGGCCCTGCTCTACTTTGCGCATATTTTGAGCTCTGTGCTTCACGTGGCGAGTAACTCTTCAATCTTCCACTTGGAAATAAAACACATCACTTCCACTCATATTTAATAAATACAAGCAAAGCAAGTCACGTGGCCATACCTAATGTCAAGGGATGGGGAGGAAGTATCCTACGATGTGTCTGAAAGAAGAACCAGGAGCCAATACACAGATGACATCCCCAAAGAACATATCTGTGTTGGTGCTTTCCCACTAGAATGGCTCTTAATCCTTCTTTTTTAATAATGTAAGATTTAGGCTGGGCGCAGTGGCTCAAGCCTGTAATCCCAGCACTTTGGGAGGCTGAGGAGAGCAGATCACCTGAGGTCAGGGGTTCAAGACCAGTCTGGCCAGCATGGTGAAACCCTGTCTCTATTAAAAATATAAAAATTAGCTGGGCGTGGTGGCATGCACCTGTAATCCCAGCTACTCTGGGGGCTGAGGCAGTAGAATCGCTTGAACTCGGGAGGCGGAGGTTGCAGTGAGCTGAGATCACACCATTGCACTCCAGCCTCAGCAACAAGAGCAAAATTCCGTCTCTAAAAAATAAAAAAAAATGTAAGATTTACAGAAGAGTTGCAAAGATAGTACAAAGTGTTCCTCGATACCCTTCACCCAGCTTCTTCTAATGTTAACATCTTACATAACCATGCTACATTTATCAAAACTAGGAAATTAACATTTGTTAATTAAATTACCAGTAAGTTAATTTAAAAATGTTAATTAAATTACAGTCAGGATTTGGATTTGCCCAATTTTTCCGCTAACGACTTTGTTTTGTTCCAGAAGCCAATCCAGGATCCCACATTGCATTTAGTCATTGCGTTTTCTCAGTCTCCTCCAACTGTGACAGATTTTCAGTCTTTTCAAAATCTTGACACTTTTAAAAAATAAATTTATTTATTTATTTATTTATTCTTGAGACAGGGTCTCAGTCTGTTGCCCAAGCTGGAGCGTGGTGGTGCAATCACAGCTCACCGCAACCCATGTCTCTAGGGCTCAGTGATCCTCCTGCCCCAGCCTCCCGAGTATCACATCACTGCACTCCAGCCTAGGCAACAAGAGTGAAGAATGTCGTAGAATGTTCTTCAGTTTGGTTTTGTTTTCTGTTTTTTCATGAATAGGCTGAGATTATGGATTTAATGGATGAATTCAAGAGATGATGTGCCTTCATACTGCATCCTATTGGGTGCATATGATATTAACATAACTTATAACTGGTGGTGTTAACCTTGATCACTTTTAAAGTTAAAGTGATATTTGCCAGGTATTTTTGCCATACCTTCTGTTAGAAGCGGGTCACTAAGTCCAGCCCATACTCAAGGGGAAGGAAAGAAAACCTCTAGAAGAGAGAGGTATCAAAGAAATTTATACATCTGGAGGTAGGTTTTTTGAGGCTATGCAAATATCATTTTCCCGACTAATCTTAGCATTCATCCATGGATCTTGACTGCAGTATTATTAGTGCGGTTTTCTAATCATGATTTTCTATTCACCTCCATTTTCCCTGATACTTTCTATTTCCCTTTGACATTTAGTTATTGAAATTATTTCTGATTTCCTTTCTTTTTTTGAGACTGGATCTTGCTCTGTCACCCAGGCTGGAGTGCAGTGACATGATCAGAGCTCACTGTACTCTCAAACTCCTGGGTTCAAGTGATCCCCCTATATATATATATATATTTATATTACAAAAACTTGGTATATTTTTATTGTGATATAATTCATTTTCTTTTTGTTGTTGTTTGTTTGTTTGTCTGGTTTTTTTGAGACAGGGTCTTACTCTGTTGCCCAGGCTGGAGTACAGTGGTGTGATCTTGACTCACTGCAACCTCCGCCTCCTGGGTTCAAGCGATTCTCCTGCTTCAGCCTCCTGACTAGCTGGGATTACAGGCATGTGCCATCACGCCCGGCTAATTTTTGTATTTTTAGTAGAGACAGGGTTTCACCATGTTGGCCGGGCTGGTCTTGAACTCCTGGCCTCAAGTGATTCACCCGCCCTGGCCTCCCAAAATGCTGGGATTACAGGCGTAAGCCACCGTGCCTGGCCTGTAATTCATTTTCACCCTTATGAAGTGTACGGTTCTGTGGTTCTTAGTATATTCACAAATTATGCAACCATTACCGCTAATCCTGGAACATTTTAATCACCCCACCAAGAAACCTTGACTCCATTAGCAATCACTCCCCTCTCTCTTCCTCCAGCCACTGGCAACCACTAATCTACTTTCTGTATCTATGAATTTGCCTAGTCTGGACATTTCGGATAAATGGAATCATATAATATGTGACCTGTGTGGCTTCTTTCAATTAGAATAATGTTTTCAAGGTTCATCCATGCAGTATCAGTACTTCATTCCATTTTATGACGGAATAATATTGCATTGGATGGATATACTTTTTATGTTTTTACAGCTTTATTGAGTTATGATTGGCATGCAATAAACCACACATATTTAAAATACACAATTCGATAAAGCTTGACATATATATATATTAATAAAATTATTACCACGGTCAAGATAGTTAACATATCTAACAGGAATAAACCACATTTTGTTTATCCATTTATTGGTTGATGGATGTTTGGAGTGTTTCTACTTCTTGGCTATTATAAATATTGTTGCTATCAATATGCATGTACAAATTTTTGTGTGAACATTGCTTTTTTATTCTCTTGGTTATACACCTAGTAGTGGAATTGCTAGGTCCTGATAACTCTTATGTTCAACTATTTGAGGAACTGCCAAGCTTTTCCAAAGCAGCTGCACCACTTTATATTCGCACTAGCAATGTGTGAGGATTTTTATTTGTCCATATCTTTGCCGAGATTTGTTAGTCTCAGGCCTTAGCCTCCTGAGTAGCTGGAATTACAGGCAAATGCCACCACGCCTGGCTAATTTTTCATATTTTTGCTAGAGATGGGGTTTCACCATGTTGGCCAGGCTGGTCTCAAACTCCTGACCTCAGATGATCTGCCTGCCTCTGGCTCCCAAAGTGCTGGAATTACAGGCGTGAGCCACCACACCCGGCCAAGAGTTTTAAATTTTGACGAAGACCAACTTATTTCTTTTGCTTGCTTGTGCATTGGTGTCATATTTAAGAAACTGTTGCTTAATCCAAGGTCACAGAGATTTCTCCTTATGCTCTAAGAGCTTTTTAGTTTTAGCTTACATTTAGGCCTTTGATCCATTTTAATTTTTACGTAGTGTGAGATAGTGTTCCTAATTTATTACTTTGCATGTGGATATCCAAGTCGTCCCAGCACCATTTGTTGAAAAGACTATTTTTCCCCCATTGAATGGTCTTGGCACCCTTGTTGAAAACCAATTGACCATATTTGCTTGGGTTTATATCCAGACTCTCAATTCTATCCCATTGATTTCTATGTCTATCCTATGTCATTATCACATTGTCTTGAGTACTGTAGCTTTTTCAAGATTGTTTTTGTTATTCATGATCTTTGTAATTCCTTATGAATTTTTCTTGGCCATTTCTGCAAAAAAAAAGGATAATGGAATTTTAATAGGAATTGTATGGAATCTATAGGTTGCTCTGGGAAGTATTACCATTTTAATAATAAATTTTCCAATCTACGAACACTTGTAGATTGAAAACTACAGAACTGTTGACAGAAATTCAAGACCTAAATAAATAGGTCTTAGCTGGGTATGGTGGCTCAAGTGTGTAATCCCAGCACTTTGGGAGACTGAGGTGGGCCTTGAGGTCAGGAGTTCAAGACCAGCCTGCCAACATGGTGAAACCCCATCTCTACTAAAAATACAAAAATTAGCTGGGTGTGGCGGTGCACACCTGTAATCCCAGCTACTTGGGAGGCTGAGGCCGGAAAATCACTTGAACCCGGGAGGCAGAGGTTGCATTAAGGGAAGATTGTGCCACTGCACTCCAGCCTGGGCAACAGAACAAGACTCTGTCTCAGATAAATAAATAAATAAATAAATAAAGGTGGCCTTGAATGTTTTTCAATAGTTTTGTAGTTATCAGTGTACAAGTTTCATGCTTCTTTGGTTAAATCTATTCCTAGTGTTTTATTCTTTCTGACGCTATTATAAATGGAATTGTTTTCTTAATTTTTCAGATTATTCTTTACTAGTGTGTAGAAATAGAAATACAATTCATAGGCCAGGCGTGGTGGCTCACACCTGTAATGCCAGCACTTTGGGAGGCCAAGGTGGGTGGATCACCTAAGGTCAGGAGTTCAAGACCAGCCTGGGCCCAACATGGTGAAACCCTGTCTCTACTAATAATACAAAAATTAGCCAGGCATGGTGGCACATGCCTGTAATCCCAGCTAGTTGGGAAGCCGAGGCGGGAGGCTGAAGCAGGAGAATCACTTGAACCCGGAGGCAGAGGTTGCAGTGAGCTGAGATCTCACCATTGCACTCCAGCCTGGGCAACAAGAGTAAAATGCCATCTCCAGAAAAATAAATAAAATAAAAAGAAATACAGGCTGGGTGTAGTGGCTCATGCCTGTAATCCCAGCACTTTGGGAGGCTGAGGTGGGAGGATCACAAGGTAAGGAGTTCGAGACCAGCCTGGCTAATATGGTGAAACCCTGTCTTTACTAAGAATACAAAAATTAGGCAGGCGTGGTGGTGGGCACCTGTAGCCCCAGCTCCTCGGGAGGCTGAGGCAGGAGAATCACTTGAGCCCGGGAGGTGGAGGTTGCAGTGAACCAAGATTGCGCCACTGCACTCCAGTCTGGGCAACAGAGCAAGACACTCCGTCTCAAAAAAAAAAAGAAAAAGAAAAAAAAAGAAATACAATTCATCTTGTATCCTACAATCTTGCTGAACTTTTTAGCTCTAAATATGGATTCTTTTGGGCCTTCTCTATAGATCACGTAATTTGCAAATTTAGTTTTATCTCCTTTTTAATCTTGATGCCTTTTTTTTCTTGCTTAAGTACCATGGTTAGAACCTCCAGTACAATATTGAATGGAAGTGGTGAGTGCAAACATCTTGGTCTTATTCCTGATCTTAGAGGATAAGCTTTCAATCTTTCACCATTGTAATGTTAGCTGTGAGTTTTTCATAGATGTTCTTCATAGGGTGGAGGAAGCTCCCTTTCATTCCTACTTTGTTGGATTTTATTTCATTATGAAAAAATGTTACATTTTGCCAAATGCTTTTTCTGCATCTGAGATGATCATGTGATTTTTGCCCTACCTTGGTTTTCAATCTTGCATTACTGTGATAAATCTCACTTGATCATTGTATATAGTCCATTTATAATGTTGCTGGATTAGGCTTGGTAGTATTTTGTTGATTTTTGCAATTATATTGTTAAGGGATATTGGTCTATAATTTTATTTTCTTGTGATATCTTCATCTGGTTTTGGTTTCATTCTGCTTTGTAGAATTAGTTGCAAAGTATTTTCCTCTCTTCTATTCTTTGGAAAAGTATGCAGTCTACTTCAGTTTTAATAGCAGGTTACTTCAGTGAGTAGATATATTTGACTAGTTCCTTATCTATGATCTTTTTGTGTACACCAATGCCTCAGTGACATCTATGCAAACATATATATCTGTAAGTTTTAGGTCAACAGGGCATGAACATTTCAAATTTTGATAGATATTGGAAACCTGGTTTCTAAAAAGTTACAGGAAAAATTTAAACAAACTTCTCTGTTACTTAAGGAAGTGTGTTGTTTATCTGTGTTGTGTGTTTAAATACAATCAGGAAGTCTTTGGATCTGTATTAGTCTGTTTTCATACTGCTATAAGGAACTGCCCGAGACTGGGTAATTTATAAAGGAAAGAGGTTTGACTCACAGTTCACCATGGCTGAGGAGGCCTCAGGAAATTTACAATCATAGAGGAAGGTGAAGGGGAAGCCCTTCTTCACAGGGTGGCAGGAAGGAGAAGTGCCAAGCGAAGTAGGAAGAGCCCCTTATAAAACCATCAGATCTCGTGAGAACTCACTCACTATCACAAGAACAGCATGGGGGAAACTGCCCCCATGATTCAGTTACCTCCACCTGGTCTCTCCCTTAAAATGTGGGGATTCTGGGGATTACAGTTCAAGATGAGATTTGGATGGGGACACAAAGCCTAACCATATCAGGATCTGACCTGGACTTTAGTACTTCTTAGTTGGAGCAGGTTATGTAAAAACTCATTCCACTTTTTTCCTTTCCTCCTCAAGATGTATTCAGGCTTAGTGACAGTCCTCCAAGGGCTTCCCAAATTTTTGGACATGTGATGAGTCCTAGGATGTTGAGTAGTGGGAGACCTAGGCTGCAGTGGATAAATTTGAAAAAGGCAAGTGAATACATATGCATGGGAAAGAAAAACACGACTTAGCCTTTGTTGCCTCTACCCTTCCTGTGATAATACTCAACAAATTCCAGTTTGCAGAAAAATTGAATTAAACAGGTAAAAGCATTAGCGCCCCCATTAGTGTCCCTCAATGCACAGATGCCACTAAGAACAGGATACTGAATAACCCTCAGAGCAATGAGTAATTTCTGTCCTGGAAATGGAGATCTACTAATGTCAGAAGAAATATGTTCTTGGAGAAATAAAGCCCGAAGAAGCCAGTGGTAGACCTGTACAGTTTTTATTACATAAAATATCACAAAATTCACAAGTACAACACTGCTTATTTTCTTGCTTGAAGATCAGATCTCTGGTTTATTTAATATCAACATTCACCACAGCTGAAGGAAATTAAACTGAACCTTTAAAAGGTACCGCATACGGACCTGGTTGGGGTTATATACAATATATTCATTGTAGTTGAGGGTATAACCATCTGGATTCAGAATTCCTGTGTCACTTGCTGGTCCTAATGGCACTGTACTCCCATTCCTGCCAAATGGAAAAAAAGTGTGTCAACATCAGTCTCTGGTTCAGAAGCTGCAATAGAGAACGTAGTCTTATCTGGCCAAAAGGAGTCTTCTAGTCCTCCTGGTTCTGAGTACTTACAGGGTGACGAAGTGGGCAGAACTGGGAGCCATCTTGCCCAGCCCCTTGGTGCTATGTTTACCTTGAAGCAATCCTTCGGCCTTAGGATTGGCCTCTAGTAGTTCATTACACTGACCTAGAGCTACCTGCAAAGCAAAAAACCTTTGAATTCCCATATCCTACTAAGAATTAGATGGCTCCAAAGCCAAACAGAAAATCCCATCAGTACTTTTTTCCCCTACTCCAGCAGAGGAATCCAATGTACTAGAAATTGTACTTGGTCCTCTCTCAAGCTATCCCAGGTAAACCTCTTGGTTCTGGGGTCAAACTTTTCTCATCGGAAAAAAACTGGAATTAATAAACTAGAGATCACAGACATACTCCTGTCTCACCTCTGATAAGAGCAGCAGTCCTGTATTCTTTAGGCGAGAGGCAAAGCAGTAATTGGCACTCTTGGAAGACATGTCAGCAAAGTAGATTCCTTTCCCAAACTGAAATATATACATGAATACCAAGGTCAGCTTCTAACCCACTGTGTTAGAGAGAAGGTGCATACCACTGACCCTGTTTTTCCATTCCCTTAAACACAATATAGACCCTTCTCCATTTCCCCTCACAATTCTGTTCTAGAGAGGGTAGAAGCCCCTGTGAATTTCCGCCTTCTGAGGGAAAGGTGAGGTATCTTTAGGAATTTAAAGAAAGAGGGACACAGTAAGAGATGACAAGGTTATCAGTGAGCTGGCTTAACTCTTGGGGAGGGGAACCATCTAATCCTAATCTAGGAAAAAAAGCACTGAGAACATTACTGTATCCCTTTCCCCTGTGCTCCTCCCAGAGTTCAATTTCACTCACCATGTAACCTGTGATGGGAGCTTCAGGTGGGGCAATTCGAAGCCCATGGCTCAAGATTCCCACCCAGTTACTCATCCTGGAACCATGCCATAGAAGCATCCTAAGGAAAAGCCAATATTATTGTACTCTGTTGTTCTGCACAGATAGGCCATAAGCATAAAAAAGCCAACACCTTCCTCTGACTCCCTCTTATAAGTTCTACAGCTGTACTTTCGGGCAAGGAGTGTCTTTCCAAACGCAAAGCTAGACTCAGACCTGTTATGAAGGTCCTCTCTGAAGGCTTCTTTCTCACCATCCTTCTCCACTTCAAACAAATCCAGCAAGGTCATGGTATAGTCGCTGTGTGTGGGAGCATGGGTAGATTGTAGGTACTGGGAAATCACCTGTGAAAAATAAGACAAAAAGGCTGATGTAGACTCTACAAGAGACTGAGCTGAACTGAAGAATTTGGGGATTCTGATATAACTTGGCAGACCTTTCTGCTCCCAAACAGTCTTACAAGGCAGCTAGGAAAAGCTTGGCCTTCCCAAATCCCTAGTACATAAAAAGTCTGCCCTAATTGACAATTTGCTCTTGACAAGAAGTAGTTAGAGAACAGTGGGATGGGGGAGGTGGTTAAGGGTGCAAGAATATGAAAATAAATGATCATTTTTCTTACTTTGAACTCATAACTTTCATGGTCAAGGGGGCGCAAGGCACAATGTAGGTTTCTATAGTGTTGGTCCAATGGGTGTTCTGGGCTTTGTAGCTCTGTTTTCACCAGCTTAATAGCAATTTCAATGTCTCCCAAAGCCTGAGAAGATGAGATATAGAATCAATGTGGGAGGACACTGGTATAAGGGATATAATACTTCTCAAATCATACATATCTCACCTCTAGTAATTGTATTTTTTCTGACAGTTCCTTCTGTGTCCGGATTAGTGGAGGAGTACGGAGTCTAAGAACAGAGATATAACCCATAATGAGCTTTCTGACATGTGGCTAAAAGGCGCATGACTAAAAATAGAAAATGACAGATAGGTCCTTTAGAAAACAGGTATGAGAAACAGGTTTTCCATTTGAGAGAGAAAGAGATCTGTAAAGAGATCTTAACTTCCAAATATATAAAATAATATTAAATATATACTCGGTATAAGATGAACTATGTGGATTTTGACTTTTGAGACTAGAGTTAAAATTATTTTTTATAAAATCATTTAAAAATAAGTTATATTGATATCAACAGGGAACAGTTGGATACAGTTCTATCTAGAAGCACAGGTAGACCTGTTGACCACTCAGGGTTATTTCTAGGTCACGGGGCTCTATAAAGCTATAAAAGAAATAGAAATCGGATGTAAACCAGAAAACAGAATCAACAAATGTAAAATGTTATTTTGTCTATCTAATATCACTTGAGTTCACAGAAATGGTGTTTGTGTGGTTTTAGTTACTCAAATAGGAAAAGGGGGTGATATGCCTGAAGGTGTTTTACTTGGGTGGTTGGATAGCTAGACCCATTCTCTCTTGGGTTGGTAACTTCCACTTTGTCAGAGAATATGGCTGTGGTCAAGCCGGGAGATTGCATCCCATATTTGTAAGCTGATTAAATAGGCTACCTATATATCATTTTGTTTCTGTACCTATTCAAGACGATCATTTTCTTAGGAATAAAAGATTTAAAAGATTATAGCTGCTGCTGATGGATACAGGGGATATGTATAGGTAGAAGAACAAAGTGAAGTAACAGCACAGGCCTTACCCAAAGTCATGCGGAATCCTGGTGTAGAATTCATTGCATGCTTCCATGAGAGCTCGTCCATGCTGGCCAGCCCGAATACAATCCTCAATCTTCTTAAGAGACTGGTAACCTGCCTTGATTTGTGCCACTGTCAGCTTCCCTGCAGGCCCACCCAGAGATCAGACTCCAAACTAGGATCCCATCTAGTGAACTGTACTTAACATCCTTCCCTAAAAAAGACTTTCATCTTTCAACTTTTTTTTTTCCTGTTTTTAAGATGGGGTCTCACTCCTGTTGCCCAGGCTGAGTGCCGTGGCACAAACACAGCTAAATGCAGTTCAACCTCCTGGGCTCCGGTGATCCTCCCACTTCAGCTTCGCAAGTAGCTAGATCACAGGCACACACCACCATGCCTGGCTAATTTTTCTATTTTTAGTAGAGATGGGGTCTCACCATGTTGCCCAGGCTGGTTTCAAACTCCTGGGCTCAAGCAATCCACCTGCCTTGGCCTCCCAAAGTGTTGGGATTATAGGCATGACCCATCACACCCAGCCTCAACTTTCAAAATAGTTCCTCTTCCCTCCATACAACCTGTCACCCCAAATCCCATTTTCTTCATTCAGTACTATGAGCAAGCTTTAAATCATAATGATAATAAAGTATCCATTAAAGGAGCTAGGAATTATAAGGAGAGAATGCAGAAGAAAATGTGAAGTCCTACCAAGTGGGGCTTTCTTGGTATTATACTTCATTTCCATCATCATTTCTTCCATGGCCTGAACATTACAGATCAACTTTATTAACTCCTGTACCCGAAGATCTAGCTGTGACTCTGGCTTCAAGGGAGATTTAAGAGATTCCTCTTTCTTTGTTTCCTCTTCATCCTATAGCAAAAAACAAACAAAACACAAGACAATCTAAGAAATCATCTCTAGATTCCTTATAACACCCAATATTATACAATGTAAATGCTTTGTAAAGTTTTTATATTGCACTGTCTAGGGAATAATGAGAAGCAAGGAAAAAAAGGCTGTACAGGTTCAGTACAGAAGCAATTTTTCAAACATTTTTGATTCTCAGTTCATTGAATCCATGGATATAGAGGGTTGACCATCCAAGTTCTGCCTCCCACATTTTACAACTCAGAATAAGTCTAGAAAAAAAAGGCTTTCCTCATGACGTCAGTGTGTAAAGACAGCTATTATGTCTCAGATCTTCCCATCTTAAAAAAGACTAAAACTTCTCCATTTTTTTGGATATGTGACTGTTTCCGGACAGTTTCAGCATCCTGGTATACCTCAGTTTATCTAAATTAAATTTTTTATGGTGGTATATATCCAGAAGTGAAAACAAATTTAAATGTTAATTGTTTAATCAGTTTGATTTTTTATCACTCCTCTCTTGGTCCATAACAATAAACTTCTGGTGCCAGCCGCAGTGGCTCACGCTTGTAATCCCAGCACTTTGGGAGGCCAAGACGGGCGGATCATGATGTCAGGAGATCGAGACCATCCTGGCTAACATGGTGAAACCCCGTCTCTACTAAAAATACAAAAAAAAATTAGCCGGGCGTGGTGGCGGGCGCCTGTAGTCCCAGCTACTCCGGAGGCTGAGGCAGGAGAATGGCGTGAACCCAGAGGCGGAGCGTGCAGTGAGCCGAGATCGCGCCACTGCACTCCAGCCTGGGCGACAGAGCGAGACTCCGTATCAAAAAAAAACAAAAACAAAAAAACGAAAAAAACAATAAACGTCTGGAAATAGGGCCTAAGATTTTATAAGAAACTTAGTAGGCCGGGCGTGATGGCTCACGCCTGTAATCCCAGCACTTTGGGAAGCTGAGGCGGGTAGATCACCCAAGGTCACGAGTTCAAGACCAGACTGGCCAACATGATGAAACCCTGTCTCTACTAAAAATACAAAAAAAATTAGCTGGGCATAGTGGCGGGCACCTGTAATCCCAGCTACCTGAGAGGCTGAGGCAGAAGAATCGCTTGAACCCGGGAGCTGGAGGTTGCAGCGAGCTGAGACTGAGCCATTGCACTCCAACCTGGGCAACAAGAATCAAACTCCAGCTCAAAAAAAAAAAAAAGAACCTTAGTAAATAACAGAGCCAAGACTAGAAAGGCACATTCTATCCTCATTCTTACTGTCCCTTTGGGATTACAAAGATCAGTGAGAGCACCCCTGAGGTGAGAAGTAGAAAGGATTCAAGATATCCTGGCCTGTCCCAGTCCAGGAATGATCTAAGCTATTCTGCTTTACCCTGAGTAAGAAGAAACAGGAGTAGGTGTGGTGCCTCATGCTTGTAATCTCAGGACTTTGGGAGGCCAAGACAAGAGGACTGCTTGAGCCCAGGAATTCGAGACCAGCCTGGGCAACATAGTGAAACCTCATCTTTACAAAAAAAAAAGAAAAAAAATCAGCTGGGCAGAGTGGCACGTGCCTGTAGTTCCTGATACTGAGGAGGCTGAGGTGGGAGGATCACTTGAGCCTGAGGATCTTGAGGCTGCAGTGAGCCATGATTGTGCCACCCAGCCTGGGCAACAGAGCACAGTTTTGCCTCTAAAAAATAAAATAAAAAAAGAAGATGTGTTTCTTTCGAAAAGTATAGTGAGAGTTACCTGAGTATTGGTGGCATAGTCCATCTGTAGCATATCATATTTTCCAGGCACCTTCTCAAACTTTTCTCGATCTTCCCAATTGTTTTTCGTTTTGTCAAGGAATCTGTAGAGTCCAAGGTGTAAGAAAACTTTACAAATAAAGGTCTACTATGAAGATGGACTTACAAGACAGAAAATCTCCAAAGAATTTATTTTCCAGCACTGAGCTCCTTTACACATCAACTTTCCATAAATCAAAATTAGTCTAATTCTAAATGAGGACACTAAATGGACAAAAAAGCTCTGGAGACAAATGGAATTTAAAAAATGGGAAAAACAATGCTTGTCCTTCCCAAACACCACAAAAGCCATTGAGATTTCAAACAAAAGATATCCATCTAATCTCTTTCCCTGAAAGAAACATGTTCTCCAATTCTCCAGAAAGTTCTTCATCTATATCATAAAGTTTTAAAAATTCTAACTGAATATTCTCTTTTTTTCTTTCCTTTTTTTTGGGGGAGAGTCAGGGGTCTCGCTTTGTTGCCCAGGCTGGTCTCAAACTCCTAGCTTCAAGCAATCCTCCTGCCTCAACCTCCCAAAGTGCTGGGATTACAGGCATCACCGTGCTCAGCCCCTAGTTGAATATTATCTATCCCAGGATAGTCTCCACTTATCCCAAATTTCCTAAATTTGTCAGTCATGTGTTAAATATATTAGATTCTTCTGTTTTTAGTGACTTTCAAGGTATTAGTTTGATTTAATCACTAAGGATGCAGTTTGGTGTTTCAACCACAGAATGTCAGGGTGAAAAGACATTAACATTTAGGCCAAATCACACCTATAAAACGAAAAGTTTTTTATAAGCCACACACTTATAAAATTCTTAGAGAAGGCAGGGCACGGTGGCTCACGCCTGTAATCCCGCACTTTGGGAGGCTGAGGCAGGCGGATCACCTGAGGTCAGGGGTTCGAGACCAGCCTGGCCAACATGGCGAAACCCCATCTCTATTAAAAATACAAAAATTAGCTGGGCGTGGTGGTGGGCGCCTGTAATCCCAGCTACTAGGGAGGCTGAGGCAGGAGAATCACTTAAACCCAGGAGGTGGAGGTTGCAGTGAGCTCAGATCATGCCATTGCACTCCAGCCTGGGCAACAAGAGTGAAACTGTCTAAAAAAAAATTTTTTAGAGAATATACATCTAAGAAGAGGAGGGTATATTTTTTTGTAGTCACTTTTCAGCACTCACTTCTTCTGAAAGATTTCCTTGGCCTTGTTGAGATTGCCTGAACAAGCCACCAGGCTGTGCTGTCCCATTTTCCCAACTGCAAAGGAAATGCCACACATAAGATAGTTCCCTAAGAGTAACAGGCCAGCTCTCCAAGATCTCTCTGCTTAACATCTGACAAACAGGCAGGAAAGGGAGAAGGGAAAGGTGAAAGGATTTAGGGAACTAATCATGTTGATACAAGTTACTTGCTAACTGCCATAGTCTATGAGCACTACTAGCAGTTCAACTATAGAAGAGTTTTCAGACTCAATGGGCTGCTCTTAGTTTTTCCAGTGGGAACTCTAAGGAGGATGCCTGCCATTCCCCAATTTCAAGATGCTCAACTTGATTCCTAAGGCTCTCCCAGACTTCAGAGCCTCTACTGACCCAATTTAAACCCAGAGAATCCTTTGGCCACCCACTAAGCTGCTTCTGACTTTCTGAATGCCAACTCATAAAATCTCAATAAAAATCATTACCTCGGCCCCATCTCATCCAAACACTGAAGTTCCTCTGGGCATCATCTTCTAATAGCTGAATCAGATAGTACTTGTTGTTGTTGAACTGGAGATTGGTCTATGTTGAGTGAAAACAAAAACAAAAAAAAGGAGTTTTGCAAATGGAAATCACATAAACCAATGACTCATCCTTCGTCACAGGTGCCAGTTATTTCCATAAGGAAAAGGATAGCATCAGGCAAGAAAATTAGATTCCTGTAAGATTAAAGATATAAAGAAGAAATAGGGCTTATACATTAAACTTTGGATTCTTAGGAATTAAAGTGGGAGCCTAGAAGCTTCCTAAAACCCTCTATCCAACCTCAAATATCCTACATTGAATGGCTCCTCCAGTTTTTTCCTGCCTCAGCTCCCTATTTAGATATTTTCTAAGCTATATGTGTTTTCCAGCTCCCAATCCACTCCCAATAATTATTTCCCAAATGAAAACAATTTGGATGCTCCAAAGGTCTAAACCTGTTATGCTCAACTGTTAAATGACTTACTCCTTGACAGTTCTACTCACAGCTTTTGTTTGTCAGCTGCAGAAATTTGACAATGAGCTGAGAGCAGGGCAATAATGGGAGGGGACAAGGGATACGCAAAACCACTGCCACATCCGTCCCATACCTAACCTGACCTGACTTGGAGATACTGAGAGAGAATATGGCCAGTATCTAAAAAGAGGTATCTGTAAGTAAATCACTCAGAGTGAAGAGAGAGAAGTCCATGATAAGGCATAGCAGCTGGTGTTGTATGGCCGAGCCCTGGATATGGAGGCATTCTTTTTTGTTAAGCATGCTGCCCCTTCCTACCTCTATCTCCTGCTTGCTCACATTCTAAAGCCATTGTACGACCTTAGCCCACTGGTGAAAAAAAAAAGGTCATTAGATGTTAGAACAAAAAGGAGCCTAAGATATTTTCTTTTTTTGAGACAGAGTCTTGCTCTGTCGCCCAGGCTGGAGTGCAGTGGTGCAACCTCCGCTCATTGCCACCTCTGTGTCCTAGGTTCAAGCAATTTCTTGTGCCTCAGCCTCCCTAGTAGCTGGGATTACAGGCACACGCCACCATGCCAGACTAATTTTTTTTTGTATTTTTAGTAGACATGGAGTTTCAACATGTTGGCAAGGCTGGTCTTGAACCCCTAACTCAAGTGATCTGCCCGCCTTGGCCTCCCAAAGTGCTGGGATTTTAGGCATAAGCCACCATGCCCAGCTTGATATTTTCTTTTCCTTTAAAAAATTTTTTTGTAAATGTTTTTATGGTTTTTATTTTTTATTTTTTTGAGATAGGGTCTCCCTCTGTCACCCAGGCTGGAGTGCAATGGCTCAATCACAGCTCACTGTAGCCTCAACCTCCCAGGCTCAAGCAATCCTCCCACCTCAGCCTCCAAAGTAGCTGGCCCATGCCCGGTGTTTTTGTATTTTTTTGTAGAGACAAGGTTTCACCATGTTGCCCAGGCTGATCTTGAACTCACACCTGAAGTGATTCTCCAGCCTTGGCCTCCGAAAGTGCTAGGATGACAGGCATGAGCCACCACACCTGGCTGCCTTAAGGTATTTTCCTTCTTTTCTTTTTTTTTTTGAGAAGGAGTTTTGCTCTTGTTGCCCAGGGCTGGAGTACAATGGTACGATCTCGGCTCACCACAAACTCCGTCTCCCAGGTTCAAGCAATTCTCGTGCCTCAACCTCCCGAGTAGCTGGGATTACAGTCATATGCCACCACACCTGGCTAATTTTGTATTTTTAGTAGAGATGGGATTTCTCCACATTGGTCAGGCTGGTCTTGAACTCCCGACCTCAGGTGATCCGCCCGCCTCAGCCTCCCAAAGTGCTGGGATTACAGGCGTGAGCCACTGCACCTGGCTAACCTTAAGGTATTTTCTATCTGCTCGTGGTATTTTAAGTAGAAGAAATAGTAAGAAATAAATACTAATTGGTTGTTAAAATTATATATGTTGGATCAATAAATTCAAACATGAAGTCATATCCAGGAAATATATTAATGAGGCAAATGTATTATCTACTCAAAACCACAAAGGTAAACAAGAGAAAAAGGTTGATTAAAAAGAAAGCTGAGCTTGGGGGCAGATGCCTGTAGTCCCAGCTACTTGGGAGGCTGAGGTTGGAGGATCACACGAGGTCACAAGTTCAAGGCCAGCCTGAGCAACATAGCAAGACACTGTCTCTAAAATTAAAAAAAAAAAAACCCAAAATTTTTTAAAAAGGAAAAATTAATAAATTTAACTACAGAAAAAATTTAAAACTTCAATATGGGCAAAAAGTGTACTATAAGGAAAACCAAAAGGTAAATGACAAATCTGGAAAACACAAGTGGTTTGTATTACAGACAAAAGGCTATTCTCCATATTATATAAAGTTCCTCGAAACCAGTAAGAAAAGGACCAATAACTTTAGAAAATGTGCAAAACAGCTTGTCCCAGTGGCTCATCCCTGTAATCCCAGTGCCTCATGAGGACAAGGCAGGAGGATCATTTGAGGCCAAGAATTCAAGACCACCTATCCAACATAGCGAGATTCTCATCTCCATAAAAAATTTAAAAATTAGTCAGGCTTTGTGGCATGCGCCTGAAGTCCGAGCTACTCAGGAAGCTTAGGTGGGAGGATTGCTGGAGCCCAGAAGTTCAAGGTTGCAGTGGGCTATGACTGTACAAACTGCACTCCAGCCTGGGTGACAGAACAAGATCCTGTCTGTTTAAAAAAAAAAAAAAAATGTGCAAAAGGATATGAACAGAGAGTTAACAATTTCAATAAATGATATGAAATTTGCAAAAAAAAATCTTCTCACAGAGGACTCTGCTATCTGATAAGAGTGTGCTAGGGCTGAGTACTCAGGTGTTTAACCACTAATGGCTAATATTAATATAAAGGACTTGCCGGGCGCAGTGGCTCATGCCTGTAATACCAACACTTTGGGAGGGTGAGGTGGGTGGATCACCTGAGGTCAGGGGTTCAAGACCAGCCTGGCCAACATGGTGAAACCCCATCTCTACTAAAAATACCAAAAAATTAGCCAGACACTGCACCTGTAGTCCCAGCTACTTGGGAGGCTGAGGCTGGAGAATTGCTTGAACCCAGGAGGCAGAGATTGCAGTGAGCCGAGATTGCACCACTGCATTCCAGCCTGGGTGACAGAGCAAGACTCTGTCTCAAAAAAAAAAAAAAAAAAAAAAAAAAAAAAAAAAATATATATATATATATATATATATATATATATATATATATATACACACACACATATGAAGGACTTTAGGCAAGGCGTGGTGGCTTACACCTGGTAATCCCAGCATTTTGGGAGGCTGAGGTGGGTGGATCACTTGAAGTCACGAGTTCGAGACCAGACCCTGGCTAACGTGGCGAAACCTTGTCTCTACTAAAAATACAAAAAATTAGCTGGGAGTGGTGGTGCACGCCTGTAACCCCAGCTACTTGGGAGGCTGAGGCAGGAGAATTGCTTGAACCTGGGAGGCAGAGGTTACAGTAAGCCGAGATTGTGCCACTGTATTCCAGCCTGAGAGATGAAGTGAGACTCCATTTCAAAAAGAAAAAACAAAATTTAAAAAAAAAAAAAAAAGGGACTTTAAAGATCTGAACACTGTGATGCTATCATCAATAATTATCAAGAAGATGGTCTCATAAATATAATGGTGCCACCTCTTCTTGCCTCTTACCTGATTTAGCATGACATCATAGACATCATTTCCTTCACAATACACATGAGCCTAGAAAGGGAGAGAGAGAAAAAATCAACATTAGTATAGGTTCAGCCCTGACATCCTAAATGAGGCTCTAAATTTTCTTATGGCTCAAGTCATCATTCTACAGCAACATCAACATTCATCTCCCAAGGAAAGAATTGCAAACCTATGTTCTACCAGTAACCTGGGTGTAACCTTACTATAAATGAAAACATGCTTCCTTTTTTTTAACTATACAAAAGATTCTGAGTTAGGCTGCGCATGGTGGCTCATGCCTGCAATCCCAGCATTTCGGGAGGCTAAGGTGGGCAGATCACTTGAGGTCAGGCATTCGAGACCAGCTTGGCCAACATGGTGAAGCCCCGTCTCTACTAAAAATATAAAAATTAGCCCAGGCTGGGCGTGGTGGTGGGCACCTGTAATCACAGCTACTTGGGAGGCTGAGGCAAGAGAATTACTTGAACCTAGGAAGTGGAGGATGCAGTGAGCTGAGATCACACCACTGCACTCCAGCCTGGGTGACCGAGTGAGACTCTATCTCAAAAAAAAAAAAAAAAAAAAAAAAGATTCTAACTGAGTTAAAGAAAACTTATTCCAGAGGTAGCCTTCTTTTTTCCCCATTCATCAGTAACTCATGCCATTCCAGGGTACAGTTTCTCATTAGAACAAGAAAACAGTTTTCCCTTAACAATGATACCATTTTCTGGTTTAAAAAGAGAATGAGGTGTAGAAGGCTGATGGCAACCACAAAAGGTACGCATGTGATATAGTTTGTATATTTGTCTCCTTCCAAATCTCATGCTGAATTGTAATCCTCAGTACTGGAGGTGGGGCCTGGTGGGAAGTGATTCAATCATGGAAGTGGATTTCTCATGAATGGTTTAGCACCACTGTCTTGCTGCTGTCCTCTTGATAGTGAGTGAATTCACACAAGATTTGGTAGTTTAAAAGCGTGTGACACCTCCCCATTCTCTCTTTCTCTCTCTGTGACACCTTCTCCAATCTCTCTCTCTCCCTTTCTCTCTGTCTCTCTCTCTCTCCCCTGCTTTTGCCATGTGACGTGCCTATTCCCGCTTCACCTTCTGCCATGAGTAAAAGTTTCCTAAGGTCTCCTGAGGAGCAGATACTGCTATGCTTCCTGTACAGCCTCTAGGAACCTCTTTTCTTATAAAATACCTAGTCTCAGGTATTTCTTTACAGCAATGCAAGAATGGTCTAACACACCATGTTAAAAAACACCCTGATTATTAACCCCAAGCCCTACCACTCCTATCTCTTGCCATTAGAGAAAACTACTCACTCATCATATTTTGGAGAGGATTCCTAAAATGAGTACTAACAGCATCCCAGACAGGAGTCCTTATAACAAAGGATGCTCTCTGAGATATCCATGGACTGAAGATCGGTTCCAGAGTCTCTTACCTTCCCCACCTTGGCTGTACACTCTGGGTCCACAGGAGCTTTGCCCTTTAACAGCAAGGCCTTCACAGATTCTGAGGAAAGACAGATAGGTACTACTTTATGGGAATCAAAAACAGCTGTTGTGGTAAAACAGAAACTTGTCAGGATTAACTTTGCCCGCCCAACCAATCCTGGTCTTTCCTTAGACCCCAATCCATCTCAAATACATGAAAATGAAGATTCAAGGCAGTAGATTAGTGCTGTGGTATGCCCAAAGGATAGAGAAATTAATTATTCCCTGAAAGAAGGACGAAATAGGAGTTGAAATAACAAGATATCATCCCCAGATCCACTCCTACCAGAGACCCTTTTGCTGGCCCATGACCTTCCTGGCATACCATCTTGCTTGTCTTCTGTCCTGTCCTTATTAGCTTTTCCTCCAGCCACAGGCATCTTTTTCGACTCCTGTCTCTGGCATCTACGAGTTTTCTTGGCAGGGGAAGAGTCTTCTGGAGCCGTGTTGCCATTATTAACTCTTTTGCTTTCATTTAATGCTACAGAATTTGGAAATTAGCAAAGAATGAGTACACACCCGAATACGTGTAGATTTTAAAGATTGAAAAAAATCTTTTAAAGAAATGGTTTAAGATAATTTTCTCTCTTTTTTTGTTTTGAGGTGGAGTCTCACTCTCTCGCCCAGGCTGGACTGCAGTGGTGCGATCTTGGCTCACTGCAACCTCCGCCTCCTGGGTTCAAGTGATTCTCGTGCCTCAGCCTCCTGAGTAGCTGGGATTACAGGCGTGCACCACCATGCCCAGTTAATTTTTGTATTTTTAGTAGAGACAGGGTTTCACCATGTTGGCCAGGCTGGTCTCGAACTCGTGACCTCAAGTGATCTGCCCTCCTCGGCCTCCCAAGGGATTACAGGCGTGAGCCACCTCACCCCGCCGGTTTAAGATAATTTTCTAAGTTTACAGAGGCAATAACAACTGTCCCACACTACTTTTGTGTAACAGTCTGTGTAATTCTTCCTAAATTGCTATTCTAGCCAAATGAAATAAAACAAAATAAAAGGGAGTCCCAGGAGTCTTGTAAGCTCATAGATTGAGGCCTGCTTATCTGTTTTACTTGTGTCCCAATGTCCCCCAAATACCCACCTCATACATGAGGCCGTATGGGATAAAGGTTAGTTAAGTGCTCAAGGGTCTGTGCCTAATTTAGAGCCTAGCTCTGCTGCTTTTCTCTGTGGAAACTTGGAGAAGTATTTGATCTCTTCCTACTTCACTTACTCCAATATTAGAATATTGTACAATACTGTACTTCTAGAGAAGTACAATAGAACCTAATTTATAGGGTGCACCTATGCATTTAAGAACATTATACACATAATACCGTATCTCAATAGGTCTAAGACTCGCATTTTACTCTCTGGAACTGGGATGCATCTTACAATGGATGACATAAGCAGTGAATCACAGTTCACCATTTTCAGTGCTTATCCTTTGTTGTGTATAAAATAATGGTGTGCCTTACAATTACTTTTTGTAAATTGGATGACATTAGGTATTAACAACAGTACTGGCACATTAGTTGTTACAGCTCCGCAAGGCTTTATGCACAATTATGTAATCCCCAAAGCTCTGAAAACCGAAATTTACAAAATTTAGCACCCCAACTGGTTTGGTAGCCAAGTGCAGGTTATAGGGAGCTGGAAGGGGAAGGGGGTCACAGTAGGTGGCATCGTTCCTTTCTGACTGCCCGCCCCCCGCATGCCGTCCCGCGATATTGAGCTCCGAACCTCTCGCCCTGCCGCCGCCGGTGCTCCGTCGCCGCCGCGCCGCCATGGAATTCGAACGCTGACGTCATCAACCCGCTCCAAGGAATCGCGGGCCCAGTGTCACTAGGCGGGAACACCCAGCGCGCGTGCGCCCTGGCAGGAAGATGGCTGTGAGGGACAGGGGAGTGGCGCCCTGCAATATTTGCATGTCGCTATGTGTTCTGGGAAATCACCATAAACGTGAAATGTCTTTGGATTTGGGAATCTTATAAGTTCTGTATGAGACCACTTTTTCCCATAGGGCGGAGGGAAGCTCATCAGTGGGGCCACGAGCTGAGTGCGTCCTGTCACTCCACTCCCATGTCCCTTGGGAAGGTCTGAGACTAGGGCCAGAGGCGGCCCTAACAGGGCTCTCCCTGAGCTTCGGGGAGGTGAGTTCCCAGAGAACGGGGCTCCGCGCGAGGTCAGACTGGGCAGGAGATGCCGTGGACCCCGCCCTTCGGGGAGGGGCCCGGCGGATGCCTCCTTTGCCGGAGCTTGGAACAGACTCACGGCCAGCGAAGTGAGTTCAATGGCTGAGGTGAGGTACCCCGCAGGGGACCTCATAACCCAATTCAGACTACTCTCCTCCGCCCATTTTTGGAAAAAAAAAAAAAAAAAAAAAACAAAACGAAACCGGGCCGGGCGCGGTGGTTCACGCCTATAATCCCAGCACTTTGGGAGGCCGAGGCGGGCGGATCACAAGGTCAGGAGGTCGAGACCATCCAGGCTAACACGGTGAAACCCCCCCCCATCTCTACTAAAAAAAAAAAATACAAAAAATTAGCCATTAGCCGGGCGTGGTGGCGGGCGCCTATAATCCCAGCTACTTGGGAGGCTGAAGCAGAATGGCGTGAACCCGGGAGGCGGAGCTTGCAGTGAGCCGAGATCGCGCCACTGCATTCCAGCCTGGGCGACAGAGCGAGTCTCAAAAAAAAAAAAACCGAGTGGAATGTGAAAAGCTCCGTGAAACTGCAGAAACCCTTTGGGAACAGAGGGAACCATGGGGCAGGAAGCCCACGAAAATTCTAATTGGTCTTCTGGTTCTTGGTGACATCAGGTGAGGGGCGCCCAAATGTTTGGCTTCATGAGAATCACCGAGTATGGGGACTGCATACTTAAGCAAATTCCCCACCCCAGACCCTCCGATTCAATAAGCCTGTATTAACAAAATCACTGGGTAATCCTGGTTTTGGCACTAATATCATTTAGAAACATATTGTTAGGATAGCATAGTATCTGTTATAGAGCAACCTGAGCAAAATAGCGAAACCTCGTCTCTATTACAAAAAAAAAAAAAAAAAAAGTGAAAAATTAGCCAGGCGTGGTCGCGGGCGCCTGTAATCCCAGCTACTTGGGAGGCTGAGGCACGAGAGTCGCTTGAACCCGGGAGGCGGAGGTTGCAGTGAGCCGAGATCCCGCCACTGAACTCCAGCCTGGGTGACAGAGTGAGACTCCGTCTGAAAAAAACAAAGAAAAAAAAATTGATACATTTTAATTTTTGTTCATCAAAAGATGTAAAGTTTAGAAAGAAAAAACCCAAAATCTCATTATTTGCATGTAATTTGATTATGAATATTTTAAAAGCTAGAAGAAACTACAGGATAAAAATTTTACCTTAATACAAAGCCTAGCAAGACTGATAGAAAATAGCGTGTGAAAATAAATTCCATGCTTATAAAAGAGCTTCAAACAACTATAAATAAAATTTTTGGATAAGGTAGCATTTACAATAACACCAAAGCATATCAAGTAGTTGGAAATAAATCTAACAAAATGTAAGTGCTCAATAAATGTTGTTGGATAGGATTGCTTAACCTGTTTCAGCGGTACAAAGCCTGTTACATCTGACTTAATTATGACACAAATAAATTAGACTAGGTCTAAAAGGAAATACTTTGGAGATAGGAAAAATATAAGCCTTTATGAAATGAAAATTTATTAAAAATAGCTAATACTTAGTAGAACTTTCTTGTGTACTAGAGGCTGAGCTAATGCTTTACATGCATAACCTCATTTAATCTTCATAAGAATAATAGCCAGAATTTATTTAGTTCTTACTATGCTATGAGCTTTACATACATTATTTAATTCTCACAACAACCTCATGAGGCATATGTTATTATCTCCATTTATAGTTGAGGAAACTGAGCTTTAGAAAAATTTAATTTATTCAAGATCACACAGTGTATTGCTAGGGCTGCTATAACTACATACATTGTCGTAATTCTGGCGGCTAGAGGCCCAAGGTAAAGGTCTTGACATGGCTGATTTCTTCTAAGGCCTGCCTCCCTCTCTCCTTGGCTTGTAGATGGATGCTGTCTTTCCTCTCTGTGCATCTATGTCCTAATCTCCTTTATTTTATTTATTTATTTATTTTTTGAGACAGAGTCTTGCTCTGTTGCCCAGGCTGGAGTGCAGTGGCAAGATCTCGGCTCACTGCAACCTCCACCTCCCAGGTTCTTGAGCGATTCTCCTGCCTCAGTCCCCTGAGTAGCTGGGACTATAGGCGTGGGCTACCACACCTGGCTAATTTTTGTATTTTTATTAGAGACAGGGTTTCACCATGTTGGCCAGGCTGGTCTCAAACTCCTGACCTCAAGTGATCCACCCGCCTCAGCCTCCCAAAATGCTGGGATTATAGGCGTGAGCCACGGTGCCTGGCCCTTAATCTCCTTTTCTTATAAGGACATCAGTGATATTGGATTATTCCCAACCCGTATGACCTTATTTTATCTTAATTACCCCTTTACATGTCCTATCTCCAAATACAGGCAGATTCTGAGATAATGAGAGTTCTTCAAATACATACATTTTGAGGTGACACAATTCAGCTCATAATATACAGTTCCTAAAAGGCAGGGCCAGATCTGGGTGACTCCAAATTATGTTGTTATCTACTAGGCTAATGTATTCTGTTTCATGACAGTAGTTACCATCCCACACACATTTTTAAAAATGTATTTTTAAAGTTTTTATTGATTCTTTTTCTTTTTTAGTTATTATGGTGGTCAGAGTGAGAATTACTGAAAATATATTGTGAAGATATAACTTCTTTATAGTCAAATACAGAACAAGTGTAACTAAAATAGTACTGAAGCATGTCACCAATAACTGGAAGAAACCGGCTGGGTGCGGTGGCTCATGCCTGTAATCCCACCTCTTTGGGAGGCCAAGGCAGGCGGATCACCTGAGGTGAGGAGTTCGAGACCAGCCTGGCCAACATGGTGAAACCCCCTCTCTAGCACAAAATTAGCTGGGCATGGTGGTGGGTGCCTGTAATCCTAGCTACTCAGGAGGCTGAGGCAGGAGAAGCTTGAACTGGGGAGGCGGAGGTTGCAGTGAGCCAAGATCGCACCACTGCACTCCAGCCTAGGTGACGAGAGCGAGACTCTGTCTGAAAAACAAAAACAAAAAAAGCCTGGAAGAAACCAACAAATTTATTTTCATAATTAAAACCAAAACCTCTATAGATAAGTGGATGAAAGATATTAATAAACAGTTTGCATTTGATAAATAAGTGCATGGAAAAGATATTCAGGCTCACATAGTATGAAAAATACAAATTAATATTCGACAGGACAACTGGCCTACTCTCTTCATACTATTATGTAAAAAAAAAATTGTTAGGACTGTTTTAGAGTAAAAGAGACATTTGAAGCCTAACAGCCAAATGCAATGTTTGGATGCTGGTTTGAACAAGCCAGCAATAAATGGGGATATGTGGATATGGACTGGAAATTGGATGATTTTAGGGAATTATTTATTAGATATTATAATGGTATTCTAGTTAGGTTTAAAATAATGATATTCTAGTTATGATTTTAAAATGTCCTTTAGGGTAGGTGTGGGGGCTCATGCCTGTAATCTCAGCAGTCAGAACTTCAGGCAGGAGGATTGCTTGAGCCCAGGAGTTCAAGACCAGCCTGGTCAACATGGCGAAACCCGACTCTACAAAAAGTGCAAAAATTAGCTGTATAATTTATCACTTGAGCCTGAGAGGTCAAGGCTGCTGTGAGCTGTGATCATGCCACTGTACTCCAGCCTGGGTGATAGAGTAAGACCCTTTCTCAAAAGGAAAAAAAAAGTTCTTTAAAAAAAGCATGCTATAGTATTTTCTGATAAGACATCACGTTATCTAGAATTACTTTATTTTTACAGATGGAGTGCAGTGGTGTGATCTCAGCTCACTGCAACCTCTGCCTCCGGGTTTCAAGCAATTCCCCTGCTTCACTCCAGTGTGGGCAATAGGGTAAGACCCTGTCTAAAAAATAAGATAAATTTAAAAATAAATAAATAAAATGAAAGTTAGATCATGTTAGATTTTTGTTCCAGTGGCTCCCCATCTCAAATGCTGTGGCTTGACCAGGCTCTATATGATCTGCTTCTTACCCCAGTGCTTTGATTTCATCTGCTACTATTTTTCCCTTTGCTTACTCCTGTTAGGCACTCTGGCCTCTTTCCACTTTGTCTCAAACATACCAGTCACTCTTCTCCCTACAGGCTTCTGTTCTCTCTACCTGGTCTACTCTTCTTCCAGCTAACAAGATTGATCCCTGACTTTCTTCAGGTCTTTGTTCTTAGTAGCAGTGGTGCCTTCCTTGATATAAATAACATCACTCCCATTATCACTTGTAGCCTCTTACTCTGCTTTATTTTTTTCCAGAGTACTAATTACAACTTAACATATATTTGTTTAATTTTTAGGAGATCTGACTCTCTCCAATAGACTGTAAGCTCCAAGTGAGCCAGGGCTTTGTGTATTTTGTTTCCTGCTCTGTAACCAATGCCTGGAACAGTATCTAGCTTTCAATGATATTTGTTGAATGAGATACTAAATAAGACAGGGTGTCAAGGAGCAAGGGGTATGACTTGAAAAAGAGGGTGGGTTCTGAAGGAAAGGTGAGACTTTATTGAACTTCACTGTCTTGAGGATTTCTCTTTCCTACCTTATTCAAAGAGGTGGATCTTGAGAGTTGTTTAAAAAAGAAATTCAGAATCAAAAAGATCAGTAATTGAAGGAAACTAGTAAGATTTTAAAAGCTTTGAAATTCCACAAGTATGGTTTATTATATTGCCTGATGTTATAAATATGTTTCCAAACTTATTTATATTTATTTATATATTATATTGCCTGATGTTATAAACAAATTTCCAAATTTATTATTTGCCAATTTTCCAAAAGTGATCAGCAAAGCTGCGGATCAGGACCACCATTTAAAGGAATTTGCATACATGTCTTCAGGAATAGCTAGGAAAGGGATGTTGATGAGAACCTTCTACTTTGCTACAACTTTGGAAGGAAAGGATCCTCAAGAGATATTAATTTAAAATGGAGAGAGTTCTGAGACGTATTAAAAGGGGGAAAGTAGTAGCTCAGAGTTGGGGTAGGAGGTGTTGAACATGTAGAAGGCCCAATCTCTGGAGTCCTAGGTTCAACTTGGGGGATAGGCATTCAATGTGGTGTCCATTTAGCCTTTGAAGCCTGTCCTTTGCTGCCTTAGGGGGTTGGGGTCTCCTACTTTTCTCTTCTCCCCTCTAAATTGAAACCTACTCTTGGATCTCTACCCTTATTTTGTGGAGAGGTACTGTTTTATTTTTTAAACACGAACACATTCTTCTCGTAAAACATTGCAGATATTCAAAACCAAAAAGCTCCTCCCTTAATTCCCTCAATCCTTCTCCTTGGAGTAACTTGTTAGCAGTTTGGTGTGTCTCTTTCCAGACTATTTTCTTTTCATTTACTTGCAAAAATGTGCACATACAGAATTATTCTATTTTGCATTTTTTGTGGGGGGGGGGAGAAGTGTTACATAAATGTGAGCATATTACATGGTGTTATTCTTGGCTATTTTCACTTCATATGCATTGGAGATGTTTTCATGTCAGTACATGCAGATTTACTTCATTCTGTTTAACTACTGGGTAGTATCTCATAGAATGGTTGTATCATTTAAAAAATGTTGTGGGTACATAATAGGTGTATAAATTTATGGGGTATATGAGATATTTATTTATTTACTTATTTATTTGAGACTGAGTCTCGCTCTGTCACCCAGGCTGGAGTGCAATGGTGCGATCTCATCTCACTGCAACCTCCGCCTCCGTGGTTCAAGCGATTCTCCTGCCTCAGCCTCCTGAGTAGCTGGGATTACAGGCGCACACCACCATGCCCGGCTAATTTTTGTATATTTTAGTAGAGATAGGGTTTCACCATGTTGGTCATGCTGGTCTTGAACTCTTGACCTCGTGATCCACCCGCCTTGGCCTCCCAAAGTGCTGGGATTACAGGCGTGAGCCGCCGCACCCAGCACATGAGATGTTTTATGTGCAATGTGAAATAAACACATCCTGGAGAATGGGGTATCCATCCCCTGAAACCTTTATCCATGGACAGTCTTTCAGTTATTTTAAAATGTACAATTAAGTCATTATTGACTATAGTCACCCTATTGTGCTATCAAATAGTAGGTTTTATTCATTCTTTCTAACGATTTTTTTGTACCCATTAACCACCCCTGCCGCCAAGGAATAGTTGTATCATGATTTAATGATCTTTGAATAGACATGGGTGTTTCTAATTGTTTTGCTGTCATAACCAGTGCTACAAGGAACATCCTTCCTTGAACATGCCCATTTGAGCACAATAGTTCTCCAGGGTGGATAACCAAATGTAAACTTGCAAAGGAGATGCTTAATTTTTAATTACAGACAAATGGCCATTCTCAATTCTTCATTTTGAATAAATTATAAATGAAATTTTTAGAGTGCTGCCTTTTCCAAGAGTTTACTCACTTCAGCAGTGATAACATCCCTTTTTTCCTTTTTTTAAATTTATTTTTTATTTCAATAGGTTTTTGGGGAGCAGGTGGTGTTTGGTTACTGGTGATTTCTGAGATTTTAGTGCGCCCATCACCAGAGCAGTGTACACTGTACTCAGCATGTAGTCCTTATCCCTCAACCCCACCACCCTTTCAGTGATAACATCCTTAAACGATAGTCATTCAGTTGGTGTTCTCCAAAGGGTGAGCCTCAAATCTACCGGAAGTACCTGAGGGTGCTTATTAAAATACATATTCCTGAGTCCCACCCACTGAATTAGAATCTCTGAACGTGTGTCCCAGGAATCTACTTTTTTTTGAAACAGGGTCTCACTCTGTTGCCCAGGCTAGAGTGCAGTGGTGTAAACACAGCTCACTACAACCTCTACCTTCTGGGCTCATGCTCTCTTCCCGACTCAGCCTACCTTAGTAGCTGGGACTATAGAGGCATCACCACTCTTGGCAATTTTTTATTTTTATTGTTTGTAGAGACAGTTGTTTTACCATGCTGCCCAGGCTGCCCTCAAACTCTTGGGCTCAAGCGCTCCTTCTGCCTCCACCTACCAAGTATTGGGACTACAGATGTGACCTACCACACCTGGCCCCAGGAATCTATCGACTTTTAAACAATTTCAAAGTTATTTTACAGAGCACAAAATTTTGATGTTACCAGCTGAAGAGAATTTCATCATGGATTATTATAAGTATTAAAGCCTGGAATACAGAATATCATAAAGAAATGTTAGATATTTAATGGGAATTTGAAAAGAATATTGTACTTTCTAAGGTTTTCTGAAATCACACAATATAGGAAGCAGTGCAATGTGGTGGTTGAGTTTGGGCTGTCAAGTTGGATGGCTGCTGTCTCAGTTTGTTTTCTGTTGCTTATAACAGAATACCTGAAACTGGGTCACTTATTTATTAGTTTGTTTTTTAATTAATTTATTTTTTGGATACAAAGTCTTGCTCTGTCTCCCAGGCTGGAGTATAGCGGTACTCCAAACCTACACCTCATTAGTTCAAGCGATTCTCCTGCCTCGGCCTCCCAAGTAGCTGGGATTACAGGTGTGCACCACCATGCCTGGCTAATTTTTTGTATTTTTAGTAGAGATGGGGTTTCGACATGTTGGCCAGGCTGGTCTCGAACTCCTGGCTTCAAGAGATCCACCTGCTTCGGCCTCCCAAAGTGCTAGGATTACAGGTCTAAGCCATCACACCAAGCCTGGTTTATTTATTTATTTAGTTAGTTTTTGAGACAGGGCCTCACTCTGTCACTCAGGCTGGACTGCAGTGGCACAATCTTGGTTCACTGCAACCTCCGCCTCCCGGGTTCAAGTGATCGATCCTCCCACCTCAGCTTCCTGAGTAGCTGGGACTACAAGCCCATACCACCATGCTCAGCTAATTTTTGTATTTTTAGTAGAGACGAGGTTTTGCCATGTTGGCTAGGCTGTGGGGTAATTTATTTTAAAAAAGAAATTTATTTTTTGCAGTTATGGATGCTGTGAAGTCCAAGGTTAAGGACTGCCTCTGGGTTGCATCTGAACTCCTTCTTGCTGGAGGGGACTCGCTGTGATGTTCCAAGGCGTGGCAGGAAATCACATGGCCAGGATGCTGAGACTGCTAACATGCTATCCTTAAGTCTCTTTGCCTTTTCTTTAAAGCCACTAGTTCCCCTCCCATGATAACCTATTAATCCATGAATAGATTAATTTATTTATGAGGGCAGAACCCTCATGATCCAGTCACCTCTTGAAGGCCCCACTTCTAATGAGGATTAAGTTTCAGCCACTTTAGGGATTAAGTTTCAACATGAATTTTGTAAAAGGTGAAAGATTTATGCGATATGAAGAGAAACTAGAGTGACAACATGAATTTTGAAGGGGACAGTCAAACCATAGCAACTGGGATCTGAATCCTGACTTTACCACTTGCTAAATAGACAAATTCCTTAATCTCTATAACTCTGTTTCCTTTTTTTTTTTTTTTTTTTTGGTGAAATAGTTATAATGAAAGTGCTTACATTCTTGGGTTAATGTGAAGATTAAACAAGGTAATGAATATTACATTTCTTGAATATTTATAGTAAACATTCAAGAAATGTTTTGACTCTAGAAGTTACAATAAATCAATTATGAAATAACAAATTAGCATTTGATGCTAAATGTTGGGAAATTTGGGGCAGGTAAACTCTAAAGTGGATTGGAATAGGTAATTTCTAGTAAGGTGGAAGCAGGGTGGATAGGATGAAATGATTAAAAAATGAGAACTACTATGAGTTAGAGTTGTATCATTTCTCCATATAACTTGAATCTTTATACTTCAAACATTTGCACATTACATGTATATTTGTACATATAACACATACTTGTATATATATTCCCTATTACTATAATAGTATTTATTAAGAATAATGATGAATATTGTGCCGGGGAGTCCTCTAATTATGGCTTAAAAAGAAATCTTTCAGCTTGGGCAACATGGCGAAACCCCATCTCTACAAAAAAATACAAAAATTAGCTGGGTGTGATGGTGCACGCCTGTAGTCCCAGCTACTTACTGAGGCAGGAGATCGCTTGAACCTGGGAGGTCAAGGCTACAGTGAGTCGAGATTTCACCACTGCACTCCAGCCTGGGACACGAAGTGAGACCCTGTTTCAAAAAAAAAAAAAATTTAACAGAGTAAGAACCTATACTTTAACTGGAGGGCGATGTGAGGAGTCAAAATAATTGATTAATCAATTATGTCCTCAGCATTGAAAGTCATTGTTTTTGTCTGGAGATGTGTAAAACGTACACTTTGATCTCCAGTTGTTTATAGTCTACTTGGGAATATAAATCTAACAAGAAATATGTAATAACAATAATAACAGCTAACATTGTTGAGTACTGTGTACCGGGCATTGTACTGAGTACATTATATAAATTATTTTACTTAATCCTCATAACCATCAGAGTAGGAAGATTTCATCTTTTTTCCCTCTTTTTATAGTTGGAACTGAGGCTTAGATGTGTGCAAATAAGTGGCAAGGTTCAGATTCAAAATCAGCTAAATTTTATTTGAAGCCTAAAACACTTAACCCACCTACCTTTTATCTACTAAGCCTGTTAGTTCAAAGATTACCTGAAGGTAAATTTTATCAGGCCAGCTTTGGATCTGGGGGGAAAAAATGAAGGTAAATTTTAACTTGAATCGATCTAGACTGTTTATAATGGAATCTGTTGCCTAGCATAAGTTAAGCATGTTGAGGTCACAAAGGATAAGAAATTACCCTTAAGGGATGAAAATTCTTTAGAATAGAATGCAGTAGGCCCACGCAAACAACAACGTGTATAAATAGCTTAAATTAGCCTGTTTTTGCCTAAGTACATTAACTCAAAAGGAAACTCGGTTTAAGAAGTTCACTCCAAAAATAGTGCAAGAAGCATCACTGGTCCATAAAGAGGGGTGGAGTGGGTTACGTCATTTCAGCACCTTTTAAGGTAAAGGAGGAGGGAATCCTCTTGAACTCATTAGCCAATCAGGTTCTGAAGACACTTCCCAAGGCGACTTCCTGTCTCTCCACTTTCTTTCCCTCTCCGTTTTGGTGGGCTGGTGAGTGTGCGCTTAATTTTGCTCTCTAATTGTTTTGAATTTCTCTTCCATTTGAGTTATATACCCAGGTGGCAGGCCTTTATTTCAAGTCGGCATAGGAGTGTGTGTGAGTCGCAAGGAGATTAATTTCGGCTGTGTGGAGGTTGGGAGAAGGCAGTGAAATGCTCTTCCTGGCTTGTTTCCACGTGGGCCTCTGCAGTACTGGGTTTGCCTTCCGTCTCCGAGTCCTGGTGACCCAGGAACAATAGACTGTGCTTCATGTGCACAGTGCGTGTGTTCTTGGAAAACGCCGGCTTCATTTTGCTTGGCGGGAAAGATATTATCATCCTAATGCTGTTTTGATTTATATCTCCCTGGGTGAGGTCAGATTTCGGGAGAAGGCGTTCAGCTCAGTAGAGTTTAATTCTCCGGTGAGTGTCTAGAGGGCCCAGGTCCTTACTGGGTTTGTGGAAGCTGCAGCGTACCTTGTCTTTCTCCTGGCCTTCGCTCAGATCATTTCGGCTTTCTTGGTGAACCTGGGCAGCAAACTCTGAAGACAGATAAGCCTTAAAAGGAGCTCCTAATTTTTAATGTTGCCACTGTGGTGATTGTGTCCTTAAAAGCTATGGAAAAAGATTAGGGACCTTAGTTCAGGGCAAGCCTCTAGATTTAAATTCCAGCGCCACAGTTTACAGCTCTGGTGACCTTGGGAGAAGCAGTGAGCCATTCCGAGGCTTAGCTTTCCAAGATCAGATAAAATATATAAAAACTAGGCTCTAGTTGGTGTGTAATAAATGTTAGGTACCTTTAGAAGTAAGCAGTACTTATTTATTTACAGCAAGTATTTTGGATATCTGTTTTCTCATAAAAAGTTTGCTTAGTGACCTTCAATGTCATTTCACTGAATTCCTTTCTTTTGGTACATGTTAATTTTAATGTGATGTTTGTGTTGGATATTCTTATAGGCAGAAAGTGTGAGAAAGACAAATAATAAACCAGTTAATCGAATGTAGTAATAGGTATTTGTAGGCCTCCCATAATTTTTATAATTCTCAAGCATTGTTAAAATTTATTTTTTGGGGCATGGCGGCGCATGCCTGTAATCCCAGCTACTCGGGAGGCTGAGGCAGGAGAATCGCTTGAACCCGGGAGGTGGAGGTTGCGGTGAGCCGAGATCGCGCCATTGCACTCCAGCCTGGGCAACAAGAGCGAAACTCTGTCTCAAAAAAAAAAAAAAAAAAAAAAAAATATATATATATATATATATATGTATACACATCATATATATATATATTTTTGAATAGGTAATACATTCACATGGTTCAAAATTCAAAAGATATCAAAGTTTCTTATCCCCTTCCCTAAGCCATCCAATTCCTCTCCCTCATAACAGTGTTACTAAGATATTTTATGCATATAAGCAAATATGTGTAGGTATCCTTCCCTTTTACTATACCTACTCTACTATGTGTCTTACTTTTTCCACTTAAGTTCCATGAGTAGAGTGTTCACATTCTTCATAATGGTAACATAGTATTCTTTAAAAATTATTTTTTTTAAAAAATATATTTTTTCAGTAGGTTTTCAGGGTATAATGGTAACTCAGTATTCTAATTTATGTACCTACTATAATTTATTTAGCTTTTATCAGTAGGTATTCAGATAGTTTATGATCTTGATATTTCCCCCTCAAATGAATAACCTTGTAAATCAGTCAGTTGGCATAAAGGCATTTCAATTGGGTTTTGGTATATTCTTGTTTAAAAGGACTCTAGATATTTTGCAGTGCTTCCTATTTATATTTATTTTGTACACGGTGGTGATTAGAAACCAATCAATACTCTAAACTTGATTGAGCAATAAAGGATTTTCTACCGAAAGGAAAATCATCTTGATGGCTTTTATGTGAATATATCTTTGCCCACTTTGGTTTGAGTGGGGATGGTTTATCTTGTTATGAGCATGTGTTTAATGCTGGGAAGGAGTGACAGCAGTGGCCCAGAACAACCAAGTCATCTTTGTATTCACAGGGGCAGAAAGGGCATGCTTTCAGTGTTTACTTAGAAAATGTGTGCTGGATATGCCCCTGAACTCATGGTGTTGAGGGCATATTTTAGTATTAAGTTAGGAAAAGCTGAAATGTATTTTAGGATGTAAACATGCAAAATAAAAAAGGAAGCCTTTGGGAATTTCTCCAAAGCTGTTTTAGTCTTAAGAGGCTTAGTTCCGGTTTTTTAGGTGGAAGTTTTGTGAGTTGGGAAAACATTACATTCTTTCCAATGGAAGCATGCTTTTGTTAATAAGACTTCATAATACATTGGAGTCTTCATTGTTAAGTAGGAAATGAGGGGAAGGGGGAAGCAAACCTGTGTCTTTTTTGCTTGAAGGACAATATGGCCGGGCGCGGTGGCTCACGCCTGTAACCCCAACACTTTGGGAGGCCGAGGAGGGTGGATCACCTGAGGTCGGGAGTTCGAGACCAACCTGATCAACATGGAGAAACCCCGTCTCTACTAAAAATACAAAATTAGCCGGGCGTGTTGGTGCATGCCTGTAATCCCAGCTACTCGGGAGGCTGAGGCAGGAGAATCGCTTGAACCCGGGAGGTGGAGGTTGTGGTGAGCCGAGATCGCGCCATTGCACTCCAGTCTGGGCAACAAGAGTGAAAAAAAAAAAGGACACAATATCTTGGAGTTGGAAGGGCCCTTATGAGTACTATATGAGTGACCTTTCTGGCTTCTGGGTTATTGTGAGAAGTGTGACTTTTTGTTGTTAAATTTGTTTTTATTGTAGATTCACGGGGTACATGTGCAGGTTTGTTTCAGGGTATATTGCATGATGCTGAGGTTTGGGCTTCTATTGATCCTGCCATCTAGGTAGTAAACATTGTACCCAATAGGAAGTTTTTCAGCTCTTGCCCCTCTCTCTCTTTTCCTCCTTTTGGAGTACCTAGTGTCTATTGTTCCCAACTTTTTGTTCCTGTGAACCCAGTATTTAGCTCCCTACGCAAGATTTAGCTCCCAACGCAAGATTTAGCTCCCACTTATAAGTGAGAACATGCAATACTTGGTTTTCTGTTTTTGCATAAATTCGTTTAGGATAATGGCCCCCAGCAGCATCCAGCAGCTCCAGTTGCTGCAAAGGACATGTTTTTTGTTTTTTTTTTTTTTATGGCTGTGGAAAAGTGTGAAATTTTTAGGCAGAATATTTGCCTTTCTACTCACTAGCTGGTTGAGCTTGGGCAAGACATAGAAATAACATATTAAACATTTAACTCCATGCCAGCTACAGTGCAAAATGTATTTATTACCTCAGTCTTCACGGAAGTTTTAAGAGGTATGTAGTATTTGTCCTCATTTTACAGAGGGGACAGCTGAAGTTTAGAGAAGTTGCATAACTTACCCATGGGCACAGCAAATACATGAGAGAGCCAGGATTAAAATCTAGTTTAGTATGATTTCAAAATCTATTATTTTAGGGAATATTAATTAGTGCAGCTATGATGGAAAACAGTATGGAAATTTCTCAAAAAATTAAAAATAGAACTACCATATAATCCAGAAATCCCATTTCTGGGTATATTCAAAGGAAATAAAACTAGTATGTCAGAGATACCTATACTCCCATGTTCATTGCATCATTATTCACAAAAGCCAAGATACGGAATTGACCTAAGGGTCCATCAACGGATGAATGGATAAAGCAAATATTATACATATGTACAGTGGAATACTATTCTGCCTTAAAAAGGAAGGAAACTGATAGTGAGTGGGAAATAAAACTTGGAGTCTGTTCTGATAGCAGTACCTTATATAACTATCTCTAAAGGAAAACTATACCAAGCTATTAGTCTAGTATTTACTTCCTATGAACAAAATTTTGTGTGTTCATTTTGTTTCAGGTTGAAGATGAAATCCACTGAGGAGGGAAGTCCAGCACCCTGTGTGCCAGTCCAGAACTGGCCCATCTGTAGACCCCCTGAAAATCATATGGGCTTGGATTTGGATATTCTCAACAGAAAGGGTTAAAGGCTGATGGTACCTAAAGCCTGGTACTTGAATTTTGATCAAGATAAGCTGCCTTAAGTTCTCTTCATTACACGTATGTGTGTCTTTCCTATCTAAAAAGCCTAGCTTAGAGATTCGAGTTACCATTGTATCCTATAATGCTAGGTGGCACTGAGTAAATTGGAATAGAGTCAAAAGGAATGGTGATGAAATCTTAACACGAGTATCTGCTGATTTAGTATCAATTTGTAGTTTGTATTAGGCCTTCATGAAGCATCTGTTCACACATATAAAATGTACCTTTTGGCTATGAACACTAGTACTTTGAAGTGATTACTGCCCACAGTCAACAAAATGCTGGGATCATTGATTGTTTATGGAGCATTTGCACAATACTTAGTAAATACGAAATGTCCTTTGTATGGTGGAATGACACTTGTTGAAGCATGCATGACTAGAATCCTGCAGGGAAGCATCACACATTGGGAAAGGTATCACATATTTAACATCAGGATTTATGTGCCAGGCTTTGTGCTATGTGTCAAAACAAAAAGACCAGGCCTCTTGCAATCTGGGTTTTGTTTGTGAGTTGAGATTAATAGAGAAGTTGTTCCTTTCAACCTATAATTATTATCCTGTAAGAATACTTAGATCAAGTAGTTTTTTTTTTAATTTCCTTTTTAAAAAAATTTATTTTAGGTTTGGAGAGATCAAGGAGTTTTAAGGTAGACATTGTTAAAACTGGAGAAACCTTTCACACCATGTCTTGCTTCTTGTCTACATTCTCTTAGTTAACCTTGCATCCTGCTGATCTGAAAACATTTTACATAGTTAAAGCTAAGTATAGGGCAAGGAAGGAGTAAAATAACATTTTGATCATATCTGTCTGAGATATTTAAAATGCTTCAGTTTCTTTCCAACCTACTGAGCTAGCATGTCACTGCATTACATTTTAAAGCAAACCTTTAGCTCTGTGTATTTCCTGTAGGAAGTACCATGGTGAATTGAAGAGTATGGAGTTTTGATGGAATTGAATTTAAATCCTAGCTCTTACTAGTTAGGTGACCTTAGGAAATTTATGTAATTTTTCTGAGCCTCAATTTTCCTGTAAATAGGGGGTTGTAAAATTTAAATGATACAAATTCTATACAGCTTGACAGATAGGATTTCTAAAGAATGATAGCCACTGCTTTCTTTTCTGTCAGCTTATTTTAGACCCATTCTTAAAGGCACTGATGTCCAATGGAGCCTTCTGTTATGATGGAAATGCTCTATGTTTGTACTGCCAATTTAGCTATTGAGTAATGAAAATGTGACTAGGGTAATGGGAGAAATTTAATTTTTAACTCTAATTAAGTGGTTACTTATTGGACATGCAACTTTAAGGTCCACTTGTGACCCACTCTTTTTGCTTCATGAAGCCTTCCTTGACCAATCCTACTTCTTTTCTTAACCTTACTTGCTTTCTACTACTTATTTGGTGGTATGTTAATTTCTGTGAGTCTTGTCTTTCTGGCTAGATTGTATCTGAGGTTATGGATTTTTAAATCTCCACACTGCTGCATGAAAAAGAACATAATGATGAAAGTATAACTGCAGTATTTTTAGCTAACAAGTTTTAGATGATCATTACAAGTAAATACAAAAAATTTTCTAGCTAGTAATTAGGTGAAGAGTAGGGAATAGTGTGAAGGTTGCCTGCAAAGATGAACTGCGTATCTAGTATGTATTTGACCTGAAAGTTCAGATGACACGCAAATGCTGGAAGAGGAAATTAAAGCAAGACTCTTTCTTACACTGCCATCTTGTGGCAGACTTGGGTTACAAATGTTACTAATTCAATTTTCCTATATAAAGGGAAGATTTTCTTCAGATTATTTTGACAAAGGATTACGAAGAGTAAAGGTTAAATACAATCCGGCATTGGCTCAAATGAAATTGAAACATGCTTTGAAAAAACTGACTATTTTGGATTATTTTCTCAGTTATCTGAATCTTAAAAGTTCTTGACTCCTTCCTCTTGCATAACTGTTTTCTTACTGTGAGGTTGTTGACCTTTATAGCCTTTCAGAAGTTGGTTAGACTATTGTGCAGTTTTATCCAAGCTTGTAAATTTATACAAAATTAAGCTTGTGTAGGGGTCCTGCTCGGTTTTTTTTTGTTGTTGTTGTTAAATTTTTTTTGTTTTGTTCGAGACGGGGTCTTACTCTGTTGCCTAGGCTGGAGTACAGTGGCACGATCACAGCTCACTGTAACCTTGAACTCCTGATCCTGCCCTATTTGATATTGAGCTTGGGCATTTGGTGACATTCTCCAAATAGATGAGTCAATAATTTATATTAATGAATGGAGAGTTAAATAAAGGATGAACGGTTACTCTAAATTTTCTTGTGACTTGGTATAGAACATGCTGGTGTGAGTTGTCATGTAATCATAACCTTTGTGAATTTATTTATGTTTTTTAAATTTTCCAGAAATGATCCTAGATAATTGATAGATCCTGTGGTTCAACTGGATTTCTAGATAGAAGCTGGATTCATGTGATGCCAGAGGTAAGAGTAAGAGCAAAATCTTCGTTTTTACCTCATTTGGATTTCTAATCACTTAGCAAGACTTGGGACTCGGTGTTATTAGTGGATGGAATTTGGTAATTAAAAAAAATCCCCAGTTCTAACCTTAGGAGAATTTTCCTGTTTAGGGATGAGGAGCCAGTGCTGGTTTGCCCTTCCTCAGTCATTTACAGTTTGCCATGATGAAATGCATGTTAAGTCCGTGTTTCAGCTGATCAGCCTGATTAAACACATGCTCTGAGCAGACTAAAGCTAGGGGCAAACACCTGCAATTGAATTCTGCTTGTTGGAATTCATACTGGGATTTAGTCTGTAATCCCAGGTAATTCTTAAATCTTAATAAATTATGAATTTGAGACTAATGTTTTGTTGTGCTTTGATCTTTTGTGATATCTCTATATCCCCAAAAAATCACTTTTGTGAGTTAGAACTAGGGTCAGGAATCATTAATCTAAAAGTTCAAACACTACAGAAAAAGCACTGGCAACTGGTATAATTCTATAGGCAATTTAGCCTGGCAGTTTTAAACTAATCATTATTTTATCAATCTATACATGTAGATTAAAGGAAACACAGAGTTGGTTAAATCAATTTTGTGAAGACTATACGGTACAACACTATAGAATCACTTAAAAGTTATGATACAGTTTTATGTTTATTGAAATAGAACGGTATTCATGACACATGAAAAACAGATTATATAGAGCAATATGTTTCTGCTTAAATATTTTTATATGCATATGTTTGCTTAAGAAAACTGAAAGGACATATATACTAAAATACTAGGGGGTTATTTTCTCTAGAATTGGGTTCTACAAGTAATCTTTTATTATTATAAACCTATTTTCTAATTTTATTGTATTCATGTATTGTAATATTTTAAAAGTTATTTTAGGTAACTTAGGACAAGCTTATATTCTTTACCCGTGCCTGCATTTTCAGCAGAGAATTAGGTAGAAAGAAGGGTGAAATACAGGAAATACAAACAACTCAAAGTAACATCAGGACTTGAAATAATTTTTTAGCTTTTGTTGTCTTTTGCAGGAGTAAAATTTCAAGAGACTGAAACCAGATCTGAGTTTCGCTGTTCCAGTCTGGACCTCTTTGGTGCTGTAAATCCTGGATATACTGTAGATGAGTACTGCGTTTTTCTTTTATGGTAAGGCTTACGTTGAGATTGAGAAGCTTTGCCATATATATGAGTCTTTGAAAATTCAGGTTTGTGACTTCATGGCCAGCTGCTAAGGTGCTATAAATTTCACTTTTTTTTTTTTTTTGAGACGGAGTCTTGCTCTGTCGCCCAGGCTGGAGTGCAGTGGCGGGATCTCGGCTCACTGCAAGCTCCGCCTCCCGGGTTCACGCCATTCTCCTGCCTCAGCCTCCCAAGTAGCTGGGACTACAGTTGCCCGCCACTACGCCCGGCTAATTTTTTGTATTTTTAGTAGAGACGGGGTTTCACCGTTTTAGCCGGGATGGTCTCGATCTCCTGACCTCGTGATCCGCCCGCCTCGGCCTCCCAAAGTGCTGGGATTACAGGCGTGAGCCACCGCGCCCGGCTAAATTTCACTTTTTAAAAGTCAGTTGAGGCCAGGCGTGGTGGCTCACACCTGTAATCCTAGCACTTTGGGAGGCCGAGGTGGGTGGATTGTCTGAGCTCAGGAGTTTGAGACCAGACTGGCCAACATGGCAAAACCCCATCTCTACTAAAAAAATACAAAAAATTATCTGGGCCTGGTGGTGTGCGCCTGTAGTCCCAGCTACTCAGGAGGCTGAGGCTTGAACCCAGGAGGTGGAAGTTTTAGTAAGCAGAGAGAGCGCAACTATACTCCAGCCTGGGTGATAGGGAGATTCCGTCTCCAAAAAAAAGAGTCAATTAAAGATGTTGAGAAGTAGCATTGTATAGTATATATATGGGTTCTGGAGTCAGACTGAGTTCAAACGCATGCTCTATCACTTCACCAGTTATGCAGCATTGGCAAGTTTCCTAATATCTATGTCTTAGTTTTATATTTTAGAGGATGGCAATAGTATTTGACTCAGGGTGGTTATTTTGAAGATTAAATTAGTAAGGGTGTGGGTAAAGCATACGGTAAATGCTCAGTTTGATGTTAACTATTTGTCATCAGAATCCATGCGTATATTTCTCTTAGATTCTGTACTACCTGGCAATTTTTGACATCTGCATAATAGATTGACGAAAATTCTTTGTTTTGGCCTGACGTGGTGGCTCATGCCTGTAAACCCAGCACTTTGGGAGGCGAGGTGGGCAGATCACCTAAGGTCAGGAGTTCAAGACCAGCCTGGCTAACATGGTGAAACCTCGTTTCTACCAAAAATACAAAAATTAGCTGGGTGTGGTGGCGTGCACCTGTAATCCCAGCTACTTGGGAGGCTGAGGCAGGAGAATCGCTTGAATCTGGGAGGCAGAGGTTGTGGTGAGCTGAGATCGCACCACTGCACTCCAGCTTGGGTGACAGAGCTAGACTTCGTCTCAGAAAAAAAGAGGAAATTCTTTGTTTTTATTGCTCATATATCTTTCTGTTAATTAGACTACCCCTCATTACCTTCACCCCGCCCCTCAAAACTTAATTAAGTTCTAGAATTAGTCATAGGCACTATAATGTGTATCTTTATATAATTGTTGGAATAACATTTTCTTTAGTTGGTTAATCTTGATTTTGGTACTAACTTGTTATCTAGTTCCTCATTTTCCCTTGCTGGATCAGTTGATCCTTAATGATCTCTTCTAGTTCTTACTTTTTTTTTTTTTTTTTTTTTTTGAGACGGAGTCTCGCTCTGTCGCCCAGGCTGGAGTGCAGTGGCACGATCTGGGCTCACTGCAAGCTCCGCCTCCCAGGTTCACGCCATTCTCCTGCCTCAGCCTCCTGAGTAGCTGGGAATACAGGCGCCCGCCACCACGCCTGGCTAATTTTTTTTGTATTTTTAGTAGAGACGGGGTTTCACCGTGGTCTCGATCTTCTGACCTCATGATCCACCCGCCTCGGCCTCCCAAAGTGCTGGGATTATAGGCGTGAGCCACCACGCCCGGCCTCTAGTTCTTACTTAGATGTAATGATTCCTATCTTATAAGAGTCTCTTGATGTCTTCATTTTTTTTTTTTTGAGACAGGGACTCATTCCATTGCCCAGGCTGGAGTGCAGTGGCATAATCAGGGCTCACTGCAGCCCTGGCTTCCCAGCCTCGGGTGATTCTCTCACCTCAGGCTCCCAAGTAGCTGGGACCACAGGCCACCATGCCTGGCTAATTTTTTGTATTTTTTTGTAGAGATGGGGTTTTGCCATGTTGCCCAGGTTGGGATGTCTTTATTTTTTATAAACGTTTCTTAAATTAATGTGGTTGGAGTTAAACTTTGATGGCTGTTCCTCTCACTGCTTGAAGCCTTAGGCAGTGGGATTTTGATCCATCATATATCAAAAATGGCTTATCTTCACTCAGGGCACCATGAGGATGGGCTGGCTGTCCGTTAGTGCCTTCTGATTTTTGCGGAGTCAAACAATTACTAAACGGGTGGTGATTCCAGATTAAGAAAATGTACCTGTGATTAAAAAAATAAAAGAAGCAGCCTAGTTTCAAAACACGAGCATATAGTAATTAGATAGCTGTCATCTGGTGCTGTGAAATAAAGCCAGTTGATTCTGAGAGTTACTGAAACATTATACTCTAAAGTCATTCATGTTCAAATTTTAAATGGTTTACTCAGTTTTTTAGAGTGGTTGCTCACACACGTCAGGGCAGTTTTAAAAATACACTTTTTGGCTGGGTGCGGTGGCTCACACCTATAATCCCAGCACTTTAGGAGGCTGAGGTGGGCGGATCACCTGAGGTCAGGAGTTCGAGACCAGCCTGGCCAACATGGTGAAACCCTGTCTCTACTAAAAATATAAAAATTAGTTGGGCATGGTGGTGTACACCTGCAGTCCCAGCTACTTGGGAAGCTGAGGCAACAGAATCGCTTGAACCCGGGAGGTGGAGATTGTAGTAAGCCGCGATTGTGCCACTGCACTCCAGCCTGGGTGACAGAGTGAGATACTCCGTCTCAAAAAAAAAAAAAAAATTATATATATATATATAAAACTTTTCTTTGCAGTATGAAGGTAGATAATTCTTCAAGTTAAAGATGGACTTTTTTCACCAGAAATGGCTTTATGGAATCAATTTGCAAAAATGTAAGAGGTGGCAAAGGAAAGAATAAAATAATATTTTCATTTTCTTCTGTTATTCTTAGATCCTTTGGTAGATTGTAAACTCCATGAAAGCAGGATACCTTCTTTTGCCCTAAGGCTTGGCCCAAAAGAGATACCAAAAAAATACTTGCTTATATACTAACCTAGTCTCTGGGTGTGGGAGCCATAGAGGGTTCAGGGTGGGGTGGTGGGGAAGGTGGGGGAAGCCCTGATTGACAAACCAGGGCGGTTTCCAAAAGGAATTCTTGGCATATGTACTCAAGGAGACATGTATAGAACATTCACTGTGGTATTGTTTTTAATTGTAAAACCTGGAATCAGTGCCTATTATAAGAATGACTGCCAAAACCAATCTATTTATGTGAGGAATAGATACATAAAACCTTACTGGTATTTAGTAGGAAATCTTTTATTGTTAATATTTTATTTACAATCTTACTTGATATTTATCATTGAGTTAAATTGCACATACCATTCAGGTATGGTTAAAAACTCATTTCTGCTTCATGTTGAAATATTCTCAATTGTTTTGACTAAAGTATACTGTCCTATATGCTGTGTTTACATCCATGATGGTATATTTAACATGCAAGGGGTACAAAATAAAAATCCAAATATTGAAAGTCTGGTATACTTCACTGTTTTTGTAATGAGATTTAATACTCGTGCTTATACCAGAATCTCACAAATGGTATGCAACTGTAATAACTTGTGTTGGCCAGAATATGAAACGTATTCTTTAAATTAAGATTCTTGATCACGCCGATGATCCCAGCACTTCAGAAGGCCGAGCAGGGTAGATCACGAGGTCTAGGAGTTCAAGACCAGCCTGGCCAAGATGGTGAAACCCCGTCTCTACTAAAAATACAAAAAAAATTAGCTGGGTGGGGCAGCGTGCCTGTAGTCCCAGCTATGCGGGAGGCTGAGGCAAGGAATTGCTTGAACCCGGGAGGCGGAGGTTGCGGTGAGCTGAGATCGTGCCACTGCACTCCAGCATGGGTGACAGAGCAAGACTCCGTCTCAAAAAAAAAAAAAGATTCTTGAAATTGCTTCATCGATAATATACATTTCATGAATATTCAGTAGTTTGTCTAAAAACAGTAAACAACTGAGTTAAACCATTTTACAAATTACAAGAAATATGTTAGGTCTTCAGGCAGTCAGACTTTTCTGTTGCAAATCTCAACTTTTGGCTATAAAAACAAGGTATCAAAATAAACAGGAAGTTACTTCTATGTGTTCAAATATAGCACAACTACTACTTGAAACTCAAAGCCTTTTCTCCTTAATTATAATATCTTCAGACTGCTTTTCTCTATATAGATTCTCATGGAAAGTATTTCTTTTTTTTTTTTTGAGACGGAGTTTGCTCTTGCTGCCCAGGCTGGAGTGCAATGGTGTGATCTCGGCTCACTGCAAACCCGCCTTCCAGGTTCAAGCTATTCTCCTGCCTCAGCCTCCTGAGTAGCTGGGATTACAGGCATGCACCACCATACCCAGCTAATTTTTGTATTTTTAGTAGAGATGGGGTTTCTCCATGTTGGTCAGGCTGGTCTCGAACTCCCGACCTCAGGTGATCCACCCACCTTGACCCCCCAAAGTGCTGGGATTATAGGCGTGAGCCATTGCGCCTGGCCTGATTCTCATGGAAAGTATTTCATATCTATAATTTTTTTTTTTTTTTTTTTGAGACGGAGTCTGGCTTTGTTGCCCAGACTGGAGTGCGGTGGTGTGATCTTGGCTCACTGCAACCTCCGCCTCCCGGGTTCAGGCTATTCTCCTGCCTCAGCCTCCCAAGTAGCTGGGATTACAGGTGCCTGCCACCACATCCAGCTAATTTTTGTGTTTTTTTGTAGAGATGGGGTTTGATCATGTTGGCCAGGCTGGACTCAAACTCCTGACCTCAGGTGATCCACCTGCCTTGGCCTCCCAAAGAGCTGGAATATAATTTTGTTATTCTGAGTAGTTTTGTCTTTGTGGTTGGTTGCCTTGTTTTTTTATAGCCAATAAATATGATGAAATATCATTCTAAAAGCAAATGAAATACATTTCTAATATTTTGATGCATATTGTATCCCTTGCATGGTAAATATAACCTAGGAATGTTACAGACTAGACTACCACTCCATCAAATACTGAAGTTGTTGGAATGTTTGCTTTCTTGAATGTCGTGGTCACTCTGGCCTGGCCTTCACAACTCTTATTGTAAGTTATTCAGACTCTTTATGTTGGGAAGAATGAATTAAAGTTGTATATATGAAAAGCAAAACTTTAGAATTATTGAAAACAAGAGTATGATATTGGAGTAGACATAAGTACAAAAAGGAAAAGTTGATAAATTTGTGTACACTAAAATTCAAACTTATGTTTGCATGTCATATTACTGTTAAATGACTCCATATAAATCAAGAAAGTCATCAAAGGACATGAACAGGCAAATCACAGATGAGGATCCCTGAGTAGTCATTCAGATGAAAAAATGCTCACTCTTACGAGTAATGAAAGAGTTGTACATTAAAACAACACTGAGATACCATTTCGCTGTCATCAGATAGACAACAATGAAATAAAGTAAAACAACTTGACATGTGTGCATGTTGCTGAATTTATAGCATTGGGCTCTTCTATACTTTGCTGGTGGCAGTGAAATTTATGCTTTTACTTTGGAGAGTGGTTTGGCAACATTTAGTTGATTTGAAGTTGCTGATATACTAACCCAGGCTCTGGGTGTTATATTCTAGAGGAATTTTTGGCACGTGGACTCAAGGAGACATGTACAGAATGTTCATTGCAGTATTGTTTTTAATTGTAAAAACCCGCAATCAATGTCTATTAGAAGAATGGATAAATTGTAGCATATTTGCAGTACATGTTGTTAAAATGAATTAATGTTAAGTATTTATTAACTTAGATACATCTCCAGGAAGTGATCATATTGCAGTGCAAAGGGAATTGGCTAGGATCACAAAGTTAGGTACTAGTCAAATTAGAATATTTTGCATTTTTCAACTTTAAATGAGTTGTACTATTTTTTGTATTAATATTTCTACATTTGGCATAGTTAAAACCAGAATTCACACAGAAGGCTCAAACAGCCAAAAACAGATGTTAGGGAGTATATGGTTCACACATGAAGATCTCCTTTTTTTGGAACTGGTTTATACCAAAATTAAATTACCACTTTAAAGTTATCAGAAGATATTTTAGGAAATGTACAAAGGCCTAATTACTCCGAAACAGATGACAAACCTTGTAGGAAGTTGCACAGTTTTTGACAGTTTTTTGTTTGAAGGAAAAAGATTTGATATTATGGTTTGGCACTACTCAGGGGTTTGCAGGGTTTGATGTCCACTGCGTGGCTAATTGCATCTGTTACTAATTCATAATAGGTTCACAACATCTGGAAAGATGGCTACAAAAGACGGTATAAGGCTGGGCATGGTGGCGCACGCCTGTAATCCCGGCACGTTGGGAGGCCGAGGTGGGTGGATCACTGGAGGTCAATAGTTTGAAACCAGCTTGGCCAACATGGCGAGACCCTTTGTCTACTAAAAATACAAAAATTAGCGGGGTGTGGTGGCATGTGCCTGTAATCCCAGCCACTCGGGAGGCTGAGGCAGGAGAATCGTTTGAACCCGGAAAGCGGAGGTTGCAGTGAGCCGAGATCGCGTCACAGCACTCCAGCCTGGGCGACAGAGTGAGACCCTATCTGGAAAAGAAAAAAAAGCTTCATTAAGGTTTATATCCTGAGGACCCGTCTAGCTTTCCTCTTCAGGTTAATTTTTAATCTGAATTCTAACAGATCCATATAGATTAAGCAGAAAATAATTACCTAAAGCAGCTGCTATGGGTAAGCACAGAAGGGCAAAGAAAATGACAGGCAACAGCATTAGAGTAAAACTGGCACAGTGCAATCATTTAAACACTGCTAGCAGTTCCAGGAGAGCACGCAGGTAGGTCACCTCAAAGTTCTGACCCTCAATACTATCAATTAATTAAATAATTTTTTTTTTTTTTTAAAGACGGAGGGTCGCTCTTGTTGCCGTGGCTGGAGTGCAATGGTGCGATCTCGGCTCACTGCAACCTTTGCCTCGTGGGTTCAAGTGATTCTCCTGCCTCAGCCTCCCGAGTAGCTGGGATTGCAGGCGTCCACCACCACGCCCAGCTAATTTTTGTATTTTAGTAGAGAGAGGGTTTCACCGTGTTGGCCACGCTGGTCGGGAACTCCTGACCTCAGGTGATTTGCCCGCCTCAGCCTCCCAAAGTGTTGGGATTACAGGCGTGAGCCACCGCGCCCGGCCCACTATCGCTTAATTTAAAGAGCTGTAATGCATGTTTGTAATGCAGACTCAAGGAAAATTATAATTTCCTTAAATGTGTATAGAGGATGTGTGAGAGTGGAAAGATGTCTATTCCAAGGTGGATAAAAAATAAAATGGTGGACTACCTCAACATGGAGGTGCCAGCTGTCCAATTACAGCTGTCACTCTGTTTCTGGGAATTTCTCCCGATTCTTAGCCGGAGCTGCGGCCCGCAACTCCCTCAGCCTGGCAGGTCCCAGGATGCTTCGGGGCAACCCCACGCATGCGCGCTCTGGCGTAGTTCCCTGAAGCACTCGCTCGCAGAGAATCCTGGAATCTTCGCTTGTGGAGCTGTGGAGGCAACGGAGTTTTTCCGCGCTTTTTCTTTCAGCCTCAGATTAAGTATCATTTGTTACTATTATTTTCTCTACTGAGCGTGGAAAGCTGGCTGAAAATTCCAGAGTGTAATTTCTGTGGGTCTGTTTCTCTAAAACTTGCCCCTCACGCAGCTTGTACAGAAGTTAGATTGGCGCTTACTCCCAGCTGGTGGAAGATTCGGAATTAGCTGCGCCTCTGCTGCGTGAGAGAGGGCTCAGCTTTAAAGCTTCCCAGCTCCTCTGCTTTCCCGCTGCCCCCTACTCTGCCGGATGTAAAATAGGCCTCTTAATCTTAACTGTGGCTGCCAGGTGACATACCTGAGGAAACTCACTCAGCGGGGCTATTGGGATAAAGGTGTGCGAGTGTTCTTTTCTATCGACCTGGAGGGCCAAGGCAACTTTTTTTTTTTTCCTTCTGGGACGGAGTCCGTCGCCGGCTGGAGTGCAATGGCGCGATCCCGGCTCACTGCAAGCTCCGCCTCCCGGGTTCAAACGAGTCTCCTGCCTCAGCCTCCTGAGTAGCTGGGACTACAGGCGCCCGCCACCACACCCAGCTAATTTTTTGTATTTTTAGTAGAGATGGGATTTCACCATGTTAGGCTGGTCTCGAACTCCTGACCTCGTGATCCGCCCGCCTTGGCCTCCTAAGGTGCTGGAATTATACAGGGGTGAGCCACCGCGCCCAGCCTATATATATACATGTTATGAGAGAGATTCTTGCTCTGTCCCCCAGGCTGGAGTGCAGTGATGCGATCTCACTTCACTGCAACCTCTGCCTCCCGGATTCAAGTGATTCTCCTGCCTCAGCCTCCCGAGTAGCTGGGATTAGAGGCTTGAATCACCACGCCTGGCTAATTTTTGTATTTTTAATAGAGACTGGGTTTCACCATGTTGGCCAGGCTGGTCTGGAACTCCTGACCTGAAGGGACCCCGCCTGCCTTGGCTTCCCAAAGTGCTGGGATTGTACGCTTGAGCCACTGAGCCTGGCCCACGTATATATTATTTTTGACGTTAGCAAGATCTGTAACCACCTTTGTCTTTACCTTTGTCCTTAAAGCGTTTTTAGAAAACCGGACAAACGAGCACAATTAATATTATTGAGTAACTGAAATCAATATATCAATTATAATAAATACAAGGAATATAATAAAATGTGCAGTATTTTATGATAAAAACGTGCATGTTATATTTCTTTTTTACTTTTATTTTCATTGCAATTTAACTTACTTGGCCTTTTTATTTACCCCTTCTTAGGCCTCTCTTCAGCTTCTGGAGACCTCACTATCCTATTATGTCTTTGTGTGAAGACATGCTGCTTTGTAATTATCGAAAGTGTCGCATCAAACTCTCTGGCTATGCATGGGTCACTGCCTGCTCTCACATCTTCTGTGATCAGCATGGCAGTGGTGAGTTTAGTCGCTCACCAGCTATCTGTCCTGCCTGCAACAGTACCCTTTCTGGAAAGCTAGATATTGTCCGCACAGAACTCAGTCCATCAGAGGAATATAAAGCTATGGTATTGGCAGGACTGCGACCAGAGATCGTGTTGGACATTAGCTCCCGAGCGCTGGCCTTCTGGACATATCAGGTTAGTGCTTAGTCTAGTTTCTCTTGAGCATGTGATTTATGGCATTTGTGGGAACTTCTAGTGTCTTTCCTTCATTGTATTATTATTAATTTTTTATGAGTATATGAGAAACTCTTTTTATTAAATTGTTTTCAAAAGCAATACTGTTTATTGTTGAAAATCAAAAGGAAGAAAATTAAAGCACTCATAATTCCATCACTCAGAGATAACCATTGTTTATATTTTGGGTATACACACACACACACTCACACACTCTCTCTCTCTTCTGTATAAAAGTAAGATAACACACACACTTTTATTGTTAAGAGTTGACAGTATATTATATCTGGTATGAATTTTTCTTCCTTTTGAGACGGGGTTTTCTTGTGTTGCCCAGGCTAGTCTCTAACTCCTGGGTTCAAGCCATTCTCCCGCCTCAGCCTCCTGAGTAGCCTGTGCTTCACTTGGTATGAATATCTTGTTAAATATTTTTTAGTTAACTATTCTATAATCATATTTTAATGGTTATATTGTATCATAATTTATTTCCAAGTTATTAAAATGCTATGATAAGCATTCTTATCAAATACGCATCCTTAACTTTTTCCCTTTATGATTTCTACTTTTAGTATTTCCTTTGAAAGACCTCCCTGTGGATGACTTTAAGCATGTCCTTGAATGTATTGTTATATCTTACATATACACTTATACTTCTTAAGGATGTTTGTCATCTGTCAAGTAACTTTTTATTATATTTTTCTGGGTAAGTTGTTTCTCTTACATGCTCCTCTATTTTTCAACTCCTTTGGTTAAATACCAAATAGTGTTTTTGCTGGCTTATGTGGTGAGAGTATGTTTATTTTTGTAAGCAACTGCCAAATTGTCTTCCAAAGTGGCTATACCATTTTATATTGCCAGCAGCAATGAATGAGAATTCCTGTTGCTCCACATCTTTGCCAGAAGTTGGTATTGTCCATGTTCTGGGTCTTGGCCATTTTAATAGGTGTATAGTGGTGTCTCATTTTAATTTGCATGTCTCTGATGACATATGATGTGGAGCATCTTTTCATATGCTTTTTTGCCTTTTTTTTTTTTTTTTTTTTTTTTTTTTGGTGAGGTGTATATGAAGTTCTTGGTCTTTTTTTTTTTTTTTTTTTGAGACGGAGTCTCGCTTTGTTGTCCAGGCTGGAGTGCAGTGGCGCGATCTCAGCTCACTGCAAGCTCTGCCTCCCGGGTTCACGCCATTCTCCTGCCTCAGCCTCCCGAGTAGCTGGGACTACAGGCGCCCGCCACCACGCCCGGCTAATTTTTTGTATTTTTAGTAGAGGCGGGGTTTCACCGTGTTAGCCAGGATGGTCTCGATCTCCTGACCTCATGATCCGCCCACCTCTGCCTCCCAAAGTGCTGGGATTACAGGCATGAGCCACCGCGCCCGGCCGAGTTCTTGGTCTATTTTTAAATTGTTTTCTTATTGTTGAGTTTTAAGTGTTCTTTTTATCCTTACTGTTGAGTTTGAAGTATTCTTTGATCCTTTATCAGAGCTATCTTTTGCAAATATACTCTCCTGATCTGTGGCTTGTCTTTTTATTCTCTTACAGGGTCTTTCACAGAGCAGAGATTTTTAAGTTTAATGAAGTCCTGCTTATCAATTTTCTCTTTCACGGATTATACCTTTGGTGTATTTTAAAAGTCACTGCCAAATCCAAGATCCACCTGGATTTTACCCTATGTTATCTTCTGGGAGTTTCATAGTTTTGCATTTTATGTTTAAGTCTGTGAACCATTTTGAGTTTATTTTTGTGAAAAGTATAAGATCTGTCTAGATTCATTGGGTCCTCAATTTTTTGCTGGCTATTGGCCAGAGGCTGTTCTTAGTTACTTGTCTCTTGGGCCTTCCTGACATGACTGCTTGCTTCCTCAAAGCCAGCAAGGGAGTGTGTCTCCTAGTAAGACAGACCTTATAGTCTTAGGTAATATACTTATGAAGTGACAACCTGTCACATTTTCTGTAGTATTCTAGTCACAGGTCCTGCCCACGTGCAAGGGGATAGGGAGTTACACAAGGGTGTATGTACCAGGAGACGATAATTTGTGGTTGTCTTAGAGTCTATTCTTCATGCTCTGGATTACTTGAAAAATGGGATTATATTTCTTAAAAACCTTTGGAAAACATGTCACTTGTTAAGACAAATACTCAGTTCTTTTGGTGGTATAAAGTTAGTGGTTTGAGAGTATTCTTCCAGACTTTTTTTCTATGCATTTAGTAACATAACTTATTGTTTTCTGTGCCTCATTGTGTATCCTGATTGCTTCTTAAACTGGGTTCTAAATGATAAAATAACATCCCTATATAAGCATCTTTCTTTTCCTTTTGTGTTTGTATAACATTTTACAATATATAACTTTGTACCCAATACCTTAAAAATCTTTTTTCTTTTGGAACCAGGTACATCAGGAACGTCTCTATCAAGAATACAATTTCAGCAAGGCTGAGGGCCATCTGAAACAGATGGAGAAGATATATACTCAGCAAATACAAAGCAAGGATGTAGAATTGACCTCTATGAAAGGGGAGGTTACCTCCATGAAGAAAGTACTAGAAGAATACAAGAAAAAGTTCAGTGACATCTCTGAGAAACTTATGGAGCGCAATCGTCAGTATCAAAAGCTCCAAGGCCTCTATGATAGCCTTAGGCTACGAAACATCACTATTGCTAACCATGAAGGCACCCTTGAACCATCCATGATTGCACAGTCTGGTGTTCTTGGCTTCCCATTAGGTAAGAAAGGACATGTATCAAGTGTCTGTTCTTTAAATCAATGATTTTTTATACTGCTCTGCCCACTTCCAAGCATTCAGTCGAGACGATAAGGATAAGACAAGCATTGAGTTGTGGTAGGCTCTGAATTCTTCACCCATGTTTCAACCTGTACATCATTGCTTTTATCTATTGTATTTGCTTACATTTAAATTAAAGCTTTAATTTGAGCAGTTAATCTCTGCAAAATGAAAGTTTGCACATTGCTACATTAAGTTAAAAGCTATGTAGTTGTAGTAATAATAATATTAGCTGTCATTTATTGATTCCTAAGTGCTAGGCACTGTTGTGTTTTATATAAATTCATATAATTTACAAAACCTTATGAAGTAAGTATTATTATCCTTCTTTTATACAGATGAGAAAGCTGAGGCACAGAAAGTTAAGTAATTTGGTCAATATCACTAACCTGTTTTCAGAGCCTATACTCTTAACCATTTGCTATCCTCCAAGAAGGCCATGTTTCAATTTTTTTCACCTGCCAATACTGATTGTACAGTTCTTAAGTTGTCAGTTTGGTTGTTTTGTTCTTTTGTCTAATCATTTTTCCATTTATCAAATATTTAGCAAATATGTTTTATGTACCAGCTTGTTAGGTATGATCCTAACTAATGAGGATATAAAGGTTATCCAAATAGGGTTCTTTCTTTAAATCACAATCTAGTATGATGCCATCTCTTTTCTGCTTGTTAGGTGCCTTGCAGACGGAATGAATCTCATATCTTCCTGAGCTCTCTCCTTTATACTACTCTTTATGCAACAAAATCTAATAGATTTTTGCTATGCTATTAATGGAAATTGTTTTTGGCATACAAAAAAGTGAAGCCTCTTGTGCTGGACTTTCCTAATACTCATTTTTGGATATTTACTATAGGCTGAGGAAAAAGATTTAATAGGGGAGGAGCTGATGTCTTATAAAAAGTATGAGGTGGTCAGGTGCGGCCCAGCACTTTGGGAGATTGAGGTGGGAGAATCACTTGAGCCCAGGAGTTTGAGACCAGCCTGGGCAATATAGTGAGACCCTGTCTCTACAAAAAAAAAAGGTGGGGGGCAGGTTTGAGGTGATGAGATGAGGAATATCAGATATAAGAATAAAAACCTAAATTTCTGCTTAACTTTCAGTTTTACTTATATAATGTAATTTAGTCAATCAGAGTTACTGTAAATGGGCATTATAGATATACTTATTTTTTTGTCACTGTCCACATTTGTCTTATTTTTTTCATATTCACCAGTTCTTTCCCATTCCTCTTTTTGTACACAGTTAACCTTTTTATGTCCTGCTGCCACTGTTAGCTTGAAGGATATATAGTCAGCATTTTCCTTTAGTTATTTGGTCCTTTAAAACCTGTAAAAGCCAAGGAAGGGTTCAGTGGAAGTAGTTAAATGTTAATTTAATCAGATCTATTATCTGCTTGTCTTAAGCCTATGCTAATTGATATTGGGTCATGGTATATGCCAATATTTCAGTTATATTTTTTCTAGAATGTTTATTGCAATGTTTTTTTAAAAAAATTCTTAACCTGGGGTAAAAGATTTTATATGTCTGTTTTTTTCTAAGACAAATATTGGAGAAAAAATATATATTCATATATATATATTTGATGATTCCTCTGAAGTAGATTATATAGATAACAAATGAATAAAATTATGTTTTTCCTTTTTTTCTGCCCTAGGTAACAACTCCAAGTTTCCTTTGGATAATACACCTGTTCGAAATCGGGGCGATGGAGATGGAGATTTTCAGTTCAGACCATTTTTTGCGGGTTCTCCCACAGCACCTGAACCCAGCAACAGCTTTTTTAGTTTTGTCTCTCCAAGTCGTGAATTAGAGCAGCAGCAAGTTTCTAGCAGGGCCTTCAAAGTAAAAAGAATTTGAGCCACGCATAGTGTCACGCACCTGTGATCCCAGCTACTTAGGAGGTTGAGGCTGGGAGGATCACTTGAGCCCAGGAGTCTGAGGCTTTAGTGATCTAAGATCATGCCACTGCACTCCAGCCTGGGCAACAGAGTGAGACCCTGTTTCTAAAAAAAAATAAAGATAATTTAGCTAACTTTACAGACTGTTTCTATGTTCATCTTTAGTGATTTCATTTAGCAAATCTTTTTTCTTTTTTTTTTTTTTTTTAACTTTTTTTTTTAATTTTTATTTTTTTTATTGATCATTCTTGGGTGTTTCTCGCAGAGGGGGATTTGGCAGGGTCATAGGACAATAGTGGAGGGAAGGTTGGCAGATAAACAAGTGAACAAAGGTCTCTGGTTTTCCTAGGCAGAGGACCCTGCAGCCTTCCGCAGTGTTTGTGTCCCTGGGTACTTGAGATTAGGGAGTGGTGATGATTCTTAACGAGCATGCTGCCTTCAAGCATCTGTTTAACAAAGCACATCTTGCACCGCCCTTAATCCATTTAACCCTGAGTGGACACAGCACATGTTTCAGAGGGCACAGGGTTGGGGGTAAGGTCACCGATCAACAGGATCCCAAGGCAGAAGAATTTATCTTAGTACAGAACAAAATGAAAAGTCTCCCATGTCTACTTCTTTCTACACAGACACGGCAACCATCCGATTTCTCTATCTTTTCCCCACATTTCCCCCCTTTCTATTCCACAAAACCGCCATTGTCATCCCGGCCCGTTCTCAAAGAGCTGTTGGGTACACCTCCCAGACGAGGTGGTGGCTGGGCAGAGGGGCTCCTCACTTCCTAGTAGGGGTGGCCGGGCAGAGTCGCCCCTCACCTCCCGGACGGGGCGGCTGGCCGGGCGGGGGGCTGACCCCCCCACCTCCCTCCCGGACGGGGCGGCTGGCCGGGCGGGGGGCTGGCCCCCCCACCTCCCTCCCGGACGGGGCGGCTGGCTGGGCAGAGGGGCTCCTCACTTCCCAGTAGGGGCGGCTGGGCAGAGGCGCCCCTCACCTCCTGGACGGGGCAGCTGGCCGGGCGGGGGGCTGACCCCCCCACCTCCCTCCCGGACGGGGCGGCTGGCTGGGCAGAGGGGCTCCTCACTTCCCAGTAGGGGCGGCCGGGCAGAGGCGCCCCTCACCTCCCGGACGGGGCGGCTGGCCGGGTGGGGGGCTGACCCCCCCACCTCCCTCCCGGACGGGGCGGCTGGCCGGGCGGGGGGCTGACTCCCCCACCTCCCTCCTGGACGGGGTGGCTGGCCAGGCAGAGGGGCTCCTCACTTCCCAGTAGGGGCGGCTGGGCAGAGGCGCCCCTCACCTCCCGGACGGGGCGTCTGGCCGGGTGGGGGGCTGACTCCCCCACCTCCCTCCCGGACGGGGCGGCTGCCGGGCGGAGACGCTCCTCACTTCCCAGACGGGGTGGCTGCCGGGCGGAGGGGCTCCTCACTTCTCAGATGGGGCGGATGCTGGGCGGAGGGTCTCCTCACTTCTCAGACGGGGCGGCTGGGCAGAGACGCTCCTCACCTCCCAGACGGGGCGGCGGGGCAGAGGCGCTCCCCACATCTCAGACGATGGGCGGCCGGGCAGAGACGCTCCTCACTTCCCAGACGGGATGGCTGCCAGGAAGAGGCGCTCCTCACTTCCTAGATGGGATGGCGGCCGGTCAGAGACGCTCCTCACTTTCCAGACTGGGCAGCCAGGCAGAGGGGCTCCTCACGTCCCAGACGATGGGCGGCCAGGCAGAGACGCTCCTCACTTCCCAGACGGGGTGGCGGCCGGGCAGAGGCTGCAATCTCGGCACTTTGGGAGGCCAAGGCAGGCGGCTGGGAGATGGAGGTTGTAGCGAGCTGAGATCATGCCACTGCACTCCAGCCTGGGCACCATTGAGCACTGAGTGAACCAGACTCCGTCTGCAATCCCGGCACCTCGGGAGGCCAAGGCTGGCGGATCACTCGCGGTTAGGAGCTGGAGACCAGCCCGGCCAACACAGTGAAACCCCGTCTCCACCAAAAAAGTACGAAAACCAGTCAGGCGTGGTGGCGCGCGCCTGCAATCGCAGGCCCTCGGCAGGCTGAGGCAGGAGAATCAGGCAGGGAGGTTGCAGTGAACCGAGATGGCAGCAGTACAGTCCAGTTTCGGCTCGGCATCAGAGGGAGACAGTGGAAAGAGAGGGAGAGGGAGACCGAGAGGGAGAGGGGAGAGGGGAGAGGGGAGAGGGGAGAGGGGAGAGGGAGAGGGAGAGGCAGAGGCAGAGGCAGGGGCAGGGGCAGGGTAGCAAATCTTTTTTCTAGATAGGACTCCCCAGCTTCTCTGTGCTTTTAAGTCTCTGAAGTTGTTTTCACATTATCAACATAACAAACTCATTGGCAGTGGGGAGTGGTTTAGAGTCTGGTTTCTTTGTTTCTATTATTTAAAGCATAAGCATTTTATTAGTCTCAATTCCATTGTGAACTGCTGAATTTTCATCCCTAGTGTGAGAAGGTCACAATAGTATTTGTTTCAATAGATAACTCTTTCTCCCTGTGCTGTTTCTCACTGAGCTGTGGTGTTTATGCCTTAAGTACCTGTGTTATATGCTACATGTTGCTTTGAATTCTGGTATTTATGCATATCTGTATATGTAAGTATGTTAATGTACACTGATATTTTGCTGTATTTGCCAGTATGTTTATGTGAAAATTTTGGTCTTGGAAAATGGTGGGTGATGTGTAGCTTGTTATTTGGGTGTGTGTATTTATTTGTATATATTTATGTATTTACCTTCGTATTGTTTGGAGGTGTGCTTATGTCAGTGAACGAGAGTACAATTTGATGCATGTATGTTCAGTCCCTATTTGTATTTAAAAATAACTCACGTTGATGAAGTTATTTTTTAAAGTTAATTTTTTTGGCATTTACAGTCGGTGCTCTGTATCCATAGGTTCTGCTTCTGCAGATTCAGCCAACCATATATCAAAAATATTTGAGAAAAAATAATATAAAAAAATACAAATTAAAAACCAATACTATATAACAACTATTTGGATAGCATTTACATTGTAGGTATTATAAATAATTTAGAGGTGATTTAAAGTATTTGGGAGAATCTGTAGGTTATATGCAAATACCATGCCATTTTATAAAAGTGACATGAACATCCAAGGATTTTGGTATCCATGAGGGTTCCTGGAACCAATCCCCCAAAGATACCAAAGGAAGACTGTATTTTAAAATAAAGCTACTTCTTTACCTTTTTGTCAACTATTGCCTTGGGTTTACTTATTTAGGAATGCACTTCTGCAGAAAGTTTACCAATGTGTTATTGATCTCGAGATTGTATTAAAATAAAAGATTTATTTATTGTTTTCCTTTATTTAGTGAGTATTTCTGACTATTATTATGGGAATTAAATTGTTTATGCATTTATTTATTTAAAATGTAGAGCCATGATAGAAATTTGAAGGACATTCTCAGTAACTTTATGTCCTGTTAGAGGAAAGATTTGAAAGCATACTGGCTGGAGAGGCAGAAGATCTGGGTTCTGGTTTCTACTTAGTTTGAACTTTCTTGGACTTAGTCTCTGTATCTGTAAAATGAAGGACTGAATTAAGTTATCCTTACAGCCTTTTCTAACTCTTAAATTTTAGGATTGATTCTTAATGGTTTAAGATGTGTTAACAATGGAATTACCCTAAATGTCAAATCCCATTGTTTTTTAGGTAATAAAAATTATACTGAAATCATTTGAAGATATATTTAGTCATTGTAGAAAGGCAATTAAATACCCCTGCTTTACATAATTGAAAAGCAAGTAGTGTTTCCTTCACTAGGAATATAGAGTATAAAATCTCTTAAAAATTATTCTTAATGTGCACCAAAATTATTTATTACTGTTTTTTTGAGATGGAGTCTTGCTGTGTTGCCCAGGCTGGAGTGCAGTGGCAGCATCTTGGCTCACTGCAACCTCTGCCTCCTGGGTTCAAGTGGTTCTCCTGTCTTGGCCTCCCAAGTAGCTGGGATTACAGGTGCATGCCACCACACCTGGCTAATTTTTGTATCTTTAGTAGAGATGGGGTTTTACCACATTGGCCAGGCTTGTCTTGAACTGACCTCAAGTGATCTGCCCGCCTTGGCCTCCCAAAGTGCTGGGATTACAGGTGTGAGCCACCGTGCCCAGCCTCGTGTGCACCAAAGTTAAAATGTCTGAGAAAGAGGATGAAAAATTTTAAAGTTTTAGGGCCGGGTGTGGTGGCTCACGCCTGTAATCCTAGCACTTTGGGAAGCTGAGGCGGGTGAATCATGAGGTCAGGAGATCGAGACCATCCTGGCTAACACGGTGAAATCCCGTCTCTACTAAAAATACAAAAAATTAGCCGGGCGTGGTGGTATGCACCTGTAGCCCCAGCTACTCGGGAGGCTGAGGCGGGAGAATCGCTTGAACCTGGGAGGCCGAGGTTGCAGTGAGCCGAGATGGCGCCATTGCACTCCAGCCTGGGCTACACAGTGAGACTCCATCTCAAAAAAAAATTTTTAAAACATCCCTCCCTATTTTACAGCTAACGACATAGATTTTATAGGTTACAATACAAACTATTTCCTTTATGTTGGAAAATGATTTGAGGAAATGATTTTATGTATATTCATGATTTCTGCCTTGAACGTTTTACTTCTTTGTTAGTTTCACAGAATCAGCTTGAAGCTGTAATTAAAACTAAAAAAGTAAAGCAAAACTGCCAGGAATATTACATGACACTTTAAAAGATTTATTCAGAAGTTTAATATATTCACAAGGTACAAACTTTAAAGTTACAAAAAAGGCATAGAGTGAAAAGTCTACCCCAGTTCCCTGGTCACTCATTTTTGCTCCAGCCACTCACTTCTGCTCTTTGTAAGCGATAGTCTTGCCAGTGTCTTGTGTCTCTTTCCAGAGACTATGTAGAAGCAAATAATTTTTTATTTAAAAATGTTTATATTTGAATAGGTGATACATATAGATGGCAAGAAAATTCAAAAGGGCAGGCAGTGAAAATTTTCTTCGCTCACCCACAGTTCCCCAGTTTCTGTGTTTCCCTCTGCAGAGACAGTCATCCTTTCTTATATATCCTTCTGGATGTTGTCTATAAATATGGAGGCATTGTTAGTGTAGAGCATGGTGGTTTTTATGAGCCATCCCAAGTGTAGTATTTATTAAGATAGTGCATTAAAATGATAAAATTAATCATACATAGAAAATTACTGCAAAGTTTGGAAAAGATTGAGTAAAGTAGCTATTGTACTACATGGCTTTCGAAATTTCAAACAACACAGGTGTGCACTTCTTAAACTCTCTTCTTTATGGAGTATTATAATCTTAGTATAAATAAGTAGGAAGACATGAAACAAGAATATAGAAATTAAGCTGAGGACATTTTGTTTCCAGGATCTGGGAAAGAAAGAAGTTTATGAACTCACAAGTGATTGTAGAGCATCTCTGTGGAAATAAATGGTTAAGTCGGTTTGAAGCAAAGCCCTTCTGGGGCAGAAAAGCCTCCAGAACGCCAGATGTCGCTGTGGTTCCGCGGTGAGAGAGGGCGTGCGTCTCTGTGGTTATAAAGTTGGGGGTGGAGTGGCCGGGAGATGATGGCTGATGAAGAGGAAGAAGTCAAGCCGATCTTGCAGAAATTGCAGGTGGGGCCGTAGATTAAATTCTGTATGTGTTTTTGTTACTCCGAATGAAGCAGGGAGTCCAGTTTATGTACTGCCCGTGAATTCCTCGGCACACACGCGAAGCTGCGTGCGTCTGTGTGGTTACTATAACAACCCTCGAGGGTGCAGCCGCAGCCAGCCAGGGAGCCTCGTTGGAACCTCCTGCTGCCGACCTGACTGCGGTTAATTTCAGTCCTGTATGGAAGAAGATTTGTTGCTCCTAACTGTTCATGTACATTTTTAGAGAGGACGTTGTTTTCTCGATTCATCCATAGCGAATAGCATATACATGTGTGTGGCAGATCTGCATGAACTACTGTCACATGTTGTTTTGATCCCTACAAAAGCCATTTAACACCTTTCTGCTTTGAATTTGGCAACAATCACGCTAATGACCTGCACTGCAAGTGTCCTGGTTACTCCCCTTAGGATTTCAGTTTTGATTTCTTTCAACCTGTGTAATTCCACTTTGGGGTCTGATGCAGAGGGGTCCAGACTCCACATAGTCCACAGGTAAGACTAGTCTTTTGGACTTGGTAGGGAGGCGTTAACTAGTTGCTTGGCTCTTTGCCTTTAAGAACCCATGATTTTCCTTACACCTCAGGAACTCAGTTCTTCGTTCTAAGGCAGCCTGTAACTTAAATATTAGAACTATGACAGGCTTGTAACTTGCCTAAAGGTGTTTAACGCACAAATTTAAATACTGGTGAAATTTCTTTGTTCTTGGGTACATTAAAATAGTAACACTTTTTAGAGTGTTCCAGCTGATTTGGATTAACTTCATTTTATTCCCTAACTGTGACTGGCTGAAATCAGAGATTCTCAATTCTGGTTCTATATTAGAAACATTATTTGTGTATATATGTTTGTATATGCACAGAAAAAAATCTGAAAAGGTATACAAATCAGTGGTTATCACTGAGGTTCTTTGGGGTAATTTTGTACTTTCTTTTTTTTACATGTATCTATTTGAATTTTAACAACTTACATGTATTGATTTTGCCATGAAAAAATAAGTTTCTAAAAACATTCAGTCCAGAGGAAAACAAAACCAAACAATAAAACCAAACAACTTCTTGAATGTTTGGTTTAACAACTAAAACCAATCAATAAGCCCTTCTCTAAAACTCTTAATTTGCAGCCATGTTGATTGCAGGACAAAAGGAAATTGGTTGTAATTTTTTATGAGAATTGTCTTTTCCTAGGTTCATTTGTGGTAAATGTCCTAAGCAGCTTGGGAGAGGATACTTCCGTTATCTTGGGGTGGGGTCGGTGCAGGAATGGAATAAAGGAGTGAAGTAGAGAAGAGGAAAAGGATTAGATAATGGTGTTGCTGTTCATGGAGATGGTGGTAAACTTTGATTTCATTGTTAAAGACATTTTAGTGTAAAAAGAGTGTATAAATGGATATTTCTCAAAGTGTGTTTTACAGACAGTTTCATTACAGTCATCTGGGGTGCCTGTTAAAAATGTAGAATTTTGAGTTCTGCTAAACTGTTAAAATCAGAGTCTCTGCAGGCTGGGTCTTGGATATAATACAATAAAATTTGCAGAGGGTGCTAGTCTGTTCCCTTCATTCTGGATAGGATTTTAAATTAAGTATAGCACATATGTATTTGTTAGAACAGGGATAGTTAGTTAGTTAATTCAATCAAGTGTAGTGAATTAGAGCCTATCATGTCCCAAGTCCCGTTCTGGTGCTCAGGTGTAGCTCGAAACAAAACAGATTAAAGGCCTTTCCATCCTGGAGCTTACATTTCAGTGGTGGAGGCAGACAATAGACAATTAATGATAGGCCACATGATTTTAAATAAGTATGAAGAAAAATAAGAGTATGATATAACAGTAGAGGAGAGAAGGAATGGATTCATTTGGGTTGAGTAATTAGGGAAAACCTTTCTGGAATTGATATTTGACCTAAGATCTAAATGATGATGAGGAATAAGTTATGCAGAGATCTGGAGAAAGTGTCCAGGCATAAGGTCTTCCAGGTGGGCTGAGCTTGATGGGTTTGAGAAACTGCATGAAGGCAACTCTGGCTTGAGTATTGTAGGAGAGAGAATGGTGAGAGGTGAAGTTTGTGTCAGGATGGGTGGTGGTAGGTCAGCTCATACAGTCTTCTAGGTCATGATAAGGACTTGGATTTTATTCTGTCTGCAATGGGAAACTATTTGAAGGTTTGTGATATGATGTACGTTTTTTATAAGATCACTCCCACTACAGTGAGGAGAATGGGAGAGAACAGAAACAAGATGACTGGTTAAGAAGCTCTTGCAGTCCAGGCAAGTAATGAAGCTGATGTAATCCAGGAATGGTCATAGTGGGATGGAGACAGGTGGATGAATTCAGGATGTGTTGTGAAGATTGTTGATTACACTCGAAGGGAAGTGATTATATCTTTCTGCTGCTATCTATTTAGTTTCAGGAAAGAATAGGATATCTGTTATCTGAAATGCTTAGGACTCGAAGTTTTTTGGATTTTGGATTTTTTTGAATTTTGGAATATCTGCATATACATAATGAGATAACTTGGGGATGGGACCCAAATCTAAATATGAAACTTGGTGGCTTATGCCTGTAGTCCCAGCACTTTGGGAGGCTGAGGTGGGAGCATTGCTTGAAATCAGGAGTTTGAGACCAGCCTGGGCAACCTACGAGACTCTTTTTTTTTTTTTTTTGAGACGGAGTCTTGCTCTGTTGCCAGGCTGGAGGGCAGTGGCATGATCTTGGCTCACTGCAACCTCTGCCTCCCAGGTTCAAGCGATTCTCCTGCCTCAGCCTCCCGAGTAGGTGGGACTACAGGTGTGCGCCACCATGCCTGGCTAATTTTTGTATTTTTAGTAGAGACCGGGTTTCACCATGATGGCCAGGATGGTTTCGATCTCTTCATGATCCGTCTGCCTTGGACTACCAAAGTGCTAGGATTACAGGCATGAGCCACCACGCCTGGTGACCCTGTCTTTTAAAAAAGAAAAAAAAAAAATTGTTTCATTTACACTTTATACACATAGGCTGAAAGTAATTTGATACAATATTTTTAATAATTTTGTGCCTGAAACAACGTTTTGACCGCATTTTGACTGTGTGTCAGGTGTGGAATTTTCTACTTGTGGTGTCAGCGTTTCAAAAGTTTCAGATTTTGGAGGATTTCAGATTTTTGCATTAGGGATGCTTGACCTGTAGTAGAAAAGCTTTGCCTGGTGTGACAGGAAGACTCAGAGGCATTTAAGAGGAAAGAGAATATTTATTTGTAAAAAATCCAAGGCAGCCAGAAGATGACTTGACAAAAAAATCAAACTAAACAAAACCACAATAAGCATTTAAAAGAACAAAATGCTGCAAAGATACCAAAGTTACCAAGTTCAAATTGGTATGTTTGTGGTGGAAAACAATGACTCTCTAACATGTTTATTATATTCACAAAGGTTGTGTTGTATTTTCAGATCTCAGCATATGAAAAATCAGGGATAAAATGGTTTTAGTTGAGAAGTCCAACTTTAAGGGTAAATTTCAAAGTGTTATTCTTTGAGGACCAGGACCATATAGAATGATCTTACTAACTTTTGGTTTATCTTAAGTTGCAGTGTTTCCCTCCTCATGACTGTGGTATGTGAAGTGCTTAGTCATATTAGAAGCCCTGCTGAGGCAGGGAGAGAAAATGGTCATCACAATAGAGACACTGGCATGGGACAACATGGGACCATGAGAGCTGGCCTGGGGTACTGGCTGCTTTTCCTCATGATTTGTGGCATTTTAGTAAACCTGTCCACCTGCCTATTGTGCCATTCATAGGTGAGAAAGAGAATTGGTATTTCTAGACCAAGAGCTGGTATGGCTAGCCAATTTCAAGTTTCCCTATCCAGTGATCTTTCCACTTAATGGTTCCATTGTCATACTTTTTAGGAACTCGTGGATCAGCTCTACTCATTTCGAGACTGCTATTTCGAGACACATAGTGTTGAGGATGCTGGGAGGAAGCAACAGGATGTGCAGAAGGAGATGGAGAAAACCCTACAGCAGATGGAAGAAGTAGTGGGTATGAGCCCTAGAGATTGTACAACCCCCATCCTTCAGTGAAATGTGATTGACCTTTGCTCCCTCCTCATTGACTCTTTGGTATCCTATCTGTTACTGCTATAGGGTAGTACAACGTAATACTACTTCTCAGGGCCCCTGTGCAACCTTTCATTCCCTAAGCCACTTTTCCTAAAATTTGATTATAGCAAATGGCATGAAATGAAAGAGCATACTTACTTGAACTATTGCAGTAATCTGACTTTCTGCCTCTAATTTCTTTTACTTTCAAATCCACTTATATAATACCATGGCCATGGCTATCTTTCTAAATCATTACTTCATGCATTTAACCTTATCCTCTCATCTGCCTTTTTGCTCAGGTATCTTTAAAGATTCCTGCTATTGACTAGCTGAAGTCTAACCCCCTTAACCTGGTATTTAAGTGTCCATTGTTTTACTCTGTTTTCTAACCTTATCTCTGACTAATTACTTGTAGAGGAACTTTCTGTTTCATCCAGGTTGAACTGTCTATTCTCCCATGAACATGGCCACATGTACTTCTGATTCTGTGTCTTTGTTTATATCATTTTCTAACCTGGAGGGTCTTTTCTTCTCTCTCTCTGTTTTGTTTTAACGATAACTATTTGTCCTGACTCATCTTCTCTTCACTTGTTAAAGCCCATTCATTGGGCTAATGCCATATGCTCTTTTTCATGGTTTTAATTTTCCATGTTTACGCTTTGTCTTCTCCACTAGATTGTAAACCCCTCTAGGAAAGTTAGCAACCGAGCTGATCCTTGTAGATAGGGGCCCAAGAAACAGATGGCAGAAGCTCTAGAAATAGTGCTTTCTTTGTTGCCTAATTAGCTAACATACACTCTGCCTATGGTGAGCTTTCAATAAATGGTTTATTGATAAATATTTTCCCCAACTCTTTTTATTCCTAAAACTGACGTGTAGTTATTTTTTGAGAGAAAGTGCCCTGGTCTTTAACTTGTTTTTTTCCCACTTTATCTTTTTTTCTTCCTCTTAGGTTCTGTCCAGGGCAAGGCACAAGTTCTAATGCTAACTGGGAAAGCACTAAATGTGACTCCTGACTATAGCCCTAAGGCTGAGGAGCTTCTGTCAAAGGCTGTGAAGCTGGAGCCCGAGCTGGTGGAAGCCTGGAACCAGCTGGGTGAGGTGTACTGGAAAAAAGGGGATGTTGCAGCTGCCCACACCTGCTTCTCAGGAGCCCTCACCCATGTGAGCTGCCCCCTATCCCTTTGGAAAGCAGAGATGGGAAGGATGAATTTCTTTGGTTCTATGAGTTTCCCTAGGACATGAATACCAGAGTAGAACTGAAATTGAACTAGGACAGAATCAGGAGGGAGGAAAGGTCAGAGAGCAGACCTGAATGAGGAAAATAGAGGCAGGGGCCTGGGAAAGGAAGATGATGATGGGATCAGGTTCAGGGGGAGAAAGGAAGTGAAGAAAAGCTAGCAGCTAAGCTGATCCCTGTGGATGGGGGTTGAAGATACAGATGGCAGCAAGAATTTAGATGAAAAAATTAGGGCTGGGTGTGGTAGCTTACACCTGTAATCCTAGCACTTTGAGAGGCCGAGGCAGGAGGATCACTTGAGCTCAGGAGTTTGAGACCAGCCTAGGCAACATGGTGAGACCTTGTCTCTACAAAAAAAAAAAAAAAAAAAAAAAATATATATATATACATGGACCAGACGTGGTGACTCATGCCTGTAATCCCAGCACTTTGGGAGGCCAAAGTGGGGAGATCATTTGAGGTCAGGAGTTCGAGACCAGCCTGGCCAACATGGTGAAACCCTGCCTCTACCAAAAAATACAAAAATTAGATGGGCATGGTTGTATGTGCCTGTAATCCCAGTTACTCAGGAGGCCAAGGCACAAGAATCACTTGAACCCAGGAGGTGGAGGTTGCTGTGAGCTGAGATCGTGCCTCTGCACTCCATCAGAGTGAGACCCTGTCACAAAAAGAAAAATACGGCCAGGCGTGGTGGCTCACACCTGTAATCCCGCGCTTTGGGAGGCTGAGGCAGGCAGATCACTTGAGGTCAGGAGTTCAAGACCAGCCTGGCCAACATGGTGAAACTCAGTCTCTACTAAAAATATAAAAATTAGCCGGGCATGGTGGTGCATACCTGTAGTCCCAGCTACTTGGGAAGCTGAGGCAGGAGAAAGACTTAACTCGGGAGGCAAAGGTTGCAGTGAGCCGAGATCACGCCATTGCACTTCAGCCTGGGTGACAGAGCAAGACTCCACCTCAAACAAAACAAAACAAAAAACTTAGAAAGGTAAAAAATTAGATTTAGAAGACTGAGTTCAGAATAGATCTGGAAAGGGGAGGTAGAATCAGGAAGATTGAGTATGTGCCCTTCCTATTTGCAGTGCAGGAACAAAGTCTCCTTGCAAAACCTGTCAATGGTGCTTCGTCAGCTGCGGACTGACACTGAAGATGAACATTCTCACCATGTCATGGACAGTGTCCGACAGGCTAAGTTGGCTGTTCAGATGGATGTCCATGATGGCCGCTCCTGGTGTGAGTGCTCTCAAAAGATCTCCAACAGGTTTCTAGAGCAGATGTTTTCAATCAGAGCAACATTTGCAGTCCCTCTTTTGAGTGTGATTCTGAGGTTTAAGCCAGAGAGGGCATCTTTGTTTTGAAGACACACGAAAGACATTTTGGGGAACTACTTTTCTAGGAACTCTTCGATCTTTTGATCCTAGTTTTCACGTAAGCAAGGAAGGGCTTTTGTACAGTCTGTTCAAACTTCAGTTTGGTGTCCTTGGTGCTCTATCCTAGTGGAGTTTTGGGTATACTAAGTATCGTGTCATTCCTGGTTTGGATTTCTTGTGGGACCTTTCAAATATACTTTCAAGAATGATCAAAATAAGTCATATCTTGAACTTGGACTCTGAGATGATTTGTCACTGTGTTTCTCTTTCAGATATTCTTGGGAATTCATATCTTTCCCTTTACTTCTCTACTGGCCAGAACCCTAAGATCTCCCAGCAAGCCCTCAGTGCCTATGCCCAAGCAGTAAGTACTTATGGTCACCAGGCCAGATGAATAGGCAACAACAGAAGCAAGAGCATTGTTCAGTCTTCTTTGTGGCCCTTTAGCAAGCATCATGGGCAGTGGCAGTGTTTGCTGGCATCTCATTTTTGTGATTTTGCAAAGATGTGTCTGCAGAGATGACTGACTTCTTATAACTTGAGTGTTAGGAACCACTTGCATCGTGTCGCATTGGTGCTGGATAGCTCCTTGACCTGTCTGGGTTTCTTACACACATATATAACCAAATCACAGAGCTGCCTCAACATGTTCATCTTTTTTAATGGGAAAAAAGTCTATTAAAATAATACTTATTAATATTTTTGTACATTCATTTTAAAGAATAATGAAAACTTATACTTCAGTGTAAATTAAGTGCTATCCCCAAATTAACCGTTAGGTAATATTATGGCTCTGGATTTCCCATGGGCTAAAAGAGAAAACAATGTGTAGCTTGTTCTGTGTCATTTCCTAGGAATTAAGTGAATTAGGTTATTTAGGTTTTCAAGAAATTTATTTAGGTTTTCAAGCATTTTTATGTTGATAGGCATTTGCATAGGGCTTTCCCTCAGACTTTGAGTGCCTTTTTTCTCATTATTAGAATTGGCTTCTGACTTCACATTGGTCCTCTGAGCACTTTTTATTTAGCTCTCATATTTACCTTTCTTCTTTTGCTTCTCTTGATATAGAGAATTGCTTTTTAACTTATCATTACTTATTCTGCTCCCTGTGGTAGAATAAAGAACACAGTTACTGTATGTTCATGTTTGCAATTCAGGGACTGCCCTTTTAAATTGGTTTTTCTCCCCCTCCTGCCACTCTCCCCACAACTCTACCTTTGACTTTAAACTGCCCTTTTTCAATCACGGAACTTTTAGAGCAATTATATTTTACTCTAATTTCTTAATTTGGTGAATGTTTACATTTTAAAGAATAGTGTGGTATATTCCTTCAACATTTTATATTTGGCTTCTGCTAAATAGTCACTTTTTAATCTTTTTTTTTTTTTGAGACGGAGTCTCATTCTGCCACCCAGGCTGGAGTGCAGTGGCACGATCTCGGCTCACTGCAACCTCCGTGTCCCAGGTTCAAGTGAGTCTCCTGCCTCAGTCTCTCAAGTAGCTGGTATTACAGGCACGTGCCACACCATGCCCGCCTAATTTTTGTATTTTTAGTAGAGGCGGGGTTTCACCATGTTGGCCAGGCTGGTCTTGAACTCTTGACCTCAGGTGATCCATCCGCCTCGGTCTCCCAAAGTGTTGGGATTACAAGTGTGAGCCACCGTGCCTGGTCATCTCTTTTTAATCTGAAGTTTTTCGCCCAGACCTGCATTTGTAAACATATCTGAACCAACCATTTAAACAATTTTAATTCATGTTGTTTGTGCTTTTACAATGCGCCAGGTAATGAAGAGAATTAAAAAAATATAATAAGCATAGTCATGAACATAGCCAGCAGTTGCTTCACAGCACATGGTCTGCACTGTCTTGTGGTGTCTGGCCATCTATTTTATCTGTTTAAAAAAAATTCTTTTCCTGGCCATCTATTTTAGTTAGAGTCTGAATTTGGTTTTCTATCTGTGTTTTAAGGGAACTTGGATGTAGAAACATGATTCCGCATGTGTCTGGAGCTAGGTTTATGGGCAGAGGAAATGCATTAAATGAACACCATTTCTATCCTAGCCTTTCTTCATTTATTACCAGCACTTCACTATTTAAATTTTTAAAAATCAAAATGATTTCACCTATTTCATTCATTTATTTATTTTTTTTGAGATGAAGTCTCACTCTGTCACCCAGGCTCGAGTGCAGTGGTGCAATCTCGGCTCACTGCAACCTCCACCTCCCATGTTAAAACAATTCTACCTCAGCCTCCTGAGTAGCTGGAATTACAGGTGCATGCCACCATGCCTAGCTAAGTTTTGTATTTTTAGTAGAGACAGTGTTTCACCAGGTTGGCCAGTCTGGTCTTGAGCTCCTGACCTCAGGTGATCTGCCAGCCTTGGCTTTCCAAAGTGCTGGGATTACAGGTGTGAGCCACTGTGCCCGGCCCACATATTTCATTTATATAAAGATTTATTCTATCTTAATACTACTACATGGATAAATTATAATAATATTTTGAAGTCTCACACATACAAAAACACTTATATCCCTAAGGTTTTGGGACTAAGATATCCACACTGTTATACGGTAACTGCTTCTGTGGTATAAATACCATTTTGGCAAGGAAGAAACTTCCATTTCTCTAGAAAGAGGAGGCGTAGGACATGTTGGGCATGTCAGTCCTTAACATTGAGACAGGATCCACTGATAATCTTTTCATCCCATTATAGGAGAAAGTTGACAGAAAAGCTTCTAGCAATCCTGACCTTCATCTGAACAGGGCGACGGTAAGACCTTTGGGGTGTAGTCATCTGAGGGTCAAATAAATAAGACACCTATGTCTTAGCTTGTGAGGATAACTGAGTTTGCATAGGGACAAGATTGGGTACAGACTGCGAGAGGAAAGCCATGCTATTTCTATAAATAGCTAGCTCGGTTTGGCTTCAGTATCTGGTGTAGTCACTGGAGGGAAAGGAGAAGGGGCTGTGGAGGTGGAAGAATAGGTAGAGAATGGGGGGATCTTTTAGAAGACTTCTGAAATGTTAAGTAAATATAAAGGTCAAGTGAGCCAATATATACAACTTAACTATTTTAGAGTTTGGAAATTAGCTTCTTTGAAATGATTCCATCTTTGGGGTTGTGATCATCTTGGCTAGGAAGAAGGATGTAAGGTGTTACCAGCTCTTCAGGCTGTTTGTTGCAGCACAGGAAAATAACCAGGAAGGAAAACAGTTTATTTCTCTAGATTCCTAGCCCATGGTGCCATTCCCTCGGGATAGTTTGTCTGGATATACTTATAATTGGGATACACTTCTTGTACAGTTGCATAAATATGAAGAGAGTTATGGGGAGGCCCTGGAGGGCTTCTCTCGGGCTGCAGCCCTGGACCCTGCCTGGCCAGAGCCCCGGCAACGAGAGCAACAACTTCTGGAATTCCTGGATAGATTAACCAGCCTCCTTGAGAGTAAGGTAAAAATGTCTGAAGGGCTGAATTCCACTTTTTTTTTTTTTATTTTGTCGTGGGTCAATAAAATAAGAATAAATAGGTTTACGAGGTAGAGACCCTATAGAAGTGGGTGGGAGGGAAGGATTAGAATCTCAAGGAAGGCGACTAGTTTCCAGCTTCTTACCTATTTCCCCTTCTTTGCAGGGAAAGGTGAAGACCAAAAAGCTGCAGAGCATGCTGGGAAGCTTGCGCCCAGCCCATCTAGGCCCTTGCAGTGATGGGCACTATCAGTCAGCCTCTGGGCAGAAAGTGACCCTGGAGCTCAAGCCACTGAGTACGCTTCAGCCTGGGGTGAACAGCGGTGCCGTCATCCTGGGAAAGGTGGTATTTAGCCTCACCACAGAGGAGAAAGTCCCCTTGTGAGTTTCTCTTGGATTTCCCCCATTTTACCCTTTTGAACTAATTGCTCTCACTTCCTGTTCTTTCCCTGGCAGTTGAGGAGATTGTCAGTGGTCACAGATTTGTGACTTCTGATTTCCTTCTGTGACTATCCCGTGGGCAGATATTGTCTGGGTGATGTTTAACCATCTTTTGATCAGAGGCTTTTGTAGATTCTGTCACTGCCCATTTTGTATCCCTGAGTTTGGTGCTATGTGGATTCCTATATCCATAGTTGAAATTTGGCAGGACATATTTTTTTATAAGACAGAAACCTCAAAATTCTTCTGTCCCTTTGCATTTTCATGATCATAGAAGTTGAAGGAGGACAAATTTCTTAGTCCTGTTTGTACTTAGGTATACTTAGTTCTGAAAAGTGAGCTTTGAGTTATAATTTAAAGTCTGGTTGGGAGATTGTCTTAGATGTCATTCAACAAATATTTATTGAGTGTGTAATATATGTGTCATAGGGAGTGAGAAAAAAGAAATGTAAAGGACCCAGGTGCAGGTGCTTCTAGCAGCAGAGGAAATGAATTAAGAATATTTGTTTAGAAAATTTTTGGATCTTGAAAAGTTACGGTTTAGTGAATGCCACCACTCCTTGGTCCTTCACTCACTTCCTAATCCCTGGTTGACCGGTTTCCCCTTTCTCTTTTCTACTGAAATTGTTATTTTCCTAGGATCACCATTGTCTTTCTAGGCACTGGATCCAGCAACTTCTATTGCATGGTTCCAAAACATTCTGACTTATCTCTCACTATTGCTTTTCACATCCTTTCTGTTCATCTAAACAGAAATATTCACAATTCCCATTATATGCCCAAGCTTTCTCCATGGCATTTTCTAGGGGTTTGTATATTTGACGAGTTGAAGGGCAAAAAGATAGTTGAGAACAGTTTAGTTTACTAGAGCAAATCCTAGAGCTGAGAAGAATTAGAAAGGGATATAGACAAAGGTAGGTTTTGGAGGACCTTGAGAACAAATAGATATTTTGCCACTCCTTGGTTTCTCTTTTTCTGCCTAACTTTTAAATCTTAGGTTCCCAGGACTCTATTTTTGTTTTTTTCCTTTTTTCTCTTTATATCAGGATGGCCTATAGTTGCCAACTTTGATCACTTGTCAGTGGTTGCCTGACATACTGTGTAGAAGGATTCTGAGGCTTTGACTGGATTCATCAGGAGAGTGCTTTGCTTGATTGCAATATTTCCTGTGAATTCAGGCATGTCACGTGATGGCATGAGTGTGATTCTTCTCCATCCTGTCTATAGATCATCTTGCCCTGTGATGTCATATAAACCCAAGGCTTTGGCAGCCTCCTATATGCTTACAGATATATCTCCAGCCCAAGCTTCATTTCCAAGTGTTGGATTCCTATAACCATCTGCTTCTGGGTTCCAATAAGAAATCTCTAACTCAGTATTTCAGTATTACTCACCTAAATCTTTCTCTGTAAACCTGCTTCTCCTCCCTGGATTCCTTGTGAATGAATGGTATCACCTCTCAGTCACTTGATTAAGACTTTTGGAAGAATAGGCTTCTCCATTCTCCAAAAAGATTTGCCTTTTTTGTCCTATAGACTTGACTTCTCTGTGTTTACCACCTTAATTCACCCCCTTATCACTTCTCCAGATAGGTCTCCCTGATTCTCTGGTTTCCTCCAGTGTTCCACAGTGCTGCCAGAGAAATGTTTCTTAGATGGAAATCTGACCATTGCTACTTCTTATTTAAGATCCCTTACTGGTACTATATGTAGCTTTTGGGATAAAGTGTGAACTACTTAGGTTAGCATACAAAGTCCTTCATGATTTGCTCCCTGCTTCTCTTTCTATTATCTTTTGTCTCTTTCCCACCAGTGCCTTTTGTTTCAACCATGGAACAATTTTGTTGGTTTTAGAACAGCTGTTTTCATGCCTCTGTGTCTTACATACAGTTACTCTGCCTGGATAATCTCTAGCTTCTTCTTGACATAGCTAACATCCTCTTCTGCCCCCAACATTTTGTATAAAAATTTTCAAACATATAGCTAAGTTGAAAGAGTTTTACATTGAACATTTGTGTTCTCATCCACTTATATTCTACCATTAATATTTTATTTTACTTAGCTTATTACATATCAGTCTGTTTATCCTGCTATCAGAGTAAATTGCAGAGATCAATATACTTTACATACTTTAGCATGCAGTCATTAACTGAGTTCAGTATTTGTTTCAATTTTTTCTTTTTATGTAAAATTTACATACAATGAAATGTACAATTTTAAGCGTACATTTCATAGCTTTTAACAAATGGAAAATATCTGTATAACCCAAATAGAGATCATTACCACCATTCTGGGAAGTTCCCTGATGTTGCCTCCAAGTCAAAATCTCTGTTCCTATCCCCTCAGAGGTTTTTAACATTTTTACCGAGGATTAATTTTTCTCTTTTAACCCAGCTGGTTTTTTACCCTTTAAGATTCACTTTGAGCGTCACCTCTTCCAGGAAATCTTCCCTGCTTTCCAATTTTGATTTAGATATTTGTCCTCTGGGCTCCCACAGCCCAATCTGTGGCTTCATTGAATTCAGCACAAGGGAAAAGCTATTCTAGCACCCATCACACTGTGCTGTAAGTGATGACTTCATTGTCTGACTCCTGCTAGACTATAGGTCATTCATAGCTGGATTGGTATCTTATTGCTAAACACAATGCTTGGCACATATGTAATATTCAGTGAAAGTTTGTGGAGTTAAACTACACAGACAGTGATGGTTAGAGGCTTTGGTTAAGAGTATGATAGTTAAATTGATAGACCAGGAATAATGTTACAACTGTAACATGTTGGTCTAGTTCATCATTAATATTTGTTGAATGGCTTCAGTGTGCTTTGTCCTAAGTTCTTAGCAAAGTGACTGATGAGTTTCAGAAAAATGAAGACTCAGATATATAAAGTGGAAGATGGTACCTCTCATAGGTTTTCTGAGTAACTGAGAAAAAGCATTTGTTTATTTTGTTAGTATTTTATTTTTAAAGTTTAATTAAGTTAAATTTTATATTTTATTTTAATTACCTGTCACTGACTTTAAGTCCAGTATTTTGCTAGTATTTTTAAACCACTGTTTCTGCTCTTCTTTCCTACCCACATACCTTTTTGTTTTCCTCTCTCCTAATCTGTCTTTACTTGGTAGTACATTTGGCCTGGTAGATTCAGATGGACCTTGCTATGCAGTGATGGTGTACAATATAGTGCAGAGCTGGGGAGTGCTCATTGGAGACTCTGTAGCCATTCCTGAGCCCAACCTGCGGCTTCACCGAATTCAGCACAAAGGAAAGGTGAGCAATGGCTAGGATTCTCTTACAACTCGTAGGCTCTAAAAGTAGAACCAAGCTTATCTTTTTATAAAAGATATAGAAATAATTATATGTAAGTATGTGTGTAGGCTATGTGTATATATATTTGTGTGTATATGTTTTATTTATATATATATATGTATTTTTTTACTAAAAAGGTAAACTGGTAAGCAGAAAAATAAAAAAATGCAGTGAAATATTATCACTCAGGTATTACTGCCTTTTAACTGTTACTGTTAACAGTTTGGTGTATATACCTGAAGTCTTTTCTTTTCACAAATATATACACATATATCTATATTTTAAATCATGAGTGGGATATTATATGCAAATGTTTGTGAATGTTTCCTATGTTTTTACATATTTCACCACATTGAGTAGACACGGGGTGATGAAGATGGTAATGATAGTTAACATTTATTTAACACTTAATTGAGTGCTAGACACTGTGCTAAGAGTTTTTATTACCTGCCTTGCCCCATTCAATTCTTAAAAAAACCTTATGAATGTAGATATTTAACTACTGTTTAACCATTTAGATCAGAGGTTGGCAAAGCCCATTGACCAAATCTGGCTCACTGCTTGTGTTTATTAATAATGGTTTCTAGGCTGGGCATGGTGGCTCATGCGTAAAATCCCAGCACTTTGGAAGGCCAAGGTGGGAGGATCACTTGAGCCCAGGAGTTTAAGACCAGCCTGGGCTATATAGTGAGACCCCGTCTCTACAAAAAAATGTTAAAAAACTTAGCCAGGTATGGTAGCACATGCCTGTAGTCCCAGCTACTAAGGAGGCTGAAGTGAGAGAACCACTTTATCTCAGGAGTTTGAGGCTGCAGTAAGCCATTATTGTCCCATTGCACGCCAGCCCGGGTGATAGAGAAAGTCTGCCTCAAAAAAAAAAGAAAAACAAGAGTGTGGTTTCTGTGTTGTTAAGTGAAAAAAATGGACAGAAGCGTAATATTTTGTGATATGTGAAAATTACAGGAAATTCAGATTTCAGTGTCCACAAATAAAGCTTTATTGGAACACAGCCACACTCATTTGCTTACTATTGTCTGTGGCTGTTTTTGCACTATAGTGTCAGAGGTGACTTGTTCTGTAACAGAGACCATATGACCTACAAAGCCTAAAATATTTACTATCTGTCCCTTTGCAGAAATACTTTGATGACCTCCGATCTAAATTAGTACTTTTATAATAGAAAAAAAATTAGAAACACAGTGAGGATTTTTGTATCTTTGCTTGTATCTATGATTAGTTCCTTAAATGAATTTCTAATGTAGACTCCTGGGTCCAAAGGGTATGCAGAATTCTGAGGCTTTTGATACATATTGCCAAATAATTCTTTGGAAAATTGTACTAGTTAGTTGTCACTACCAACAGTGGATGTAAATAAGTGTTTCTCTGTAGTTTTTTTCTCAACTCTGGTTGGAAACCTTTGAAAAGTTATTTTCTAATTTTACATGGAAAATATAGCATGAATATTAATTTATATTTCTTGTATAAATTGCCATTTTTTGTGTCACTTGTTGATATTTCTGTGAAGACTTAAAAAAAATTGGTTTATGAGAACTTTTAAATTTACTTTACTTGGACTTAAAAGAGCCTGCCTCTCATTGCCATATTTTTTGGATGAAGACTATTTAATATGTTTTACAACTTAAAATACACTTAAACTGATACAGTGAGCTGATACCTTTTTTGTTATTAGGAAAACGGCTACATTCTGTTTCATGTTCTATTTCCTCCTCTTGATATAAAAGAGAAGTAACTTTAATTTGTATTTGGTGGATTAAATTAGGACCTTATAAACATTTGGACTGAGATTTTCTCAGGATTCCCACTGGCTCTGGCCGGCTGCTATGTGTATCTAGTTAATTATCAGGAAACACCGTGGGAAAAGGCAGATTCTATGAGAGTTGGTTGCATTCTTTTGTTAGGCAATGCCAGGAACCTGCCTTTTTTGGATCAAAGAGCTGTCTCATTCTTGTAGTGGCACTACATGACCTTACATGCTCCATGTTTTCCTTCTGAAGATTGAAAACTTTGGGAAATTTTCGTCCCCTGTGTTAGCTCAGTTTTGTCTGATGTGAGATGGAAGTAGAGGGGGTATACAACAGGGGAGGTGGTGCAGAAAGTTGCAAGTGGTGTATCCCCATGCTGGAGCTTTTTCCATCTTGGAATCTGTAGTGAACCTTTGTCTGTCTGTCTTTTCTAGGACTATTCCTTTTCCAGTGTTCGAGTGGAGACGCCCCTCCTGCTAGTGGTGAATGGGAAGCCTCAGGGATCCAGCAGCCAGGCTGTTGCCACAGTGGCATCGCGACCACAGTGTGAATGACCTTTGACTTGCATGCTCAACAGGGAGTGGAGGAGAGGAGACAAGGCTCTGGACAGCCGGTCCAGCCACATCCAGTGATTCAGCAGGGATGGGAGGAATGTTTTAAATGAAGACTTTCTCTTTCCCTGCCTGTATTACACTTCGTATCTCTTCTCTCTCCTCTGTCCTCATCATGTTCCAGCTCTCTACAGGGCCACATACTCTTCTGGCATATCTCTCCTGTCTCTTCCACTGCTCTCTATGTTTTAAGCAAAGAGCATGGAATTGGTAGAAGTCTTGGGATCTTGCCATGGGACAGAGTCCCCAAGGTTCCTGTTGTTGCCTCCTTCCTAAGCCTCATATGTATATATCAGTTCAGTATTTATTGCTAAAGGAGGGGGCTTAATTTTGTAATGGCTTTTATTTTTAGCAATTTTTATTTTTATTTTTGAACTTTAGGTCCTTCCTCTTCTTTGGGGCTGGAACAGAATTAAATTTGTTTGGAAAAAAAAAAAAACACCACGTAGTTTGGCCTGCTTTATTCTCCCTAGGCCTGTATTCTTTGTTTTAGGATCACTTCAATTTATTGGAGTAATACCCCCATTTTTTTCTTTATACAAAGCAGTTTATTTCTCTCCCAGTTAAAAGAATTCCGACAATAGACAGCCCCAGGCAGGAATGGCAACTCCACAAAGTTGCTAGAGACCAGCTTTCTTCCATTTTCCCATTCTGTCATTCCCTAGGGGTGGTCTTCACTATGGTCCAAGATGACAGAGCAATACTGTTCTAATAGTGTTACTAGGCTGAAGGACCAGAGAGAGTTAGATAAATCCTCAGTTTCTTTAGAGTCTAGTGACATGTTTTATAACAGTTTATCTTAATATCCTTGTGGTAAAATGGAGAAATGTGAGTGAGGATTAATAACCAATTGAATTGGCCTGGCACGGTGGCTCAGCCTGTAATCCCACCACTTTGGGAGTCCAAGGCGGGTGGATCACGAGGTCAGGAGTTCAAGATCAGCCTGGCCAAGATGGTGAAACTCCGTCTCTACTAAAAATACAAAAATTAGCTGGGCGTGGTGGCAGGCACCTGTAATCACAGCTACTGGGGAGGCTGAGGCAGAGAATTGCTTGAACCTGGGAAGTGGAGGTTGCAGTGAGCCGATATCATGCCACTGCACTCCAGCATGGGCGACAGAGCGAGACTCCGTCTCAAACAGCAACAACAACTGAATGGCTGTAATACATTAATGTATACAGATGAATTGAGAAGTCTTCTAGTGAAATGGCTCAGATCTTTGTTCTTGGTCCAGTCCTGTTCAGTTTTTGATCAGTGCCTTGAATATCATTGATGACTCATTAAATTTATAAAGAGTGCAGAGGCCTCCTCAGAGAATGGATGGTAGAAATGCATTGATGAGAGAAGTTTTATCTATCTATCTGTCTATCTATCTATCTATCTATCTGTCTCTATCTAAGAAGTCATAAAGGCTGAGTCTAATAAGATAAAATTTTCAGTCCATTCTTTTGGTCCAAAAAGGCTTACATTCTCAGGTATAGCTTCAACATCATATATGAATATTACTAAGAATCTTAGTAGATAAGCTAAAGTCAGTATGAGTAACCAGTCTGATATAGTTTGCAAGAACACTCTTCATGGACTGCACCAAAAAAACCTATGGTAGCAAGAGACAGTTTTTATTAGAAGTACTGTCTGTTATACCACATATGGAGTCTTAAATTAGTTTTGGGTGTCATTTTGAGGCCTAGAGTCATAGAAGAGTGATTAGGAGCTTGTGGGGTATAAAAATAACTTGAGAATTGGCTGAAAGCAACTAGGGAAGATGGGGGTAGTAGTATGTGTAAACATTTGAGGCAGTAGAGATGTGGGACCCAAATACTGTTCCCCTTTTACTCAAATTCTGAGATGAGTTGACATGTTCTGTGTAGGGCTAGAGAGTAGAAAAATGGCCAGTAGGTGGTAGCCACAGAGAAGCAGTGCGTACAAACAAGTAAGTATGCAAAATTTGTACATACGGTTTCAGGAATAACTAGAATACCCATAAAATATCCACCTGCCTTAAAAACTAGAACATCATTGATAACTTGGAAGCCCTTGCATACCTCTCCATGATCTCATTTGTCTTCACAGCTATATAAATCTCATTGTATGATTATACCATAATTTATTCATCCTGTTGTTAAAGGATATTTGGGTTTCCAGTTTTTCTTTTTTTACTACCAAAGCACTACATTATTAATATTCTTGTATATGTCCTGATATGTAAGTGCAAAAGTTTCTTTTACAGCAATGGCTCTTGAAGAGTGGTTCCCAGACCAGCAGCATCAGCATCCCTTGGAACTTCTTTGAAATGCAAATTCTCAAGCCCCCTACCCAGACTTACTGAATTCAAAACTATGTGGGAGGAGCCCAGCAATCTGTGTTTCGCAAACCCTCCAGGTGACTCTGATGCACAGTAAAATTTGAGAACCACTGTTTAAGAGTATTGACATAGAATGGAATTGCTGGATCATAGAGTATATACATGTTCAACTTTTTTGAGAAGCACTAAACATTTCCAAAGTGCTTATATTAGTTTATGTCTCTACTATCAATAGATGAGTCACCCCAATGCTCCCCATCCTCTTCTGTGCTTGGTATTATCTTTTAGGTATTGCAAATACAGGAGATTTGAGTATTATTTCCTTGTGGCCTTAATTTGCATTTCTGATTATTAATGAGCTTGAGCATCTTTTCATATATTTAGAAGCCACTAATATTTTCTCTCGGTAAAATGCCTATTCGAGTCTTTGCACACTGCTGTATTGGATGTCAAATTGATTTATATATTCCCTGTACTAATCGTTTGTCTACATACAGTTTTATCCTGTTTTTTTTTTTATTCTATTGGGTCTTTTGCTGAACAGAAGTTCTTAATTTCAATGTCATTGAATTTATCCATCTTTTATGATAATGCTTTTTGTGTTTTAAGAGGTTCTTAGCTCTCCTAAAGTCATAAGGACATTTTCCCTCTACTGCTTTATGAAGTTATTTTGTCCTTTTCTTACAGTATGACTTTATTTTATGTTATGTACGGATATAATTTTTTTCATAATGAGTAAATAGCCCAGCACCTTTTATTAAAGAATCAATCCTTTCCCTACTGATCTTTAAAGCCCAGTCTGTCTTTTTCTTTTTTTGAAATTGTCTAGCTTTTTAATTTTTACCAACCAGATGATTATAAAATATCACATAGTAGGCATAAATTACATTTCTTTGTCCATTCCTGTTTCTTTTTCTATGAAATCTCTGTTTTCTTTTGTCCAATTTTTATTGGGTTGTCTTCTTATTGATTCCTTACATGTTCTGGATACTAATCCATTATAAATTATGTTTTTCAAATATATTTATCCAAATCGCAGCTTGCTTTTTCATTTTCTTAATGCTCTCTCTTTTTTTTATTATTATTATACTTTAAGTTTTAGGGTACATGTGCACAACGTGCAGGTTTGTTACATATGTATACATGTGCCATGTTGGTGTGCTGCACCCATTAACTCATCATTTAGCATTAGGTATATCTCCTAATGCTATCCCTCCCCCCTCCCCCCACCCCACAACAGTTCCCCGAGTGTGGTATTCCCCTTCCTGTGTCCATGCGTTCTCATTGTTCAATTCCCACCTATGAGTGAGAAAATGTGGTGTTTGGTTTTTTTGTCCTTGCGATAGTTTGCTGAGAATGATGGTTTCCAGCTTCATCCATGTCCCTACAAAGGACATGAACTCATCATTTTTATGGCTGCATAGTATTCCATGGTGTATATGTGCCACATTTTCTTAATCCAGTCTATCATTGTTGGACATTTGGGTTGGTTCCAAGTCTTTGCTATTGCGAACAGTGCTGCAATAAACATACGTGTGCATGTGTCTTTATAGCAGCATGATTTATAATCCTTTGGGTATATACCCAGTAATGGGATGGCTGGGTCAAATGGTATTTCTAGTTCTAGATCCCTGAGGAATCGCCACACTGACTTCCACAGTGGTTGAACTAGTTTACAGTCCCACCAACAGTGTAAACATGTTCCTATTTCTCCACATCCTCTCCAGCACCTGTTGTTTCCTGACTTTTTAATGATCGCCATTCTAACTGGTGTGAGATGGCATCTCATTGTGGTTTTGATTTGCATTCTCTGATGGCCAGTGATGATGGGCATTTTTTCATGTGTTTTTTGGCTGCATAAATGTCTTCCTTTGAGAAGTGTCTGTTCATATCCTTTGCCCACTTTTTGATGGGGTTGTTTTTTTTTTTCTTGTAAATTTGTTTGAGTTCATTGTAGATTCTGGATATTAGCCCTTTGTCAGATTAGTAGGTTGCAAAAATTTTCTCCCATTCTGTAGGTTGCCTGATCACTCTGATGGTAGTTTCTTTTGCTGTGCAGAAGCTCTTGAGTTTAATTAGATCCCATTTGTCAATTTTGTCTTTTGTTGCCATTGCTTTTTGTGTTTTAGACATGAAGTCCTTGCCCATGCCTATGTCCTGAATGGTATTGCCTAGATTTTCTTCTAGGGTTTTTATGGTTTTAGTTCTAACATGTAAGTCTTTAATCCATCTTGAGTTAATTTTTGTATAAGGTGTAAGGAAGGGATCCAGTTTCAGCTTTCTCCATATGGCTAGCCAGTTTTCCCAGCACCATTTATTAAATAGGGAATTGTTTCCCCATTTCTTGTTTTTGTCAGGTTTGTCGAAGATCAGATAGTTGCAGATATGCAGCATTATTTCTGAGGGCTCTGTTCTGTTCCATTGGTCTATATCTCTGTTTTGGTACCAGTACCATGCTGTTTTGATTACTGTAGCCTTGTAGTATAGTTTGAAGTCAGGTAGCTTGATGCCTCCAGCTTTGTTCTTTTGGCTTAGGATTGACTTGGCTATGCGGGCTCTTTTTTGGTTCCATATGAACTTTAAAGTAGTTTTTTCCAATTCCGTGAAGAAAGTCATTGGTATCTTGATGGGGATGTCATTGAATCTATAAATTACCTTGAGCAGTATGGCCATTTTCACGATATTGATTCTTCCTACCCATGAGCATGGAATGTTCTTCTATTTGTTTGTATCCTCTTTTATTTCATTGAGCAGTGGTTTGTAGTTCTCCTTGAAGAGGTCCTTCATATCCCTGGTAAGTTGGATTCCTAGGTATTTTATTCTCTTTGAAGCAATTGTGAATGGGAGTTCACTCATGATTTGGCTCTCTGTTTGTTATTGGTGTATAAGAATGCTTGTGATTTTTGCACATTGATTTTGTATCCTGAGACTTTGCTGAAGTTGCTTATCAGCTTAAGGAGATTTTGGGCTGAGACAGTGGGGTTTTCTAGATACACAATCATGTCATCTGCAAACAGGGACAATTTGACTTCCTCTTTTCCTAATTGAATGCCCTTTATTTCCTTCTCCTGCCTAATTGCCCTGGCCAGAACTTCCAACACTATGTTGAATAGGAGTGGTGAGAGAGGGCATCCCTGTCTTGTGCCAGTTTTCAAAGGGAATGCTTCCAGTTTTTGTCCATTCAGTATGATATTGGCTGTGGGTTTGTCATAGATAGCTCTTATTATTTTGAGATACGTCCCATCAACACCTAATTTATTGAGAGTTTTTAGCATGAAGGGTTGTTGAATTTTGTCAAAGGCCTTTTCTGCATCTATTGAGATAATCATGTGGTTTTTGTCTTTGGTTCTGTTTATATGCTGGATTACATTTTTTGATTTGTGTGTGTTGAACCAGCCTTGCATCCCAGGGATGAAGCCCACTTGATCATGGTGGATAAACTTTTTGTTGTGTTGCTGGATTCAGTTTGCCAGTATTTTATTGAGGATTTTTGCATCAATGTTCATCAAGGATATTGGTCTAAAATTCTCTTTTTTTTGTTGTGTCTCTGCCAGACTTTGGTATCAGGGTGATGCTGGCCTCATAAAATGAGTTAGGGAGGATTCCCTCTTTTTCTATTGATTGGAATAGTTTCAGAAGGAATGGTACCAACTCCTCCTTGTACCTCTGGTAGAATTCAGCTGTGAATCCATCTGGTCCTGGACTTTTTTTGGTTGTTAAGCTATTGATTATTGCCACAATTTCAGAGCCTGTTGTTGGTCTATTCAGAGATTCAACTTCTTCTGGGTTTAGTCTTGGGAGAGTGTATGTGTTGAGGAATTTATCCGTTTCTTCTAGATGTTCTAGTTTATTTGTGTAGAGATGTTTATAGTATTCTCTGATGGTAGTTTGTATTTCTGTGGGATCAGTGGTGATATCCCCTTTGTCATTTTTTATTGCATCTATTTGATTCTTCTCTCTTTTCTGCTTTATTAGTCTTGCTAGCGGTCTATCAATTTTGTTGATCTTTTCAAAAAACCAGCTCCTGGATTCATTGGTTTTTGGAAGGGTTTTTTGTGTCTCTATTTCCTTCAGTTCTGCTCTGATCTTAGTTATTTCTTGCCTTCTGCTAGCTGTTGAATGTGTTTGCTCTTGCTTCTCTAGTTCTTTTAATTGTGATGTTAGGGTGTCAATTTTAGATCTTTCCTGCTTTCTCTCATGGGCATTTAGTGCTATAAATTTCCCTCTACACACTGCTTTGAATGTGTCCCAGAGATTCTGGTATGTTGTGTCTTTGTTCTTGTTGGTTTCAAAGAACATCTTTATTTCTGCCTTCATTTCATTATGTACCCAGTAGTCATTCAGGAGCAGGTTGTTCAGTTTCCATGTAGTTGAGCCGTTTTGAGTGAGTTTCTGAATCCTGAGGTCTAGTTTGATTGCACTGTGGTCTGAGAGAGAGTTTGTTATAATTTCTGTTCTTTTACATTTGCTGAGGAGAGCTTTACTTCCAACTATGTGGCCAATTTTGGAACAGGTGTGGTGTGGTGCTGAAAAGAATGTATATTCTGTTGATTTGGGGTGGAGAGTTCTGTAGATGTCTATTAGGTCCGCTTGGTGCAGAGCTGAGTTCAATTCCTGAATATCCTTGTTAACTGTCTCATTGATCTGTCTAATGTTGACAGTGTGGTGTTAAAGTCTCCCATTATTAATGTGTGGGAGTCTAAGTCTCTTTGTAGGTCACTAAGGACTTGCTTTATGAATCTTGGTGCTCCTGAATTGGGTGCATATATATTTAGGATAGTTAGCTCTTCTTGTTGAATTGATCCCTTTACCATTATGTAATGGCCTTCTTTGTCTCTTTTGATCTTTGTTAGTTTAAAGTCTGTTTTATCAGAGACTAGGATTGCAACCCCTGCCTTTTTTTGTTTTCCATTTGCTTGGTAGATCTTCCTCCATCCCTTTATTTTGAGCCTATGTGTGTCTCTGCATGTGAGATGGGTCTCCTGAATACAGCACACTGATGGGTCTTGACCCTTTATCCAATTTGCCAGTCTGTGCCTTTTAATTGGAGCATTTAGCCCATTTACATTTAAGGTTAGTATTGTTATGTGTGAATTTGATCCTGTCATTATGATGTTAGCTGGTTATTTTGCTCGTTAGTTGATGTAGTTTCTTCCTAGCCTTGATGGTCTTTATAATTTGGCATGTTTTTGCAGTGGCTGGTATTGGTTGTTCCTTTCCATGTTTAGTGCTTCCTTCAGGAGCTCTTTTAGGGCAGGCCTGGTGGTGACAAAATCTCTTAGCATTTGCTTGTCTGTAAAGTATTTTATTTCTCCTTCACTTATGAAGCTTAGTTTGGCTGGATATGAAATTGTGGGTTGAAAATTCTTTTCTTTAAGAATGTTGAATATCGGCCCCCACTCTCTTCTGGCTTGTAGAATTTCTGCCGAGAGATCAGCGGTTAGTCTGATGGGCTTCCCTTTGTGGGCAACCCGGTCTTTCTCTCTGGCTGCCCTTAACATTTTTTCCTCCATTTCAACTTTGGTGAATCTGAGAATTATGTGTCTTGGAGTTGCTCTTCTTGAGGAGTATCTTTGTGGTGTTCTCTGTATTTCCTGAATTTGAATGTTGGCCTTCCTTGCTAGATTGGGGAAGTTCTCCTGGATAATATCCTGCAGAGTGTTTTCCAACTTGGTTCCGTTCTCCCCATCACTTTCAGGTACACCAATCAGATGTAGATTTGGTCTTTTCACATAGTCCCATATTTCTTGGAGGCTTTGTTTATTTCTTTTTATTATTTTTTCTCTAAACTTCTTTTCATGCTTCATTTCATTCATTTCGTCTTCCATCACTGATACCCTTTCTTCCAGTTGATCGCATCGGTTACTGAGGCTTGCGCATTCGTCAGGTAGTTCTTGTGCTGTGGTTTTCAGCTCCATCAGCTCCTTTAAGGACTTCTCTGCATTGGTTATTCTAGTTATCCATTCATCTAATTTTTTTTTCAAAGTTTTTAACTTCTTTGTCATTGGTTCGAACTTCCTCCTTTAGCTTGGAGTAGTTTGATCTTCTGAAGCCTTCTTCTCTCAACTCGTCAAAGTCATTCTCCATCCAGCTTTGTTCCGTTGCTGTTAAGGAGCTGCGTTCCTTTGGAGGAGGAGAGGTGCTCTGATTTTTAGAGTTTCCGGTTTTTCTGCTCTGTTTTTTTCCTCATCTTTGTGGTTTTATCTACCTTTGGTCTTTGATAATGGTGACATACAGATGGGTTTTTGGTGTGGATGTCCTTTCTGTTTGTTAGTTTTCCTTCTAACAGTCAGGACCCTCAGCTGCAGGTCTGTTGGAGTTTACTGGAGGTCCACTCCAGACCCTGTTTGCCTGGGTATCAGCAGCAGTGGCTGCAGAACAGCGGATATTGTTGAACCGCAAATGCTACTGCCTGATCGTTATTCTGGAAGTTTTGTCTCAGAGGAGTACCCGGCCGTGTGACGTGTCAGTCCGCCCCTACTGGGGGGTGCCTCCCAGTTAGGCTACTCGGGGGTCAGGGACAGACTTGAGGAGGCAGTCTGCCCGTTCTCAGATCTCAAGCTGCGTGCTGGGAGAACCACTACTCTCTTCAAAGCTGTCAGACAGGGACATTTAAGTCTGCAGAGGTTATTGCTGTCTTTTGTTTGTCTGTGCCCTGCCCCCAGAGGTGGAGCCTACAGAGGCAGGCAGGCCTCCTTGAGCTGTGGTGGGCTCCACCCAGTTTGAGCTTCCTGGCCACTTTGTTTACCTAGTCAAGCCTGAGCAAATGGCAGGCGCCCCTCCCCCAGCCTGGCTGCCGCCTTGCAGTTTGATCTCAGACTTCTGTGCTAGCAATGAGTGAGGCTCCGTGGGCATAGGACTCTCCAAGCCCGGTGCGAGATATAATCTCCTGGTGTGCCGTTTGATAAGCCCATTGGAAAAGTGCAGTATTAGAGTGGGAGCAACCCGATTTTCCTGGTGCCATCTGTCACCCCTTTCTTTGACTAGAAAAGGGAATTCCCTGACCCTTTGCACTTCCTGGGTGAGGCGATGCCTCGCCCTGCTTCGGCTCATGCACGGTGTGCTGCACCCACTGTCCTGCACCCACTGTCCAGCACTCCCAGTGAGATGAACCCAGTACCTCAATTGGAAATGCAGAAATCACCCATCTTCTGCGTCGCTCACGCTGGGAGCTATAGACTGGAGCTGTTCCTATTCGGCCATCTTTGCTCCACCCCGCCCAGTCTGTCTTACACTGACTTTCCATCTCTCTCTCTCTCTTCCCTATCTTTCTGTCCATCCATCCATCCATCCATCCATCCATCCACCCACACTGATCTTTAAAGCCCAGACTGTCTTAATCAACTTTTCATATGTATCTCTGTTCTTGAGTTCTCTATTCTTTTTTTTTTTTTTTTTTTGAGACAGAGTCTCACTCTGTCACCCAGGCTGGAGTGCAGTAGCGCAATCATAGCTCACTGCAGCCTCGACCTCCCAGGATCAAGCAATCCTCTCACCTCAGCCTCCCAAGTTGTTGGGACTACAGGTGTGTGCCACTATCCCTGGCTAATTTTTTTAAAATATATTTTTTGTAGAGATAGGGTCTCGCCATGTTGCTCAGGCTGGTCTGGAACTCCTGAGCTCAAGTGATCCTCCCGACTTGGCCTCCCACAGTGTTGGGATTACAAGCATGAGCCACCACGCCTGGTCCTCTATTCTGATCTGTTCTGCTCTGTTTATTTTTATGCCAGTACTATATTGCCTTATAGTTTTATAAAAAGTCAGTATCTTTGGGAGGCCGAGGTGGGTGGATCACCTGAGGTCGGAAGTTCGAGACCAGCCTGACCAACATGGAGAAACCCCGTCTCTACTAAAAATACAAAATTAGGCGTGGTGGCGCACGCCTGTAATCCCAGCTACTCAGGAGGCTGAGGTAGGAGAATCCGTTGGACCCAGGAGGCGGAGGTTGTGGTGAGCTGAGATTGTGCCATTGTACTCCAGCCTAGGCAACAAAGAGTGAAACTCCGGCTCAAAAAAAAAAAAAAAAAATTATCTAATCAGACAAGTTATTTTATGTTGTTCTTCACAAGTGTTCCATTTACACTTTAAAATCAGCTTGTAACTTTTCATGAAAAATTCCAGGGACTTTAGTTGGGACTGCATTGAATTTACAGATAAGTTTAGGAAGAATAGGCATCCTTCATAATGTTGAGTCTTACCATTTTCTTTATGTAAGTCAGTCTTCTTCATTGTCTCTTTTTTTTGTGACTACGTAATTTTACTATTTCTGTAGTAGTTGCCAAATGGTGATATTCTAATTTCATTCTAATTTCTACATTTACTAACTGCAATCAGACTCACCCATTTTTAAAATCCTGGCTCTGCTCCTTGAGCTGTACAATCTTAGGGTACCATTAGGAAAGAAAAAAATGGTCAGCTCAGAATTTTGTTTCCAGTGAAAATGTGTATCTTTCCCTTGCTCTTTCTTTTCTCTCTTCCTGTCTGTTATTTCCTTCCCTCTGCTTTTGGCCACAGAGGTTGGCCTTGGTTGCTGGGTTACCTTAGTAGTAGGGTTAGAACAACCTAGAAGGCAATGCAGTGAGGGAAAAGGTGAGCAGAGAAGATGTGTGTTAGTGGTGTATTAGCCAGCTCCCAAGGATTCAAACAGGAAGTGGGGAGGTAGTCACATGGAGGCACGTTGGCAGCTAGCCAGCCAGCTAGCATCTGAGGACATGGAGGTATTAGGAGAAAGTAAGATAGAGACAGGGAACATCAGAGATGTGGTTATGAGATTGGATTTTGAAACACATAAGGTATAAATAAGTATGAACACTCTTGGTGTCTGCATAACATGCTCCATGACAGGGAATCATATTTCTTGATGAAATTGACAATATCAGTATGACATCTGGAATTGTCTGAGCCTAGAACCTCTTGTGTAAAAATATGAGCTTTAGAAGTCTCCCACTGGCCAAATCTGGCACATAAGCATGAAAATAAGTGATTGTAACAAAATGGAGCCCATTGGATAATATAATAAGTGAAGAGTATTTTTGATATGAAGATAAATAAAAAAATAGAAAAGTGAAGGAGAAGGGAATACTCCTTAGAGTAGACGTCAACTACAGGATGTCTAGAGCTGCCATTAGGCAATCATCATAGTATTAGATGGTTCAGATAGGAGTTATACAAAAAAGCTGGTTAGTGGAGATGTGATGAGGAACAGTTTACTGACATTGCCTTGAATATCTCTTATTCAATATAAAGTAAAAAGTGTAAATTAAAGCTGCATAGGGATGGCAGATGCCAACCAGACCAGGTCATTAATGGTTACGTCACCAGGGTGGGAGGGATAGCAAATGTGATCCCTGGTGGGAGGCACTAAGGGCACAGCACAATTTCTGTATTCTTCCCGCTAAGGGAACATCACTGAATCTGGTCATGAAGAATCATCAGAAAGACCCAGTAGAGGATCATTCAATTTCATGTAGGATATTGAGGGTGAGAAGTACAAGGAATGATGAAGAACAGTTTGAGACTGGAGAAGAAGAAAATGGTATGACTCCCGAATGCAACACATGTTCCAGGGTGCGGATCCTGTAGCAGAAAGGAAAACAAGACACTGTCACATGGGAGTGAACATCTGAAGGGCATCTGTGGCTTGGGCAGTCATGTTTTGCCATTGGTTTTTGCCTTAAGTGGTAGCATGATTATGTAGAGAAAATTTTGCCTTGGGGAAAACCACAATGGCAAATTTAGGGGTGGACACCATGCCTGCCCCTTTCATGTTTCAGAAAGAAATGAATAAAATGCAATAATATATAAAGCAAAAAAAGTTATAAAGCAAATGAGGTAAAGAGTTTAACAGCTGAGGAATCTGGGCAAATGATAAATATCCATACATTAGAAATTATTTCAAATTATTTTAAAAATTAAAAATGATTAATTCGCATTTGCTATGGTCCAAATGTATCCACCGAATTTCATATGTTAAAACTTAATTACCCATGTGATAAGAGGTGGGACTTTCAGGAGGTGATTAAGTCATGAAGACAGCTGTCAGGGACGAGAGTAGTGTCCTTTTAAAATGGCGTGAGAGAGCAGGTTCATACCTTTTTTGCCCTTCTGCCTTCTGCCAAGTGAGAATGCAGCAAGACAGCAGACACTGAATCTGGCACCTTCATCTTGGACTTCTCAGCCTGCAGAACTGTCAGAAATAAATTCGTTTTTTTATAAATTATCCACTATCAGGTATTTTCTTAGCAGAACTAACAAGCTATGAAAACATTGCATATTTTTGATTGTCAAAATGAAGTTGGATATTGTTAAATGTGTTTGAATTCTTTGATTTTGCTAAATACAATGGAATGATCTGCATTTTTTTCTCCACCCAGTTTGCTTTTGTTTCCTATTTTTAACATTTGTATAAATGTGAGGAGTACAAGTGCAGTTTTGTTACATGGATATATTGCTTAGCAGTGAAGCCTGGACTTTTAGTGTAAACATCACACAAATAGTGTACATTGTACCCATTAAGTAATTTCTCATTCTTCACCCACCTCCTACCTTCCCACCCCTCCAAGTCTCCAGTGACTATTACTCCACACTCTGTATCCATGTGTGTACACATTATTTAACTCATATAGTGAGAACAAGCTGTATTTTACTTTCTGAGTTGTTTCATTTAGGATAATGGTCTCCAGTTCCATCTATGTTGCTGCAAAATATATGATTTCATTCTTTTTTTATGGCCAAACGGTATTAAATTGTGTGTGTGTGTGTGTGTGTGTGTGTATATATATATATATATATATATATATATATATATATATATACACACATACATATATATATGTATATATATGTATATATATATATACACATATATGCATATGCATATGCATATATATATATACACACACACATATATGCATAGGTACACAAACACACACTCCATATTTTCTTTATCTAGTCATCCATTGATAGATATTTAGGTTGATTTCATGACTTTGCTGTTGTAAATAGTGCTATGAGAGACATGAGTGCAGGTGTCTTTTTGATATCATGATTTCTTTTCCTTTGGGTAGATACCCAGTAGTGGGATTGCTGTGTTGAATGGTAGGTCTATTTTTATTTCCTTGAGAAATCTCTATATTGTTTTCCATAGAGGTTGTAGTAATTTCCATTCCCACCAACAGTATGTAGGAGTTGTCTTTTCTCCGTACTTTCTCCAACATGTTATTTATTTATTTTTTAATAATAGCCATTCTGACTGATATAAGATGATATCCCATTATGGTTTTAAATTGCATTTCTCTGATAATTTGTGAAGTTGGCCATTTTTTCATATGCTTGTTGGCCGTTTGTATGTCTTTTCTGAAAAATGTCCACTCATTTCCTTTGCCCGTTTTTAATTGTATTTTTGATTTCTGTTGTTATTGAGTTGTTTGAGTTTCTTGTAAATTCTGGATATTGGTCCCCTGTTGGATCATAGTTTACAAATAATTTCCCCCATTCTGCAGGTTGTTTGTTCACTCTGTTGATTGTTTCTTTTGCTGTGCAGGAGCTTTTGAGTTTAATTAAGTCCCATTTGTCTATTTTTGTTTTTGTTGCTTGTGCTTTTGAGGTCTTGGTTATGAATTCTTTAGACCAATGTCCAGAATAGTTTTCCATGGATTTCCTTCTAGCATTTTTAGAGTTTCAGATCTTACATTTAAGTCTTCAGTTCATCCTGAGTTGATTTTTGTATATAGTGAGAGATAGGGATCCAGTTTCATTCTCTGCATATGGCAATCCAATTTTGCCAGTACTATTTATTAAAAAGGGTGTCATTTTTTTCCCCATGTATATATTTGTCAACTTTGTCAAAGATCAGCTGGCTGTAGATATGTGGGTTTATTTCTAGGTTCTCTTTTTCTATTTCATTGATCTATGTGTCTATTTTCATACTAGTACCATGCTGTTTTGGTTACTATAGCTTTATAATATAATTTGAGGTCAGGTAATGCAATGCCTCCTGCTTTGTTCTTTTTGCTTAGGGTTGCTTTGGCTATTCAAGCTCTTTTTTTTGGTTCTATATGAATTTTAGGATTGCTTTTTCTAATTCTGTGAAAATGACATTGGTAATTTGATAGGAATTGCATTGAATCTGTACATTGCTTTGGGTAGTGTGGTCATTCTGATGTTATTCATTCTTCTCCCTGAGCGTGGGATATTTTCCCATTTGTTTGTGTCATCTACAGTTTCTTTCATCAGTGTTTTGTAGTAAAGATCTTTCTCCTCCTTGGTTAAATATATTCCCAGATATTTTATTTCTTTGTAGCTATTGTAAATGGGATTGCTTTTTTAGTTTGGTTCTCAGCTTGCTCTTGGTTATAAAAATGGTACTGATTTTTGTATATTGATTTTGTATCCTGAAACTTTGCTGTATTTGTTCATCAAATCTAAGAGTTTTTTAATAAAAGTATTTAGGGTTTTGTAGGTATAAGATTATATCATCAGTGAACAGAGATATTGTGTTGGTGCAAAAGTAATTGTGGCAAATGGCAAAAATTGCAATTACTTTTGCACCAACCCAATAGTTTGACTTCTTGTTTTCCAATTTGGATGCTGATATAGTTTGGATGTTTGTTCCTTCCAAGTCTCATATTGAAATGTAATCCTCAATGATAGAGGTGGGGCCTGGTGGGAGGTGCTTGTGTCATGGGGGTGGATCCCTTCTGGATGGCTTGGTGCTGTCCTTGAGATAGTGAGTTCTTGTGAAATCTGACTGTTTGAAAGTGTGTGGCACCTCCCCACCACTCTCTGTTCCTGCTCTTGCCATGTGATGTGACTGCTCCCACTTCACTTTCTGCCATGATTGTAAGGTTTCTGAAGACTTCACCAGAAGCAGGTGCTGGAGCCATGCTGATACAGCCTTCAGAACTCTGAACCAATTATACCTCTTTTCTTTATAAATTACCCAGTTTCAGGTATTTATAGCAATGCAAGAATGGCCTAACAGAAAACTGGTATCAGGAGTGGGGCATCGCTATAAAGATACCTGAAAATGTGGAAGCAACTTTCAACTGGGTAATGGGCGGAGGTTGGAAGAGTTTAGAGGGCTCAGAAGACAGGAAGATAAGGGAAAGTTTGGAACTTCTCAGAGACTGGTTCAATGGTTGTGACCAAAATACTGGTACCCAAGACTGGGTAATTTGTAAAAAAAAGAGGTTTAATTGACTCACCATTCAGCATGGCTGGGGAGGCCTCCGAAACTTACAATCATGGTGGAAGGGGAAGCAAACACGTCCTTCATCACATGGTGGCAGGAAGGAGAATGAGAATTCAGCAAAGGGGGAAGCTCCTTATACAACCATGAGACCTTGTGAGCACTAACTCACTATTATGAGAACAGGATGGGGGAAACTGCCCCCATGATTCAATTATCTCCAGGTTCCTCCCATGACACGTGGGAACTAAAATTCAAGATGAGAGTTAGGTGAGGACATAGCCAAACTGTATCATTCCACCCCTCACCCCTCCTAAATCTCATGTCCTCACATTTCAAAACCGAATCATGCCCTTCCAATAGTCCCCCAAAGTCTTAACCCATTTCAGAGTTAACTCAAAAGTCCGAGTCCAAAGTGTCATCTGAGACAACACGAGTAAGTCCCTTTTGCCTATGAGCCTGTAAAATCAAAAGGAAGTTAGTTACTTCCTAGATAGAATGTGGGTACAGGCATTGAGTAAATACACCCATTCCAAGTGGGAGAAGTTGGCCAAAACAAAGGGGTTACAGGCCCCATGCAAGTCTGAAATCCAATAGGGCAGTCATTAAACCTTAAAGTTCCAAAATAATCTCCTTTGACTTCATGTCTCATATTCAGGTCAGGGTGATGCAAGAGGTGGGCTCCCACAGCCTTGGGAAGGTCTGCCCCTGTGGTTTTGCAGGGTAAAGCCCCCCTCCTGGCTGCTTTCATGGGCTGGCATTGAGTGTGCAAGCTGCTGGTGGATCTGCCATTCTGGGATCTGGAGGACTGTGGCCCTCTCCACACAGCTTCATTAGGGAGTGTCCTGGGGGGACCCTGTGTGGGGTCTCTGGCCCCACATTTCCCTTCTGCACTGCCCTAGCAAAGGTTTTCCCTGAGAACTCCACCCCTGCAGCAAACTTCTACCTGGACATCCAGGCATTTCCATACATCTTCTGAAATCTAGGTGGAGGTTCCCAAACCTCAATTCTTGACTTCTGTGCACCCCCAGGCCCAACACCATATGTATGCCACCAAGACTTGGGGCTTGCACCCTCTGAAGCAATGGCCTGAGCTCCACATTAGCCCCGTGTAGCCATGGCCAAGACACACGGCACCAAGTCCCTAGACTGCACATAGCATCAAGGCCCTAGGCCTGGCCCACAAAACCGTTTTTTTCTTCTAGTCCTCTGAGCCTGTGATGGGAGAGCCTGCAGTGAAGACCTCTTACATGCCCTGGAGACATTTTCCCCGTTTCCTTGGTGATTAACATTTGGCTCCTCGTTACTTATGCATATTTCTGTAGCCAGCTTGAATTTCTCCTCAGAAAGTGGGTTTTTCTTTTTTATTGCATTGTCAGGCTGCAAATTTTCTGAACTTTTATGCTCTGCTTCCCTTTTAAACGTAAGTTCCAATTCCAAACCATATCTTCATGAATACATAAAACTGAATGCTTTTAACAGCACCCGAGTTACCTTTTGAATGCTTTGCTTCTTGGAAATTCCTTCCACCAGATGCCCTAAATCATCTCTCTCAAGTTCAAAGTTCCACAGATCTCTAGGGCAGGGGCAAAATGCTGCCAGTCTCTTTGCTAAAACATAGCAAGAGTCACTTTTACTCCAGTTCCCAACAAATTCCTCATCTCTTTCTGAGACCACTTCAGCCTGGACTTCATTGTCCATATCACTATAGCATTTTGATCAAAGCCATTCAACAAGCCTCCAGGCAATTCCAAACTTTCCCACATCTTCCTGTCTTCTTCTGAACCCTCCACACTGTCCCAACTTCTGCCTGTTACCCAGTTCCAAACTCGCTTCCACATTTTTGGATATCTTTACAGTAGTGCCCCACTCTCAGGTACCAATTTACTGTATTAGTCTGTTTTCATGCTGCTAATAAAGACATATCTGAGACTGGATAATCTATAAAGGAAGGAGGTTTAATTGACTCACAGTTCTGTATGGCTAGGGAAGCCTCAGGAAACTTACAATTATGGCAGAAGGGGAAGAAAACATGTCCTTCTTCACATGGCAGCAGGAAGGAGAATGAGAATCCAGCAAAGGGGGAAGCCCCTATTAAAACCATCAGATCTTGTAAAACTTACTATCATGAGAACAGAATGGGGAAAACCACCCCCATGATTTAATTATCTCCACCTGGTCCCTCCCACAATATGTAGGGATTATGGGAACTACACTTCAAGATGAGATTTGGGTGAAGACAGCCAAACCATATCAGTCTCAGATGGAAATAAGGAATTTATTGGGAACTGGAGTAGAGGTCACCCATGTTACACCCTAGCAAAGAACTTGGCTGTATTATGTTCATGTCATAGGGATCTGTGGAAGTTTGAAGTTAAGAGTGATAACTTAGGGTATGAAGTGAATGACATTTCTAAGCAGCAATTGTTTAAGATATGGCCTGGCTGCTTTTAACAGCCTATGATCAGATGTGGGAGCAAAATTACTTAAAGTTGGAACTTATATTTAAAAGGGAAACAGAGTGTGAAAGTTTGAAAATTTTGCAGCCTGGACATATGGCAGAGAAAGAATCCAAGCAGATTGTGGAGCAAGCACTTGCTAGAGAGATCAGCATAGATAAAAGGGAGTCAAGTGCTAATATCCAAAACAATGGGGAAAAAAGACCTTGAAGGCATTTCAGGAATCTCTGAGACAGCCTCTCCTACCACAGGTTCAGAGGCCTAGGAAGAAAGAATGGTTTCGTGGGCCAGTCCCAGAGTACTGCTGCCCTGTGCAGCTTTGTGACAGTGCTCCCTGCTTCCTGGGTGCTCCAGCTCCAGCCTTGGCTCAAAGGACCCCAAGTACTGCTCATGCTGTTGCTCTGGAGAGTGCAAGCTGCCATAAGCCTTGGTGGCCTCCATGTTTTGTTAAGTCTGTGAGCATATGGATTGCAAGAGTGAAGGAGACTTGGCAGCTTCCCCCTAGATTTCAGGGGATATATGAGAAAGTCTGGGTGCCTAGGCAGAAGCCTGCTGCAGAGGTGGAGCCCTCATGGAGAACCTCTACTAGGGTAGTGAGGAGGGTAAATGTAGGGTTGGAACCCCTACACAGAGTCGCTACCAGGGCACTGCCCACCAGATACCAAAATGATAGATCCATCAGCAGCTTGCACCCTGCTTCTGGAAAAGCCACAGACACTCAACTGCAACCTGTGGGAGCAGCTGTGAGGGCTGTACCTTGCAAAGCCACAGGGGCAGAGCTGCCCAAGACCTTGGGAGCCAATCTTTTGCATCAGTATGGGCTGGATATGGGACATGGAGTCAAAGGAGATTATTTTGGAGCTTTAAGAGTTGATGACTCCTCTGCTGAGTTTCAGACTTGTTTGGGAACTATTACCCCTTTCTTTTGGCCAATTTCTCCCTTTTGGAATGGTAATGTTTACCCAATGCCTGTACTACCATTGTATCTTGGGATTAGATAACCCGCTTTGATTTTACAGGGTCATAGGTGGAAGGAGATGAGTCTCAGTTGAGATTTCGAACTTTGGGTTTGATGCTGGAATGAGTTAAGAGTTTTGGGCACTATTGGGAGCAGATGATTATATTTTGCAATGTGAGAAGGATATTAGATTTGAGGGGCCGGAGTGGAAAGATACAGCTTTCATATTTGTCCCAATCACATCTCATATTGAAATTTAATTGCCAATGTTGTAGGTGGGGCCTGGTGGGAAGTGTTTGGGTCATGAGTGCAGATCTTTCATGAATAACTTGGTGCTTTCCTTGAGACAGTGAGTTCTCATGAAATCTGGTTGTTTAAAGAGTGTGACACTTCTCCTTCTTTCTTGCTCTCACTCTCACCAATAATATGTCTGCTTCTGCTTTACATTCTGCCATGATTGTAAAGGTTCTGAGGCTTTCGCCAGAAGCAGATGCTGGAGCCATGCTGGGACACTCTGCAGAACTCTGAGCCAAGTGAACCTCTTTTGTTTATAAATTACCTAGTCTCAGGTATTTCTTTATAGCAATGTAAGAACAGCCTAACACAGATGCCTTTTATTTCGTTCTTTTGCCTGGTTGCTCTGGCTGTGACATCTAATACTATGTTAAATAAAAGTGGTGGAAGTTGGCATCCTTGTCTTACTTAAGTTCTTAGGTGAATTGCTTTCAACTTTTCCACATTCAGTATGATGCTGGCTGTGGTTTGGCATGAAGGGGTGGGTTGCCCCTCCACACCTGTGGGTGTTTCTCATTAGGTGGAACGGGAGACTTGGAAAAGAAAAAGACACAGAGACAAAGTATAGAGAAAGAAATAAGGAGACCCAGGGGACCAGCGTTCAGCATACGGAGGATCCCGCCAGCCTCTGAGTTCCCTTAGTATTTATTGATAATTCTTGGGTGTTTCTCGGAGAGGGGGATTTGTCAAGGGTCATAGGATAATAGTGGAGAGAAGGTCAGCAGATAAACACGTGAACAAAGGTCTCTGCATCATAGACAAGGTAAAGAATTAAGTGCTGTGCTTTAGATATGCATACACATAAACATCTCAATGCCTTACAGAGCAGTATTGCTGCTGCATGTCCCACCTCCATCCCTAAGGCAGTTTCCCCCTATCTCAGTAGATGGAACATACAATCGGGTTTTATACCGAGACATTCCATTGCCCAGGGAGGGGCAGGAGACAGATGCCTTCCTCTTGTCTCAACTGCAAAGAGGCATTCCTTCCTCTTATACTAATCCTCCTCAGCACAGACCATTTACGGGTGTCGGGCTGGGGGTCGGTCAGGTCTTTCCCTTCACACGAGGCCATATTTCAGACTGTCACATGGGGAGAAACCTTGGACAATACCTGGCTTTCCTAGGCAGCGGTCCCTGCGGCCTTCCACAGTGTTTGTGTCCCTGGGTACTTGAGATTAGGGAGTGGTGATGACTCTTAACCAGCATGCTGCCTTCAAGCATCTGTTTAACAAAGCACATCTTGCACCGCCCTTAATCCATTTAACCCTGAGTGGACACAGCACATGTTTCAGAGAGCACGGGGTTGGGGGTAAGGTTATAGATTAACAGCATCCCAAGGCTGAAGAATTTTTCTTAGTACAGAACAAAATGGAGTCTCCTATGTCTACTTCTTTCTACACAGACACAGTAACAATCTGATCTCTCTTTCTTTTCCCCACATTGGCAAAAATGTCCTTTATTATTTTGAGGTATGTTTCTTCTGTCTAGTGTGTTGAGGGTTTTTATCATGAAGGGAGGCTGAATTTTATCAAATTCTTTTCCACATTTGTTGAGATGATCGTAGGGTTTTTGTTTTTTAATTCTGTCTATGTGATGAATCACATTTATTGATTTACATATGTTGAGCCATCCTTGCATCTCTGCAATAGAACCCAGTTGATCATAATGTATCATCTTTTTGATGTACTGTTGGATTTGGTTTGCTAGTATTTTGCTGAGGATTTTTGCATCTATATTCATCAGAGATATTGATCTGTAGTTTTCTTTTTTAGTTGTGTCCTTACCTGGCTTTAGTATCAAGAGGATACTGACTCCATAGAATGAATTAGGGAAGATTTTCTCCTTCTTGATATTTTGGAGCAGTTTCAGTAGGAGTGGTACCAGTCATTCTTTCTGCATTAGATAGAATTCAGCTGTGAGTTCATCTAGTTCTGGGATTTTTAGTTGTTCTTGGGAAGCTTTTTATTACTGATTCAATTTTACTACTTTTTCAAATTGTTATGTTCAGGATTTCTATTTCTTTCTGGTTTAGTCTTTTGATATAATAGTATACTTTCTCCAGAAAGTTTGTTTATGGCTTTTATTGGATTTATTCCTGGCCACTTTATAGTTTATGCTGCTATCGTAAGTAGTATCATTTTTAAGAATTAAATTTTCTAACTGTGCTTCAGAATAGAAATACAATTAGTATTTTATTTAGTTTTTGCAGCTATAGCCTTTTTAGAACTCTTTCATTCTAATAATTTGATGATTCCTTTGGGTTTTCTGTATATAAATAATGACCACTTGGGGTCTTCTGCAATCCTTTTAGCTTTTGTTTAGTTTTTTTCCCCTGTACTAGTTAGGACCTCTAGTATGCTGAATAGAAATGGTGATAGCAAGCGTCTTTGTCTTGTTTCTGTCCTTAAGGAAAATACTTTCAACATTTTCTTGTCAAATTAAGATGTTTGTTATGTGGCTTTATATACAATTGCTCTTAGACACTAAGTTTGTTATGAGCTTTTAGCAAAAATTTTAAATTTTACCTAATTTATCTTTTTCTATCTAATGCTTTTTCTGTATTTATTGACATGGCAAATGATTGTTTTCTGTTCCTTAACCTGTCAATGCAGTGAATAAGAGTACTCAACTTTCAATCAATGAATCAAATTTGTGTTATTGGTACAAACCTTACTTGGTCAAGATATACGTATTCTTTTTCTTTCTGAGACAGGATCTCTGTTGCAGGCTGGAATGCAGTGGCACAATTTTGGCTCACTGCAACCTCCACCTCGTAGATTCAAGTGATTTTCTTGCCTCGGCCTCCCAAGTAGCTGGGATTACAGGCATGCACCACCATGCCTGGCTAATTTATTTATTTATTTATTATTATACTTTAAGTTTTAGGGTACATGTGCACGATGTGCAGGTTAGTTACATATGTATACATGTGCTATGCCGGTGTGCTGCACCCACCAACCCGTCAACTAGCATTAGGTATATCTCCCAATGCTGTCCCTCCCCCCCACACCCCACAACAGTCCCCAGAGTGTGATGTTCCCTTCCTGTGTCCATGTGTTCCCATTGTTCAATTCCCACCTATGAGTGAGAATATGTGGTGTTTGGTTTTTTGTTATTGCGATAGTTTACTGAGAATGATGATTCCCAATTTCATCCATGTCCCTACAAAGGACATGAACTCATCATTTTTTATGGCTGCATAGTATTCCATGGTGTATATGTACCACATTTTCTTAATCCAGTCTATCATTGTTGGACATTTGGGTTGGTTCCAAGTCTTTGCTATTGTGAATAGTGCCGCAATAAACGTATGTGTGCACGTGTCTTTATAGCAGCATGATTTATAGTCCTTTGGGTATATACCCAGTAATGGGATGGCTGGGTCAAATGGTATTTCTAGTTCTAGATCCCTGAGGAATTGCCACACTGACTTCCACAATGGTTGAACTAGTTTACAGTCCCACCAACAGTGTAAAAGTGTTCCTATTTCTCCACATCCTCTCCAGCACCTGTTGTTTCCTGACTTTTTAATGATTGCCATTCTAACTGGTGTGAGATGGTATCTCATTGTGGTTTTGATTTGCATTTCTCTGATGGCCAGTGATGATGAGCATTTTTTCATGTGTTTTTTGGCTGCATAAATGTCTTCTTTTGAGAAGTGTCTGTTCATGTCCTTCACCCACTTTTTGATGGGGTTGTTTGTTTTTTTCTTGTAAATTTGTTTGAGTTCATTGTAGATTCTGGATATTAGCCCTTTGTCAGATTAGTAGGTTGCGAAGATTTTCTCCCATTTTGTGGGTTGCCTGTTCACTCTGATGGTAGTTTCTTTTGCTGTGCAGAAGCTCTTTAGTTTAATGAGATCCCATTTGTCAATTTTGTCTTTTGTTGCCATTGCTTTTTGTGTTTTAGACATGAAGTCCTTGCCCATGCCTATGTCCTGAATGGTAATGCCTAGGTTTTCTTCTAGGGTTTTTATGGTTTTAGGTCTAACGTTTAAGTCTTTAATCCATCTCGAATTGATTTTTGTATAAGATGTAAGGAAGGGATCCAGTTTCAGCTTTCTACATATGGCTAGCCATGTTTCCCAGCACCATTTATTAAATAGGGAATCCTTTCCCCATTGCTTGTTTTTCACAGGTTTGTCAAAGATCAGATAGTTGTAGATATACAGCATTATTTCTGAGGGCTCTGTTCTGTTCCATTGATCTATATCTCTGTTTTGGTACCAGTACCATGCTGTTTTGGTTACTGTAGCCTTGTAGTATAGTTTGAAGTCAGGTAGCATGATGCCTCCAAGCTTTGTTCTTTTGGCTTAGGATTGACTTGGCAATGCAGGCTCTTTTTTGGTTCCACGTGAACTTTAAAGTAGTTTTTTCCAATTCTGTGAAGAAAGTCATTGGTAGCTTGATGGGGATGTCATTGAATCTATAAATTACCTTGGGTAGTATGGCCATTTTCACGATATTAATTCTTCCTACCCATCAGCATGGAATGTTCTTCCATTTGTTTCTATCCTCTTTTGTTTCATTGAGCAGTGGTTTGTTGTTCTCCTTGAAGAGGTCCTTCACATCCCTTGTAAGTTGGATTCCTAGGTATTTTATTCTCTTTGAAGCAATTGTGAATGGGAGTTCACTCCTGATTTGGCTCTCTGTTTGTCTGTTATTGGTGTATAAGAATGCTTGTGATTTTTGTACGTTGATTTTGTATCCTGAGACTTTGCTGAAGTTGCTTATCAGCTTAAGGAGATTTTGGGCTGAGACAATGGGGTTTTCTAGATAAACAATCATGTCATCTGCAAACAGGGACAATTTGACTTCCTCTTTTCCTAATTGAATACCCTTTATTTCCTTCTCCTGCCTGAATTCCCTGGCCAGAACTTCCAACACTATGTTGAATAGGAGTGGTGAGAGAGGGCATCCCTGTCTTGTGCCAGTTTTCAAAGGGAATGCTTCCAGTTTTTGCCCATTCAGTATGATATTGGCTGTGGGTTTGTCATAGATAGCTCTGATTATTTTGAGATACGTCCCATCAATACCTAATTTATTGAGAGTTTTTAGCATGAAGGGTTGTTGAATTTTGTCAAAGGCCTTTTCTGCATCTATTGAGATAATCATGTGGTTTTTGTCTTTGGCTCTGTTTATATGCTGGATTACATTTATTGATTTGTGTATATTGAACCAGCCTTGCATCCCAGGGATGAAGCCCACTTGATCATGGTGGATAAGCTTTTTGATGTGCTCCTGGATTCGGTTTGCCAGTATTTTATTGAGGATTTTTGCATCAATGTTCATCAAGGATATTGGTCTAAAATTCTCTTTTTTGATTGTGTCTCTGCCCGGCTTTGGTATCAGGATGATGCTGGCCTCATAAAATGAGTTAGGGAGGATTCACTCTTTTTCTGTTGATTGGAATAGTTTCAGAAGGAATTGTACCAGTTCCTCCTTGTACCTCTGGTAGAATTTGGCTGTGAATCCATCTGGTCCTGGACTCTTTTTGGTTGTTAAACTATTAATTATTGCCACAATTTCAGCTCCTTTTATTGGTCTATTCAGAGATTCGACTTCTTCCTGGTTTAGTCTTGGGAGAGTGTATGTGTCGAGGAATTTATCCATTTCTTCTAGATTTTCTAGTTTATTTGCGTAGAAGTGTTTGTAGTAATCTCTGATGGTAGTTTGTATTTCTGTGGGATCGGTGGTGATATCCCCTTTATCATTTTTTATGGCATCTATTTGTTTCTTCTAGAGATGGGGTTTCACGCCATGTTGCCCCAGGCTGGTCTTGAACTCTTGACCTCAAGTGATTCACCTTCCTCAGCTGCCCAAAGTGCTGGAATTACAGGCGTGAGCCACTGCACCCGGCCTAGGTTATATATATTCTTATACACTGCTGTATTCATTTAACTAGGTTTATGTGTGTGTGGGTGACAAGTGATTTTAGTTTAGTTTTTATTGCTTAGTGTATTCTAGTTTGGTTTTGGTATCAAATGTAAGCTTGCCTCATACAATGAGTAAAGAGTGTTTCCTCTGTGTGATTATTTGAAGAGTTTATATGAAATTGTCTTCTCTTTTTTTTTGGTAGAATTTACCTGTAAAGTCATCAGTACTGCACATTTTGTTAATAGAAAGGTTAACTACTGATTTAAATTCTTTGATGTTTATTGGTTTGAATCATTCAATTTTTCTCTTGAGTCAGTTTTAATATTTTGTATTTTTATAGTAATTTATCCATTTCATTTACATTTTCAAATTTTCTCCTCTAAACTATTAGTAATACATGACCATAACATCCTCTCATTTTTCTTTTTGTGGGAGCCTGTCTCTCCATCAAGCCAAGAATCTCCTTTAATGATATCTAGGACAGGTTGTTCCTCCTCGTCTGTCAGTGACCCATCAGCCTGTTGAGTACTGGGGAAGCACAGTGCCTGTTACTGGCAAGTTTACTGCCTTCATTCTTTCTAATCTTGATCTTTTATGCTGAAGTGTTAGTTTATCTATTCTCAGAAGACATTTGGACAAAAATGCTATTTTTAATTTCAAATGAAAATTATGTTGTTAGAATTAGTCTCTGTATAAATCAGAGTCACATTTTAAATTTTCCTAGGACTTGGTTGGTTTTCTCAGCACACTCTCAGCTCCTGGCAGGTTTGCATAGAGCAGGCAACAATGGGAAAGTGCTCACAGAAAATTTTGCATCTATAAGTGGATAGGGAGGTGATGGAATAGGGCATATGTGGGAAGATACAGGAAAAGGAAAACTGTTCTTACTCCTTACCCGCCCCCCCCATAGGAGATGGTGCTGTACAGCGGGAAAGAGAATTGGATTATAGTTTTCTGCTCCCTAATTGTAACTTTCTTTTTCATTTATTTCAGGAAGTTATATATACAATGGTGTAAAATTGAAAAGTTATTAAAAACTATACAGAGAAAAAACTTCATTTTCACGCCTGACCTCTACTTCCCTTACTGGAGTAACGACTCCATTTTATTGTTTTCTTCCGGAGATATTCTATCTATATAAGCATAGTGGTATATTGCTTAAAAATACACAAATAACACTGCCTGTGTGATTTTAGGAAAATCTCTTGAACTTCATTATTAACTTCTTTAAATTCCTAGATGAAAATACTTACACAAACCTGGAAAAACTCAGTGATTTTGTAGAAATCAATCAAGTAGTGTTTGTGAACATGTTTGGAAAATCATCAGTTATTTTATAAGTTTGAGATGGAGGGAGGGTAGTCATGAAAGTTTTACTTTTCTACACAAAAGACAATGAGTCACATGGGATCTGACTTGACAAGAGTGATTCTGAATTGGCAGCCTGGCTGTGTGTCAGCAGCCCCCTGGCTAATTCCTCTCATAGTGTGTTGGGGTTTTCTTCATGGCTAATGAGGAGATCTATTCGCTTGAGATAGGAAGTGGAAGCTTGCCAGAGTGTGAGACACCTCACTTTCCTCCCTCCCTCCTTCCCTTTGCCCTTCCTCACGTTTAGGGAGTTAGTATTGGAACTTTGGCTGATGCAACAGTTTGAGTCACTGTCTCTCTGTGCTGTGGGATCCACTCACTTTTAATGGGGAGTTGATGGAATCACTCCTCCCTCCCCCACCCTGACTTCCTCCTCTAATTGGCTCTCAGGGGACTCCAACTCCTGCTAATCAACCATGGCAGAGCTGCTGCAGAGAGCCCGAAACTGGCACTCAGGGACCTAGGTTCTGTTGTGACTCTGCTCCTTCAACTTTCTTTTCTAATCTGTTAAAACAACTTTGCCTTTGGATTAGGCCTGGGAGAATGGGGTTCCTTTGGGCATTGCCTTTGCAGAGACAGTTTTAATAATGCCAGCATCTTCTAGACTTTGCCAACTATTGTGTTCAGCTTGAATCTTTTTATTCATGGTGGCAGAGAGGGGAAAAGATTAGGTATCTGTTTCATGTGTCCACAGTGGGGGAGGCAAATGATAGGAGAAAAGAGAAGATGAAAGAGCATATCATTTGAGGAATGTGAGCCTCAACATATTGGTCCACATACTGCTTCTCTATTAGCAAAAGGCCTTGTGGAAAACTTACCTTGTCTGCTTCTGTTTGTCACTGCCCAGAGGAAAGTAAACCTAGTTGTGCAGCTTTGGCCAATATTATTATTGGGTTACATTTAAAAAAGTTATTTTAAAAATAGGCTTTGTCTTTTAAAGCAGTTTCAGGTTCACAGCAATATTGAATAGAAAGTACAGAGGGTTTCTATATACCTCTTCACCAACCTTATGCCCAACCTTCCCCATTATCAATGTCCCATCCCAGAGTGGTACACTTCCTATAATTCATGAGCCTACATTGACACATCCTTATCACTCCAAGTCCATGGTTTATATTGGAGTTCACTCTTAGTGTTGTACATTTTATGGGTTTTGACAAATGTATACTGACATGTATTTATTAAACTATCATACAGAATCGTTTCATTGCTGTACAATCCTATGTGTTCTACCTGTGTGTCCTTATCTCCCCTCCTCCCTCACCCCTGGAAACCACTATCTTTTTTCATTTTTTAATTAAAAATTTTTTTTTCTTATGCCTCCCAGGGCTTCCTTGCTAGAAACCACTATCTTTTTACTGTTTCTATACTTTTGCCTTTTTCAGAATGTCATAAAATTGGAATCAGAGTATGTACCTTTTCAGGTTGACTCCTTACTCCATGGATTACCTTTCAAAATGGACATTTAAAAATAATTTTAGAATGATACTAAAGCTACAATAGAGGGTAAGTGTATCTATGGCATACCCAAGCATATTTGTGTAACCTCTTTTTTGGGGGTTGGGGGAACAGGGTCTCGCTCTGTTATTCAGGTTAGAGTTCAGTGGAATGATCATAGCTCACTGCACCCATAAACTCGTGGTCTTAAGCAATCCTCCTACCTCAGTCTCCCACATAGCTGGGACATTAGCCACCAAGCCTGGCTAATTTAAAAAAAATTCTTAGTAGAGGCCGGGTGCAGTGGCTCACACCTGTAATCCCAGCACTTTGGGAGGCCGAGGCAGGCGGATCATGAGGTCAGGAGATCGCGACCATCCTGGCTAACACGGTGAAACCCCGTCTCTACTAAAATACAAAAAAAAAATTAACCGGGCTTGGTGGTGGGCACCTGTAGTCCCAGCTACTGGGGAGGCTGAGGCAGGAGAATGGCGTGAACCCGGGAGGCGGAGCTTGCAGTGAGCCGAGATCGCACCACTGCACTCCAGCCTGGGTGGCAGAACGAGACTCCATCTCAAAAAAAAAAAAAAAAATTATTAGTAGAGATGAGGTCTTACTATGTTAACCAGGCTGGTCTCAAACTCTTGGATTCAAGTGATCCTCCTGCCTCAATCTCCCAAAGTGCTGTGATTATAAGTGTGAGCCACTGTGCCTGGCCTGTAACCTTTGTTTTGACAAATGGATAGTATTAAAGGAAATTTTCTTGATACGCAGTTTAGTCTGTTCTTGGACAAGCAATGCAGTAGGTTTGACTTTGAGTGCTTTATTACTAACACTTTCTGGCCAGGCCACAGTTAAGGTCCGGTTGGAAAACACTTGTTGAGGTTTGAATTGTAACCTTTTTACTGGATGATAGGGTATTTTTTAGCCCATAGATAAACTTGCTTAAAAAACCAAGAAAGACACTGAAATCTCAGTCTATACATAGTTTCATCAGTGTTTATTGGGAACTGTGTTCTGGATAAAGCAATCGTATGTATACATTTTTATTATGTAATGTATAAGTGATTTGTAAATTATAAAGATCTCCTACGATACTGTGGTGTCTTCTAGATAGAAAATATATCTTTCTAAAATGTGTGCCTAATTCTAGTGTAGTGTCAATTTATAGTACACAATAAATATTTAATGAATAAACATTATTCTGTTGTTGATTACAATTCTCTGAACGCATATTTTTCTATACCTGCTTACTTTAGATTTATAAGATTAGATTCTCACATTTTTTTCATGCATTTACATATTTATATTGATAGGATAAACAAACAAACAAACAGAAAAAGCTTCATGGTCCTGTTTATCTTTGCTCAGGGCAGGATGGCTGTAGAGGAGGTTACACCAGAATCTCAGCAGATAAATATAGAAATAGATCCAGGGTGATGGGATTTTAGAGCATGGTCCCACTGAATGGGAGAGTACATAGTTGGCCAGTGTGGATACGGAAAAAGCAATGCTTCCCAGGATATATGGAATCCCAGTGAGGGGATAAGCCCCCTATCCTTTTCATTTTCTCCAGTTTTGCTTCTCTTTGTACTCCTTTTCTGGTGTGGTCATTTTCTGTTTGCCCTGCCAGATGGTTGAACTATTGGGAGGGAGAACTATATCCTTCCTTTTATTTATTTGCCTGTTGCTGTAGCACAGGCAAGCAAAGAGGAAAACTTTACTTCCTAAAGTCATAAGTGTTTATGGGACACCTTCTCTAGTATTGGATATAGCCATACAAGGGTTTGAAGATGAATAAGGTCATACAGCTGGTAAGTGGTAAGCCTAGGCTTAAGTCTGGGTCTCTTGCCACCAAGTCAGTACTTTTATGCCAGGCTGTTTTGTGGGGTTATTATGTCAAAGTAGGAAAGTGAAAATAATTGCTTTCTTATTTAAACCCATGAAAATATAATGCAAGAAAGATTAAATTCTGTTTAGATTAGTGAATACAGTGCCTAATTCTTCTTGAGTGTTTAGATTTAATTTTTCAATGCAGTTTTTTCATGTATTTGATGTTTATACTTTCCTGTTTTATAGAAAAATATATAATTGAGGATAAAACTGTGTTAATCTAGCCTTTTAGTAAACCACTTCTTTGGATTTCTAGTTATACTGTTAGAACATAACCAGTGTGGTAGTTTTCTTAATATTATCTTTCAAGACCCTAGGAAAAAGTAAGCAGCCAAAGTCAAACCTCAGAATGATGGCAAATTTTATTCTAAAAAATATGAGAAGATCTTATTAAACCAAGGGGTAAATTGAGTTGGTGGTTGTAGTAAATACTATTATGAAAAATAGAAGGCTGGACATGGTGGCTCACACCTGTAATCCCAGCACTTTGGGAGGCTGAGGTGGGAGGATCGCTTGAGCTCAGGAGTTTAAGACTAGCCTGGGCAACATAAGGAGACCCTGTCTCTATGAAAAAATACAAAAAAAAAATTAGCTGGGCATTGTGGTGTGTGCCTGAAATCCCAGTTACTTGGGAAGCTAAAGTGGAAGGATTGCATGAGCCTAAGAGTTGGAGGCTGTAGTGAGCAATGATCACACCACTGCACTCCAGCCTGGGTGACAGAGAGAAACCCTGTCTCAAAAAAAAAAAAAAAAAAAAAAAATGCTTGCCCAGGGATGGCATGTTTAGAGAACTGAGGAGAGCACAGAATTAGAATAATACAGACAAGTTGTATTGGATAGGATCAACCTCTCAAGAGTGTTCATAAAGTTTTCCTTTATTTATTTATTTTTTAAGACAGAGTCTCACTCTGTCGCCCAGACTGGAGTGCAGTGGCACAATCTTGGCTCCCTGCAACCTCCACCTCCTGGGTTCAAGTTATTCTCCTACCTCAGCCTCCTAAATAGCTGGGATTACAGGCGTGCACCACCATGCCTGGCTAATTTTTGCATTTTTAGTAGAGATGTGGTCTCACCATGTTGGCCAAGCTGGTCTTGAACTCCTGACCTCAAATGATCCACCCACCTTGACCTCCCAAAGTACTGGGATTACAGGCATGAGCCACTGTGCCCAGCCGAGTTCATAAAGTTTTAAAGCTCTAAATATATTCATCTTTAAGAACAATTCTTGGAGGAGAAACTGAATTAGAGTAACTTAATTTCACCAGGATATTATAGAGATTCATCAACTGAACAGACGTGCTGTTCTTTAAGGCAGTGCTTAGAAAATGGTACATTAAGAAAATGATGTTTGACATAGTGGAGTAAACTAGAAGGGATTTGGAGGCATCTGTATAGATTTTGTTGAAAAATGTCTTATTTTTTTATTAGAAGAAAAATATAACAATATGATTAAATTCATAACAAAAATTCAAATGTATTAAATTTTAAATTTCTATAAAATTTGTAAATAAAATATTTTCCTTTTTTTCTTTTTTTTTCTTTTCACTGACCACATCTACTTGGACCAAATTTTCAATAAAAACTTTCAGCTTGTTTATATATATGTAAGTTTATTTATTTATTTATTTATTTAGATGGAGTTTTGCTCTGTGGCCCAGGCTGGAGTGCAGTGATAACGATCTTGGCTCACTGCAACCTCTGCCTCCCAGGTTCAAGCGATGCTCCTGCCTCAGCCTCCCAAGTACCTGGGACTATAGGTGCACACCACCATGCCTGGCTAATTTTTGTATTTTTAGTAGAGACGGGGTTTCATATATTGCCAGGCTGCTCTTGAACTCATGACCTCAATTGATTCACCCCCCTCGCCCTCCAAAAGTGCTGGGATTACAGGCATGAGCCACTGTGCCTGGGCATAAATTTTAAATATGTAACTTTTAATACTAGTTTTTTTGCTTGGTTTGGTTCATACAATTCCTGATAGAAACTTCAAGTAATGATCTCTTCAACTTCTAGATAATCACCAGTGATGAGAAGTTTTCTTTGCAATGTACATGGTAGCAAGTGGTAGAAGGTATATATTGCCTTTTCTATATTTTTATATTTTACTATAATAATAGTTGGACATCTTTCTATTAATGAGAGCTTGGATAAATCAGTTTTTATGGATTGTGCTTAGGGTGTGATTATGCCTTAAGTCTCATAGCTCTTCTTTTCCTGTCATTGACAAATGTAATGTTAAAGGGTCTTGTGAGGAAACTTTTAACAGTACATTAATAGTGAATCAAACTTTCTTATATCAAGTATAAAAAAATGGCTAAGATTTCCCTCAAGCATATACCAGTATTGCTCTACTAGTCTTAATAAATCTTCAGGATTCAAATAATAAACCTGACTAAACATTACTAGTGAACCACTGTTTTTTGTTTGTTAGTTTTTTTGAAACAGAGTCTCTCGGTCTGTCGCCCAGGTTGGAGTGCAGTGGCATGGTCTCTACTCACTGTGACCTCTGGCTCCTGGGCTCAAGCCACTTTTGTGCCTCTTGAGTAGCTGGGACTGCAGATGTGTGCCACCACGCCCAGCTAATTTTTTGTTTGTTTGTTTTTGTAGAGATGGGGTTTTGCCATCTGGCCAGGCTGGTTTTGAACTCTTGAGCTCAAGTGATCCGTACACCTTGGCCTCCCAAAGTGTTGGGATTACAGGTGTGAACCACCACACCCAGCCTAGTAAACCACTTTAAGCTTACTTTTTAAAAGTTGTCTTTTGTTTTGAATCTATATACATTTTCAGTACATTAATATAATTAATGTAGGCCTTGGTATTTTTGAATGAGATCATTCAGGTGATCAGAAATATCAGGTAAGCCATTTTTTTAAAAAATAAACTTTTATTTTGGAATAATTTTATATTTACAGAAAAATTTCAAAGATAATATAGAGAATCTCCACATATTCCTTACCAGTTTCCCCCACTGTTAACAACTTCTATTTCCATCTCCATGGTACATTAAGAAGCTAACTACTTAACTAACATGTTGTTAGTAACTAAATTCCAGATTTTATTTGGATTTCACCAATTTTCCATTAATGCCCTTTCTTTCTTTCAGGATCTGATCCAGTGTACAACATTTCATTTAGATGTCATGTCTCTCCATCCGAGTCTGTGAAAGTTTCTGTCTTTTCTTGTTTTTTTTATGACCTTGACAGTCCAGAGGAGTATTGTGTAGAATGATCCCCATTCAGGGTTTGATGTTTTTCTGCATGATTAGACTGTAGTAATGGATTTTGGGGAAACAGACCATGCAGATGAAGTGCCTTTCTCAATACATCTGTATTAGTCAATTTTCGCACTGCTATAAAGAAATACCTGGGACTGCATAATTTATAAATAAAAGAGGTTTAATTGGCTCATGGTCTTGCAGGCTTCACAGGAAGCACAATGGCTTCTGGGGAGGCTTCAGGAAACTTTGGCGGAAAGCGAAGGAGAAGCAGGCATGTTTTAGATGGTTGGAGCAGAAGGAAGAGAGAGAGAGAGAGGGCAGAGGTGCTATACACTTTTCAACAACCAGATCTCATAAAAAACTCTTATCATGAGAACAGCACCAAAGGGAGAATTCTGCCTTCATGATCTTACCAACTCCCACCAGGCCCCACCTCCAACACTGGGGATTACAATGCGACATGAGATGTGGGTGGGGACACAAATCCAAACCATATCAGCATCATATCAGAGGTAAACAATATCACATGACATCACTGGTGATGTTAGTCTTCATCACTTGGTCAATGTAGTGTTTGCCATGTTTCGCCACTCTAAAGTTACTATTTTCCCTTTTCCCTAATATTCTTAGGAAGTAAGTCACTAAGTCTAGGCCACCTTTGGGGAAAGGGGATTAAGCTCCACCTCCTGGGGGAGTATATACATACATTATTTGGAAGTCATCTGTAAGGAAAATTTGTCTCCCCTTTTCTGTTTATTTATTCAGTCATTTATTAACACCAGTGTGTACTTACATATATTTATTTCATAGTTTGGGTTATAATCCAATACTACCCTATTATTTTCTTGCTCAAATTGTGCCAGCTGATCTTGAGAGCTCTTTTAGATTGGCTCTTGTATCACCTTCATGTGTTTCTATCCTTTTGAGTTTTGAGTACTTTTTGGTACTACAAAATTCGCTGGGTTCATTCTGTATTTTCCTTGTCCCAGCCCTAGAAACAGTCATTTCTTGAAGGAGCCCTACTACCTTTTATTGGAGAATGGTATTTTAAAACCAAGATCTGGGTGCTGAGTGCTTATTGCTTCTAGGCACTTTTGGCAGACAAAACTACATAATATATGTCTTTATACATATATTATGCATGTACATACACGTGTCCATACTTATTTCTATATCTGTGTATATATTACACTAAATATGAATTTATAAGGGTGTCTCTGACTCTAACCAGTAGCACAGAGTTTATTCTTGCTTTGTTTTCTTGCTTTACTGTAATGTCTCTCTTTGATGGGCTGGTAGGCTGCTGAAAGATGGCCATCCCAAGATGTCTATATTATAATTTCTGTAACTTTTAGATGTGTTACTTCACATGGCAAAAGAGAGTTCACATATATTATTAGGCTAAAGATCTTGTAATGTGGGAGTTTATCCTGAATTATCTGGGTGGGTCAATGTCATTACAGGAGTCCTTATTAGAGAGAGGCAGGAGGGTTGAAGACAAAGAAGGCAATGTGATAACTAAAGGGGGGAGGGAGGGAGGGATGGAAGGAGGGAGAGAGAGAAAGAGAGAGAGAGAGAGATATGAAGAGAGATACTAAGATTAGAAGATCCTATGCTGCTAGATTTGAAGATGGAGGAACAGGCCATTAGCTAAAGAATGTAGGTGGGCTCTAGAAGCTGGCAAAGTCAAAGAAAACAGATTCTCCAGAGCATCAAGAGGCAACCTGGACGTCTTTACTTTAGTGAGGCTGATTCTGGACTTCTGACTTCCAGAACTACAGGATAATGAATAAGTGTTTGTTGTTTTAAGCCACTAAATTGGTGGTAATTTGTTGCAGCATGTATTAGTCCATTCTCACACTGCAGTAAGGAACTACCTGGCCAGGCGCGGTAGCCCACGCCTGTAATCCCAGCACTTTGAGAGGCCGAGGTGGGCGGATCATGAGGTCAGGAGATTGAGACCATTCTGGCTAACATGGTGAAACCCTGTCTCTACTAAAAATACAAAAAATTAGCTAGGCGTGGTGGCGGGCACCTGTAGTCCCAGGTACCCAGGAGGCTGAGGCAGGAGAATGGTGTGAACCTGGGAGGCAGAGCTTTCAGTGAGCCGAGATCGCGCCACTGCACTCCAGCCTGGGTGACAGAGCAAGACTCCATCTAAAAACAAACAAACAAACAAACAAAAAACTACCCGAGACTGGGTAACTTTTAAAGAAAAGAGGTTTAACTGACTCACAGTTCCACAGACTGTATAGGAGGCATGGCTGGAAAGGTGTTAGGAAACTTACAATCATGATGAAAGAGTGAAGGGTAAGCAAGCACATCTTCACATGGCAGAAGAGAGAGACAGCAAAGTACTACACACTTTCAAACAATCAGATCTAGTGAGAACCCACTATTATGAGAAGAGTAAGGGGGGAATATCCCCCCCACGATCCAATCACCTCCTACCAGGTCCCTCCCCCAACACTGGGAATTACAATTCGACATGAGATTTGGGTGGGACACAGAGCCAAATGATATCACAGCAGCAATGAGAAACTGAGGAACCTGGATTCTACCATCTACCAATCATTTACTTACTTGTTTAACCACAGTATACTTTTGAAGCTGTTTTAGATGCAGTTTCAGAATCGCTAACCACACCACTATAAAGAAATCAACCAACTAAAGCACAGTATTTATGTACAATTGCTTTTATCTTTAGCCTTACAATTTCCAATCAAAGCACCCTTTTTGAAGTTACTTAGATTAGTGCCTCTTTTCCCTACCCCTGTCAGTGTAGATATGTCACTTATTTGTGATATGGTTAGATTCATTTGTCACAGTCTTTATCCCATCTTTGGATTCCCCTACATCTTGGTTTATTCTTTTCTAGATGCGTACATTAAAATTCACTTTTTGTGATGTACAGTTCTATGGGTTTTGACACATGCATGGAGTTATGTATCTACTACCCACCCCAGTACCATAAAAAATAATTCCGTCACTCTAAAAGTTTTCCTGTGCATTTTCTTTGTTGTCAACCACTCCCTTCGTTCTTTTTTTTTCTTTCCTTTTTTTTTTTGAGACAGGGTCTCACTCTGTCACCAGGCTGGAGTGCGGTGGCATGATCTTGGCTCACTGCAACCTCTGCCTCCTGGGTTCAAGCGATTCTTCTGCCTCAGCCTCCTGAGTAGCTGGGACTACAGGCATGCGCCACCGTGCCCAGCTAATTTTTGTATTTTTAGTAGAGATGGGGTTTCACCATGTTGGCCAGGATGGTCTTGATATCTTGACCTCGTGATCTGCCCACCTCGGCTTCCCAAAGTGCTGGGATTACAGGTGTGAGCCACTGCACCCGGCCTCCCTTCTTTCTTATCCCTTGGCAATTACTACTGTGTTTTCCATCCCTATAGCTTTGCTATTTCCAGAATATTATTGTATTAATGGAATCATGCAATATGTAGTCTTTTGGATTGTTCTTTCACTTCTAAAATGCATTTAAGATCATCTATGGCTGTGTTGTTACATGATTCAATGGCTCATTCCTTCTTGTTGCTGAGTAATATTCCATTGTATGGATATACCACAGCTTATCTATTTCCTTGTTGAAGACATTTTAGTTGCTTTCAGTTTTTAGTGACTATGAATAAAACTGGTATAGACGTTTGTATATAGATTTTTGTGTGGACATGTTTTAAAATCACCTGGGTAAATACTTAGAAATATGATTGCTGGCTATATGGTTAAGTTTTATACTTAGTTTTATAAGAAACTGCCACACTGTCTTCCAGAGTGGCTGTATCATTTTGCATTCCCACCAACAATGATTGAGAGTTTGCTATTCTGCATCCTTGCCAGCATTTATTATTGTCAGTCTTTTGGATTTTAGCCATTTTAATGGGTGTGTAGTGGCAATTCATTGTAGTTTTAATTTATTGCTTTAATGACATGATGTTGAGCATCTTTTCATGTGTTTATTTGCCGTTTGTATATTACAGTATGTACACCAAACTCCCGTGACATGCAAGTTACCTATATAACAAACCTGTACATGTACCCCTGAACCTAAAATAAAATTAAAAAATAAAATAAAGCAGGTTGCATATATACAAAAATAATTGCTATTTTAGCAATAGCTGTGCATTCATCAAGTTGATGGAAAATAATTTGCTAATTTTATTCTGTGGTCTAGTTTTTTTTTTCATTTTTTAAATTGTAAAATACATATAGCAGAAAATTTACCAACTTAACCACCATTAAATGTACAATTCAATGGTTTTAAGCAAATTCATACTGTTGTACAACCATCATATGGTCTAGTTATTTAATACATTGAGCTATGGAGTCATTAAAAAGTAGTAGTTGAGCTATCTTCATTGCCACTGATTCATTCAAGATTTGCTGGAAATCATCTTTGATACAGTCTTTAACTAATGACTCAGAATGGTATATGTTTTTTTAGGTTTAGCAACTTGAATGCTTAGGTTTAGCAAGAGATAATGCTCAAATATGTTCCATAAGAACATATTCCATATGTTCACATGGAATAATGAGCCTTTACTTTAAAAAAATTTTTAATTCAATAATATTTGCTTAAAAAATTCTTTGGTTTTGAACTTAGGTCTATGTTTTGTATGCAAAAGATGCTTACTTTTTGATGGTTTCATTGCATCATTAGCCAATATATCTCTGCAAAATAACACACTATGGTTTTAGTACTTCACACTCAACTATAGCTATGTAATTAAAAATACATGAAGGTTCATACTTTTGAGTAAAACTAGTAGGGACTAGTCTTCATTTCTTGGGAAACATTTCATTGCTATCGTCTGGTTTTTTACAATGTCTACATTCAGAAAGGATGTATCTTTTCTTGAAAAGGAGTCCAGTAAAGTTTATTTTGTCATAAATAAATTAGGATTAAAAATAACATAAATTATATTTCCAAAATTTATACTATTAATTAACAATTTAAAAGGATTATGAAAATAAGCTATAAAAATAAAGTATATGCTTTCTCAATTTTTTTTTACTTTTGATTATAGTTTACAAACCAACTTTAAAATATTACATCTTAATGCAGTTCAACTGTGCATGACTAGTATAAATGGATAGTACTACAATACTCAAACTTGTTTATATCTTGTTCAAGGAGAAGAGACAACTGATCATGTGCTTGGATGTTACCACAATATTGAATTGCTGTAAAAGTTTCTAAAGCTTTCTCTCAATTTCTGTTCTTTTCTCATTGCAGACCATACTTTAAGAAACACTGTCTGAGATTAGGTCACCGTCCTATCCTCTTTTGACTCCTGCAGTACTCTTATAATCTGTCCCCTCCCTTTACCCTTGACCTTTCTTCTCCAGTGTGTTCTTTGGCCTGTCGTGGTGGCTCATGCAGATAATCCCAGCACTTTGGTAGGCTGAGGCAGGAGGATTGCTTGAGCCCAAAAGTTCAAGACCAGCCTGGGCAACAAAGTGAGAATTCATTTCTACAAAAAATACAAAAAATTAGCTGGTTGTGGTGGTGTGTGCCTGTAGCACTGGCTACTCGGGAAGCTGAGGTGGGAGGATCACCTGAGCCCTGGAGGTCAAGTCTGCAGTGAGCTATGATGATGCCACTGTCCTCCAGCCTGGGCTACAAAATGAGACCCTGTCTGAAAAAACAACAAAAGAAACCTTGACCTTTATTCTCCAGTGTGTTCTTTATCCTGTGGTCATACTGATCTTTCAAAAATGTAAATGATTATATCATTCCTGAGTCAAACCTTTCAAACATTTCTCATTGGTCTTAGGATAAAATCCAAAGTTCTCATTTTGATGTATATTACCTTCAGTGAGCTGGCCAATGCTTACCCCTGTTATGTTTTGACATTTCTTCCTTACACTGTATATTCCAGCCAAAACAAACTAATTTTAGTTTCCTGAATGCTTACTCACTTTCATTTCTGATCTTTTGTAAATATTGTTCCTTCTCTTCCATCTCAGTTCATCAGATAATTCCTATTCACCCAGTAGGTGTCAGCAGCTTAGATGTTACTTCTCCTTAACAATTTCCCCATCACCTCCCCATACACCCTTAGATCTTGACTGGGTTATGTGCTACTCTCATGTGCCCTGACAGCATTCTATACTCACTCTGTTATAGCATTTCCCACACTAAATTAAAATTGGCTTTTCATTTATCTGTTTCCCCTCCCTTACACTGTATGTACCATGAGACATAGTGCATTTTGAGGAAACATGAGTGTAGGCAACTGTAGAAAATTCACTTTGTTCAAAAGCTGGAGGCATCACGCTACCTGACTTCAAACTATACTACAAGGCTACAGTAATCAAAACAGCATGGTACTGGTACCAAAACAGAGATATAGACCAATGGAACAGAACAGAGCCCTCAGAAATAATGCCGCATACCTACAACTATCTGATCTTTGACAAACCTGACAAAAACAAGAAATGGGGAAAGGATTCCCTATTTGATAAATGGTGCTGGGAAAACTGGCTAGCCATATGGAGAAAGCTGAAACTGGATCCCTTCCTTACACCTTATACAAAAATTAATTCAAGATGGATTAAAGACTTACATGTTAGACCTAAAACCATAAAAACCCTAGAAGAAAACCTAGGCAATACCATTCAGGACATAGGCATGGGCAAGGACTTCATGTCTAAAACACTGAAAGCAATGGCAACAAAAGCCAAAATTGACAAATGGGATCTAATTAAACTCAAGAGCTTCTGCACAGCAAAAGAAACTACCATCAGAGTGCACAGGCAACCTACAGAATGGGAGAAAATTTTTGCAACCTACTCATCTGACAAAGGGCTAATATCCGGAATCTACAATGAACTCAAACAAATTTACAAAAAAAAAAAAACAAACAACCCCATCAAAAAGTGGGCAAAGGATATGAACAGACACTTCTCAAAAGAAGACATTTATGCAGTCAAAAAACACATGAAAAAATGCTCACCATCACTGGCCATCAGAGAAATGCAAATCAAAACCACAATGAGATACCATCTCACACCAGTTAGAATGGCAATCATTAAAAAGTCAGAAACAACAGGTGCTGGAGAGGATGTGGAGAAACAGGAACACATTTACACTGTTGGTGGGACTGTAAACTAGTTCAACCATTGTGGAAGTCAGTGTGGCAATTCCTCAGGGATCTAGAACTAGAAATACCATTTGACCCAGCCATCCCATTACTGGGTATATACCCAAAGGATTATAAATCATGCTGCTATAAAGACACATGCACACGTATGTTTATTGCGGCACTATTCACAATAGCAAAGGCTTGGAACCAACCCAAATGTCCAACAATGATAGACTGGATTAAGAAAATGTGGCACATATACACCATGGAATACCATGCAGCCATAAAAAATGATGAGTTCATTTCCTTTGTAGGGACATGGATGAAGCTGGAAACCATCATTCTCAGCAAACTATCACAAGGACAAAAAACCAAACACTGCATGTTCTCACTCATAGGTGGGAACTGAACAATGAGAACACATGGACACAGGAAGGGGAACATCACACACCAGGCCCTGTTGTGGGATGGGGGGAGGGGGAGGGATAGCATTAGGAGATATACCTAATGTTAAATGATGAGTTAATGGATGCAGCACACCAACATGGCACATGTATACATATGTAACAAACATGCACGTTGTGCACATGTACCCTAAAACTTAAAGTATAATAATAATAAAATTTAAAAAAAAAAGAAAGAAAATTCACTTTGTTCAAGTTTCTTATTTTACAGATAAGAGAGCTGAGACCAGAGAGGTCAGGTGTCCTGTGTAAGGACACATAGCTAGTTGGTGTTGAGCTGGGATTGGAAACCCCCATCATTTGATTGCCTGTTCACTGTTTGTTCGGACATGTTGCACTTCCTGAGTTCTTGTGGGGTAAAAGATTAAATTATTTTCAACGTAATAAAGTATAAAGGTGGGAACATAGACTTTAGATTTTTTTTTTTTGAGACAAGTTCTCCTTGGCTGGAGTGCAGTGGCATAATCACAACTCACTGAAACCTCAACCTCCCAGGATTAAGCAATCCTCCCACCTCAGTCTCCCAAGTCGCCACCACGCCTGGCTAATTTTTTTTTTTTAAAGATGGAGTTCTCACTATGTTGTCCAGCTGGTCTCCAACTCCTGGCCTCAAGTGATCCTCCCTTTTCAGATTACAGGGAAAAGCCACTGCACCCAGCCTGGAATGCTTTAATACTCAGTATCAAAGTTTTTTTTTTTTTTTTTCTGGTCAGCAGTTAACTAGAAAATTCTATTAACCAATATACCCCTTTTCCTTTCTTTCTTTTCTCTCTTTTTTTTTTTTTTTTTTTCTGGAGACAGGGTCTTGCTCTGTTGCCCAGATTGGAGTGCAGTGGTGCGATCACAGTTTACTGCAAGCCTCAAACTTCTGGGCTGAAGAGATCCTCCCATCTCAGCCTCTTAAATAGCTGGGACTGCAGGCGTGTGTATCATGCCCAGTTAATTTTTAATTTTTAATTTTTATTTTTTTTTGCAGAGATGGGGTCTCACTATATTGCTTAGGCTGGTCTCAACTCCTGGGCTCAAGTAATCCTCCTGCATCAGCTTCCCAAAGTGCTGGAATTACAGGTGTGAGCTGCCATACCTGGCCTATACTCCTTTTCTTACTACTTTTGGGTGGGTTGAGGTTTCTCCTGTTGCATTCTTAGGCGTACCATGGAAGCATAATGGCCATTAGAGGTCAGTAGAGCACAGGTAGATAGGTAAGACCAGGTTCTGTCCTACAGAGCTAAGATTTTTTTTCCAGATTTATTTGGAGAACAAATTTAGATAAACAAAAAAATACTGAGATATGATTGACATGTAAACATTTGTAGGTATATAATATATACAACTTGATGAGTTTGGAGAGAAGTATACATCCATGAAATCATTGCCAAATTCTAGGCCATGAACATATCCATCAACTTCAAAAGTTTCTTCCCATCCACTTATTAATCATTACTATTATTTTGTGATAAGAACATTTAACATGAGATCTACTCTCTTAGCAAAATTTTAAGTATACAAAGCAATATTGTTAACTATAAGCACTGTGCTATATAGTAGATATCTAGGACTTATCTTGTATAACAGAAACTTTGTACCCTTTGACTAATACCTCCCTATTTTACCCTCCCATTAATCCAGGCAAGCACCATTCTACTCTCTGCTTCTATGAATTTAACTATTTTGCATTCGTCACTTATGTGGTATTTGTCCTGTGTCTGGCTTATTTCACTTAGCATAATGTCCTCCAGATTCATTCATGTTGTTGCAAATGGTGAAATTTCTTTCCTTTATAGTGCTGAATACTATTCCATTGTGTGTTTATACCACATTAAAAAAATCCATTCATTCATCGATGGACATTTGGGTTGCTTCCATGTTTTGGCCATTGTGAATAATGCTGAAATGAACATGCAAATGCAGATATCTCTTCGAGATCCTGATTTCAATTCCTTTGGATACATAACCAAGAAGTGGAATTGCTGGATTATATGGTAGTTTTATTTTTAATTTATTGAGGAACTTCCATAATGTATTCTATAGTGGCTGTGCTAATTTACATTCCCACCGACAGTATATGAGGGTTCCCTTTACTCCCATCCTTGCCAACACTGGTTATCTTTGGTCTTTTTGGTAGTAGCCATGCTAACATATGTGAGGTGATATCTTATTATGGTTTTAATCTACAGTTCCCTGATGGAACATTTACTCATATATTTCAGTAATTTTTAGTATATTCACAAGGTTGTACAACCATCACCACTATCTGTTTCCAGAAAATTTTTATCACCCCCAAAGAAACAGAGTACCCATTAGCAGTAGTCATTTCTCATCCTCTCCTCCTAGTCCTTGGCCACTACTAATGTACTTTTGGTCTCTAAATGTTAGGGGCTAAATATTTGTCTTAGTTTGTTCAGTTTGCTATAAGAAAATACCATAAACTGGGTAATTTATAAAAAACATAAATTTAATTTTGACAGTTCTGGAGATGGGGAAGTCAAAGATCAATGCACCAACAGATTTGGTGTCTGATGAAGGTCCATTTCTTAGTTCATAGATGGTGACTTCTTGCTGTGTCTTTATGTGGTTGAAGGGGCAAATGAGCTCCTTTCGCCTATTTTATAAGGGCACTAATCCCATTCAGGAGGGGTCCACTCACATGACTTAATCAAAGCCAAGGGCCCCACCTCCCAGCACTATTGCTCTGGGGGTTAGGATTTCAACATATGAATTTGGGACGGGACACGGACCTTCAAGCCATAGCAGTTGTCATTTCACTTTCTTGATGGTATCCTTTGAAGGACAAAAATTGTTTTTTTGACAAAGTCCAACTTACTGATTTTTTCCTTAGTTTCTTGTGCTTTATGTGTCATATCTAAGAAACCACTGCCTAATCCTAGGTTGTGAAGGGTTTTGTAGTTTTAGCTTTTGCATTTAGATCTTTGATCCATTTTGAATTAATTTTTGTAAATGGTGTAAGATAGGTATCCAACTTCTTTCTTTTGCGTATGGATATCTACTTGCCCCAGCACCATTTGTCCCATTCTATTTAGGGCATCTAATTTACCAGTATTTAGCATAATTAAAAATGCACATTTCCTGTGTTCCATAAACTCTTCCTCTAACTTATGGAATATCAATGTGGCTCTATGAGGCCATATTCAAGGATATTAATTACAGCATTGTTTTAATTGTAAAATATGATATGATATATTATCATTGAGTAATGAATAAATGATGAAACATTCATATAATGGAACAGTGTATCTGTTAAATGGAAAAATTATATGGGCTGATTTTGAAAGCTACCATGATATTTTACAGAGTTAAATAATTTTTTTAAAGCTGATATTTATTGAACTTTACTGTTTGCCAGGCATAGTTCTAAGTGCTCTATAAGTATTAAGTCATAACAAACCAACAACTCTAAGGTGTTATTATTACCCTATCTTACAGATGAAGTTCATAGCATTTAAGCAGCTTGTTTGCCAAAGTCACATAACTAGTAAGCAGATAAACCAGGACACAACAAGTCTGACTCAAAGTTGGCAGTCTAATCAATCTCTTTATGGTTGCCAAATCTATATCAAATCTATATCTATATCTATATATACATATATCTAGTATATATACATACATATATATTATACATGTATATATTATATATGTATATATTATATATACATATATGAAGAGATTTTACATATATAAACTTCATATATAAAATATATAAATATGTCTTAAATATACAATTATATATAAATTTATATAAAATATATATCCATCCCAACTGGTTTTTAAATAAGCCATCTTTAAGTATATAGGTTTCCATGAGGATTGCAAAATATCTAAAAGATAACCAGAAAAGTATCCATAGTCAGGTTTGAAAGACAGGAAGGAGAAGAGAACAACGTGTACTCAGAGCCTCCTATATGTGTCTTTCTGTGCTATGGCTCTTACAGAAATGATCAGATTTAATTCTTACGACATTGTTACAAGGCATGAATTATACCCATTTTATAAAATAAGAAGTTAAGAATTTAAGTGTTAAATATCTTTCTCAAGTCGCATGGCAGAAGATGAGGTGAGGCTCTCTAGGTTGAAAGAACAGCCTAGGCCGGGCATGGTGGCTCATGCCTGTTATCACAGCACTTTTGGAGGCCGAGGTGGGTGGATCACCTGAGGTCAGAAATTCAAGACCACCCAGGCTAGCTTGGTGAAACACAGTCTCTACTAAAAATGAAAAATTATCCAGGCGTGGTGGGTCACGCCTGTAATCCCAGCACTTTGGGAGGCTGAGGTGGGTGGATCATGAGGTCAAGAGATCGAGACTATCCTGGCCAACATGGTGAAACCCCATCTCTCCTAAAAATACAAAATTAGCTGGGCGTGGTGGCTTGCACCTGTAGTCCCAGCTACTTGGGAGGCTGAGGCAGGAGAATTGCTTGAACCCAGGAGGCAGAGGTTGCGGTGAGCCGAGATTGCACCACTGTACTCCAGCCCATCGACGGAGTGAGACTTTGTCTCAAAAAAAAAAAAAAAAAATAGCCTAAGAAAAGGTGAAAAGATGATAGAATGGAATAAATAAAGTAACTGGCCAGACTAGAGCCAAGGGCTCATGTGGCAAAGAAATGGAAAACAAATGAAATAGATTTAGTGGGGATGTATTACGAAGGGTGTCGAGTGCCAGACAGAGGGATTTAGATGTATTGACTCTGAGGAGCAGATAGGAAAATTGGTGAATATGGGAGTGAAGATGGACATTCTTCTGAATTGCTTGAATTTATTACAACAATCACATATTATTGTTGTAAGTAAAAAAAATTGAGATAGAGATATTTAAAAAACATGTCTGAGGCCTTACCGTTTGCTGGGTATTGTGCCACTATTGATTCCCATCAGACAAAGACTCCTAGGAGCATACCTGTAGTTGAACAAAGTTGGGTTTATTGTCTTGTTGCAATGAGGAAGAAGATATACAATGATGAACCATGGGGCATGTCAGCAGGAGGGCATCTCATGTAGAAATTCCATTTTATCATTCTAATAAAGACAGGCTTTGAAAACTTTTAAGTGGATGTTGAAGACCAGTTAATTAAGGTTTAAAGAGTCAGTGCTGGAAACATATTTAAGCTGGGCACACTTCCAGGTAAAATATACAACCTCTAACTACTCAGACTGAGGACTGAAAGACTGCTAAAGAACTGACAACATCTCGACCTTGTTCTTCGTTAGAACTTGTAAGTATGGCACATCTTTGGCTCACGAATTTTGACGAATTCTCATTCCAAACAGGACATTTCTCAGAGCGAGTTTCATGTCCTTATTACGAAGAGTATAGATCAGAGGATTAAAAAGAGGAGTCGTTACTGAATATACCAGTGTGAGGATCTTCTGCAATAAAGTTGGGATCCCATATGTAGGACTTACATACATTACCATGACTGTCCCATAGAAAAGAGATACCACAACCAAATGAGAACCACAGGTAGAGAAGGCTTTTCTCCGACCAGCTGCAGAAGGGACCTGAAAAACAGCTGTTAGTAACAGGATATAGGATCGAAGAATGTACATACTAGTGAAAAAGAGGACAAGGGAGCTCTGAGTATAGAAAATACATTCAGTTATGGGAGCTGGGGCACAGGATAGAGCCATCAATGGGTCCATGTCACACAGGAAGTGATCAATGATATTAGGACCACAGAAGGGGAGTTGGGAGATGTAGAAAATGGGAATTGGGTATCCAAGGAATCCAATAAGCCAACAGAAAGACACCAGCTTACCACAGAACCTTACAGTCATGATGGCAGGGTACTGCAGTGGGTGGCAGATGGCCAGGTATCGATCATAAGCCATTACTGCCAGAAAGAGACATTCAGTTGTTCCCAGTGAAAAGAAGAAATAGAACTGGAGGAAGCACCCAGAAAATGAGATGGCCTTGGTCTTGGAGAGAATGTTGACTAGCATGTTAGGAATAGTGGAGGACACATACCAGATCTCAAGGAAGGCAAAATTTCCCAGCAGAAAGTACATGGGGGTGTGTAGTAGTGGGTTGCATCTCACTGCATAGATGATGGCTCCATTTCCCAGCAAGGTCAAGACATAAATCACCAAAAACAATGAGAAGAGGAAAATCTGAATCTTCCAGCAACCAGGGAATCCCAGGAGAATAAACTCTGTCACGATGTGTGTTGCTGACCTGTTCATGGGTCTTAAGTCTACAAAGAAGAAAGACATGAGTGTAATCCAAGTCTCTTGGAGTGTAATCCAATTGCTTGCTACGTATCTCAAGGATTTTACTGAGACGAGAACTTGAGGTATACAGGAAAATACATGAGATAATCTGAGACCAGGTGGGAATATGTCCTACCAAATTTTGAATTGATTGTGGTTCTCTGTGTTATTTTGCTAGAATCCAATGCAATCCAATGCAGCTAGAATTTTTGACACTGTAGGGAAAAGAGAGATCAGACTGTCACTGTGTCTATGTAGAAAGGGAAGACATAAGAGACTCCATTTTGAAAAAGACCTGTACTTTAAACAATTGCTTTGCTGAGATGTTAATTTGTAGCTTTGCCCCAGCCACTTTGCCCCAGCCACTTTGACCCAACCTGGAGCTCACAAAAACGTGTGTTGTATAAAATCCAGGTTTAAGGGATCTAGGGCTGTGCAGGATGTGCCTTGTTAACAAAATGTTTACAAGCAGTATACTTGGTAAAAGTCATCGCCATTCTCTAGTCTCAATAAACCAGGGGCACAATGCACTGTGGAAAGCTGCAGGGACCTCTGCCCTTGAAAGCAGGGTATTGTCTGAGGTTTCTCCCCATGTGATAGTCTGAAATATGGCCTCGTGGGATGAGAAAGACCTGACCGTCCCCCAGCCGGACACCCGTAAAGGGTCTGTGCTGACGTGGATTAGTAAAAGAGGAAAGCCTCTTGCAGTTGAGATAGAGGAAGGCCACTGTCTCCTGCTTGCCCCTGGGAACTGAATGTCTAGGTATAAAACCCGATTGTACATTTGTTCAATTCTGAGATAGGAGAAAAACCGCCCTATGGTGGGAAGCGAGACATGTTGGCAGTAATGCTGCCTTGTTATTCTTTACTTCACTGAGATACTTGGGTGGAGAGAACTATATATCTGGCCTACGTGCACATCCAGGCATAGTACCTTCCCTTGAACTTAATTATGACATAGATTCTTCTGCTCACATGTTTTTTGCTGACCTTCTCCTTATTATCACCGTGCTCTCCTACTACATTCCTTTTTGCTGAAATAATGAATATAATAATCAATAAAAACTGAGGGAACTCAGAGGCCGGTGCCGGTGCAGGTCCTTGGTGTGCTGAGTACCGGTCCCCTGGGCTCACTGTTGTTTCTCTATACTTTGTCTCTGTGTCTTATTTCTTTTCTCAGTCTCTCGTCCTACCAGACCAGAAATACCCACAGGTGTGGAGGGGCAGGCCACCTCTCCAGACACTAGTGGCAGAACCAGACAAATTTATTTTCTTTCTTTTCCTTGGATGCTTGAGAAGACCTTTTCAGCTTTTGATTTGTTTTTCCAATGTTGATTATGGGTTTTCTAGCACAAGTTCATCAATTTTCTCTTATTTAGCACAAGTTGTTAGAAAAGACATTTTGAGGATAACTGAAAAAAATAAAATTGGTTTAGATGTTTGAACAAAACAAAATAGATTGACTGCTGCATGGAGATACAACTCCATGATAATATTTTAAAAACATCTCTAACGAACGGCAGTGTTTATTTTTATGTTTTTTACACATACTATACAAAAAGGAACTATCTTACTTTTTGTAATCAGATACCATGTAGATGAAATAAGGAAAATGATGTTTTCTATACAAAAATTTAGTTTATTTAGTGAGCTTTTTCGGTGGTGAAAACAAAGGGATTTTCTAAAAGAATCTGAGATGAAATGGGGCTTCATCTGCAATCCTATGTATTAGAATTTTGTTTACTGAAAGGAAGGTAAGGACATTTTCAAATATTTGACTAGGTATGTACTTTTCAGTAGCAACAAGTTTATGTATTTAAGAATTAAATAAAATACACAAATGTGTTTAAACAACAGTAATCTTATACTTGATTAATACTTAAAATGTGCTGATTAAGTCTTAAAAAAGTGGTAGTTTTGGCTGGGCGTAATGTCTTATGCCTATAGTTCCAGCAATTTGAGAGGCCAAAGTGGGTAGATCGCTGAAGTCAGGAGTTTGAGACCAGCTTGGCCAACATGGTGAAAACCCTTGTCTGCTAAAAATACAAAAATTAGCTGGGTGTGGTGGTGCGTGCCTGTAATCCCAGCTACTTGGGAGGCCAAGCAGAAGAATTGCTTGAACTCAGGAGGTGGAGGTTGCAGTGAGCCGAGATCACACCATTGCACTCCAGCCTGGGTGACAGAGCGAGACTCCACCTCAAAAAAAAAAAAAAAAGAAGGTAGTTTCAATATTGAGTTTCTTGTTAAGTTTAGATCTCTTGTCTTGTTTATTGCAGGTCACCAGTCATAACTTTGTCAGAAATGTAAAAGAAAAATGTGAAAGGCAACAAAGAACACAGAAGTTGAAGGAAGGATCAGGTATTCTTGGGAACGAAGATTTGAATCTCAACATCACTAGTTCTTTGGTAGTTTTTAAGGATGCATAAAAAGGGAAATTTGGAGCATCTGAGTTCTAAAGTTGTCCAGCTTTCCAATCAATGCTGAATTTAAAAGGCATTTGTTTACCATCTTCCTTGAATAAGGTGCTCAATAGGTGATTTCCAGATTGTTGTTTACGAAGCATAAATACATCCCTTTCTCTGCTATACACAGGTCAGAGAACAAGTCCAGGCTCAGACTTAAATTGGGAACCAGAATTGTGAGATCTGAGCCTCCCGCCCTTTGTTCTGAATGCCTGCTTGATGAGAATAACAGTTTAGGACATTCTCCATTATACACTGACAACTTTACACTACACTTCGTCTTTTCTACTACCCTACTCTGCAAGTGCTTTATTAGCAGCAACATTGTTTTTTCTGAAGCCTTTGGAGAAGTGTAGATAAGTAATGGAATGATCAAAAGCTGGGGAGCTTAATAGAAAGACCCGAGTAATCAATTTCAGAGTTTTCGCATTGACGGAATAAACTGTTTCCACAAAGTTTTATATAACACCACCCTCCAAAGTCTCCAAAACGCTGTCTGGGAATAGTTAGGTAATTAGAATAGAATCTTCATTATTTTATGACACAAACATACTGTTTCTCCTGATTTTTGAGATATATCATTATTTGAGCTACAATCCTAGGAGACCAGCTCTTTCTTTTTCTTTTTCTTTTTTTTTTCTGAGACAGTCTCGCTCTGTCGCCGAGGCTGGAGTGCAGTGGCGCGATCTCGGCTCACTGCAAGCTCCACCTCCCGGGTTCACGCCATTCTTCTGCCTCAGCCTCCTGAGTAGCTGGGACTATAGGCGCCCGCCATCACGCCCGGCTAATTTTTTGTATTTTTAGTAGAGACGGGGTTTCGCCGTGTTAGCCAGGATGGTCTGGATCTCCTGACCTCGTGATCGGACTGCCTCGGCCTCCCAAAGTGGTGGGATTACAGGCATGAGCCACCGCGCCCGGCCGAAACCAGCTCTTTCATGTACTGTACTCCTTTCCAGTACAAGAAACTACCAACCAACCAATCAACCCACCAGTCCACCTACCATAAGTGTGATAGCTTGATTTAATAGCCTTCTGTTGAATGCCCCTCACTTAGTATATTGTCTTCCCAGGTGTCCTGAGAGAAGGAACACACCACCTGATTATTCCTGGAAAGTAAGATTGTTTTCAGAAAGATGGTTGTTAATGACCATAAAATCATAGAATTAGAAGAAATGGTATAATGATCTAACTTCATTTTACAAATGAGGCTCAGAGAGGGGCATGACTTTTTACCCAATAAATATGTGTCCTGGATTCACATATGGAACTTTTATACTATACTATTATACTGCCTCCTTTGAGTCTTTGCAGAGAAACAGTGCCTAATCAGATTTATAAAGTCAAAGAGACTCTGTAGCATATCATAGCAGTGGTTTCTTACCTACAATCATGGCTTTTCTGGCTCAGTTTGGAGACAGCGGTGCGCACGGCAGAAATGAGGCAGAATTGAGCATAACCTCAGCATCAAGCATCTCCTCTTCACTGGCTCTGTTGAGGAAAACTCCAGGTGAGGGCATTATATGTGGTTTATTGCCCTGCCTTCATTCCTGGAGACTCCAGAGGCTTTTCTCAGAATTTGCTGAGAGGTTTAACATGCGAATCAGTATTACATCTATGTTTTCACTCAGGGATTACTGTAAAGCCCTGTGTTTCTCCCCATATGGTTTCAGTGGCTTACCCAAGTTTCCCTGGAGTGCGTTCTCTTTCCAACACTGGGGCTCATCTATAATATATACAATAGATAGTATATATATATTTATATATAATAGATAGTATATATATTTATATATAATATATATACTATATATAGATTATATATAATATATAATAAATATATATAATTTATATAATATATGTAATATATATAATATATATTTATAATAAATATATATAATGTAATATTATATATAATATTATATACTATATATTATATATAGTATATATTTATATACTATATAGTGTATGTTATACATAGTATATATTTATATAGTATATATATTTATATATTTATATAATTATATTTTTATATATTTATAAATTATATATTATATTTATATAGAATATATAATTATATATTATATATTTATTTATATATAAATATATAAATTTATATATTTATTTATATATAAATATATAAATTTATATATTATAAATTAAGAATTATATAATTATATAATTATAATTATATAATTTAGATAATTATACTATATATTTATATAGTATATATTTATGTAGCATATATATACCATCTATTATATATACTATATAAATATACATAGTATATATTTATATATAATATATATTATATATAATATATATAATATATATAATATGTATATAATATGTATTATATATAATATATAATATATTATGTATAATACGTATTATATATAATATATAATATATTATATATAATATGTAATATATTTATATATATAATATGTAATATATAATATATTCTATATTATATATAATATATTCTATATTATATATAATATATTCTATATTATATATAATATATTCTATATTATATATAATATATTCTATATTATATATATAGTATATATATAGTATATATATATATATAGTATATATACTATATATAATATAGTATAAATAGTATATATACTATATATACTATATAGTATGTATAGTATATATAGTATATATATTTATATTAAAGATATATACTATAAAGTATATATATTTATATTAAAGATATATACTATAAAGTATATATCTTTATATACTTTATATATATTATATATAATATATTATATATATTTGATAATATATATATTTTAAATATATTATATATATAATATATGTATATAAATATAAATATAAATATATAAAATATATATAGATATATTTATATCTATATGAATATATACTATATAGTATATGTATAATATATAGTATATATTTTATATATGCGATATATAATATGTAGTATATATTTTATATATGTGGTATATAATATATAGTATATATTTTTTATATGCTACATATAATATATAGTACATATTTTATATGTGCCACATATAATATATAGTACATATTTTATATGTGCCACATGTAATATATAGTACATATTTTATATGTGCCACATGTAATATATAGTACATATTTTATATGTGCCACATGTAATATATAGTATATATTTTATATGTGCCACGTGAAATATATAGTATATATTTTATATGTGCCACGTGATATATATCGTATATATTTTATATGTGCCACGTGTAATATATGGTAGATATTTTATATGTGCCACGTGTAATATATGGTATATATTTTATATGTGCCACGTGTAATATATGGTATATATTTTATATGTGCCACGTGTAATATATGGTATATATTTTATATGTGCCACGTGTAATATATGGTATATATTTTATATGTGCCACGTGTAATATATGGTATATATTTTATATGTGCCATGTGTAATATATGGTATATATTTTATATGTGCCAAATGTAACATATGGTATATATTTATATATGCTATATATAATATATGGTATATATATTATATATAATATATAATATATATACCATATATTATATATAAATATATTTACTATATAATATATAAATATATATAGTATATATAATATATAAATATATATAGTACATATAAGATATAAATATATATACTATATATTTATATATAATATATAAATATATATACTATATATAAGATATAAATATATATACTATATATTTATATATAATATATAAATATATATACTATATATTTATATATAATATATAAATATATATACTATATATTTATATAATATAAATATATATACTATATGTTTATATATAAGATATAAATATATATACTATATATTTATATATAATATATATACTATATATTTATATATAATATATAAATATATATACTATATATTATATATAATATATATACTATATATTCATATATATACTATATATTTATATATAATATATAAATATATATACTATATATTTATATATAATATATAAATATATAGCTTGAGGAGCCAAGATGGCCGAATAGGAACAGCTCCGGTCTAGAGCTCCCAGCGTGAGCGACGCGGAAGACGGGCCATTTCTGCATTTTCATCTGAGGTACCGGGTTCATCTCACTAGGGAGTGCCAGACAGTGGGTGCAGGTCAGTGGGTGCGCGCACCGTGCGTGAGCCGAAGCAGGGAGAGGCATTGCCTCACTTGGAAAGCGCAAGGGGTCAGGGAGTTCCCTAAGTCAAAGAAAGGGGTGACGGACGGCACCTGGAAAATTGGGTCACTCCCACCCGAATACTGCGTTTTTCCGACAGGCTTAAAAAATGGCACACCACGAGATTATATCCCGCACCTGGCTCGGAGGGTCCTACGCCCACGGTGTCTCGCTGATTGCTAGCACAGCAGTCTGTGATCAAACTGCAAGGCGGCAGCGAGGCTGGGGGAGGGGCGCCCGCCATTGCCCAGGCTTGCTTAGCTAAACAAAACAGCCGGGAAGCTCGAACTGGGTGGAGCCCACCACAGCTCAAGGAGGCCTGCCTGCCTCTGTAGGCTCCACCTCTGGGGGCAGGGCACAGACAAACAAAAAGACAGCAGTAACCTCGGCAGACTTAAATGTCCCTGTCTGACAGCTTTGAAGAGAGCAGTGGCTCTCCCAGCACGGAGCTGGAGATCTGAGAACGGGCAGACTGCCTCTTTAAGTGGGTCCCTGACCCCTGACCCCTGACCCCTGAGCAGCCTAACTGGGAGGCACCTCCCAGCAGGGGCACACTGACACCTCACACGGCAGGGTATTCCAACAGACCTGCAGCTGAGGTTCCTCTCTGTTAGAAGGAAAACAAACAGAAAGGACATCCACACCAAAAACCCATCTGTACATCACCATCATCAAAGACCAAAAGTAGATAAAACCACAAAGATGGGGAAAAAACAGAATGGAAAAACTGGAAACTCTAAAAAGCAGAGTGCCTCTCCTCCTCCAAAGGAATGCAGTTCCTCACCAGCAACGGAACAAAGCTGGATGGAGAATGACTTTGACGAGCTGAGAGAAGAAGGCTTCAGATGATCAAATTACTCTGAGCTACGGGAGGACATTCAAACCAAAGGCAAAGAAGTTGAAACCTTTGAAAAAAATTTAGAAGAATGTATAACTAGAATAACCAATACAGAGAAGTGCTTAAAGGAGCTGATGGAGCTGAAAACCAAGGCTCGAGAACTACGTGAAGAATGCAGAAGCCTCAGGAGCCGATGTGATCAACTGGAAGAAAGGGTATCAGTGATGGAAGATGAAATGAATGAAATGAAGCGAGAAGGGAAGTTTAGAGAAAAAAGAATAAAAAGAAATGAGCAAAGCCTCCAAGAAATATGGGACTATGTGAAAAGACCAAATCTATGTCTGATTGGTGTACCTGAAAGTGATGGGGAGAATGGAACCAAGTTGGAAAACACTCTGCAGGATATTATCCAGGAGAACTTCCCCAATCTAGCAAGGCAGGCCAACGTTCAGATTCAGGAAATACAGAGAACACCACAAAGATACTCCTCGAGAAGAGCAACCCCAAGACACATAATTGTCAGATTCACCAAAGTTGAAATGAAGGAAAAAATGTTAAGGGCAGCCAGAGAGAAAGGTCGGGTTACCCTCAAAGGGAAGCCCATCAGACTAACAGCAGATCTCTCGGCAGAAACCCTACAAGCAGAAGAGAGTTGGGGCCAATATTCAACATTCTTAAAGAAAATAATTTTCAACCCAGAATTTCATATCCAGCCAAACTAAGCTTCATGAGTGAAGGAGAAATAAAATACTTTACAGACAAGCAAATGCTGAGAGATTTTGTCACCACCAGGCCTGCCTTACAAGAGCTCCTGAAGGAAGCACTAAACATGGAAAGGAACAACTGGTACCAGCCGCTGCAAAATCATGCCAAAATGTAAAGACCATCGAGACTAGGAAGAAACTGCATCAACTAACGAGCAAAATAACCAGCTAACATCATAATGACAGGATCAAATTCACACATAACAATGTTAACTTTAAATGTCAATGGACTAAATGCTCCAATTAAAAGACACAGACTGGCAAATTGGATAAAGAGTCAAGACCTATCAGTGTGCTGTATTCAGGAAACCCATCTCACGTGCAGAGTCACACATAGGCTCAAAATAAAAGAATGGAGGAAGATCTACCAAGCAAATGGAAAACAAAAAAAGGCAGGGGTTGCAATCCTAGTCTCTGATAAAACAGACTTTAAACCAACAAAGATCAAAAGAGACAAAGAAGGCCATTACATAATGGTAAAGGGATCAATTCAACAAGAAGAGCTAACTATCCTAAATATATATGCACCCAATACAGGAGCACCAAGATTCATAAAGCAAGTCCTGAGTGACCTACAAAGAGACTTAGACTCCCACACATTAATAATGGGAGACTTTAACACCCCACTGTCAACATTAGACAGATCAATGAGACAGAAAGTCAACAAGGATACCCAGGAATTGAACTCAGCTCTGCACCAAGCGGACCTAATAGACATCTACAGAACTCTCCACCCCAAATCAACAGAATATACATTTTTTTCAGCACCACACCACACCTATTCCAAAATTGACCACATACTTGGAAATAAAGCTCTCCTCAGCAAATGTAAAAGAACAGAAATTATAACAAACTATCTCTCAGACCACAGTGCAATCAAACTAGAACTCAGGATTAAGAATCTCACTCAAAACTGCTCAACTACACGGAAACTGAACAACCTGCTCCTGAATGACTACTGGGTACATAACGAAATGAAGGCAGAAATAAAGATGTTCTTTGAAACCAACGAGAACAAAGACACAACATACCAGAATCTCTGGGACGCATTCAAAGCAGTGTGTAGAGGGAAATTTACAGCACTAAATGCCCACAAGAAAAAGGAGGAAAGATCCAAAATTGACACCCTAACATCACAATTAAAAGAACTAGAAAAGCAAGAGCAAACACATTCAAAAGCTAGCAGAAGGCAAGAAATAACTAAAATCAGAGCAGAACTGAAGGAAATAGAGACACAAAAAACTCTTCAAAAAATTAATGAATCCAGGAGCTGGTTTTTTGAAAGGATCAACAAAATTGATAGACCGCTAGCAAGACTAATAAAGAAAAAAAGAGAGAAGAATCAAATAGACGCAATAAAAAATGATAAAGGGGATATCACCGCCGATCCCACAGAAGTACAAACTACCATCAGAGAATACTACAAACACCTCTACGCAAATAAGCTAGAAAATCTAGAAGAAATGGATAAATTCCTGGACACATACACTCTTCCAAGACTAAACCAGGAAGAAGTTGAATCTCTGAATAGACCAATAACAGGAGCTGAAATTGTGGCAATAATCAATAGCTTACCAACCAAAAAGAGTCCAGGACCAGATGGATTCACAGCTGAATTCTACCAGAGGTACAAGGAGGAACTGGTACCATTCCTTCTGAAACTATTCCAATCAATAGAAAAAGAGGGAATCCTCCCTAACTCATTTTATGAGGCCAGCATCATTCTGATACCAAAGCCAGGGAGAGACACAACAAAAAAAGAGAATTTTAGACCAATATCCTTGATGAACATTGATGCAAAAATCCTCAATAAAATACTGGCAAAACAAATCCAGCAGCACATCAAAAAGCTTATCCACCATGATCAAGTGGGCTTCATCTCTGGGATGCAAGGCTGGTTCAATATATGCAAATCAATAAATGTAATCCAGCATATAAACAGAACCAAAGACAAAAACCACATGATTATCTCAATAGATGCAGAAAAAGCCTTTGACAAAATTCAACAACACTTCATGCTAAAAACTCTCAATAAATTAGGTATTGATGGGACGTATTTCAAAATAATAAGAGCTATCTATGACAAAACCACAGCCAATATCATACTGAATGGACAAAAACTGGAAGCATTCCCTTTGAAAACTGGCACAAGACAGGGATGCCCTCTGTCGCCACTCCTGTTTAACATAGTGTTGAAAGTTCTGGCCAGGGCAATTACACAGGAGAAGGAAATAAAGGGTATTCAATTAGGAAAAGAGGAAGTCAAATTGTCCCTGTTTGCAGACAACATGACTGTATATCTAGAAAACCCCATTGTCTCAGCCCAAAATCTCCTTAAGCTGATAAGCAACTTCAGCAAAGTCTCAGGATACAAAATCAATGTACAAAAATCACAAGTATTCTTATACACCAACAACAGACAAACAGAGAGCCAAATCATGAGTGAACTCTCATTCACAATTGCTGCTAAGAGAATAAAATACCTAGGAATCCACCTTACAAGGGACGTGAAGGACCTCTTCAAGGAGAACAAGAAACCACTGCTCAATGAAACAAAAGAGGATAGAAACAAATGGAAGAACATTCCATGCTTATGGATAGGAAGAATCAATATCGTGAAAATGGCCATACTGCCCAAGGTAATTTACAGATTCAATGCCATCCCCATCAAGATACCAATGACTTTCTTCACAGAATTGGAAAAAACTACTTTAAAGTTCACGTGGAACCAAAAAAGAGCCCACATTGCCAAGTCAATCCTAAGCTAAAAGAACAAAGCTGGAGGCATCACACTACCTGACCTCAAACTATACTACAAGCCTACAGTAACCAAAACAGCATGGTACTGGTACCAAAACAGGGATATAGATCAATGGAACAGAACAGAGCCCTCAGAAATAACGCCGCATATCTACAACTATCTGATCTTTGACAAACCTGAGAAAAACAAGCAATGGGGAAAGGATTCCCTATTTAATAAATGGTGCTGGGAAAACTGGGTAGCCATATGGAGAAAGCTGAAACTGGATCCCTTCCTTACATCTTATACAAAAATAAATTCAAGATGGATTAAAGACTTAAACGTTAGACCTAAAACCATAAAAACCCTAGAAGAAAACCTAGGCATTACCATTCAGGACATAGGCATGGGCAAGGACTTCATGTCTAAAACACCAAAAGCAATGGCAACAAAAGACAAAATTGACAAATGGGATCTAATTAAACTAAAGAGCTCCTGCACAGCAGAAGAAACTACCCTCAGAATGAACAGGCAACCTACAAAATGGGAGAAAATTTTCGCAACCTACTCATCTGACAAAGGGCTAATATCCAGAATCTACAATGAACTTAAACAAATTTACAAGAAAAAAACAAACAACCCCATCAAAAAGTGGGTGAAGGACATGAACAGACACTTCTCAAAAGAAGACATTTATGCAGCCAAAAGACACATGAAAAAATGCTCATCATCACTGGCCATCAGAGAAATGCAAATCAAAACCAAAATGAGATCCCATCTCACACCAGTTAGAATGGCAATCATTAAAAAGTCAAGAAACAACAGGTGCTGGAGAGGATGTGGAGAAATAGGAACACTTTTACACTGTTGGTGGGACTGTAAACTAGTTCAACCATTGTAGAAGTCAGTGTGGCGATTCCTCAGGGATCTAGAACTGGAATTACCATTTGACCCAGCCACCCCATTACTGGGTATATACCCAAAGGATTATAAATCATGCTGCTATAAAGAGACATGCACACGTATGTTTATTGCGGCATTATTCACGATAGCAAAGACTTAGAACCAACCCAAATGTCCAACAATGATAGACTGGATTAAGAAAATGTGGCATATATACACCATGGAATACTATGCAGCCATAAAAATGATGGCTTCATGTCCTTTGTAGGGACATGGATGAAGATATTAAGATTTTTATGTGTTATTTTTACCATATATTGGGGCCAACCTGCTCCCATGGAGCACATTTCTGAAACTAGAAGCTCGTCAAAATATGATCAGATACATGAAGAGTTTTGCTTGTACAAAAGGATGGCGATGACCATGAATAAAATCAAGTCAGTTAGTGTTAAAAGAAGAGGATTATTCTTCCAATCGCATTAAGAGTCATTGGGTTATAAAAAACCCTATTCATGATCTCTGGATAATTCTCATTCCACAGAAGACATGATGGAGGGCATATTTCATGTCCTTGTTGCGTAGGCTGTAGATGAGGGGGTTTAAGACAGGTGTTACCACAGAATATATCAGTGTGATGAGCTTATGCATAGCAACTGAGTTGCCAGGTGTGGGACTCACATACATCAGCATTATGGCTCCATAGAACAGAGACACAACAACCAAGTGTGACCCACAGGTAGAGATGGCCTTTTGCCATCCAGCTGAAGAAGGAACCTAAAGCACAGTTCTGAGCACCAAGGTATAGGACCCAAGGATGTACACCATGGTGAGGTTGATGAAAAGAGAGCTCACAGAATGGAACACATGCCCTATGATGTGAGTAGGGGCAGAGGACAATGCCATCAGTGGGTCTACATCACACAGAAAATGATCAATGATGTTGGGACCACAGAAAGGTAGTTGAAAAATGAAGAAAATGGAAATTGAATGTCCAAGGAAACCAATGAGCCAACAAAGAGACACCAAGATGCCACAGAGCTGGCCAGTCATAATGGAGGGATAGTGCAGTGGGTGGCAGATGGCCAGGTACCGATCATAAGCCATGACACAGAGGAAGAAGCATTCAGTTGTGCCCAGGGAAAAGAAGAAGTGGAACTGAGTGAAACATCCAGAGAATGATATGGTCTTAGTTTTGGAGAAAAAATTTACCAGCATGTTGGGGACTGTGCAGGTCACATACCAGATCTCTAGGAAGGAGAAGTTGGCTAGGAGCACGTACATAGGGGTATGGAGTCGATGGTCCCACCTCACTGCACAGATGATGGCCATATTCCCAGTCAGAGTGAAGATGTAGACCAACAAAATCATTGAGAAAAAGATGATCTGAATTTTCCAGGGACCAGGAAACCCCAACAACACAAACTGCGTCACAGTAGATATCTGTGAGTTATTCATGCTTCCCAGACTGTGGAGAGAACACCGATGGTCAATGACAATTTGCTTTGCTGATGAAGCATCTTGAAGCTTTTTTTGGGATAAGGAGTTTGACTCTTGCAGGTGAATATATTGGATATTCTAAAAGAATTCTTAAGCACACCTGGTTTATCTTTCTCAAATGAGTCCTGTGGGTCTGATTCTTGTAAACTTCAGGTTGTTTGAATTTTCTGTGGCAATGGACAAAAATCAACATTTCATCTTCTTTTGATATAAAGAAATTCTTGAAATAGAGGCAAAAATGGTTTGTTTTATATCTAATTTGTTTTTCAGTGAAAGATGTTCATATATAGCAATTACTTATTGCTGTTCACTTCAAATTATGAAGACATATGCCATCATTTTTAATATATTCAAGTCTGAGACTTTTTACAGCTTTGAGTAGTTTGTACTTTTGACATTATTTCAGATTCTTTCTTTCCGGAGCTATTTCTGTTAAGAGTATTTATTTTCTTCCAATTTTTTTAGTGATACCAGGAGAAAGTCAACAAGGATATTTAGATAATAAAATTCTTTATATATTTTGCTTTTTCCTATTTAGAGACATTTATATTGTACTACAGCTTATTTACAATTTGGTATTTAATCATTTGCTTTTAGCAATAAAATGTCATAATTATTCATTTCCTGGTGATTAATTTCACATTATAATTTATCATGCTCCATATACCTTTAAAAAGAAATATTTCATTAAAGATAACATATAAGATAGCGAAGATAACTACAGTTACTGGGATATTTTCTTCTAAAGCTCCTCTTATTACTTTTGCCAGAATTTTCTCTAAAATTCACTGTTTGTAAGATCTTTCTTTAGTCCATGTAAAATAATAGCCTCCAAATATTCAAAAAAACAAGATACAAGAGAATCAAAGGTGTTATTTCAAACATAATTATTTACCCATTTTCCGAGAGTTGGTTTGTTTCCTTTAGAACACCATCACCAAAGAAGATATATTTTCAAGAATCAAATACAACTCCAAGAAAAGAGTAAATGATAGCTTTAACATATGGGACTCTTCAGAAAAATTTTAACAAGATACCTTTAACTTTTTTGATTGTTAAGAGGATAATTTGCCTTATATTTTTTTCAATTAAAGTAGCACATATATAGTATTTGATCAAGGTGGTATATACATATATGTACACACACACATATATACATAGTGTGTTTGTCTGTATGCATATATATTTACAGTACTCACTGAACATAATCAAATAGAAAAAACCCTCCTATTCAGTGAGGTTATATTAAATAAGAAATATATTTATGATCATGCAGCTGTTGCAGTTAGTAATGCACAAGGTGAACTATGAATCTACCCATCTAGAAGGAAACATAGACCTTTTCATAGAGCTGGTTTTGCAAAAGGTTGTGGTTTGGTGGACAAGAAGCCAAAAAGAGAAAGAAACTGCAAGATGGGGATCAGTGATTTTTAATTTTTTAAACTAGGATGATTATGAAGAACTAAACTAAACCTGCATCGATGGTCATTTTTGTAAGATATCATAAAAGAATGGCTCCCCACTATGGGTCCTCTATACATTCTCCTTTCCGAGCAAGAAACCTCTCTCCTCAACAAGATGAGAAAGCAGTGATGCAGGGAGCAGCCACTTATGCTTGGAACAGAGAAGGAGCAACAATGTTTTTGAACTCAGATTCACAGACTTTGACCCAAAATCAAAATGCACAAGACCGAGCTGCTTCTTTGAGCTTAGACTACTTTCATTGACATTAAAAACAACAAACAAACAAAAACCTTGCAGAAAAACAATTAGCCACAGGGAAAGCATGGTAAATAAATTTCACAGATAATTTCCAACATATTTGTAAGAAACAGTTCCTAATATATTCACCACTAAATCTATGTGAGTTCTTAGTCCACAAAAACATTGATTTTATTTTTATCTTTTCTTTTTTTTTAAATGTCACTTCTCCTGAAGGTGCAAAGTGAGTAATGAAAGGGACAGAGAGAGGAAAACAGAGAGAAGATTAAAAAAAATTCCAATTTTCTTTTGGTTTTAGTCCCAGTGGATAAAGCTAGTTCCATACTGTTAAGCTCAAAATCTCTACAAACGTCATAGCATTCCTGGTGCCTCAGGCACTTCCTGAGAAGGAGAAGACCTGTGGATGATTAGTGTACTTCTTTTGGAAAGTGTGAATTGCATGGTGATCTCAACACTCTGAGGGATTTTTTTTCTTTTGGTTTTTGAGCTGAAAGATAGACCAATATTCTTTGATACTCAATCTCTGAAGCATGTTGAATGAAGAAATGTATAGGTGAGTAGTCCATCTGTCGTGTATAACAGCAGCAACGCTCAACGAAGAATACCTCTCCTACATACCAGGAAGCTTTCCTAGGTCATCCCTGAGAAAGCCTGCAGGGAGGCCACACGGATTCTCTCCTTCACTGGCTCCAATATGGAAGTCCTGTGTCAGAGCTTCACCAGTGGCTTATTTCACTTCTCTTGTACCCTAAGAGTCTAGTGGCTTGTTTCTCACTGAGGGTGTTGAACTATGTGTTGGTCTTAATTTATGCCTCATTTGAGGCACTGTTGAGAATTCTCAGGTCTCCCTTCATGTTCTTGTGATTCTGTAACTTTCTGTGCTGTCCCTAGGGATCTTCATACATCTTGCCTGGGGGTTTAATTGATATTTTTGTTAACATTTCCTGTAGGGATTATTAAAAATAACATGTTATATTAACTCTGAGGAAACCCCATGGTCTCCTTGAGTTGTGCTCAAACAGCATGTGCTATAGGATACGTAAAAGCCCCAGATTAAATGTCTTCCTGAGGGGCCAATTTTACCTAGAAAGATAATTTTATATCACACCAAATATGTATGTACTATGAATTAGGAAGTATAATTTATGACAATTTTTGAGATACAATTTTGAATTTAAAGAAATATTATCCCCCAATACCCCATGTTCTCTGACCACTCTTGCTAAACATGCTTTGGTGGAAAGATTTGACAAACACGGTTTGGGAGCATTACATCACCTAGCACCGGCAGGCCCATCTTCCTTGCCCCACCTGATTTCATTGTGGGGTAGCCATAACTAAAAGGTGTGTTTTCATTTTAAGTAGATTCAACTCTTAGTTGATTGCCTTTTTGTTTCAGCCTAGAGTTTGGATACTAAAATGAAATTTGTTCTTGACATAATTTTCTCTGAATATTTTTCTAACTTAGACTTTGCCCTACAGCCTCTGAGAGGCACCTGTTGCTCTGTGGTTGACATGAAAACTGCTGGGTACAAATAAAAATATGTTTAGGGCATCATTCCTAGTATAAATAATATTGGGGTTGTCATGACTAATTTAGAGAGGAAGTACTGTGAGTAAAGATACCCAGTTGGGACTAAATATGTTTGAGGACTGATCATCATGAAATGCAAGACTTGTACAGTGGATCACTAGGAGAGAAAACTGAAGGGAGCAGTGTGTTGAGTGAAGGCCTTGAATGGCAAAGAGTTTGGTTTTTATGTCTAAGGGATAGAGGTATGAAGCATAGAGGTTTAAAGCATACTCTGTTCTTGGTGTGAAAGACAACCTCAAATAATGGAAGATGTCTATTACTATGTTTTTTTCTGGTGGCCTCTTGACACACAAATATTCTTTAAGAATATTTATTTTCTGGCCGGGTGTGGTGGCTCACGCCTGTAATCCCAGCACTTTAGGAGGTCAAGGGTAGGGGGGTGGATCACTTGAGGTCAGGAGTTCGAGACCAGCTTGGCCAACATGGTGAAACCCCATCTCTACTAAAAATACAAAAATGACCCCATCTCTACTAAAAATACAATTAGCCAGGTGTGGCGGTGGGCACCTGTAATCCCAGCTACTTGGGAGGCTGAGGCAGGAGGATCACTTGAAGCCGGGAGGCGGAGATTGCAGTGAGCCAAGACTGTGCCACTGCACTCCAGCCTGGGCAACAAGAGCGAAACTTCGTCTCAGAAACAAACAAACAAACAAACAAACAAAAATATGTATATTTTCTGAATTGAAAATATCTCACTTTTTTTTTTTTTTTTTTTTTTTTTTTTTTTAAGATGCAGTCTTGCTCTATCATGCAGGCTAGGGGGCAGTGGCGTGATATCAGCTCACTGCAAGCTTAGCCTCCCAGGTTCAAGCAATTCTCATTCCTCAGCCTCCTGAGTAGCTGGGATTACAGGTGTGTGCCATCACGCCCAGCTAATTTTTGTATTTTTAGTAGAGACAGGGTTTCATCATATTGCCCAGGCTGGTCTCGAATTCCTGATCTCAGGTGATCCTCCCGCTTTGGCCTCCCAAAGTGCTGGGATTACAGTCGTGAGCCACCGTGCCCAGCCAGATCTCACTCTTTTGAAAGGTTTCAGTACACATGCAATTGATTTCTTCTGTCAGCTAAGATTAAAACTAGCAAAGATACATCACAGAAAAATAATATACGTATATATACACCCACCCACCACATAACTACTCAGTGAGGCCACATATGTTTAAAATGTTTTATTGAGCATTGGCATTTATCATTAATGAGCTGAATTTAACTGCTAAGGAACTGTGAAAGATAAGTCTGTCTACCTGAGTGTGAGCCAGAACATACTACTGAAGCTACTCTCTATAGTTATAAAAAATTAAGGTCAGAAGTGGCCAATTTGGCTTCTTTTTCAAAGATATCTCAGTTTTGGCTAACTGTTAACCCCAGGACTCTCTTTAGAGCATCTTTCATGTCTTTGTTTCGAAGACTATAGATAAGGGGATTTAAGAATGGAGTCATTGCTGTGTATACCAGAGTGATGATCTTCTGCATTCCTGCTGGGTTCCCTGATGTTGGGCTCACATACATCACCATAAGGGTTCCATAGAATAGAGACACCACCATTAGGTGGGACCCACATGTGGAGAAAGCTTTAGTTCGACCAGCACCAGAGGGAATACAAAGCACAGCTCTGATGACCAGAGTGTAAGATCCCAAGATGGAGAGGAAGGGCCCAAAGATAATCATCGAGTTGAAGGTGTAACAGATAAGCTCAGTGGAAGGAGCAGAGATGCAGGCCAGTGCAAACAATGGGCCTGGGTCACACACCAAGTGGTCAATGATGTTGGGCCCACAGAAGGGAAGTTGGGAGATAAGAACAATAGGGACTGGATAGCAGAGAAATCCGCCTACCCAGCATACACAGACCAGAATTATACAGAACTTCCCAGTCATGATGGAGGGGTAGTGTAATGGACGACAGATGGCCAGGTACCGATCATAAGCCATAACTGATAAAAAGAAACACTCTGTTGTACCCAGTGAAAAAAAGAAATAGAATTGCAGGAAGCAACCAGAGAAGGAGATGGTTTTAATCTCAGAGAGGATATTGACTAGCATGTTTGGGACAGTGGAGGAAATGTACCAGATCTCTAGAAAGGCAAAGTTTCCCAGAAGGATGTACATGGGTGTGTGGAGCCGCCTGTCCAATTTCACTGCACAGACAATAGCTCCATTCCCTAGCAGTGTCAGGAGATAGAGAACCAGGATGAATGAGAAGAAGCAGCTCTGCATCTCCCTTTGACCATGGAAACCCAGGAGGACAAACTCAGTCACAAAATGCATTGTTCTGTTCTGGGGTCCCAAAGCTGTTAGAAAAACAGAAGTAACCAAAGAATGAATAATAAAGAACATTTGGAGATTTTGCTAACTCATGCTGGATGATGTACTAAGTATTTTTACATACATTATCTCATTTGGTCTTCCTAATGACTCTTTGAGCTGCGAGGAGGTATTCTTTACCCTTCTCTTTCACAGACAGGGTAATTGAAGTTCAAAGAGATTAGAAGGGTTCACTTAAACATATGTACAAAGCCAGTAACGCCCAGATACACTGGCCTATTTGGAGATTGGTTTGGAACAAATCATGTTTCACTTCAAATTTTCTATAACCCTGAGTCTCAGTAATGTTTCATCTTTAATGGTAAAATCACTGCCCCTTAGATACTCTACATATAAATATAAACTTTGGATATATTCTTTTACTTTAAAGCAAAATTGAGTATAAATCTGAAGCAAGAATAGTTGCTATATTAAAATTGCCTTCTTAGAGCCTCATATGTAGAAGTCCAATAAAAAGCAGATAGGAATTAAACTTTGGGGAGTCTTCAGCTCCCTTCCTTTTGCTACTCTCAGGGAGGTGCTGCAGAACCCTTAGGAATCTGTAAAATGGTCTGAAAGCTACAAATCTAGTTCCCCCCAGATCACATTCTCCCTGGTGGCATCTGGATTTGCTGAATAATCCAGCCCCTTTTTCTCGTGAGGAGCTCTAGTTCTCTCAAAGCCCTTCTTTATGGTGAGCAAACTTTGTATCCTTTATTACTTTTACCCATTGATCTTGGTACTCCCCAAGTCAGCAGGTAAACTTTGACTTTGTTGAAACTACACAAAATAAGTCTAATTCCTCTCCCATGATGGTGGTAGTGAGGTCTTAAATAACTGAAGGCAGCTGTTATGTCCCTTACCTATGACTTCTTTGGCAGGCCACCATTTTCCCTGCTTGTCAGCCTCCTTCTCCAACAAATTGTACTATTCTACATCATGACTTAGCTCTTGAGGGAGCTTGCTGTTGGGTAAATCAATTTCTCTAGTAATAAAGCCATGTGCCTTTATTTTTGCTAGAAATTAAGTCCTAAACTTTATAATTTGTCCCTTCATTATCTTGCTTTTCCATAAATTAAATAATGAATAAAAGAGTCACCTCAGGATGTGCAGAGAACAGAAAGATCTTTCTGATATTTTCTAAATCAGGAGTTGAGACAAGATAAATAACTTAGATATTTTGCTAACAATTTTCTAGAAACTATTGGTCCAGCAGGCTTATTTCTGTGTCCTCAAATATCCTTGTTAAAGTTCAGAATATTTGGCTGGGTAAGCCACTATCAATATTTTAAATTTAGCAATATAATGACTTTAAAATTAGGATAATTTATTGTATTATTAGCGTCACTGTTAAGATACTCACAAAATTCCATCTTTACATCATTTATATGATCCACAGAGAGCGAGAGGCCTGCCTTTCAGTACTTGATCAAACCTGGAGCAAACCCAAAAGCATAAATGTTTTATTGCCGAGGTAACTTTGGATATTCATGTTAACAATATTTTAAGAATAATACAACAATTTCTCTAATAAACATGATTTTTAGGAAAATGTAAATTTTGTCCAAGCAGTTCAGTTTAATGAATAATAATTATCATGATCACATGCATCAGAATTTTTAGGACAGTTGTAATTACTCTCAAATATACTCTCCATAACTGCTTGTATTTCCCACACTACATGCTATGTCATTCTTGGAAAATATAATTACTGGGCTTGCAATTTAAAAAAACGGTTGGCAGTTAGAATGGCGATCATTAAAAAGTCAGGAAACAACAGGTGCTGGAGAGGATGTGGAGAAATAGGAACACTTTTACACTGTTGGTGGGACTGTAAACTAGTTCAACCCTTGTGGAAGTCAGTGTGGCGATTCCTCAGGGATCTAGAACTAGAAATACCATTTGACCCAGCCATCCCATTACTGGGTATATACCCAAAGGACTATAAATCATGCTGCTATAAAGACACATGCACATGTATGTTTATTGCGGCACTATTCACAGTAGCAAAGACTTGGAACCAACCCAAATGTCCAACAATGATAGACTGGATTAAGAAAATGTGGCACATATACACCATGGAGTACTATGCAGCCATAAAAAATGATGAGTTCATGTCCTTTGTAGGGACATGGATGTAGCTGGAAACCATCATTCTCAGCAAACTACGGCAAGGAAAAAAACCAAACACTGCATGTTCTCACTCATAGGTGGGAATTGAACAATGAGAACACATGGACACAGGAAGGGGAACATCACACACCAGGACCTGTCGTGGGGTGGGGGGAGGGGGGAGGGATAGCATTAGGAGATATACCTAATGTTAAATGATGAGTTAATGGGAGCAGCACACCAACATGGCACATGTATACATATGTAACAAACCTGCATGTTGTGCACATGTACCCTAAAACTTAAAAGTATAAAAAAAAAGTTTCTAAAACAAAAGAAATAAAAAATAAAAAAAGGTTGGATGTTAAATTTAAATCGTAGCATTTCATGTATTTATTTGTTTATTCAAGAATTTAATTTAACACATGTTTATTCACCATTTATTATATTGCTAGCAGTGTGTTGAGTTCTGGGGTTATAATGGTGAATATACAAAATAAAATTCCTCCCCTTTTGGAACTCAGGTTTTATAAAAACTATCAAGATTACAACCTATATCTGCACAGTCATGTGCATAGGCTGGGGGTTCCTTGAGCTGTGTATTTTTGCAGCACGTCCAACTGCATGCTGTGGGTCTGAAAAAAGATATTTACTCCAGTTAGAAATAACTTGAATAAATCTTTGTAGTACAGGGGACATGATAACAAATTTTGCTTGGCATAAATTAGATAATTAGATATTTTGGGCTTTTCAAGGCAGTAGGTAGAGAATGAGACATGAATTAATTTATCCTACTCACAGGCCAGGAAATTTTTGGTACTGAGAAAAGAAATATAATTCCAACTGATGATAATTGATCTGGAACCGGACCTCATAATTGACTCCTTCCTGCTTATTATTATTAATTATTTTTGAGACAGAGTCTTGCTATGTGGTCCAGGCTGGAGTGCAGTGGCGTGATCTCCCTGCACTGTGTGATCACTGTAACCTCCGCCTCCTGGGTTCAAGGGATTCTCATGCCTCAGCCTCCTGAGTAGCTGGCATTACAGGCTTGGGCTACCACACCCGGCTAATTTTTTTTTTTTTGGAGACAGAGTCTCACTGTATCCCCCAGGCTGGAGTGCAGTGGCATGATCTCAGCTCACTGCAACCTCTGCCTCCTGGGTTCAAGCAATTCTCATGCCTCAGCCTCCCAAGTAGCTGGGATTACAGGCGCCTGCCACCACGCCCAGCTAATTTTTGTATTTTTAGTAGAGACGGGGTTTTGCCATGTTGGTGAGGCTGGTCTTGAACTCCTGACCTCATGTGATCCACCTGCTTTGGCCTTCCAAAGTGCTGAGATTTCAGGTGTGAGCCACTGTGCCCAGTCCCCACCTGCTCATTATTTGACTTCGTAATGTTCAAGACCTTGATGACATTATTTCAAACACAGTGAAATTTTAATTATCTATGGAATATAGGGTCAGAGAAAGATGGATAACTAAACTTCACAGATAATTAAAAAAACCTCACTGCATTCATTTCTATTGCCTCCATCACCAAAGTACATTTACTAGGAACTCAAATAGTAAGTTTAAATTCACCTCTTTTGTCTTTCTATTCACTTCAAGTGAGAGTACAAATGGGCAATTGGAGAGAAGAGGAGGAACAAAGCGCTTGGGCAACACATTCTATGTGAACCGACAAGGGAGCTACATCCTCCTCCAGCCCCATCCGCTTGCTGGGAATTTAAGACACTTGCCCACGGAAGAGCACTTTTAGAATTATAAGTGCTGGGGCTCTTCTCTTAAGTATTTATGTTTTAAAAATTACTCTGTAGGTGAATCCAAAGGAAAGGAGAGTCTGCTGTTCTACTTCTTTCACAAGAGGTTTTCACTTGCCATTTGTCACTTGCCAACAACTCTGAAAAAAATAACAGCTTGCTTTAATTGTTCCAGCTGAAGAAGAGTCTGTCAATAAAAACTTCAGTGACTAATTTACAAACAAGGAGGTAAAAGACTCGGTACATTCTAACTGAAGGGAATTTAATGGTCCCCCCAAATAAGCAAGAACTTTGAACATTATTTTCCCTAACTGAGTTGTATAGTGGGAACTCTGAGATACCTGAGTGAGCCCTTAATGTGAATATATCACCCGGGCATTCTTTAGGAGTATGCTGGGAGAAGAGAAGTGAGGGGCCAATGTTCGTGCAAAGAACTAAGGAACAAAGAATTCACAGATTTGCAGAAGAACCACGTATTCTTAGCATCTGGCAGCACTGAATGCACAGGAACGGTGGTGTACCGCTGCAGGCAGACTTTCCTTACATACCTAATGGCATTTTTGGTTCCAAGAGGAAGATGTGAGACAAACTCCAGCTGCAGGAATCTCGTCATTTACACAACCAAAAAGCTGAGTCATGGTTGGAGAGTGTTATTTGTGGTTCCAGAAACTTGCTTCCTTTAGTATTCCAAACCAAATGAAATGTGTTTTTCACATCAGCAATTATTAAGAGTTTACAAGTCTCTTGTGAATAGGAGCCATAGTTCCCCTGTGTTCACTGGCAGGCACCTACTTCCTTTGCCTGTATTTCTGAGCATGTATCAAATTCCTTCTATATCTGTTTATAGTTTATGTTTTCCCCAATGGTTTGACTAGTGAGACACAGAAGTCAGGATAGTTATCTAAAAGATACCATAAACACTTTCCCCTTTGTGGAGATATCCTCCCTTTAAGGAACTGATCTACCTGGGGATGGGGGTGGGAGGTTAATGGAGGAGGAGGAGAAAGAATATGTGTGTACATGTGTGTATCTGAGTTTATGTATTTGTGTATATTTGTGTGTGATTTTCTCTCCAGAATAAACTTCATTTTTTTTTAAAAGAATTCCATATAATTAACAAACATTTGTCAGTTATGCATCAACTATGCACCTACTATGTGCCAGACTCTGGGTTAAACATTGAGTATACACAGACAGGAGCCAACAAGGTCAAGACTTCACAGAGATTACATACTTGTTTTGGGCTCAAATAAAAAGATATGAAGCAAATCTTTATTATATAAGGGAACTAGACTTGCTTCATACTTGGTGCCTAACCTGCAAACACTTAAAAATTTTTTTATCTATATATTGTTTGCTTAATTTTGTTATAGTGAACATAAAATAAAGAATCTCCTGGCCGGGCGCGGTGGCTCACGCCTGTAATCCCAGCACTTTGGGAGGCCGAAGTGGGCGCATCACTAGGTGAGGAGATTGAGACCATCCTGGCCAACATGGTGAAACCTGTCTCTACTAAAATACAAAAAATTGCCGGGCTTGGTGGTGCACGCCTGTAGTCCAGCTACTCGGGAGGCTGAGGCAGGAGAATCGCTTGAACCCGGGAGGTGGAGGTTGCAGTGAGCCAAGGTTGCGTCACTGCACTCCAGCCTGATGACAGAGCAAGACTCCATCTCAAAAAAAAAAAATCTCCTTTATCAATTTTAAGTATAGCTCGAACATAGGTGTTTGAAAAAGTTCAGTTATCTGTAAAGGCAGATTTGTAATTCTGTTGACTGACATGATACAATATTAGTGAAAATGAAAGTTGGCACTGTAAATGGTTATGAATTTTTTCAGTGATATAAGGGGAAAGAGAACAAACAAACTGAGATGAGAACCTGAGATGAATATAAACATTGCAAGAGCTCAAATAGAGAACATGACTGAGCTTAAGGGTAAGGCTGTTTAAGTGTAGAGCAGATTCTTGAAAATGTAATCCCTGTACTAGCAGTATTATTATCACTTGAGACCTGTTAGAAATCCATGTTCTCAGTACTTACCTAGATTTAGTGAGCCAAAAACTTGGAATGTGGAGCCCAGTTGTCTGTCTTAACAAACTTTCTAGATGTTTCTTTTACTTTCCTTTCTTTCTTCCTTTTTTTTTTTTTTTTTTGAGACGGAGTTTGTTGCCCAGGCTGGTGTGCAGTGGTATGGTCTCGGCTAACTGCAACCTCCACCTCTCAGGTTCAAGCAATTCTCCTGTCTCAGCCTCCCAAGTAGCTGGGATTACAGGCATGATCCCCCATGCCAGGCTAATTTTTTTTGTATTTTTAGTAGGGATGGGGTTTCACCATGTTGGCCAGGCTGGTCTTGAACTCCTGACCTCAGGTGATCTACCTGCCTCTGTGGGCAGCAAGCCACCCAGGTGCCAAGGCAAGAGACCGAGGACACAAGCTGTTCCAGTATAATAAAATATAAAACAAGAATAGTTATACTAGATACAGATCTTAGATATGATTATATATGAATATCATTAATCATTAGTTGGTAGCAATTACTCTTTATTCCAATATTATAATAATCCTTGCTCTATAATCATAACCTAGGAAAAGCCAGGCCGTACAGAGATAGGAGCTGAGGGGACATAGTGAGGAGTGACCAGAAGACAAGAGTGCGAGCCTTCTGTTATGCCCAGACAGGGCTACCAGAGGGCTCCTTGGTCTAGCGGTAACGCCAGCATCTGGGAAGACACCCGTTGCCAGGCGGACCGTGGTCTAGCGGTAGCCTCAGTGTCACGGAAAAACACCAGCTACTTAGCAGACCAGGAGAGGGAGTCTCCCTTTCCCAGGGGGAGTTTAGAGAAGACTCTACTCCTCCACCTCTTGTGGAGGGCCTGACATCAGTCAGGCTTGCCCGCAGTTATCTGGAGGCCTAACTGTCTCCCTGTGATGCTGTGCTTCAGTGGTCATGCTCCTAGTCCGCCTTCATGTTCCATCCTGTACACCTGGCTCTGCCTTCTAGATAGCAGTAGTAAATTAGTGAAAGTACTAAAAGTCTCTGATATGCAGAAATAATGGCATAAGCTATCTTTCTCTTTGTCTCCTCTCTCTCTCTGCCTCGGCTACCAGGCAGGGAAGGGTCCCCTGTCCAGTGGACATGTGACCCACGTGGCCTTACCTGTCATTGGAGATGGCTCACTCTCCTTATCCTGCCCCTTTGTCTTGTATCCAATAAATATCAGTGCAGCCTGGCATTCGGGGCCACTATCGGTCTCCGCGACTTGGTGGTAGTGGTCCCCTGGGCCCAGCTGCCTTTTCTTTTATCTCTTTGTCTTGTGTCTTTATTTCTACACTCTCATCTCCGCACACGGGGAGAGACCCACCGACCCTGTGGCGCTGGACCCTACATGCCTCGGCCTCCCAAAGTTCTGGGATTACAGGCATGAGCCGCCATGCCCGGTCTCTAGGTGTTTCTAATGCACGTGGAAGCTTGAAAGCCACTACGGATGATCATAAAACGTTAGAGTCCGGGTTAGGAATGTTTGAAAGCACTTCTAAGTGTGGGAGGGATTTCCGTAGAACTGGGAATTAATTAAACATGTTTGGGAGACAAGGTTAAGAGTGATATTTGAAGGGATAACTGGCCCATGGAACTAAGTTGCAGGTGATATTCTATGTCAGGCTAAGACTTAGGTATTTAGAAAAGCGTTACTAGATTAAACATCTAGAGGAGCTTTTGAAAGAGGTTTGGGATAGGCAGAAAATGGTGGAGAAGATTATTCAGGCATTGTATGAAATGGGGTGACCTGGGTTAAAAACAGGGAGCACTTGGGTGGGAACAGAGTTGAACTTAAACAGAAGGTAGTGAGAAAATATAGAGAAAATCATGACATAGAAAGTATGAGTCTTAGTTTGAATAGTTTCACTTATTAGCTGTAGGAGCTTGGTGTGCTCTGGTTTCCTCAAATATTAAAGCCATGTTTATCCTTCCTGTGTAACTCATAGGGCTAATAAGAGGATTAAATGAGATAATAGACTTGAAAATATTTTATAAATGTCTATATAATTATAATTATGATTAAGTGTCATTAAACAGCCCCAGAGGCATTGTCTTTTAATTAATATCATGGAACCATTCCAGAATTAGAATTTCTTAGGGTCTAGAGGACTTCCTATGCCTCTGGGGCAACTAGAGGACTCTTTTCCCCTCCCCAAATATATATCCTCAAATAGGTTACAGATACAAATTCCTTTAAAAAGAAACGAGCGGGGAGCAGTGGTGAGCATCTATAATTCCAGCACTTTGGGAAGCTGAGGCAGGAGGATCACTTGAGCCCAGGAATTTGAGAACAGCCTGGCCAACATGGTGAAGCTCTGTCTCTACAAAAGAAAAAAAAAAAAAGAAATACAAAAATTAGCTGGGCATGGAGGCACACGCCTGTAGTCCCAGTTACTCGGACAGCTGAGTTGGGAGCATCATGTGAGCCTGGGAAGGTTGAGGCTGTAGTTAGCTGTGATTGCATCACTGCATTCCAGCCTGGGAGTCAGAATGAGACACTGTCTTGAAAAAAAGTATAAAAAACCAAAACTTTCTAAATTTGACAATTAGAAATAAGAGTTTTAAAATGCCCATTTCTCTCTCTAGTGTATTGCCAACAAAACAGTCAGGGGGATAATTCTTTTATAATGTAAATAAGAGTATGTTACTTCCCTGCTCAAAACCTCCCAAATGCTTCTCATCTTATGCAGAATTACATATAAAACATAAATAAAATAAATTGAAGAAGACACAAATAAACAGAAAGATATCTTGTGTTCATGAATTAAAAGCATTAATATTGTTAAAATGTCCAGACTACCCAATGTGATTTCCAGAGTCAATGTAATCCCTATTAATCCCTGTCATACCAATGACAGCCTTCAGAGAAATAGAAAACACAGCCCTAAAATCCATATGGAATCACAAAATCCCTCAAATAGTAAGGCAGTTATGAACAGAAAGAACGAAGCTGAGGCATCACACTGATTTCAAACTATACAACAAAGTAATAGTAATTAAAACAGCATGTCAATTAAAATTAGTGTAAAAAAGACTCATCAACCAATAGAAAAGAATAGAGAGCTCAGAAGTGAACCTATGCATGGTCAATTGATTTCTGACAAAGGTGTCAAAAATACACATTGGGAAAAGGACAGTCTCTTTAATAATGGTATTGGGAAAACTGCATATTCATATGTACAAGAATGAAATTGGATTCTTATTTCACTCTATATAAAAAAAATCAAGTCAAAATGGATTAAAGACTTGGACATAAGACCGGAAACTCTAAGCAATGAGAAGGCAACATAGGGGAAACACTACCCAATATTGATTTGGGCAATGATTGTACAGATTTGACCTCCAAATACAGACAACAAAAGCAAAAATAAACAAATAGGATCATGTCAGTATAGCTCTAATCTGCAAAGGAAACAATTGATAGAATGGAGAGATAACTACAGACTGGGAGAAAGTATTTGAGGCCATACATCTGATAGGGGTTAATATCCAAATCCATAAAGAACTCAAACAACTCTATAGAGAGAAAACAAATAATCAGATTAAAAAATGGGCAGTGGCCCTGAATAGACATTTCTCAAAAAAAGACACACAAATGGCCAACAGGTATATGAAAATTGCTCACCATCGCTAATAACTAGGAAAATGCAGATTAAAACCACAATGAGATTTCACCTCACAGCTATCAGAATGGCTGTTATAATAAAAGACAAAAGATAACAGGTGTTGATGAGAATGTGAAGAAAAGAGAGCCCTTTCACACAGTTGGTGAGAATGTCAATTAGTACTGTCATTATGAAAAACTGTATGGAGCTTCCTCAGAAAACTAAAAATAGAATTACTATATGATCTAGCAATCCCAGTTTTGGGTATTTGCCTAAATGATTTGAAAGCAGTATGTCAAAGAGATGTCTGCTCTCCTATGTTCCTTGCAGCCTTATTCACAATAGCTGAGTTATGGAATCAACCTAAATGTCCATCAACAGATAAATGGATAAAGAAAATGTGGTGTATGTACATAGTGGAATACTATTCAGCCTTAAAAAGAGGGAAATTTGGTCATTTGTGACAACATGGATGGAAATGGAGAACATTATGCTAAGTGAAACAGGGCAAGCATAGAAAGACAAATATACCACATGTTCTCACTTATTTGTGGAATCTCCAAATTTCAAACTCAAGGAAGCAGGCCAGGGAAGTGGGGTGTGGATAATGGTGAGGCAATGATGGACAAAGGGTGCAAAGCCTCTGGCAGGAGGAATCAGTTTTTTTTTGTTTTTTTTTTTTGGCGATATATTGCCCAGGGTGGTAAACATAGTAAATGATAATGTGTTATAAATTTTAAAATTGCTAAGATGATAAATTTCTTTTTTTTTTTTTTTTCCCAAGGCAGAATAATTTTTCTTAGTACAGAACAAAATGAAAAGTCTCCCATGTCTACTTCTTTCTACACAGACACGGCAACCATCCGATTTCTCAGTCTTTTCCCCACCTTTCCCCCCTTTCTATTCCACAAAACTGCCACTGTCATCATGGCCCGTTCTCAATGAGCCACTGGGCACACCTCCCAGACGGGGTGGTGGCCGGGCAGAGAGGCTCCTCACTTCCCAGTAGTGGTGGCCGGGCAGAGGCGCCCCTCACCTCCCGGATGGGGTGGCTGGCCGGGCGGGGGGGCTGCCCCCCCCACCTCCCTCCCGGACGGGGCAGCTGGCCGGGCAGAGGGGCTCCTCACTTCCCAGTAGGGGCGGCCGGGCAGAGGCGCCCCTCACCTCCCGGACAGGGTGGCTGGCCGGGCGGGGGGACTGACCCCCCCCACCTCCCTCCTGGACGGGGCGGCTGGCCGGGCGGGGGGACTGACCCCCCCCACCTCCCTCCTGGACGGGGCTGCTGGCCGGGCGGGGGGACTGACCCCCCCACCTCCCTCCTGGACGGGGCGGCTGGCCGGGCGGGGGGACTGACCCCCCCACCTCCCTCCCGGACGGGGCGGCTGGCCGGGCGGGGGGACTGACCCCCCCCACCTCCCTCCTGGACGGGGTGGCTGGCCGGGCGGGGGGACTGACCCCCCCCACCTCCCTCCTGGACGGGGCGGCTGGCCGGGCGGGGGACTGACCCCCCCACCTCCCTCCCGGACGGGGCGGCTGGCTGGGCGGGGGGACTGACCCCCTCACCTCCCTCCTGGACGGGGCGGCTGGCTGGGCGGGGGGCTGACCCCCTCACCTCCCTCCCGGACGGGGTGGCTGTCGGGCGGAGACGCTCCTCACTTCCCAGACGGGGTGGCTGCCAGGCAGAGGGTCTCCTCACTTCTCAGATGGGGCGGCCGGGCAGAGACGCTCCTCACCTCCCAGACAGGGTCGCGGCCGGGCAGAGGCTGCAATCTCGGCACTTTGGGAGGCCAAGGCAGGCGGCTGGGAGGTAGAGGTTGTAGCGAGCCGAGATCACGCCACTGCACTCCAGCCTGGGCACCATTGAGCACTGAGTGAACGAGACTCCGTCTGCAATCCCGGCACCTCGGGAGGCCGAGGCTGGCGGATCACTCGTGATTAGGAGCTGGAGACCAGCCCGGCCAACACAGCGAAACCCCGTCTCCACCGAAAAAATACGAAAACCAGTCAGGCGTGGCGGCGCGCGCCTGCAATCGCAGGCACTGGGCAGGCTGAGGCAGGAGAATCAGGCAGGGAGGTTGCAGTGAGCCCAGATGGCAGCAGTACAGTCCAGCTTCGGCTGGGCATCAGAGGGAGACCGTGGAAAGAGAGGGAGACCCTGGGGAGAGGGAGACCGTGGGGAGAGGGAGAGGGAGAGGGAGAGCGATAAATTTCAAATATTCTTGTTTTTTTTTTTTTTTGAGACAGAATCTCACTCTATCACAGGCTGTTGTACAATGGCGCAGTCATGGCTCACTGCAACCTCTGCCTCCCGAGTTCAAGTGATCCTTATGCCTCAGCTTCCTGTGTAGCTGGGATTACAGGCATGCACCACCACACCCAAATAATTTTTGTATTTTTAGTAGGGAGGGGATTTTACCATGTTGGCCAGGCTAATCTTGAACTCCTGGCCTCGGGTGATCTGCCTGCCTCGGCCTCCCAAAGTGCTGGGATTACAGGCGTGAGCCACTGTGCCCGGCCATAGATTTCAAATATTCTCACTACAGAAAATATTTGAGGTGATGGATATGTTAGCTGATTCAATTATTCTGCATTATATTCATAAATCATAACATCACTTTGTTCCCCATACATATACACAACTCTAATTTGTCAATTTATAATTTTTAAAAAAGTTATTACTATAGTTTACAAGGTCCCACAGAATTTGGAATGCTGTTCACTCCCTGACTTCATCTCTATTACTCTTCCCCTTAAATTTTTTTTTTTTTTTGAGATGGAGTCCTGCTCTGTCGTCCAGGCTGGAGTGCGGTGGTGTGATCTCGGCTCACTGCAACCTCTGCCTCCTAGGTTCATGCCATTCTCCTGCCTCAGCCTCCTGAGTAGCTGGGATTACAGGCTCGTGCCACCACACCCAGCTAATTTTTGTATTTTTAGTAGAGACAGGGTTGCACCATATTGGCCAGGCTGGTCTCAAATTCCTGACCTCATGATCCAGCCTCCTCAGCTTCCCAAAGTGCTGGGATTACAGGTGTGAGCCACTGTTCCCAGACTTAAATTCTTTACTCCAGTCAAACCAACCTCCTTGCTGCTACTTGGATACAATCCTGCCTCCAGATCTTTAAGATAATTTGCTTCCCTCTCTTTAGAATGCTCTTCTCTCACTGTCTACATGGCTCATTCCCTCATCCGCTTCAAGCATTTGCTTAAATGTTGCCTTCTCAGTGTAGCCTCTCTGATCATCGTGTTTAACAATGGCAGCTCTTTTCTTTCTCCCACATTTCCTGTCCTCTTTGTCCTTTTTGCATAGCGCTTACTACTCTCTGATATGCTATATATTTTACTTATTTTTTTATCGTCCGTTTCTCCCTTATGTGAGTGTAAATGCCAGGTAGATAGTGGTTTTGATTCTTTTGATCATAGTATATATCTAGTGCCTAGAACATAACAGGTATTCAATTAATATTTGTTGAATGAAAGAATGACCATGATTTTACTATTTTATGTGATGTTAAAACACATGCTGCTTACATAAGCATTAAACTTTCAGTCTGTCCCTTGTCTGTAAGACTTTCAGCCATCAAGAGCCAAGGGGGCAAGAAAACTGCTCTGTTACTAAATCCTTTAGTTCTGTATTCATTAGACATTTAAATTTGATTCTTCATTCACTTTAAAAATATTGAACAGTCTTAAGAAATATCTTAAGCATAACTGCTCTTCTATCTTCCACCCCTGTCTCCAGTAATCAAAACGATACAGTATGAAATAGGACAGATAAAATACCCTCAAATATCATCTACTGGAGTCACCTGTGTTGAAAATATGATTGTTTCATTTGGAATGGAATATGAATCAACTATGGTTTAGCTCTGCCAGGTTAGTTAAGAAATAAAACAATGAGGGACCTCGCTGAGAAAATATCTTCTTTAAAGGGTGTATTGGAGAAGTAGAATCAGAAAATCAGGTATTTCTTAGTTAATCTTTTATGTCTGAACAATGGTTTGCTTGGTCTCATGTAGATGACTTTATTCTCATTCTATCCTCAGGACTTTCTTCAACGCAGCCTTCATCTCTTTGTTTCGTAAGCTGTAAATCAGGGGGTTTAAGAAGGGGGTCACCACAGAATAGAACAAAGTTATAATCTTCTAAATTGCAGCTGGGTTATCAGTTGTGGGGCTCACATACATTGCCAGTAGGGCCCCAAAGAATAAACACACCACTGTCAGATGAGATCCACAGGTGGAAAAGGCCTTCTGCTGGCCAGCTGCTGAAGGGACTTTTAATACAGCTATCAGTAAAGCATATAGGAGCCACAGATGTACAGAAGAGTGAGAATGATAATGAGGGAGCTCAGGATATAGAAGATAATCTCAGTGATAGGAGCTGAGGCACAGGACAGAGCCATCAGTGGGTCCATGTCACACAAAAAGTGATTGATGATGTTGGGCCCACAGAAAGGCAGTTGAGACAGTTGCACAGTGGAGACAGAGTAACTGAGGAATCCAAACACCCAGCAAAAAGACATCAATATGTAGCAGAGTTGTGGGGTCATGATGGTTGGGTAGTGCAATGGGCGGCAGATAGCAAGGTACCGATCATATGCCATGATGCAGAGGAAGTATGCTTCTATTGTACCAAGGGAAGTAAAAAAGTAGAACTGGAGGAAACAGCCAACAAAAGAGATGGTTTTTGTCTCTGAGAGGAAGTTGACTAGCATGTTGGGTACAGTGGAAGTAACTTACCGGATTTCAAGGAAAGCAAAGTTCCCTAGGAGAATATACATTGGGGTATGAAGCCGTTTGTCCAATCTCACAGCACAGACAATGGTCCCATTTCCTATTATGGTAAATACATAGATCACAAAGAACAGGGAGAAGAGGAAACTTTGCATCTCCTGACAACCAGGAAAGCCAAGGAGAACAAATTCCGTCATAGTGCTTGTCTCTGAATTGTTTGTGAATTCCAGGGCTGTAGAGATGACAGAAAACACCATTTATACAAACAGTTTTGTTTTCTGAAAGACTTGTAGTAAATCTGTGTAAGCTATATATGTTGGCTATTTGGCAATTAGTTTGCAATAACCCATCCACTGACTCCTAACTTTTATTCAGAAGCTACAAATCAACAATGCTAATGATCCCAAATTTCTTTTTTTTTTTTTTTTTTTGAGACGGAGTTTTGCTCTTGCTGCCCATGCTGGAGGGCAATGGTCCAATCTCAGCTCACCACAACCTCCGCCTCCTGGGTTCAAGCGATTCTCCTGCCTCAGCCTCCCGAGTAGCTGGGATTACAAGCATGCACCACCATGCCCGGCTACTTTTGTATTTTTAGTAGAGACGGGGTTTCTCCATGTTGGTCAAGCTGGTCTCGAACTCCTGACCTCAGGTGATCCACCCGCCTCAGCCTCCCAAAGTGCTGGGATTACAGGAGTGAGCCACTGTGCCTGGCCCCAGATTTCTTTAAAATTAGGGTTATAACAATAGAATCTACATTATTCAGATATTTTTCATCAGTGGGTGATTTTTAAGAATTCTCCCTTCCCTTTGAAATTTTGAAAGCTCAGAACCATTATCCTCTATGAAAGCCAGCAAAGTGGCTGTTTGTATTTCTTTTTCCCACCCACAGTTAATTATTTCTAATAAAGCAGCTTGTTAGTTTGACTTAATTTTTAAACCAAGAATTAGGAGTAAAATAACTACTTTTTCTGACATCTTTCCCAAGGTGGAAAATACTTGACATACTTCTCAGATACTTGAGAGCTATGAGTGGCCATTATTCACTCTGTATTAGTGAATTTTAAGTCTAAGCATAGAATCCAAGAGAAAATATCATGGCAATATTTTTCTGGAGAGTAGAGAGTTAATAGTTACCTGAGATTGTTCCTTAAATTTACTTCACACTTTTAAACTTCCCTGTAAATGGAATTTCTACTACCATAAACAAATGCAGAGTTTTGAATCATTTAAACATAAATCTCTCTCATTAAAATAAACAATTTGTTACAATATATTGTTCTGCTACAAGAATTCATTCTTGTACTGTTACATGTTACAGATTGTAGGTTTCGACATCTCGACTGTAATCTCTACTTCCCACCTACAAGAAAGTCAGAATCTAGATAAGTTTGGAAGGTCAATGATCAAAAGTCAAACAGAATGAATAGGTAAAGGAAGTGTAGTATACGCACACAATGGAATACTATTCAGCTTTTAAAAAAGAAGGAAATCCTGTCATTTGTGACAACATGGATGAACCCAGGGACATGGTGCTAAGTGAAAAAAGCCAGGCTCAGGAAGACAAATACTGTATGATTTCACTTATATGTATATGTGGAACCTAAAAAAGTTGAATTTATAGCAGCAGAGAGTAAAATGGTGGTTACAGGAACTGGGAGGTTGGGGAGATGTTGGTCAAAGGATACAAAACTTCAGTTAGATAGAAGAAATAAATTCAAGAGCTCTATTGTATAACATGGATAACTATAGTTAATAATGTATTTTTTTCTTGAAAATTGCTAAGACAGTAGATTTTAAATGTTCTCACCACAAAAAAGTGGTAAGTATATGAGGTAATGCATATTCATTAGCTGGAGGTAGCCATTATACAATGTATACATATTTCAAAACAACATGTTACACATAATAAATATATACAATTTTTTATTTGTTAATTAAAAAAGTCATACATAAATAAACATAGCTCTAAATGTTGCTAATGGTAAATTCTTGCTGAACACATAATATTTTCTTTCACTTGGTGATGAAAGAAAATATATATGTAAAGAATATTCAGTAAGCCTTTTCCAAATGTAAGGATATTTATTAATGTTAAGTTTTTCAATGCATTTCAAATGATCTAAAATGCTTATGTCTTGTTATTTAAATTTATTAATGCTATACTGTTCAAAATTTACCAAAATACTGTACTTGTTTTTTATAATTATAAACATAAAAGGTATAGAAAAAGACAAAAAAAATCTACCTCCCAGAGAAAACAAATTTTAACTCTTTGGAGGAGTGTGTTCTTCTCTTCTTTATAATTAAAATGGAAATTTTCAAAATTAATTGTTTTATAATTTGTTTTTAAACTTAATCTGTCTTTTTTCCATGTCAAAAATATAGCTCTGAATCATCAACTCAATGGCTTCATTGTTCTTCTTGTCTATACATTCAATCGACCCTCTAATGACAGATTCAGGTTGTTATCAATGTTTTCTATTATAATCACCACTGTGATTAATATTCTTGGACGTATATCTTAGTACAGTTTGACCCATAAAGCCTGAGCTTATCAAGATTTAAAAAATTAATAATTACACTTGTCAATATAGGATGTCTTAGATTTTGATGATGATTTTAGATATCCTTTTGATACCTATCATATATTAAAGTCAGCAAGACAAAACTCTGTAACATATAAGATAAATTTCCTGTTTAATATTTACGTAGCATGTTATAAATTTTTCTACTAGAGCGTGCACCATAACGACCAAATCATATGGTTTCGTGTTACCCTCTAGACTGAAAATGTCTATAATTCACAAATGATGTTTAATTTATCTTTCATTTCTCAGATGACTCAGTTTCTGGTACACAGTAGGCACTTGTTGAATAAATTAATGGTTGGGTGAATTTCAGGCTTGCCAACCCTGCCACCAAAAAGCTAATCTGAGTTTATGAACATCACCATCACTGAGTCCTCAGTCTGAACGTCACTGGGCAGTCTTGTGTAACTTGTCAGTTTGGTCACATTTAGCAAAATCACATTTAAACCTTGTGATCCACTAATTCCACCTTGCCTTATGACCCTGTCATTTGTGAGCATCCCACTCTAAATATTGGCCTCTCTAGTCATTTATATTTTTAAACATGTAGTCACCATTTTGCCCAGTATTTATCTTTATTCCATCTTTTTCTTTGTAAGAGCTCCCACTTTGTACTTGCTTTTTAGCGAATGGCTCCACTCTTCGTTCACCAATCCAGTTAGCATTTGCTAAAGCCAGAAACTTGAGAAGCACTGAAGGAACCTTTTAATTCTGTCACCTCCCATATGCTGTCAATCTCCAAATCCTGTTGATTTTCCTTCTCAAAGTGTGTGTATATCTATATCTATAGATATAGATATATACATAGATATACATAGATATCTATATCTATAGATATAGATCTATACATAGATATAGATATATACATAGATATACATGTATATACATAGATATACATAGATATAGATATATATAGACTCACTCCAGTAATACTTAATGAAGTAATCCTGTTATATAAGGTACTTACTTAAAATAAATGATAAAATCAGATTGACTTGGGTTCAAATACTGTACAGCATACTATGTGCCTCTAGGCAAGTTACCATTGTTTTGCTGAGCTTTTGTGAAAGTATTGTTGAAGTACAGTTTCCTAGTACATGTTGTAGTGCCTAGTGCAGTTCCTGGAATATATTAGGACCTGCAACATTCATAGCTGTTAGTGTTCATAATAATACTACTAATAAATATAATTACAAAGTTACTAGGATAATTTTTTAGCAGAATCATTTAAAAACCTAAATGAAAAACAATAAATTAATTTTTAATTTTTATTTATTTATTTGTTTATTTTTGAGACAGGGCCTTACTCTATCACCCATGCTGGAGTGCAGTCGCGGGATCATAGTTCATTGCAGCCTTGACCTCCCAAGCTCAAGCGATCCTACTGCCTTAACCTCAGTAGCTGGGATGATAGACGTATGCCACCATGCCAGGCTAATTATTAAATGTTTTGTAGAGACATGTTCTCATCATGTCTCTAGCCTAGGGAACATGATGAGAAGCTTTCTCTACAAACCTTTGGCCCCTCAAAGTGCGGAGATTATAGGCGTGAGCCACTGCACCCGTCCAATGAATTTAAGTGAACCTGAATGACTAGATTAAAAAGTCATATGTCATTCAAATATGAATATTTCATGTTCATATTATCTCATAGTGAAGCTATGGGCAGCTCCTTTTAGTTGGTCAGATTCATTTTTTCGACCTTCTTGTATATTCTGGCACTTAGAAACATACAGGTCGGTCTAACATAAAGAAGACATAAAAACACAGTAGTATTAATAATTCAAAAGGCAGAAGATAAAGTATTAAAGGAAGGGCATTACATTTCCTGGGATGTGCATAAAAGTAATGGGAATAAGTTATATTTAATCAGAGGCATTGTAGAAAGTGAGTTATTAAGCATGACTTCTAATACCAAATTATGTAATTTATCAAATTTCCAAATAATGAGGCATTCCTTTGCAAATAATTAGGCAAGAACGTTTAAGGAAGTGTTCAGCTGAGGAGGATCTGGGTAGCTGGGCACAGATGTCAACAGTTCATTACAACACTTATACTGGAGATGCGGTGCATGAAATCACACGTCTAGAAACTCACAAAATTTTGCAAAAATATGTTCATATTATAAAGGCATTTCACTGGAGCTAGCATCCATGTGTAGATGTCTTAGAAGAAGTCAAGTGAATCCTAGACAGGGGAAAAAGTTACTTACCCTTCATGATAGAGTCCTAGGAATACAAACCGAGCCTGTGCCTTCTCATTGATACATCTCTTTGCCTTATGTGGACTCAAAACCTGGAGCCTGACCCAGAGAATCCTAGGATATATAAAGGTAACTGTTGAAACTCCCTTTTCTCCTTTCCTGAAGTGCTCAAAAGGAACACTTACAGGTAATTCTTTGGGTAACAGTTATAGCCAGAGGAAAGAAGCACACTCCTCCTATGGTCAGCCCTTGAGGTTTAGGCCTCGACTGACAGGGTGGTTATTTTCATCAAGGGCTACATAAAGGACCTCAGTCACCTCCGGGCACCCAGACCTTCCAATTGTCTCATCCAGCAGAGAAAGGTCAACAGGTGAGTTTTATATATGAATTACTTTTGTGGCAGAATAGTGCCACAAAAGCAGTGGCATATGAACCTCATGAAGAGATTTCAGAAAGAGGGTGCAGGTGAATGAAGAAATGTGTCACTGTGATTCAGGGGTGCAATTAAAGTTTTGTCTTGGAGATTATTGTGATGACTTCAGTCTTCCCTTGGGCTGGTTTATGACTCCCTCAAGAGTCCTTGGCATAGCATCCTTTCTTCCATCCACAGTTTTCATGTAGTTTAGGGCAAATTGGACCCCAGAGCAAAGGCAAGAAGAATGTTTTGAAAGGCAATGATGAGACGTCTGTGTGGAATTCGAGATAACTTCTTTTTGTTCATAGGAAAAGTTATAAAAACTAATTTCTAGAAAATCAGTTGTAATGTCCTCATTTAATTTCTAATTTTTGTTGAGTCTTCTTTTTTTCTTAATCTAGCTAAAGTCTTGTCCACTTAGTTTATCTTTTTGAATAACAAACTTTTGGTTTTGTTCATTTTCTCTACAGTTTTATATTTTCACTTCATTTATCCCTGCTGTAATCTTCATTATTTCCTACCATTTGCTAGCTTTGAATTTAGTTTGTTCTTCTTTTTCTAGTTTCTTATGGCATAAAGTTAGGTTTTTGAGTTGAGATTTTTCTTCTTTTATAATGTAAGCCTTTATAGCTATAAATTTCTCTCTTAGTGCTGCTTTCTTTTCATCTTGTAAATTTTGGTATGTTGTGTTTTCATTTTTATTTGTCTCAAGATACTTTATAATTTCCCTTGTGACTTCTCTGACTCATCGCTTGGTTTAGATTGTGTTGTTGAATATCCACATATTTGTGGATATTTCTTTTTGCTGTTGATTTACGGTTTTATTCCATTGTGATTTGAGAAAGATAGGTACGATTTTAATCTTTCAAAATGATTAAGGCTGTTTTGTGACTTAACATTTCATGTAGGCTGGAGGATTAAAATATTTTACTTAAAAATTTTGAGTTGTGTCCATTCATAAAATGAAACAAAGGAAAAAGAGGATGGCAAAGTCTTTAATAGAAAGCCTACAGCCTGGGCAACATAGAGAGACCCAATTTCTAAAAAAAAAAAAAAAAAAATTAGCCAGGCATGGTGGCATGTGCCTGTGGTCCCAGCTACTTGAGAGGCTAAGGTGGGAGGATTGCTTGAGCCCAAGAGGTTGAGGCTGCAATTAGCTGTGATCATACCACTGTATTCCAGCATGGGTGACAGGGTGAGATACTATCTAAAAAAACCCCCAAACTGCAAACAACAACAACAAAAAGAAAGCCTAACACCTTTGAACTAAAAAAAAAAAAAAAAAAAAAAGATGAAGAGATTGCTAGTGTAATGGGGAAATTGAAGAAAATTCAAACGAGAGCTAAACCATGGCCACAAACTTCCAGGGATGAGTGATTCCCTTCTGAGTGGCATCAGGTCTAGCTCTGGTTCATCCTTACCTGAGGATGAAGACCATTAGAGCACCAGCTTTTTGTGACCACCCCCTCCCCACCAGCACCAGGTTCCTATTTCTATCTCCTCAGCCAGGAATTGTCCTGAAGCATAAGGATATGAACTACAGTCAAGTGCTCTCTGAGCATGAATGGCCTTAGTGCTCACCTCTCAGGCTTTCATAAAAAAATGACTTAGCCATTTTCTATTCTCTCTTCAGATTGTCAATGTTTTTAAGTTTTTTTTTAAATTTAGTATTTTTATTTGATCACAGCAAGATGGTAGATCGAAGCAATTCAACATTCTATTACTAAAATCTATATTTACTTAACATTTTAAATAATATCTCTCTTTTGTATTCAATTTATATTATTACTATTATTATTGTTATTTTTTGAGATGAAGTTTCACTCTTGTTGCCCAGGCTGGAGCACAATGGCATGATCTCAGATCACTGGAAGCTCCACCTCCCGGGTTCAAGGGATTCTCCCGCCTCAGCTTCCCAAGTAGCTGGGATTACAGGCATACGTCACCACACCCGGCTATTTTTTTTTTTGTATTTTTAGTAGAGACAGGGTTTCACCATGTTGGCCAGGCTAGTCTCGAACTCCTGATCTCAGGTGATCCACCCACCTCGGCCTCCCAAAGTGCTCGGATTATAGGCATAGCCACCACGCCCAGCCTATATTATATTTTATGGTCATACTTGCTTTGTCTCTGGGACCTTAGTAGTAACCACTAGCAGTGGTTGATTATACGATGGTGTAAAATAATTTCTAGAAGCACTTCTATTCTGTAACCTGAGGTGCACTTGCAAAAAGACAATGCCTGTGCTGTGCTTACAACCTCTTTCACACAAGTTCCATACTTACATACATGCAGCTTCTCGTGAGCTTCCACTGTAATTAGGCCTTCCCCTCTCACTGAACTTTTGCTACTTAACAAAAAGAAAACCTTCCAATTTTCTCGATCACAAGACTGTGAATCCTATGAGGGAAGAAAATGTGTCTTATATACCTTTGTCTCAAATTTATTTCCTGGCTCAATGTTTGGTACATTGCAGGTGCCGAACAAGGGCAATAAAAATCAGTAATTGAAAAATAAGGGAGATGATGTCTAAATATAACTGTGATAAAACTCGTTAAAGTTTTATAACAGTATATTTACACAAGCCCTAAGATGAGGAAGCTGTATCTCAGGTTTTTTCTAAAGTACGAAACTATCTGAGTGAAATTATGTTAAGGGGCTCTGAAGACCTCGCTTCAACATTTCTATCAATAAACAGGCTCCTAAGGAACCCTAGAATTGCGGGAAAAAATGATTTTCCAAATCTAATGATCAGAAAGTTCTCCTAGAAAATTGTTCTTTGTTGGCCGGGTGCAGTGGCTCACGCCTGTAATCCCAGCACTTTGGGAGGCCGAGGTGGGTGGATCACCTGAGGTCAGAAGTTCGAGACCAGCCTGGCCAACATGGTGAATCTCCATCTCTACTAAAAATACCAAAAATTAGCCAGGCGTAGTGGCGGGCACCTGTAATCCCAGCTACTCAGGAGGCTGAGACAGGAGAATCATTTGAACGTGGGAGGTGGAGGTTGCAGTGAGCCGAGATGGCGCCATTGCACTCCAGCCTGGGCAACAGGAGCTAAACTCCATCTCAAAAAAAAAAAAAAAAAAAAAAAATTGAAAATTGTTCTTTGTTTAAAGAACTTACTCATATAACCAAACATCACCTGTTCCCCAATAACCTATGGAAATAAAAAAATTTTACAAAATATGTTTTATTATTTTTTCAATGCATAATATAGGCACATGATAAAGAATTTGAACGCACAAAAGGAGTTATGAAAAAAAAGTCTCCTTTACTATCTTGTTCCTTAGACACAAAATTCTTCTTGCCTGAAGCAACCATTGTTATCAGTTTTTTGGAGCTCTTTCAGGAGATATACACATTTCCATGGAAGGCAGCTACAATACACTCTGCTATTCACTTTGCTTTTTTCATTTAACAGTGTGTCTTGGACATATTATATATCATTGCATATGGAACTGCTTCATAGTTTATAAATTGAAGACATAATATTCCATGGTATAACTCACCATAGCTCATTTTACTAGTCTTCTATTAATGGGAACTGATGTTTTTCTCAATATTTTGCTATTACAACAATGCTGCAGTAAACATTTCCCACATGTGTAAAAATATCTGTAGGTTAAACAACTTAAAAGTTGAGGTGCTGTTTTAAAGGATATGTGTCTTCTAAATTTTGATAGAGGTTGCCTTGTCACCCTATATAGAGTTTGTAAAGCTGATACGCCCACCAGCTAAGTGTGAGAGAACCCATTTCACAATCCTCAGACACGCAATGTGTAATCAAACTTCTTGATCTTTGTCAATTTAATAGATAAAAAGTGAGATATATTTATAGGCTTATTCTACTTTTACCTTTTTATGAATTAGTTAGTGCCCTTTCCATGTTTAAGAATCTTTTTCTGGATGTTATTCGTTTATATCCTTTTGCTCATTTTCTTACTGGGATACTGTTCTGTTCTCTTACTATTTTACAGAGCTTCGTTTATATTAAGGAAACAAACTTATTGTGATATGACTGGCAAATAAGTGAGAAGTCCTAAAGAGAAATTCAGGGTTACTTTTCAAAGCAAAGGGAACTTGGGCTAGTTAAAAGGGTGGTGGATAGGAACTTTTTTTTTTTTTTTTTTTGGAATTAAGTCATTATCCTCAGCAAATTGCTCCCTGATTCCCAATTCCTATTTATTTAACCTGAAAAACAGGTATTTGGATTAGTGAAGACACTTCAATCATAGCATGACCTTTCACTCCAGGCCTAGGGGAAAGTTCAAGGAGAACTAGCCCAAGCTTCTAATACAAATTCTGGGTGACTATTTTTACTGATCTACAATTACTGGGTGCCTTCCATTAAAAAAAGGCCAAAATCTGTGGTCCTGATTTTATCATTTATTTTACCATAGGTAACCTTTCCCCTGCTTCCTGCAGGGGAAGAGTCCTCAGGGATTCTTTGCTGGTTGCAATGAAAAGAAAAGCAGGTGTGCATCCCAGATTTGTGTTTATGCCAGCCTCTATATCCACCTGTCTCTCTGATTTGTGGGCTTTTGAAGACACATGCTACATGATAATCTCCTGAAAGTGAAGGAAGAAGTGAGAATGTATGGAATCTAGATAGAATAGAAAAAACTTTCTGGTCATGACTGAAAAACTTGTACTAAACCCAAAATAATTTCTATCAACAGTAAAATCTGGACAAAATACATAAAACAACCATTTGAAGGCACTCAGAGCAACTGACATAGGCAAGCCTTCATGGGCTACAGTCCAAGATGAAGGGAAGAAAAGGGAGGTGAGTTTCACATTCCCCATGTGTATTTCCCTGAGGATATTTGACCATTTACTGGGTTGGGAGAGTATGAGGAAAGGAGGAATAAGGACTGAGCAGAAAGCAGTAGTTTTACTGAACTGAGAAGGTAGAGAATTTGAAAGTTGCCAAAGCACCTGGCGTTTGAGAAATCCTGGAGAGGGAAGGACCACAGAAGCTAGGCTAAAAATATGATGCAATTCCCCTTCAAGGCATTTTTGGATTTCTAAGCTGTGTGTACACGGTGAGACCCCAAAATAGCTAGCAGAAACAAAAGCTGAGAGTCTAAAGAGCAAAGCGGAAGTTTCAGGAGTCATGGGGTTCAAGAAGTACTGAAATAGGAGGCTAGGATCAGCTGAAGCGGAGGGACCTTCTAAACAGTCCAGATTTGTCCCTGAGGTCTCAGAAAGGCTATGTTCCTGCAGTAAGAGCCACACCCTAAGAGTAAAACTAAAACGAGCACAGATCATTTTAAAAACACATACAAGTAGTGCTTAAATAGAATCAATGTGATCTGCCTCTACTCCATCTACTTGCTAGAACAAAACCTTCATTACTGCATATATTGTCTTTATAGTTTTTAAAATACAATGCCCACCAGTCAATTAAAAAACATTGAGGCATGTTACACAACTGGGCAAATAATCAAGATCTGAAAGGAGAAATAACAGAAACATGCTCACAGGTATTTTAGCTTTGGCCAATAGTAAGATGAACAATTAACTGTATAAGACCAGTTTTTTTTTTTTTTTTTTCCTGAGACAGAGTCTCGCTCTGTCGCCCAGGCTTGAGTGCAGTGGCGCGATCTCGGCTCACTGCAAGCTCCGCCTCCCGGGTTCACGCCATTCTCCTGCCTCAGCCTCCCGAGTAGCTGGGACTACAGGCGTCCGCCACCACGCCCGGCTAATTTTTTGTATTTTTTAGTAGAGACAGGGTTTCACCGTGTTAGCCAGGGTGGTCTTGATCTCCTGACCTCGTGATCCACCCGCCTCGGGCTCCCAAAGTGCTGGGATTACAGGCGTAAGCCACCGCGCCTGGCCAAGACCAGTTTTTTTTTTAAACCCCAAAATTAAAGACAAGATTAATTACGCAAGGACCTTTTTGATTAACATTTTATGTTCCCCAAAATTTCTTCAGAGCTTTTCTCATATCTTTGTTCCTAAGACTATATATCACAGGGTTAAGCAGTGGGGTAACAACAGAATAAAACAGAGTCACAGTCTTCTGCTTTCCAGCTTCATTCTTAGATGGTGGGCTCCCATACATGACCAGTACTGAGCCGTAGAACAGTGAAACCACAGCCAGGTGAGACCCACAGGTGGAGAAAGCCTTTCTTCTCCCAGCTGCTGAAGGGACCCTCAACACAGCTCTCACGACCAGAGCATAGGACCCCACAATGAAGAGAAAGAGCATAAAGACAGGCAGAGGACTTAAGACAGAAAAGACAAGCTCTATCACAGGGCCTTTTTTGCAAGTGAGAGTTAGAAGAGGAGCTGGGTCACATAGGAAGTGGTCAATAATCCTAGATCCACAGAAGGACATTTGGGAGATGTTGACGATAGGAATCAAGAACCAGATGAAACCAAGTACCCAGCAATTGACCACAAGATTGGTACAGAGACGTCTGGTCATAATGGTTGGATAGCGTAGAGGCCGACAGATGGCAAGGTATCGATCAAATGCCATAACTGCCAGGAAAAAGCATTCTGTAGAGCCCAAGGAGAAGAAAAAGTAGAACTGGAGGAAGCAGCCAGAGAACGAGATGATCTTGGTGTCAGAGAGGAAGTTGGCCAGCATGCTGGGGACTGTGGAGGTGACATAACATATCTCCAAGAAGGAGAAGTTGGCGAGCAGGATGTACATGGGGGCGTGGAGTCTCTGATCCCAGTGCACAGCACAGATGATGGAACCATTGCCCATGAGGGTCAGGAGGTAAACAACAGTGAAGAGCACAAAGAGGAGGATCTGCCCCTCCCTGGGGCAAGGGAAGCCCAGGAGGATGAAGCCAGTGAAGGTGCTGGAGTTGCTGGGGCTGTTGAAGATTTTCATGTGCCTGTGAATTGTAAAAGCACCAGCAATTACTGAATGACGGTGCAAACATAGATGGGGAATCAGATTTATATTTAAATCATTTTGGGAAAGAAAATGCATAAATTTACTATTGAAATAAAAGTAAAAAGTAAAAAACAGAATGCAGATATGTCAATAGTCACTTTTTTTCTTTTAAACTGACGTATTGATCTGGATTGATTCTTTGCTCGCGTTCACATTTTTACCATAGGCTCAAGAAAACTTTTGACCAAAATTGATAAGCTGTCATTTACATTTTACTAGGTGTAAAGCCATTATAATTTTCAGGCATGTTTACAACACTTTCCTTCAAGAGCCTTTGTATAAATATATAACAGAATATGTATTTATGGATATATTCTTACACAAATGAATTTCATTTTCAGACGGTGAAATCATTGCAGCTTTTTGTGGCAGAGACTGAGTGAAACTGTGTAGCCATGTAATATGAGACCATAAAACTGTTTGAATTACTTCTTTTATGTCACTTTTGACACTGGCCTTATTCTAAATTAAATGGTTAACTTATTAACTTAATAATATCATTCACTTGTTTCATGAGTAACACAGTCAAATCAATTAGAGGAAATTAGCTGTTGTCAGTTTCTTTTGTGTTAGGACAGCAGTCCTAGCCATCCTCAGTAGACCAGGCTGAAAGAATTAACTGGCCATGCTGAAACACGTCTGTGCTTGCCGTGAAGAATATATAAATTTGCCTAGACTATAGTTAAAGATATAATTCTATTCCAATAATACAAATTATGGATACAATTGATAACATGCAATTCTAAATAACAGTGGGTTTGTAGGCGATATTAGACTAAAGCTGTGGTCCATCTCCCAGTAACCACTTAGGAACATCTCAAGGCAGAGTGGCTTTTGAAGGCTGAATATCTGCATGATGCCTTTCATTTGTTTTAAATGAATTAGAATATCTTTGTGAAACAATCATGTAATCAAGCCTTGGAATTAGTTAGAGCCCTTTCTAAATAAGCGCATAAGTGAGCAAACTAAAGAAAGTTTGTGTCCCTCCTTCTATGTTTAGATCCACATTTTGCTTTTTGAAGTTGGCACAGGGACCCAGGAAGTTTTAAGGTAGCAGAATCTGCTGCCCCTAAACATGCCACTTTGGCATAAGATTATTTCCAGCTGAAGGCAATTGAGAAAAAGCAGATACAAGAAAAGCTCTCTGTCTTCCCCCTATTATTTGCATAGAAACAGGATAACTTTGCAAGGGTAGCCTTCCTCTCCTCTCTACCAGGGAGGACGAGGTAAAATTACCAGAGACAACTGTAAACCCTTTCCGCCTGGAGATGGCACCAGAGGAATCTATATAACAATTTTTACCAACTTTAGTCTGTATCTTCCATTAGTTTGTCCATAATATTTATTTTCCCACAGTTTCCCACCCTAGAAATGCAAAGTCCTTTTTCTTTGTCTTGTCACTTCTCTAAAAAAATTATTATTCTTTAGCTGAGATGCTATGTAAGCCTAACTTCTAACCACACCTTTGAGTTACTCATCTCCCAGTGCTCCCATGTGTATTTATGATGCGTATGCTCATAAACTTATGTTTGTTTTTCTCTTGTTGATTTGTGTTTTGTCAGTCTTACTTATAAGGCCCCAGCCGAAGAACCTAGATAGGAGAAAAAAAATTTTTTCCTCCCCTGCAGAGTCTACTAATTTCTTAGCAGAATATTTAAATTCTGTATAACTTATAAGACCAAAAACAAAAGATGCCGGCAGCAAGTTGACATCCTTTTCAAGTACAGATGTGAGTACTTAGAGGTTTATGTTGGAAGAATTCAGTTTTGTTGGTGATGGGGTGAACTGAGGGAGAAATTTTAACACAATCCATAATGATTTATTTATTTATTGAGATGGAGCCTTGCTCTGTCACCCAGGCTGGAGTGCAGTGGCACAATTGCAGCTCACTGCAATGTCCGCCTCCTGGGTTCAAGCAATTCTCGTGCCTCAGCCTTATGAGTAGCTGGGATTACAGGCACAAGCCACCAGCCCGGCTAATTTTTGTATGTTTAGTATAGATAAGTTTCATGTCATGTTGGCCAGGCTGGTCTTGAACTCCTGACCTCCAGTGATCTGCTCCCTTCGACCTCCCAAAGTGCTGGGATTACAGGCATGAGCCACTGCGCCCAGCCACATAATTTTTTAAAACACCCTATAGGTCATTTGTAACTCAGGATTCCCTAATTCCCGTGACATGGAGGATGCCTGGAGACAAAAGAGTCTCCACAGTTTCTGTCAGACTCTATTTTAACATATATAAGCAAAATAAGGATTAAATGTACTTGGCTTTTGGTGGGAATAGGGTGGAATAGGTTCTGGTAACTGTACCATAAACTTCTATTTTCTATAAGTTTTTTCTTTTCTGCTTCTCCACTTTTAAAGTCATTTGTTTAGGGGCCCAGAAAACTTCTGAGACTGCATATTTATCTTTTATAAAGGGAACTCAAAGCAGACAGTGGACGGGTCTAATTATTTTCTAAAATAAAGTCACTCTGCACCAGTTTCACTCATGATTAAGGACATTAAGCATTTAGTCATTTCTATGTCACACCTTTGCCTTTGTAGGGTGTTTTAAAAGTTACCTTAGCTTCACACGAGCCATTCATGGCTAATGAATAAAACTAATGAATTACTAATGAATAAAAACACACAAAAAAGAATTCTGCTATGATGTGTGAAGGTCCTTCATGTTTTCTAAAAAAGATTAAGTGTATATGACTAGTACTAATTCAGAGGAATATAACTTTATTATGATCAATTAAGAACAACTCTTACTAATAATGCTTAGGCATTTTTGACCAGGATTTTTTTGCTAGTGTTCCTAAAATTTTATTTTAGGGGTAAGCATCTGCTCAACAGTCGAATAATTTGACTTCTTGGATTAAATGTTTAATCAATTTTTTTCTGATGGAACTTATTTCAATGTAGTATCTCCTTCTTTTCCTCTACCCTCACATCTCATTCACAAATAATTCCTTTTAGTTTTGTCTCAAAAATAAGTCTCATGTCTGCTCACTTCTCCCCATCTCCACTGCCAACATCCTAGTTCAAGCTATTCTCTTTTCTCCCCTGGACCATGTGATGCTGCTGTTCTAACTGGCTTCCTGTTTCCACTCTTGCCTGTCTGTAACTTGTTTTCCATGCCACAGCCAGAGTAACTCCTTAAAGAAAGAAAATCAGACCAGTTCCTTTCCTTGCACATAGATTTCAATTAGCTTCCCAATGCTCTTTGAATAAAATAAAACTTTGAAAATGTAATCTTTGGTTTGACCCTTCATAATATTTCCAACATCATCTCATGATTCTATTATTCAAACTTTCTCTCTCTCACACACATACACACAAACACACACTCTGTTGTACAAAGTAGGCACAAAGATGCTCCACTAACACAAGCGCTGCAAATATAAAATAAGGATTCACTGGAGAAAACACTCGCAAGCAGAGGGTAACAGAGTGTACATCATTCCCTGGGCTCTCCTGCTCCCACTGAGGGGTGTGCACGTTTGGACTACACACACACTAGCCAACAATTCCATACCGAGGGATTCCATCTCTGTGATACTCACACCAGGGTCAGCAAACATTTTCTTAAATAGTTTAGTCTCATGGGCTCTATAGTCTCTGTCAAAACTACTCAGCTCTGCTGTGTACTGCAAATGCAACCATACATAATATGTAAGTGAATGTATGTGCCTATGTTGCTATAAAACTATTATGTCTACTGAAATGTGAATTTCATATAATTTTCATGTGTCACAAAATCTCATTTTCTATCAATTTTTAAACATATTAAAAATGTAAAATCTATTGTTAACTTGCTGGCCCTACAAAAATAGGCAGCAGGCCAGGTTTGGCACATTGGATATAGTTTGCTAACCCCTACTGTACACATTTATAGGGAAAACAGAACAAGGAACATCCATTTGACTGTGGAACAACAGAAGCTCCTTGGTGAGGCAAATACCTTTGTTAGAAACAGAGAGGAACTTGTAACCCCTGTGTTTTAGGAGGCCGAGGCAGGAGGATCACTTGAGCTCAGGAGTTCGAGACCAGCCTGGCCAACATGGCAAAACTTCGTCTCTACTAAAAACACACAAATTAGCCAGGCTTGGAGGCACGCACCACCTGTAATCCCAGTTACTCGAGAGGCTGAGGCACAAGAATTTGCCTGAACCCAGGAGGCAGAGGTTGCAGTGAGCTGAGATTGCACCACTGCACTCCAGCCTTGGCAACAAAGTGAGACTCTGCCTCAATACAACCCCCAAAACAAAAACCAAAACAACAAACAAAACAAAACAAAAAACAAACAGAGGGGACTTCTAGAGGTGAAAGCTGGAATCAGTCTGTTCTGCTGAACTAACTCAGACCTCTGGGCCAACTTTCAGCTAAATTATGTTTCCAAAGCCATTGGAATTTGCCTCTCTGACTGTCTCCTCTCTATACACATGCATGCACACACATAACATGTACACCCTTCCTCCTCAAAACTTCAGCAATATAACACTGGCCTTCTTTCAGTTTTTACAAACAGCCGGGTACTTTCAGGACTCAGGATTTTTGCTCTTGTACTTCAAGTTCACTCTTTATCGCCAGTGCCCCACATAGTCTGAGGAAGATAATAGGTATTTCTCAAATATTTGTTAAAAAATGATTGTCTACACTGTTATAGAGGATATAGATAGACAATACATCGATAGATATTTACCAATTACTTCATTGAACTTCAAAATGAAGGAGAGATGAAATTTGAGGAAATGAAATATATAAGAGAGACTTCAAATTACCCTAGGCTACTAGAGTGTTGTCCTAGACTTGAGAGGAATTCCATTCAAAGGAAGCCATGGGAAATCGAATGTTCTGGGTGATAGAACATGTCCCATCCCAGAGAGTTTCTTCCTGACTGCTAAAGATAATTATTGTTCCACAGCTTTGGATATAGAATTAGGACAGAGCTAGAGGGAAATTCTAGCTTCAGTATTGCAACAAAGTTGTGGAGGGGTTCTAGTAGTCTTTTAACCTGTATAAGCTTCATTTTCTTTATATGAAATGGGAGTTGGATTATATGATTTTTGATTCCTTTTCATTATGAAATACTATTATTCCAAGTATCCCACATGTATACATGATATGAAGACTTTATGGATCTAGAGGTGATGTTTGTTGCATTTGTCTCTCAGATGAAAATGCCATTTGGGGGCTGGGCTTGGTGGTTCACACCTGTAATCCCAGCTATTTGGGAGGCCGAGGCAGGAGATCACCTGAGGTCGGGAGTTTGAGACCAACCTGGCCAACATGTTGAAACCTCGTTTTTACTAATACTACAAAAATTAGCCGGGTATGGTCATATGTGCCAGTAATCTCAGCTACTTGGGAGGCTGAAGCAGGAGAATCAACTGAACCCGGGAGGCAGAGGTTGTGGTGAGCCGTGATCGTGCCACTGCACTCCAGCTTGGGTGACAGAGTGAAACTCTGTCTCAAAAAAAAAAAAAAAAAAATGCCAGTTGGGTAGTTTGACATTTATACACGAAGGCAAAATTTCCAGGCAAGTTCCCCCTCAGGGCAATTTTTCGACTTTGAGAGTCTAACAAAGCTGCCCTAGAAAACAAGAAGGGTGTGAAAATGATTCTCTGTGTGCTGTCACCATTTGACGCTTGACTTAAGTAGATCAAGAGCGTGTGACAGAAAAAAGATATTTCTAACAAGAGTGTAATGTTACTCACCTTTTATTACCTAGCTCCTCTGTACAGAGAGCAGCAGCAGTGTTTACCTGGCACAGGGCTAAACTGGAGCTGTCCAAAGTGGCAGGCAGATTCCCCCGAGTTGGTTACAGAAGCAAGTGTGAATACAGGTTCAGTGGTGTTAAAGCTGTGGATGCTGTACAGGATGCTTGGATTGGGTCAATTAACTTTCCAAACAAGAAAACAACAGCTTCACCCTCATTATATCTCAGAAATGTTGGATTAGACCCACATTAAGTTAGCCAGCTCCTGTGCTATAATACATAATATGAGACAAAAGCATTTCTCTGATGTTTTACTTTTTCCCCAAGGCTAGCTCAAAAAGGCAGTGTGGATCGGAAGCATTATTGTTCTGATCTCAGCAGCACACATCCATCTGCTTCACTTGATTTTGACTACATATCATTACACCTATTTACTTTCTGCAAAGTCCTTGAAAATAAGAACAGCTTTTCCCTTTATGAGAAGGGGTAGGCAACTCAGGCATAGTAGAAAAACAGTGGATTTGAGTAAGGAGCCTAGGACTTGAATTACAACCTAGGCTTTACCAATCCTGGAAACTTTGTCCATTGCATCATCTCCTTTCATGGACAAAAGGGGATCACAAACCTGAAGTTTCTCTGAGACTGTCTGATTGTCCTGGAGAGGAGAGGTAGCCTTTTCTATGTTAGCCATCAAAGAATGAAGGAGCAGAAATAGGGAGAAGGTCTCTTGGTGTTTGCTGGAGGATGGAGGCATTATGAACAGAGCCCTCAGGGAGTGAGCTCTGGTCCTGTGCTCAGTGAGGATCAATTTACCAGCTAGAGGAACAGTGTCAGGAGACTGTTCTGTGCTGGTTCTTTCCTTCCTCTGGGGCCTCCGTTCTCTGGAGATCCTTGGTGCCTCCTGCCTTTGTTTTCCAGTAGAGAAGAAAATATCTTTTCCAGCCTCCAAATTGTCAGGGATGGTATGAGATATAATCAGTCTTCAAGCTCACTCAGAGCACCTACCAGGTATCCAAGGGAAAGTCTACCAAAGTAACACAGGGTGTTATGGCTGTGATGCAGAAAGCTGTTCACTGGGCCTCTAGTGAGTGGTGTCAGTTATGGGTTTTGGGGACAGAGTTACCTCTGATTTTTTTGAGAAAAAAGAGATGGCTGGATTTGTGATGAGATCTCAGGCATAGAGGGCAGTGTAATGACAGCAGGAATCCATCTCCTCTCAGGACCACCATGATTTTCTTATAGACCTTTTCCTTTCTTGCTTGGGGTTGAGGTCTGTGACTCCCAAGCAGTTGCTTCTCAGGGCACACTTGCCAGGCCCAGGAGAGGCCAGAGCAGGGCACTAGCTCTTCCCCAGCAGTTGCATCTGAAGTTGGGCTCTAAGCCTTTCTCATCCCTGATGCAGGTGCAGGTCTTTCAGCACAACTCATTTGCTGTCCTTCTATCTCCAAATATGGAAGAAGTTTTATCTCAAAGACTTAGTTAATTTTACTTCCTCCTTTCAGCAGCTTTGATTTTTTTTCTCTGTTGACAGCATTAGATCTAAAATTGGCAAATAAAACCCCCTATGATTCAGCTCTAACATATTATTATGTTTTAAAATTTTAACTTTTATTTTAGATTCAGGAAGTACACGTGCAGGTTTGTTACATGGTTATATTGTGTGATGCTGAGGTTTGGGATGTAATTGATCCTGTCACCCAGGTAGTAGGTACCTAGTAGTACCTACTAAGCATAGTACTTAGTAGGTAGCTTTTTAGCCCTTCATCCCTTCCCTCCTCATCTGGTAGTTTCCAGTGTCTATTGTTGCCATCTTTATGTCCATGTGCACCCTCTGTTTAGCTCTCACTTGTAGGTGAGAACATGTGATATTTGGTTTTCTGTTCCTGTGTTAATCTGCTTAGGATAATGATTTTCAGCTGCACCCATGTTGCTGAACAGGACATGATTTCATTGTTTTTCATGGTTGCATATTATTCCATGGTGTATATGTATCACATTTTCTTTGTACAACCCAGTGCTAATGGACGCCTAGGTTGATTCCATGTCTTTGCTATTGTGACTAGTTCTGTGATGAACATATGAGTGCATGTATGTTTTGGTAGAATGATTTATTTTCCTTTGGTTATATATCCAATAATGGGACTGTTGGGTAGAATGGTAGTTCTAAGTTTTTTGAGAAATCTCCAAACTGCTATCCACAGGGGCTGACCTAATTTACATTTCCACCAGTAGTGTATAAGCATTCCCTTTTTCTCTGTAGTCTCACCCATACATACTGTTTTTTGACTTCTTACCCACAGCCATTCTGACTGGTGTGAGAGGATATCTCATTGTGGTTTTAATTTGTATTTCTCTGATCATTAGTGATGTTGAGAGCATTTTTAAAACTATGTTTGTTGGCCACTTGTATATCTTCTTTTTTTTGGGATGGAGTCTCATTCTGTTGCTCAGGCAGGAGTACAGTGGCACGATCTCAGCTCACTGCAACCTCTGCCTCCCAGGTTCAAGCAATTCTCCTGCCCCAGCCTCCCAGGTAGCTGGGATTACAGGCGTGCAATGCCACGCCCAGATAATTTTTGTAATTTTAGTAGAGGTGGGGTTTCACCATGTTGGCCAGGCTGGTCTCGAACTCCTGACCTCAGATGATGCACCCACCTTGGCCTCCCAAATTGCTGGGATTACAGGTGTGAGCCACCATGCCCAGCCTATCTTCTTTTGAGAAGAGTTTGTTCATGTCTTCTGATCTCTTTTTAATGGTGGTGTTTGTTTTTTGCTTGTTGAATTAAGTTCCTTATAGATTTGGATATGATACCTTTGTTGGATGCATAGTTTATGAATATTTTCTCCCATTCTGTAGGTTGTCTGTTTACTCTGCTGATAGTTACTTTTGCGATGTAGAAGCTCTTTAGTTTAATTAGGTCCCACTTGTCAACTTTTGTTTTTGTTGCAGTTGCTTTTGAGGACTTAGTCATAAATTCTTTCCTAAGGTCCATGAACAGAATACTGTTTTGGAGGGGTTCTTCTAGGATTCTTATAGTTTGAGGTCTTACATTTAAATCTTTGTTCTACTCTTTGAGCTAACTTTTGTATATGGTGAAAGATAGGGTCCAGTTTCAATTTTTTGCACATGGCTAGCTTACTATTGCAGTATTGAATTGAATAGGGAGTGGTTTCCCCACTGAATAGGAAATCCTTTCCCCATTGCTTATTTTTGTTGACTTTACTGAAGATCAGATGTCTATAGGTATGCGGCTTTATTTCTCAGTTATCTATTCTGTTCAGTTGGCCTATATGTCTGTTCTCGTATCAGTATCATGATGTTTCGGTTAGTGTAGTTTTATAGTATAGTTTGAAATCCATCAGTATGATGCCACCAGCTTTGTTCTGTTTGCTTAGGATTGCCCTGGTTATTTGAGCTCTTTGGGGTCTATATAAATTTGGAATAGTTTTTTTAATGCTATGAAAAATGACATTGGTAATTTATTAGGAATAGCGTTGAATCTGTATATTGCTTTGGGCAGCATGGCCATTTTAGTGGAAGGATATTGATTCTTCCACTCCATGATCATGGAATGTTTTTTCCATTTGTTTATCTAAAACTGTCACAGAGTTAACAGAAGACTCTTTTTTTTTTCCCAGAGGTGTAGATTTTCCAGCTATATTTTAATATGTCTTCTCATCTAAGCACTACATTACCTTCTTTCCTGAAAGCAGGAAAGGGAATTTCCATGGGGGCTTCTTAGTCAGCTTTTTGTAGGCTTTCCCGAGGACAGAGGCAGGTGTCTTTGTAATACCAGCTGGGAGAGTAGGTGTGAAAATATGTTGGGATGGAGATGAGCAAATGTATTCGTCGTAGAATTCAGGTACTGTAAGTTGAGCCTGTCCTTTGCTCCTTGAGGATTCATTTACTGCCTGCAGAAGAACAGTGCTAGGAGACAGCTCTCTACTGGGTATTCCCTTACTCACCCCCATTCTTGTCTGGACACCCAGGGTAAGACATCTGTATTGCAGGAGTTTAATTTTGCCTTCTGATAAGTTGATGTCAATTGTGGGTTCTAAGGACAGATCACCCATTCCCACGAGAAAGGGTAGACTGGCTGGGGGAGTAATGGATCTTAGGCAAGGGGGCTGTGGAATTTCAACGGGTATCACTCTCTCCCCAGGACAACCATGGCCTCCTTAGTGATCTTTCTCTCTCTTCTTTCAATTAGAGCTTCTGGGTCACAACAGTTTCACTGAAGAGCACTGCCTCTCATAGGACATTCACCAGGCCTCAAGGTGCTCTTGGTCAGGGAGCCATAGCAGGGCCATTCTGCAGCAGTGTGCAGAGAAGCTGTAATTGGGGTTTGGACTTCAAGGTTTCTTCATCCCCAACAAAAGAGCAAGTCTTTTAGTACAACTCATTATCTGTCCTTTTCTACTCCTTGAAGGATTTCTTTTTTTTTCTTTCTCTTTTTTTTTCTTTTTTTTTTTTTTGAGACAGAGTCTTGCTCTGTCACCCAGGCTGGAGTGCAGTGGTGCGATCTTGGCTCACTGCAACCTCCAACTCCTAGGTTCAAGTGATCCTCCTGCCTCAGTCTCCTGAGTAGCTGAGACCACAGGCATCTGCCACCATGCCTGGCTGATTTTTGTATTTTTAGTGGAGACAGGGTTTCACCATGTTGGTCAGGCTTGTCTCAAATTCCTGGCCTCAAGTGATCCACCCACCTCAGCCTCCTAAGGTGCTAGGATTACAAGTGTGAGCCACCACACCCAGCCTAGAAATTTTCATCTTAAACATCTCACTTCGTTTAAGCACCTTCAATGTTTCCCAAGGCCACTGAAAAAAATCTCAAAATCCATATCCTGATTAGTAAGGCAACATAGCACTGCACTATCTTTCAAGTCTTGCATCTAGAAAAGACACACCAGAAGCACTTAAGGGTGAAGAGCAAGGTATCTGTAATGTGCTCTCAAAAGGTATATATGTAGAGAAAGACAGAGCAACAGAAGGGCTGAAAGGAAAAAATAAAACAATTGTGGTAAAATGTTAACAGTTTGGGATCTGGATAAAGGGAATATGGAAGTTCTTGCAACTTTTCTGTAAATCTGAAATTATTTCAAAATAAAAAATTACAAAAAATTATTAGATTACCTGTACTTATCAAGTATGCTTTTTTTTTGTTCTCCAGGTCACATTTGAAAGAACATTCTCTAAACATTTGCAAAGAAAAATTCAATTTTCCTTATGATTTAACTGGGTCCTAGTGAAGATGTCAAGAAGGAAAAATGCAAAATGTGGGCAAAACTGTATGGAATGATTTTAGTTGTAGTGACCTGTAACTAGGTAGACAGAATTCTGCTTTCTGCTGAAGATATTTTGTGGTTATGCCTGGCTAAGCATACAACTTCCAGAAATCGGTCAGCAGCTAGTTAACATTTACTATGTATATACCAGTTTTCTGGGTTGAGAATGAATATGAGAATTGGAAAAGTAGAGACATTCAAATATCTGTAAAAGATTATCCTCATATACAAGGCATTTATTTATCATGGGAAAATTAACACTAATATTCCAGAAAAAAATATTAAAAAGATGCCATGAGAAAAACAATGCTTATACACTGCTGGTAGGAGTGAAAATTAGTTCAACCATTGTGCAAGATAGTGTGGTGATTCCACAAAGACCTAAAAACACAAATACCACTCAACACAGTCATTTCATTACTGCGTATATGCCCAAAGGAATATAAATCATTCTATTATGAAGACATAACAATGAGTATGTTGATTATGGCACTATTCACAATAGCAAAGACATAGAATCAATCTAAATGCCCATTAATGATAGATTTGATAAAGAAAATGTGTCGCACATACACCATGGAATACTATGCAGCCATAAAAAGAGCAAGATCGTGTCTTCTACAGGGACATGGATGGAGCTAGAGGCCATTATCTTTAGCAAACTAACACAGGAACAGAAAACAAAATACTGCATGGTCTCACTTATAAGTGGGAGCTAAATAATGAGAACACATGGACACATGCATGGGAGAGGGAACAACATACACTGGGGCCTGTTGAAGGGTAGAGGGTGTGAGGAGGGAGAGGATCAGGAAAAATAATGAATGGGTACTAGGCTTAATACCTGCGTGATGTACAACAAACCCCCATGACACAAGTTTACATATGTAATAAATCTGCATGTACCCCTGAACTTAAAATAAAAATTTAAAAAGATGCCACAGATAAGATAATTTATAAAATTATTTAACAAATAAGAATTTTGGATCTCTACAGGGCATTTACCTTGAGATAGAAATAGATGTATATTGTAAATATAAAGGTCCTTTCATAACCCAAAACCTATTTCATGAGACTCTATCACTGAAGTAAAATGTGAGAGCTTCTCCAGTGGTATATTTATAGTTTGTGACATCTCTTGAGAAATATTTTTTGTATTTTCTCAAGTATATATGCTTGTATATATCAGATCTCTATCTCAACTATCTATCTAATCATCTATCTATATTTAAATTAGTAGACTGGATTATCAATTGTTATTTGTATTATATTTTACAGCCTACTCACTTTATTCTAGCAGTTCATTTACACTTGTGAAATGAATCAATTTAAATAGTAACAAAATAGGAACAATCTGACAACTTTTTAGGGATACTTCTACTCAGGAATATGTGGCAGGAGAAACTGTACAATGTGATTGATAACAATCTTCATTTTGAAATATTGCTAGCATGGCTTCATCACAATTCACTCTGTCATGGACAGTGGTCAGCACTTGGCCATCTGCCACCCACTGCACTACCTTATCCTCATGACTGATGAAAATAGAGATCGAATGTTTAAGGAAATTGACCAGCCAAGAGAGACACACCATGAAGTGTCTTTTTTTTTCTTTTGAAACTTTCTTTCTAAGTGACACGATGTTGTAGGTTGGGTTCCCTGGAAACAGATCCTATCATTTGTATGCATAAGGTTTCTTGTGGAGTTCTCTTGAGAACAATACCTATAAGGGAGTGATGAAAGTAGGATCGGGCAGAAGTTGAATTGTGATGAAGTTGCAGCAAAAGTCTCAGCTGATGCCATGTGGAGCTCTGGAACTGGGATGGCCATTTATACTTGTCACCAAGTGTCAGGCCTTTGTACACCAGCGTTGACCAACTGTTGGATTTGAGCTGCCCCTGGAAGGAGGGAAAATCAATGACAAGTCCCTTTGGCTTAGGGCAACTTCTGGCAAGGGATTTAGCTATGATCTAGTCATCAGCGTACTATACTTCTGGCAGCTGGGGGAATGCATGCCTCAGGCCTGAAGGAAAGCTCTGGGCAGCACATTATAACATCCATTATACAACACATGGGCCCGCTGACAGCCTTTCCCTACACCGATGCCACATCTCAGAACATGCACTATGTAAATTTTCTTATTATCATTCTCAGTATTTTGTACATCCCTGGACCATATACGTTGATCCTAAGAGCTATGCTTCAGCTGCTTTCAGCAGCTAGCCATCAAAATGCCTTTTCTATCCGTGGGTCTCACTTAATAGTGGTGTCTCTGTTCTGTGAAACCATATGATGATGTGTGTGAATCTCATATCTGACCATTTAGTATAAATGAAGATGACAAATCACAATATCATAATGATATCCTCCATAAAGACTCTAGTTTTAAACTTTGTCAATTACACCTTACTCAATATGAACTTAAAACCTATCTTCAGTTTTTTTTTTATGGAATGAGTATTAGCCAAAGCTCAGGAACAGTTCTTCCTGCCCTGTCAAAGGACCCTGGTTTTCTTAATTATTTATTTCTGGCCTACTATATGAAGTAAAAATACTTGGTATACCTAATCTTATTTTGGAGGGATTTGCATATTGTAAGGTTAAATGCAAAAGCAAGATATAGAGAAGACTATGTGGTATAATTTGATTTTTGTAAGATAATGAAAAAACCTGATATATGATAATAAATATTTATATAGAATTAGAAGCATGGAGAATAGTATGAAAGAATATACTGGGTTGTTAATGCTGCTTATCTAGCATAGATGGAAGGTGGTAGAGTGAAAAGCAGATTGGGGAAGAAGTGGTGGTGGTGGGGGGAAGTAGTAAGGAAAAAACAGAGGAGTCTAAAAAATCAGCATCTACAGCACTTCCAATTGCACTTGTGAGTATGTGTGTGTGCATGTGTGTATGAAAGCATACATGGAAGAGGTTCACTAAAATCAATGGTGATTACTCAGAGTGGTGGGATTTTAGATGATTTCTAAATATTTTTTATATTATACTGTTTGATAATTATTACAGTGAGTATTATTTATGTATTGATAAAAGAGTAAGCTATTTTTTCTTATTGTGAACAAAAAGATCCATTGCATTAAATAAGTCTTTCTTGAATAGAAATAAATGTCACTGTGTCCCTTGGAGTTAAAAAGAAAGCTAAATACTGAATTCATAAAAGAAGGTCAGATACACAAGGTACACTCCAGATAATGTGATTGTCTCAAAGGAAAACGAGTTCTGAGTGTAATATTTTAAATATCAGTATAATATTTGAACTTTAATGTGTTTTGAATACTGATTTTCATATTTCAATACCCAAATGACATATTTATTGCCCTCTTTTTCTTTTCATCTATCTATATGTCTCTATTTAATTGTTCGTTGAATTGTAAATTATATTACATCTTTGAGCCATACTTATTTGATTAAGGATGCCCATTAATAAGTCAATAGGTGTGGCTAATTATAAATTATGATGGATAGTAAATGCTGTATGGATACTTATTCCACGTATCCATAGAACACTTTCATTCTGTATATTGTGATATGCTTCTAAATAGACAGTAATCTGAGGATGTCTATATGCAGTTTTCAGAACTTGACCTGTTCCCTCATCCCTTAATACTCCTGGCTTTTATCTGTGCTGTTCTTCTACTTGCTCCCATAGCAATTTATAATGGCCCTGGTTGGTAGCATATCTTGGGGCATCTGCTACCGGCCTCCCACTGGCTTATGGGCCCCACAAGGGAAGGAACTGTGTTTTGTTCACTTATGTGTATGATTCACCCTCTAGCTCAGGGCCTAGAATACTGAATGAGTCTAATTTTTAAAATAAAAAAGTGGCCATGAAGATGATACACAATGATAAAAAATGACCAACTTCAGTTTTTCATGGTTTATTTATTCTCACAGGTCCTCAAGGAAGGAGGACCTTTCCTATTTCTTCCTAACAAAGCCAAAGCATTTGAGTGAGATGTCACTAAGAGTGTGTCAATTGCCTTCTTTTTTCATTTTCCATCAATAATCAGCTCTCTTCCTAGTTTCCTAAAGGATCAAATAGTTATGAAGAAATGTTTCCCTGTTTCTAATTTTATGGTGAGATAGTTTTAACATTTATTTTTTAATGTTAACGTTAGATGTTGTTTAAACGCAATACATGCACATAGAACAACATTTTAAAAATACAAAGGCATGTCAAGGGGAATATTCCTCTCTCTGCCCCCAGAAACCCAATTCTCCTTACTAACAGCAATCACTGTTACTAGTTTCTTCTTCAAGAAACATATTGTGTATTTATGAACATAAATATGTACATATCTGTACAATCTTTCTTCTTCATATGAAAGAGAGGCAGATAGAGCATTCCTCCACCTTGCTTTTTAACAATATAGCATAAGGATACATTCATATTAAAAGATACATACAGATCCTCATTTTAAAAAGTTACATAGTATTCCACCCTATGATTATACACTAATTTACCTGATCAGTTCTTAGTGGGAATTTAGATAGATCCAATCTTTTGCTATTAGAAGCAGTAGTCAATATTCTTGTACATGTGTCATTTTTCTTGTGTGAGTATACCAGTAAGATAAGCGTCTAGGATTTTGGAGTTGTTGAATCACAGGAAATGACTTTTAAATTTTGATAATTATTGCAAGATGTCCTCCATAGATGTTGTACCAATGTATGCTCTACTGGCAAAAACTGCCATTTTTTCCAACTTCATTTTTGATCTTTGTTAATTTTGGGGAAAAACATGTATATTTATTATAGTTTTATTTGCTTTTCTTGCCTTATGATAAAACAGAGTGTCTTTTTACTTGCTTAAAAGCTTTTTACTGTTGGCTTTTTTCAGATATTTGACACTCTTCCTGTTGTGCTAATGGTCATGAAGTCTTTGCCTAAGCCAATGTCTAGAAGGGATTTTCCGATGTTATCTTCTAGAATTTTTATGGTTGTGCTAATGGTATTTTTCTTATTGATCTGAAGATATATTGACATATCAAAGATACTAATCTTTTGTCTATAATAATATTACCATGAAGAATATTCTGGAAGACAGAAATATAAGCTCAATTAAAGAAATAAAGTGAACTTATTGTTGCTGAAAGGGAAATAGAAAACTTTAGGTTTTGCCCTAAGGTTATGACCATGTGTAACTTGTAAGGGCAAATACAAATAAAAAAAATAAAAGGCTTAATGATCCCTGTTGAAAATAAGGGAAGAGACTTTCTTCTCTCCTTTGCATAGAGCATTTACTTTAGAAAACCTATAATTTTTTTGGAAAGATGTATGTAAATTTTTTTTTCCTTATCTTAGGGATTGGGTCTCACTCCTGCTCAGCCTGGAGTGCAATGGTGCGGTCATAGCTTGTTGCAGCCTTGAACTTTTGGGCTCAAGCAATTTTCCCACCTCAGCCTTCTGAGTAGCTAAGGCTACAAATGTGTGCCACACCCAGCTAATTAAAACAATTATTTTGTAGAAGTGGATCTCACTATGTTGCCCAGGCTGGTTTGAGTCCAAGCTGGTCTTGAACTCCTGGCCTCAAGTGATCCTTTTGCCTCAGGCTCCCAAAGTGCTGGTATTAGAGGTGTGAGCAACTGCATCTGGCCTATAAATTTTTGCAAAAGCTAAACAAAGCCTCTGGCTAGCTTTATGACCCAGGAATATCTTTCTCAAGGACCTCGAAAAAGGAAGTTAGTGCTCCCATCTCCCAGTTTCTGTGAAAGGGTAGAAGCCAATTTTGGCAGTCTAGTCATTAAATTGCAAAACTATTTCCTGTCGTAAAGATATGAATTTATTTTTCCTTTGTATAAAGTCAATGAACAAATACCAATGGCCACTCCAATTACCAGGTGAACCCAGGATGAACTATGTGTGACTTGAGGACTAGTTATTGTTTATTTTGAGAACATGCATGTATTGGGTTGTATTTACTTTGCTATACAAAAGGGTGAGATGTCTTTCTGTCCTTGCAGTCTCTCAGTGGATTGTCTGTGACATGTATCACATTCTGGTTTAATACTTATTCAATAATAAAACTACTTTCTTTCTCTTATACCTTTGTGGAGAAGTTTTCTGGGTTGGTAAGAGATTTGTTTTTAATTATATTTCCCCAACAAACTCAACCAAATTTTTTCAATTTACAGGCCCATCATTTGGAAAATTAAAGAGATAGAATACATCTTTGACATCTCTTGTAGCCCTATGAATTCTAGAAAATAAAACATTACAGTGTAGTTCCTCATTGCATGTTTCATTTCCTTGTTCCTCAGACTGTATATGACAGGATTAATAAGGGGAGTGACCACAGAATAGAACAGAGTCACAGTCTTCTGCATTCCGAATTCATGCCCAGATGTTGGGCTCACATACGTGATCATCATTGAGCCATAAACAGTGAAACTACAGCCAGGTGGGAGCCACAGGTAGAGAAAGCCTTTCTTCTTCCAGATGCTGAAGGAACCCTCAACACAGCTCTCAGGACCAGAGCATAGCACCCCACGATGAAGAGAAAGGGAATAAATAGAAGTAGAGAACTTAAGGTGGAGCTAGTCAACTCTAGTAGAGGGGCTCTGGTACAGGTGAGGGCTAACAGAGGACCTGGGTCACATGGGAAGTGGTCAATAATCCTAGATCCACAGGTCATTTGAGAAATGACACTGATAGGAATCAGGAACCACAAGAAACCAAGTACCCAGCAGCTGCCCACAAGAATGTTGCAGAGACGTCTGGTCATAATGGTTGGATAGCGTAGAGGCCGGCAGATGGCAAGGTATAGGTCAAATGCCATAGCTCCCAGGAAAAAGCATTCTGTAGAGCCCAAGGAGAAAAAAAAGTAGAATTGGAGGAAGCAGCCAGAGAACGAGATGATCTTGTGTCAGAGAGGAAGTTGGCCAGCACGTTGGGGACTGTAGAGGTGACATAACAGATCTCCAGGAAGGAGAAGTTGGCGAGCAGGATGTACATGGGGGCATGGAGTCTCTGACCCAGTGCACAGCACAGTTGATGGAACCATTGCCCATGAGGGTCAGGAGGTAAACAACAGTGAAGAGCACAACGAGGAGGATCTGTCCCTCCCTGGGGCAAGGGAAGCCCAGGAGGATGAAGCCAGTGAAGGTGCTGGAGTTGCTGGGGGTGTTGAAGATTTTCATGTGCCTGTGACCTGTAAAATCACGAGCAATTACTGGATGGCAGTGAAAAGATAGAAGGGAACTCATTTATATTTAAGCCATCTCTGGGAATGCAATAAGCACATCTATCAACAGTGACTCTCTCTCTCTCTCTATATATACACACACACACACACACACACACACACACACACACACACACACACACGATTCAGGGTCTCGCTCTGTTGCCCAGGCTAGAGTGCAGTGGCACAATCATGGCTCACTGCAGCATTGACCTCCCCAGCTCAGGCAATCCTGCCTCAGCCTCCTAGGTAGCTGGGACCACTATGTGGCATGTGCCACCACACCAAGAAAATTTCAAAATTATTTGTAGAGGAGGAGTCTTCCTATATTGCCCAGGCTGGTCTTGAACTTCTGGGCTGAATTAATCCTCATGCCTTGGCCTCCCAAAATGCTGAGATTACCGTCCTGAACCACCTGTGCCTGGCCAATAGTGACTATTTTTGCCTAATCCTGAAATATTGTCCACTTGGACAATAGTTGTTGGTCTATAAAATATACTACAAGTCAGTATCAGTGAATAAACACAGAAGTTTCCTTATTGTGAATTGTATGGAAACATGCATAATACATAAATGTACATCTTAATAAAAGATCATAATGGAAAAACATCATTGTAACTACCACTGAGGTCAAGAAATAGAATATTGCATCCTAGAATCTCCTCACATGCCCCATCGCCATCACTCTCTGGCCCTCCCTCCCTCTAATCATAACACTCTTTCTTCTTTATGATCATCACTTCCTTGTTTTTCTTTACAATTTAATAACTCAGCATGCACCTCTAAACAATAGTACAGTATTAAATTTTGCTTGTTTTTGTTCTTTGCATAAATGAAATCATACTATTATACGTTTGGATGGTTTCTTTATTCAACAGTAAGTTTGTGAAAGTCATGTTGTTGCATATATCTGTATTCTGACAATTTTTTACTGCTCTATACTGGTACACTGTATGAATGAACCATTACTTCTTAAAAAGATTGAGATAGGGTCGCTATCACTCAGGTTGGAGTGCAGTGCACCATCTCCGCTCACTGCAGCCTCTGCCGCCCCGGCTCAAGAAATCTTCCCGCCTCAGCCTCCTCAGTAGCTAGGACCACAGGCTCGTGCCACCATGCCCGGCTAATTTTATGGATTTTTTTGTCTGTTGTTTGTTTTTTGGTGGAGACAGGGTTTTGCCATGTTGCCCAGGCTGGTCTTGAACTCCTGAGCTCAAGCGATACTGCCTGCCTCGGCCTCCCACAGTGTTGGGATTATAGTCCTGAGCCACTGCGCCTGACTCGAACCATCACTTACTTAAACATTCTACAACAGATAAACATTTTGGTTTACTTCCAGTTTGGGGCTGTTAGGGGTAATGTTACTATTAAAGTGGAAAACTTAAAAGAAATTAAATCTACAGTTTAAGGTTAAGCTAGAATAGGCATGAAGTAGCCCCCTACCAGAAGTAAGAGTTAAGAAAGATTATTAACTGCTCCTCTGTAAGGTCTGTGAAGCATTAACCATATCTCTCCCCCACATATTTTCTAAGTTCTGTAAGCTCCTGTTTTTCTTGCTGTGCAGCTGCAAGGTCACAAGATAGATAAGCATGAGTTGCAAGACATGTTTTCCCAAGATATAAGCTGAGTCCTAAGAATGTCACCTGATAATTAATTGCTTTGTTCTCGCTTTAGTAAGCCAGCTTCCTGCATCATGTAATTCCCGCCTCAAGGTGCATAAAAGGCGTTAGTTTTCTTTTTCTTTCTTTTCTTTTCTTTCTTTTTTTTTTTGAGACGGAGTCTTGCTCTGTCGCCCAGGCTGGAGTGCAGTGGCGCGATCTCGGCTCACTGCAAGCTCCGCCTCCTGGGTTCACACCATTCTCCTGCCTCAGCCTCCCGAGTAGTTGGGACTACAGGTGCCCACCACCACACCCCACTAATTTTTTTGTATTTTTGTTTTTTTTGTTTTTTTTTTAGTAGAGACGGGGTTTCACCGTGTTAGCCAGGATGGTCTTGATCTCCTGACTTCGTGATCCACCCACCTCAGCCTCCCAAAGTGCTGGGATTACAGGCGCGAGCCACAGCGCCCGGCCCAACGCGTTCGTTTTCTTTGTTTGCTGCTCAGACTTTCAGGATGCATGTCCGCTGAGCCGGTGTACACCTAAAATATACCCTCCTGAACTGCACTTGGTCTCTCCAGTCTCTGATTTCCAGCTGCACTATGACCATATGGTTTCTCTCTCCTGGTTCACATGTACATGCATTTCTATTAGCTGGATCATAGGAAGTGTGTATCTTCAACTGTAGAAAATTAAGCTAAAGTTTTCTGTAATTATTGGACTATTTTTCACTACCATTGGCAGTATATTGGAGTTCTCATTGTCAATATCCTTCTCTAACATTAAGGTCTGTATTTACTAGAGGCTTGAGAATGACATATAGATTGCATTTTAACAATTTCTTTCTTTTTTTTTTCTTTTGGTAATATTACCGTGGATAGTTCTCTTCTTGGTAGTACTTTTATTTAAAGTAGTAGTTATATCAAAACTGTTTTGCTTTCAAGAGAAAATTTTGCAAAAGTGATAAAACTGTCTTCAAGCGTGGCTTAGGAGAACATTTCAAGGCATGATGTAATTTATAGCCTCTCTGGGAAGTTCGTTAACTGTCGAGATGAGTTCTGTTATCAATCTTATTATTTAAACCAGACATTCTTTACTGTACCTTTTACTTTTCGTGTATGAAAATTCTCTCTACCAGGGGAAAATTCTTCGAACTGGCTCACTCAACAGCATCTTCCTGAGCATCAAATTTCAAATAGAATTTTGTCACTGGCTTGAAGTCAATTTGAGAAGTTACTTCACCAGAGGTGATTAGGCATTAGCACAGTGCTTTGTACTTAGAAAGCTTTCAATAAATACCCATAAAATGAATGAATAAATACACTTTCTTATTTCCCAGAAAGGGATCACATCCACACAATAATTTTGGGCAAGGCTGACTCAGATTGTGTGTCTGTGGAACAAAGGACCCTTGGATCTATTTGAAATCACTTTTCTCTTTTGAGATAGTGAACTAACTCATTAATTCATGCTATTTGGTAATGCAATTTACCAATTTCAGGAGTAAAATGTTCAAATTAATAGTAGGTAGCTGCTTCTCACTTCTGTTAAAAGAGTTCCCCAGCCATCAAGGGTAGATGGAGCTGAGGAATAGAATCAGGTTTAATTTTGTCTTGTTGAAACAGGTCTTTGATTTTCTGGATTGGGAATATGAGTCTGCAAAATCCATTGGTTACCATTCTAGTTACATAAACAGTGGAACCTGATATTAGCGATCCAATGTTAAGATAGGTTTAGCAGGAAACTTGAAGAGAAGAAAAAAACTTTACATTTTTTTGCGTCCTTTCCCAATCACTGTTTGGAAACACCTCAAGGCAGAATGACTTTGGGTGGCTATACTTTTGCAGAATGGCTTTATGTTCTTTTGAGCTAACAGTCTTAACCAGACTGTATTGTTACTTACCTTTTATTACTCATCTCTTCTGTGCAGAAGAAACTATGATGTTTACCTGCCAGAAATCCCGGCTGGATTGAAAAAAAAAAGAAAAAGAAAAGAAAGTAAAAAAACAAAACAAAAGAAAAAGAAAAAATCTAGCTGATTCACCCTGCATTGGCTGTAGAGGGCAATGTGAACACGGGCACAACACTGTGTTTTTGTACCCAGGCTGCTTGGACCAAGTTAATTAACAACAAAAACTACTTAAAAAAATCTGTTTACTCATTAAATTAGTCAACCCCAGAAAGTGGGGTGAAGATAGACTATGACTGAATGAGCCAAGCTGTGTCACATGCAGTGTGATAAGAAGGCATTTCCCTGATACTTTAATGTTCCCCCAAAGTTCAGTACAGTAGAAGTCTGGACACCCAACTTGGTTGACCCCCCTCCTCAGCCAGCCCAGAGATGTCTCATGACAACACGCTTGCCTCCTCTTTTTTGTTTGCGCAGGTTCAGTGAGGGGGCTGCCACGTCTGTAATGTTGGGCAATCTGTTTCTAGAAAGTACTTTAAAAAGTAAGGATAAGATAATTTTCCAGATTGGGACAAGTGGTAGGCAGCTATACAAGATAGAAAAAGTCCTGGATTTAGAGTCAAGAGTTTTCTTTACTAGTCATAGGAAATTAATACTTTCTTAGTTTCCTTAACTATAAAATGGTCATAATTATGCCTTAAGGGCCGTTGCAAAGATTACTGTATGAAATGGAGTACCTTGACCAGTGCCTGATCAGTAAGAGCTTAAGAAATACTGGTTGTGAATAGTGCCGCAATAAACATACGTGTGCGTGTGTCTTTATAGCAGCATGATTTATAATCCTTTGGGTATATACTCAATAATGGGATGGCTGGGTCAAATGGTATTTCTAGTTCTAGATCCCTGAGGAATCACCACACTGACTTCCACAATGGTTGAACTAGTTTACAGTCCCACCAACAGTGTAAAAGTGTTCCTCTTTCTCCACATCCTCTCCAGCACCTGTTGTTTCCTGACTTTTTAATGATCGCCATTCTAACTGGTGTGAGATGGTATCTCACTGTGGTTTTGATTTGCATTTCTCTGATGGCCAGTGATGATGAGCATTTTTTCATGTGTCTTTTGGCTGCATAAATGTTTACTGTGGCACTATTCACAATAGCAAAGACTTGGAACCAACCCAAATGTCCAATAATGATAGACTGGATTAAGAAAATGTGGCACATATACACCATGGAATACTATGCAGCCATAAAAAATGATGAGTCCATGTCCTTTGTAGAGACATGGATGTAGCTGGAAACCATCATTCTCAGCAAACTATTGCAAGGACAAAAAACCAAACACCACATGTTCTCACTCATAGGTGGGAATTGAACAATGAGAACACATGAACACAGGAAGGGGAACATCACACTCTGGGGACTGTTGTGGGGTGGGGGGAAGGGGGAGGGATAGCATTAGGAGATATACCTAATGCTAAATGATGAGTTAATGGGTGCAGCACACCAACATGGCACATGTATACTTATGTAACAAACCTGCACGTTGTGCACATGTACCCTAAAACTTAAAGTATAATTAAAAAAAAGACAATAATGCAAGAAATCAGACATTTTTCTCTCCTTTTGTGTAGTTTTTAAAGTCATATATTTAATATACTTTTCATTGTGGCCCTTTGGATTGGTGTCAGGTTTAGAACTTCTTACATGTGAATAGGGTGCTGTAGTATTAAGTCATTTTAAAATCACATATTACAAAAGACCATGTATGCCTTTATTAAGCCACAATAAGGTAGTGATGATTTTGCTTTTTAATCTTACAATTTAATGACATTTATCTGCTTTTCACCTCCCCCAGGGAAAGCTTTACAAAAACCCACAGAGGTACCTGTACCATATGAGAAGATGCTACAAGACCAGTCAGCTTTGATAGTACAGGGGCTTCCAGAAGGTGTTGCTTTAAACACCCTGAGAATTATGATCTTGCAACCCTGAAATGGATTTTGGAGAACATAGCCGGGGTTTCAGTTATTATTAAGTGGTGAGCTGTTTTCTCCCTTCATGCCCATCGATGGTTTATTCATATAAATTTGAATATTCAGCTTATGTTAATATATTTTAAAAATTCTCGGTTAGCGCAATTCATTTAAATTTATGCTGTCATTAATTTTGTGTATTCATGTTTTATTAGTTTTGTTTTATTGCAGATCTTTCTTAGAGCCAAAGAAGCATCTAGATTAGTGATTGCTTTGCTTCCTTGATCGCTGGCTGGCTTCCTAATCCCGTTTTGCTAGATTTTAATACACTTTAATGGTTTCTCTTTTATTTTCTTTGAGAATACGATGTAAGACATTTTCAGATGGGCTGCTTAGATATTTATATAATCCAAGAAAAGTTCATTGAGCTGAAAAAGTAGAGACTTGTTTTTTGTTTTCAGATCAGCTACTTGTTTTCTATGTAAGTTCATAGATCTGCCCCCACTTCCAAGCATTATGAGTAGGATTAATGACCTAATGTCATTGAATAGGCATGGCATTTTTGGGCACAGAATTAGGTGGGGAGGGGATACACAACTGTGTATAAGCATTATGGCTTTGGAGTTCTCGGAGTCTCATGGAAGGGAGAAAAGTTTGTAAAATGACCATAGCAAGAGCCTCACATCCCTGCTGTAAGAATGGTTCAGAGAAAGTGCTGCGAATGTTCATTAGGGGTTGGATTCCTTTATAGTTCAGGAAGAATTTCATGAGGGAGAGGGCATTTGGATGAGCCCTTGGAGAATGAGAAGGATTTCAACTTCCTTTAGGGAAGTTTAGCCATTTCATTTGAAGAGAAAAAAATGATAAAGAGTGGTACCCTTTGGAGCCAATTTTTTTTAGACTTTTGAAAGGAAATAACCAATATCATTGGAATACTCTTCACAATGTAGGGATAAAAGGGAAAATAATACGTACATGAACACACACATTTTGTTTTCTGTTAATCTTTGTTTTATTCTCATTGTAGTGAAAAGATTAATTTTTAGCACCTTTATTGAGGTATAATTGATGCACCATAAAATTCACCTGTCTGAGTATTTAATTCACTGATAGTAAATTTACAGTCTTAAAATTTTTTTAAAATGATTTTACAACCATCATCACAATCTAATTTTAGGATGCTTTTATTACCCCATCTCTGAATTATGATATAGAAATTGAATATATAATGTATTTCCTATAGAAATTAGTTTTTTTTCACTGAGCATAATTCACCTCAGGCTCATTGGGCTTGTTGTGTGTATCAGTAGCTCCTTATTACTGCTGAGCATTAAGTATTCTATGAACGTACCACCTGTTTGTCTAATCATCACTTGATGATTCTGTTGTTTTCATTTTTTGCTGTTATGAGTAATGCTACAGTGACCATGCTTGAGCAAGTTTTTGTCTGGACATATACCTTAATATCTCATACATTGTATATATGCCTAGGAGTATAATTACTAGGAATAGGGTACATTTACACTGAACTTTTAGGAAACTGACCAGTTGTTTTCCCAAGTAGCTGTACCATTTTATATTCCAGCAGCACATTATAAGTGTTCAAATTCTCCACATTGCTGCCAACTTACTGTCTTCTTGATGTTAGCCATTGTAAATCGGTGTGAAGTGGTATCTCATTTTGGTTTTTTTTTTGTTTTGTTTTATATTTCTCTAGTGACTATTGATGTTCTCTTACCTTACACTTTTTTTTTTTTGAGACAGAGTCTCACTCTGTCACTCAGGTTAGAGTCCAGTGGCATGATCTGGGCTCAGTGCAGCCTCAACCTTTCTGGCTCAGGTGATCCTCCTGCCTCAGGTCTTGAGTAGCTGGGACTATAGGTGTGCACCATCATACCTGGCTAATTTTTGAATTTTTTTTTTTTTTTTTGTAGAGATGGGGTTTCCTCACATTGCCCAGGCTGGTGTCAAACTCCTGGGCTCAAGCAATCCACCTGCCTAGGCTTCCCAAAGTGCTTGGATTACAGGTTTGTGTTATCTTTCAATGTGCTTATTGGTCATTTACATATGTTTTTTGGAGTAATGTCTATTTAGATCCTCTTCACATTTTAAAATTGGGTTTGTCTTTTTATTATTGAGTCATAAGAGTTTTTTACATAGCCTCGATATAAGTACCTAATTGATTGATGATTAAAAAAAAATTGCGTGTGAGACAGGATGTCACACTTTCATGCAGGCTGTGGTGTAGGATTTGGAAATATTTTCTCCAATTCTAATAATTCTACATTATTCTTAATATATAAGTTGTCTTCTCCCTTGCTTGGTAGTACTGTTTTGAGGCAGAAAAATTTTTAATTTTGATAGAAACCAGATTATTCTCTTGGGACTTGTGCCTTTCACTTAACTTTTTTTTTTTTTTTTTTTTTTTTTTTTTTGAGACAGAGTCTCACTCTGTTGCCCAGGCTGGAGTGCAGTGGCATGACCTCGGCTCACTGCAAGCTCCGCCTCCTGGGTTCAAGCAATTCTCCTGCCTCAGCCTCCTGAGTAGCTGGGACTACAGGCACGTGCCACCACACCCGGCTAAGTTTTTGTATTTTTAGTAGAGACGGGGTTTCACTGTATTAGCCAGGATGGTCTCTATCTCCTGACACCGTGATCCACCTGCCTTGGCCTCCCAAAGTGCTGGGATTACAGGCTTGAGCCACTGCATCCGGCCTTGACTTCATATTTAAGAAACCATTGCGTAACCCAAATGCATGAAGATTTTATTTTGTTTTACTTTTTATTTATTTTTTTTGGTGACATGTCTATGTAAGTGTCTGCCCATTTAAAAATTGTGTTTTTCTTCTTTTATGAGTTATAGGAGTTCTTGATATGTTCTGGATACAAGTCTTTTATCAGAAATACGATTCTGCACATATTGTTTCTGTCTGGCTAGTTGTTTCATTTTCTTGGTGATGTCTTTTATAGCTCAAAAGCTTTTGCTTTGGTGAAATTCAGTTTTTCAAGTTTTCTTTTATTACTACGCTCTTGGTGTTGTATCTAAAGAATCTTTGTCCAACCTAAGGTCACAAAGGTTTAGACTTAGATTTTCTTCCTGAAATTTATAGTTTTATCTCTTGTTTAGGAGTAAGATCCATTGTGAGTTATTTTTTGCACATATTGTGAGGTAAGAGTTTAAAGTCATCATTTTGCATGTGATGTACCAGCAGCATCTGTTGAAAAGACCATTCCTTCCCCGCTTACTTGCCATAAAACCTTTTTCAAAAATCAACTAATGGGCTCAAGTAATCCACTCAACTTGGCCTTTCAAAGTGCTAGGATTACAAGCATGCAGCACCATGCCTGGCACTAGTTTATATATTAAGGGACTTATAGCTTATATGTTGCTTTAAGCTATATAACCTGTCTTTAGGTTATATGTGGGGTCCAAAAATTTTAATCATAGGAAACACAATTTTACATTGTTGAAAAATTGTTACTGTCTCTGGGCTTGACCTCTTGCAGAGGGTGGAAGCCAGTTGTCAGTTGTGTTATATCTGAATTCTCACTGTTGCAGATCCTGCCATTGTGGGGCTTTTAACTGTGCTTTCACATGAGTTCAAAAAATATCTTATGGCTCACTCAGTGTGATGACTCATGCCTATAGTCTCAGCACTTTGGCAGGCTTGTGGCATGTGGATTGCTGGAGCCAAGGAGTTAAGAGGCCAGCCTGGGCACCATGGCAAAACCCCACCTCTATAAAAAATACAAAAATTAGACAGGTGTGGTGGTACATGTCTGTAGTCTCAGCTACTCAGGAGGCTGAGGCTAGAGGGTCACTTGGGTCCAGGAATTGGAGGCTGAAGTGAGCTAGGATTACACCATTGCACTCCAGCCTCGGCAACAGAGCAAGATTCTATCTCTAGTCCTCTCTTCTAATTTGGAATGTACAATGTATTGTTGTCAACTATAGTCATTCTAATCTGCTGTCAATTGTCACAAAAATGTATTCCTTATTTAGTTTACTACCCTTACATTAATGTTTTTAGTTTTTTTTTTTTTTTTTTTTTTTTTTTTTTTTTTTTTTTTTTTTTTGAGACGGAGTCTCTCTCTGTCGCCCAGGCTGGAGTGAAGAGGCGCAATCTCCACTCACTGCAAGCTCCGCCTCGGGGGTTCATGCCATTCTCCTGCCTCAGCCTCCTGAGTAGCTGGAAGTACAGGCGTGTGCCACCATGCCCAGCTACATTTTTGTATTTTTAGTAGACAGGGGGTTTCACCATGTTGGCCATGCTGGTCTTGAACTCCTGACTTCAGGTGATTTGCTTGCCTTGGCCTCCCAAAGTACTAGGATTGCAGGCATGAGCCACCACACCCAGTGTAGATATTCAAGAACAAAGATTTCGTTTGCCTATTTTGACCTTCAAATGAGAGGAATTACCCAATATGCACTCTTTTGTATCTGGCCACAAAGGTCTGCTTCAAATTACCTGTCCTAATTGTGGGCAAAGCTTTATGCAGAAGGTGTGCTTTGTCCTCTTGTTAATAAAAGGGATTTATGAGGAGGAAAAAAAAAAACAACAATGTATCTCATTATTGAAATCGCCAAAAATTACACCATCCCTACTCTGGAATATTGAGTTATTAAAACTGATGTGTATAATTGTTTTTCAACGGTTTATAATAGTATTTTTAATATTCAGTGAACATGGATTGTGACTAAATTTTCTTTAATTCTAAAGATAAGAATTTGCTGGAGAAAAAAATTAGCAGCAAATTATTGCAGAATATTAATAAATGGTTAAAACTTTGTCTTGGTTGGGACTATAGGTGATTCCTACACTCTGCTACCTAGGAAACTTTTGTCATTTCAAAGACTTTTAAAGTTATACCCATTAACCATCTCCCTCCTCTTTATCCTCCCATCTCCACCACTCTTCCCAAAACTCTTCTGGTTTTCATTATTTAACTCTCTATCTCCATAAGTTTTTTTTTTTTTTTTAAGCTTCAACATGTTAGCCATAATGTGATGTTTATCTTTCTTTGCCTGGCTTATTTCATTTAACATAAAGTCTTCTAGTTTCATCCATGTAGTTGCACATAACTAAAAAATGGAATTAGAATGCTCCTAACACAAAGAAATGATAAATGCTTGATTACATACAGTATAGTTATATAAAAATATCACATGTATCTCATAAATACATACAACTGTTATGTATTCATAATAATTAAAAATGAAAAAAGTAGTAAAGTTTAAAAAAATTCTTCATTTGACCTATATGCACTAAGGCAATGTGTTGTACAATCTTATATGTAACCCTAGCTATGCCATGAGATTCAAGTAAGATTTTGTTTCAGTTGCAACAGAATTTGTATTCCCACTAATGTAATGCATGACCACCAACAAACAATTATTATAGGGATGGAATGCCCTACTGTATGTAAATGTTTTCTAAATAGGCAGATAATCTTGGTCAGATGACTGATGTGTTTCCATATGTTCTATGGTTGCTTGAGTTTCTGACAGTTATGCACTGAATGTCAAATTATTGATATCTTTACATCTAGGGGTCCCTAACCCCTGGGCCACAGGCAGGTGCTATTCTGTGGCTGGCCACACAGCAAGAGGTGAGCCACTGGGAGAGTAAGCACTACTGCCTGAGCTCCACCTCCTGTCAGATTCTCATAGAAGCATGAACCCTATTGTAAACCTCACATTCTAGGGATCTAGGTTGTGTGCTCCTTATGAAAATCTAACACCTGATGATCTGAGGTGAAACTGTTTCATCCCAAAACCAACCCTCACTCCCATTCTGTGGAAAAGTTGTCTTCCATGAAATTGGTCCCTGTTGCCTAAAAGGTTGGGGACCGCTATTTAGATCTTTAAACAAGAAAATAGATGTCAGTTTAAAATACATTTATTTTGCCCTCTTAGATTTTAAGACAACATTCTTGAAGTCCAATTGACATATAATAAACTATCCATATTTAATGTGTGCAATTTAATATGTTTTGACATGTATATAACTATTAAAATATCATTGCAATCAAGATAGAGATATGCCTCAGTCCCCGAAGTATCCTCTTGTTCCTTGATAACCCCTTTTAATAATCCCTCCACACATCTTTCTTCCCAGACAAACACTAAAATGTGTTCTAATTATTAGTTTGCAAGTTTGCATGTTTTGTAGTTTTGTAGCATGTAAAATCTAGTATTATGTACTCTTATTTTTTCTGTCTTCTTTTAATCAGCATACTTATTTTGATATTTATCATATTGTTGTGTGTTAGAATGGTGCATTCCTTTTATTGCTCAGTAGTATTCCATATGTATATACTACAATTGAGTTATTGATTCATCCTCTGAGGGACATTTGGGTGGTTTCCAATCTTTGGCTACTACAAATAAAACTGTTATGTTTGTGTACAGAACTCTATGTCACTTAAATACTTTTAAATTTGTTGACACCTGTTTTATGACCCAGAATATGGTCTAACTTGATAAACTTGAAAAGAAGGAGTATTCCAATGTTTATTTGTGAAAGTGTTTTATAATGTCACTAACTTCTAATTGGTTCATAGTGTTCTTCAGGTCAACTACAAGTCTGATAAATTTTTGATTACCACTTCTATTAATTAATGAGGGAGGTATATTGAAGTGTTTGATTATTTTTTTTATAATATGAGGAAGTTTATCACTACTTGATTCTGTTTATAAGAAAGTTAAACAAAGGATGCTAATTAGTAACATTAGCATTAAAGTATGAAACTCACTGGTAAAGGTAAGTATGTAATCAACTTCAGATGACTCTAATATTGTAATGCAGATAAACAACTATTTTGACAATAGTATATAAATTAAGAGATAAAATAATTAAAAATAACTATAGTTACACAATATGTTAATGGTTGCACAATTTAAAAAAGAGGTAAATTGTGACATCAATAACATAAAATTTGGGGTCAGAGAGAAGTATAGTAGTAAATGACTACATTAGGAAAAATATGAATACAAATAGACAACCTGACATTATACCCAAAGAAACTAGAAAAAGAGCACACTGTGCCTAAAACTAGTAGAAAGCTAATTTAAATGAAATACAGACTAGAAAGAAAAAATAGAAAAAAAGAAAAAAATAGAAAAAATAAATGAAATTAAGAGTTGATTTTTTGAAAAAAATGAACAAAGTTGAGAAACCTTTGGCTACACTACCTAAGAAAAACAAGATGACTCTGAAAAATATAATTATAGTCAAAAGAGGCAACGTTACAACTTATACTACAGAAATACAAAGGCTCATGAGAGACTGCTATGTGCAGTTACATTCCAACCAATTGGAGAGTCCAGAAGAAATGGATAAATTTCTAAGAAATATACAACTTGTGTTTTAAAATTTTCCCCACAAAATGCTGACTAGAAGCATTTCCAGCATGCCTCATCCACTTAAATGAACCAAAATAGGTTGCAGACAATCATATTTTTAATACATTATTCAAGGAGGAACATGGGAGATCAACAGGAAATTGAAACTTTAAAATCTAGGAAACAGAAAACAAGCAACCACGTAGCAGGCGTAAGACTCCAGCTGTTTATGCTGGAGTAAATCCCAATAAGTGAAAGAGTGAGTGAGTGCCTTTCTGTGGTCTATTTTCTTACCAGGTAATCATGCAATCTAGCCGTGGGAGAGCATTTTGACCCTCCCAAATCCCGAATCTAACTTAGGGAGCAACCAGGAGATTATAAGAAGAAACTGCTTTAGGAAGTGTCACATGACCTTTTTGCAACCTAAGTGGCTACCATAAGATGCCATTCTTGACCCTAGCTCTTAACAAACTGTGCAGGATCCTGGAAGCATTTATCTCATTCCTAGCCAACAGGGAAAACAGGTGTTGATTGCAGAATCAGGGCTTGAGAAGGGAATGAGCTTTCATAACTCAGCCTGAGAAGTGAGCATGGCGTGGTCTCCAGCTGCTGGCACTTGAAATGGGAACCCCAATCCCAGCACTGCCCCACCCACCCTTGAGACAGATTGTGGGATTCAGATTCCTGGGTGTTCCACACCCCAGTATGCTACCCGGGACACTGAAGCACCTTTCTTGGGGAACAGAGGTAGGACATCAAAGTCCTACCAATACCGTACAGCTGACTTTTAACTGAAAGTGTCACCTACTGGCCTGGAGGCCAGTCCATACAACCCATTGCAACCACTGCTAACACAAGAACACAGAACTCAAGAACTTGAAGAGCATCTTGTGTCCACTGCTACTGCCATTGCCCATGCCACATTGGCTGCCAAGGAAGTCCAGAGCCCACTCACCCACCCAATACGCTGCTACTGCAACTGGCATTCAAGAAAGCCGTCCAGAGGCTCAAGAATCAGCCTGCCTGCAACTGCCAAGCAGACATGAGGAAACACTGTTCTAGATTACAAGAATAGACCCACTTAGCCCAACACCTTTACCATTGAAATCTGAAGATAGGGCCATCTGGCATTCCCCTCCCCAGCACACCTTCACCACAGCCCCGCAAATCACTGCACCATATTAAGCCAAGGAAAGCACACATACCACTAATGCTATTTATAGCCAAAGAAATTATACAGAATATTCACTACTGTATGTACCAAGAAGCTAAACCAAATGCCCCTAACCAAGCAACATCATAGTCATGTCTTTGAGTAAAAGGACCCTCCCCAGTGAAAGTAAATTTGAAAATAAGAAGTGACTATCACTCCAGATGTGCAAAAATCAATGTAAAGATGCAGGAAACTTTAAAAAGCAAGGTTATATGACACGCTCAAAGGAACACAATAATTCTCCAGCAATAGATTCTAGCCAAAGAGAAATTCTAGAAATACCATATCAAGAATTCAAAATATTGATTTTAAATAAACTCAGTGAGATGTAAGATAAATCTGAAAACCAATACAAAGAAATCAGAAAATGTATTTAGGAAATGAATGAGAAATTTAAAAAGATAAATATTAAAAAAGGATATTTTAGCACTAAAAACTTCATTGAAGGACATACAAAATACACTTGAAACCTTCAACAATAGGCTAGACTAAGCAGAATAAATAATTTTAGAACACAAAGATAGGTCTCTTGAAATAATCTAGTTAGATAAAAAATGAAGAAAAAGAATAAACAAAGCCTTTGAGACATTTGGGACTACATAAAGTAATCTAATGTACAAATTACTGGTATTCTTTAGGAGGAAGAAAGATATGAAGCCTTAGAAAATACAGTTTATAAAATAATAGATGAAAACTTCCTAAGTCTAGCAAGAGATTTAGACATCCAGATCCCAGAGTACCAACAAACCCCAGTGAATACATCACACACACACACACACACACACACACACACACACACAATCTGTCACCATGCGATATAATCATTAGACCGTCTAAACTCAAAATGAAAGAAAGAATTATAAAATCAGCAATAGAAAAGCTTCTTGTCACTTAAAAAGGAAGCCACTTTAGACCAACAACAATTTTTTCAGCAGAAACCTTACAGGTCAGAAGAGAATGAGATGGCATAACTAAAGTGCTGAAAGGAAAAAAAAACATGCTAGCCAAGAATTCTATATACAACAAGATCAAGCTTCATAAATGAAGGAGAAATAAATTATTTCCCAGTCAGGCAAATGGTGAAGGAATCTGTCACTAGACTGGACCTACAGGAAATTGTTGAAGAAGTTCTAAACTTGGAAACAAAAGCACAATACTTTTCATCATGAGAACACAGAGTATAAAACCCTCAGGTCTTATAGAAAAATCACACAATGGAGAAAGAAAGAGAAAAGAATCAAGTTGGCAACACTACAGACTACAGGTCATTATATAGTGAAAAAGGGATCAATTCAATAAGAAGATATAACAGTCCTAAATATATATGTACCCGACATTGGAGAACCCAGATTTATAAAACAAATATTACTAGACCCAAAGGAAGACATAGACAGTAATACACTAATAGTGGGGGACTTCAATGCCCTGCTCATAGCACTAGACAGATAATTGAGACAGAAAATCAACAAGGAAGTATTGGACTTAAATTGGACATTAGACCAAATAAGCTTAACTACTTTTACAGAACATTCTATCCAACAACTGCAAAATATACATCTCATCAGCACATGGAACATTCTCCAAGATAGACCATGTGTTGGGTCACAAAACAAGTCTCAACAAATTTTAAAATATTAAATAATATCAAAGTATGTTCTTAATATTTTATTCAATCACGGTTGAATGAAACTAGAAGTCAATACTAAGAGAAACTTTGGAAACTAAACAAATACATGAAAGATTAGGCAACATGCTCCTGAATTGGGTCAATGAAAAAAATTAAGACAGAGATGTTTTTAAAATTATAAAACCAATAAAAATGGAAACACAATATACCAAAGCCTGTTGGATACAGCAAAAGCAGTGGTAAGAGGGACTTATAGCATTAAATGCTTATATAAAAGTGTAGTAAAATTACAAATTAATAACCTGTCATACCTCAAGGAATTGGAAAAACAAGAACAAAGCAAGTGCAACATTAGTAGAAGGAAAGAAATTACAAAGATCAGAGCAGTGCTAAATAAAATGCAGTCCAAAAAATAGTACAGAGGATCAACAAAACAAAAAAAAGAAAACAGGGGCAGATGTGCTCAAGGCTTTGGGAGCCCACCTGTTGCATCACTGTGACCTGGATGTGAGACATGAAGTCAAAGGAGATATATTTTGGAACTTTAAGGTTTAATGACTGCCCTATTGGATTTTGGACTTGTATGGGGCCTCTAGCCCCTTTGTTTTGGCCAATTTCTCCCATTTCTCCCATTTGGAATGGCTGTATTTATTCAATGCCTGTATCCCCATTGTATCTAGGAAGTAACTTGCTTTTGATTTTACAGGCTCACAGGCAGAAGGGACTTGTCTTGTCTGAAATGAGACTTTGGGCTTAGACTTTTGGGTTAATGCTGGAAAGAGTTAAGACTTTGAGGAACTGTTGAAACAGCATGATTGTGTTTTGAAATGTGAGTACATGAGATTTGGGCGTGGCCAGGGATGCAATGATATGGTTTGAGTCTGTGTCCCCACCCAAATCTCACCTTGAATTGTAATCCCCATGTGTCAAGGGTAGGACCAGGTGGGGGTAATTGAATCATGGGGGGCAGTTTCCCCCATGCTGTTCTCATGATAGTAAGTGAGCCTCATGAGATCTGATGGTTTTATAAGCATCTGGCATTTTCCCTGCTTGCCCTCACTCCATCCTGCCACCCTGTGAAGAAGGTGCTTGTTTCTCCTTTGCCTTCAGCAATGATTGTAAGTTTCCTTAGGCTTCCCCAGCCATGCTGAACTGTGAGTCAATTAAACCTCTTTCTTTTATGAACTACCCAGTCTTGGGTATTTCTTCAGAGCAGCATGAGAACAAACTAATACAGCAGGATAAATAAAAATAAAATCTCTGTGGATATTAATTCACTGCTCTGAGTAAGAAAACAATCAGATAAAAATATCAGTAAGATTATAGGGGTCTTATACAACATGGTTGATTAACATCAATTGATATATTTTTAAAAGAAAATCACACATGAAATAACTTCAGAATATGCATTCTTTTGCAAAGGTACATAGAGCATTTAACAAAACAGATACTATTCTGATTAAGAAAAGCAAGTTTTAAAGAATCAACATCATACAGTGAATGTTTCCAGATCATTGTAAGATTCATTTGGAACCCAGTAACATAGTTAAGTAAAATATAACCAAATGTTTGGAGAATATATATTCCACCCTAAAAAGCACTATGAGAAAATGAAGTAATCACAATGGGAGTGAAATATTTGTAACCTGAATGATAATAAAAACGTGGGAAACTCCTGGAAGTAATATGTGATTATGGTAAGGTTGCAGGATACAATGTTAATATTCAATAGTCCATCACTTTCTTATATATCTGCAATAAACAAGAAGAATTTGAAATTAAAAGCACAATGCCATTTACAAATGGTTTAAATTTATAATAGATAACATTTGAAAAAGACATATCTATTGAACTATATACAATGAACTTTTAAAAAAAATTTTATTACAAGTTCCTGGGTACATGTGCAGGTCTGCTATATAGGTAAACCCCTGACATGAAGGTTTGTTGTACAAATTAGTACCAGGTATTGAGCCTAAAACCCATTAGTTATTTTTCCAGATCCTCTCCCTCTCCCACTCTCCACACCCCAGGAGATCTCAGCATTTGTTGTTTCCCTATATGTATCCCTGTCTTCTCATCATTTAGCTCCCACTTATAAGTGAGAACATGCAGTATTTGATTTTCTGTTCCTTTGTTAGGTTGCTAAGAATAATGGCCTCCAGCACCATCCATGTTCCTAAAAAGGATATGATTTTGTTTTTTTTATGCCTGCATAGTATTTCATGGTGTATATGTACCATATTTTCTTTCTGCAGTCTACCGTTGATAGGCATTAGGTTGCAATGAACATAAGTGTGCATGTGTCTTTATGATAGAATTATTTACATTTCTTTGGATGTATACCCAGTAATGGGATTGCTGAGTGAAATGGTATTTCTGTTTTTAGGTCTTTGAGGAATCTCCAGACTGCTTTCCACAATGGTTGAACTAATTTACACTCCCACTAACATCGTATAAGTGTTCCTTTTTCTCTGTATCCTCACCAGCATCTGTGATTTTTTGACTTTTTAGTGATAGCCATTCTGACTGGTGTGAGATGGTAACTCATTGTGATTTTGATTTGCATATCTCTAATGATCAGCGATGTAGAGGTTTTTTTTTTCCCCATATGCTTGTTGGCCGCATGTATGTCTTCTTTTGAGAAGTGTCTGTTCATGTCCTTTGCTCATTTTTAATGGGTTTGTTTGCCCTTCTTCTTCTAAATTTGTTTAATTTCCTTATAGATACTGGATATTAAAACTTTGAAACCGAAAACTATAAAAACTCTGAAAGACAACCTAGGTAATACCATTCTGGACATTGAAACGGGTAAAGATTTCATGATGGAGATGCCAAAAGCAATTGCAACAAAAGCAAAAATTGACAAATGGGATCTAATTAAACTAAAGAACTTCTACACAGCAAAAGAAACTATGAGCAGAGTAAACATGTAACTTTCAGAATTGGAGAAAATTTTTGCAAACAACTCTTAAACCTCCTAAAACTCAACAATGAGAAAATGAGTGACCTGACCTGACTAGAATACTCACTAAAGAAGACATATAGATAGTAAATAAGGATATGAGAAGATGCTCAACAACATAAATCATTTGGAAATTGCAAATTAAGAGATACCACTACATATCTATTAGAATAGCCAAAACACATGAAAACACATAAGAGTGACAGAGCCAAATGCTGGCAAGGTTGTGGAACAATAGAAACTCTCATTCACTACAAATGGAAATGCACAATGGTACAACCACTTTGGAAGATATAAATCATTAGCAGATTGCAAATTAAGAGATGCCACTACATACCTATTAGAACAGCCAGAACATAACAGTGACAGCACCAAATGCTGGCAAGGATGTAGAGCAATAAGAACTCTCATTTGCTACTGATGGAAATGCAAAATGGTACAACCACTTTGGAAGACAGTTCAGCAGTTTCTCATTAAACCAAACATATTCTTACAATAAGATCCAGCAGTTATGCCCCTTGGTATTCACCTAAATGAGCTGAATACTTGTGTCAACAGAAAAACCTGCATACAAATGTGTAAATCATTCAATTTTGAATGATCCATCATTCATAATTACTGGATCTTGGAAACAACCAAGATCCTTCAATAGGTGGAGTGATACTACTAGTCCATTTTCTGCCTGGACATTTTACATAAATAGAATCATATGTGGCCTTTTTCATGTCTTGTTTCTTTCACTTAGCATAATCTTTTGACGATTCATCCATATTGTAGCGTGTCAGAACTTCATTCATTTTTTTATGACTTAATAGTATTATATCATATGAATATACCACTTTTTGTTTATCCAATTATCAGCTGATGTTCTACCTTTGGCTATTGTGAATAGTTCTAAAAATATTTATGTGAACAATTTTTTGAGCACCTGTTTTCAATTCTCTTGGGTATATACATACTAGTTGAACTGCTGGATCATATAGTAACTTTATGTTTAAAAATGAGGAACTGCCAATCTGTTTTCCTTAGTGGCTGCAGAATGTTACATTCTTACCTGCAGCAGGTAAGGTAGCACTCCTATTTCTTCACACTCTCACCAATACTTATTTTATTTTATTATTTCTTATTTTTAATTATGGCCGATTAGTGGATATAAAGTGGCATCTCATTGTGGTTTTTATATAAGTTTCCCATATGACTAATGATGTTGAACATCTCTTCATGTGCTTCTTAGTTGGCAATTTGTATATCTTTTTCAGAGAAATCTCTATTCAAACATTTGGCTCATTTTTCATGGGTTGTCTTTTTATTGTTGAATTGTAAGGGTTCTTTATATAGTCTACATATTAGCCTGTGCTGGTTTTCTAGGGGTGCCATAACAAATTGCCACAAACTTGGCGGCTTTAAACAACAGAAATTCCTTATTTCCCATTTCTGGAGGCTAGAAGTCTGGTGTTGACAGGGCCAGGCTCCCTTCAAAGGTTCTTGGAAAAGTTCTTCCTTGCCACGTGAAGCTTCTGGCGAGTCCAGATATTCCTTGGCTTGTGGTTGCATAAATTCAACTTCTGCCACCAGCTGTACATGACCTTCTTCTCTGTATTATTGTCTTCTCTTCTTTCTCTTATAAGGACACTTGTCATTGGATTTAGAGCCCTCTCAAGTTCTCCAGGATGATCACCTAAAGATTCTTAATTACATCTGCAAATATCATTTTTCTCAACAAGGTCACATTCACAGTTTAGAAAGTGAGGACATGGACATATCTTTTTGATGGGTACCATTCAACCGGCTACAAGACACTTATCAAGATACATTACTTATAAATATGTTCTCCCATCTGTGGGTTATCTTTTGCCTTTCTTGATTGTCTTTTGATGTGCAAAAATTTTTAGTTTTTTTTTATTATTATACTTTAAGTTTTAGGGTACATGTGCACAACGTGCAGGTTTGTTACATATGTATGCATGTGCCTTGTTGGTGTGCTGCACCCATTAACTCATCATTTAGCATTAGGTATATCTCCTGATGCTATCCCTCCCCCCTCCCCCCACCCCACAACAGTCCCCAGTGTGTGATGTTCCCCTTCCTGTGTCCATGTGTTCTCATTGTTCAATTCCCACCTATGAGTGAGAACATACGGTGTTTGGTTTTTTGTCCTTGTGATAGTTTGCTGAGAATGATGGTTTCCAGCTTCATCCATGTCCCTACAAAGGACATGAAGTCATCATTTTTTATGGCTGCATAGTATTCCATGGTGTATACGTGCCACATTTTCTTAATCCAGTCTATCATTGTTGGACATTTGGGATGGTTCTACTCTTAAGCAATACATGTTCATGTCACTAGGTTCCCCTGCAAATCATGAGCTCAGAGATGTACGCTCTGTCTTTGTAGGTCAAAGAAGAATTGATCATCTTTGGGAGGTTACTGTTTGTTGGCAGTGAGATGCCTTAGTCCGAATTCCTTGGATGACAGAGGGGCTCCTCACAACCTCTTTCTAGTTCAAATTTGAGTGAAGCTTGGAGATACTGTCTTCCTACTACTACCTTAAGAAATTGTGTTTCCATATCAAATCAGCCCCAGGGTTTTGAAGGAGCTGTGATCCAGCAGATATAAAACTGGTCTGGATAAGTGATGCAGTAAAGTTTGCAGTGAAAGAGACTGCTGTAGTTTCCCTCCTGAACTTCCAGAGCTTTCTGGCAGAGATGACTGTTCTCTAATGTGACTGTCATTACCCATGGCTTGCTGTGGCAGAAACCCACATTTCTAGAAATGCTTTTACAAGGCCCATAAGTTGCAAAGGCAGCTGTGTTTAAGTAGCAGGAATCAATATTTTGAGACACTGACTAGCCCCATCACATTCTAACCTTGACTGCATATTCTAGAGGAAGCAAGAAATACACTGTGAGTACAAGTGACATTTCTCGTGACATCTAAATATCTTGCTTTCTGCTTTTAGCTCCCATGTCGCATCTCACTTGTCTTTATAAAATTGTATACTTTGAGTAAACTTGGTTTTGTAATTCATACATTAGCTATAGTCTTCAACAGACCTACATTCATATTCATGGAAATAACACTGATCTAGTGATAATTGGAGTCCACAGTCTAGAAATGTCACTCTAGTTAGTTAATATGAACCAAGAGATGTCATATGGATAGTCATGATCTTTATCCTTCTCTGAATTCTATGAACTTAAGGCAAACATGTGCACACAAAGTGGGGAACAGCAGACACTGGGGCCTACCAGAGGGTAGTAGTAGGGTGGGAGTAGGGAGAGGAGCAGGAAAAAATAACTATTGGATACTAGGCTTAGTACCTGGGTCACAACATTGTCTGTACAACAAATCCCCAAGTTTACCTGTATCACGAACCTGTGCATGTACCCCTGAACCTAAAATAAATTTTTTTTTTAAAAAAGGATCAGCATGATATTTGAAAAGAATGTTGAAATGAAGATGGCAGACTGATACTGGAACCAGCTTTATCTCCAATAGCTGCCTTATCTTTTCCTCTGGGTTCAGTTTCTTCATTGGTAAAATAAGGTGGTTGAGCTCCAACTCTCAGTGGTTTCTCAGGCCCAGTACTTAATGAATCTATTATTAATATATCTATCATCATTGTTTATGGATCCATTATTCTAGCCCCATTTCAGGGTTTTGTTATTTATTAGCTAATTTGATTTTAACTTTTATCAACTCAAATATAAATATGAGATACAGTGTATTTGACAAATTGCTGTCTAAAACTTTCTCTCTGAAGAATAGTTCACCTCTTTTTAAGTAGTGTTTTCTTTCTTATTACATATTATTTACTCTAGGTGCCTGCCACACTGTTTGCTCTCAAATGCTCATGTCACTTGGTCACCTTTTTGTACCTGCTCTCCTCTGAAAGTATCTTAGGCTCTAAAATGTTTTCAGTTGTCTGTCTTTCAAAAACTTTGTATAAGCATTCCTTTTTCTCCACAACCTTGCCAGCATCTGTTATTTTTTTACTTTTTAATAATAGCCATCTGACTGGTGAGAGATGGTATCTCATTGTGGTTTTGATTTGCATTTCTCTAATGATCAGTGAAGTTGAGTTTTTTTTTTCATATATTTGTTGGCCACATGTATGTCTTCTTTTGAAAAGTGTCTGTTCATGTCATTTGCCCAATTTTTAATGGGGTTATTTTTTTCTTGTAAGTTTGTTTATATTTCTTATAGATGTGGATATTAGACCTTTGTCAGATATAGTTTGTAAAAGTTTTCTCCAATTCTGTGGGTTGGCTGTTTACTCTCTTGATAGTTTCTTTTGCTGTGCAGAAGCTCTTTAGTTTTATTAGATCCCATTTGTCAATTTTTGCTTTTGGTGTCTTTGTCATGAAATATTTGTTCCCATGTCCTGAATGGTATTGCCTGGTTGTCTTACAGAGTTTTTATAGTTTTTGGTTTTACATTTGAGTCTTTAATACATCTTGAGTTAATTTTTGTATATGGTGTAAGGAAGAGGTCCAGTTTCAATCTTCTGCATATGGCTAGCAAGTTATCCCAGCACCATTTATTGATTAGGAATCCTTTCCCCATTACTTTTGTCAACTTCATCAAAGATGAGATTATTGTAGGTATGCAGCCATATTTCTGGGCTCTCTATTCTGTTCCATTGGTCTATGCATCCTTTTTTGTACCAGTGAAGTGTAAATTAGTGCAACCTTTATGGAAAACTGTGGCAATTCCTCAGAGACGTAAGAATAGAGCTACCATTTAACCCAGCAATCCCATTACTGGGTATACACCCAAAGGAATATAAATTGTTCCACCATAAAGGCACATGCACGCGTATGTTCATTGAAGCACTATTCACAATAGCAAAGACATAGATTCAACCTAAATGCCATCAATGGGAGACTGGATAAAGAAAATGTGGTACATATACTCCATGAAATACAATGCAGCCATAAAATAAAGAATGAGATCATATACTTTGCAGCAACCTGAATGGAGCTGGAGGCCATTATCCTAAGCAAACTAACACAGGAATAGAAAACCAATACTTATGAGTGGAAATATAAATACTCCTTTGCAGAAATATGGATGGAGCTGGAGGCTATTATCCTTAGCAAACTAATGCAGGAACAGAAAACTACATACCATATGTTCTCACTTGTAAGTGGCAGCTAAATGACACAGACATAGAGGGGAACAACAGACAATGGGGCTTATCAAAGGATGGAGGATGGGACGAGGGAGAGGATCATGAAAAATAAGTAATGGATTCTAAGCTTAATACCTGGATGATGAAATAATCAATATAACAAACCTCCATGACACAAGTTTACCTATATAACAAACCTGCAGATGTACCCCTGAACTTAAAAGTTAAATAAAAGAAAAAATAACTTTAAAATGTGCAGAACCTTTGAGACAGATCTTTCAGCTCTCATAACTATCAGAAGGAAATGATTATGCATGTGTTATAAAATCTTCATGGTAACATTACTGTGTATATAAAAATGGATAAAGAAAATGTGGTAAACCTACACAATGGAATATTATTCAGCCATAAAAATAACAAGGTCCTGTCATTGGCAGCAACATGGATGAAACTGGAGGTCATTATGTTAGATGATATAGGCCAGGGACAGAAAGATAAATATAATAAGTTCTCACTTATAAGTGGGAGATAAAAAAGTTGATTTCATGGAGGTAGAGAGTGGAATGCTGGTTACCATAGGGTGGAAAGCATAGTGGGGCAGGGGGTGTAAAGAGACGTTGACTCATGGATACAAAAATGCAGTTAGATAGAAGGAATAAGTTCTATAATTAACATTAATTTATAGTATATTTCTAGGGCAACTACAGTTAACATTAATTTAGAGTATTTTTCCAAATAGTCAGAAGAGAGGATTTGGAATGTTTCCAACACAAAGAAATGAAAAATGTTTGAGGTAGTGGATATCTAAATTACCCTGTTTTAGTTATTACACATTGTATGCAATCAAAATATCACATGTATGGTATAAATATGTACAACTATCATATATCAATAAAAATAAAATATAAAAGTTACACAAATTTAAAAAAAGAAGCAGTTTAAATATTTACAATTTGCATTTACTTTCTTAAATTATAGAACATCCTAGGATGTAATATTGCACAATGAATAAAATGATGTTTGAGAAAACTGTTTAAGAATGTGGAAAATGCTCATTCTTCTAAGTGAAAAAAATGCAGGTTAAAATACACTTTGTATAATGATCCTGTTAAAACTAGGATTCATTATAGTATTGTTTCACTTTTCTCTCCCAAAGAGGTGTAAGGAATGAGGTGAATCATTTTACTTTGCTAATCCAAACTTAAAAAAAAAAAAGAAAAAGAAAAAGTGTGATGTTTTGTTTGACCAGTGGAATGTCTGTGGGTTACTTGTCTTCTTTAAACCTAGTTTCCTCACAATAATTTTATTTAATGTTCATTTGACTTTTTCCAGTATGGATATAAGCCACAAATACTGTGTTACTGACTGACGTGGACTCAGTGAAGCTGAATAAAATCAAAAGAAAATATACACATATTTCAAGGGAAAAGGTCAGTGCACAATATACATAAATGTACTTAGTTCAGTGCCTCCTCTGTTTGGCTAATGGTTGCTCTATTTTCCAAGTCTCATTCCAGATGTGTTGCTACTCACCATGTCTTTTCTTGTCTTTATCAGAGCCTAGATTCAAACCTAATATAAATTATCTTGGGAAAAATCAAATATATGTGATATTTTCTGTACATTTTAACCTTTTAACCACACAGCTTAAATTTTATTATTTTATTTTATTTATTTATTTATTTTTTATTTTTTTTTATTATTATACTTTAAGTTTTAGGGTACATGTGCACATTGTGCAGGTTAGTTACATATGTATACATGTGCCATACTGGTGCACTGCACCCACTAACTCGTCATCTAGCATTAGATATATCTCCCAATGCTATCCCTCCCACCTCCCGCCACCCCACAACAGTCCCCAGAGTGTGATGTTCCCCTTCCTGTGTCCACGTGTTCTCATTGTTCAATTCCCACCTATGAGTGAGAATATGCGGTGTTTGGTTTTTTGTTCTTGCGATAGTTTACTGAGAAAGATGATTTCCAGTTTCATCCATGTCCCTACAAAGGACATGAACTCATCATTTTTTATGGCTGCACAGTATTCCATGGTGTATATGTGCCACATTTTCTTAATCCAGTCTATCATTGTTGGACATTTGGGTTGGTTCCAAGTCTTTGCTATTGTGAATAGTGCCGCAATAAACATACATGTGCATGTGTCTTTATAGCAGCATGATTTATAGTCCTTTGGGTATATACCCAGTAATGGGATGGCTGGGTCAAATGGTATTTCTAGTTCTAGATCCCTGAGGAATCGCCACACTGACTTCCACAATGGTTGAACTAGTTTACAGTCCCACCAACAGTGTAAAAGTGTTCCTATTTCTCCACATCCTCTCCAGCACCTGTTGTTTCCTGACTTTTTAATGATTGCCATTCTAACTGGTGTGAGATGGTATCTCATTGTGGTTTTGATTTGCATTTCTCTGATGGCCAGTGATGGTGAGCATTTTTTGATGTGTTTTTTGGCTGCATAAATGTCTTCTTTTGAGAAGTGTCTGTTCATGTCCTTTGCCCACTTTTTGATGGGGTTGTTTGTTTTTCTCTTGTAAATTTGTTTGAGTTCATTGTAGCTTCTGGATATTAACGCTTTGTCAGATGAGTAGGTTGCGAAAATTTTCTCCCATTTTGTGGGTTGCCTGTTCACTCTGATGGTAGTTTCTTTTGCTGTGCAGAAGCTCTTTAGTTTAATCAGATCCCATTTGTCAATTTTGTCTTTTGTTGCCATTGCTTTTGGTGTTTTAGACATGAAGTCCTTGCCCATGCCTATGTCCTGAATGGTAATGCCTAGGTTTTCTTCTAGGGTTTTAATGGTTTTAGGTCTAACGTTTAGGTCTTTAATCCATCTTGAATTGATTTTTGTATAAGGTGTAAGGAAGGGATCCAGTTTCAGCTTTCTCCATATGGCTAGCCAGTTTTCCCAGCACCATTTATTAAATAGGGAATCCTTTCCCCATTGCTTGTTTTTCTCAGGTTTGTCAAAGATCTGATAGTTGTAGATATATGGCGTTATATCTGAGGGCTCTGTTCTGTTCCATTGATCTGTATCTCTGTTTTGGTACCAGTACCATGCTGTTTTGGTTACTGTAGCCTTGTAGTATAGTTTGAAGTCAGGTAGTGTGATGCCTCCAGCTTTGTTCTTTTGGCTTAGGATTGACTTGGCAATGTGGGCTCTTTTTTGGTTCCATATGAACTTTAAACTAGTTTTTTCCAATTCTGTAAAGAAAGTCATTGGTAGCTTGATGGGGATGGCATTGAATCTATAAATTACCTTGGGCAGTATGGCCATTTTCACGATATTGATTCTTCCTACCCATGAGCATGGAATGTTCTTCCATTTGTTTTTATCCTCTTTTATTTCCTTGAGGAGTGGTTTGTAGTTCTCCTTGAAGAGGTCCTTCACGTTCCTTGTAAGGTGGATTCCTAGGTATTTTATTCTCTTTGAAGCAATTGTGAATGGGAATTCACTCATGATTTGGCTCTCTGTTTGTCTGTTCTTGGTGTATAAGAATGCTTGTGATTTTTGTACATTGATTTTGTATCCTGAGACTTTGCTGAAGTTGCTTATCAGTTTAAGGAGATTTTGGGCTGAGACAATGGGGTTTTCTAGATATACAATCATGTCGTCTGCAAACAGGGACAATTTGACTTCCTCTTTTCCTAATTGAATACCCTTTATTTCCTTCTCCTGCCTAATTGCCCTGGCCAGAACTTCCAACACTATGTTTAATAGGAGTGGTGAGAGAGGGCATCCCTGTCTTGTGCCAGTTTTCAAAGGGAATGCTTCCAGTTTTTGCCCATTCAGTATGATATTGACAGCTTAAATTTTAAAAATAATATCTAGTATCATAGTGAAGATTTAATTACATGCACTTTTCTATGCATAGTTAATATCACTAATATAAGCATTTAGTCATAAGTGCCTTATATTCTAACCATTATATTTGAAAGCATTATTCAGAGTAGCATGAAAACCTGTTTCTTTCAAAAGGTAATAGAATTTGAAGATAGAAATCTTAATACTTCTCATCCATAGCTGTAAGTCTACTCCTTCACTGTGCTGTATACTCTTACAATAACACAATTACTCTATCTCAACTTCAGCATCTGGGTCTTTTGTGTTTCTGTGAAGTATGCAAGTAAGTTCATTTGCAACTGCACATGGATCTGGCAAAGATACAGTGCTCAGCAAAACTATTTCTCTCCTGATCTTTACTGCTTAATGAGTGTGCAAATATTTGACCATTTTTGGACTGTTATCATAGTGAACTTAAATTTCCTCATATTTTCCTCCCTATAATTCTTAACAAGTGCAATGGTAACATTGATATGGTAACATACTATTATGTTCCAAGCCATGAATCTAGCATTTTATTTTTGTAGTCCTATTATTTATTCCTCTTAAAGTAATTTCATCCGTAAAAGGAACTAAGCTACTTTCTCTATGTTATGTGATCATTCAAATAAAATCATTTGGTCCAATCAGTATAGCAGAATAATTTAAGCATACCTGGATCTCCCTTCTCTGAGAATGATTTATTCAGCCCAAATTGTTGGATTATTATCCAGACTCTCAATTCACATTGATATAATGATTTTCATATTTTCCACCTAATTTTTATAAAATTCATTTTATTTTACTTTAAGAACTTTTTTATTTTTAATTTTTGTGGGTACATAGTAGGTGCATGTATTAATGTGGCACATAAGATGCTTTGTTACATACATGCAATACGCAATAGTCACATCATGGAAAATGGCATATGTATCTCCTCAAGAACTTATTCTTTGTGTCACAAACATCCAATTATACTTTTTTAGTTATTTTAAAATGTATAATTATTATTATTTTAGATTCAGGGGTACATGTGCAGGTTTGCTATGTAGGTAAATTGCATGACACGGGGATTTGGTGTGCAAATTATTTCATCACCCAGGTAATAAGCATAGTACCTGGTAAGTAGTTTTTCTATTTTTACCCTCCTCCCACCCTCCATCCTCAAGTAGACCCCAAGGTCTGTTGTTCCATTCTTTGTGTCCATATGTACTTAATATTTAGCTTCCACTTAGAAGTGAGTATTTGTATTTCCACTTGTAAGCATTTGGTTTTCTGTTCCTGCATTTGTTTGCTTAGGATAATGGCCTCCAGCTCTATTCAGGTTGCTGCAAAGGACATGATCTCATTCCTTTTTATGGCTGCATAGTATTCCATGGTATATATGTACCACATTTTCTTTGTCTATTGTACCATTGATGGGAGATGAGGTTGATTTCATGTCTTTGCTATTTTGAATAGTGAGGTGAAGAACACATGCGTGCATGTGTCATTATGGTAGGACAATTTATATTCCTTTGGGTATATACCCAATAATGGAATTGCTGGGTCAAATGGTAATTCTGTTTTAACTTTCAGAAATTGCCAAAGTGCTTTTCACATTCGCTGAACTAATTTACATTCCCACCATCAGTGGATAAGCTCTATATTTATCCTGTTGTGCTATAAAATAAATACTAGGTTTTATTCATTCTTTTCTTTTGTTTTCATTTTTTATTGAGTTTCATTCAGCAAACATAGCCAAATAAATGTCTTGCAGGAGGGCCTCCAATGGCTGCCATCTTCTACAGCAATAGCCAGCCACCCACTGACACCATTCAGAAAGTGTCCATTGGTTGGACTTTTATTCCAACGCCTCGAAAAAGTAGTGGCTTCTTTGGTGAGGACTGCAGTGGTCCCTTTTCTCACACCTGTACCTGCCAAATCTAGTCCCCTTCTTTTTGGGCACTGTGAATCGGCCAAGAAAATCTACCTTTCTCTTGCCTATAATGCTGAGATCAATGTGGCTTCCAGAGCCCAGGTTGTTGAAGAAGCCAGCTGCAGTGGCTTCACTTACCATCTTCTTTGCTTCCTCTTCTCCCATATCTGGCCTAGAATATCTTCAAATACAGCCTTTGCTGCTAAGCATCCATGGTGATGAGGCAAGTTATCAGTTTATTCATGAGGATAGATGCTGTAGAGGTGAGGTCCAGTAAAAACTCTCAATCTCCTTAAAACTAGGGCTGCACCAATGTAACCCTGATAGTTTAAAAGCATTTGCTTCAGCATCTGATTGGCCATGACAACTCAGGAAGATGGCCACTACAGATGGAGTGGAGCTCCAAGTTGGAAGAAATAAAACAATATGCTCCTGAATGACTAGTGGGTCAGTGAAGAAATTAAGAAGGAAATCAAGAAATTCCTTAAAACAAATGATAAATGAAAAACAACCTACCAAAACCTATGGGATATAGCAAAAGCAGAACAAAGAGGGAAGTTTATAACTACAAATGCTTCCTTTAAAAAGAAAAAAAACCTTCAAATAAGCAACCTAATGATTTATCTTAAAGAACTAGAAAGGCAAGAGCAAGCCAAAACCAAAATTAGCAAAAGAAAAGAAATAATAAAGAGTAGAGCAGAAATAAATGAAATTGAAATGAAGAAAACAATACAAAAAATGAATGAAACAAAAAGTTGACTTTTTTGAAAAGATAAACAAAATCAACAAAACTTTAGCCAGATTAACAAAGAGAAGACTGAAATAATTCAAATTAGAGATGAAAAAGGAGACATTATAACTGATACTACAGACATTCAAAGGATCATTAATGGCTACTATGAGCAACTATATGCTAATAAATTGGAAAATCTAGAAGAAATGAATAAATTCCTAGACACATACAACCTATCAAGATTGAACCAGAGAAAGGGAGAAAATATATGCAAAGTGCCCATCTGACAAGGGATTAAAAACCAGAATATACAAGGAGCTCAAACAACTCTATAGGAAAAAATCTATTAATCCAATCAAAATATGGGCAAAACATTTGTATAGACATTTCTCAAAAGAAGGCATAAAAATGGCAAACAGGTATATGAAAAGGTATGCAACATCATTGATCATCAGAGAGATGAAAATCAAATAACAAATATTGGTGGGGATGTGGAGAACACTTGATGGGAATGTAAATTAGTACAGCCTCTAGGGAGAACAGTTTGAAGGTTCCTCAAAAAACTACAAATAGAGTTACCTTGCAATTCAGCAATCCCACTCCTAAGTATATACCCTAGAGAAAAAAAAACAGTATATCAAAAGATATCTCCACTCCCATATTTATTGCAGTACTATTCACAGTTGCCAATATTTGGAATCAACCTAAGTGTCTATTAACAGACAAATGGATAAAGAAAATATGGTACCTATACACAATGGAGTGCCATTCAGCCATAAAAGAGAATGAGATCCTATTATTTGCCAAAACATAGATGGAATTGGAGGTCATTATGCCAAGTGAAATAAGTCAGGTACAGAAAGACAAACTTCTAATATTCTTATATATGTGTATATATGTATCTATCTATAGCAAATTACGTAAGACATCATACTATTGCTTGTATAGTCAATATTCAGTGTATACTTATTTACATATGCCAACTTATTTGCCAGTCTACTTCTTTATTTTTTCCTTTAATTTAGTGTTTTTCTCCAGGATTCTTTTATTTGAAGAACTGCTATTAATATTTATTTATTAGAAGTTCTTAGGCAACAGATTCTCTCATTTTTGTCATAAGATGCTTTATCTCATCTTTACTTAAATGATTTACTTTATCTCACATAGACATTTAGGTTGATATTATCTTCTTTCATCAATTTAAAGATGTTTTTCCATTTTTCTCTGGCTTCTGTGTTTCTTTTATGAAGAAATTTATCAGTTCCCTTTAAACTAAAGGACAGCCTCTCATCCCAGCTGCTAAGATTCTCTGTTTTTAATTTTTATTGTCACACGTTGATGTGTTTAGGTCTTTTTCATTGTTGTTTATTCTGCTTGTGGTTCACCGTGTATTTTTTTCCTGTGGCTTATTGTCTTTTATCAGGTTTTAAAAGTTATTGGTAATTCTTTCCTCAAATATTTCACCTTTCTCATTCTCTTGTTTGCCTATCCACTTGGACTTCAATTATATATATAATTACATATATATGTAATTGAAATACATATATATATGAGATTTCACTGCATCTGACACATCTCTAATACTTTTTCTTGTATTTTTCCATTTTTCCTATTTGCATTCTTAATTTTAGTATTTTTATCGATTTAACTTCCAGCACACTCTGTAGTCTTCTCCTGTGTTTAATCTGATTTTAAACTCATCTAATGAATTTTTAATTTCAAAATTTTTTAGTTCTACAATTTTCATTTACTTCTCTTTATGGATTTTAATTGGTGAAATTTGCTATCCTTTTATCTATTTATTACACCTTTTCTTCTACTGTCTTGAACATACTAGTCATGATGATTATAATGTTACGGTTATTCACTTTCATACTCTGGGTAGACTCTGATTATATTCCAATTATTTATCTTTTTTTCTTTATTTCGAAAAATTTTTCACTCTTCTGGTGTTTCTTATGATTTTTATTAAATTATGGATATTGTTTATTAAAAATGATAGGTTGTATATGCTCCAGTTCATGTTACTTCCTGCAAAGAAAGTTCACACACCTCATTACAAGATGGACACAGAAGTAAATCCCCTTAATGCTGTGTTTCTCATTGTAAAAAATTTACCATCATTCTCAGTAAACTATTGCAAGAACAAAAAACCAAACACCGCATATTCTCACTCATAGGTGGGAATTGAACAATGAGATCACATGGACACAGGAAGGGGAATATCACACTCTGGGGACTGTGGTGGGGAGGGGGGAGGGGGGAGGGATAGCATTGGGAGATATACCTAATGCTAGATGACGAGTTAGTGGGTGCAGCGCACCAGCATGGCACATGTATACATATGTAACTAACCTGCACAATGTGCACATGTACCCTAAAACTTAAAGTATAATTAAAAAAAAAATTTACCTTTTAGGGAACATTTGGCAATATGTAGAAATATTTTTGGTTGTTACACTAAGAAAATGCTCCTGGCACCTAGTAAGTAGAGGTCAGGAATGCTACTAAACAACCTACAATGCACGGGGCAGCCTCTTACAACAAATAATTATTTTGTCCAAAACGCCAATCGTGCCGAAGTTAAGAAGCCGCGCCTTAATTTAAATAAAGGTTTTGTGGAGTTGAAGCTGATTTTCAGGTTTCATAGGACTCAGTCAATCTCTGGCTCATTCGTAGATTGCCAGGTTTAAAATCAGTCTCTGATATATTCTCAGGACTTCTAATTCACTTATGAAAGATTAAAATTTAGAAGTGAAGGAAGTGAATGTGCCTGATCATGTCTGATCTCAGAAGCTAAGCAGGATTGGGTCTGGTTAATACTTGGATGAGAGACCACTGAGTTATGTAGGCTTTAATAATAATACTAATAGTTTTAAAAGTAAATTTAAAAAATGAAATGAAGGAAGTGGTAATAGAGATTACAAAATGTAAGGTTTCCATTTTGTGTAGGGGTGTCTAATAGGACTAGAGCAATACTGAGTATTTTGTGCCTTCAAATGCTGTAATCGTGGAACTGGCAGTTAAAAAATGATTTCTGTGTTCCCTACATTCATAATCGCTGTGGGGACAGTTACTCCTTATATAGACCAATTTATTGGTAATGTTTAGAAATTTATTTTAGTAAGCCAGGTCTACAGCCTGGTCTTATAGTTCTTCAATGATTTGTAAGTATCTAATGCCTTATATATGCTTATTCAAATAATCAGAGTGGTTTAGTTATCTAAATAATAACTTGTATTACATATAACTATTGATCATTGCATTCAGGGTGAAATAATTTGTAAGTGAACTCAAGTTTTTATCTAATGTTTAAAAATTACCCATTAGGAATAAGCAGAAATCTCTGCAAAACTTTGAAATATATAGCTAAATTGTCTTTTCACAGTTTCTGATAAAATATAACAGTTTTAATTTTCTCTCTCTATCAAATTAGAAAAAGTAACTAGACCTTTTAAGTGTTGACATAAATAAAAAATACTTAGCAGCACGCACTTTCCACTTAATGATATTTTACTACTCATAGTTCTGTAATCAGAATCTTGAGGATCTTCCCTTAAGTCAAATAGGAAACATTAAAGAGTTACTCTCCTGCTTATTGTCTTTCAAGAATCTCCTTTTGAAATCTGAATAAATTGAACTTCTTATTGACTAAAATGCTCTACATAATTTTGCCCCTACCAAATTCTTTGACTTCAATTTTTGCCATTTTCACATTCACTAAATATAGTACAGCTGTTCTCTTCCTTTTTATGGTCATCAAATATAACAAGCTCATAAGATCTTTGGATTCTTGTACTAGTCAGCCTTTTTGCCTAGAATTTCTGTCCCCAGATATTTGCATGGTTGTTTCTTTCGAATCATATTGGTTTCAGCTAAACACCACTTGAGGCCTCACTTAACAACCAAAAGTAAGGTAATTACCACCTCCCCAGCTAATCTCTAGCATAATACCACTTTCTGCTTGCTACAGAACACTGTTTCTTTCTGAAACTATAGTTGTTTTTCAAATTTAATAAACTGTATTTATCCCCTTGAATAAATCTAATAACCTGTATTTATCCCCTTGAATATAAATCTAGGAGACCTGGAATCTTACCTGTCTCATTCATATGCCTGGAATAGTGCCTGAAAATGGGAAGTACTTAATAATTATAATACTTGCTAAATGACTGACTGATTCAATGCATGAATGAGGAAATGATTTAGCTAAATTCAACTGGACTTTCTCCGTTCTTGCTTTTCTCTTTCTTCTATTCAGCAAAACATATGTTGACTTAACAACTTCCTCATGGAAGCTTTCACCTCCTGGTTGCGAAGCGTATAAATAACAGGGTTCATCAAAGGAAAGATGACAGTATGGAAAAGAGAAACTACCTTGTCAGCTGGGAAAGCCTGGAAGGGGCAAGTGTAGATGAAAATAGCAGGTCCAAACATGAGAAATATAATGATAATATGGGTGGTGCATGTGGAAATAGCCTTGCTCTTTCCTTCAGAGGAGTGCTCCCTTATACGACAGAGGATGACTGCATAGGAGGCCAGAAGGCCCAGGAAGCACAGGAGGCTGAGCAGGCCACTGTTGGAGACCATCAGAAGCTCCACCACAAAGGTATTGGTGCAGGCCAGCTTGATGACCTGTGGAACATCACAGAAGAAGTTATCGAGCTGGTTTGGGCCACAGAAAGGCAAGTGCAGGATAAGGGCTACTTGTACAATGGAATGGATAAAGCCCCCAAGCCACAGAACCAACGATAATGCATAGCAGGCTCTAGGGTTCATGATGGTTGAATAGTGTAAAGGCCGGCAGATGGCGATGTAGCGGTCAAAGGCCATCACAACGAGGAGGAACATCTCTCCCGCTCCAAGAAAATGCAAGAAAAAGAGCTGAGTGATGCAGCTTCTATAGGAGATTACCTTCTTCTCAGAGAGGAAGTCCACCAACATCCTGGGAACCACAATGAAGGAGTAGGATGCATCCAGTAAGGCCAAGTTGCCCAGAAAGAAATAGAGGGGGGCTGTGAGCCCAGGGTCTGACTTTATGGTGAAAATGATGAGGAAATTTCCAGGGAGGATGATAAGGTAGAAAATTAAGACTAGCACAAAGACCAGAAGTTGAGCATCTTGAGACTGGGTCAGACCAAGAAGAATGAATTCTGTCACCACTGTGAGGTTCTGTGTTTCCATAATTTCTCACTCTGCAGAATAAAATAGGGCAAATTGTTATCTGTTATAACCACCTTTTCATCTGTTTTCTATCTCCTCTCCAGATAAGAACATTATTTGTCCCAACCAATGTTCCGTAGCTGAAGACAACTTATGTCTTGTATCCTGAGTTAACCCTTCTATTCTTCATCCTCTTTATTCCTCACTAAAATAAAATACGTTTTTAGGTAGCCACATTTCCATGCCCATTTAACCTCAGGCTTCTAGGTAACTTCACTCCTGTAGGATTCCAGGCTACTTTGCTTGAAGAATATTAGAAGTTGTCTTATTAAAGCATAACTTAAGCATGATCAAGTTTGTCTGTTTTGTTTGTTTTTGTTGCTGTTAGTGGTGGTCCACTGTCTCTAAATGTTAGATTAGTTGCTAGGTTTTAGTTCCCTTTCTTCCTGTCACAGAATAAAGTGCTTTCACAGTTGCTTCTGCCACCAGTTCCTATGGAATTCTTGGTTCCTGGTTGTTACCTATATGACTGGTTTCTAAATTTGTTCCTTGCTTATTCCCATCACATTGTTGTGCTTTGGTGCTCTTGTGTATTCTTACTTCAAACTGATCACCAAGATAGCAAGCAAGATCTGTATATTTCTCTTAACTTAGAGGAATTCCCTAGTTAAAGCCTTGGCTGAGTACCACTCTGAATCTGCTCTACAACCTGTTCTTAAGTTCTAGTTAATACTAATTCAGTTTCATCTGCTCTCTATATATCTATAACCTACTTCTTCTTCAGATCTCAGAGTGAGAGCCAAATGATATTCTTTTCACAAACATTTTTGCATAATACAAAATTTATCAGAATATGTAAAAGATTTTGACTATCTCGGCTAATAAAATTAAAATATAATAGAGCTGGAATTGGCCATACAGAACATATAATCTGATGTACTCATTTGAGAGTTGAAAAAATGCAATTGCAGAGAAGTTTTAAACTTGCAATGAGTTTTCTTTTCTCTCATTATCAAGTGATAGAGGAAAGCAGGTATTTATTCCTCAGTTTACACTTTTTAGGGAATTATTTATGTCTCATCAATTGGCAATATTTTATTTAGGCACTTAAGTAAATATGATGCTGCATGTCTAAATATTCCCCCTTTTCTGGCCATAGCTTTGTCTAAATAAGTATTCTATTCATGTCAGAGAAATCTGGAATTAAGGTTTAGTCTGTATACTAATCTCCAAAATTAGATGTGTTCACCCAAGGAGGTGCACAAGATAATCCATTGGGATGCATAAAAATAATGGAACTTCTCTGCATATTATTATAAGCTATGTTTTTAAAAATGTATTTGTTCACACCTGTAATCCCAGCACTTTGGGAGACCGAGGAGGGCAGATCACAAGGTCAGGAGATCGAGACCATCCTGGCTAACATGGTGAAACCCCATCTCTACTAAAAATACAAAAACAAAATTAGCTGGGTGTGGTGGCTGGTGCTTGTAGTCCCAGCTACTCAGGAGGCTGAGGCAGGAGAATGGTGTGAACCCAGGAGGCGGAGCTTGCAGTGAGCTGAGATCGCACCACTGTACTCCAGCCTGGGCAACAGAGCGAGACTCCATCTCAAAAAAAAATATATATATATATTTGTGATTGTATTTTAATGATCGTGTTGAGATTATTATAAAATGTTTTATAAATAAATACTCACATACGATGATACCATGCATGTTTCACTATTGCAATGAATGATTTCAAAGATGAAATATTATTAATGAAAACAAAATGCTATAATGTGATATGTACAAATGTTACCCTTGACTTTTGACTACATACAATATTTATTTTCAAAAGTGCTGTGGATACAATATCATGCAATGTGACAATAAAAAGGAAGTACTGATGCATGCTATAACATGTTGATGCTTGCACAAACTCTGTAAACATACTTAAAACCATTGAATTTGTATACTTTAAATGGTGAATTTTATAATGTGCTGATTACATTTCAATATAACTTTTTTTTTGAAGCAGTGCTACTGAATGTAGGGGAGGAGGACTGGAGGAGATAAATTCTTAATTGAAATTTGACAGAAATTACTAATGGCATCCCTAGAAAAAGGAACTAGAAAGAGAGAAGGGAGAAAAAGAATAAAGAAAAATCAGCCTTAAAAATCCGTAAGAAAATTCAGGGGAAACGTAGGTAATATATTAGCATTTTACAGCACGACTATTAGGAAACATCAGAACATTTGTTTTATGTGACTAGTAACATTCGTTAACTAGCAGCAAATGCTATGGAATAAGTACTTACAACACATGGGTACATATTTATGCATTCCAAATACATATTCACACTTGTATAAACACACACATAGTGAATCTAAGAAAACCGAAATAGGAAAAAAGTATTTTGGTGTTCTTCAAATTAGTTTAGGCATTTCTGTTTCTTTTTTACCCATTTAGACACCTCTTGGCTTCCACATTTATACCTTGCTCTGCCTACAGAAACCTGGTCTTAAGAACTTAAGTCAGAAGCTCCCTCCCCTAGTCCTACCTTTTATTCATTCCAGATGTTCAATTATAGTTAGTTATCTCATGCTTCTCCAGGTTGAGGATTCCAAGACACAGGGAGCACCTGAGAGTTTCAGCCTCTCTCACTCTTCCTTTGCTTTTATTTTCTACTATTTCCGTCTATTTTCTGTTAACTAACAGATGAAATTCCATGTTACTCAACATCTTTAATCCACTTTTCTTCTTTCCTTTGTCCTCATTTATGTACCTTTTGTTCTGTTGATTCTCAAATTGTATTTGTCACAGAGATGGAGGACACATATGCATTAGATGGGCATTCCTCTGTACAAAATGAGTTCCCGAAAAAAAAAAAGCACCAAACAATGGATCTCACAGGGGCAAACTTCTTGTTCTAGTCAGATAAGACAAAGAGGCATTGTCAGTGTAGGCCAAGACAGAAACCTAAATGATGGTCACCATCTCTAACCTTCCTTATTATTTCAACAGATATATATATACGTATAGATAGATAGATAGATATAGATAGAAAGATATACACACATACATATATGTACATACATACATACTCCTTTGGCACTGAAGATGCATAAGTGGAGAGGGTCCCCATACTGTCCCGCACAACAGCTTCCAGACTGCAGAGCAGTAAGCATCTGCAGGCAACACTGTGCATATCTCAATTCCAGACTGTTTTCAGACCAGCTCCTGAAGCCAAGTGTCTGGGGACCTGATCAACATCCTAGCAGCTCACTCCCTTATCCTTCCTCATTCACTTTATCTTGCTTCTTTCTTATTTCCCATCCTTCCCCATTCTCTTCCTGCTAATTCTGTCTTCATACACTCATTTACAACAATATTTCTTTACATTCTCTTTTAGCTTCTGTTTCCTGTTACTTGCTTTTTAATTTTTTCTTGCAATTTATCTTCCTAATCCCTTGCTTTTCCTCCCTCTTTGCTCTCTTCCTTGTCATTCTCTTTCTTCTTTCTCTCATTTGCCTACATTCTTTCAGTCTTAAGTAAGTTTCACCTTGTTCTTTACACATATTCTCCTTAAATATATTCAATGCCTACCCTTTACTGATTCTGAAATAATAAATTGCTTAACCTGTTCCAAGGTAGAGTGAGCACAGTAGTTAGTTGCTTCCTATGTATTTCATTCCAATGACTTTTTCTACAGACCTAAAGTGCTTTCCTTGCTCCCCAGTGCTAAGCCTTACTTCCTGAATATTATCTTCTTTGAAATTTACTGAGTCTGAATCACTCATTAATTACTTCAGGTTTTGTCACATGTTTTGTCTGTTTTTAACTCATCTTGATAAAAATGAGGCAAGTTATTTTGGTGTTCTAAAATAGGTCTCTGGTTTGAGAATTATTTTACCTTGCTGAGTTACCATATCTGCAATTTTAGGAAGCTTAGGCAAGTTATTTAATACAATTAATGACCTTAGGCAAGTCATTTAATTTTTAATATCTGTATTTTGAATCTATTAAAGAGAAATAATATATTCGCTGTTTTTACTTCACAGGGTAGAGGGAATATGATGATCAAATTAGGTGGTTAGGAGCTAATCCACATCTGTGTAAATGAAGAGAGGAAGCATTCAGTGATAAATACGTTCTAGCAAAAAATGGATACCATGTCAATAGATCTTTTGTCACTGCCCTGGGATTAATTCCAAGGGATATGATAACAGCTTGAATCTAAGTGGATTTCAGAGTAAGAAACTGTGGAGGTTCTAGGAAGGGTCTCAGTAAAGGTTTTCTTATCTAATTCAGACATGTTTGAGAATCATGTCTTTCTTGTTTTAGGATTGCTAACTCTGAGCCTTATATTGCTGGATGTAAGGACCATGTGCAGATGGGGAAACACATGTAACTGAGTGTGGAACCAGAGGTTTCCAAACTTGTGAAGTCAATGAAGTTTGTCTCTGAGACTCAGCCTGCCCTTTTTGACTGATTGTGATTCCTTCACTCTTCCTCCCTTTACCTTTGGTTTAGGATAAAGATGAAATCAGTCATTTGTATTATATACAAATTGAAATCCAGGTGGTGAATCTTCATAATCAATTGGTATTTTTATTTTTAAAACAATAGTAGAATTAAAAATTTTAGCACCTTTAAAATAGTACTAAGTATTAGATAATAGGAGGTTTATTTGAGAAACAGGTATATTTGAGAAAAGTGCTGAACACCTGAATTTACAACTCACCCTTACTCTGTTTCTGCAGCAGAATTCTGTTCTCATAAATTTCAAGGCAGCAGATAACCAAGACAAATAGTATAATTTTTCTTTTTTTTTCTTTTTCTCTATTTAATTTAAATATAAAGAATGATAAAAAATTTTACCTTGCCGGGAGCCAAATGCTACTCTCAAACAAGTGGCTATTCTTTTCTGTCTGATAAAAGGGAGATTAGCTAATTATTTCAGAATTTGTGCTTAAATATATATTCTCATGTTGGAATATTATAAATTCTGAAATCTCTATTCATTTGTAATACAATTAATGCAATAGAGAATGTACTTTGGGGTTTTACCGCTACCTGAATTCTGCAGAGTTCTACCAATGGGAATTATTAGACTGCCAATTAGAATTAGACAAAGAAAGAGACAAGAACATTTTAAAGATTAAATATTCAAAACACATGCCAGTGAATACCCCATTGAATCATGTTAGGGTTTTGAATTTGGTATTTTATCAGTGGCAGTGATAATGGAATGTCCCATACACTTATTAGGCAAAATGATTAATGATTAATTCAATGTTAATAATGCTTCATTTAACTCAGTATATCTAAATTATTATCATTTCAAAGTTTGTCTTTAAATAAAAAGAACTTTATGCATCTTGTAGACCAGTTCCTCCAGGGGAGTGCCCCTCAAGTAAAAGAAGAAATACTCTATTGTATTATTGGTTTTTTTGAATATATGGTTCCTAAGCCCTGCTATAGGATAATGAGCTTTCTGGTTTTTAATGAAATAATATAACATAAAAATATCTAATCATACAAGAAAAAAATCAATGTAAGTTTTTTTTGTAACACATTATAAAGAAAGATGCCATTCCTCAGAGTCACATTAAAATTAAAATACCAAACTTAAATTTAATAAAGCAAATTCAATACACAGTCAAGTATGCTTTCATTCATGTTTATGCCCAGCTCAGCCAGAGATGCAGTCAGAGATGTTTAAAAGTGGACAGAGATGAAGAGAGGTAGATAACATTTTAGCAGGTTTCTTTCCTATTATGATCAGTGCTGCAACTTCTAACATATACCATTTTCCTTGGGTGAAAGCATAGCAGTATAATACAGTCCCAGAAAGATACAAAGTTAGAAATACAAGATAATTGCAAGAGAGAGAACAGAGGCAAAAAAGAGAAAAAGCATACACAAAAAAATAGGAGAAAAGATGGATAGAAAGAGAAACAATGCCCACAGAGATGCTTGTACCACAAAGCCGTAAACACAGGTTTAGAAAAAAAAAAAGACAGGATAAGAGAAGGGAATGGATGGAGAGAGAAAGATAGAGTGGTAAAGATATTTCTGAGAATGCAAATTATTTTGTTTTGTTTTTGTTTTTTATTTTTCACTTTAGTTTTGTTTTATGCAATTAAGGGACTTCCCAGGGATGTCACTTCTCAATATTGACAACAATGCTTTAGAATTAGTTAGAAGAAGATATTTTAACTGAGATATTAACTAGTGCAAAATAGACCTTTCCCCTCTGCTGAGAATGCTTTTTCATCTTAGGCAATTTTATACTATTAAAAAGAAAGATGTATGTTTGTGTGAATGTCTGTGTGTTTTAAAAGATGTATCTCAGAGTGGCCTGAACTAGCTTTCTAAACAAGGCATCCAAATGTGGTGAAACTAGCACAAGACTGGAGCTCAAAAGACAAGTTTGCAGTCCTGGTTCCAACCATGATGGTTCTGTTTTTTGAGAAAATGTCAAAAACTTCCTCCGATGTTTTGTCATCTAAAAAACTGAAAATATATTTCCTTACTTTACAAAAGGTTTTAGGTGTTTATCATTTGGAAAACTTATTACATAGGTAAGTGATTAGGCACTGGTTATTATATACAAGGTCCTCGGTCTCAGGGATTTGACATTCCAGTGGAGGGAGCCAGACAAAGAACAACAACAACAACAAAAAAGACAGTAAAATGTGGGAGAATGAAAGAATATAACAGAGGGATGTGTTGGAGGGTGAATGAGGGCGGGGGGTGGTGCTGTTATTTTAGATTGAGTAGTTAGAAAAGTTATCCCTGAGGAGCTGAAAGTTAAGCTGAGGTTTGAATGACTAGGGTAGGGCATTTCAGGCAATGTGAAGAACGAGAATGGAGACTGTGGAAGAGGATTGAGCTGGTACAGTAAGGCACAGAAAGGAGACCATCATGATGAGGAAATGGTGAGCATAAGAAGGAAAAGTATAAGGCAACATTAGAGAGGTAGGCAGATGTTATCCAGCTCATGGCATTTGGAGGTTATTCTCAGTGTGTAATTATAATGTCAACAATTGTAATCTTCAGGTCGTTCTGGCTATTGTGTGGAGAATGGGTTTGAGGGAGGCAAGTATAGGAGCAAGGAGAACAGTTTGAAGATGTTGCAGTACCAAGTACAAAAGATGATGTTGGTAACTTTGCCTGGTGGAGAGTGGGAGGAGGAGACCGTAGTAAGAAGAATTCAGAGAACTTGACATGTATTTTGATGGTGGAGACATTTAGACTTGCTGATAGACACGATGTCTTAAAAACTCCTAAGATTTTAGATGAAATAGCTATGTATGGAAGTGTAATTTATTAACATTATGAAGACCCAAACAAGATAAGGTGGTGATTGGAAAAAAACTATGCTTTTTTAAAGGTACATTTAATTTTCACATAGGAAATATATTTGCATGGTTAAGCATTTTTAAAAAGTAGAAATGAGGCCACTTTTTTTGCACCTACCACAATTAGTTTATTCTCAATTTATTCAAAGAGATTCTTTAGAAAAAAAATACATGCTGAGCTATTCTATTAAAAATATTTGTTTATAATCCTTTAATTTGAGTGGCAGTTTTCTCAGACATAAAGCCACTGAGTTATATTTTCTTGCCTGAAAAATTTGTAGGTTTTGACCCAGTGCCACTTCCATTTTAAAAATGCTAGTTAATTATTTTCTGGAGAAATGTATGAGTGACAGTCCTATGATGTTTTGTCATCTACAAAATTGAAAATGTATTTCCTTACTTTACAAAAAGTTTTGGGTGTTTTTCATTTGGAAAGCTTACTACATAGGTAAGCAATTAGGGACTGATTATTAAAGGTCCTTGGTCTCAGGGATTTGACATGCCAGTGGAGTTGACATTCCAGCAACTAGATTGCTACTCAGTGAGAACCTTATAGGTAATACCTCTCTAAATCCTGGTAATGAAAACCTCTTTCTCTGGGATGGTTTTCATTTTCTTCTTTGTATGTTTCATGTTATTAATTTTAGTAAAATGAGATTTTAGTTTGTACTTTAAGAAATAGTATCACTAGTTTATTTTGAAAAATAAATTGTATCAATGTTTACAAAACCTAATAGCAAACAGTCATATTTTGCTCAGGATAGCAAACAAGGCACAAATAGGTGCCAAATAGATTCCAGTGTTTCAGACAAGTCAGTTCTTGATAGTGTAACATGATGTTTGATTAAAAATTTTATTTTATTTAATGGTAAATTACTGATATTGAACACAGATGGTAATCAGTAATTTAAAAAAAAGTAGAGGAGAAACCCACCCAAATTTAAAATCACATTGATAAAACTTAGAGAATTGGGGGAATCTTTGTTTTACAGGCAGGTTGACTGGCTAATTTGGAGGCAGCAATACAAATTAAAGGACTAGCTATGGGCTGTTCTCTAACATCTATACTTATTTGCATATTCTTGGGATGCAGGGTGGGTTCAACATAGGCAAATCAATAACTGTGATTCACCATATAAACAGAATTAAAAACAAAAATGGTATAATCATCTTAATGACACAGAAAAAGCTTTTGATACAGTTCATCATTGGTTCATGAGAAAAACACTCAAGAAACTAGGCATTTATAGAAGGAACATACCTCAAAATAATAAGATCCATTTATGTCATACCCACTGCCAACATCTTACTGAATGGGAAAAAGCTGGAAGCATTCCCCTTGAGAAATGGAACAAGACAAGGATGTCTATTCTCATCATTCCTATTCAACATAGTGCTGGGAAACTGAGCCAGAGCCATCAGGCAAGAGAAAGAAATAAATTACATCCAAATAAAAAAATAAAATATCAAATTACCTTTGTTTGGTGATTATATAACACTAAACATAGAAAACTCTAACTCCACTAAAAGGCTCCAAGGACTGATAAATGATAAATATACCAGAATCAGCAGCATTTCTATACAGCACTAACATTCAGGTTGAGAGACAAATCAAGAATGCAATCTCATTTACAATAGCTCTGCACACACACACACACACACACACACACACACACACACACAACCCAACAACATGTAAAAGCATATCTAACCAAGGAGGTGAAATATCCCTACAAGGAACTACAAAACACTATTGAAAGAAATCATAGCCTACAGAAACAACTGGGAAAACATTCCATGCTCATTGTTTGGAAGAATCAATATTGTTAAAATGGTCATACTGCTCAAAGTAATGTACAGATTCAATGCTGTTACTATCAAATTACCAATGCCATTCTACACAAAATTAGAAAAAAATCCTAAAATTGATATGGAACAAAAAAGATCCTGAATAGCTAAAGCAATTCTAAGCAAAAAGAACAAAGCTGGAGGCATCACATTACCTGACTACTATACTACAAGGCTAAAGTAGCCAAAAGGCATGATACTATGCAAAAACAGACACATAGACCAATGAAATAGGATAGAGAACTCAGAAGTAAAGCCTCACACATACAACCATCTGATTTTTGACAAAGTTGACAAAAGCAAGCAGTGGGAAGAGGACTCCCTATTCAACAAACAGTACTGAGATAACTGGCTAGCCATCTGCAGAAGACTGAAACTGGACCCCTTCTGTATTAGTCTGTTCTCACTCTACTAATAAAGACATACCTGAAGCTGGGTAATTTATGAATAAAAGAGGTTTAATTGACTCAGTTCCACATGGCTTGCGAGGCTTCACAATCATGGCAGAAGGCAAAAGAGGAGCAAAGTCATGTCTTACATGGCAGCAGGCAAGAGAGTGTATACAAGAGAACTCTCCTTTATAAAACCATCAGATCTCATGAGATTTATTCACTATCATGAGAAAAGCATGGGAAAGACCGACCCCCAAGATTCAATTATCTTCCACCAGTCCCTCCTCTAACACATGGGAATGATGGGAGCTACAATTTATTTATTTATGTATTTATGTATTTATTTATTTATTATGGGCCGGGCACGGTGCCTCATGTTTGTAATCCCAGCACTTTGGGAGGCTGAGCTGGGTGGATGTCTTGAGCCCAGGAGTTTGAGTCTAGCCTGGGCAACATGGTTAAACCTCATATCTACTAAAAATACAAAAAGTTAACCAGGCACCGTGGTGCAGCTACTTTGTAGGCTGAGGTAGGAGGATCACCTGAGCCTGGGAAGTCAGGCCAGGCTCCCAGGCCTGGCCCATAAAAAAGCTTTCTATAGGTTTTTTTTTAAAATTTATTATACTTTAAGTTCTGGGATACATGTGCAGAATGTGCAGGTTTGTTACACAGGTATACAAGTGCCACGGTGGTTTGCTGCACTCATCAACCCATCATCTATGTTTTAAGCCCTGCATGAATTAGGCATTTGTCCTAATGCTCTCTCTCCCCTTCCCTGCCAACCCCCAACAGGCCCCAGTGTGTGATGTTCCCCTCCCTGTGTCCATGTATTCTCATTGTTCAACTCCCACTTATGAGTGAGAATATACAGTGTTTGGTTTTCTGTTCTTGTGTTAGTTTGCTGAGAATGATGGTTTCCAGCTTCATCCATGTCCCTGCAAAGGACATGAACTCATTCTTTTTATGGCTGCATGGTATTCCATGGTGTATATGTGCCACATTTTCTTTCAGTCTATCATTGATGGGCATTTGGGTTGGTTCCAAGTCTTTGTTACTGTAAATAGTGCTGCAGTAAACATACATGGACATGTGTCTTTATAGTAGAATGATTTGTAATCCTTTGGGTATATACCCAGTAATGGGATTGCTGGGTCAAATAGTATTTCTGGTTCTAGATCCCTGAGGAATCATCACACTGTCTTCCACAATGGTTGAACTAATTTACACTCCCACCAACAGCGTAAAAGCGTTCCTATTTCTGATTGGAGCTACAACGTAAGATGAGTTTTGGGTGGAGACACAGTCAAACCGCATCACCTTCCTTTCAGTATATACAAAAATTAACTCAAGATAAAGGAAAAACTTACATGTAAGGCCTAAAACTATTACAATCCTAGAAGGAAACCTATTAAATATTATTCTGGACATTGATCTTAGGAAAAATTTATGATGACATCCACAACGCAATTGCAATAAGAATAAAAACTGGCAAGTGAGACCCAATTAAACTAAAGAGCTTCTACAGCAGAAGAAAATATCAAGAACAAATAACTTACAGAATGGAAGAAAATATTCACAAGCTATGCATTTGACAAAGGTATAATATCCAGAATCTATAAGAAACTTAACGTAACAAGCAAAAACCAAACAACCTCATTAAAAAAGTGGGCAAAGGATATGAACAGATACTTCTCAAAAGAAGACATACATGCAGCCAACAAACATATGAAAATGTACTCAACATCACTAATCATCAGAGAAATGCAAATCAAAACCCCAATGAAATACCATCTCACACCACCAAAATGGCTATTATTAAAAGTTCAGAAAACAACAGATATTGATGAGACTACAGAAAAAAGAGAACACTTATACACTATTGAAGGGAATGCAAATTAGTTCAGCTCCTTTGGAAAGCACTTTGGAGATTTCTCAAAGAACTCCCCATTCAACCCAGCAATCCCATTATTGGTTATATACCTGAAGGAAAATAGATTACTATACCAAAAAGACACATGCATTCATATGTTCATCACTGCACTGTTGACAATAGCAAAGACATGGAATCAACAAAATGCCCATCAACAATGGACTGGACAAAGAAAATGTCATACATATACACCATGGAATACTATCCAGCTATAAAAGGAATGAAACGGTGCCCTTTACAGAAACATGGATGCAGCTGGTGGTCATTATCCTAAAGGAAATTAATGCAGGAACAGAAAACCAAATATCATGTGTTCTCACTTACAATTGGGAGCTAAACATTGGGTGCGCATGGATATAAAGATGGGAACAAAGGATGCTGGGAATTAATAGAGTTGGGACAGTGGGAAAGGGTTGAGAGTTGATAAACTATTAAATGACAAAACCACAATTACTTTTGCACCATCCTAATACCTATTGGGTACTATGTTCACTACATGAGTACCGGGATCAGTCATACCCCTAATCTCAGTATCACACAATATATCCATGTAATAACACTGCACATATACCCTCTGAACCTATAACAAAAAATGAAGAAAGAAAAACAGCTATGTCTACTATTATTCCACACTGGACCATGAGGGGCAAACTTAGTTCTCCATGAATAGTTAGAATATCTTCAGACAAATAGAACCTCTGTTATTTTTATTATTCACTCATTTTTATTCATTCATAATGAAATTATGGCAGAGTTTCTCTCAAATGCTGAACACACTACCTGGCCTGATAAGAAGACTATAGCTACATGTATTCATATGAAAGGACCTATCTCTGTGATGACTGTGTTCCTCAGTTTAAACTGGAAAGTTGATACACATAGACAAAGACAGACTAAGAGTTAACCACACCTATTCCAAAATTGACCACATACTGGGAAGTAAAGCTCTCCTCAGAAAATGTAAAAGACAGAAATTATAACAAACTGTCTCTCAGACCACAGTGCAATCAAACTAGAACTTAGGATTAAGAAACTCAAAACTGCTCAACTACATGGAAACTGAACAACCTGCTCCTGAATGACTACTGGGTACATAACGAAATGAAGGCAGAAATAAAGATGTTCTTTGAAACCAACGAGAACAAAGACACAACATGCCAGAATCTCTGGGACACATTCAAAGCAGTGTGTAGAGGGAAATTGATAGCACTAAATGCCCACAAGAGAAAGCAGGAAAGATCCAAAATTGACACCCTGACATCACAATTAAAAGAACCAGAAAAGCAAGAGCAAACACATTCAAAAGCTAGCAGAAAGCAAGAAATAATTAAAATCAGAGCAGAACCGAAGGAAATAGAGACACAAAAAACCCTTCAAAAAATTAATGAATCCAGGAGCTGGTGTTTTGAAAGGATCAACAAAATTGATAGACCACTAGCAAGACTAATAAACAAAAAAAGAGAGAAGAATCAAATAGACACAATAAAAAATTATAAAGGGGATATCACCACCGATCCCACAGAAATACAAACTACCATCAGAAAATACTACAAACACCTCTACGCAAATAAGCTAGAAAATCTAGAAGAAATGGATAAATTCCTTGACACATACACTCTCCCAAGACTAAACCAGGAAGAAGTTGAATCTCTGAATAGATCAATAACAGGATCTGAAATTGTGGCAATAATCAATAGCTTACCAACCAAAAAGAGTCCAGGACCAGATGGATTCACAGCTGAATTCTACCAGAGGTACAAGGAGGAACTGGTACCATTCCTTCTGAAACTATTCCAATCAATAGAAAAAGAGGGAATCCTCCCTAACTCATTTTATGAGGCCAGCATCTTCCTGATACCAAAGCCGGGCAGAGACACAACCAAAAAAAAGAGAATTTTAGACCAATATCCTTGACGAACATTGATGCAAAAATGCTCAATAAAATACTGGCAAAACGAACCCAGCAGCACATCAAAAAGCTTATCCACCATGATCAAGTGGGCTTCATCCCTGAGATGCAACGTTGGTTCAATATATGCAAATCAATAAATGTAATCCAGCATATAAACAGAACCAAAGATAAAAACCACATGATTATCTCAATAGATGCAGAAAAGGCCTTTGACAAAATTCAACAACCTTTCATGCTAAAAACTCTCAATAAATTACGTATTGATGGGACGTATCTCAAAATAATAAGAGCTATCTATGACAAACCCACAGCCAATATCATACTGAATGGGCAAAAACTGGAAGCATTCCCTTTGAAAACTGGCACAAGACAGGGATGCCCTCTCTCACCACTTCTATTCAACACAGTGTTGGAAGTTCTATTCAGGGCAATTAGGCAGGAGAAGGAAATAAAGAGTATTCAATTAGGAAAAGAGGAAGTCAAATTGTCCCTGTTTGCAGATGACATGATTGTATATCTAGAAAACCCCATTGTCTCAGCTCAAAATCTCCTTAAGCTGATAAGCAACTTCAGCAAAGTCTCAGGATACAAAATCAATGTACAAAAATCACAAGCATTCTTATACACCAAGAACAGACAAACAGAGAGCCAAATCATGAGTGAACTCCCATTCACAATTGCTTCAAAGAGAATAAAATACCTAGGAATCCAACTTACAAGGGATGTGAAGGACCTCTTCAAGGAGAACTACAAACCACTGCTCAATGAAATAAAAAAGGATAAAAACAAATGGGAGAACATTCCATGCTCATGGGTAGGAAGAATCAATATCGTGAAAATGGCCATACTGCCCAAGGTAATTTATAGATTCAATGCCATCCCCATCAAGCTACCAATGACTTTCTTCACAGAATTGGAAAAAACTACTCTAAAGTACATATGGAACCAAAAAAGAGCCCGCATCGCCAAGTCAATCCTAAGCCAAAAGAACAAAGCTGGAGGCATCACACTACCTGACTTCAAACTATACTACAAGGCAACAGTAACCAAAACAGCATGGTACTGGTACCAAAACAGAGTTATAGATCAATGGAACAGAACAGAGCCCTCAGAAATAACGCCGCATATCTACAACTATCTGATTTTGACAAACCTGACAAAAACAAGCAATGGGGAAAGGATTCCCTATTTAATAAATGGTGCTGGGAAAACTGGCTAGCCATATGTAGAAAGCTGAAACCGGATCCCTTCCTTACACCTTATACAAAAATCAATTCAAGATGGATTAAAATCTTAAACGTTAGACCTAAAACCATAAAAACCCTAGAAGAAAACCTAGGCATTACCATTCAGGACATAGGCATGGACAAGGACTTCATGTCTAAAACACCAAAAGCAATGACAACAAAAGACAAAATTGACAAATAGAATCTAATTAAACTAAAGAACTTCTGCACAGCAAAAGAAACTACCATCAGAGTGAACAGGCAACCTACAAAATGGGAGAAAATTTTCACAACCTACTCATCTGACAAAGGGCTAATATCCAGAATCTACAATGAACTCCAACAAATTTACAAGAAAAAAACAAACAACCCCATCAAAAAGTGGGCAAAGGACATGAACAGACACTTCTCAAAAGAAGACATTTATGCAGCCAAAAAACACATGAAAAAATGCTCACCATCACTGGCCATCAGAGAAATGCAAATCAAAACCATAACGAGATACCATCTCACACCAGTTAGAATGGCAATCATTAAAAAGTCAGGAAACAACAGGTGCTGGAGAGGATGTGGAGAAATAGGAACACTTTTGCACTGTTGGTGGGACTGTAAATTAGTTCAACCATTTTGGAAGTCAGTGTGGCGATTCCTCAGGGATCTAGAACTAGAAATACCATTTGACCCAGCCATCCCATTACTGGGTATATACCCAAAGGACTATAAATCATGCTGCTATAAAGACACATGCACACGTATGTTTATTGTGGCATTATTCACAATAGCAAACACTTGGAACCAACCCAAATGTCCAACAATGATAGACTGGATTTAGAAAATGTGGCACATATACACCATGGAATACTATGCAGCCATAAGAAATGATGAGTTCATGTCCTTTGTAGGGACATGGATGAAACTGGAAATCATCATTCTCAGTAAACTATTGCAAGAACAAAAAACCAAACACTGCATATTCTCACTCATAGGTGGGAGTTGAACAATGAGAACACATGGACACAGGAAGGGGAACATCACACTCTGGGGACTGTTGTGGGGTGGGGAGAGGGGGGAGGGATAGCATTGGGAGATATACCTAATGCTAGATGATGAGTTAGTGGGTGCAGCACACCAACAAGGCACATGCATACATATGTAACAAACCTGCACAATGTGCACATGTACCCTAAAACTTAAAGTATAATAATAAATTTTAAAAAAATAAAAAAAAGAAAAGATCATCACAATCGAGATTGTGAACATATTCCTCAACCCCAAATTTCCCTTGTCCTTTAATAGCTTCTCTTTCAAGTCCTTCCATATATCCTTCCTCTCTGACCAACCAGAAATTTGTGTTCAACTATTATTATTTATAAGTTTGTATACACTACATTTTTATGTAAATGAAATAAAGCAGGATCTATTTTTTTAGTCTGGCTTCTTTCCTTTGTGTTCTATTGTTATTTATAACTTTGTATACTCTAGAGTTTTATATAAATGAAATAAAATAGTATGTATTTTTTCATTCTGGCTTCTTTCACTCATCATACTTTTGGTATTTATCTTATTGTTGTGTGTATCAGTAGAGTATTCCCTTTTTATTTCTGAGTAGTATTCCATACCACAATTTGGTATTGATTAATCTGCTGAAGGACATTTGGGTTGTCTCCAGTTTTGGCTACTACAAATACAGCTACCATGAACATTTGTGTACATATCTCTGTGTGACTTGAATAGTTTAATCATTGATTGAGACTTTTTCATGGCTTAGAGGATGATCTAATTTGCCTGTGTTATGTTTTCTATGTGTATTATCTAAAATGTGTGTGTACTTTGAAAAGAAGGAGTTTTCTGACATTTTGGTCAAAGTGTTCTGTATCAATTATATTAAATTGGTTTATCAGTTATTGAGAGAGGGTATTAAAGTATTTAATTATAAATTTGTGTGTGCCTTTTCTCCTTGTAGTTCTATCAATTTTTGTTTCATATATTTTAAATCTTTATTATTGGGGAGGTACACAGTTGTTATATCATGATGGTTAATTGACCCCTTTCTCTGTAAAATATGGCCTTCTTTATCTGTGGTAATGTCCTTTGTTCTGAAACATACTTTGCATGTAATTAAAATAGCCCTTGAAGTTTTCTTTTGATTTATGTTAACATTATATGTATTTTTCCTTTCTTTTATAATTATTATTATTTTATTAAAAAAACTGTCCTCTCCCAATTGTCTGTTCTTGGAATTTTTGTCAAAAAATAGTTGACCCTAAATGCATGGAATTATTTTTGGGCTCTTCATTCTGTTTCACTTGTCTTTGCATCTGTTATGCCAATACCATGCTATTATAATAACTATAGCTTTGCAGTATATTTTGAAGACAGGTAGTGTGATGCCACCAGCTTTGTTCTTTTTACCTAAGATTGTTTTTGCTATCTGGAGTCCTTTGTGGATCCCTACAAATTTCCTAATTTTTTTCTATTTCTGTGGAAAATGTCATTGGAATTTTGATAAGGATTGCATTGAATCTATAAATTTCTTTGAGTAATACAGACATTTTAGCAATCCTTTTTGTATTTTCAAAATTTATTTTATGAAGGTATTATTCTGATACCAAGTCTAGCAGAAACAAACAAATCAAACCCACAAACAAAGGCAACCACCAAACCTTACAGAAAAAAATCTCACTTGTGAATATAGATGTGCAAATCCTACATAATGTAAGAATTTAGCAACCTCTCAAAAACACTGCACCATGATCTATAAGCATTAATTAAAGAATACAGATGTGAATCAAATTTTAGAAATATATTAATACATTGTATTGATAGCATATTACAATAGAAAAAATATATAAATAATAATACATAACCCATTCATCTCTCACTTCTTATAAAATCCTTTCAAACTTTATTAATCTTATAAAAATGTCTATCTCTGCTTATAGCTAACACATATTGAGCCATAAAATACTGAAAAAGATAAATTTCTTATTTTATTTTTGAGTTAGGCATCTCACTATATTGCCCAAGCTGGTCTCTAATTCCCGGGCTCAAGCAATCTTCCCACCTCAGGCTCCCCAGTAGATGGGATTGCAGGCACATGTCACCACAGCTGGTGATTAATTTGTATTAAAATAAATTACCTACCTCTGTTAGGATTGTTTAATATTGTTTTAGAATTATGGCCAAAGAAATAAAACAATTAAAGTGAGATTAAAAAAACAGGAAAGGTGAAGTAAAAATGATTGTCATAGACACCTAGCAAACTCCAAATCAATTAAGAGTTAAATTAATTAGAAAGCATGATATATTTATAAAAGATAATTATATACAGCTATAAATACAAGCAGATTGTTTAGGGAAACATAAGATGTTTCTAAAATATAATTAACAAAAAAGAAATACACAATGAAATAAATACAGTTGTTTAATAAACATGAAAAATGCTTTATTTCACTGAAATGACAATGAAAATTTAAACACCAAAGGGATAATATTTTTGCCTATCAAATTCACAAAGATTTGAAATATAATACTAATGGTATTGGAAATAGGTATGTTGCTGATAAACGTGCAAATAATAATTCTTACAATCCATGAATGCAAGATATCTTTTCATTTATTTGTATCTTCTTCAGTTACATTTAACAATGTTAAATGTTAAATGAGCGATAAGATCTTTCACCTCCTTGGTAAAATTTATTCCTAAGTATTTTATGTATTATAGCTATTGTAAATGAGATGTTTCCTGATTCTTTTTCAGATAGTTTGTTGCTAATGTATAGAAACACTACCAATTGTTGTATATTGATTTTTTATCCTTTAACTTTACTGAATTTGTTTATTAGTTCTAACAGTTATAACAGTTTTCTGGTGGAGTTATTAGGGACTTTTAGATACAAGTTGACATGATTTGCAAACAGAGACAATTTGACTTCTTTGTTTCCAATTTGGATGCCTTTCATTTCTCTTGCCTAAATGCTCTGGCTAGGACTTCTATGTTGAAAAAATGTAGTGAGACTGTACATCTTTGTCTTGCTCTCGATCTTAGAGGAAAAGCCTTTCAGCTTTTCATCTTGAGAATGATGTTACTTGTGGGCTTGTCATATATGACCTTTATTGTGTTAAGCTATATTTATTCTACAATTAATTTTTTGAGAGTTTATATTATGAAAGGATGTTGAATGTTGTTAAATGGTTTTTATGCATTTATTGGGATGATCATATTGTTTTTATCTTCATTCCATCTATGTGGTATATCCTATTTATAGATTTCCATATGTTGAACCATCCTTGCATCCCCAGGATAAATCTCACTTGATCATGGTGAATAATCCTTTTAACGTGTTGTTGAATTTAATTTTCTAGTATTTTGTTGAGGATTTTGCCTTCCTTAAGGATAATGGCTTGTTCTTTTCTTTTCTTTTCTTTTGTGTTTTTGTCTGGCTTTAGTATCAGTGTAATGCTGGCCTCATAAAATGATTTTGGAAATTCTCCTTATCAATTTTTTAGATTAGTTTGGGGAAAATGGTGTTATTTCTTTTTTTAAATGTTTGGTAGAATTCAACAGCATAGCCATCAGTTCTTGGACTTTTCTTTGGTGAGATGCTTTTTATTACTAATTCAATCTCCTTAATCTTGATTAGTCTGTTCAGGTTTTCTATTTCTTCCTGATTCACTCTTGGTAAACTCTTTTTTTCTATGAATTTATTCATTTCTTCTAGGTTATCCAATTTGTTGGTAAATAATTATTTATAATAGGGTCTTTCAATCCTTTGTATTTCTGTGGTATCAGTTGTTAAGGTTTCCTCTTTAACTTCTAACTTTATTTTGGTAGTCTTAATTTTTGTTTTCTTAGTCTAGCTAAAGGTTTATTGATTTTGCTCATCTTTTCCAAAAACCAACTCTTAGTTTTGTTGATCTCTATTGTTTTTCTGGTCTCTATTTAATTTATTTTTGCTCTGATCTTTGTAAATTTTCTCCTCTCTACTATTTTAGGCTTAATTTGGTCTTTTCCCCCTAGTTTCTTGAAGTGTTATGTTAGGTTATTTGAAATCTTCTTTCTTTTTTGATGCAGCTGTTTATTGTCATAAACTTCTCTTAGAATTGTATTTTCTGCATGTCATAAGTTTTATTTTATCGTGTGTCCATTTTTCCTTGTTTCAAGATATTTTAAAATTTCCCTTCTAATTTTTTCATTGACTCATTAGTTATTTAAGGGCATATTATTTAATTTCCATGCAATTATGAATTATTCAAAATTCCTCTGTTATTGATTTCTAGTTTACTGTCATTGTGATGAGAATAGATATTTTATATTATTTCAGTCTTATAAATTTGATAAGACTTGTTCTATGGGCTAACATGTTTTATATAGGAAAATGATCTGTGTGCACTTGAGAAGAATGTCTATTCTACTGCTCTTGGATGAAACGTTCTGTATATGTTTGTTAGGTCCTTTTGGTCTAAAGTATAGTTGAAGTCCAGTATTTCCTTACTGATTTTCTTTCTGGGTGATCTGTCTGTTGTTGAAAGTGTGGCCTTGACAAGCCCCACTTTTGTATTTTTGTATTGCAGTCTATCTCTCATTTAAGAACATTTGCTTTCCCTACCAACAGTGTAAAAGAATTCCCTTTTCTCTTCATCCTTGCCAGCATTTGCTACTTTTGTTATATTTGGTAATAGTCATCTTAACTGGGGTGATATGATACTGCATTATGATTGTGATATATATTTCTCTGATGAATAGTGGTGTTGAGTATCTTTTCATATATTTGTCAGCCATTTGTATGTCTTCTTTTAAGAAATGTCTGTTCAGATTGTTAGCCCATTTTAAACTCAGATTATATTATTTTTGCTGTTAAGATGTTCAGTACCTTGTGTATTCTGGATGTTAATCCCTTGTGAGATAAATACTTTGAAAATAGTTTCTCCCATTCTATAGGTTGTCTTTTGCACTGTTGAATTTTTTCCTTTACTGGGCAGAGAACTTTTAGTTTGATATAATCCCACTTGTTTACTTTTGCTTTTGTTGCCTGTGTTTTCGAAGTCTGAGAGACAGCTGCACCCCCATGTTTATTACAGCACTATCCACAATAGCCAAGATATAGAATCAACCTAGGTGTCAACAACAGACGAATAGATAAAGAAAATGTGGTATATATACACCATGAAATACTATTCAGCCATAAAAAAGAATAAAATCCTGTTATTCACGATAACATAGGACTGAAGCACATTATGTTAAGTGAAATATGCCTGAAACAGGAAGTTAAACATATATTATTCTTACTTATATGTGGAAGCTAAGAAAAGTTGATCTCATAGAAGTAAAAAGTATAACAGGATATGAGAGGCTGAGGAAGGTAATGAAAAAGAAGAGAGAGGTGGAGATTTGTTAAAAGATACAAAATTACAACCATAGGAACACTTTTTAGTGTTCTATGCCACAGTGATATATCATATAATTTCAAATTGCTGGAAGAAGGATATTGAACATTCCCAATAAAAATAAATGACAAATGTTTTAGATGATGGATACACAAGTTATCCAGATATGGTCATCATACATTGTACATACCAAAAACATCACTATATACCCATGGATATAGGTAAACATTATTTGTCAATAAAATAAAATAATAAATTTTAAAAATATTTGCTCTTATGTTTAGTGTGTATATATTTAAGATTTTTATATTCTCCTGATGAAACATCCCTTTAATCATTACATAATGACATCCTCTGCCTCTTTTTATAGTTTTACTTACATTTTATCTCTTTAAATATGGCTATCCCTGCTGTCTTTGGTTTTCATTTGCATGGAATATCATTTTCTATCCCTTCACTTTCAGTCTATTTATGTCCTTAAATATGAAGAAAATCTCTTGGAGGCAGTATGTAGTTGGGTTTTATCTTTTTATTCATTTAGCCACTCTGTGTCTTTTGTTCAGATAATTTAATTCATTCACATTCCAGATAATTGTTGGTAGGTAAGTAGAGTCATCCCTCAGTGACTTTAGGCAACAGACTCCAAGACCTCCCTGTGATTATCAAAATCTATAGATGCTTAAGTCCCTTATACAAAATGTCACAGTATTTGCATAAAACTTACATGCATTCTGTTGTATGATTTATACCAACTCTAGATAACTTATAATATCAAATAAAATGTAAATAGTTGTTATACTTGTTTTAAAATTTTGTATTATTTTTATTGTTGTGCTGTTATTTATTTATTTATTTTTGATAGTTTTGATCTGTGGTTGATTGAGTCTGTGAATGTAAAACCTATGGATATGCCAGAAAACTGACTGTGCTTAGTACCTCCATTTTATTAATTGTTTTCTGGTTATTTTTTACACTCTTTGTTCCCTTCCTTTTCTTTTGCTTCATCTTTCTCTTTCGTCTTCATTTATTCATAGTTTATTTTCTCCAGCATATGCTTTGATTTTTTATTTTTTTTGTTTTTGTAAATGCTCTATAGGTTTTTCATTTGTAGTTACCATAAGGCTTACATAACACATCTTATGGTTATCATAGACTATTTTAAGTGAATAAATACCTAACTTTGATTGCATTTAAAAAGTCTACACTTTTATTCTACCTCCCCCACACATTTTATGTTTTTACTGTCACAATTTACATATTTTTATGTTATTTATTTTTAAACAAATTTCTGGAATTTTAAAAACTATTTCAATCTCTTCATCAAATTTCCCCATTTTTTTGTTTGTTGTTTGCTTGATTTTGTTGAATTATTTCCCTGTATGTTCTTGGACTTTACTGCACTTCCTTAAGACAATTATTGTGAAGTCTTTGTCTGGGAGTTCATAGGTCTCTGTTTCTTTGGAGACAGATACTGGAAAATTATTGTGTTCCTTTCATGGTGATACTCCCTTTTGGTTTTTGGTGTTTCTTGTTGTCTTAAGCAGATTTCTGTGCATTTGTTGGAGCAGTCATCTCTTCCAGACTTCACAGGCTGGTTTCAGTACAGAAAGAACTTCCCCTGTATGGAGGTGTGAGGGGATTGGTTGAGTAAAACACAACTGCTCTGACTATTGTGAAGGTGCAGCAGTGTCGTGTTTGTGTAGCTCCTCCAGCTGAGGTTGGCATTGATGAAGATTGTAGGGAACTTCAGCAGCCAATGATGTAGATGTTTGAAGTGGTGACAAAAATTGTTGTGGTCTTTGGTGGCTAGGGCTGCTAAAGTCCTTTCTATCTCTTTTTCTCCCACTGGGGATGTTGTGGCTGGAGGAATCCCTCTTGGCACTGGGTCCAGCTTGAGAAACTGCTTGTGGTGGTTTTGGCATAAATGTCTGACGAGGGGTACCCTAGGGGAAGCCATGGATCTGGAGCCATAAGCGCAGGTATGAATGGAGGTACTATAGATCTGTGGTTTGGGATAGTAATGGCAGCAGTATCTGGGCCCAGGAATTCCACTGCCCAAACTATAATGGTATGCAAGGTGCAGGTGCTTTTGAAATAGCTGGGGACCTTGTGACGGAAGTATGGGTAAGTGCAGAGTTGCAGTGGCTCTGAGTTTGAGGTAGAAACTAATTCTCTATGGTGGCTGAGCCGGTGCTCAGCACACAGTCACACAAGAAAACCATCTTGGTTCTAGGACTAGAGTTCATTTACCTAGAATGTATAATTTTCTTTTTGGAGTCAGACACACAGTTTTTTTGAATTGAAATACATGGGGACAAGGAGGTGAAAGTGAGATTTTATAATATTAACAACCATAAAGGTATCTTCATGAATTCTTATTTTGGAAGCTACAAGAAAAATGAGTGTAGGTAGATATGGAAAGTCTGAATTACTGGTTTCTTAGGAGACACTGCATATGAGTGCTGACTTAGACATTAATATTGTAAAGAAGACAGAGAACCAAACATGATCTCACAGTGAGTGCCAAATCATTTAACTCAATTATACAGTAAAAATGTGACAGACATTTTGAGGATTCACTTTATTTCATTTACATCAAAAGCCATTGTAACAACTAAACAAAGTACATATCTATCAAGCTCCTCTGAAGGACAAGTGAGTCTCTGACACCTTTTATAACTCAGTCAACATTTTAAAAATCAATAATTTATTATTTTTGGTGCTGCATTAAAAATAATCTTGACTGACTACTGTAATCTTACTGCATTTTACTTGCCTTCATCTCAGTGTAGCTAATAACTCTATACTTAAGAGAAACCTTTAAAAATATAAAAAATTATTGTTTCTCTGCTACTATTATTATTATTATTTTAAGATGGACTCTCACTCTGTCACCCAGGCTGGAGGGCAGTGACACAAACTCAGCTCACTGAAGCCTCTGCCTCCTGGGTTCAAGCAATTCTCCTGCCTCAGCCTCCTGAATAGCTGGGATTGCAGGGATGCACCACCACGCCTGGCTAATTTTTGTATTTTTGGTAGAGGCAGGGTTTCGCCATGTTGGCCAGGCTGGTCTCAAACTCCTGACCTCAAGTCAGCCAAGGCAACCTGCCTTGGCTCTGTTGCGGGAAGTCAGGGACCCCGAACAGAGGGACCTGCTGAAGCCGTGACAGAAGAACATAAATTTTGAAGATTTCATGGACATTTATTAGTTCCCCAAATTAATATTTGTATAATTTCTCATGCCTGTCTTTACTACAATCTCTGAACATAAATTGTGAAAATTTCATGGACATTTATCACTTCCCCAATCAATACTCTTGTGATTTCCTATGCCTGTCTTTACTTTAATCTCTTAATCCCATCATCTTCTTAAGCTGAGGATGTATGTTGCCTCAGGACCCTGTGATGATTATGTTAATGGCACAAATTGTTCATAAAGCATGTGTGTTTAAACAATATGAAATCTGGGCACTTTGAAAAAAGAACAGGATAACAGCGATGTTCAGGGAACAAGAGAGATAACCATTAGGTCTGACTGCCTGGGAGCTGGGTGGAACAGAGTCATATTTCTCTTCTTACAAAAGTGAATAGGAGAAATATCGCTGAATTCTTTTTCTCAGCAAGGAATAACCCTGAGAAGGAGAATGCATTCCTAGGGGGAGGTCTCTAAAATGGCCGCTCTGGCAATGTCTGTCTTACACGGCTGTAGATAAGGGATGAAATAAGCCCCAGTCTCCTGTAGTGTCCCCAGGCCTATTAGGGTGAGGAAATTCCTGCCTAGTAAATTTTAGTCAGACCGGTTGTCCGCTCTCAAACCCTGTCTCCTGATAAGATGTTATCAATGGCAATGAGTGCCCAGTGGGGCATAAAACTTCATTAGCAATGTTAATTTCACCCTGGTCCTGTGATCTTGCTCTGTCCCCATTTGCCTTGTGATATTTTATTGCCTTGTGATGCATGTGATCTCTGTGACCCACACCCTATTCGTACACTGCCTCCCTTTTGAAATCCATAATAAAAACTTGCTGGTTTTGCAGCTTGGGGGGCATCACGGAACCCGCTGACATGTGATGTCTCCCCTGGACACCCAGCTTTAAAATTTCTCTCTTTTGTATTCTTTCCCTTTATTTCTCAGACCAGTCAACACTTAGGGAAAATAGAAAAGAACCTATGTTGAAATATTGGGGGCTGGTTCCCCTGATATTCCTCCCAAAGTGTGGGGATTACAGGCATCAGCCACCATGCCCGGCCTCTACCATTATATTTTTAATCTAAGTATCTTCTCTAGAATTCACAAAAGCTCTCCAGAGTTTTTTCATGGATATCTTCATTTCTTTGTTTCTCAGAGTATAGATAATTGGATTCAAGATAGGAGTGATGATGGTATAAAACACAGCAAGGAACTTATCTACAGAGTGGTTGCCGAAGGGCCAAATGTAGATAAAGATGCATGGGCCAAAGAAGAGAATCACCACTGTGATGTGAGCAGTCAAAGTGGAACGGGCTTTAGATTGCCCAGTAGGAGAGTGGTTCTTAATGGTTATGAGGATCAGACTGTAGGAGATAAGCAAAATAATGAAACAGCTCAGGGAGATTATGCCACTGTTGGCAACAATGACTACCTGTACAAAATATATGTCTATACAGGCAAGCTTAGTAACCAAAGGGAGGTCACAAAAAATGCTGTCTACCACATTGGGACCACAAAAGGGCAAGTTCACAGCAAATGGTATCTGAAACCCTGAGTGAAGGAGACCCAAGAGCCATGAGGTCACTACAAGCAAAACACATACCTTCTTGTTCATGATGGTCATGTAGTGTAGGGGCTTACAAATGGCCACATATCTGTCAAAAGCCATGGAGACCAACAGTACCATTTCAACCCCACCCAGTAAGTGAAGGAGAAATATCTGAGTGAAGCACCCAGCAAAAGAAATTACCTTCTGCTTTTTTAACAAGTTCAGAATCACCTTAGGGGTGGCAAAAGAAGCAAGGGTCATATCTACAAAAGAGAGATTACCAAGGAGAAAATACATGGGAGTATTCAGGTTAGGGGTGTTAAACACTGTGACTATAATAAGAAGGTTACCCAAAACTGTGACCACATAGATAACCGAGAAGAGGGCAAAGAGAAGAAACTCTACATCCTGGGAGCTGGTCAGTCCCAGCAAAATGAATTCTGACACTTGAGATTGATTTAATAGTTTCATGGCCTCCATCCTACAGCTCGCTCTTGGATGACCTGTAGAGAGAAAGAAAAGATCACTCATACCATGGAGTATGAGTGAAAAATAAAGAGCCATATGAAAAACCAAACTTATGCATTCCTTTGGATCTTTCAATAAACGGACCTTGAAATTTAGTGTCAGTATCTATTAAGTCTGAAAAAGGAGACGTATAGTCTGAGCTGTCCACTTCCATAAAAGAGCAATGACCTATTGATGCTGTTGGTTTCCCAGAAGCAAACCACAAGCTCTGGAGCATATAAGTGTATCTTCATAGGACAAAAGAGATAGAACCATCTTCAGGAAATCTGTGACTTTCTGGGTTGAAAGATGGTTTAGTCTGAATTCCTTGGAGAACAAAGGGTTTCAGCACAACCTCTACTCTTTCAAACTCAAAATTTTAAATTTGAGTGAATATTGGAGTTGTTATTTTCCCATAATGACCTTAAGAAATTCTGTTTTAGTTCTGAATCATCCCCAGAGTTTTGAAGGGACTCTGACTCAGCAGATTTAAAGCTGCTCTAGATAAGTGAGTTAGCGAGGTTGCAAGTAATGCATACTGCTGTGTTTTTCCTCCTTATCTTCCACCAGTGGGCTTCTAGTCTTGTAACTCTCTTAGAAAGTCTTTTTGGCAAATATTATTTTTTTCTGATGTGACTGCTACTACTCATGGCCTCCTGTGGCTGAAACCCATATTTCTAAATAATTTCTATAAGGCCAAAGGAGGCTGAGATTAAGCAACACGGATGAATACTCTGGGGCTATGTGGCCTTGTCACATTCTAACAAGAGCCACATATTACAGAGGAAGCAAGAAAGACACCGTGAACAAAAGTGGCATTACTTGTGACATCTAATGTCTTGATTCTTGCTTCCAGTTCACATATCACATCCCCTTTATTTATAAAATTGTATACCTTGAGCAAACCAGGTTTAACAATTTATACCTGAACCCTAGTCTTCACTAGAACTCCATTCACATTTATTTACATAACACTGATCTGGTGATGAGTGGCAACAGCCCCCATACTGGAGCCTTCAGGCTGAGGATATGACTGTAACTACTATATGGCTAAAACTAGTAGATCACTATGTTCCAATCTGGAAAATAATATAATGTATGTGTGTGTGTCTGTGTGTGTCTCTGTGTGTGTGTGAGACAGATTATGCAGAAAATTCTGATTAAGAAGCAGAATAATTAATCTCATAAAAAAGATAGGTCAGATTGAAAGTCATGTATTCTGTGCTTCTGTGAGTTACAATGTGAGAAGAATCAGTAGGCTATTTGGAGAGAACATTCAAATGAAGATGGCAGACTGGGACTGAGAGCCACCTTTGTCTCCAACAGCTGCCTTATCTTTCCCTCTGGGTCTCAGTTTCACGATTGGTAAAACCAAGTGGTTGCGTTCAAACCCTGAGTTCCTTCTCAGGCCCAATACTTCATAGGCCTGTTTTTAATGTGCCTATTATTATCTTTTATGAATCTATTATTCTATCCCCATTTCAGAGTTTTATTACTTGTTAGCTAATTTGATTTTAACTTTGAATCAACTCAAATACAAATATCAGGTATAGCTGTGTGAAAAATAGTTGTCTAAAATTTGTCTGTGATATATCTTTATCTCCTTTCTTAGTAAGTTTTTAAAAATTGTGACATTATCTTTGCTCCAGGGCCATATGACCCCATTTTGCTCCCTAGAGCTCATGTCACTTGGTCACTTTACTATGCTAGTCCTCCCCCAAATTAATATTAATATAGTTAACATTAACTTTAAGCCCTAATATATTTATTTACTATGTATGCTTCAGAAAGTTTAAAATATATAGACCCTTTGAGATCTTTCACCTCTCAGAATTTATCATAAGGATTATGAGTGTGCTATAAAATCTTCATGGTAACAGTACTGTAGATACACAAAAGTTGAAACATTCCAAATGTTCTAAATTGAGGCTTACTTTCTTATTATTTCTGGATTATAGAAAATTATAGGATGTAATATTGCATCTTTAATGAAATGATACTTGAGAAAACTATATAATAACATGAAAATATTTACATTATTTTAAGTTAAAAACAGTATGAACCCATTTTGTAAACATTGTATAAGCATATACATACAAAATTTATATATTTCTTAAAATATTGAATAATGCCACAACTATTAACAAAGAGATTATTTTTGCTATGGTGATGTGTCTAGTCCCAAAAGAACTTCATGCTGGAAATATTCCTTCATAAAAATGCCAGGACCTGAAAACACTTGTGCTCAGATATGTATTTTTGGAGTAAGAGAGTGTTCAGAAGATGTCTGTAAACAAAGAAAGTGAAACAAAACAGGCAAGTTTGCTTTTTATTATTTAATCTAGTTTATTTCCAAGTTCTTACAGTCATTCATAATTTGGTGAATAATATGCCCAAGACTATGCAAGAAAGTCCTGTAAGCAATCAGTGGTTTGGCTATAGTAATTACAAGATGAGGGCCTCAGAAGTTCTTGTTTAAGCTTGACAGTGGCTTGTTTAAATAGATTAATTATAGGAGAGTTTTTATTAACCCTATTTTATTCTAGCTTTTGAAATCAAGTAGTATTTATTTGTAAATATATAAGATAACTTAGAATTAGATACAATGCTTTATAATAGGAAAACATAGGCAAGACGTTACTTAAAGATAGCTGTGATAGTGATGAGTGGTGGAAGCAGTTCTCACTAACTGATCAGGTGGAGTGATCCCTGGAACTGAACCATTCAGTCACACTCTGTCTTTAGGCAAATTACTTCAGTGAATGAGGACTTGGGAAACCAAATCAGTGTGAAATCAAGAAATTGAGGTAATGGGTGGGAAATTCATTTTAAGAAATTTCAGGGTAAAGACACAGGCTTGATAACATAGCAGACAGAATGGAAACAGAATTAAGACTGATCTTCCTGGAATGGCGAAGATTTAAATACGTTTTATATTGATATAAAATAGTCAAAAGATCTTAAAAATGCAACAAGTTCTTTTTAACAAATCATACTAGAAAAATTGGATATGCCAAACAATGGGTAAAAAATTAAGATCAACCTATACCTCACAACCTCTACAAAAATTAACTCCAAATTGGATCATAAACCTAAATGCAATATGTAAAACTAAATTTCCTGGGAAGAGGAGAAGGGAGAAAATATGCATGAATTTGATTTAGGCAAATACTTTTTAGACACACCTCCAAAAAACATGATCCATGGAAAAATATAATAAATTACACACGAGATACAGAATAGTTCTGCAACTTTCTTTCATTTTTACCATACCATCCATGTGTGAGGGTGACATAAAGTCCCTACCTGCCTCTAACCTGAGAGTACCAATATTTTAATTAAAATGTTTGTAAAAAGAATGTATCCTTTGTAGAATAGCCATTTGGTTTACAGTCATTCATAGAAACAGAGACAGAGCTATGTTCTCCAACCAAGCTGCATCAACTCTGCACATTTTCAATTGTAGGATTTTACACTTGCTTGCTATAGTACTTCTTTTACTTATGAACAAATGGATATTCACAAATGGGCTTAGGAACTTACATTTAGGGATCTCACTTGTTTGAAAATAGAGAAAATTCTCTATCTGATATAAAAAATTATGTATTTTTCTCTTGTTTATATTTATGTTCACAAGAGCTATACGACTGGCTTCAGTCAAATTTCTATTCACAGCCTATTAATGGAGCAACACAAAGTATAAAGGAACTGAAGGAAGGCCATTATGATATAGTCACTCCAAGCAGGGTTGGCTGGAAGACAATGTTAGGCAATGAGAAGAAAACTGTACTCAAGGTTTTCTGTACCATTATAGTCCACTGGTCATTACTTTTTATGTTAGAAACTCTTATAAGTATGTATGTTATATCACAGAAATTAACAAATAATACAACTTAGACAAATTGAGTATTTAAATTAAAATAGTGTGTAAAAAGCACATAGTACAGCATCTAGCATATAGTTGGCACACAATAAATGTGAGTTATTGCTACTATTCTTACTACTAACTGGCTAAAATTCACACAGATAAAATCATGGGATTCAAATTCAGGACTTCATGACACCAAATTAAGGGTCCATGACCCCAGAGTAAGGCTGAACTTTAGCCTTATCACTGCAAGTTTTTGAATAACTATAATTGTTGATAATACAATTATTAGAATAAATAGGTAAATATGTATAAAAAAGAAAATGTTGGATGATTGAATTAATTGCACTATTATCACACTTAGACATTGATTTATTTTTCATATTTTGTTGCTATTTGAGTAGAACTGTCTGCTGCCCTGAGGCAAATTATTGCATGACCTAATTAAAACATAATTTTTTTTGGCATGGGATTGCTGTAATGCCATATTTCATTCCTCCTTACTCACAAGTTATGTTCTACTCTAAAACATAGTACCTTAGCCTTCACTATGACAAATTGTATCAATAGCTGTGTCAAAAATAGACTTTAATAGTGATCTGATCTTCATAGTTTACCAGATTACTATTGGGCAGCAATTGAGAACACTTGGATGCCTACAGCATTTTGCATAATACAAGTTTAATTATTTTTCATCATTATTTCACAGGATTCATATTTTCAGCCATGGCCTTAGAAATTTGCATACATTTGTATATTATCTGAAATAATTTGAAATTCAGGGAAAAATCTAACATGATTTTGCCTCTCGATTTTTATATAATTCTCACTCCGGAACAACAAACTCACTTACTCCTGCCTGCCGTGTCTCACCTCGACAGATGTATTGTAAACCTTCTCTGAGGAAAACATGTATATCAGGTTCAAGGACTTGAGCTGGTGCTCTGGTCTTCTTTGAATTTAGGTCACTGACCACCACATTTACTTTAGTTGCCAGTCTGGGTACTGTGGCTTCACCTAACTAGTTTGTGTTATCTTGCAGCACTGGGGCTTTCCTGGTTTCCAAACCTATCATCACCATGTGACTCTGAACACCCACTTTGTGCTGATTAGTAACAGGGATGGAACACTGACTCCATTTTGCTTACCTGCCTTTTGAATGTGTCTCAGTCCTCTGTTAACTGCGGGACAGAAATGAGTTTTCCAAAGCAGAGAGATTAATCGATGTACCCTTTCCTTGTTAAGGAGGAGTCTACTTCCCTGATCAAATGTCTTTCCTGGATATCTGTGTGAGGCCAAGATATTGACTGTGCTGTCAGATTCTGGCCAATTTAGATGACCCTGGAGCTGCTTAAATCTTAATATTATATGCTCTAGCGAGAAACTAATATTTAATTTCTGAAATTCACTGTCAGCTTTCATTCCTCAGTTCCCTTTCTCACTGGGATTTCCCCTCCTCTCATCTCCCCAACAAAATATTATGTCTCTTTTTATGACACCTTACCTCCCACTGTTTTCCTTACTCCTCTGAATAAATGACAAGTTCCAAACTTCTTTTCCTGACTTTGACCTATCCAGCCCTCCAGGACTCCATTTATTTCATTTGTTCTCCAAGCCGATTTACCATGAAGAGAAAGTGGATCTTGGATTGCTCTTTCCACTGCAGGAAGAAACTGGATGTGGCTGCTGAGCAAATCACACACAAAAAAGTAGCTAAGGCACATAGAATTGGAGGTGATTATGGATGGGTCATTGGAGTAAAGCTGAATCCTAGTAATCTTCTAATTTCTGGCTGTATATGGGCTCTTAACAGGTGTATAGGACAGTTCTCTACTTTTTTGTTTGGCATATACTTATAGTTTCTAAGCTCTTCTTTATTCATCTCAGCCTTTTAGCAAGAACTCAAATATAGCAGTTTTAGTTGTAGCAATTTCTTTCCTGGAAATTGTAGAAGCCTAATTAACGACAATAACACCAAAGCAAAACTCCAAATAGAGCTGATGACTGGGGATAAAAATGCTTACATGCTCTTAAATTAGCAAGGGTTTTTGAGATGTGGTCATTTTAATGACTTTAATTTAGGAGCAGCCTAGTTCTCTCTGCAAGAGCCTCTAGAAAGATAGTTTCAGGAAATGTAAGTCCATGCCAAGAAGAAATACATACAACCAAATCATGAATACTCTTGTTTTCTGACTCGTTCTGTTCACTGTTAATGTCCAAATCAATACATTCTCAGTGGAAACTTTCCTAAGAAACTGACTCAGTCGATGATTCTCTCCTCTGTACCCTCATAGTACTACCCTTATAACCTATAATATAGTTATTTATATATACTTCTGTCTTCCTCCCAAGTTTGTGAACTATTTTAGTTTGCCATCTTAACACCTGGTAAAGTTCCTAGCATATACTTAAGCCTCAGTGTCATTTTCCAAATGATAATAAATTCAATCATTTATTGAGGTTCTGCTGTTTGCTGGACTCTGTACTAGGAACTTCACATATATCATCTCATTTAGTCTTCGTAAGTCTGAGTTTAATTTTCTTTTTGGTACATTTTCCAGAATGTCTTGAGCATTTTCTCAAACCTGAGACTATGCTTTTTCATGACTGATTATAACAAGTTCATTTAACAATTGCTATCTTGTGTGAACTGTGACAGGCAAATACATTGGCTTTATAATGTCAGCAATGTCTTCTGCTTACCAGTTCAGAAGAAGTCAGGGCCATGGGTTCAGAGGGGACAATATCGAGAAGGGCATGCACCTTCTCAACTTATAGTTCCATAGAAGAAACAAGTCACTAAAGTATCTAGACTCCAATCAGGGGAGTTCCTAATACCGTCTCTCTTAGAATTAGGTAGTGCCTAATAAGTGCTGGAAAACTCTGGGAATCCTCTATAGATGATTCTAACGGTGATTCTGTCTGCTGAGGGAATAATGCTTCAGGGCCACAGAGTATATTACGTAATCAATGATAGTTTAAATGTGACAGATGAAGTTAATTTCACTAGGGTGATTGGAGAGGTTTTGGAGCTAGTGTCCTGCTTTCTTCTTTATTTTGTCTCAGCTGGCTGTGGGACCATTTAATTTTGATTCCTGGTTGTAAAGTAATGAGATTAAGCTTAATGTAGGGGCACAAGGGGAGAAAAGGATGCTGAGGTGGGCCCTTAGGACTATCCTCTGGTAAGATAAATGCCACCTCTATCACTAGGTGATATAAAAGCAGTGGTTGAGGTGGGTTATAATGAGGAGAGGAAGATATACGGGTAAACCTATAGAAAGGTAGAAAGGGCATAAGAGAGGTGTAATGAAACAGACAATGAACCTTATGAAGAAAGGCATGTGCGGGTTTGGAGCTTAATTATGACATTGCAAATATAAGCCAAACCACTTCTCTGATGCTTCAAGCATTCATTAGTTTCATTCACTTGCTCAGTAATTAATAGCCTATCTCTTAAAGGGAACAATAGTTGAGCTACACTATATGTTAGGCATTTGGCTAATTATAGGGCTATAAATACAGGAACACACTCCTAGCCCCCCAGAAGCTTATAGACTAGTGATAATAAAAATAGCCAGTTCATACATAGTTTCCTATATACTAGGCATGGGGTTAAACTTACAATATACTTCCTTTCTTATGTATTTACATAGAATGAATAGAAATTTATTTATTAATATAATAATTACTATTTATACAGTTGAATTATTTGATTGATAATTGAATTATTATAAGCATTGTTTTTGTAACTTTTTTTTTAATTTGTAAAGTTTTTTTGTATTTTTAATTTCATTATTATTATACTTTAAGTTTTAGGGTACATGTGCACAATGTGCAGGTTAGTTACATATGTATACATGTGCCATGCTGGTGTGCTGCACCCATCAATTCGTCATTTAGCATTAGGTATATCTCCTAATGCTATCCCTCCCCCCTCCCCCCACCCCACAACAGTCCCCAGAGTGTGATGTTCCCCTTCCTGTGTCCATGTGTTCTCATTGTTCAGTTCCCACCTATGAGTGAGAACATGCAGTGTTTGGTTTTTTGTCCTGGTGATAGTTTACTGAGAATGATGATTTCCAAATTCATCCATGTCCCTACAAAGGACATGAACTCATCATTTTTTTTGGCTGCATAGTATTCCATGGTGCATATGTGTCACATTTTCTTAATCCAGTCTATCATTGTTGGACATTTGGGTTGGTTCCAAGTCTTTGCTATTGTGAATAGTGCCACAATAAACATATGTGTGCATGTGTCTTTATAGCAGCATGATTTATAGTCCTTTGGGTATATACCCCGTAATGGGATGGCTGGGTCAAATGTATTTCTAGTACTATATCCCTGAGGAATCGCCACACTGACTTCCACAATGGTTGAACTAGCTTACAGTCCCACCAACAGTGTAAAAGTGTTCCTATTTCTCCACATCCTCTCCAGCACCTGTAGTTTCCTGACTTTTTAATGATTGCCATTCTAACTGGTGTGAGATGGTATCTCGTTATGGTTTTGATTTGCATTTCTCTGATGGCCAGTGATGGTGAGCATTTTTTGATGTGTTTTTTGGCTGCATAAATGTCTTCTTTTGAGAAGTGTCTGTTCATGTCCTTTGCCCACTTTTTGATGGGGTTGTTTGTTTTTTTCTTGTAAATTTGTTGGAGTTCATTGTAGATTCTGGATATTAGCTCTTTGTCAGATGAGTAGATTGTGAAAATTTTCTCCCATTTTGTAGGTTGTCTGTTCACTCTGATGGTAGTTTCTTTTGCTGTGCAGAAGTTCTTTAGTTTAATTAGATCTCATTTGTCAATTTTGTCTTTTGTTGCCATTGCTTTTGGTGTTTTAGACATGAAGTCCTTGTCCATGCCTATGTCCTGAATGGTAATGCCTAGGTTTTCTTCTAGGGTTTTTATGGTTTTAGGTCTAACGTTTAAGTCTTTAATCCATCTTGAATTAATTTTTGCATAAGGTGTAAGGAAGGGATCCAGTTTCAGCTTTCTACATATGGCTAGCCAGTTTTCCCAACACGATATATTAAATAGGGAATCCTTTCCCCATTGCTTGTTTTTCTCAGGTTTGTCAAAGATCAGATAGTTGTAGATATGCGGCGTTATTTCTGAGGGCTCTGTTCTGTTCCATTGATCTATAACTCTGTTTTGGTACCAGTACCATGCTGTTTTGGTTACTGTAGCCTTGTAGTATAGTTTGAAGTCAGGTAGTGTGATGCCTCCAGCTTTGTTCTTTTGGCTTAGGATTGACTTGGCGATGCGGGCTCTTTTTTGGTTCCATATTAACTTTAAAGTCATTTTTTCCAATTCTGTGAAGAAAGTCATTGGTAGCTTGATGGGGATGACATTGAATCTATAAATTACCTTGGGCAGTGTGGCCATTTTCACGATATTGATTCTTCCTACCCATGAGCATGGAATGTTCTTCCATTTGTTTGTATCCTCTTTCATTTCACTGAGCAGTGGTTTGTAGTTCTCCTTGAAGAGGTCCTTCACATCCCTTGTAAGTTGGATTCCCAGGTATTTTATTCTCTTTGAAGCAACGGTGAATGGGAGTTCACTCATGATTTGGCTCTCTGTTTGTCTGTTCTTGGTGTATAAGAATGCTTGTGATTTTTGTACATTGATTTTGTATCCTGAGACTTTGCTGAAGTTGCTTATCAGCTTAAGGAGATTTTGGGCTGAGACAATGGGGTTTTCTAGATATACAATCATGTCATCTGCAAACAGGGACAATTTGACTTCCTCTTTTCCTAATTGAATACCCTTTATTTCCTTCTCCTGCCTAATTGCCCTGGCCAGAACTTCCAACACTATGTTGAATACGAGTGGTGAGAGAGGGCATCCCTGTCTTGTGCCAGTTTTCAAAGGGAATGCTTCCAGTTTTTGCCCATTCAGTATGATATTGGCTGTGGGTTTGTCATAGACAGCTCTGATTATTTTGAGATACGACCCATCAATACCTAATTTATTGAGAGTTTTTAGCATGAAGGGTTGTTGAATTTTGTCAAAGGCCTTTTCTGCATCTATTGAGATAATCATGTGGTTTTTGTCTTTGGTTCTGTTTATATGCTGGATTACATTTATTGATTTGCGTATATTGAACCAGCCTTGCATCCCAGGGATGAAGCCCACTTGATCATGGTGGATAAGCTTTTTCATGTGCTGCTGGATTCAGCCTGCCAGTATTTTATTGAGGATTTTTGCATCAATGTTCATCAAGGATATTGGTCTAAAATTCTCTTTTTTGGTTGTGTCTCTGCCCGGCTTTGGTATCAGGATGATGCTGGCCTCATAAAATGAGTTAGGGAGGATTCCCTCTTTTTCTATTGATTGGAATAGTTTCAAAAGGAATGGTACCAGTTCCTCCTTGTACCTCTGGTAGAATTCGGCTGTGAATCCATCTGGTCCTGGAGTCTTTTTTTTTGGTAAGCTATTGATTATTGCCACAATTTCAGAGCCTGTTATTGGTCTATTCAGAGATTCAACTTCTTCCTGGTTTAGTCTTGGGAGGGTGTATGTGTCGAGGAATTTATCCATTTCTTTTAGATTTTCTAGTTTATTTGTGTAGAGGTGTTTGTAGTATTCTCTGATGGTAGTTTGTATTTCTGTGGGATCGGTGGTGATATCCCCTTTAATATTTTTTATTGCATCTATTTGTTTCTTCTCTCTTTTCTTCTTTATGAGTCTTGCTAGTGGTCTATCAATTTTGTTGATCCTTTCAAAAAACCAGCTACTGGATTCATTAATTATTTGTGGGGATTTTGTGTCTCTATTTCCTTCAGTTCTGCTCTGATTTTAGTTATTTCTTGCTTTCTGCTAGCTTTTGAATGTGTTTGTTCTTGCTTTTCTAGTTCTTTTAATTGTGATGTTAGGGTGTCAATTTTGGATCTTTCCTGCTTTCTCTTGTGGGCATTTAGTGCTATCAATTTCCCTCTACACACTGCTTTGAATGTGTCCCAGAGATTCTGGTCTGTTGTGTCTTTGTTCTCGTTGGTTTCAAAGAACATCTTTATTTCTGCCTTCATTTCGTTATGTACCCAGTAGTCATTCAGGAGCAGGTTGTTCAGTTTCCATGTAGTTGACTGGTTTTGAGTGAGTTTCTTAATCCTGCGTTCTCGTTTGATTGCACTGTGGTCTGACAGACAGCTTGTTATAATTTCTGTTCTTTTACATTTGCTGAGGAGAGCTTTACTTCCAACTATGTGGTCAGTTTTGGAATAGGTGTGGTGTGGTGCTGAAAAAAATGTATATTCTGTTGATTTGGGGTGGAGAGTTCTGTAGATGTCTATTAGGTCCGCTTGGTGCAGAGCTGAGTTCAATTCCTGGGTATCCTTGTTAACTTTCTGTCTTGTTGATCTGTCTAATGTTGGCAGTGGGGTGTTAAAGTCTCCCATTATTAATGTGTGGGAGTCTAAGTCTCTTTGTAGGTCACTCAGGACTTGCTTTATGAATCTGGGTGCTCCTGTATTGGGTGCATATATATTTAGGATAGTTAGCTCTTCTTGTTGAATTGATCTCTTTACCATTATGTAATGGCTTTCTTTGTCTCTTTTGATCTTTGTTGGTTTAAAGTCTGTTTTATCAGAGACTAAGATTGCAACCCCTGCCTTTTTTTGTTTTCCATTTGCTTGGTAGATCTTCCTCCATCCTTTTATTTTGAGCCTATGTGTGTCTCTGCACATGAGATGAGTTTCCTGAATACAGCACACTGATGGGTCTTGACTCTTTATCCAATTTGCCAGTCTGTAGTCTTTTAATTGGAGCATTTAGTCCATTTACATTTAAAGTTAATATTGTTATGTGTGAATTTGATCCTGTCATTATGATGTTGGCTGGTTATTTTGCTCGTTAGTTGATGCAGTTTCTTCCTAGTCTCGATGGTCTTTATAATTTGGCATGATTTTGCAGTGGCTGGTACCGTTTGTTCCTTTCCATGTTTAGTGCTTCCTTCAGGAGCTCTTGTAGGGCAGGCCTGATGGTGACAACATCTCTTAGCATTTGCTTGTCTGTAAAGTATTTTATTTCTCCTTCACTTATGAAGCTTAGTTTGGCTGGATATGAAATTCTGGGTTGAAAATTCTTTTCTTTAAGAATGTTGAATATTGGCCCCCACTCTCTTCTGGCTTGTAGAGTTTCTGCCGAGAGATCCGCTGTTAGTCTGATGGGCTTCTCTTTGTGGGTAACCCAACCTTTCTCTCTGGTTGCCCTTAACATTTTTTCCTTCATTTCAACTTTGGTGAATCTGACAATTATGTGTCTTGGAGTTGCTCTTCTCGAGGAGTATCTTTGTGGTGTTCTCTGTATTTCCTGAATCTGAATGTTGGCCTGCCTTGCTAGATTGGGGAAGTTCTCCTGGATAATATCCTGCAGAGTGTTTTCCAACTTGGTTCCATTCTCCCTGTCACTTTTGGGTATACCTATCATACGTAGGTTTGGTGTTTTCACATAGTCCCATATTTCTTGGAGGATTTGTTTGTTTCTTTTTATTCTTTTTTTCTCTAAACTTCCCTTCTTGCTTCATTTCATTCATTTCGTCTTCCATCACTGATACCCTTTCTTCCAGTTGATTGCATCAGCTCCTGAGGCTCCTGCATTCTTCACATCGTTCTCAAGCCTTGGCTTTCAGCTCCATCAGCTCCTTTAAGCACTTCTCTGTATTGGTTATTCTAGTTATATATTCTTCTAAATTTTTTTCAAAGTTTTTAACTTCTTTGCCTTTGGTTAGAATTTCCTCCTGTAGCTCGGAGTAGTTTGATCATCAGAAGCCTTCTTCTCTTAACTCATCAAAGTCATTCTCCATCCAGCTTTGTTCCGTTGCTGGTGAGGAACTGCATTCCTTTGGAGGAGGAGAGGTGCTCTGCTTTTTAGAGTTTCCAGTTTTTCTGCTCTGTTTTTTCCCCATCTTTGTGGTTTTATCTACTTTTGGTCTTTGATGATGGTGATGTACAGATGGGTTTTTGTTGTGGATGTCCTTTCTGTTTGTTCATTTTCCTTCTAACAGACAGGACCCTCAGCTGTAGGTCTGTTGGAGTTTGCTAGAGGTCCACTCCAGACGCTGTTTACCTGGGTAACAGCAGCGGTGGCTGCAGAATAGCAGATTTTCGTGAACCGCAAATGCTGCTCTGTGATCGTTCCTCTGGAAATTTTGTCTCAGAGGAGTACCCGGCCGTGTGAGGTGTCAGTCTGCCCCTACTGGGGGGTGCCTCCCATTTAGGCTGCTCAGGGGTCAGGGGTCAGGGACCCACTTGAGGAGGCAGTCTGCCCGTTCTCAGATCTCCAGCTGCGTGCTGGGAGAACCACTACTCTCTTCAAAGCTGTCAGACAGGGGCATTTAAGTCTGCCGAGGTTACTGCTGTCTTTTTGTTTGTCTGTGCCCTGCCTCCAGAGGTGGAGCCTACAGAGGCAGGCAGGCCTCCTTGAGCTGTGGTGGGCTCCACCCAGTTGGAGCTTCTGGGCTGCTTTGTTTACCTAAGCAAGCCTGGGCAATGGCCGGCGCCCCTCCCCCAGCCTCACTGCCACCTTGCAGTTTGATCTCAGACTGCTGTGCTAGCAATCAGCGAGACTCTGTGGGCATAGGACCATCTAAGTTAGGTGCAGGATATAATCTCCTGGTGCGCTGTTTTTTAAGCCCATCGGAAAAGTGCAGTATTAGGGTGGGAGTGACCCGATTTTCCAAGTGCCGTCTGTCACCCCTTTCTTTGACAAGGAAAGGGAACTCTGTGACCCCTTGTGCTTCCCAAGTGAGGCAATGCCTCGCCCTGCTTCAGCTCGCACATGGTGCACTGCACCCACTCTCCTGTGCCCACTGTCTTGTACTCCCTAGTGAGATGAACCCGGTACCTCAGATGGAAATGCAGAAATCACCCGTCTTCTGCGTCACTCACGCTGGGAGCTGTAGACTGGAGCTGTTCCTATTCGGCCATCTTGGCTGTATATCTCTTTTGTAACTACATTAATTTGAAGAACACAATGCTCCAAAGTAATGTTTCCTGTCAGAGGACAAATAAGAAGCCATGTATTAGACTCTTCATTGTTCTGTTACAAAAGACAATGTCTTTAAGCCTCTGTTTCACACCATGTCTCTATATCCATTTTATGAACAGTAAAGTACAATATGCTCATTGTTGCAAAAACATTTCAAGTGTACACAAAAGTGTAAGTGTTCCCATTTTTAGGACACCCTCAAAAACTTTTTAGGAAACTAGGTTGCAAGAGACTCTCATTATTTGCCATATGACAGTGTTCCTTCTTCTGAACATATAATAGCAGTTTTCCTCAAGGAAACCACCTGGAACAACAAAAAATCTATTTTATTCACGAGGGGTAGTTTGTATAGCTTTAATAATGGGGATGTAGAGAATAGAAGCATACAACTACCAAGTAAATTTTTAAATTGTGCCCTGTTTTACCATATTATTTTTGCTTGCAGTCCACAGAATCTAATATACCTCATTTTATAAGGAAGGATTAAAGGGGATCTTTAAAAAATTTGCAGAAATTTTAAGGGTGGTGGCAATTCTAAAAAGTACTAGACAACCAGACCTAAGCTGATGGAACATGGCCCCAAACTTCATTGCAAAGCTCCTCTCACTGCTGACCCCATATTCACTCTGTCTCTGCCATGATAGGCAAAAATGCCACTGACAATGCCAAACCTCCAATTATGCAGGCTTTGGGCTGCTAGTGGTGCTAGCAAAATGAATTTGCACTCTCAGACTTATCACTTACATGGCTCCCTTTGAAATAAAAGTCTCTGACAGGTATATATATCTGATGGTATATGAAGCTGTCATATATCTACACTTCACTAATGAGGATGAATGGGAAATACAATATTTTATTACCATTATTATTTTTTATTGACGAGGCAGGGTTACTCTAGTAGGATTATCAAAATATAAAGACGATGTTCAAAAGCTTTTAAAGAAGCCATAAAAGATGGACATCTCTACATATACGATCATTACCAATGACTTGACATGTAAAAGAAACATTTCATAAGATGTGATCAGGTTATGTGCATGAAAGTTGAATGTGGTCCAACCTCTCTTTGTCCAATCTTCCTAAGAAAGAATGGGACAGATGGGAAGCAGTTTTCAGTGTTTGTATTTTTAATCAATTACAGAGTAAAGCCTCACCACCAGAGTAGTGAGAAATTAATTATATAAAATACTCATAACTTAATCTATGAAAAATAACAAGAACTGACTGATTTTCTTCCGCCAAGTTGCTAGCAAGTGATGAGGGTATAAGGCTCTTTAACTGAAACCCAACCAAGCAAAGATGCAGAAATGAGAAGGTGAATGATCTGAGCAACTAGAACAAGATGTATGAGACCATCTTGCTGAAGCAGATAGAAACAGTGATTAGACATGGAAAGAACATTTACCAAGTTTTTGTAATAAAATCCAGAGAGCATTTGAAGTGTGTTCTTTTTTAATTTATCTTTCATATTATTTTTAAAATAATATTTGATACATGCAGCTGTAATGAAGAATGAAGATCTCTATGACCTGTATGAAGTTCACATGACCTGATATTTCCAGGAAACACTGTTAAACAAAAAGAGCAAGATAATTACAGTAAGCTAGTTTAGTATAAGACAAAAGGGGAAAGCCATATATCTGGACATTTGTTCAAAACAAAACTCAGAAAACAAAACACAAAATAATGAGACTGATTGCTTACGAGTGGTAAGTGGCAATGGGATGGAAAGGACTGGGAACTGGAATGCTTTAAAAAGTATAGGAGGGTAGTGTTATTGCTGTGAGGAGAGTAGTGTTTTTGCTATGAGTATACATTTTGCTGAAATTTTGACTTTTGAAACCATATTAATACTTCACAGGCACACACACATATAATATATGTGTTATTTTGTGTATAAATAAATATATATATATATCCTTTGTTGAATATATATGCTACATATATATTCAACAAAGAGAAATACCCTAAAATGAAAAATTAAGAGAATCAAATAAACCTAATTGTATTTCAAATGGATAACATAACCACACTGAAAAAGAATAGTGTTGAATTAACCCAAATAACTTTTGACTGAAGTATTTTGACTATATATCACAAGAATGTAGATTCTATAACATTCTGTGTAGTCTGGAATTTAGCAAATAGGAAGGGTATAGTGAATAAAGGGTTTCACTTTTTCAGTGCTGGAAAAGGGAATTGCAGATGTCGAAGAGGGAGGTTATAATAAAACCTGTGTTCTTGAATTGGAACTGGAGTTATCAATGTGGGTGACCGGTTATATATAAATTATACTTTTATTTATATATTTTATATGCATTCAAATATATATATAAATTAGGAAAAAATATGTGTATACACACACACACATATATATACACACACACATACAAACACTCATATTTTTTTTTAACTCTCTCCTCTAAGTGGATCTAGAAGAAGTGACATCACAGTAGCAATGATCTCAAGTTCCAGAACCTTGGTTTCAAATAAACATTATCCACTGCAAGAAACTAGTATTCCTTAGAGACATAGCTAACTTCAGGACTGGGGTGGGGAAAGTACAAAATAAGTCTGGAACGTCTTTTTGTGCAGTTAAGTAACTTTGGTTCAACAAGGGGAGACTTTTGACATGCCAACTTGAATGGGAACCTACTATCCAAATATAGAACAATTTGAGCATTGTAATAATTTTGGTAACAGATTCTGAACTGTAGAAAAACAGGAAAAAGTCCATGCAGATATAAATGGATATATGAGTAAATAAATAAATACGATAAAATTAAAACTCTTTCTTTGTAGAGTAATAACTGATAAATATAAATCAAATTATGGAATTAGAAAAGAACCATTTGGAAATCATCATTTTAATAATTAATTCAAGCAGGAACCATCCATGGCTACTAAAACTAGTGAATACAATTTTTATAAGGAACATAGTATTTATACAGTCTCAAAATATTTAGCTGAATAGCACTTGTGAATTACAAAGGAAAAATAGTAACTTTAAGGGTGATACCTGGCAGAAAACACCTTACTGAAGTTATCAAACTTGTTACTACAAGCAATGGGACAAATCAACATCATATACTCCTGATATAAACCCCTGAGAAGAACACGTCACCAGAAACTACCCCAGATGAAAAGTTTGAATCTAATCATGAAGGAACACTGACAAACTCAAATGTACAGATTCTACAAATTCCATTGTCTGCACTTATAAAAAATGTCAATGTCATAAGTGTTAAGGAAAAATCGAGGAATTGTTGAATATTAACGTATAATAAAGAGATATGGCAATGAAATGTAATTTGTGAACCTGGACCAGATATTTTTTCTTTTTTAAAAGGGTTTTATTTATGTAATTGACAACAACATTTTGTGTCCGGAATTGGTGGGTTCTTTTTCTCACTGACTTCAAGAATGAAGCCGCAGACCCTTGCGGTGAGTGTTACAGTTCTTAAAGGCAGTGTGTCTGGAGTTTCTTCCTTCTGGTGGGTTCGTGGTCTCTCTGGCTCAGGAGTGAAGCTGCAGACCTTCTCGGTGTTACAGCTCATAAAAGCAGTGCGGACCCAAAGAGTGAGCAGCAGCAAGATTTATTGCAAAGAGCAAAAGAACAAAGCTCCCGCTGTGTGGAAGGGGACCCCAGCAGGTTGCCACTGCTGGCTTGGGCAGCATGCTTTTATTCCTTTATCTGGCCCCACCCATATCCTGCTGATTGGTGCATTTTACAGAGCCGATTAGTCTGTTTTGACAAGGTGCTGATTGGTGCGTTTACAATCCCTGAGCTAGACATAAAGGTTCTCCAAGTCCCCACTAGATTAGCTAGGTACAGAATGCTGATTGGTGCATTTACAAATCTTGAGCTAGACACAGAGTGCTGATTGGTGTATTTACAAACCCTGAGCTAGACATAAAGGTTCTCCAAGTCCCCACTAGACTCAGGAGCCCAGCTGGCTTCACCTAGTGGATCCCGCACCCAGCTGCAGGTGGAGCTGCCCGCCAGTCCCACGCTGTGCGCCCGCACTCCTCAGCCCTTGGGCGGTCGATGGGACTGTGTGCCGTGGAGCAGGAGCAGGGGAGCGGGTGAGTGGGGGGAGTGGGGGGAATGGTGTGGGGGGCTCGGGGAGGCTTAGGCATGGCAGGCTGCAGGTCCCGAGCCCTGCCCCATGGGGAGGCAGCTGAGGCCTGGCGAGAATTAGAGCACAGCAACGGTGGGCCAGCACTGCTGGGGGACCTGGAGCACCTGCTGCAGCTGCTGGCCCAGGTGCGAAGCCCCTCACTGCCCGGGGCGGCGGTGCGGGCTGGCCACTCTGAGTGCAGGGCCCGCCAAGCCCATGCCCACCCAGAAGTCACTCTGGCCCGCGAGCGTAGGGCACAGCCCCGGTTCCCTCCCACCCTCCCCCCGCCCCGTCTCCCTCCACACCTCCCCACAAGCTGAGGGAGCCAGCTCTGGCATTGGCCAGCCCAGACAGGGGCTCCCACAGTGCAGAGGCGGGCTGAAGGGCTCCTCAAGCACGGCCAGAGTGGGCGCCGAGGCCGAGGAGGCACCGAGAGCGAGCAAGGGCTGCCAGCATGCTGACACCTCTCAATTTAATAAGGGCTATAGATTAGATATTCATTTAAAATATTAATGTAAATTTTCTGATTTAAAAAGTTACAGAGTTTTAGGCAATACACACTGAGGAAGGGGTAAAAGGGCATCATGTGTTTAAGTTACTCTCACAGTTCTGACATAAAATTATATATGTGTATGTGGTGTATACAAAGAGAGACAGACAGACAGACGGACACAGAGAGATATCTGAGGAATTGACTCACTGGCTCATGTGATTGTGGAGACTCCATGAGTCCAAAATCTGATGGGCTAGGTCTGCAGGTTGGCAACTGAGGGAAGAGCTGTGGTTTGAATGTAAAGGCAGGATTCTCAGGGAAGGTCAGTCTTTGTTCTAATAAGGCCTTTAACTGTTTGGATGAGGGCCACTCAAATTATGGAGAGTCGTCTGCTTTATTCAAAGTCAATTAATTTAAATGTTAATGTCCTCCAAAAGACATCCTCACGGAAATATCCAGAGTAATGTTTGACCAAATACCTGGGCATCATGGGACAGCCAAGTGGATACATGAAATTAACAATATAATATGTATAGAAATACAATTTTATATGCTGTGTATACAGCCACATATATATGAATATCATAAATGTATATCTGTATTATATATCTTTATGTAAACATATAAAACTCATATTAAATAATATTTATATTATAGCAAAATAGAAGTCCCATTAATTACCTATAACAGGCAAACTTAAAGCAAAATAATATTTGCAAGTTGAAAATAAAGGGGGAATATTAAGGAGAAACTTTTGAAACTCTGTTAGAGGATATAAATTGTTATTTGAATAAATGGAAGAATATGCTCATGCTCATGCTGGTATATGAGATGGCATAGCATGGCAATGATGCCAATATTACCCCAAATGTATATACTAATAACAATTTATCTACCTTTTAAAAAATTATAGTAAAACGAACATATTTAAAGATACATTCTTTGCTATGTCAACTTTGAGTAGAATAATGAAAAAGATGAACATATCAGCTAAATATTAAATCACCTACAAAGTGATAGTAATAAAAATAATATAATAATAAAACAGAAGACATATAAATGGCACTGAATAGAAAACACAGGTCATATATGATTATGTACACATATCTTAGCTGAGATACACACACAGACATATATGATATATGATGACCAATCAAAGCGATCAAGATCAAATTGGTGATGTTGTTGGAAATAGTGGTTTACTAAAAGGAGATAAAGTTAGGTTGCTACCTTCCTTGTATACAAATGTGTATTTAGAAACATTTAACAACAAAATGCAAAAATATAATAGAATAATAATAGAATAAAATATCTTTGCAACCTAAGTTAAGAGAAGAACATCTATAAACAAATCTTTTAAAAATGAATAAAAAGAAACATTTTAATAAATAATGACACTATAAACATTCTATCCAAAGACGAATACTAGGGGCAAAATTAACAAACAGTAGTAGATTAAAAAAAATGTAATAAATTGACAAGATTATTTGTCAAAAAGAATTTCTACAAGGATGGGAATGTTCTAAATTGGTCTTATCTCATAGTAGCCTCTATGGCTACTGAACACTTGAAAAGAGGCTAATGTTAGTGAACTAAAATGTCAATTTTACTTTTTAAATATGTATTTAAATTACCATCTAAATGGCCACATATGATAATAGATACCATATTGGACAGTGCAGATCTACAGGATTCAAATAACAAGAAAAGTACAGAAAACACATTTTAAGTGATGAAGGTCATGAAAGAACAAATCACAGAACTGAAGCTCGAATAGCTAATAGATATGAGAGACAGGTTCCAAACTCACTGGTAATCTAAACCAACAAACAACAACAACAACAATAAAACAAATTAAAGCAACAAAGTATTATTTACACGGCAAAACAAAATTTAGAAAAATGATGAAAGCTAAATTTTATAAAGTGATGGGAACTATTGCTCTGCAATTGCAAGTAGACTGGTTAAGTCGTTCTGGAGACACTCAGTAGCATTTAGTGAAATTAAGGGGGTAACTTAAAAATCCTGCAATCACAATAAGAAGGTCATGGAAAAATTAGGACTCCTCAAGAGTATGCATATCTACAACTTTGTATGGAAATTTGGCAATTTCTAATAAAATTAAAATGTAAATATTTATATTACACATTTACATTTAAAGATAAAATATAATTCAGCATTTCCAGTTCTAAGTACATACCCTAGAGAAATTATCACGTGTGTACCCAAAGAAACATATATAAGTATGTTCAACTAAACCGTATTTATTAGGCTAAACAATTATAAAGATTATAAATGTCTCCAAAAAAGAGGAGACTTAATCACATTTTAGCATATCCATACAAGACCCTATAGCTGCTAAAATGAACGAAGCAGAATGGCACATTTCTGAACAGATAAATATTTTAAACATAAGATTAAGTGAAAATAAATTTTTAGATAAAAGCATTTATCTAGATTTCAGTTAAATCAAGTTCAAAAATATGTGACATAACATTTTATGCACAATGCATGCATACATCAGAAAAATAATTTTAGGCTGGTCGTGGTGGCTCACACCTGTAATTTCAGCATTTTGGGAGGCAGAGGCAGGCGGATCATTTGAGGTCAGGAGTTCAAGACAAGCCTGGCCAACATGGTGAAACCTTGTCTCTACTAAAAATACAAAAATTAGCTGGGTGTGGTGGTGCATGCCTGTAATCCCAGCTACTCGAGAGGCTGAGACAGGAGAATTGCTTGAATCTGGCAGGCTGAGGTTGCAGTGAGTCGAGATTGTGCCACTGCACTCTAGCCTTGGCGACAGAGCCAGACTCCGTCTCAAAATAATAATAATTTTAAAAACATAAAAGTAAATGATGCCATGGAGCTGATGATAGTGGTTATCTTTGCCAAGATAAAATAATTGAATATGGAGGGTTGCTTAGGTTCTTTATTATCTCTAATAATCCACTTTGGTGGTAAAAGAGAATCTGATACAAATGTGTCAAAATGTTTAAAAATTCAAAAAATTATGTGTTATGTCAGTATCTACATTTAACCTTATAATTTAAATAGTTGATAAGAAATAGATATAAATATGTCCAGTGATTCCAAGGGACCCAGTACCAATGTGTCTCAATGATTTTTTAAAAAACATTTAATTTAAAATATACCATACACATATGGCTATGAATACATCTTTAAGGCACCTTTTAGCTCTAGTTAACATAGCATACATATTACTTAGGAGACAGTGAGGAAATACCGGGTAGAATCCTCTAAGGGGTCAGTAGATGTTTGGGTAAAAGCAGAGCATTTTGAATTTGATGCCAAACAGGTCATAGAATGTGTATTTATTCTAATGTCCATGGACCGTAGATCTAACTTTATAATTTAGTACACTTTAAAGCTTTCTTTATGCAACTTAATCAGATTGAAAACTTTGTTTTGTTGTGAAGGGAATGCCTGGAAAATATATAGGCTTCTTAATTTATTCTTTACTCATGTGAATTGGCAGAATAATAATGTTCTTACTTGTTTCTGGAGAGATATATGAGAGAAAATATGAACAAAAACATGAAAGATTAAAATGTTCTATGTGTAATTTTTTGTCAGGTGAAATTTCTCTTTAGAGTGAAGAAGTGTATGCTTCATGTCAGTGGATTACAGTAACTATATGCATCTATATACTCATAAAAACTAGCCTGTCTGCCTTGTTAAAAAATAATAATCCTTTCACATATTAGGGGCACAAAAATGTAAGTGTGTGTGTTCATGCTTGTGGGTTTATAAGAGTTCACACAACTTTGTTTACATTTGGTCATTTAGAGAATTTGGCTGAAAGATTACTAGTTAAAAGTAGACAAATTTATATTTGATTTCTCTTATTTAAGGAAAGTCTTAGATACATGGAGTCTCTAAATATAGTTAAGAAGCCAGTTTTTCTAGTTAACTTTTTATTATATTTTGAAAGTAATTTATTAACCCAAATTTGAATTGAAAGTTAATGAAAATAACTATGCTTTTTTTTTCAAAAATATTTTAAGGTCGGGGTACAAGTGCAGGTTTGTTTCATAGGTGAACTTATGTCATGGGGGTTTGTTGTACAGATTATTCCATCACTCAGGTATTAAGCCTAGTACTCATTAGTTTTGTTTCCTGATTTTCTCCCTCCTCCCACCCTCCACCCTCCAAAAGGCCCAGTGTGTGTTGTTCCCCTCTATGTGTCCATGTGTTCTCTTTTGCTTTTAAGTGAGAACATGCAGTGTTTGGTTTTCTGTTCCTGTGTTAGTTTGCTAAGGATAATGGCCTCCATCTCCATCCATGTCCTTACAAAGGACATGATCTCATTGCTTTTTTATGGCTCTATAGTATCCTATGGTGTATATATACCACATTTTTTAAATCCCAGTCTCTCATTGATGGGAAATTAGGTTGACTCCATGTCTTTGTTATTGTCAATAGTGCTGCAATGAACATATGCATGCATGTATCTTTATAATAGAATGGCTTATATTCCTTTGGGTATATACCCAGTAATGGAGTTCCCAGGCTGATAATTATATTTTCAACAAAACCACACATGCCATAGAAATATAATAATGAAAAATTATATTTGATAATTTCAATATATGCAATATTATTTATAGAAATCAACAAATAAAATTAATATCAACATATTCTGAAACGTAATTTATATGGGTTCTGAACTAATATCCTGTCCTCATGATTGCTGATTAGAGAAGGTTTGTCTGGAGATGATGTGTTGGGTCCTCAGTTGATGTATAGATGCTTTCATCTCAGACTGTAAGTAATGGGGTTCAGTAAGGGTGTAACTGAATAAAACACAGAAAGAAATGTATCCACTGAAAAGCTCCTAAATGGCCAAGTGTAAATGTAGACACATGGCTCATAAAAATAGAGTGACTGCAGTGATATGAGCAGACAGTGTGGACAGAGCCTTGGAGAGTGCATCAGAGGATCGATGCTGCACAGTTACCAGAATAATAGTGTAGAAAATGAGCAAGACTATGAAGCAGATGAAAGACAACTGTCCACTTTTAGCAATTACCAGCAACTCCAGATCATAAGTCTCAGTGCAGGCAAGCTTCAGAACTAGAGGAAGGTCTCAAAATAAATTGTCCACCACACTGGGGCCACAGAAGGGCAAGGTGATAATAAAAACAATCTGGCTTATAGTATGCACAAAACCAACAGCCCGTGATAGCAGCACAGAGCCCATGAGTGGCCATGAGTACCCTGCAGTTCGTGATGGTTCTGCAGTGAAGAGGTCTGCATATTGCAATGTGCTGATCAACAGCCATAAATATGAGAAGAGTCATCTCACTGCCTCCTAAGAAGTGGAGATCTGAGCCATACAGCCCCATGAGGAAGTGGTTTTATTCTCCCTGAGAACGTCTGGACCATCTTAGAGATTGTGACTGTGGAAATAAACATACTGAGAAAGGAGAGATTTCCAAGGAGGAAGTACATAGGTGTTGAGCAAAGGGGAGGATTGGAGGTTACAGCGATTGCAGTGAGGTTTCCTGCCATGATTGCTGCATAGGCCAACAAAAATATTTAAGAAACAAAATTTCAAGTTCCCAAGTGCTGATGAATTCTAACAAAACAAACTCAGATTATTATTGAGCTGTTTCTTATATCCATCTGGTAGTTTTCAAAAGCTATTTGAAATAAAGATAGTCTGAAAAAAGTTATAATTTTACCTGTGACCATTTTGAAGATATGGACATATAGAAAGTATTTGATTCCTACAGAAAGAGAGAAGATGAACATATATGAAAAATACAATTTAATTAATTCAAGTGTCATTGACATTATTGTATTTTCTTCAATCAGAAAGGCACAAAAGATGAGAAATATATTATAAAATTCTGTAATTATGGTTTGCAGACATAGATTTTTGTCTCCACGTGCATTTATTGTCTCTATGATGAGTTCATGAGTTCTTGATGCATGAGTTCAATAGGTCCATGAGTAAAATTAGTCAAATAACTATTAGCCAAATGAGTTAGTCCAAGAGTGGATAAGAGCAAAGTTGCTTAGCTTTTTGGTGCCTAGTATTCATTCTTTTCCCTCTCTCTAATTTGAAGCATTCATACATGTGCAAGTGAGTTTACTAATACACCCAGTTTAACACATTATTTTATGGCACTTTCTTCTATCTGCTATACTATACTCTTACCTCTCTCTTTTATCCCCAAATGATATACCAATGATTTCACTTATTTCTGAAGCTTTAAGCTGGCTGCAGTCTGGCATATGTTCTTACTGTTCACCCCATGCTTTTATAATTATTTTAAAATGTTAACTTTCTAGAAAGTTTCTAGATAAAATCAAAAATGTTTCCCAGGGTCCAGATGTATTTTTTTTTCTTTTAGTGTAGTATTTTGTGTCATAATTTGGTTACTGTACAAAACTCCTACCATTACTGTGCAGACCTCTTGCTTATTTTCCTGAATCTCATGTTGTTGGGCTCCTGGCTGGAGTGCTTTCTTTCTTGTCCCTTTGCAATCTGTGTTTTGTAGACAGTCTCTGAGCAACCAACAATCCTTTATGTTTGTGTTTCCTTGGCTTTTAAATGCATATCTTCCTGTACCCAGTGCTTTCCTCTGATATTTCACACACATGCAAACTGCCTCCTGACTATTTTACTGGCTCTTACATCCTTGACACTTGTATTCTATATGTCTTCCCACATTGAGCTGACACTTTCGGCTCACTTCCACTAGGTTGGTGCAAAAGTAATTGCGGTTTTGCACCAACCTAATATCTTCCGTTTAGATTTGATTCAGAAATTTAATCCTAGCTTCCTTTTCCTTCTCTTTTATTTTTATGACAATTATTAGTAAACATCACATACATACACACACACACATAGAGAGAGGGGGAGAGAGAGAGAGAGAAAAGAGACGTACACAGATGCAAATGAACATATTTATACCACATTCTAGTTCTGGAGCACCAGAAGAGAAAAAAGAAAATCTATTCTATATTTCAATTTCATGGCTTAATAGCTCATCAGATATTCAGAATACATTATTTGGCTTAAATATCTAAGTTAAAAGGAAAACCTGAAATGCCAACATTTAAATTCTAGTCCTGGCCTCAGCATTTAATAGGGAAATACACTCCTAACTCTTTTGAACATGGATTTTTTCCTGTAAAAATAAAATAATACCCAATCTTTAACCTCACAGATTGGTAGGAGGTTCTAAAGGGTAACATATATGAAATATATTTATGCATTTAATCGTATACATACAGGTGCTATGCATGTTCATTAATGAAATTCTATTCTTTAGAATTACCCCATTTTCTGGTAACTATAAAGTTACCCAAACCAATATGGACCACAGAACTTTACTTTGGAAGAATGGTAAAGAAGACTTAGTGTCAATGAAATTATTTTTCTCTATTAAATATAATTGGTAGAACTGTGTAGTTGACTACTTTATAAAAGATTAAAATTATCATCTTTAGCATCTGCTTTCAGGCAGTAATTGAATCTGCATAGTAGGTATGAAATTGTTTTTCAAAATTATGCACCTTTAATCTCCAAATACTAACAGGAGAAATTCTTGAGGAGTCTCACACAGTAATTTTTTTTAGTTTAATATGTAAAATAAGAAAATTAAGACCATAAAATTATATTTATTACTGTTTAGGCTTTTTTGAATTTTTGTAAGCATATTTTTAAAAATATCCAGCTAAGTCTATATTTAAATGGATTAAAATACATTGTTATGGATAAAATCATTCATTATGACAATTTGTGTACATGGCCAAAGATTAAATATTTTAAAAAATGTTCATTTTAAAATCAGTGCTAAAAATAAGTTAAACAAAGCAAAAGAAAACAGATCTCCTTAAGGCACAGTTAAACTTCAAATAAAAAATTTTAATTTTTGAGTATTACATGTTATACAATTAACAGTTTACTAAAAAGGAATACAAAATAACTGAATTAAATTGGATCAAATAGCATTTTATTTCTCTCTCTCTCTGGATCAAATAGCATTTGTAACTCTCTAGCATTTTCATCCCAGTCTGAGAATGGGATGAATGGCTTATGACTGGAGGACCTAGCTCTTTCAGTGCCTTTCAGGTGGCTAAAAGATGTAGCATTACTACACTTCTTTTAACTCGTTGCTTATTTAAGAATGAAAAGAATAGGATGTCCAGTACTGTGGGCATATGTTTGGTAACAAGTAATACATTTCTACAAAAGCACTAAAATAGTAGTTGGCATATGTGGAAAGGTATAACTGACAGTTATTTTTATAACAACAAGGGCTGCATGGCTTCTATTGGTCATAAGTTTTTGTTATGTTTCCTTTTCATGAAAGTGTTAAGCCATATATGGATTAATCTATGGATAATGTTCACTTATCACCAAGAAAAATGTTTGGAAAGCAAAAAATTATATTTGCTGCCAAAATAACCACTATAAATATTGTAATACACTTGTATATTCAATAGAAATATTCTCAACATTATAAGTGCAAGAAAACTTTGTTCTGATATATTTATCAAGTTAATAAAATAGAAAAAGAACCCTTTTAGATGTAGGTTAAAAAGCGCTAGTGGGTTTAGAAAATAAGGGATAGTACTTGGGTGGCAAAATTATAAAAAGTGAATATATTAGCAGTATGGCTAGACAATTCCATTAACTAAGAGGTTATATGTGTTCAGTCAAGAATACAAGTGGAGAGTAAAGGGAAATAAAAAAGAATCAATTGATTTAGCCATTTATCTCATTTGGTCATTCACAACTGTTTTCTCCCATCCAAGTACTAACCAGGCCTGACCTTGCTTAGCTTCTAAAATCAGCTGCATTCAGGGTGATATAGTCGTAGACTATCCCTAAATGTTTTCTGAATTAAAACAAATACTCAAACTATGAAAATTAAAATATAAGTAAGCAAATTAAATATTAAAATAACTCAGTGATTCTCATTTTCTTTTTTTTCAACTTTTAGTTTCAGGAGGTACATGTGCAGATTTATTACATGGATAAATTGTGTGTTGCTGATATTTGGGGTACAGATGATCTTATCACCTAGGTAGTTAGCATACTACACAATAGGTAATCTTTCAACCCTTACCCATTGCCCATCATCCTCCCTCTATATGTCTCCAGTGTCTATTATTCCCATCCCAGAGTCTGTTGTTTCCGTCTGTGTGTACTCAATGTTTAGCTCCCACATATAAGTGAGAACATGCAGTATATGGTTTTTCTGTTCCTGCATTAATTCACTTAGGATAATGGCTTCCAGCTACATGCATGTTGCTGCAGAGGAAATGATTTCATTCTTTCTTATGGCTGCATACTATTCTATGGTTTATATGAACCATATTTTCTTTTTCTGGTCCACTGTTAACAGGCACCTAGGTTGATTATATGTCTTTGCTGTTGTGAATAGTGCTGTGATTAAATGCAAATGCATATATTTTTGGTAAAACAATTTATTTTCTTTTGAGTATATACCCAGTAATGAGAGTGCTGGGTGAATGGTAGTTCTGTTCTAAGGTATTTGAGAAATATCCAAACTGCTTTCCACAGTGGCTGAACTAATTTACATTCTCATCAACAATGTATAAGCATTTCCTTTTTCTCCACAACCTCACCAAAATCTGTTATTTTTTTACTTTCTAATAAGTCATTATTAGATTAAATGTCAGACTAATCACAGATGCTAAATTTAGCAAAGGAATAACATAATTTTCATTACTTTACCATGTTATAAATTATTTTCTCTTTTATCCCCTGTGGATTAAACTAATCCAAGTTTATATTTTAAAAACAAGTTCAATTTGTAGAACCGAAGCAGAACAGTGGCTCTTCTGCTTCTTACTGTAACTAGATACACATTTTCAGATGCTAGTTGACCAAAATTATATATTACTATTTCCCTCATGATCAGAATAATATGATTTTCATTTAGTTATGTTTTACATAAAATGTTTTATTTTTAATCAATGTATATATTATAATTTGTTATCAGCACTGCTATTTAAACCTGCCAGTTTTGGCTGACTAGTGGCTTCTTCAAAGACATGTAGAAACAGTGAGATTCTGAATGTATATTGGTTATCTTTTTTACTTCCAGTAAAAATGCATGGCAATAATTTGCAGATTTTAAAAAAAGAAGGAGACAGGAAATAGATACATAAGATGCAGGCTGGTGATAAACACCAAGATGGAGTTATTAAAACAAACATACCTGCTTCCCCTAGAGGTCAGAGCAAGGACTAATTCTCTCATTGTTTAAGCAGACAGTGAATTCATCAAGTACATCAGCCCTTTGAACTTTCTCTAGAATGGGCTTTCTTTGGAAGTCCTAACTCATAGTTTGGGTGTTTTTGGGCAAACTCACTTTTAGAAAATGAAACTATGATAGATGACACTTAAAGCAATTTAAATTATTTTCATTTGATTACATGAATGTTAACATTTATAATTAATGTGATGATTAAATGTTTTTACTAAAGTAAATCAAAATAAACAATGTCTACACTGAGCAAGGCTCATGGAGAAATTCATAGAATATTGACTAATTCTTAACATAGATAATCTCCTTTTACTAAATATTGGACTGTAGAGAGAGAAAGAGTGGTGATGAGACTTTCACTATTGGTTTTTTTTTTTTTTTTGAGACGGAGTCTTGCTCTGTTGCCCAGGCTGGAGTGCAGTGCCACAATCTCGGCTCACTGCAAGTCCGCCTCCTGGGTTCACACCATTCTCCTGCCTCAGCCTCCTGAGTAGCTGGGACTACAGGCACCCAACACCACACCTGGCTAATTTTTTTGTATTTTTAGTAGAGACGAGGTTTCACTGTGTTAGCCACGATAGTCTCGATCTCCTGACCTCGTGATCTGCCCGCCTCGGCCTCCCAAAGTGCTGGGATTACAGGAGTGAGCCACGGTTCCTGGCTGGTTTTAATATTTCAATTGATGTTGAATTCTTACAAAACCATTGTGGTACCCAAGAAATGTTTGAAGTTTTGCTTTCTAAACAAATTTTGTATACTCTACTAAGGATTATTAGCCTATTGAGAACACAGAGTAAAAAGAAGAAAAAAACAAACAACCCCATCAAAAAGTGGGCGAAGGACATGAACAGACACTTCTCAAAAGAAGACATTTATGCAGCCAAAAAACACATGAAAAAATGCTCACCATCTCTGGCCATCAGAGAAATGCAAATCAAAACCACAATGAGATACTATCTCACACCAGTTAGAATGGCAATCATTAAAAAGTCAGGAAACAACAGGTGCTGGAGAAGATGTGGAGAAATGGGAACACTTTTACACTGTTGGTGGGACTGTAAACTAGTTCAACCATTGTGGAAGTCAGTGTGGCGATTCCTCAGAGGTCTAGAACTAGAAATACCATTTGATCCAGCCATCCCATTACTGGGTATATAACCAAAGGACTAAAATCATGCTGCTATAAAGACACATGCACACGTATGTTTATTGCGGCACTATTCACAATAGCAAAGACTTGGAACCAACCCAGATGTCCAACAATGATAGACTGGATTAAGAAAATGTGGCACATATACACCATGGAATACTATGCAGCCATAAAAAATGTTGAGTTCATGTCCTTTGTAGGGACATGGATGAAATTGGAAATCATCATTCTCAGTAAACTATCACAAGGACAAAAAACCAAACACCGCATATTCTCACTCATAGGTGGGAATTGAACAATGAGAACACATGGACACAGGAAGGGGAACGTCACACTCTGGGGACTGTTGTGGGGTGGGGGGAGGGGGGAGGGATGGCATTAGGAGATATACCTAATGCTAAATGACAAGTTGATGGGTGCAGCACACCAGCATGGCACATGTATACGTATGTAACTAATCTGCACATTGTGCACATGTACCCTAAAACTTAAAGTATAATAATAACAACAAAAAAAGAAAGAATGAAACTAAGGATGAGGCATTTTATCCTTGTAGTCCTGTTATTTATCCCTCTTTAAAAATAATTCCATCCCTAAGCAGCTATGTGAATTTCTTCATATTTAGCAATAATTGAAAGAATAAAATTCAATATGATCAGTGAAGCCAAAAAATTTAAACATACTAAGACCCTCGTTCTCTAAGAATGTCTTATTTGGCCTAGATTGCTAGATTATTTTCTTAACTCCAAATACAAAATTACAAGTTTTCTTTTTTATTAATTGCAATAAAATATAATTCTTTGCAATTAAATTTTCCCCTTTTTAGCCCTTTCTTTAGTTATGATTTTGGGATTTGTGTTTTATTACTTATGATCCTATATAATATTGTAAATGCCAATAGTGTGATAGACATATTATGTATGTAGAGTAATTAATATATCAGGATTATGTAACCTACCAGTTTACAGTTACCTTTAAGAAGTAACACCATTATGAAATCCTGGATACTTAATCTTCACCATCTAGTGATTTTATGTTCTGCTCTGGGTTTGAAAGGCACAGAGGCGGGGACTGTGGTGGGGTCGGGGGAGGGGGGAGGGATAGCATTGGGAGATATACCTAATGCTAGATGACACATTAGTGGGTGCAGCGCACCAGCATGGCACATGTATACATATGTAACTAACCTGCACAATGTGCACATGTACCCTAAAACTTAGAGTATAATAAAAAAAAAAAAAAAAAAAGAAAGGCACAGAGGCATAAAGGAGAAAACTAATTTCATTGTTATTACATTCCTCAGAGACTGGCAGTACACAGTCAATGGGGATTATTAAAATATCCTTTATGCCATTATGGAAAATGTAACACTGTATTTTACCTATCAAATTGGTGACATTTTAAAGGCAACAGTCAGTACTCAGGAGGGTATAGAAAGAGAACTAGAGATGAATTATGAGATTTTTGTGTGATAGTCATACATACTATTGCTGAAATTATTTTCCACAATAAACACTGATAACTATTCTATTCATGCAAAATATTAATATTTATTCTGTGTTAGTAATCTTATTTTATATGGACAAATAAAAATGTATGCATTTATTATGTGCAACATATTTTAATATATGTATACACCGTGGAATGGCTAAATCAAGCTAATCAACATATTTATTACCTCATATAATTATCATGTTTTTAGGTGCGGTAAGAACACGTAAAATTTACTCACTGATAAATTTTCAAGAATACAATATATTGTTGTCAACTATAGTCATCATAATGTACAATGGATCTCTTGAACTTATTCCTTCTATCTAACTGAAACTTCATGTTCTTTGACCAAAATCTCCCAAATAATCCCACAACCCAGTCTCTGGTTGAGCCACTATTCTACTGTCTGTTTCTATGAGTTTAAATTTTGTTTTAGATTCCACATATAAGTGAGATCATGGGATGTTTGTCTTTCTGTGCCTGGCTTGTTTCACTTAACTTAATGTCTTCCAGGGTGAAGGGGTGGGTTGCCCCTCCACAGCTGGGGGTGTTTCTTGTTAGGTGAAATGAGAGACTTGGAAAAGAAAAAGACACAGAGACAAAGTATAGAGAAAGAAATAAGGGGGCCCAGGGGACCAGCGTTCAGCAATATGGAGGATCCCGCTGGCCTCTGAGTTCCTTTAGTATTTATTGATCATTCTTGGGTGTTTCTCGGAGAGGGGGATGTGGCAGGGTCATAGGATAATAGTGGAGAGAAGGTCAGCAGATAAACAAGTGAACAAAGGTCTCTGCCTCATGAACAAGGTAAAGAATTAAGTGCTGTGCTTTAGATATGCATACACATAAACATCTCAATGCCTTACAGAGCAGTATTGCTGCCTACATGTCCCACCTCCAGCCCTAAGGTGGTTTTCCCCTATTTCAGTAGATGGAACATACAATGGGCTTTTATACCGAGACATTCCATTGCCCAGGGACGGGCAGGAGACAGATGCCTTCCTCTTGTCTCAACTGCAAAGAGGTGTTCCTTCCTCTTATGCTAATCCTCCTCAGCACAGACCCTTCATGGGTGTCGGGCTGGGGGATGGTCAGGTCTTTCCCTTCCCATGAGGCCATATTTCAGACTATCACATGGGAAGAAACCTTGGACGATACCTGGCTTTCCTAGGCAGAGGTCCCTGCGGCCTTCCGCAGTGTATTGTGTCTCTGGGTACTTGAGATTAGGGAGTGGTGATGACTCTTAAGGAGCATGCTGCCTTCAAGCATCTGTTTAACAAAGCGCGTTTTGCACAGCCCTTAATCCATTTAACCCTGAGTTGACACAGCACATGTTTCAGAGAGCACGGGGTTGGGGGTAAGGTTACAGATTAACAGCATCTCAAGGCAGAAGAATTTTTCTTAGTACAGAACAAAATGGAGTCTCCTATGTCTACTTCTTTCTACACGGACACAGTAACAATCTGATCTCTCTTTCTTTTCCCCACACAGGGTCATAGATGTTGTTACAAATTTTAGGATTTCCTTCTTTTCTAAGCCTGAATATTGTTTTGCTTGCATATATACCACATTTTCTTTATCCATTCATCACTTGATAGACACTTAGGTTGTTTCCGTGTCTTGGATGCTGCAAATAATTCTGCAATAAACATGGGAGTGCATACATGTCTTTGACATACTTATATCATATCCTTTGAATGTATGCCCAGTAATAGGATTGCTGGATCATATGGTAGTTCTAGTTTTAATATTTGTGGAACCTCCACACTGTTTTCCGTATGACTGAACCAACTTACATCCCTACCAACAGCATATAAGTGTTCCCTTTTCTTCACAACCTGGCTAATACTTGTTAACTTTCATCTTTTGGATAATAGGCATTCCATCAAGGATGAAGTGGTATGTTGTGATTTTAATTTGCATTTCCTGGATGATTGATTAGTTATGTGGAGCATTTTTCATATTCCTTTTGAACGTTTATATGTGTTCTTTTGAAAAATGCCTATTCAAGACCTCTGCTAATTTTTTAAACAATTATATGTTTTCTTGCTATTGAGCTGTGTGAGATTCTTACATATGTTGGATGTTAATTCCTTATTAGGTGCATGCTTTGCAAATAGTTTCTCCCATTTTGTAGGTTGTCTTTTTACTGTGTTGTTTCCTTGGCTGTGCAGAAGCTTCTTATTTTGATGCAATCTATTTACGTATTTTTGCTTTTGTTGCCTGTGCATTTAGGGTCATATCCAAGAAATTGTTGCCCAGATCAATATCATGAAGATTTTCTCCTGCATTTTCTTCTAGATATTTTATAACTTCAGCTCTTATGCTTAAGTCTTTAAATTGAGTTGACTTTTGCATACAGTATGAAATGAGTGTAGAATTTCATTTTTTCTGCGTTTGGATATCCTGTCGTTCCAGCACCATTTACTGAAAAGGTTTTCCTTCCTCTGTTGTGTATTCTTGAAACCTTTGTCAAAAATCAATTTACCAGAAATGTGTGGATTTATTTCTGGCTCCTCATTCTATTCCACTTGTCTGTGTGTTTGTTTTTATGCCAGTACCATGCTGTTTTGATAACTATATAGCTTTGTAATATATTTAAAAATCAAGTACGCTCATACTTCCAGTTTTGTTCTATTTGTTCAAGATTGCTTTGGCTATTCAGGTTCTTTTGTGGATTCATATAAATTTTATAGTGTTTTTTCTATTTCTGTGAAAAATGTTTATTTCAATTTTGATAGTGATTACATTGAATCTATACATCCCTTTGGATTATAAAAAATTCAAACATATTAATTTTTCCAATCCATTAACACAAGATATCTTTTCATTTATCTGTGTCTTCTTCAATTTCTTTTATCAATGTTTATAATGTTCAGCGTGACTTCCACAATGGTTGAACTAGTTTACAGTCACACCAACAGTGTAAAACTGTTCCTATTTCTCCACATCCTCTCCAGTACCTGTTGTTTCCTGACTTTTTAATGATTGCCATTCTAACTGGTGTGAGATGGTATCTCATTGTGGTTTTGATTTACATTTCTCTGATGGCCAGTGATGGTGACGATTTTTTCATGTGTTTTTTGGCTGCATAAATGTCTTCTTTTGAGAAGTGTCTGTTCATGTCCTTCGATTCCTCAGGGATCTAGAACTAGAAATACCATTTGACCCAGCCATCCCATTACTGGTTATATACCAAAAGGACTATAAATCAGGCTGCTATAAAGACACATGCACACGTATGTTTATTGTGGCACTATTCACAATAGCAAAGACTTGGAACCAACCCAGATGTCCAACAATGATAGACTGGATTAGAAAATGTGGCACATATACACCATGGAATACTATGCAGCCATAAAAAATGATGAGTTCATGTCCTTTGTAGGGACATGGATGAAATTGGAAATCATCATTCTCAGTAAACTATCGCAAGGACAAAAAACCAAGCACAACATGTTCTCACTCATAGGTGGGAATTGAACAATGAGAATACATGGACACAGGAAGGGGGACTGTTGTGGGGTTGGGGGAGTGGGGAGGGATAGCATTAGGAGATACACCTAATGCTAAATGACGAGTTAATGGGTGCAGCACACCAGCATGGCACATGTATACATATGTAACTAACCTGCACATTGTGTACATGTACCCTAAAACTTAAAGTATAATAATAAAAAATGTTCAGCGTGCAGATATATTACCTCTGATTAAATTCATTCCTAAGTATTTTTGTAGCTATTGTAAATAGAACTATTCTCTTGATATCTTTTTACATTATTAGTGTATTACATTATTAGTGTATAGAAAAGCCACTGATTCTTGTGTGTCAATTTTGTATCCTTCAAGATTAATGAATTTGTTTATTAGCTCTAACAGTTTTGTCGTGGAATCTTTAGAGTTATATATAAGAAACATATATACACACACACTCAGCACATACAGATGTCATCTGTCTATCTATCTATCTATCTATCTATCTATCTATCTATCTATCTATCTATCATCTATCTATCTATTGCTTCCTTTAGGGCACATATAAGATTATGTCATCTACAAACAGAGACTATTTAACTTTTTTTATGATTAAGGTACCTTTTATATATTTTTTTCTTGCCAATTGCTCAGGCTCAGATTTTCAGTCCTGAATGGCTAGAATGGTGCACACTTGTCTTGTTCCCAATCTTAGAGGAAAAATTTTGAACTTTCATCATTGATTATGATGTTAGCTGTGAGCTTGTCACATACGGCCTCTATTATGTTAATGTACATTCCTTTTTTATATAATTCATGGAAAGATTTTAAACATTTAAAAAAATTATTGATAGTTGACAACTAATAAATGTATATATTTATGGGGTGGGGGGTATTTCAATGCATGTTTACAATGTAAATTTATTAAATCAGGATAATTACCAAATCTGTTGCCTCACATGCTTATTTTTTGTGATGAAAACATTTAAAATTTACTCTCAGCAATTTTGAAACATAAATGCAGTATTATTTATTATAGTTGGGAAGATGTCCAGAGAATTTTTTAGCATACAAAGATGATACATTTTGTCAAATCCCTTTTCTGCATCTATTAAGATGATCATATGGTTTTTGTCTTTCATTCTTAATGTGGTGTACCACATTTATTTATTTATTTGCGTATGTTGAATCATCCTTGCATCACTGGGATATATTCCATGTGATCATGGTGAATGATCTTTTTAATATGTTATTGAATTTGATCTGCAAATATTTTGTTAAGAATGTGTGCATCAATGTTTATCAGGAATATTAGCCTGTATTTTACTTTTCTGATTTTTCAATATTTATTTTAGATTCATGAGGTACAGATTTGTTACAAACATGCAGGTTTGTTACATGAGTACATTATGTGATGTTGAGATTTGGCATACAATTGATCCCATCACCCAGGTAGTGAGTGTGATACCTAATAGTTTTTCAATCCTTATCTTCCTTTCTCCCTCCCTTACACCTCTAGTAGTCTGCATTGTCTATTGTTCCCGTGTTTATGTCAATGAGTACCCAGTGGTTAACTCTCACTTACAAGTGAAAACATACGGTATTTAGTTTTCTGTTCCTGAATTGCTTTGCTTAGGATAATGGCCTTCAGCTACATTCATATTGTGGCAAATTACATAATTTCATTCTTTTTATGGCTGTCTAGTATTCCATGATGTATATGTACCACATTTTCTTTATTCAGTCCACCATTAATGGGTGCCTAGGTTGGTTCCATGTCTTTGCTATTGTGAATAGTGCTGCAATGAACATGCACATGTATGTGTCTTCTTAGCAGAATGATTTATTTTCTTTTAGTATATACCCAGTAATGAGATTGCTGAGTCTAATGGTAGTTCTGCTTTAAGTTCTTTGAGAAATCTCCAAACTGGTTTTCACAGTGGTTACACTAATTTACATTCTCACCAACAGCTTATAAGCATTCTCTTTTCTCTGCGGCCTCACCAGCATCTTTTATTTTGTGACTTTTTGATGTCAGAGTCACTCTGGATGGTGTGAGATGGCATCTCATTGCAGTTTTGATTTGCGTTTCTCTGATGATTACTGATGTTGAACATTGTTTCATTTGTTTCTTCTTTTGAGAAGTGTCTATTCATGTCTTTTGTTTACTTTTTAATGGAATTATTTGTTTTTTGCATGCTGCATTGTTTAAGTTTCTTACAGATTCTGGATATTACACTTGTTGGATGCATAGTTTGAAATTATTTTCTCCTATTCTGTAGGTTTTCTGTTTACATTGATAGTTTCTTTTGCTGTGCAGAGCTGTTTACTTTAATGAAGTTCTACTTGCCAATTTTTGTTTTTGTTGCAATTGCTTTTGAGGACTTAGCCATAAATTCTTTTCCAAGGCCAATGTCCAGAATGCCATTTCCCAGGTTTTCTTCTAAGATTCTTATAGTTTGAGGTCTTACTTTTACATCTTTTTGAGTTACCTTTTGTATATGGTGAAAGATAGGGGCTTAGTTTCATTCTTCTGAATATGCCCAGCCAGTAATCCAAGCACCATTTGTTGAATAGGGAGTCTTACATCATTGCTTATTTTTGTTGACTTTGTCAAAGAGCAGATAGTTGTAGGTGTGCAACTTTATTTCTGGGTTCTGTATTCTGTTTCATTGGTCTACGTGTCTGTTTATGTACCATTATCATGATGTCCTGATTACTGTAGCCTTATAGTATGGTTTGAATTCAGGTAATGTGATGCCTAGGATTTTATTCCTTTTACTGATGATTGGTTTGACTACTTGGCCTCTATTAAAATCCCTTATGGATTTTAAAATAGTTTTTTTCTAATTCTATGAAAAACGACATTGCTAGTTTGATAGGAATAGCTTTAAATCTGTAGATTTCTTTTTTTTATTTTATTATTATTATACTTTAAGTTTTAGAGTACATGTACACAATGTGCAGGTTAGTTACATATGTATACATGTGCCATGCTGGTGTGCTGCACCATTAACTCGTCATTTAGCATTAGGTGTATCTCCTAATGCTATCTCTCCCCCCTCCCCCCACCCCACAACAGTCCCCAGAGTGTGATGTTCCCCTTCCTGTGTCCATGTGTTCTCATTGTTCAATTCCCACCTATGAGTGAGAACATGCGGTGTTTGGTTTTTTGTTCTTGCGATAGTTTACTGAGAATGATGATTTCCAATTTCATCCATGTTCCTACAAAGGACATGAACTCATCATTTTTTATGGCTGCATAGTATTCCATGGTGTATTTCTTTGGGCAGTGTGGCAATGTTAATGATATTGATCCTTCCAAGGAATATTGGCCTATAGTTTTATTTTCAGTATCCCTATCTAGCTTTGGTGTCAGAGTAATGGTGGCCTTATAAAATTAGTTTGGGGGCTGGGGCATGGTGGCTGATGCCTGTAATCCCAGCACTTTGTGAGGCTGAGGCAGGTGGATCACGAGGTCAAGAGATCAAGACCATCCTGGCCAATATAGTGAAACCCCGTCTCTACTAAAAATACAAAAATTAACTGGGCATGGTGGCGTGGCCTGTAGTTCCAGCTACTCGGGAGGCTGAGGCAGGAGAATCTCTTAAACCTGGGAGGTGGAGGTTGCAGTGAGCCGAGATCGCACCATTGCACTCCAAACTGGGTGACAAGAGTGAAACTCTGTCTCAAAAAAAAAAAAAAAAAAAGAATTTGGGACTGTGTGCAGTGGCTCACGCCTGTAATCCCAGCGCTTTGGGAAGCTGAGGCGGGCCGATCACCTGAAGTCAGGAGTTTGAGTTCAGCCTGGCCAGCATGGTGAAACCCCGTCTCTACTAAAATTACAAAACCTAGCTGGGCGTGGTGGCAGGCGCCTTGTAATCCTAGCTACTTGGGAGGCTGAGGCAGGAGAATCTCTTGAACCCAGGAGGTGGAGGTTGCAGTGAGCCAAGATCGCACCATTGCACTCCAGCCTGGGTGACAAGAGTGGAACTCTGTCTCAAAAAAAAAAAAAAAATTTGGGACCGTGCACAGTGGCTCACGCCTGTAATCCCAGCACTTTGGGAAGCCAAGTCGGGCAGATCACCTGAAGTCAGGAGTTTGAGTTCAGCCTGGCCAGCATGGTGAAACTCCGTCTCTACTAAAATTACAAAACTTAGCTGGGAGTGGTGGCAGGCGCCTATAATCCCAGCTACTTGGGAGGCTGAGGCAGGAGAATCTCTTGAACCCAGGAGGCAGAGGTTGCAGTGAGCCAAGATTGCGTCATTGCACTCCAGCCTGGGTGACAAGAGCGAAACTCTGTCTAAAAAAGAGTTGGGAAGTATTCATTTTTCTTTAATTTTTGGATATGTTTGAAAGGGATTGATATCAGTTCTGTAAATATCTCATAGAACTTAGCAATTAAACAATCAGGTTCTGGACTTTTCTCTGATCAGAAACTTTTTTATTAATGACTCAATCCCCTTATTCTTTATTGATTTTTTCATGTTTTCTATTTTTTCATGATTCAATGTTGATAGGTTGTGTGCATCTTGGAATTTATCTATTTTTCTGGGTCTTCCAATTTGATGGCAAATAATTGTCCATAATGGACTCATAATATTTTGTACTTCTGTGGTATCAGATGTGATGTTCATTTTCTTATTTTTATTTATTTGACTCTGTCCTTTATTGTTCTCATTTAGCTACATTAAAAGATTTGCCAGATTTGTTTATATTTTCAAAAAAAACCTGCTTTTCATTCTGTTGAACTTTTCTATTGTTTTCTAGTCTCTATTTTATTTATAGCTATTTTGTTATTTATTATTTCTTCCTTCCAGTAAATTTTAGCTTATTTTGTTGTTCTTACTCTAGTTCCTCAAGGTGTAACAGTACATTTTTTATTTGCAATCTTTCTTCTTTTTTGATGTGTTTATTGCTACATTCTTCCCTCTTAGAACTGCTTTTCCTATACATTTTGTTGTTTTTCAATTTTTATTTGTTTCAAGATTTTTTAAAAAATTTCTATTTCATTGCTTCTTTGACCTTTTGTCTATTTATAAGGTTGTGGTTTATATTCCATATATTTGTGAATTTTCTCAAATTCATCCTATTATTGATTTCTAGACTTATTGTGTTAGAAAAAGATACTTACTTAATATGATTTCAAAATTTAAAGATTTTTTCAGACTTATTTTGTGGCCTAACATGTCATCTATTTTGGAGAATGTTCTGGGCATGCTGGAGAAAAACGTACATTCTGTTGCTGTATATTCTGTTGTTGTTGTATACCCTTGCAATTTTGGCAGCGGCCCGATGTAGTCTACTTACCACCTGGTCAAGGTCACTCGCCCTGTTATCACTTGTGTAACAGTGGGCAGCTGCCTCCATTTAGGGTATGACTGAGCACATGCTGGGCATTTCTGACGAGACTCTGAGACACATAGCCTATTCTGTATGTGTCTGTTAGGTCCATTTTCTTTAAGGTGTAGCTCAACCGTAATGTTTTCTTATTGATTTTCTGTCTGAATGATTTATCCATTGTTTAAAGTTGGGTACTACACTTCCCTATTATTATTGCATTGCAGTCTATCTTTCTCTTCAGACCTACTAATATTTGCTTTATATGTTTAGGTGCTCTGCTAATGGGTGCATATATACTTACAGTTCTTATGTCTTCTGGGTACACTGATATCTTTATCATTACACAGATTTTGTCTCATTTTATAGTTTTTGACTAAAAGGCTATCTTACATCATGTAAGAATAGCTACTCCTTCTCTCTTTGATTTGCATTGGCATAGAATATCTTTTCCAATTCCTTTGTTTTCAGTCTATGTGTGTTCTTAAAGTTGAAGTCAATATCTTGTAGGCAACAAATAGTTGGGACTAGTTTGTTTTTTAAATCCATTCTGCTACTTTGTCTTTTGATTAAAGAATTTTATTTATTTAAATTTATGGTTAATATGAATAAATAAGGATGTATTATTGCCGTTTTGTTCATCATTTTCTGGTTATTTTGTTGATCTTATTTTCCTTTTTTTCCTCCCTTGCTGTCTTTATTTATAATTAGATTTCTCTCTATATATATAAATATGTGCATAATATATGTAATATATATATAATGTAAGATTTTATATACTATGACATATATTAAGACATAATACAATATATAAGATCTATTATATATATAAAGCATAGTGATATGCTTTGAATCCTTACTTTTTTGCGTGTGTGTATCTATTAAGAGTTTTTGTTTTGTGGTAACCATAAGGCTTACATAAAACATCTTATAGTTATAATGGCCTATTTTACGCTAACAATTGTACTTTGTTTGCATAAAGAACCTCTACAATTTTACTCTTCCTCTCCACAACACATTTTCTGTTTCTGATGTCACAGTTTACATATTTTGTATGTATATGCCTTAAAAATTATTGTACGTATTATTTTGATTTTTTAAATCTTTTAACCTTCATACTAAATAAGTGATTTACACACTAGCATTACAGTGTTAGAGTTCTAAATTTGACTGTGTACCTAGTTTTAACAATGAGGTTTCTTCTTTAATATGTTTTCATGTTACTAAAAGCTGTCCTTTCTTATGCTCAAAGAACTCCCATTCATGTTTCTTATAAAAAAGATTTGGTGGTAATGAAATTCCTTAGCTCTTGTTTTTCTGGGATAGTCTTTATCTCTTCTTCGTGTCTGAGGGAAAGTTTTGCTGGGTGAACTATTCTTCATTTGAAAGTTTCTTTCATTCAGCACTTTAAATATATCATCCTATTCTCTTCTGGCCTACAAGGTATCTGCAGAGAAATCTGTTAGCCTCACTGAAACTTCCTTACGTGTGATATGTTTGTTTTCTCTTGTTGCTTTCAGGATTGTCTCTTCATAATTCGTTTTTGAAAGTTTGATTATAACATGTCTTGGTATAGTCTCGTTTTGGACTGAATGTTTTGGAAGACATTTGAGTATCCAAACCTGAATGCTTCTATTTTCCCTAGATTTGGAAAGCTTTTAGGTACTATTTCTTCAAATAAGCTTTCTGTCCCTTTGCCACTCTTTTCTCCTTCTTTATCTCCTACAATTCAAATAGTTGCCTTCTTGATGTGATCCCTTAAATCCCATAACCTTTCTTTATTTTTTGATTTTTGAAATTTTGTCTCTTCTGACTATATATTTTCAAATACACTATCTTCAGGTTCATAGATTATTTTGCTTAACTCTGCTCTTAATGTTCTCTGTTGCATTTTACATTCATTAGCTATATTTTTTGGCTTCAGAATTTCTAGGTTTTTTTTTTTGTATTTTTAATCTCTCAGTTAAGTTTCTAATTTTGTTTGTTTCCTGATTTTTAATCAACTTTCCTCTGTATTTTCTTGACATTCTCTTAGCTCCCTCATAAATACAATTATAAAATCTTTGTCAAGCCATTCATATATCCCCATTTTGGGGCATCAGCTCCAGGAAAATTATTGAATTTCTTTTTTGGTGGTTATATGTCTCCTTGGCTTTTTATGTTTATTGATGCCTTGCATTGAGGTCTACACATTTGGTAAAACAGTCACCTCTTTTTGACTTTATGAGTTCATTTTGGTGTGGAAAAACCTTCCCCTATGAAGAGAAGGGTGCAAGGGCACTGGTTCTAACACCAGTGAAGAAGCAGCTGTGAATTCCAGGGCATCTCTATTAGTTGTGGTCAGTATTAATGAAGATCACAAGGATTCTTGACAGGCAATACTGTACATGTTCACAGTACCATTGAATGACTGATGTGGTCTTCATTGGCAATTGCTGCTAAGGTCCTTCCAATGTCTGTATCTCCTACTGGGAAAGTTGTGGCTGAAGGGATCCCCCTTGACACTGTGTCCAATTTGTGGGCCCACTCCAGGGACAGTGGCACCAGTTTCTGATGAGTGCTAACCATGAAGTGACTGTGGAGCTGAGGCCTGAAGCATGAGCACATGTAGAGGGACTATGGCTCTGGGGTGTAGGGTGGTATAGGCAGTGGTACCCAGGGTGCACATGCCCTCATTGTCATGTTCATAACAACATGTAAGGCACAGGTGCTTGTGAAGCAAACAAGGTACAAAGAACAGAAGCATAGGTATGCACAGTATTGACAGGATATAGGGAGAGATGATGAGTCCCATCTGAAGGGGCACAACAATGACTGTGTCTTGAGGGGGTTAAGGTGTGTGGCTGCATCTAACTCTTTAGAGTTTCCCAGCAAGAATGGCTGTTGGTTGCCTCAGTGGCAAAAGATGCCAATGTTTTCTGAAGAGAAGGCCTTTGGGACCATAGTTCTTGCTGCATGGCTGACAGTGATAACCTCTGCCTTTTTTTTGTCCTTTGCCATCTCTTCATGTCTTAAGTTTGCTGATCTCACCAGAAATCTTTTCTGTGAGGATATTCTTGACTTTTTGCTCCATTATATTTCTGTAGATTATTTAGTGGGCCCTTAAGCTTTCTCAGAACTATTTTGGTTTGTGCATAGCTGTCTATGTTTGTTTTTCTGTGGGGAGGATAAATACTGGTATCTCCTACTCCTTCATCTTGGCGATGTCACTCATTCTAGATTACATTAATTATAAAATTTATTATGATAAATTTTTCACGTTTAATTCTAACTTGTCTGAAATTAATAAATGATAGGATATGAGTTTTTATTATTACAATTAAATAATTCATTTTATTAAGAATGTATAATGCTCTGGCCAGGTGCGGTGGCTCATGCCTGTAATCCCAGCACTTTAGGAGGCTGAGGCATGTGGAGTTCGAGACCAGCCTGGCCAACATGGTGAAACCCCATCTCAACTCAAAATACAAAAAATTAGCCAGGCGTGGTGGCAGGTACCTGTAATCCCAGCTACTGGGGAGGCCAAGGCAGGAGAATCGCTTGAACCCGGGAGGCAGAGGTTGCAGTAAGCTGAGATGGCACCATTGCACCATTACACTCCAGCCTGGGCAACAAGAGTGAAACTCTGTCAAAAAAAATAAATAAATAAATAAAAAAGAAAGAAAACGGATAATGCTCCCTTTATATTTATTTAAATTGGAGATAAGTCTGGCTACTTTTTAGATCTATTCATTTTTGTCATTGTTTTTGTGTTCTTAAAATTTTTGTCTTCTTTTATGGCTCACAGAAAAGTTTTGTCATCTTCATTTTGTCAGCAATGTTTTTGTAACATATTTGTGGTTAAATAAAATTTGCGTATTTCCTACTTTGATGCTATACTTAATATGATTTTTCTCTTTATATTAATTCATCTTATTGCTATTGTTATCTGTAAATGTTTTATATATATATATATTTAAGTGGTAAATGGAATCAAATCTCATGTTCAATATTTTTCTAATTGGTTCTCTTCTATTTTTTGTATTATTGATAAGATAGATAATATTCACATTAAAATATTTCTCTACTATTATTTTATTACCTTATTTCATTAACTTGAAATTTTTGAGCAATATTGAATACCAATGGTGATAACTGGCTATGGTAGAACTCGTTGGTTTCCCAGTAATGATTCTTTCTTCTTTCTTGGTAATTGAAACCATATATTCTCTGGGATAGGCTGACTATGTGCTTCCATGGAGGATCAAATCTTTTTCATAAGACATCTGTCTAGGACAATCAAAGTGCTTTCACTTCACTCACCAGAGACTAGTTTAGCAATGAGCATTAACTGTGTCCCAGAGACTAGTAGTGTCCTCTGAAAGGTCATTCTCTTATTCTTCCTTGGTAAGAGACACCTAAATTCAGTTAGAGTATACTATACAGTCTACCTTAAACTTAGAAGGAGCAAATTCCAAAAAAACCCCTATATTATTGGGTAGCTCTTTGATGAAATTTGTATTGGAGCTGACTCAGTAGAGAGTTATGCCCTTTGCCTCTGCCCAACTCTGTAATTTCTGGGGTCTAATTGAGAAAAGAAAAATAACTCTGAGTATTTCAAACAGGTTATTTAGCTACTCAAGCGATGGAATAGCTAAGATGTTGAACAGGATATGTTCAGAGAAACCAAAGATGACTATCAAATGGAAGCCACTATCACATCTAAGCTGTAGGAACAAGAGAAGAGGCACTCTCACCACAGGCCAAGTGTGGGGTCGTGTTAGTTTTCTATTTCTTTCCTAGCAAATTATACAAATTTATTTGCTTCAAGCAACACAAATTCATCATTTTACAGTCCAGTAGGTTGAAGTTAAATATGAATCTCACTAGGCTAAAATCAAGGCATCAACAGGATTAAATTTTTTTCTAGAGACTTTGGGGGAATTCATTTCCAGGACTGTGGACAGGTTGTGGGCAGGATTTCACTCTGTGTGATTGTAGGACTGACATCTCCATTTCTTTGCTGGTTGCCATTCAAGGGTTATCCTTAATATTTAGATACTATCTGATCTTCCTTTGTCATGATCCCCTTCCTCTTTTAAGCCATTAACAGTGGACGGGACCCTTTGAAAGGCTCATCCCCAGCCGGGCACGGTGGCTCGTGCCTATAATCCCAGCACTTTGGGAGGCTGAGGCGGGTGGATCAGGAGGCCAGGAGATTGAGACCATTCTGGCTAACACGGTGAAACCCCGTTTCTACTAAAAATACAAAAAATTAGCCCATGTGGTGGTGGGCGCCTGTAATCCCAGCTACTCAGGAGGCTGAGGCAGGTGCTTGAACCTGGGAGGTGGAGGTTGCAGTGAGCCAAGATCGTGCCACTGCCAAGACTCTGTCTCAAAAAAAAAAAAAAAAAAAAAGGCCTTCTCTTCTGCCATGACTCTCTTTTTCTATACTGACAGGAAAGCTTTATCACTTTTAGAAATTCATGTTATTACACTGGACACATTCAAATATTCCAGGAAATCTTCTCATATCAAAGTTTGTGAACTAAATCACATAAGCGAAGTTTGTTGTTGTTGGTGGTTTTTCTTTTTTTTTCTCTCTGTTTTTTTTTTTTTTTTTTTTTTTGCACTGTAATGTATCATACTCACAAGTTTTGGGATTAGGGTCTGGACTTCATTGGGAGACCATTATTCTGCTTTCAATAGCTTATGGTCAAAAGTTAGAAATATGGTGGTTCTTGGCAGGGTGCGGTGGCTCACGCATGTAATCCCAGCACTTTGGGAGGCCAAAGAGGGCAGACTACCTGAGGTCAGGAGTCCGAGACCAGCCTGGCCAATATGGCAAAACCCAATCTCTACTAAAAATACAAAAATTAGCTGGGCATGGTGGCAAGTGCCTATAATCCCAGCTACTCAGGAGGCTGAGGCAGGAGAATCACTTGAACCTGGGAGGCGGAGGCTGCAGTGAGCCGAGATGGCGCAACTGCACTCTAGCTTGGGCAACAGAGTGAAACTCTGTCCAAAAAAAAAAAAAGAAATATGACTGTTTTTTCTACCAGGAGAGCAGGAGCCATGAACTTGATACAACTACTTGTAGAGATGTAGGCATAGGCAGTGTGCTGGGTGCAGTGAGAGGTTGAGGGGTGAAGTGGGCTTCTGTATCCCTTCCTATTAATCTACCAATGACTCTCCATTAATCTACCTGTCACTTTTATTTGTTATTTGTGACTATCAGGAATCTAGGTGACATAGAAACTTGGAAATGCATTCTTAATCAATAGGCCTCTGTATAATACAAAGCAAAACTAAAAAAAAATGAAAACTTTGCATCGGAAGAAAAACGAGCTCACGAGCTCACATCCTTTTAGTTTTCTTTATGTCTAGAATGTAAATGTGATGTGTGGAGTTTCTACAGATAGTTTGTGACATTGAGGTCAGAATATTAATCTAAAGCAAAAAATAAACAGGAAGTTTCATACTTCCTGATTTTGTGAAGCTGGCATACCAACAGTGAGGTAATATTCTATCAATTGGTTTTACAAGGAAAATAAACTTTCGTCTGATTTATTTATAACACTATAGTCTAGTTGATTACTAGCAGACTGACAGATACAAATATAATTCTGACCAGACATCTGTGAGGTAGAGTTACCCAAAGAGCATGCAAGTAAAACTTTCAATATTCCTAAGATGGAACATTAGAAAAATATTTTCTCTTTGAACATTTGTTCACCGTGAAGATCAAGTGTGAGGACAAATCCTCATTATTTAAGAAGGTAATCCTAATATTTCAGTGAAGGTTTTAGCGTTTTTATTTGTTATGGTCATGGTGAAAGATCACCTTAAAAGTAATGGACAAATATTGCACCTTGTACTTTAATCACTAAACTTTTAAGGAGATTGCATATTGTCTGGTGATCCTATTTCAGTTCTGAAGGCACTATATTCCAATACTTGGGATGATTGCTTTGACTCATTTTTTATTGACATACAGACTTCTAGCTTTTGGTGGAGTCCAGTATAAGAAAGGAATATTAGCACATCTAGCATACAGTGTGTATACTAGATCTAGTATCAAGTAGTCATACTACTCGAACCACATATCCAGGTAAAGTCTGTGGCACTACAATTGTCTGTGCTGGAGAAATACAGCATTTGTAGGTTTTGGCAAACCCTAGTAGAAGAATAACAATGTAGATTCCTAAGGTCATGTAGCTTGAACCATAGCATCTGTAGCAAAACTGGAAATACATGAATTTTAAATCAGCTCCTAGATTTCACTCTATTCTAATAAGGATGAAACATGTGATTATGGAACTTATGTTGACTATAGAAGCAGAGCTATCTACAAAAAAACTTGATTATTTGATATTAATATTCACTAGACAGCATCAAAAAAAGGCATGAAATAAACAAGATGACATAATGGCTCATCCAGTTGATATAAACTACTTGCTATTATTGAAGTAGTCATAATAGTAGAAAAGGAGGTTGTGTATGGACCCACTGCTTGGCTTCCTACTCACCAAGATCACACTTGCTGTGGTGCAATAAATGTCATCAACAAAACTAACCTGAACCCCCTAATCTGGTACCATCTTGTAGACAGAATAACCAGCCACTGGGACAAGTTGATGTTATTACCCATTTTATTCTAGATGAGACAATGACTCATCTTCATGGGAAGATATATACAGAAGGCATAGGGTTGCATTCTACATTTACAGGGTGCTATCTGAAGGTATATACAGAGTTTAATCAAAGAATTATCTTATAACATATCTGAATCCAAGTTGTAAGTGTTGACCAATAATCATGGCTCTATTGGACCTATCATTTACAGGTTATTTTAAACAGATAACTTTGATCACATTAAAAAAAAAAACTGTATGTGCTAACTCCTCTCCCTCCCATATTAAAAATTTTGGATGTCAAAATTTACACCTTTATACATTGCATATCCCTAACAGATTATTGCAGTTATTATTATTTTTATTTTTCTAATTTAATATACTTGTTATTAGAGAAAAATGCCTATATATATATTTTTTTTTCAACTTTTATTTTAGGTTTAGTGGGTACATGTACAGGTTTATAACATGGGTGAATTGCATGTCAATGAGGTTTGGTGTACAAATGATTTCATCACCCCGGTAGTGAGTGGAGTATTCAATAGGTAGTTGTTTGACCCTCATTCTCTTCCCACCCTACACTATCAAGCAGGCCCCAGTATTTATTGTTTCCCTCTTTGTATCCATGTGTACTCAATGTTTATCTTCCACTTGTAAATGAGAATGTGCAGTATTTGGTTTTCTCTTTCTGTATTAATTCACTTAGGTAATGGCCTCCAGCTACATCCATGTTGCTTCAAAGGACAGTATTTCATTCTTTTTATGGCTGCATTGTATTCCATAGTGTATATGTACCACTTTTTTTTTTTAATTCAGTCCACTGCTAATGGGCATCTAGGTTGATTCCATGTCTTTGCTATTGTGAACAGTGCTTCAGTGAATATACAAGATTGGGTGCCTTTTTGGTAGAATTCTCTGTATTCATTTGTATGTATACCCTAGTAATGAGATTGCTGGGTCAAGTGGTAGTTCTGTTTTAAGTTTTTTGAGAAATCTTTAAAATGCATTCCACAGTGGCTGAAATAATTACGTTCTCACCAGCAGTGTGTAAGAGTTCCCTTTTCTCTGCAACCTCACCAATATCTGCTTTTTAAAATTTATTTTTTATTTTTTGTAATAGCCATTCTGACTTTTGTGAGATGTGGCATTTCATTGTGGTTTTGATTTGCATTTCTCTAATGACTAGTGATGTGGAATATTTTTTCATATGTTTGTGGCCACATATGTGTCTTCTTTTGAGAAGTATCTGCTCTTGTCTTTTGGCCACTTTTTAATATGGTTGTTTGTTTTTTTCTTGTTTACTTAAGTTCATTATAGATTCTGGATATTAGAATTTTATCAGATGCATAGTTTGCATATATTTTCTCCCATTCTGTAGGTTGTCTGTTTATGCTGTCAATTGTTTCTTTTGCTGTGCAGAAGTAATTAGATCTGATTTTTTTTTGTTAACCTTTAATTTCAGAGACCTAGTCATAAAATCTTTGCCATTGCCTAAGTCCTGAACGGTATGTCCTATGTTTGTTTCCAGGGTTTTTATAGTTTTAGGTCTTACATTTAAGTCTTTAATGCACATTGAGTTGATTTTTGTATAAGATGAAAGGAAGAGATCCAGTCTCATTCTACTGCATATGGCTAGCCAGTTATTGCAATGCCATTTATTGAATACGTAGTCTTTTTTCCACTGCATGTTATTGTCAACTTTGTTGAGGATCAGATGGTTGTAAGTGTGTGGCTTTATTTTTGGGTTTTCTGTTCTGTTTCATTGGCCTATGTGTCTGTTTTTGTACAAGTACCATGCTGTTTTGTTTACTGTAGTCTCATATATAGCTTGTAGTTGGGTAGTGTGATGCCTCTTGCTTTGTTCTTTTTGATCAGAATTGATTTAGCTATTTGGGCTCCTTTTGGGGTTTCATTTGAATTGTAGAATACTTTTTTTCTAATTCTGTGAAACATAAAATTGATAGTTTAATAGAAATAGTATTTAATCTGTAAATTGCTTTGGGCAGCTATTTAATGGCTATTTTAATGATACTGATTCTTCTAATCTATGGGCATAGGATTTCTTTGCATTTGTGTCATCTCTGATATATTTCAGCAATGTTTTGTAATTCTCATTTCAGAGATCTTTCACCTCCCTGTTTAGCCATATTTCTAGGTATTTTACTCTTTTTGTGGCTTCTGTGAATGAAACTGCATTCTTGATTGGGGTCTCAGCTTGGACATTATTGGTGTATAGAAATGCTAATAATTTTTGTACATTGATTTTGTATCCCGAAACTTTACTGAAGCTGATTTTCAGATCTAGAAGTCTTTGGGCAGAGACTGCAGGTTTTCTAGGTATAGAATCATATTATTTATGAGGAGAAATAGTTTGACTTTCTCTTTTGTTATATTTATTTCTCTCTCTCGCCTGATTACTCTGGATAGGACTTCCAGTACTATGTTGAATATAAGTGATGAGAGTGAGCATTCTTATCTTGTTCCATTTCTCAGAAGGAATGCTTCCAGCTTTTTCCCATTCAGTATGATGTTGGCTGTCAGTTTGCATATATGGCTCTTATTATTTTGAGGTATGTTTCTTTGATGGCTTGTTCGTTGAATTTTTTTTAACATGAAAGGATGTTGAATTTTATCAAAATCTTTTTCTGTGTCTGTTTATATGATCATGTGGGTTCTGTTTTTAGTTCTGTTTATGTGATGAATCACATTTATTGATCTGCATATGTTGAACCAGCCTTGCATTGCAGGAATAAAACCTACTTGATTGTGGTGTATTAGCTCTTTGATATTCCACTAGATTTGATTTCCTCATACTTTGTTGATGATTTGTATATCTATGTTCATCAAGGATATTGGCATGAAATTTTCTTTCTTTGTTTTGTTTCTGCCAGGTTTTGAAATAATGCTGGCCTCATACATTAAGTTAGGGAGGAGTCTTTCCTTTTTGATATTTTGGAATAATTTCAGTAGGACTGGTACTAGCTCTTTTTTTTAAATCTGGTAGAATTTGGCTGTGAAACCATCTGGTCCAGGGCTTTTTCTGATTGGTAGATTTCTGTATTATGGATTCAATTTCAGAATTTGTGAATTAATTTTTTATGAGACAAGGTCTTATTCCATCGTCCAGGATGGAGTGCAGTGGCATAATGATAGCTCACCAAAGCCTCAAAATCCTGGGCTCAAGCAGTCCTTGCATTCAGCCTCCTGAGAGTTCTATTTTTTAATGGCCATGCTAAATATATAGGTAGTTTATACAGCTTGATTATTCAAATATATTGAGTTAGACTGTATATTTATTTTTACCAGTGAGTTTTATACCTTCAGATTTTTTATACTACTTAGTAGTTTCCTTGTCTTTCATTTTGAAGAGTTCCTTTTAGCATTTGCAAAATAGGTCTGTATTAATAAACTTTCTCAACTTTCATTCGTCTGGGAAAGTCTTTACGTATCCTTCAACACTCAAGTATTGCTTTGCTGGATACAGTATTCTTGGCTGCTAGGCTTTTTTCTTAATATTTAAATATATCATCCCAACTCCTCCTTGCCTATAAGACTTTTTTTTGTTTTTGTTTTGAGAAGCGTGCTGCCAGGCATATTGGAGCTCTTTTGTATGTTATTTGTTTCTTTTCTCTTGTTTCTTTCAGGATCCCCTCTTTGTCTTTCATCTTATACAGTTTAATTATACTATATCTTTTGATACTATTATTGGGATTGCATCTGACTTGGTGTCTTTTGTGCCTGAGTAGTTACATCTTTCTCTAGGTTTGTAAGTTGTCTGTTATTTTTAAAATAAGTTTTCTAACTCTTTGTCTTTTTCTACTCCCTTCTAAACCCCAGTAACCCAAATATCTGCTCTTTTAATGTTGTCCCATAAATCTGACAAACTTTCTTTGTTCCTTTTAATTCTGTTTTGTTTTTTCATCTCAGATCGTATATTTTTAAATAGCCTGTCTTCCTAACTCACTGATTCTTTTTTCTGCTTTACCTATTTTTGCTACTGATGCTTTCAGTTGCATTTATTTCATTCCCTGTATGTTACAGATCCAAAGTTACTGTTTGATTTTTTATTATTTTAATCTCTATGTTAAATTTCTCTGAAAAATTTAAAAACTGTCTCTCAATTTTCTTTAAGTTAACTGAGCTTCCTTAAAAACAGGTAGTTTGAGTTATTTGTCAGGCAGATCATAGATCTCCATCTCTTTAGGGTCAGCAGTTTGCATCTTATTTTATGCCAGTGATGTCAGTTTCTCTGGTTGTTCTTGGTCCTTGTGGTCATGTTTCAATATCTGTGCATTGGATGACATAGGAATGTATTGCAATCTTTGCAGTCTTGCTTTTCTGTGATTGCCCTTCTACAGTAGGCATGTTCAGGAATATTGAGAAGACTGTTGTGGTTCCTAAGCCTGTGACTGTTGAAGTCATTGTCAGCACTGCAATGACTTCAGCTGTTACAGGCTTAGAAACCACAAGGTCCATAGTGGCTGCTGTTGCCCAAGCTGGAGTCCCATGAAGAGTTGGAGGTAAGGTGAAGGTTTGCTTCTGGATTCTCAGACAGCAGCCCTGTTACCTGCAATGCTGACAGGTTTGGCTTTCTCCGAGTTTCTGAGAGGCCTTTCACTACATCATTTGATGAGTCTTTGGGTTGGCCATACTACAAATGGCTACAATGAGCTGGAAATAAACACAGGGTTGTTTCAAGCCTAGAGTTGAGACTGAGATCTTTAGACCTGTCTTCATAGTCACGGACAGCCATGTCTCCCAGGGAGTTACAGGGTGAGCAGGCCTGCTCTCAGACTGCAGTTAAGAAGAAATGAAATCAATTTATAGGGCTCTTTGAAGATTCACAATGTGATCAAAAGCAGGGCATAACACTGCAAAAACGCTATTGAACTTTCCTCTCTCCAAGTCTCCAGGCAGGCAGAGGTGTTGTTAGTCTATAGATAAGAGGAGCCAGGACTAAGATCTAGGGATGTTTGAGGAACTGTTGAAGGAAGAGGCTGGCAAGCACAGGGGCTCAGCTTAGTGTATCTCTTGGCAGGAGCTTGACTGAGTAGAACTTCTTCCAGACCACAGCTGGGAGGGACTAAAACTAACCTTCAGGGTAATTCAGAATCTGCTGTGAGACTGTTGGCAAACCCAGTCCAGTAACACCAATGGGCAAGATTCTCAGAAGTGCCCTATGTGGGCAGTATTGCTTGCATAGTACAGTTGAGGGGGGCTGGAACTGGCATTCATGGTTCTTTCTGAAACTTCTGTGGCATGGTGGCTGGCAATCCTGCCCAGGTATATCTCCCAGGAGTTATCTGCACAAGCAGAATAACTCTGGTGCTGCAGCAGAGAAGGGCTGAGGCCAAGAAAAGGCCCCTTCAGGATCTTCTGTGGGTGGGAAGCCAGTAAACCTGTCCAAATGGCTTAGATAGGTGTGTCACCCAGTAATTCCCTGCACAGGTAGGATAGTTCTCTGACTATGGCAAAAAAAAAAAAAAAAAAAAAGGTGAAGCTGGGACAGGACCCCTTCAGGATCTGTTGTTGGTCAAAGGCTGGCAAGCCTGTACCAATGGCTCAGATGACAGTGGGGCAGCTCTTTGGCTGCCACAGAGAAAGGCTGAAGCCAAGGCTCCTGCAGAATCCACTGTTGGACAGAGGCAAGCAAACCCACCCTGGTGGTCCAGAGTGTATGTCTGTGGGAGGGTATTCCCAGGCTGTAGCAGAGAGGTACCGGAACCCTACATCCCCTTTAGAGTTTGCTGTGGGACAGAGGCCAGCAAGCTCATCTATCCCAGTGGTTCAATAGGGTGTGCCTCCCTCTGGGTCCTTGTGTGAGTTGCACTATGCTAGGACCAACACTAATGGGGCTGGAACTGAGTTACAGGTTAACTTTCAGGTCTACTGCTGACACTGATTTCAGTGATAAGAGCCTATCCACTGAGGCACACTGGTGCTTGTGATTCCTCCTGGCCCCTTTGGCAGATAGTTTTGGTTGTGGGCTCAAAGCCACTTGGGGCTGTAGCCAATCCCTTCAGAAAATGTGGCCATTTCCAGGTTTGAACCCAGGAAAATGATTAGCAGTTCTGCCACCTGGATGTGGGTCTGCTCCCTCAAAATGGCTGTCCTAGGTTTTGGGATCTATTGGTGTTCCACAACCTTCTGCCTGAACCCAAAGGCTCCTTCTAAGAGACTTTTTTCTGTGAATGGGTTCAGAATTCTTATGGGAGGATATGAGTGGGTTGTCATTGTGTTATCTGGCTAATGTCACTCCAAGTCAGATTCTTGAGTTATGTGGCTGAGGCTCAAAGATCAATCTCTATGAAGGTACTTTATTTTCAGTGAGGATTTGTCTTTTCTTCCGCCATACACTTCTTAGAAAAGCATTTACTTTAATCTTCATGAATCAAGGTTGAGACAGACTTTTTTTTTCTTGGTGTCTGCTTTTGGTAGGCTGGCTTTCTTACACTTTTTTTTCAGAGTCTGAGCCCTCAGCATTGCCTGCAATCTATTCCCTCCCTGTTCAGCCTCAAAGTCCAATGCACAGTGCTTTCCCAATTTCAAACTTCTATCTAGGCAATGGATGTGTAGATGTTCTCAGAGAGAGCAATGGTTCAGTGCTGCTTTACCTTCCTGGAATGGAATTCAAGTTTTATACTGGGCCTCAGGTGTGATTTACTTTAATTTTTTTTCAATAGCTTTAAGTGATTTAAAAGATGTTTTAAATAATCTTAGCAAACATAGATGTTTTGTAACTAAAAAGTTTTAGGATCCTGAGTGTGCTATACTGACAGATACAAAAATCTTACACAGTATTTTATCAACTAGAAAATAATCTTATCTACCAGCGGATGCATATTTTACCTTTTAAATGATTGAAATTTCCTTAATATGGGTGGTGCTATAATGTATGACTGTGAAGTTTCTTGTTGTTGCAGTTTACTATGTAGCAAAGAGTCCAATGTAGTTTGTAATAGCAAGTATTCTAAACTTGCAGTATTTCTTCTCCCATTTGCTTTAAATTTATTATGTATTTGATTCTCTTTGGATTTAGTTACAGAGCTCTAATCCCTGTAGTTCCATTATTGAAGTATACGAGCACCATATGCCTTGTGTACTTCTAATATTTTTAACACATCACATCTCACAGTAAGAATACATGTTCTCCATAGTAGTAGGTTAAATTGAATATTATTATTCTAGAATATGGTTATTTCATCTTTTCTTTATTCATTAGGTATGAACTACTATGTATCAATATCTGTGCTAGATATTAGAGATCTATAGAATTCATAGGCTAAGACAAAGCAGATATTAACATATAATTACACAAGCAATTATTACCATAATATATGAGAAGGATGGAAATTGTAGCATGCCATAAATGAGTAAAATAAAGAAATCTAAACTGGCAAAGAACATGTAGGAAAAGTGATCTAAAATATAATATTTCATCTGGGTCTTCTGAGAGGTTATTACCTTGGTGAAGAGGAGATGAAAGATTCTTTTACCTAAAGGGAAGAGTTTAGAAAAAGTCAGTTAACAAGATGTCTGGTGTTTTGAACAACTTGAAAGAAGGCCAGTGTAACTCTACTATTATGGAAAAGGATAGATTGGAGCAAAATTCCAGAAGCAAGCCATATTATGAAGGCCAGTTGAGAATTTGAACCTAAGTCTTCATGCCATAAAATAGTTTTAATCCAGAAAATGACATTGAGAGTTACATTTTTATGACCTAACTCTGGCTGCTTATAGAGAATGCATTGAATGGAAGAAAGGATTTATGTAACTGATTTAGGATTAATTACAAAGCTCACCTAGCATAAGCAAGAAATGATGGTGTCTTTAATTAAGAGAAAATAAGCTTAATTATCAATGCATACTATTTCAAATTTTGAATGCACTTCTCACTTCCCTCTCCAACATGCACAAACATCAGATTTAGCTTATAAATCAGTAAAGGTTGGAATCCTACCAGAGGAAAATTTAGCTGTAATTTTATGTAAAGCCCTTAAAAAGGTAAAGCTACATGGTATATTACACAAAATAAAAAGGATTTTGTTTTTATTTTTATTTATTGAAGTTTGAAAGTCAGCTGTGTTTACTTATATTCCTCAGAGCATTTGGTTTCAAAAAGGGCTGTTCGTTTGTAGTTCTACTAAAATTGTCGTTCCATTGGCATTTTTCTCTGGCATCTTATAGTCACTGTGCTGTTGAATTTGTGGACTCATTCTTACTTTTTGCCTCCATTGATTCAAGAAACTAGAATTGCTTTTTCTGTTAACATTATTTAATTCATGACTTGTTCATGATACCTCATTTAATAATAGTATAAATTTATGAATAACATTATCAATATATATTAAAATAACCTCTAATAATATTCATATCTTCATGTATTCATTTACAGTTGTTTCTTTATTAATGAATATATTGAATGTATATGATAAAAATCCTCAATAATCTTTTTATGTTTATTTATGTCTATTTTTATGTCTATTTTGCTGCAGATCTCTATCCTTATGTTTATAAAAGTCTTAAATGTAAAATTTAAAGTAATTTAGTATTGTCTTTATGCGTTATTATTATAACATAAGAAAAGTGAAATGATGCATTATACATAATCTATTCAAACTATCTTATCGTAGCATTTAAAAGTTAATTATATAGTGCTAACATCTAGAAATTCTGTGCAGAACTAACATATTGGAACCGTAATTTTCTTATGGCCTCTTGCATTTTCTTATTTCTCAGGGTATAAATACTCGGATTCAGTAAGGGTGTGATAACTGTATAAAATACGGCAAGAGTTTTATTGCTTGCCAAACTACTGAATGGCCAAACATAGATAAAAATACAAGGTCCAAAGAACAGAGTGACCACAATGATGTGGGCAGACAATGTGGACAGCGCCTTGGAGAGCCCATGTGATGATTTTTTTGGTACACTGACCAGGATGACAATGTAAGAAACAAGCAAGAGGATGAAACAGGTGAAAGAGAGCAGCCCGCTGTCAGCAATGACAAATAATTCCAGGGTGTATGTTTCAATGCAAGCAAGCTTGATCACAAGGGGAAGATCACAAAATATGTTGTTTATGACATTGTGGCCACAGAAAGGCAAGTTCATTGTTAAAACTATCTGGCTTATGGAGTGTAAAAAACCAATTATCCATGAAAGTATCGCAAACCCCTTTAGCAGCTTGTGGCTCATGATTGTCCTATAGTGCAGGGGTTTACATATGGCTACATACCTGTCAAAGGCCATGATTATCAGAAGAGTCATCTCAGCACCCCCAAAGAAGTGCATGAAGAACATCTGGGTCACGCAGCCCCACACAGAGATGGTCTTGTGGTCAGTGAGCAAATCTATGATCATCTTGGGTGTTGTGGCAGTGGAGAGACACATGTCCAAAAAAGAGAGATTTCCAAGGAGAAAGTACAAGGGAGAATGAAGGGTTGACCTACATGTCACTGTGACCATAATGAGAATGTTTCCCATCACAGTAGCACCGTAGATCAGGGAAAATGTCACAAAGAAGAAAATTTGAAGTTCCCATCGTCCAAAAAATCCTAGTAAAATAAACTCGGTCACTAGAGATCCATTTTTAAGATCCATTTACTCAACTCAGAAAGGTTCCAGAAGTTCTTTATATACAAAGAGAATTAAAAAATAAGTCACAGTTAACACCAATATTTTCTTATTTCTATTAGTTGGTGATAATAGTTGATGATATGAGATCATATAATTTTAAATATATCAACACAGAGATTAGCTTAAATATTATATCACTTTGAAACAATTACTCTGCAGTAATTACAAATCATTTGAAGAAGTAGAAGTTCCATTTTCTATTGTTTATTCCATAAAATCATACTCTTATCAATGGATCTTGACTTTCTTACTCATTTGTTCACATATAAAGATTAGATACTAATTAATTACTTTTTATTTTGCCTTTTATTATTATAGTATTCTGTACCTGCACTTCTTGAGATTATGTTATCCCAATATATAAGGAATACAAGATTTAGAAAATGAAGAATTACATTGTTCTACATCTCTGAAGTAATTTATGAAGGTTTTTCTATGGTTCTAAACTAAATAAGCAAACAAACAAACAAAAAGCACACACACACACACACACAAATCAGGAGCAAATTATACATGGATGAAAGTATATAAATTTATTTAAAATAATTTTTCTTTTTAATATACATGTATACCTCTTTTATTGTGTTTCACTTTATTGTCCTTTGCAGTTATTTAATGTTTTATAAACTGAGGGTTTGTGACAACCCTGGATCCAGCAAGTCTATTGGCACCATTTTTCCAACAGCATGTGCTCACTTTATGTCTCTGTGTCACATTTTGGTAATTCCCAAAATATTTATTTCAAACTTTATTATTATTATTACACGTTATTTGATCTGTGACCAGTAATCTTTTATGTTACTATTTTCATTATTTTTGGGCACCACAAGCCGTGCCCATGTAGAATGGCAGACAATTGATAAATGTTGTTTCTAACGGCTCCACCAACCTACTCTTCCCTCATCTCTCTCCTTCTCTTCAGGCCTCTCTATTCTTTGAGATACAACAATATTGGATTTAGGCCAATTAATAGCTTTGCAATAGCCTCTAAGTGTTCAAGTAAAAGGAAAAGTTGCATGTCTTTTATTTGAAATAAACTAAGAAAAAACTGGAGACAGTTAAACGTTCAGTGGTTTCCAGGGGTTTGAATGAAGAAGGAGAAATGAAGAAATAAGAGAAGTACGGAGAATTTGCAGGGTATTGAAACAATTCTTATCTACTATACTTAGAAATACATAACACATTTGTCAAAACCCATAGCATGTATAACATCAAGAGTAAATCCTAATGTAAACTACAAATTTGGGGAGATAATAATGTGCAATGTAGGCTCACCAGCGGTAACGAATGTACCACTCTGGTTCAGGTTGTTAAGGGTGGGGGAGACTGTATGTGGCATCAGAGGGCACACGGGAACTCTTGTACTTCCTGCTCAATTTTGCTGTGAACTTAAAACTGCCCCAAACAATAAAGTCTGTAAAAAAGTTTTTTAAGCCAGAAGTGATTAAGCTTAGTGAGGAAAGTATGTCTAAAGCTGAGACAGGCTGAAAGCTAGTCCTCTTGCACCAAACAATTAGTCAATTGTGAATGCAAAGAAAAAGTTCTCAAAGGAAATTAAAAGTGCTACTCCAGTGAACTCATGAATGATAACAAAGTGAACCATCTTTATTGCTGATATGGAGAAAGTTTTAGGGATCTGGATAAAAGTTCAAATCAGCTACAACATTCCCTTAAGCCAAAGCCTAATCCAGGGCAAGACCCTAACTCTCTTCAATTCTGTGAAATCTGGGAGAGGAGAGAAAGTTGCAGAATAAAAGTTTGAAGCTAGCAGAGGTTAGTTCATGAGGTTGAAAGAAAGAAGCCATTCTTATTACATAAAACTACAAGGTGAAGCAGCAAGTGCTGATATAGAAGCTGCCGAAAGTTATCCAGAATATCTGACTAAGATCATTGATAAAGATGGCTATGCTAAACAACAGATTTTCAATATAGATGAAACAGCTTTCTGTTGGAAGAAGACGCTGTCTAGGATTTTGATAGCTAGAGAGGAGAAACCAATGTCTGATTTCAAAACTTCAAAAAACAGGCTGATTCTTCTGTTAAAGGCTAATGTAGCTGTTGATTTTAAGTTGAGGCTAATGCTCATTTACCATTCCAAAAATCCAAGGCCTTTATGAATTACGATAAATCTACTCTGCCTGTGCTCTGTAAATGGAACAGCAAAGCTTGCATGACAGCACATTTGTCTACAGCATGGTTTACTGGATATTTGAAGACCACTGCTGAGAATTGCTGCTCAGAAAAAAAAGATTCATTTGAAAACATTACTGCTCATTGGCAATGAACCTAGTTATGCAAGAGCTCTGCCAGAGATGTGCAATCCAATTAATGCTGCTTTCGTGTGTGCTGATTTAACATCCATTCTGCAGCCCATGGAGCAAGGAGTAATTTTCATTTTCAATCTTATTATTTAAGAAATTTTATAAGGCTATAGCTGCCATAGGGACAATGATTTCTCTGATGGATTTGGGCAAAGTAAACTTAAAACTTGCAGGAAATAATTCGCCATTTTAGATGCCACTAAGAACATTTATGATTCATGGGAGGAGATCAAAACCTCAACATTAACAGGAGTTTGGAAGAAGCTGATTCCAGTCCTCATGGATTACTTTGAAGAGTTCAAGACTTACATGGAGAAGACTTCCCATGAAGAAGGCTTTCCACGGAGAAGGTAATTGCAAATGTGGTAGAAATAGCAAGAGATCTTGAATTAGAAGAGAGTCCTGAAGATGTGACTGAATTGCTGCAATATCATGACAAAACTTTAAAACATGAGAAGTTGTTTCTTATGAATGAGCAAATAAACTGTTTTCTTTGGGGGGTGGTGGGAATGGAACCTCCTCCTGGTGAGGATGCTGTGAACACTGTTGAAATGACAACAAAGGATTTAGAATATTCCATAAGTGTAGGTGATAAAGTAGCAGCAAGGTTTAAGATGATTGGCTCCAATTTTGAAATAAGTTCTAATTTGGGTTGTATGCTGTCGAATAGCATCATATACTACAAATAAATAGTTTGTGAAATAAGGAGTCAATTGATGTGGCAAATTTTATTATTGTCTTATTTTAAGAAATTGCCACATTCATTGCAACTGTCAGCAACCAATTCCCTGATCAGTCAGCACTCATCAACATTGAGGCAAGACTGTCCAGTGGCAAAAAGATTACATCTTGTTAAAGGCTCAGATAACCGTTAACACTTTTAAAAATTAGGGTATGTGTGTTTTTTATCCATAACGCTATTACATACTTAATAGACCACAGTAAAGTATAAACATAACTTTTATATGTACTAGGAAACCAAAAAAATTGTGACTCACTTTATTGTGAAATTCACTTTATTGTAGTGGTCTGGAACCAAACCAGCAATATCTCTCAGGTATCCCTGTACTGAGAATTACAAGAAACATGGACTCAGCTTCAGATGGTTTGCGCTTGTTTTTTCAAATCCTCTGTGTTACCATTGTTCACAGTGAGGAGCTTGTGCATTGTGTATATGTGTACAGATGTGGTGGTTTAGAAGTAAATAGTAAAGTGATTTAGTCCAATGTATTACTTCTGTTTGGATGTAAAGTTTAACACTAAATCATTGTTACTCAGTTTTTTAGACAATGTTCATAGAATCTAGAGTGATCGAAAGTGGTCAACAACAATTAAGTGATTAGTATGTGCCAGGCTCCATTCTAAGTGTTTCATATACATTAATTTTTTTAATGCTCATACCATGATGTAAGTGCTATTTTTTTCTTCATGTTGCATGTAAGGAAACTGTGACATTCAAATAGTTAATGACGTATTCATGGTTACACAGCTAACATGGATGAGAGCTAGTATTCAAGCTGAGTTAGTTTGACACCAGAACCTGGGCTTATACCAATACACCGTATTGTCTCAAAAATTAAATTGCTATATATTTACAGCCAAAGTATTAATTATTGATTGAATTTGTATGGTCCATATGAGTGGGTTTGGGGATATGATTCAACAAGTATGTTGGGATCATCCCTCTATGTTACAATTAACTGCATTATTTTCTCATACAGAATGAATGCCCTATATCTAGAGAGTTTACAATCTAGAGAGACATGATTATCAAACAAAAAATAGCAAATGAGCCATGTGAGAACACATGTAATTTGGTACAAGGTATATGCAAAATGTCTTAAGAGGTTCAGAAAAACAGAGATCAATTTCAAGTGACACTTTTAGATATGACTTCAGGCTTGGTTGTATTATCTTCAAAACACTTGTAAAAACCAAGTTTTATGGTAAGCAAACAAAAAAGAATGAGGAGTAGAAAATGTGTGAGCATCTATAAAAGGAAAAGAATGAAGAGCAGTGCATATCAAGAGTGATATGTTTAGAAAGGAGACTAGATTAAGATATTTAGATGAGCAGTGCATATCAAGAGTGACATGTTTAGAAAGGAGACTGGATTAAGATATTTCGATGAATAGGAAGTGACTGGTTTCTTTTCTCCAATGACCTGTAATTCTCTCCTTGTTTGCATTCTTCCTCAGTTTTCTGTCAAAATATTGTATTATCATCATCCAAACGTAACTGCCTCTATTGTTTTCATATCTTAGATATTTTTGAGAAATGGATAATGGTAACAAATTAGAGAAAATAAAGATGATGTAAGGTTCCTGTAGGTCAACCTGTAGGAACACACTGAATGGGTACTCAATGACAGGCTGTGGCCCTGGAGGAGGCTGCATGGGTGGCCACACCTGCTTTACAGGGTTGTGTTGCATGCTTGTCATGTAAAGGAGCAAGAATTTTGCTTTTGAGACTTTTATAACAGCAGTAACAATAACTAGATATACTTGGGAAAACAACAAGAGTTGACAATTGCTAGACAGAATGAAGATAACAGCTGTAATTTGAGGGTGAATAGCTTTGCTACATGGGATTTTATGCCCTGTGATACAGTGACAACAGAAAAACTTGGGTAAGAAATCAATACAATTAAACATAAGTTGATTTAAAAAGCTTTATTTTGGCCTTTTATTTCAGAGGAAAAGCTGGCATTAATTTATGTTGATGGCTTTCTCAGCATTTGCTTCTCTTATTACTCTTCTCCCTTTGTAAGCATGCTTTCTAAAACTGTTTCTCTAGTCTACACTTAATACAGTATACCTATTATTATACTTGAGTGTACAAAAGCTATGTAGATTAATGAAAATAAATTATCATATGGCTTAGATAATTCTATTAATGAGAACAATTTTCTTTCCATTGAATAATCAATTGTACATTTTATAATAATTACTTTTACTAAATAATTTATGATATGCTCTGAAGGAAATTGAAAGTAGAATAATATATTAGGGCTGAGAGGGAACTTCGTAATCTATTATTCTACACATCTTGTTTAGTAAATGAAAAATCAAGATCCACATAATTAAGTAAATCTTCCCAGGTCATAGAGGCAGAACCACCCCCAAGAGGTCATGAGTATTAGGTGAGATGGTGTGGGTATAAACTCCTGGCAAGGCAGAAGATTGGCACTGAGGGGGTATGTGTTGAATCTATGTCATTTGTGTAAATCCAAGATTACAATCCTGGGAATTTTTCGTATAAACCCCTCTTATGAAAGGAATTAACCGAGACTCATTTTATTAAGTAGTTGAATATAAACATTTCTGCTCTTGCCCATGCATATATGATACGTATTACTTAATATAAAAATAATTTGCTAAAGTAAATATTTGCTTTTCTTTTTCTTCTAGCCATTTGAAGAAAATAATTTCAATTTTGACTGATTTTATTATTTTAAAAAAATTATACCTAATTATACTAAAACAGATGAATCTCAAAACCATTATGCTTAGTAAAATAAGTCTGACACAAAAGACCACAGGCTATATAATTCTACTTATAGAAAAGCACATGTACCCTAAAACTTAAGTATAATAATAATAAAATTAAAAAAAAAAAGAAAATGTCCAGTAAAGGCAAATCTATAGAGACAGAAAGGATATTAGTGCTAGCTTTTGGCCAAAGCTTGCTGTAAATGGGCATGATGTTTCTTTTTGTGGTGATGAAAATGGATTGATAAGATTGTGGTGATGGTTGCACAACTATGCAAATATAATAATAATTGAAATGTCTACTTAAAATGGGTGAATTTTTTAGTATATGAATTATATGCAATAAAAATTCAACTATTTTACACTTTTTTGTTTTCTCCCTAAAGTTACAATTCTCTTAAATAATTTAATTTAGTATTTTTAAATACAGTTTTCTAGTACTGTCCAGCTTCTTGAACTCAAATATATTTCACTCTGAAATAATCAAGGACATATAGCAAATCCAATTTAATCTAGTTTTAAAATTTCTTAAAAACTTAAGTTTTAAAATTTAAAACTTAAAATTTAAAATTTCTAGTTTTAATCTAGTTTTAAAATTTAATCTAGTTTTAAAATTCCTCTATTTGAATTTATATTTTTAGCTGCCATCTGGATTTGGAAGCTTGCTATTCTGCTTTCTCTACTGTTTAGAATACTCATATTGAATTTTCTAAATTATTTACATTTTCTTTATTCCCTTGGCTATGGACATCTTCTAAGGACTTCTTCCTCATTTCTGTAAGATCTCCGTTGTATTATTGTTTAATGGTAAGTTTTACATGGAGATTTTCCTAATATCTAATTATGATCACTAATTCTGTCTCTCTGCAGTTCCTTCTTCAATTGTCAACATGGTATGTTTATTTGCATGTTCTGTCAACACCTGAAAGTTTACGAAAAGAAAAAATATTCCCTACTTGCAAAAAAGAGTTGCTAGCTTTTCTATTATTTTCAATGATAGTACGAGTTTTTCTTAATGATCAGAATTTACCTTTTTTTTGTTTATTCATCATACTTAATCACTTACCATCTACGGCCCAATTTTACTCTCCAGTATCATTTTGAGGGCATATTTTCTTTCAATTTTCATATAAATTGTTAATTTCAGCTCTTTCTGAGATACTATTATGTGACCTCCCAATTAAAGAGGATCTAATACCTTACATGCCAAAGCCTTTTCCTTCCAGCCAAAACAAAACTAATTAAAATATCGTCCTCAGTATATTGAAGTTCTAATAAATCAGCTCGCTACAATATTTTTACTTACCTGTTTTAAAGGCACAGTATGAGGAACAAGTTGCTCAAGAGGTTATTCAAAATTAAAAATCTTTTTATTCTCTGTGATGCCCCATATATGATTCTGCATTCTACTTTCTGTCTTTTTAAAAAAGATGTGAACCACTTTGGGGGCAGATTTGCTGGAGCTCTGGGAATCCAAATTTCAGTGGAACTTGTTAAACCACTGAGGCTTCTGCCCTAGTATGACTGGGAGAGATGTTTACATCTGATTTCTGGCCCTATAAGATGCTGTGGCTCTCTCTGAGTGGTAGCTTGATTAAAATAGCCATGGAAGTGTTGGTTGATTGGCTGTGATATAGTAAGTATAGAGTAGACAGCTTTGATTTAATGGAACTTCCTTTCCCTCACATGACTCTCAAGCTCTCCTCTTATCTTCCCTCTAGGAACTTTGTGGGTAATTCTTAAGAAGGATAATCTTCAAACTTTTCTGCACATAGTTCTTCAATATAAATAATTTACATGCATATGTTATAAATGTACTATTAAAAGTGAATAATATGTATAAAGAAAGCATACTAAAGAAGTAGAAATTTGAAAGTAAGTTGTGTTGAATAATTTAAAGTTTGACATTAGAAATGATACAATTGTTTTGTGTTCACCAAAATATAAACAATTATTTTTTGATTAGGTACCTTGCTTTGAGATATTCAGAGAATATCTATCTGTAGCAAAAAAGAGTTTCATAATTATTGCCATTTTACTATACAATATACAATAAATATTTGTTTTACAAGATGTTGCTTTTACAAAATTAATCATATTGATGATTCTGGTACACCACATATCTCAGGCTTCATAGTTTATTTGAATAACTTGCTATCAAGGGATGTTGTGAATAAATTCAAATTAATTGACATTTGTCACTATTTCGAAGTCTTTGCTTAGTCCCTGTTAAATTCACCACTTAACCTATGGCTTAATCTAGATTTTTCTCATAGACTCTTTTATTGAAGGAGTCATAACAGTTAATTTAAATTTTTTTTATTATAAATGTTAGAATCACCCATACATTTTTTTTGTTTTGTTTTGTTTTGTTTTTTTGTTGTTTTTTTTTGAGACAGAGTTTTGCTCTTGTCGCCTAGACTGGAGTGCAGTTTCATGATCTCAGCTCACTGCAACCTCTGCCTTCCTGGTTCAAGCAATTCTCCTGCCTCAGCCTCCCAAGTAGCTGGGATTACAGGCACATGCCACCATGCCCGGCTAAGTTTTGTATTTTTAGTAGAGATGGGATTTCACCATGTTGGCCAGGCTGGTCTCAAACTCATGACCTCGGGTGATCCACCCCCCTCGGCCTCCCAAAGTGCCGGATTACAGGCGTGAGCTACCTCACCCGGCCACCCATACTTCTACCATGTTTGATAGCATTTGCTAACAAGGAGTGCATTTATTTATATCATGTTGCTCATTATAACCATTTATACAGTGGCAGAGAACATAAGTATTTTCTCAGTGAAATATTACTTTTGTTATTTTGCTATTTGGTAAGAAAAATTTAAACACTTTTTATTACATTTAGCTAAAAATGTAAAGTCCTCCATAACTAGAGATATTACAAAGAAAATTATATACATTTATTTTGTTGTACATATTTACTTTTTAAATGTTTTGCTGATCATGATGACTTCATAATATCACTAGCTAATAAATCAAGGCACAGTACAGATTGTCAAGTTCAATATTAATAACAAAAGTAAATCCATATTGTAAGATAATATTTCTTAATAACAGAATGTTTTTAGCTTGCTTATTATCAGTTCAGATAGTTAAATTTTGTTGTTTTACTTTGTAATGTAGCTGACAGAGTGAATTCCTACTATGTGTAGAATTATTATCACAGTCATTTTATAATTGTTCATGCGAGTTTTAATCATTAGAATTATCTTCAATCCAAAGTTAAAGTGCAAAAATATTTTTATAAGCCCCTTATAAATTTTTGGAGAACAAATTGAGCTAAAATAATATAAAATAATCTTTAATCTCTCTCTTCCCCTTAATTGGGCACACCAAAGTTGCAATATATAACAATATGCTCAAAGCAAATGAATGAGAAGGGAACTGCTTTCAACCCCTCTGCCTTTTGGTTGACTTGTACTTTCCTTAGAAAACGTTAAACATCATGTATAACACATGACCAGATAAAATACAGATTCAGCTAGGGCACCAAAAATAATGTCTATTAAATATTAGTAAAGCTTTCTAAAAATTTATCTTTTCAAATTAAAAGAGATAAACAGATATTCTTATATTTATTTTGTTACTTGCTTGTCTGCAGGCAGCTTTAAATGTATTCACCGTGCCTTGGGAAAATAAGTTTAAATAACTGGCTAACTCAGTCTTCTTTTTTGGATCAAATGTGGATTCTGACCCAATTAAATATTCCTCCAGGTCCTGTACTTCCCAGACTCATAGTTTTCTTGTTTTTATTGGTTGATTAAATGTTTAGCCTAACTTATTGACTAAAATAAAATTCTGTGATTCTTGAAATATTCCTTCCCTGTCTCAAGTACTTAATACTTTCAATTTATATTCCCTTTACCGTATATTCACTGGTAGCAGGTATTGTATTTATCAAACATCTCTACCCCTAGTTTAACGTCTTATTTTTGGTGGATTTAATAAATTTGCTGCTTCTTCACTGATGTCCTTCAACTCTCTGATGTTGTATGTATTCTCTTTTGATTTTCTTTGAAGATTTTACTGGATGACAAATTAAGCTGTTCTAATTTCAAATTTGTTTTCTGGTGGCATAAGTACTTATAGTGTAGATCTTGTTCCAAGAAATAAGGAAATTATCCACAAGTAGTTCACAAGGGACTAAAATAAGGCCTTGAAGCTAAGTATTGAACTCAGCAAAGCTCAAAGCTTTATTGAGCCTAAACTGTATGTCAGGAACTTGTCCTCAGGGAGCTTTATCATTGGAGGCTGACCCCAAATAATAAAATGCTGAGCGTAGTAATACAGATATGGCATGAGTCAAACTCTGTTTTGTGGAGTTTGCAAATTTTCTTATAAAAGAGACCCCTCTTTCACGAACAGTTTTGCCTTTAATGATAAATAGAGACTTTAAAGGCAATAGAAACTGCTAAGAGAAACCAGAAGAAAATTCTAGGCAGAAATAATTATATGTAGGAATTTATGGGAGCCTAAAATATTGTGACATAGAAGTGAACAGAAAATATCTAGTATGTTTGAAATATACCATAGATTCGTGGAGTCGTGAAGAAGGGAGAGTTTTCAGTAAGGACAGAAAAGTCAGATAAGAATTTTCAAAGATCTGAGATATCAATCAAAGCAATATGGAATATATATTATAGTTAGTTGGCAACTATGGAAGTGGTAAATTAGAGGCTATGAAGAAAATTGACTTTTTAGAAGGCTATGGTAGTGGTTCTGAGAAGTAATTACTGTGTCATTTTAACAATCCAAGTAAGAAATGGTGAAAGCCTGACCTGAGGCTGTAGAAAGTGATGAGGAGGAGGGTATGGTTAAATTATCAGATGGAATTGTGAAGATGAGATAACAGAACTGCATCACTGATGACAGTGCATATGGAGTAGAATGTGGAGTTCCAAAATATTGTCTGCAGATATTTGCATCAGAATCAGATGCTTTTGTAATAAAAATTGGAGACTTTTGGAGTGACAGAGTAAGGAGCCTGGTGGAGTCTTTCCCTAACAAAACAAACATTTGATAGAGAAACTTCTAAAAGACAATAATTTAAAGCCTCAGGAAATTGTCCTAGGGCATACAGAAAATGGAGAAATACTCTTAAGAGAGTCTTCCAAATCTCTGTAAGAACAGCAAGTCTGGGGTTTCACGCCGCTACTGCTACCTCCTCTCCTATTTCTCTCCCAGTCCTGTAATATAGAAGCCCTCCTCTGGATGCTGTACTCCAAGCAGGTGTGGGAAAAAAGGCAGGACTCCATCTTCCCTCACTTTTAGGTGGAGGGCTATGGTTTCAGGTTTCACCCTGGGAGCGTTAGGACTTAAGTATTGCAGAAGCTTTGTTCCTAGTAGACTCTGAGGAGAGGATGAGGCTATCTTTCCCTACCTAGCATCTACTTGTAGAGTGAGCAGGAACAGGCTGAGAATACTAGCGCCCTCTTATCACCTCTGTCTTTTAGCTTGCTTGTACAGCAGTCGTTTGTGCCAGAAAAGGCAAGCCAAGATGACCAGAGACTCGACTCTTCTCAGTGCCCACTCAGAGAGCAGGCATATCATCTTGGGAGAAGTGGGCTGCTGTCCCTGCTCTTGTGCACTGGCACAGAAGTTCTGCCCAGGAAGAAAGGCATGCCATAAGGATGAAAACTCTGCAGCTCCACCTGAGGGGCCTACCTTTATTTGGAACAGAGCTTCAAGAGTTCCATGTCTATAGGCATTGTCAGAAACCACAGAGATGCTGATGGAGAACAATTAAGAAGTTGCTGATAGCACCATGTTTCTGGTATCAACATGTCACATGGCAGAGTCAACATGTTTATCAAAGAGGATCAGGCAAGAGACAGATAAGAGCCCTACTGGAATCATAGATAGTCCTGGGAATAGGAGACGCTGTGGATATGTACTGGCTGCATCCACTTAGAAGAAAATCAGAGGAAGGTATGGGGCAGAAATGAAAACATTCTTAAAGCCACACACAATTCCATTGACAAAGGGTTGAAGGCTTACTGGCACAAGAAGCTTAAGCAAAACCTCTAAGCAAACACTAGCTAAATAACAAACTACACTGAACCAAGAGCAACTTCTTAGGAAGCTATGCTTACAAATACAATCACACAGATTCCTGGCAGTCTGGAGGACTGAGTGAATGTCCACATGTGTGTAATTCTCAGGAGTGATTGGAGAGGGAACATTCTAGTCCCTAAATAAATGTGGGGCAAAAATGTAAGTTTCTTGAGTTTGATAGAAGCCTCCTAGCCACACCTACGTCTAGTGATAAAGGATAAAAATCTAATTGGTCAGGAAGGATACTTAAGCAAAATCTTTGTTCCATAAGTAGCTTGTGCTGTCCTTGACATAATCCACAAGTACCAGGCTAGGAGAATTTTAAAAAGGGATACATTTGGAGTAGAGACATCAGACACTGCACACTGCAGGGGAAATCGACTTCACAGGTTTAAGCCAAGTCATTAAATAAACAACTAAACAAACAATAACAAGAAAATCATCAGTGGATGGGAGTGGTGGTCAGTAATCAGAGTTACTACAATAAAATGTCCAATGTTCAAGTGAAAAATGATGAGAAATGCAAAGATACACAAAAGTGTGACATTTACATGAAAAAAGCCAATAGAAACTGCTTTTATGGGAACCAAGATATTGCACCTAGTAGAAAGCAACTTCAAAACAGTTATTATAAATATATTTTGAGAAGTAAAGAAAGCCATGTCTAAAGAATTAAAGGAATATATGAAGTCCATGTCTTAGCAAATAAAGAATATCAATAAAGATATAGAAATTATAAAAAAAAGGACCAAATGGAAATTCAGAAGTTGAAATGTATAATAACTCAAATGAAGAAATCAATAAAGGAACTCATCAGTAGATTTGAGCTGGCACCAGTTAACTTGGAAACATATCTGTAGCAATTATGCGATCTCAACAGAGAGGGATAAAAATAAGGAAAAATAAATAGAGCCTCAGAGAATGTGGAACACTAGTAAGAGCACCTACATATGTTATGAAATGTCAACTTTGGCTTCTAGATTGGATGTTAGCCTGATAATGATCATATTACTTCAAATAGGGAGTGCAGAAAAAATAACAGGCTTTGGAAGTTAGGTAATTTAATTTTTTGCATTTGGGCTTGAGATGCCTTCAAGATAGCTGGGGAAGGGTATAGTAGGAAGTTGAAAATAAAAATGTGTGAGTAGCTCAGAAATGAGGAACAAAAAAGGTTAGATGATATTATCAACATTTAGGTTACTGCAGAAAGCAACTACCACTCTAAAGGCTAGATGAGAAAAAAAAGGAAGCAATATTATACAGAGCCCACAATTCCTGTTGGCACAGTGGCATCATTGCTGCTGTTGGAACCTCTATCCTGTATTAAAAATTAAGAGCTCATATACTTAAGGAAGCTTCAAGAGCCTTCAATATTGCTGATGCTGCTGGGACCCACCAAGACTTCTACAGTCCACAGTTGCCTGCTACAGTTACTGAGAAAGACAGAAGAGAAATCTAAGGCTTCTCCATTTTTTCATTTTTTTTCACCTTTCAGTATCATATGAATGTCTTCTACTGGCAGAAACTCACAGGAATAAGTTTACAAGAGAGTCTGGGAAATGCAGTTTTCAGGCTTGTAACTCCCTACTGTAGAGAGAAGACTATAGAGCTGACATGGGGTTGAAGGTCAACAGACAAACATTCAGAATGCTCCCCTTTGGTTACTCAGTATCAATACACATCATTCTACATTTATTTAAACTTCCAAAGAATGACAATAGCTTCAGTCTAAAGATGCATCTATCCTGCAAACAAATTAAGACACTCTGGCCTCCTTTCTCTAACTGAAAACCAAAAATCCTCATTGGTTACTATATCCATTTCTGTACGGTGTTGCCATCTTTTCGAATTCATTCATAATCCCACATTAATATTCTGTAACCTAGAGACTAAATTGTAAATTAGTCTCCTTGATAAGAAAAAATAAAAAGGAAAAAAGGAACCAGGAATTTGTGAACAAATGCAATTTATATAAAAAATTTGTAGCTTCTAAAATCATCATTTTACTAACAAATTGTGAGACAATTAATGTTCACGGCTACCTTCTTTTACTGCCTATTTTATTCCTCTTTGTATGCATTCAGATCTCCAGTGATGGTGATTCTTTACGTGGTGGAATGAATAAAAATTTTATTTTTCCTAGGTGATGTAATGTTCACTTATTTTTACTACTTGATATGCAAATAATATGAGGTACAACAGCAAATCACTTGGGTTTCAGACATGGGCTTCCCTACCCAACTGTACAACAGCAATTCTAGTATGCATTGATAATTGGAGTGAGTCAACTTGGCTGGTTTAATAAGCTCTTCTCTTTTTAATTAGAGGTGAAAGAATACTTAAATGTCTGGGATGGGTGTGGTAGGTCATGCCTGTAATCCCAGCACTTTGGGATGCCAAGGCAAGAGGATTGCTTTGAGCTCAGGAGTTCAGGACCAGCCTGGGCAGCATGGTGAAACCCCATCTCTACAAGAAATACAAAAATTAGCTGGGCATTGGTGGCTCGTGCCTGTAGTCTCAGCTACTTGGGAGGCTGAAGTTGGAGAATCACTTGAACCTGGGAGGCAGAGGCTGGAGTGAGCTGATATAGGGGCACCGCACTCTAGCCTGGGTGACAGAGCGAGACCCTGTCTCAAAACAAATGAGCAAACACACACAAACAGAAAAAAAAAAAACTGGAGGGGAAGAAGATTCAAATGTCTTGGTATTAGTGACAGTATTTACTTTCAGGTTAATAAAATACCACATATTTTCTTTTTGCAAAGATTTATTTATTGAGGACTATGATCTGTAAAGAAGTGTTCAGAAAACAAAAAAATTATGTTATTAAAATGTAGATAGGAAAGCATTTTTAGTTAGAAAAACATAGATTTTATAGTTAGGTATAGGATATGATACTGGATCTAGTACTTATATTTCTGTGGCAATTTCATTACGTTTTATAATGCTCAGTTTTGTTACCTATTGATAATATGTAAATAATATTCTCTATTTTCCTTGTTGTGAAATAGGAGAAAATTTATGGAAAGTGCCTCATACATGAATAGCACTCAATAAATTACATTTAAAAATATAATTTAATCAATAGGCAACATAAAATTACAACATAAGCAAATAACATATTGGAATAGTTTGTACTTGGAGGAAAAATCAGAATATTATATTACATGTACACTTACATGGGGATCGATTATTATATCCCAAAATATGGCTTACGTTTGGTACAAAAATCCTCCACTTCAGTGTCTTTGGATCATGATGATGACAACAATAATGATGATGCTTTTAGTGATTATAATATTTTAGTTATCAAGTTGATCTAGAACTCACAAAGTTAATCTTCATTTTTCTTAATGCTTTCTTCATGTCGTTATTCCTGAATGTGTAGATGATTGGATTTAAAAGGGGAGCAAAAATAGTTTAAAACACAGACATCAATGGAGACAGTGCTGAATGGTCTTTCACAGGTAAAGATGCAAGCTCCAAAGAACAGTACCACCACCATAATGTGGGCTGAAAGCGTGGACAGAGTTTTGGAAGACCCCCTGGAGGAATGATGTCAAATAATAATCAGGACGGTGCTATAGGAGATTAACAGAAACATGAAACACAGCAAAGAAAGTAGTCCACTGTCTGCAATGACTCATAGCTCCAAGATGTAAGTGTCTGTACAGGCAAGTTTTATCACAAGGCAGATCACACACACACAAAAATATCCACAACACTGAGACCACAGAATGGCAAAGTCACTGTGAGAACAATTTGGCTCATGGTGTGCATGAAATCCATAGTCCAGGAGCGAGGAGCAAGTCCGATGCAATGGACTTGTAATGGAGGGGTTTGCATATGGCAAATTATCTATCGATTGCCATGGCTAAGAGTAAAACCATCTCACTTCCACTTAAAAAGTGAAGGAAAAATCTCTATGTCATGCAGCCTTCATAGGAGATGGTCCTATATTCACTAATTACATTATCGATTTTCTTAGGAGTAGCAAAGGAGGCCAGGGGCATATCAGTAGATGACAGGTTGGCCAGTAGGAAGTACATGGGAGAATGCAATTGAGGATCCAGTTTCACTACAAAGATAATGATTAGGTTACTTAATTATGGATATGTAGAGAATGGAAAAATAAGATAAAGAAAATCTGTAGCTCATGAGATTTTTGAATCCCAACAAAATAAATTCAGGCACCATGGACTGATTTTGTTTTTCCATTTGTTTGTCTGTTGGCATATATGACCTAAAACAAAATAAAAATTAAATTCTGAGAGATATGAGAAATGAAATACATATGCACTTAACACTGCTTCTAAAATTCACTGAAATGTGCAAAAAGAATCAAAAGTATTGAAGAAAAATGAATCCAATATTAAAAAAAGAGTAGACATAATTTCTCAGCAAAAATTATGAATAACTGCCAATATGTTTGAATAAATTTGAAGCCATCAATATGTAACTCATATCTACATCAATCTTGAGAAAGGTGAATAACCCAGTTGGTAAGGAGGTATGGAAGTTTCCTGCCACCTCTTCAGAATTGGAGGAACAGATTTATTGGTCCTCCATAGGCAAAGAAGAGGGCCTGTCCCTCTTCAAATCTCTTTCTACACTCAAAAATCATGAGGAACATGCAAGTGAAAGAGGAGGCAAATGGTTTTTTAATTGAGAAGGATCAAGAAAAATGAAATTGATAAGATGGAATATGGAACATGAACATACTAGGAGTCACTTCTGTAGTTGCTGCTGAAAGTAAGATAAGCAGAGATGATAAACAGAATGAATCCTTGATACATGTGAATCTATGGTTGTGCAACTTGAGGTGGCCTCAATTTTCCTGAGATTGAAAGAAGGGTCCAGTATTTGAGTTTCCTCCCATGGAGCACGTGAATTAGTAGATTGGGGAGTATAGTGCTCAGAGATAGCATAATGAACATTTATTGCTGGCTTCCCTCTGCCTCACTTACTTTCTCTGACAAGCAGCTTAATGTCCAAACAGATCTCTTAAACTATCCATACCATTTATAACGATATTATAAAGTGCAGAACTCTGGTTTAAAAAAAAAGTGATTGACAGGGAACACCTCCATGTTGTTCTAGATAGGTGAAGCAGACCCATGTGAAACGATACCCATTGAAATATAAATAATGGTAGCCAAAAATTTTGAAAGAAGCTAGCTAAGACATAATAATACAGTATTTTTTAAATGAGAGCTAAAATAACCAGAAAAAGATGAAATAGTTTATATCTGACTGGAAACCTTATTTTTATTTATTTATTTGAGACAGAGTCTCGCTGTCTCACCCAGGCTGAAGTACAGTGGTGTGATCATAGCTCACCACAGCCTTGGAATCCTCGGCTCAAGCAATCCTCCCACCTCAGCCTCCAGAGTAGCTGGGACTAAGGTGCACGCCACCACTTTGGCTAATTTTTTTTTTTTATATCAAGACAAGATGTCTCATTTTGTTTCCAAGGCTTGTTTTGAACTTCCGGCTTCAAGACAGCCTCCCAGCTTGGCCTCTGAAAGTGTTGGGATTATAGGTGTCAGCCACAGTGCCCTGCCAAAGAGACCTTACTAATAGAAAAGACACAAAGTAGATTTAAATATGTTTTTTTTAATTTTATTATTATTATACTTTAAGTTTTAGGGTACACGTGCACAATGTGCAGGTTAGTTACATATGTACATATGTGCCATGCTGGTGTGCTGCACCCACTAACTCGTCATTTAGCATTAGGTATATCTCCTAATGCTATCCCTCCCCCCTTCCCCCACCCCACAACAGTCCCCGGAGTGTGATGTTCCCCTTCCTGTGTCCATATGTTCTCATTGTTCAATTACCGCCTATGAGTGAGAACATGCGGTGTTTGGTTTTTTGTCCTTGTGATAGTTTACTGAGAGTGATGATTTCCAATTTCATCCATGTCCCTACAAAGGACATGAACTCATCATTTTTATGGCTGCATAGTATTCCATGGTGTATATGTGCCACATTTTCTTAATCCAGTCTATCATTGTTGGACATTTGGGTTGGTTCAAAGTCTTTGCTATTCTGAATAGTGCCACAATAAACATACCTGTGCATGTGGCTTTATAGCAGCATGATTTATAGTCCTTTGGGTATATACCCAGTAATGAGATGGCTGGGTCAAATGGTATTTCTAGTTCTAGATCCCTGAGGAATCAGTAGCTGATTCGATCAACTGGAAGAAAGGGTGTCAGTGATTGAAGATCAAATGAATGAAATGAAGCGAGAAGACAAGTTTAGAGAAAAAAGAATAGAAAGAAACAAACAAAGCCTCCAAGAAATATGGGACTATGTAAAAAGACCAAATCTACGTCTGATTGGTGTACCTGAAAGTGATGGGGAGAATGGAACCAAGTTGAAAACACTCTGCAGGATATTGTCCAAGAGAACTTCCCAAATCTAGCAAGGCAGGCCAACGTTCAGATTCAGGAAATACAGAGAACGCCACAAAGATACTCCTCGAGAAGAGCAACTCCAAGACACATAATTGTCAGATTCATCAAAGTTGAAATGAAGGAAAAAATGTTAAGGGCAGCCAGAGAGAAAGGTTGGGTTACCCACAAAGGGAAGCCCATCAGACTAACAGCAGATCTCTCGGCAGAAACTCTACAAGCCAGAAGAGAGTGGGGGCCAATATTCAACATTCTTAAAGAAAAGAATTTTCAATCCAGAATTTCATATCTAGCCAAACTAAGCTTCATAAGTGAAGGAGAAATAAAATACTTTATAGACAAGCGAATGCTGAGAGATTTTTTTCACCACCAGGCCTGCCCTAAAAGAGCTCCTGAAGGAAGCACTAAACATGGAAAGGAAAAACTGGTACCAGCTGCTGCAAAATCATGCCAAAATGTAAAGACCATTGAGACTAGGAAGAAACTGCATCAACTAATGAGCAAAATAACCAGCTAACATCATAATGACAGGATCAAATTCACACATAACAATATTAACTTTAAATGTAAATGGACTAAATGCTCCAATTAAAAGACACAGACTGGCAAATTGGATAAAGAGTCAAGACCCATCAGTGTGCTGTATTCAGGAAACCCATCTCACGTGCAGAGACACACATAGGCTCAAAATAAAAGGATGGAGGAAGATCTACCAAGCAAATGGAAAACAAAAAAAGGCAGGGGTTGCAATCCTAGTCTCTGATAAAACAGACTTTAAACCAACACAGATCAAAAGAGACAAAGAAGGCCATTACATAATGGTAAAGGGATCAATTCAACAAGAAGAGGTAACTATCCTAAATATATATGCACCCAATACAGGAACCCCCAGATTCATAAAGCAAGTCCTTAGTGACATACAAAGAGACTTAGACTCTAACACATTAATAATGGGAGACTTTAACACCCCACAGTCAACATTAGACAGATCAACGAGACAGAAAGTTAACAAGGATACCCAGGAATTGAACTCAGCTCTGCACCAAGCAGACCTAATAGACATCTACAGAACTCTCCACACCAAATCAACAGAATATACATTTCTTTCAGCACCACACCACACCTATTCCAAAATTGACCACATACTTGGAAGTAAAGCTCTCCTCAGCAAATGTAAAAGAACAGAAATTATCACAAACTATCTCTCAGACCACAGTGCAATCAAACTAGAACTCAGGATTAAGAAACTCACTCAAAACCACTCAACTACATGGAAACTGAACAACCTGCTCCTGAATGACTACTGGGTATATAACGAAATGAATGCAGAAATAAAGATGTTCTTTGAAACCAATGAGAACAAAGACACAACATACCAGAATCTCTGGGATGCATTCAAAGCAGTGTGTAGATGGAAATTTATAGCACTAAATGCCCACAAGAGAAAGCAGGAAAAATCCAAAATTGACACCCTAACATCACAATTAAAAGAACTAGAAAAGCAAGAGCAAACACATTCAAAAGCTAGCAGAAGGCAAGAAATAACTAAAATCAGAGCAGAACTGAAGGGAATAGAGACACAAAAAACCCTTCAAAAAATTAATGAATCCAGGAGCTGGTTTTTTGAAAGGATCAACAAAATTGATAGACTGCTAGCAAGACTAATACAGAAAAAAGAGAGAAGAATCAAATAGACGCAATAAAAAATGATAAAGGGGATATCACCACGGATCCCACAGAAATACAAACTACCATCAGAGAATCCTACAAACACCTCTACGCAAATAAGCTAGAAAATCCAGAAGAAATGGATAAATTCCTCGACACATACACTCTCCCAAGACTAAACCAGGAAGAAGTTGAATCTCTGCATAGACCAATAACAGGAGCTGAAATTGTGGCAATAATCAATAGCTTACCAACCAAAAAGAGTCCAGGACCAGATGGATTCACACCCAAATTCTACCAGAGGTACAAGGGCGAACTGGTACCATTCCTTCTGAAACTATTCCAATCAATAGAAAAAGAAGGAATCCTCCCTAACTCATTTTATGAGGCCAGCATCATCCTGATACCAAAGCCAGGCAGAGACACAACAAAAAAAGAGAATTTTAGACCAATATCCTTGATGAACATCGATGCAAAAATCCTCAATAAAATACTGGCAAACCGAATCCAGCAGCATATCAAAAAGCTTATCCACCATGATCAAGTGGGCTTCATCCCTGGGATGCAAGGCTGGTTCAATATATGCAAATCAATAAATGTAATCCAGCATATAAACAGAACCAAAGACAAAAACCACATAATTATCTCAATAGATGCAGAAAAGGCCTTTGACAAAATTCAACAACCTTTCATGCTAAAAACTCTCAATAAATTAGGTATTGATGTGACGTATTTCAAAATAATAAGAGCTATCTATGACAAACCCACAGCCAATATCATACTGAATGGGCAAAAACTGGAAGCATTCCCTTTGAAAACTGGCACAAGACAGGGATGCCCTCTCTCACCACTCTTATTCAACATAGTGTTGGAAGTTCTGGCCAGGGCAATTAGGCAGGAGAAGGAAATAGAGGGTATTCAATTAGGAAAAGAGGAAGTCAAATTGTCCCTGTTTGCAGATGACATGATTGTATATCTAGAAAACCCCATTGTCTCAGCCCAAAATCTCCTTAAGCTGATAAGCAACTTCAGCAAAGTCTCAGGATACAAAATCAATGTACAAAACTCACAAGCATTCTCATACACCAACAACAGTCAAACAGAGAGCCAAATCATGAGTGAACTCCCATTTACAATTGCTTCAAAGAGAATAAAATACCTAGGAATCCACCTTACAAGGGACGTGAAGGACCTCTTCAAGGAAAACTACAAACCACTGCTCAGTGAAATAAAAGAGGATATAAAGAAATGGAAGAACATTCCATGCTCATGGGTAGGAAGAATCAATATCATGAAAATGGCCATACTGCCCAAGGTAATGTATAAATTCAATGCCATCCCCATCAAGCTACCAATGACTTTCTTCACAGAATTGGAAAAAACTACTTTAAAGTTCGTATGGAACGAAAAAAGAGCCCGCATCGCCAAGTCAATCCTAAGCCAAAAGAACAAAGTTGGAGGCATCATGCTACCTGACTTCAAACTATACTACAAGGCTACAGTAACCAAAACAGCATGGTACTGGTACCAAAACAGAGATATAGATCAATGGAGCAGAACAGAGCCCTCAGAAATAACGCCGCATATCTACAACTATCTGATCTTTGACAAACCTGAGAAAAACAAGCAATGGGGAAAGGATTCCCTATTTAATAAATGGTGCTGGGAAAACTGGCTAGCCATATGGAGAAAGCTGAAACTGGATCCCTTCCTTACACCTTATACAAAAATTAATTCAAGATGGATTAAAGACTTAAACGTTAGACCTAAAACCATAAAAAACCCTAGAAGAAAACCTAGGCATCACCATTCAGGACATAGGCATGGGTAAGGACTTCATGTCTAAAACACCAAAAGCAATGGCAACAAAAGCCAAAATTGACAAATGGGATCTAATTAAACTAAAGAGCTTCTGCACAGCAAAAGAAACTACCATCAGAGTGAACAGGCAACCCACAGAATGGGAGAAAATTTTCACAACCTACTCATCTGACAAAGGGCTAATATCCAGAATCTACAATGATCTCAAACAAATTTACAAGAAAAAAACAAGAAACCCCATCAAAAAGTGGGCAAAGGACACGAACAGACACTTCTCAAAAGAAGACATTTATGCAGCCAAAAAACACATGAAAAAATGCTCACCATCTCTGGCCATCAGACAAATGCAAATCAAAACCACAATGAGATATCACCTCACACCAGTTAGAATGGCAATCATTAAAAAATCAGGAAACAACAGGTGCTGGAGAGGATCTGGAGAAATAGGAATACTTTTACACTGTTGGTGGGACTGTAAACTAGTTCAACCATTGTGGAAGTCAGTGTGGCGATTCCTCAGGGATCTAGAACTAGAAATACCATTTGACCCAGCCATCCCATTACTGGGTTTATACCCAAAGGACTATAAATCATGCTACTAGAAAGACACATGCACACGTATGTTTATTGCGGCATTATTCACAATAGCAAAGACTTGGAACCAACCCAAATGTCCAACAATGATAGACTGGATTAAGAAAATGTGGCACATATACACCATGGAATACTATGCAGCCATAAAAAATGATGAGTTCATGTCCTTTGTAGGGACATGGATGAAATTGGAAATCATCATTCTCAGTAAATTATCGCAAGAACAAAAAACCAAACACCGCATATTCTCACTCATAGGTGGGAATTGAACAATGAGAACACATGGACACAGGAAGGGGAATGTCACACTCTGGGGACTGTTGTGGGGTGGGGGAAGGGGGGAGGGATAGCATTGGGAGAGATACCTAATGCTAGATGACGAGTTAGTGGGTACAGCACACCAGCAGGGCACTTGTATACATATGTAACTAACCTGCACATTGTGCACATGTACCCTAAATCTTAAAGTATAATAATTAAAAAAAAAAAAAGAAAAAAAAAGAAAATAATATTGGATTTTTAGGGTGGGTGAGGAGTTGATTATGAATATCCAGGAGAAGTTAGGGATTGATAAGGTAGTTATCACAGGTTTATAAAGAAGAGAGTGATATGATGAAAAATAATTTTTATAGGTAATGTTAAATTCATTCTAAGAATAAACTGTATTTGTGGGGAGATTACATTATGCAACATCTACAAAGTGGAATTCTATACACCTATTAAAAAGTTATGTTTCTATATGTTAATATAAACATATTTAAATGTAATAAGTTAAAAACTCAAGAAAAATAGCTATACATATAATATATAATCTGCAGTCTTAATAAAATGATATAAATATAAATACCTGTAACACTAACACACACACACTGTACTGAAGTGTGTATTATTTTTCTGGAAAGTTATCTAAGAAGCTCTTAAAATGTTCAGTCAGTCTTTCTGTTATCTGTGATGTGCTTTTTTCACATTGGCATAAACTACCTTTTTTTTTAAAAGATAATTAAAAGAAAAAAACATATTTTAACCAGCTTTTTAAGAATGGCTGTTCTATTTCTGATTTTAAAATACTTCAACATTCAATTTGACATTTAAAAATAAATATTGTTAAAATTCCTAATGTTGTGGATTTTTCTGTGGATTAAGTCAGCTGACTTAATCTAGATCCTGAATATGCACTACATAGTTTATTCATTCAACAGATATTCACTTAGTGTTTTTGATATGCACTATTCCAGATGTGGAGGATTTATAAACTTCTTTGTATGTATTTGAAAATTGTTCTCTTCTGTTTAAATGCAGCTTCAAAAATTGGGTTTCAAAAAGAAGCATTAGTAGGAATTCTTAAATATTAGTCATAAAACTGAAGAGAGCTATTACCTTTATAGACATATAAATGAATGGCTCTAATTACATATTTGATGAAATTTAATATTTTGCATCAAAGTTTCTCAGAGTGGGAAATTGGCCAACAGATATGTTTACATAGGGAAAAAAATACATCCCTAGTTGGATAAGTGTTCCTATGGGATTATCTCATAGAAACATATAGCACTATGGTCTCTATTTTTTCTGTTTCTGATGATTGGAAGAGTAAATTGCAGATAACTGATGGGGATACAGGAAAAGGAGATAAAAGGCCATTCCTGGGATTCACGTACGACGCCATCACGAAAGTTTTTTTCCCCTGTCTTGTAAGTAATAACAGCACAAAAAGATGACTACAAATACTTTATTTACTGAAGGTGTTTTGTAAGACCTAGATTAATTTAAAACTATTAGCAACGGAGGCAATTTTTTTAAAAGCTGAACCAATAGAACCAGTTTGTAATAAGCATGAGCCGATGACAAATTTTGTCATAAATTTAGATTATACTGAAAGAACTGTATTTCTTTTACCAACATAAATGTTACATCAAGCTAAGTCATTTTGAAACCTATGACAACCATACACAGGCCAACCAGCTAACCACTACATAGCAATAACCAGGTAAATGAATAAATGAATGCAAGCTGAAAGTGAAATTAGTCAATTACATTTGACTGTGGGTTGTTTGTACACATTGTCTAACCATCTAGAGGAGGTATTTGATGTGAATAATATGAAATGTTGAATGAACGAATTATATAAATATATATAAATATATGAAATGTATGTAATATACATGTTTAATATATATATACTATACATATACTTGACACTTCAAAAGTGTGTAGTGACTACTGCTAATACTGATCTGTGAGGGATTCATGCAAGAATGGAGCATGGAGGAAATAAGGTAAGTTTCTCAGGACCTAATTCATATTTCTTTACCAGAGTCCATTTCAAAACATGGTTCTTGAGAATCCTGGATGTATTTTTGATATCCTTTCCACATTAATAAAACTCAATATTATTCTGTGACTATAAAACTCACCAGAATCATTATCTTATTCATAGAGATCTTTATAGCAGAAAGAGGCATTCGATACCATATAGTCCAAATTCTTTTTTTCACTGAGAAGAAAACCCTCAAAAGGAGAGTTACTTGTCCTGTGTCACCCAGTGAGCAGCTTACCCAGGTGTCCTGTAGAGGTCTTCTGATTCTAATTCATGACCTATAGTTTTGTGGTTTCATGTACTATTAATGTTTTTATTTTTGTCTTCCAGAAACTTATATTCTGAATTCTACTGACTATTTGGGATACTTCTCTGGGCCATTAGTAAAATCACTGACTGACAAAATTCCACAAAAGTAAGGGTCCTTGTAAGTTCAAGTGCCTTGACTGAGTACCAAATGTGGACATCAACATGAACATTTCTTTCCAATATGCATCATTTCCCTACCCCTTATTCTCACTTATTTTGATCATTATGGGATAAAGTTGACGATATGGAAAGAGCAAACCATTCAGTGGTATCGGAATTTATTTTGTTGGGACTTTCCAAATCTCAAAATCTTCAGATTTTATTCTTCTTGGGATTCTCTGTGGTCTTCGTGGGGATTGTGTTAGGAAACCTGCTCATCTTGGTGACTGTGACCTTTGATTCGCTCCTTCACACACCAATGTATTTTCTGCTTAGCAACCTCTCCTGCATTGATATGATCCTGGCTTCTTTTGCTACCCCTAAGATGATTGTAGATTTCCTCCGAGAACGTAAGACCATCTCATGGTGGGGATGTTATTCCCAGATGTTCTTTATGCACCTCCTGGGTGGGAGTGAGATGATGTTGCTTGTAGCCATGGCAATAGACAGGTATGTTGCCATATGCAAACCCCTCCATTACATGACCATCATGAGCCCACGGGTGCTCACTGGGCTACTGTTATCCTCCTATGCAGTTGGATTTGTGCACTCATCTAGTCAAATGGCTTTCATGTTGACTTTGCCCTTCTGTGGTCCCAATGTTATAGACAGCTTTTTCTGTGACCTTCCCCTTGTGATTAAACTTGCCTGCAAGGACACCTACATCCTACAGCTCCTGGTCATTGCTGACAGTGGGCTCCTGTCACTGGTCTGCTTCCTCCTCTTGCTTGTCTCCTATGGAGTCATAATATTCTCAGTTAGGTACCGTGCTGCTAGTCGATCCTCTAAGGCTTTCTCCACTCTCTCAGCTCACATCACAGTTGTGACTCTGTTCTTTGCTCCGTGTGTCTTTATCTACGTCTGGCCCTTCAGCAGATACTCGGTAGATAAAATTCTTTCTGTGTTTTACACAATTTTCACACCTCTCTTAAATCCTATTATTTATACATTAAGAAATCAAGAGGTAAAAGCAGCCATTAAAAAAAGACTCTGCATATAAATTTAAAGCATACTTTTTAGATGAGACTTTTGAAGAGACACTCTCTTGTTTGTTTGAACATTTAAGAAACTCGTTTTTAATGTATCAGGTTCGTGCAAAAGTCATTGCGGTTTTTGCCATTAAAGTAAATGACAAAATTAAAGTAATGGCAAAAACCACTATAACTTGTGTACCAGCTAACAGTTCAAGTTCCATATGAGGAAATAGTAGATGTAATTGTTAAAAAGCAAACACCTTTTTGTGATCTTTTATGGTCAAACACATAATATCTACAGTTTGGCTTGTATACATTTAAATCCCACCTTTATCAGTTTCTCTGGTGCAAATTTGAAGAAAATAAATAAGTTCCCTGTGATTTAGTTTTTTCGTCTATACAACCTTGTTTATATGCATCTTTCATTATTATTTTAGCATGCTCTTAAACCTCAGAAAACACATTATTATTGTTAGGTTTTTTGTTGTTGTTATTGGTAATCTATGTTTAGAGAAAGCACACAGATGACATCTCATCACGGTTATTTATCCAAGTGCCTTACAGGCTAGAAAACTGCATGTTCTGGGTAATCCCTGATTAGTGTGTATTAAATTATACTAAGTTGTTTTCCATAAACACAGTGTGTTCACCATTCTTCACATATTTTGTGAGCCTACAGAATGCCAGAAGATATAGCCAGGCCTTCAAGGAACTTACAGCCTATGGATAGATCGAGCAAACTAAATTGGCAGTTGTTCCATGGCACGAACAGCACTGTTACATGATGGACAGGGTGCTTTGAGAGTGCAGGAATGGCATCTCAATCAGGGCAGGGCAGGAAGGTTTCCACTTATAGTTAGCATCAGCTAGATGGAAAAGAAAGACATTCCACGAGAAAGAAATAGTATGTTGAGAATGCATAGAAGCATGACACAGTGGAGAACCTATACATAATTTCATTGAGCTGGGTCATGGGCTATGATGTTGAGAGATGAGATAGAGAGGTAGGTCAAATGTAGTCTGATCATATAATAGAAAATATAGGACACTCTTTGGAATTCAAAACTGTGTCATGCTGAAATTTAAAAGAGAGACAGGAAGGAAAAAAAGTAAGCATAGACCATTCCTGTCCCAACTTGTACATTGTACTGCTTCTATTCCAAGTTTATCTCCCCCTTCTTAGCTCTGTTCATATTTCTCTTTGCAATCTAGGCAACTAGGCCTGTAACTGACTTGAAGGCTAAAGCAAATTTAAGGCAACTGGGTATGGGAGAAGATGTCTACTGTCTTTCAACTTCAGCATAAATCCAAAAAGAACTTTATGCCTTTTATTGGATATATTATACCTAGTATCCAGAAAAGCCATTCCAGAGACAGAAGATAAAACATTGAGTACTAGGTCTCTAACATGTTATTTTTTAGATCATTTGTTACATAAAGGGCACAGTCACATCAGCCTTAGTTGTTTCATACTGAGCAACCAATTTTATGGAGAAAACATTTTGTGTACAAGTTGAATTATTGTGACCAAGGATCCCAGCCTCAAAATGCATTTTCAAACTTTTTTTTTCTTTCTTTCTGAATCTCAGAATGTAGCCTTGTGTTGTAAGACTTTGTCTCCCTTTCCCACCAGGTACATTCATACACAGTGTTTCTTATCTAATTAAGGACTTGCTTAGAAATCCTAGGGGCCGATTTTGAAACAAACAAGGCAGGGAAACCTGGCTGCAGAATCCTCCCTTGAGAGGGGAATTACTTACAGTTAACCCACCACTACCAGGCCAAAGTCAGGAAAAGGCAAATCAGGCCTCAGGACAGACCATCACTCAAGATAACCTTCAGAACAAAACACGCAGACCTGCACGTTCCTGCACTATTCCCACATATTTCCCATATCTTTTCCGTCTTAAACTCCTTTACTTAGCCCCCAAACGGGGAATGGTCTGTTAAAGGCATGAGCCTGGCCATCCCCCACCTGCTTGCATTTGAATAAAATTGCTTTCCTTTTACCACACCTTGCTGCACTTGTTTTCAGCCTCTGAGCGGGGAGGTGGGCATGGGTGGGTGTGTTGGGGGCTCGGGGTGGGGGGAGGCGGGGGAGACTTCAGCTGGTTATATTTTAAGCTGGTTATATTATATCTAACTAGAAATAGCTCTTTTCTGAACACATACTATGAAAATACCCATAGGTTTAATATAATCTAGAGTTTTGTTTTTAAAAGGCTATTATTGATTGGTTGATGTGACTGACAATTTGTTGAGCAAATTGTCACGAATTTGTGATATAAATTATTTGTAAGTTATTTATGTATTTCTTATGTCAAGAAAAAAGCTACCAACTACTATTATGTATTTCTTATGCCAGAGAAAGCTACTAACTACTCAATATTTTTCCCAAATAATTTAGCTAATTTTCAAAACAGTATTATTTGAAAAATAATCTACCCTGTCCCCTTGTTATGTGAAATTTGTGAACTGTCTTTATTAGAAGGAGTTATTTTTTCCCTCTCCCAACATGCTAGCTACTATCAAGCATATAATACAGAAACCCTCACCCTGACAGCCAGTAGAGGCACCGCCCTCCTTCTGCCTGCCATTCACTTGCTCTCCTTCTAAGCACGTGATGTGATTTATAGATGACTGAAATTTGGAAACGAGACTGAGCATGAGGTTCTCGGCGTTTTACAGTATTGCTGTTTCAGAGGAGCCGAGGCACACAGTTCTAAACCCCAGTTAAGGGGTAGCACCTGTTTTCCATGGGCAAATTTGTTAACACCTCAAACTGTCTTCCTGTCAGGGTCCTCTGCTCTTGGAGGAATGTGTAATTTATTTTATTTATTTATTTATTTGAGACGGAGTATCACTCTGTTGCCCAGGCTGGAGTGCAGTGGCGCAATCTCTGCTCACCGCAACCTCCGCCTCCCGAGTTCAAGTGATTCTCCTCTCTCAGCCCCCTGAGTAGCTGGGATTACAGGCGCCCACCACTGCGCCTGGCTCATTTTTGTATTTTTAGTAGAGACAGGGTTTGGGCATGTTGGCCAGGGTAGTCTCGAACTCCTGACATTAGGTAATCCACTCACGTTGGCCTCCCAAAGTGCTGGGATTACAGGCGTGAGCCACTGTGCCTAGCCAGAATGTGCACTTTAGAATTATCCTTGTCTCTGCCCAGCTAAATGTTTGTTCTGCAAACTCTCTATTTAAGGGGATCCCAGGGTTAAAATTAAGGGAAAGTAGTAGGAAGACTCTTGGGGTTTTAAGTCCAGTGCAACTTTACCAGTAATAATACTGATATTTGTCTCTTCCTATTCACAATTCTACCTATGAATTTGTTCAGGACTCACAAGGGAGAAGGGAAGATTGACACTTCAGAGAACCCTACAATCAATTCATAGTACAAATATTAAGCTTTTTGTTTCATTTTTCAAGTACAGTTTACATATAGAAAAAATGACTCTTTAGTGTATGGTTTTGTGAGCTTTTATAGCAATTTATTTTTTATTATTTTAATTTTTTAAAATTTATTTTTAATTATTATGAATATATAATAGTTGCACATATTTATGAGGTACTGGAGATGTTTTGATGCAAGCAAAGAATGTATAATGAACAATTCAGGGTAATTGGCTGGATTGTTGACAAATGCCCATAGTTATATAATTATCAAATCTCAGAGATAGAACAGTTTCATCAACCCAAAAATGCTCCTGTCCCCCACAGTAGTCACCTCCTCCTTCCCATTTCCTGTCCTTGACAGTAGCCATCTGACTGTGCTCTTAGAGTTTGCTTTTTCAAGATTGTCATATAGGTAGAATCATACAGCAAATAGCCTGTTGAGGGTGGCTTTTTTCACTTGGCGCAATGTCTTCTGAGATTAGTTCAGTAGCAAGCTGATTTAATTAATGTAAATCTATATTACATTTTATTATTTTATTTTATTTGTTTTTTTGAGATGGAGTCTTGCCCTGTCACCCAGGCTGTAGTGCAGTGGCTCAATTTTGGCTCACTGCAACCTCCACCTCCCCAGTTCAAGCAATTCTCCTGCCTCAGCCTCCCAAGTAGCTGGGATTGCAGGTGTGTGCCACCATTCCTGGCTAATTTTTGTATTTTTGGTAGAGACAAAGTTTTGTCATATTGGCCAGGCTGGTCTCGAACTCCTGACCTCAAGTGGTCCACCCACCTCAGGCTCCCAAAATGCTGGGATTACAGGCACTGTGAGCCACTGTGCCTGGCCTATATTACATTTTAATATCTACCCATATAAGTACTCCCGTTACTATTCTTCCTCAAACTATCTTCGTTTGTGTCATTCGATTCTTCATTTACGTTAACTAGTGTGATTTTACCAAATAATATGAACACTATATCTTTATAACTGCATTAACCAAAACATTGTTTCAGGGATAAATATATATTGGTATTGACCACATTTGACTTTCCTATCCTAGAACGTGGTTTAATTTTTAACTTATTTGGGTCTTCTTTTGTGACTTCAGTAATGTTTTATAACTTTTTTCATTATATACTGAAAGTTACAAAACTTATGAATTATTTTATTTTAATTTTGATGAAGTAATTTTTCAATTGTATTTTTTGTTATTTCTCAAATGTTGATAATCATATATATGTATATGCATATATATATATATGTTTCTTTATTTGTAACTAGCCACTATACTAAACTCTCTAATTCAAATTTTAGTTGATTTTCTTGGGCCTACTATATAATGTCTCATATGCTATGTTTTCCTATTACCTTTTAATGTCTTATTTCATATTTTAGCTTATGACATGTCTAGGACTTAGTATTTTCTTCTGATATTTTTTCCTGAAAAGTAAATGATATGGAGATATGACATAAAAGTTCTGAGACAGTCCTCCAGCATGGATAATTCCTGATTTTAATATGTTTTTTAAATATGGTAAATATTTGACATTTGACTTTTTTAACAAAAATAAATATATTTGGAATGATGAAAACTTTACTTTGCACTTGGCTTATTTGCTATGGACAAATTTATTAATTTTGGTGGAGGTATTGTCAACATTTCTAACAGGTAGATGTAAATCTTTAATTGGTATAAAATCTAAGAAAGTGAAACTGCAGTTGAAAGTTACAACTTCCAGCCAAAACTGAAACAAGTAAAGTTTACAAGGAACTTAGCTACCACCTAGTGAATACTGTGTTTTTTTGCTTTGCTTTAAACAAGAAACCAAGAGTTAGGAAGATGGAAAATTTACTAAAATGGGCTGGAGTCTTTCCAGTCTTCTAAGAGCAAGCTAAAGGCAGACTTAAATCTTACAGCTTCCAAAGAGGCGGTCAAGCTGGTAACTCTCTCACCATTACCCAAAATAGCCTTTTTCACAGGCAAATTTGAACATTACTTTGAGATATTTCCTTCCACTGGAACCCATCAGCCAAGTTCAGAATTCCAGTGGACATCACAACCCATTAAGTCACCATTAGAAATTAAATTCTTCTGAAAGTGGCAAGGCAGATAGTAACAAGAAATGACCTGGATATCAAAACAATTGTTCATAGTTTAAAATGTATTGCCTACCATAGATTCAAAATTCAAAGTCTTTAACTTCACTAAAAGTATAAGTTATTCTTCCAAATTTCAGGAGGAACTAAAAATGTATAATACCTCTTACAATCTAATTTGCAAAGTGTAACAATTTGCTCAGAGTTATTCTTCCAAGAGATTTTACATTAAGCATAATTGGTCAGATAGATTGAAATGTCTAGAGAAAAATAGAAACTGTGTTTCAGGCTACCAAAGAAAGAGTAGTCAAAAGCAATTCTTCAGTCTGCACCCAAAATGTTGTTCTTTTTATAAAAAATGAAGAATCTGATGAAAAACTAAGCAAATAGACTGTAATTGCAGTCTTTGAGCATCTCAGTCTTAATCCCATGTTATGTATAAGAGAACTAGGGTATAGGGGAATGGTTCCTAACTTACCCAAGTTTCCATAATTAGCAAGCAAAAGAAGTGAAATTGAAATCCAGTCTGTTTTTGTAGTCTACGCACCTTTTCATAACACTATGCTACCTCAAACAGTAGGTTCTGGACACCACATTTGTAAATAACCTTCTTCCCCAAATCTAGAAACAGCATGCAATGTAAGAGTTTGTGGAGAAGAATCCCTGGGTGAATATGCAAAGACTAATTTATTGCTCTTATAAACTCAAGACAAAGAAAAGGAATGTACATTCCTACAACTGTAAAATTCACCTTCTCACACCTAGTGGGGTTTTGAAAATGATTACATGCATCCATGTGATAAAATTAGCAAATAGCATTGATTGAAAGGACTCAAACACAAAACACAAACACAAAACAGTACATAATATACAAGCACATCCATAGAAAATCTAAATGGAAATATAGCGGGTAATAGTGGCTCCCAAAATTCACATCTAACAAAAATCTCAGAATATGACCTAATTTAGAAATAGAGTTTTTCAGGTCAGGCGCGGTGGCTCACGCCTGTAATCCCAGCACTTTCGGAGGCCAAGGCAGGCAGATCACAAGGTCAGGAGATTGAGACCATCCTAGCTAATACAGTGAAACCCCTTCTCTACTAAAAATACAAAAAAATTAGCTGGGCGTGGTGGCGTGCACCTGCAGTCCCAGCTATTCGGGAGGCTGAGGCAGGAGAATGGCGTGAACCTGGGAGGCAGAGCTTACAGTGAGCCCAGATCGCACCACTGCACTCCAGCCTGGGTGACAGAGCGAGACTCTGTCTCAAAAAAAAAATAAAATAAAATAGAGTTTTGCAGAAATAATTAAGGTAAGGACCAAAATGAGATCATACTAATTAGTGTGGACACAAACTGCAATGAGTGTCTAAAAGAGACAGGAAAGGACACACACACAGAGGAAAAGGCCCAGAGATAAAGCACAACTCCAGAGATTGGAGTTGTGCTGCCACAAACCAAGGAACACCTGGGCTTTCAGAGGCTGGAGGAGGCAGGGAAGGTTTCATCCCTAAAGCCTTCAGAGGGAGGATGGGCCTGCTGACACCTTAATTTCAGACTTCTGTTCTGTAGATCTGTGAGAGAATACATTTTTGTTGTTTTAAGCCACAATGTTTGTGGTAATTTGTGATGGCAGCCCTAGAAAACTAATGCAACAGACAAAGCTGATTTCTTCTATTATAATATAATTACAGCTAAATCTAAATGTGAGCCATAAATTTGACAAAAAGTAGCGAGTTAGACGATGCAAATTGATGGCAAGAAAGTGGAAATACATGACTTCTCATACAGTTGATAGGAGGCAAACCAGTTTGGAAAGAAATTTGGAATTATTTAATTAAAATAAATATATGCATACAATACTGCTAGGAAATTCCTCTCCTGAATAGTTACTCTGAGAGAACTAGAAATACCATTTGACCCAGCAACCCCATTACTGGGTATACACCCAAAAGATTATGCATCATTCTACTATAAAGACACATACACACACATGTTTACTGCACTATTTACAATAGCAAGGACTTGGAACCAAACCAAATGCCCATCAATGATAGACAGGATTAAGAAAATACGTTACATATACACCATGAAATACTATGCAGCCATAAAAAAGGATGAGTTCATGTCCTTTGCAGGGACATGGATGAAGCTGGAAACCATCATTCTCAGCAAACTATCACAAGGACAGAAAACCAAACACCACATGTTCTCACTCATAGGTGGGAATTGAACAATGAGAACACATGGACACAGGGTGGGGAGTATCACACACTGGGGCCTGTCAGGGGGTGGGGGTCTTGGGGAGGGATAGCATTAGGAGAAATACCTAATGTAAATGACTAGTTGATGGGTGCCGCAAGCCAAGATGGCACATGTGTGCATATGCAACAAACCTGCATGTTGTGCACATGTACCATATAACTTAAAGAATAATTTTTTTAAAAATAAATAAATATTAAATAATTTTAAAAAGGCTGGGAAGGGAAGAGGGAAGAGAGAATAAAGAGGAATTGGTTAATGGACAAAAATATAGTTTGACAAAAGGAATAAGCTCTAACATTCTATAGTACAGCAGGAAAATTATAGTTTACAATAATATCATATATTTTCAAATAGCTAGAAGAGAATTGTCATGTTCCCAAAACAAGGAAAAGAAAAATGTTTGAGGTGATGGATATCCCAATCACCCTGATTTGATCACTACACATTATATACACGTATCAAAATGTAACATGTACCCCAAAAAATGTACAAGTATTATACAATAATAAATATAAAAATATAAGTATGTTCCAAAACAATAAAAAGTGATATATATATACATACATTTACATATGTTTGTGCGTGTATATGTATATATATACACAACAGAATACTACATAGCCTTTAAAAGAGGAGGAAATTCTTTCCATTGAGACAACATGAATGAAACTGGAGAACAACATGCCAAGTGAAATAAGTCAGCCACAGAAAAATACTGTATGACCTCACTTATCTGTGGAATCTGAAAAAGTTGACCTCATAGAAACAGAGTGTTAGAAAGGTGGTTACCAGAGGTTGGGGGTAGTTGGAGGGATGGAGAAAGGAAAGATATTGATCAAAGGGTACAAAATCTCAGACTGGAGGAGCAACTTTTAGTGATCTATTGCAATGTATGGTGACCACATTTAATAATAATGTATTGAAGGTATATACACATTCCTAGATATATGTATCTAGAGAGAGAGGAGGGAGAGAGAGGGAGAGATGGGATCTTGCTCTGTTGCCCAGGCATCCTGGATCTCCTGGCCCTAAGCAATTCTCCTACTTCAGCCTCCTGGGTAGCTGGGACTATTGGTGTGCAACACTACAACTGCTTGATTAGAAAAAAGAAAATTTAGAGACTCCTTGTCCAGGCTGGCCTCAAGCTCCTGACATTAAGCTATCCTCCTGCCTCAGCCTCCCAGGTAGCTGATTACAGTTACAAGCCACCACACCTGGCTTTGTATCCTATGTTTTAAAATTGCTAAAAGAATAGATTTTTAATGTCTCATCACAAAAAAAGGATAAGTCTGTGAGGTGGTACATATATTAATTAACTTGATTGGCTCTTTACATACATACATATATATAGATTTATATATACATCTATATATACAATGTATATATAGATAAAGTCTCATACAAATTATTTGTCAATTAAAAATAATTTTTAAAAAATGTATTGAACAAATATTTCACCAAGGAAAACATGTAAGTTAGCACATAAAAAGATTTTCAACATCATTATTTATTAGGAAAATGAAAATTAAAACCACAATAAGATACCATTTCATACTTTCTACAATGACTGTTCAAAATAAGATAGACAATAACAAATGCTGGTAAGAATATAGGGAAGTTACAATTCTCATGAATTGCTGCTGGGAATGTAAAATGATACAGTCACTTTGGAAAACAATTTGTCACTTTCTCAAAAAGTTAAAAGTAAAACTGTCATATGAACCATCAATTTCACAGAAGATAAATGAAAATATATGTCATCATAAATACTTGGGCACATATGCTCATAACAGCATTATTCATTATAGCCCCAACCTGAAAACAACCTAAATGTCCATCAATTGCTTATGGATAGACAAAAAGTGGTATTCAGCAATAAAAAGAAATAAAGTATTGACACATGCTACCTCATGGATGAACCTCTAATACACTATTCTAAGTGAAAAAAAGCCACTGAGAGATCTGATATTATATAATTTATATTATATTAAATATCTAAAAATTGCAAATTTATAGAGACAGAAAGTAAACTAGTGGTTGTTTTGAGCCAGATAGAGAGTAGGCATTAACTATTATGAGCTTGAAGGATCTTACTTGGGAGATGAAAATATTCTAAAACTGAGGTTTGGTGGTAGTGGCATCACTCAGTACAGTTACTAATAATCATTGAGTTGTTTACTTGAAATGGATGATTTTGTGATAGGTTAAATATATCTCAATACAGTTGTTTGAAAAAAAAAAAGGCAACCTTCTGTGTTACCTGATAAACTGGTTGGAGGAGAATTCCCAAGGCTATGTTTTGGAGTACTCAGACAACTGGATGCCTAAAAATGCCATTAATGTGGGAGACACATTAATATCTCCCCTGGATGCAGGTGTCTTATCAGGAAACATTAGTGACTACTAATCAGTAGTAACGTCTAGTTACTACTCCCCACTATTACCATTAATAAGTCATCAATACAGTAGAAAAGTTTGGCATTTGGCGAGATGTCCAGATGGTCAAAATCTCTTCCGACAGTATTATGACAGGAGAATTAACATTCTACTGGGATAAGATCATGCATGTATAGTGCTGTCATTTCAAAGTGAGTTAAAATTACTTATGACTGTTTTCCCTGATAAGAATTGAGAACACATTTGTCAGATTAATGGCTACACAATTACTAGAGCCTGTATCAGTGAATTCTAGTAAATATACTATATTCAGCACAATCGTTGCATTTGGAACTACCAACTGGTTATATTTACCTTACTCCATTTTTTGACATATTTTTTAAAAAATTTTCTTTTCTTTCCTTCCTTCATTCTCCCCTTCCTCTCACCTCTGTTTTTTCTTCTTTGTTGCTTGGTTGTTTGCTTTCCTTTTTGCAATATCAGACTGGTAAACTAAAGCTTTCTAAAATGGCAATAATCTGTCCTTCTATCAGGGATGTCATATTACTTCTAATTAGTCTTATGGTTGTAGGTGTTGCAGTTTCAGAGACTTCTGCTTAGTGTTTTCTATTTTAATGCTCATATTCTATAGGCCAAGGAACCAATGTGAAAATTCTATCAGCTACTTAGTATATCCATTCTAATTATGCATCAGGAGCCAGGGAAATTACACAAATAGACCCACTGGAGCAGACTTCATTCATCACCTAGTATCTGTATGATTTACTCTAACAGGGACCATAATGGGATTTTTGTTTCCCAGATATGAGTACTGTCTCAGACTCTAGACCTCAAATATCTGAATATTTCCCTTTATCTGCTGTTCAGTTACTCTAGTAAATGGGCATAATTCTGAAGAATGATTGGGGGAATTGTTTTTGTATACATTTACTGTAGCGTGGAGCTCTTCTTCAAGTGGACCTGGCCTCTTCTTGAATTGATCGATGCTAGATCTGATTACTCACTCGTTTTTAGAAACTGGGTAATAGATTGTTTTTATTCCATTATGGTGGCTTTTACCAATATTTTGCTTACCACTTCTTGATTTCCTTTTTCCTCCTTGGGTGATGTGAGTCAAGAAATAATTCTGTTGGGTGCCTACAGCTCTTGCTCCATCTAGTTATCATAACAGACACCTGCGGGTTAAGATCTAAGCTTTTTGTTACATACTTGTTGCACACTGTCAAAATTACTATAGTTGCCTCTGATGGCTAATGACTGCTACCCATCCTCTTAAATTCCAGGCTCCTACTGTTGTGACTGACAGTAGGGAGTCCATGCTTTAAGCTTTAGTGAAAGACCCTCTAGACCTTCCCTTGTAACCTTGTCAGTCGGTCGGTGCACTAGTATTATAAGCTAAATCCATTTGATTTTGCCAAGCTTACTTAGACTTTTGAGCCTTTCATTTAAGATATGCCAAGGCAGTTCCAGCATTTCTACCTTGGATAGAATGGATCATCATTCTGTCCAAGTTTCAAAGGTATAAAATCCTGACTTATAGAAAAGTACTTCCATGTCAATAAATTCTCCCTTATCTATCCCACACTCTGCCCCCACACATTGTTCCAAACTTCAACATTCATTCATTCTTCCAGTGCATATTAGTCAGTTCATGAAGTCCTGTTGGTTATTTCTCTTTTATCTGAGAGTAGGGTTAGTATTTCCCCAGTCTCACATTATGTACCTATACTCTAGTTATTTACCTGGAAGCAGTGAAGGTAGGTGGGACTGATCTTAAGATGAAGGTGTATTATTTTGCAGCACATACACCTTAGTTAGAGCCTTTGACTTTTTTCCAGGGAAAGTGAACGTGCTACTTTCCAGTAAGAAGGAGGAAGCCACTTCTGCTGGCCCAACATGTTCAAAGGAAGATATTCTTATATCAGATATTAGATTCTAACATTTTTCTTATTAGACCTTAGCATAAAAGAGTTTCCAGAGTTGTGAATTCAGCTTTCTTTGTAACTTCACTATTCTCACAATTAGTATCCATCCTGATTTACAGCACTGGCTGCCCCTAGACTCTAGACAATAGAGATCACTTTGTGTACTGTCATGGGGCCTTCTATATTTTTATACTGTGGCCTGAGTTGATAGTTGACTGACCTTAGCCTGTTATTTTCTTCTGCAAGCACTTCGATGCCAATTAGAAATAACCAGCCAACTCCTTATTTTTATAAAGTAGCATTGTCCTGCTATCAAATCTAGGTCTCTAACCCAACTTAAATCATCACAAGTGAGAGTCTAGTAGTTGTGATATACAGTGTGCCAGAGATTCTCATGATCTTACCTACCATCAACAATGAGGGACTGTTGCATTGGGCTAGTGAGCGATTTAATTTCAAAATCTCATTCTGAGAATCTGTTCTACAGAAGCAGGTCTAGTATTAACTGTCCTACCTTGTATTCATCCAGAAGTCTCTGAGATCAGGAATGGAGTGCAAATACTTTTACTGGGCAAAAGCGATCCTAAGAAAATCTGGTAGTTTTCTGGTAGAGTGAGGAAGTGGGACAAGGGAAGAAGAGAACCAATAAACAGCACATTACCAAACAATTTGCCACTGTAGGCAATTGAAGCAATCCTTCTTCTGGCATTCTCAATATGCCTTACTCTGCTTACTTTTTTTCCTTAGTGCTTATCATAGATGAGTCATTTATTTGTATTTATGTGTTTGTGTTTTCTGCTAGATTGTAAGTGTCAAGAGGAAAGTAATTCTTACCTATTTTATTCATTGATGCAACCTAAGGATTTATACTGTATGTATAGTTAGCTGTCCTCTTTTTTTGGCCGTAACAAAACACCATGAACCCTTCTTCGTTTGTTGAAAACACACTTTTTCATGTGTTATTATCTTCTATCACACAGATATACTTTAATTGATTTTAATTATTCTGGCAAATTTAAATTGCTTAATAATTCTTGATCTATAAATCAGTAAATTGCTTAATAATTCTTGATCTATAAATCAGTAAATTGCTTAATAATTCTTGATCTATTAATCTGTAATGTTATTATGGACATATTTTAACATAGAAATGACTAGGTCAAGATCTACTAGCATTTTTTAATGGGCCTGGTCTATGTTTCCAAAGTGTCTATCAAAAAGTTTTCCCAAATCTGCAGTGTAGGCCTGCCGGCTGGAGACCCAGGAGAGCTGATGACACAGATGAAGGTCTGAGGCAGTCTGGTGGTCTGATGGGGAATTCTCCCTTGCTTTGAAAGGCTGGTCCTTTTGTTCTATGCAGGCCTTCAACTTACTGGAGGAGCTCCGCCCGCATTATGGAGAGCAGTCCACTTTACTCAAGGCTCACCATTTTAAATGTTAATGTTATCCAAAAATGCCCTCTATGTTGTATCATAAATAAAGCCACCACATTTAGTAAATCTTTCCTTACCTCCAAATCCAGTATTCACTTAATCTGGTTGTCAAAAACTTCTCTATAATTCTTTATTTTACACAATATATCTGTACCACCTAATGACTGCATTTCAGAAACAAATCACACTGAAGCTAATAGACTGCTTCTGCAGACTTTCTTTAGTAATCATTATCTGTGTGTTTAAAAGACAGAAACAGAACTTAGATTTTGCAACTCATTTTAAGTGAAACGCAATTATCTAATGCCAATGTGCCACTTGAGACTTTTTACTATACTCAGAGGCTGCCTTGGTAGTCAAATTTCTCATAAATTTGGTAGAACTTATATACCTAATATGGAAGTAAATGTCATGTGAATAGTTGTAAATGTGATGACCATTTATCAGAATGTTTTGGAATATTTGTCTTCAGCGTGGACCCATTAGTAGAAGAATCCTGCATTAACCTTGAATGATTTGGGGAAGTAAGTAGGCTATCAATAATAAATGATGAACAAAGTAACCCACACACCTGGAGATTTCATCATGCCTGACCGTACCAATCTAGAGAAGGCAAATATTTTGGCACATATAAATCTGATGCTCCTTGTATGAGTAAATCTTTTTCAAAGTGTAATGCTTGATCAAAGTTATATAATGTGCAGAGTTGGCAAATTTTCAGCATAATTTTAGAGTGTAACTTGTTAATTTGATTATTTAGAGATAAATTTGTCATTTTATACTTGATTAACTGGATAATGGTATATATAATTCTGCTTGAATTACTAAAATAAATGCAGCTATGCTAATATAATCTGGCAGATCCATAATTATTTTTCTTTTGTCACCTGGAGAAATGAACGTGATTCATTACTGCAAATTTCCACCCTCAGATGATTTATTCCCAAGCCTTTGTTATGGTCATTGGTCACAAATGGCCCATAATTAAAGGATTCTTAATTGGTGGGTGACAGGGTATATTTATAACTTAACTCCAAGGAAGACTCAAATCTGAAGTTCTCTAACTTTAAAATAATGCTTTTCCTGAATTGTTTTTAAGATGCAGAAGAAGATGATTAAATCATCTCTGGGATAAAATATGTGTTTTCAATAGCTCCATTCAAGTATAATAGATGTAAAATATAAATTGGGTGAGCTGCAGTATCAGCACTGAGCATCTTAACTCCAGGTTAGTAAAGAACTTTTGTAATAAATATGAACATGCATGAGATATAAGTCAAATACAGACTAATTGTTATATTATTTTATATATTAAATCGTTGGATTACATCATAATAACTTGCAAGTTGAAGTTAAATTTTTTCATTATTATTTGGATTTATATTTTAATTTAAAAACACCATTGGTTTGTATACAAAATCAATGTCATTTTTTTCTGATTACAAACTTAGTATTTATTTGCTTTTAGATGATTTACACATCATAAAGAGTTCTCAGAAATTAGAACTTTAATCGAGATTATTTATTACAACATCTTTTAATATCCATTTTAAAAACATTGTTGAGGTATAATTTATATATCATAAAGTTCACTCATTTTACATGTTCAATTCAATGGTTTTTAGTGTATTTACAGAGTTGTACAACTATCACCAGTATCTAACTGTAGAACAACTTTGATTCAATAGCAAATTGAGTTCCTTTATGTTTGTTTCCCGAGTTTTCCATCTGATTATTTCAACTTTCTGTTCACTTAATCTTTATTAAAAAGTATATTAAATACAATTATGTTTTAGATTTACAAGCGAAATTTTTCAGGGACATAAAAAGGAAAAGAATATCAATAAAAGTATAGCTCTATGACCTGTGATATATGTGCTAGAATGGGTGTCAGAGGAATCTGACTAAACTTCCTAAGAATTATTGCTTTGTGATTATGTCCCTTCTACCCGTTGGGGATTTTGGCTTCAGACTTAAAATTTCAGACTAAAGATGGGTAGCATCTAATTGTCAAAAAAAGTGTTGCAATTAAATGATTTAATGTAATGTTTTTATAGAAATTCAAGGAGAAGCAAAGCAATTTTGAATTTTCATTATCTTGACAACAGTCTGGTTGAGATGGGTGCTATTTGGGTGGACTAAAGAAGATATGGTAATTATTAATCCCTTTAGATTCTAAAAATCTATTACTATATCAAATTCTCATTATTAGACTATTTCACAACTAGAATAAGTTACTTTATTTCCCTGTAGAAGCCTTACAAGACTCTTCTTTTATGTTACATTCTTCAATTTTATAAAGGAACAACATTAAATGAAGGAGAGTCCTGCATCTTTTTTGTAATTTCTCATGAAGGATTCTATGTGATACCCCTTATTAAAAGCTTTATACAATATTTTCCTCTCAGTGAGGAGAGTGAGACTCCAGTTTATTGCTCATAAAAAAAACTAATTATGGGACCTATGCATCCTGTTCCATTTCATCTGAAAACTCAGAGCTACGTTTTAAAATAACGTGATGAACTTATTAGTCAATCATGTGTAATGGTGAAAACACCCTCAAAAATGATTGCATAGGTTTTATGCTCTGGTCTTTGTTGAGAGGTCTTGGAAATATCTTTTTCAGTGAAAGTCATCCTAACTGCATTTTCTTACTCATTAATCATCCTCCCTTTATTTTCCCACTCTCCCCACTACCCTTCCCATTGTCTAGTAACCATTTTTATACTATCTCCATCAGTTTATTTTGCTCAGCTTCCACATAATAATTTAAAATATTTTTAAAAGAAAGTCATTCTAAATCATCTCGGAGAAAGTTTATAAATAATAAATCTATAAATGATCTAATTCATTTATAGATAGATTTATGTATCTAATCAAATAGGCTTTTTATCCCAAATACAATTAATTTAAAAATGATAAGAGCAAAAATAAAAATCTGTGGGGTGAAGAAACTAAATAAAACCTAGGTTAAGTGATTTATTTCTTCTTGTATTGATTGGTTTTTATACCAAATAAAGTGAGATGAAGAACTGTGTTAGTGTCTTATAGATACAGTCTGAATGAGTGAGTGTGTAAGTGAGTAAATGAATAAGGAAGAAGATAGCCTGACTACTGCCAAGAGAGGTCCTGGAAGGGACTGAGATTTTCAAAATTCCAAAGGAAGTATTATGGAGATAACCAAGTTGGTAAAATAATTAAAAAATGATTGACTAAATATTTTAAATAGATGATTTTATATTATATAAATTGTACCTTAATAAAGTGGTTGGGAAAAAAAAGGAAATATTCCAAGCAGATTAAATATGGAAGAAATCTCAACATTATGGCTCTATAGGAAGCAATTTCTTGAGTTGAAATTTAACTGGAAAATAAGATGCAAATGCCTTGAAGAAGATCTACTTTTTCGCTCATTTAATCAAAAGCATTACAACACATTTTACCATAAATATTTTTATTCATTTTTTAAGAAAAAATGAATTATAATTACAACAAATTAAAAGCGTGATTATGAAGAAATATATTAATAATATAATACTCTATGTCTCTGTTAGGCTGATTATCAGTCTACACTCTTCTCTCTTCCTCCTTTCACCTTTTCTCTCTAGTTTGCTGATTACGGCCCATATTTCCAGCATATTGAAATATTCTATAAGTCTGTAAGTAAATCGTGTCAGATTTGTGCTATCTGTAAACTTGCAAATTATACATATCCAGGTTATTGATGAAGGGCAAGAAAGAGGAAAGAGTCCCACGTTTTGCAATTATAGGCTGTCCTCCCTGATAGCACAGATTAACACTTTAGATTAAAACTTTATGTAAACGAGCCATTATTTAGATCAAATTTTCCTCAGAGATATTATCTGAGAATATCAGAAAAGCCATTCTACAACCCACATATAACACAATAAATGAGACTTTTATAAAATTACTAAGCAACATACATAAGTTGGGTACATGATTTGGGAGCTCATCTGTATTTATACATCACCCCCCGCCCATAGTCGTTATATCCAAAACATGCGTTTTAGCTTAAAGTAATTTTTCTCCTTTAAATTTTGTCATTGAGGAACAAAATTTCCTTCTCTTGGATTCAGGAGAAAGACACGTTAATCATATTTATATACATAGATACATCTACCTATCAACATGCCTTTGCTAGGTTTAGTTTTGTGTTTGTGTGTGTAAATGGAGAGAGAGGAAGAGGAAGAGACACTTAATAATGTACATTCAGTTTCCCATGTCTTACGTGTTGACATTATTTTTAAGTGAAGCTTTAATTTCAATATTTAGTGCTTAACAATAATTAATTACCCATTGGGCAATGATATCGACAGAGATGGTGAGAAGATAGAATCCCTGAAAAAATCTTCATATTCTCAATCCTCCTAAGGAATTTTGGTTCACCTACTGCACTTGATTGATCCATGTTTTTATATGGACAAAGGCCATGGAAAGAAGGAAAAAAAAAGTTCCTACAACTCTCACCTATGCAGAAGTCTTCCAGAATGTCTAACTGCCCCTCAGGAATCACTGAAGTTTGAAAAAGGCAAATATACATGCTTGTTAGTATATAACAGTCTATATTTTAGAGTATCACTTGCAAGTTAAAAATTATACATAGATAACACTTAGTTGATCACTTTCATGTGCCAGGCAGTTGACAGGCATTTTCACTTACTTCTTTTCTTCCTTCCCCTCCCTCTCTCTTTCTTTCTAATTGATAAATGAAAATTATATATGTTTATAATGTACAACATGATGTTTTCATATATGTAAACATTGTGGAATGGCTAAATCACATACTTATTTTCTGTGATGACAATGCAAAACCTACTCTCTTAGTGATTTTCAAGTGTATAATATATTGCTATTAGCTATAATCGCAATGATGTACAATAGATCACTTGAATTTTTTCCTTCTGTCTAATTGAAACTTTGTTCTTTGACGAACTTATCCCTCACCCTTCTCCTTCCCAGCCTCTGGTAACCACCATTTTACTTTCTATTTCTGTAAGTTTGACTTTTTTAGATTCCACATATTAAGTGACATCATTTGATATTTGTCTTTCTGTGCCTGGCTTATTTCACTTAATACAATGTCCTTGAGGTGTTGCTGCAAATGACAGGATTTTTTTCTTTATTTAGATTACAAACAAAGTCTGAAACCTGAGGCAATGGACCCACAGAACTATTCCTTGGTGTCAGAATTTGTGTTGCATGGACTCTGCACTTCACGACATCTTCAAAATTTTTTCTTTATATTTTTCTTTGGGGTCTATGTGGCCATTATGCTGGGTAACCTTCTCATTTTGGTCACTGTAATTTCTGATCCCTGCCTGCACTCCTCCCCTATGTACTTCCTGCTGGGGAACCTAGCTTTCCTGGACATGTGGCTGGCCTCATTTGCCACTCCCAAGATGATCAGGGATTTCCTTAGTGATCAAAAACTCATCTCCTTTGGAGGATGTATGGCTCAAATCTTCTTCTTGCACTTTACTGGTGGGGCTGAGATGGTGCTCCTGGTTTCCATGGCCTATGACAGATATGTGGCCATATGCAAACCCTTGCATTACATGACTTTGATGAGTTGGCAGACTTGCATCAGGCTGGTGCTGGCTTCATGGGTCGTTGGATTTGTGCACTCCATCAGTCAAGTGGCTTTCACTGTAAATTTGCCTTACTGTGGCCCCAATGAGGTAGACAGCTTCTTCTGTGACCTCCCTCTGGTGATCAAACTTGCCTGCATGGACACCTATGTCTTGGGTATAATTATGATCTCAGACAGTGGGTTGCTTTCCTTGAGCTGTTTTCTGCTCCTCCTGATCTCCTACACCGTGATCCTCCTCGCTATCAGACAGCGTGCTGCCGGTAGCACATCCAAAGCACTCTCCACTTGCTCTGCACATATCATGGTAGTGACGCTGTTCTTTGGCCCTTGCATTTTTGTTTATGTGCGGCCTTTCAGTAGGTTCTCTGTGGACAAGCTGCTGTCTGTGTTTTATACCATTTTTACTCCACTCCTGAACCCCATTATCTACACATTGAGAAATGAGGAGATGAAAGCAGCTATGAAGAAACTGCAAAACCGACGGGTGACTTTTCAATGAAATCCAGCCTTCCATAGTGTTAGATGTTTCTATTCATTCAGCAGATATAATTTCTTTAATATAATTCTGCTCAAAGATTTCATTCTGACACTACATTGATATAATTTGTAATGTGTTATATTACAGAGAAACAGTTTATTTCAAGAAAAAATATATCATTTTATTTTATACTACAAATATGTATATATAATGTATTACATATATACATAATGTATGTATTTATATTACAAATATATATACATGTAAGTATATATGTATATATATTTTTGTATATATATACAAAGCTTAAAATATATATACGTACATACATGTATATATGTAATGTAAAATAAAATGATATACATGTCATTTATTTATTCAGAGAAACGATATATTATTATATATTCAGAGAAATGATATATATATCATTTATACAGAGAAATAGTTAATTTCAACAAAAGTATATCATTTTATTTTATATTACAAATATATACATACATATATGTATGTATATTATGTATTTTATATATACATACATGTATTTTATTACAAATATATATACATACATGTATGTACATATGTATATATGTAATGTATGTATCTGTGTATGATTATGTTTGTAAAATAAGATAAAATGGTATATATATCTGTGAAGATGTATATATGTGTGTATATACACACGCACACACATACACACGTATGTATATGTATCTTCAACTCCACACATATATTTTGGAATGAACTCTGCATTTTCTAAAACCAGATTTATCTTACTAGTTTATTCTGCCCCAAAAGTTAATATGAAAAGGAATTTTTATTTTCTAATCATAGCTCAATACTGGAAATTGCATCATTCAAAGCAGGAGACATTTGGCACAGGGAGGCAAGCCTGGAATTAAATAATGCCCAGCAAATATTTGTCCTAATTTTGGAAGCTTGAAAGGAGGAAAAAGACAGCACCATTTCAAGATCCTATTGATTTTAAAAATATGCTTTTCCTAGTAGATGTGTATTATACTGAACGCTTTTATTTAAAAAATGAATACATTCCAGTGATTTTCATTACAGAAATTCATTTTAACATCGAAAAATCCATATTTTACGGCTCAATATTTTATAATGTAAACATAAACTATTGTGTTACATTTAATATGTATTGGATTATTAAATTAACACATTTTCACCCAACGTAGATTTTCAATAAACACTGCATCTCTTTCTGATTTGATTCTGTCTCCTGGGGCATCATTTATTAGGAAGTGTGCGTTTGAATGCCACAGATTCAGATGTTATGCTGAATTTTTACATGTCCATGGATCTTAAGAAGACAATTATAAACAAGAGTTAAATTTGATTTTTACTAAATTAATGTGCAGGGAACTCAAGCAATTTTCTCCTAGGTTGCCTCTGAGATATCAAACCAAAGGAGAAAATTGGGTAATGACTGAGTTAGTTAAGCAATTGAATGGAGCTTCCAATGACTTTGGATATTATATTCAATCCAGGAAGGCATGCTTCTGGGTACTTACGACTTGCCCCGTAATTGCAATCCAAACATATGCATAAATATAAAACAACATAGAAGAAAAACAATTTCTGCCTTAAGATAAAGTCCCCTTGCCTATTATAGTACTCTTTTTTTTATTTTATAGACTTTGAACATACTCAATTTTTACAATCAATTACACCTATATATGTGAACATTAACAAAAGCTTAAAGAGAAATCAACATCTGCCTTAGAATTAATTTTCTTTGTTGTTATTGATGTAATACTGATCACTGACTTGTTGCAGACTTTGGACATAATTTTTTAATCAAAATATAACAAATACTATCTATATATTTATTTATTCAATTATTATATGCTTTTCAAGTACCTACATTTCAGATTCCGGACAATGATCTAGGAGTGAAGATAGAGCATTTAAGAACATACATTACCAGACACTTGGATCTTTTCAATTAGTGAAATAAAGACAAGTATACAGACAATCACAAAATATGAGGCAAAATGAAAACTATGATAGAAATAAACAGGATATCCTCCCAGGGCCCATCAAAGAGAAACCTAATCCAATCCTGATTGTTAGGAAGCCTTTATTCCTTCAACTTTTCTCTGATTTTCTAGGATTCTTTCTTATTAAATTATATATATATAATTATATATTAAAATATATCTATAATATATAGTGTGTATATGTTTTATGCACTATAAATATATATGATATATAGTATGTATATATACTGTGTGTATGCATATATAAATATATATATACAGTCAGCGTGTGTGTGTTTAGCATAGGAATCGTCATCTTGTAAATGCCCAAATATACACCAGATCCCATAAGGTGTTTCTGACTTCTCAGAACTATCCAATGGCTCATGCTCCATTCCTAATCTCTGCTCAACTCTCCACATTGCTTTGTCCAGATCCATAAAGATAAATGTGGATCACTGCACTCTCTAAGCGCAGACATTCCTGGGGTTTAACTAGTAGTCTGGACTGTGTAAACATGGCTATTGATAGGTTAGTGAAATTTGAGAGAAGTCACCAATTTTTGTTTTTCATAAACAATGTGCATTTGCAGAGAACTTGTCACCGTCAGTTCGTAGGAAGCCACAGATTTCAAATTAGAGGAACCTTCCTGAATTTTGAGGAAGCATTTACAAAACTCATTTTCTGATTTTGAAATGAGGTAAGTTAAATACGTATTACAGTGAATGTTTTAAAATGCAAATAATGTGGTTCCATAATTGGCCCGCTGAATTTGAACTTTAGGAACCAATCCCAGAAATCTGCTATTTACTATAAACTGCCTCAGGTGATTCTCATTCACTGTTATGACTTAGAACCACTGAATAATTGCTGATGTTATCTGCAGGAGTAAATGCTATTAAGGAAAGGTTGGAAAGGTTTTCTTAACATATAAGACTCTTATTAGTGGACCAGGATGCATTTTCATAATTAATCATCCTAGAAATACATCATTAGGATATACTGATTTTTAAAAAACGCAACCTCCTAAAATACATTATTGATGGTTATAAGACGAGGTCAATGATAAGTTTCTGTGAAATTGAAGGAATCTTAAATATCCCTCCTTGTCTCTAACTGCAATCATTAAGATATTTGCTGCTTCCTCTCCTAATTCTCTTTGATATATTCATGCTTTTCTTCAACATGAATATTAAAACAATGTTAAAATCAAATTATTTTGTCTGAAGACTCTTACTAATGTAAGTCATTTTAAATGCTAAATTTTCATAGGAGAGCTCCAAATTTAAGGGTTTTCTTTTCTTTTCTTTTCTTTTTTTTTTGAGACAGAGTCTTGTTCTGTCACCCAGGCTGGAGTGCAGTGTGGCATGATCTCGGCTTTCTGCAAGCTCCACCTTCCGGGTTCATGCCATTCTCCTGCCTCAGCCTCCCAAGTAGCTGGGACTACAGGCGCCCACCACCATGCCCGGCTAATTGTTTTGTATTTTTGGGTAGAGATGGGGTTTCACCGTGTTACCCAGGATGGTCTCGATCTCCTGACCTCGTGATCCGCCCGACTCAGCCTCCCAAAGTGCTGGAATTACAGGCGTGAGCCAGGGCACTCGGCCTAAGGGTTTTCATATGAAGTAAAATGTCTTTCCTATAAACGGGCAAACTATTTTTTCACTTTTATCTCTTCCTGTTTGAACTCAGATGCAGTTTGAAGAGGATGAAGTCAAAGAGACTTTTAAAGAAAATGTATCCCCAAACATTGGCTTTTGTGACTCCCACCATCATGAGTGACCTGTGGATCATGCACAAGGTGGTGACTAACTTCTGCAACTCTAAGATTTCATTTTAGCAACCTTTTCTTCCCAGTTTCCAATATCTAGAATCTGATGTTCTATCTAGGAATGGTATGCCTACGTTATATTTTGCAACATTCTGTGGCTCGATGTTTTAAAATAAAAAGCTTTTGAAAGTCAATTGTATTTCTATACACTGGAAATGCAAAAATGAAATGTAACCAAAAGAAAAGCACTAAAACAATGATACATGGAACAATATCAAAAAAGAATAATAATATCAGCACTTAGTGGTATAAATTTTCCTCTCAGTATTCCTTTTGCTTTGTCCTCTGAATTTTGGTATATTATATTTTCATTTTAATTCAGTTCAATGTATTTTTTATTTCATTTGAATTTTGTTTCTATGACCATGTCTTATTTATAAGTGATTTGGATTGTTTCCAAGTGTTTGGAGATTTTCTTATCTTTCTATTCTTGCTTTGTTGTCTGAATGAATCACAGCTAGAGAACATCTTCCATATGATTTCAATTATTTTACATTTTTTTAGTTTGTTTTCAAAGCTGTACAGTTTTATTTTGATGGCTTGTGGCAAATGTCATACAATTTTAATATTGTTTTTTACTTTTATTTTAAGTTCAGGGGTACATGTGCAGGTTTGTTACATAGGTAAACTTGTGTCAAGGGGGTTTGTTGTATAGATTATTTCATCACACAGGTATTAATCCTAGTACCCATTAGTTATTTTTCCTGATCCCCTCACTCTTCCTACCCTTCATCCTCCCATAGGACCCAATGTCTGTTGTTCCTCTTTATGTGTCCACTTGTTCTCTTCATTTAGCTTCCACTTAGAGAACATGTGGTATTTGGTTTTCTGTAACTGTATTTGCCAAGGATAATGGCCTCCAGCTCCATCCATGTCCCTGCAAAGGACATGATCTCTTACTTTTTTATGGCTACATAGTATTCCATGGTGTACATGTACCACATTTCTTTATCCAGTCTATCATTAATGGACATTTAGGTTGTTGTGTTATGTTTCAGGATATAACCTATCTTGATAAAGGTTCTGTGGGTGTTTGAAAGGGATGTGCATTCTCATGTCATTGATGGAGTGTCCTACAAATGTCAATTAGGTCATGTTGGTTGTTAGTGTTGTTGAATTCTTCTATATACTTAAGGAACTATTTCTATTAATTGTGTAAAGAGGCATGTTGAAGTATCTAATTATAATTGTAGATTTGTCTATTCTTTCAGTCTTATCAGTTTTCATTTCACATAATTTGTAACTCACTTGTTTGGTACATTCATATTTAGAATTGCTATGGCTTGTCCCTTTTATCATTGTGTTATATCTTACTCTGTCCCTGGTAATTTTCTTTGCTCTGAATATACCTGATATTAAAACAGTTACTCTAACATCTTTTTGATTAATGTCTGCATGGTGCATCGTATTTCATCTTTTTATTTTCACACACTTGTGTCGTTATATTTGAATTGAGTTTCTTATAGATAGCATGTAAAAGGTCAATTTTTTCTACTTTGCGAATCTCTGTCTTGAAATTGGTGAATTTAAACCATTTATATCTAAAGTAATATTGATATGTTAGGATTAAGTCACCTATTTTATTTTTGATTTTGGTTTCTTCCCTCATTTTTAATTTGTTCTATTTTCCCTACTATCCTGTGGGTGACTGTAATATTTTTTTAGAATTTTATTTTGATCTATCTATAGAGTTTTTGGTGTATCTCTTTCTACAGGTTTCTTGGTGGTCATTCTAGGTATTACATTATGTAACCAGTTTACCAGTTCAAGTATAGTATAGAAATCTTATTCTTTCAGTCTCTTTATCCTCCCATACTTTAAATACAAAATTGTCTTAACTATTTATGTACATTGGGTACAACAATAAACAATGCAATAATGTTTGCTTTAACTGTCAAATTCAATTTGGAAAACTCAGGAGAAATAAAGGCTATTGTATTTACACATATTTTTCTTTTTATTTTTTTTTCTTTTGGTGTTCTAGGATTCTCAACATTTTTAATGTTTATTGTTTTGTCTTCAAGTTTACTGCTTCTTCCCTCTGTCCTCCCAAGTATGCTTTTAATTCCATTCATTGAGGTGTCCTTCTTCCTTGCTGTTCTGTATTTCTTCTTCCTTTTTCCTTCCCTCCATTCCTCCCTCCCTCCCTCCCTCCCTCCCTCCTTTCCTCCCTCCTTCCCTCCCTCCCTCCCTCCCTCCCTCCCTCCCTCCCTCCTTCCTTCCTTCTTTTCCTCCCTCCCTCCCTCCCTCCCTTCCTCCCTCCCTCCCTCCCTCCCTCCCTTCCTCCCTCCCTCCCTCCCTCCCTCCCTTCCTTCCTTCCTCCCTCCCTCCCTCCCTCCCTTCCTCCCTCCCTCCCTCCCTCCCTCCCTCCTTCCTTCTTTTCCTCCCTCCCTACCTCCCTTCCTTCTGTCTCCCTCTCTTTTTCTTTCTTTCTGTTATGGCATTTTTCAGTTCTATAATAAAACCTCCACTTCCATTTGTTTCTTTTTTATGTCTTCTATTTATTTCCTGAGACTTTTTATTTTGTATTTTCTTCAAACATGCTTGTAATTTCTCATTGAAGAATTTTATGATAATTTTAGTATCTGTTTTATCTTAGAATTGGCATCTATTCACTATTTTTTCATTCGAGCTGAGATTTTTCTGGTTTGTATGGTGAGAGTTTCTGTTTCTGTTTTTTAAATTAATCTTAGATATTTCAATGTAATGAGACTCTGGATACTATTTAAATCTTTTGTTTCAGCAGGCTTCATCTGGCACTGTGCCATCTGCAAAATGGAAGTAGAAATTAGATTCCCTTCTTGGCCTCTGTTGATTCTATAGAGAAGGCCCAGCAGGGTGCTTCATTACTGCTGGGCAGAGGTGAGGGTCCAATCTCCTTACTAGGTCTCTGCTGGCTGTCAGGGAAAAGGTCATCTTCTTATTACTCCCTGTATGACCTCAACTGACACTGTGGTGAGGGGGTACTCTTTACTGCTGGAAGGTTTTGGCAGCTTGGCTTCCAACTCAACCTTCTTTGATATCACCTTGGCAGTGAGGAGAAATTTACCTCACTTGATGGAGTAGAATTACCGGCTCTTCACGTGGTCTCTAATGACACCAATGGGAAGAAGGTTATTACTACCAGAAAGGTTAGAAATCTGGACTCCTTACTTTATTTTGGGGGAAGATAGGCCATCATTTATTTGTGGCCTTTTGTGGATGGAGAGCAGTTATTGTCTTGAAGTTTTCTATCTTTCCAGGCTTCTCCTTTTCTTGTCCTCTGGTTAAAGATAGTGGGCTTTTTTTTTTTTGGCTGGGGGGCTTGGGGGGCTATTTATGTCTGCATCTGTTGGTGTTTCTGGGCTGCTGGTTTCTCCAACACCCAATTGGACTTATATGAGGCAAATTAAAAGAAATAAAAATTGCAAAAAGGGAAATTATCATGCCATGTATTGGGTCTTGAAGTTTCTACCTAATTTGCTGCCTCGATCTTTCAGAGTTTCTTCTTTTTTTTAATGTTTGCATTATATAATATCCAGAGTTTTTGGTTGTGCATAGTAGCATGAATAGGGGAAAGTATATCTATTCCATTTTACCCCAGAACTGGGAGTCTACAATTTATTTTCAGACTATTGACTTTGTCATATTCAGTGATTATGCTAACTTCATTTATTAATTTGACTTTCTGTACATTCTCTTCAATTATCTATATACACATACTGTGACATTTGTTAATAATGAATATGTGATTCCTTCCTCTCCATTTCTTATACCATTCTATTTTTTTTCTTGTCTCATTACACTGCCTAAGCCTCCAGAATAATGTTGAATTATGGTGACAATATCAAGTATTATTTGTTTCTTAGTTTCAAGGTGAAAGTCTTTAATATTTCAACAGTGAGCATAATATTTATTTTAGAATTATTTTGTGGATACTCTTTATCAGATTAAGGATTCCCTAGCATAAGTTTACTTGTGATTAGTAGTTTACAAATTTGATATCTTTTTTAATAAATTGGTATTGAACTTTGCAATAATTTACTACATCTATCAATTTGTAAACATAGTTAATTACATGGATTGATTTTTTAATTTTCAACTAGTCTTACAAATCTGGAGTAAGACAAGTGGTTCATATTGTATTATCTTTCTACATATCAATAGATACAATTTGCTAATTATTTAAATGATCATTACATTTATGTTCATAGGTGATATTAATTTATAATTAATTTATTATTATTATGACATTATGGTCAGATTTTGAAATTTAAGACATGCTGGTGACAAAAAGAAATAAAAAGTATTCTCTATTTATTTACTTACAGGAAGAGTTTGTACAACATTGGTGCTATGTTTTTCTTGTGTGTTTAAAGAATTCGCTAATGTGAGTTTTCTTTGTGGGAAGGAATTTAAGAACAGATTTAATATATTTTTAATAAATCCCAGCCCATTATAGATTTTCCAAGTCTTCTGCAGAGTGCCTTGAATAGTCATATTTTAAAGAAGTTTTTCCATGTTTTTCAAATTATTAAACTTATTGGTATAATACATTTGGTCAATGCAATATGAGAAGATTCAAGAGCCAGGGTGAGATTCACCATGTGGCTGTTTTCCTACCCAAGCAGTAATGAAATTACATGTTGAGGTAAATCCTTCATCAGCATGAATCTGTTGGTGACTACAATAAGCAGAGATCAATGACTGACATGCATCCCATGTTATTATTGTTGCATGAATATAAAATAAATATTTGTTGTGTTAAGTGAATAATATTTTAGGGATTGTTATTTCATTATAAGCTGACCCCACACTGTCAAAATTAGTAATTTTTTTTTTTAAAAAATCTGAGCTTCATGTTTTATTTGAACAGGAACATTGTATATTGGATTTTAGATGTAAATGTATCAATCATTAGATGTGTTCCTATACATTTTTAAAATTTGTTTAGTTCAACCATTGTGGAAGATAGTGCAGTGATTCCTCAAAGACCTAGAACCAGAAATACCATTTGACCCAGCAATCCCATTACTGGGTATATACCCCCCAAAATACAAGTCATTCTATTATAAAGATACATGCACACATATGTTCATTGCAGCACTATTCACAATAGCAAAGACATGGAATGAACCCAAATGCCAATCAATGATAGACTGGACAAAGAAAATGTGTTGCATATACACTATGGAATACTATGCAGCCATAAAAAGGAACGAGATCATGTTCTTTGCAGGGACATGGATGGAGCCAGAAACCATTATCCTCAGCTAACTAAGTCAGGAACAGAAAACCAAACACCACATGTTCCCACTTATAAGTGGGAGCTGAACAGTGAGAACACATGGACACAGGGAGGAGAAAACCACACACCAGGGCCTGTCGGGGGGTGAGGGGAAAGGGGAAGGAGTGCATTAGGACAAATACCTAATGCCTGCGGGGCTTAAAACCTAGATGATGGGTTGATAGGTGCAACAAAACACCATGGCACATGTATACCTGTGTAACAAACCTGCACGTTCTGCACATATATCCAATAATTTATAAAATAAAATACAAGTTTGATGAATTCTTGCATCTTTAACATCTCTGAAAGTGTTTCTATGTCTCAATGAAAATTTTACAAGTTATTTTTACTAAGTATGAAATAAGAAAACCTCTCTAAAATATTTCTTTTGTTGTCAATGCCACATTGATGAGAAAAAATATAGAAGCCTCCTGCATTTATTTAACACATTTTTGTCCCATTTTATTTATTTTAGGTATTTAAGTTAGTTTGGGGAGTATAAAGATAATAAAGATAAAAGCTCAGTCAGTAATAAATTTACCAAACCTCTTTGGCTTCTGTCTTTGTCACACAGATTTGTTACTATGATTGCTTTAAAATCCAAAGACTAAAAAAGCTGTAAGAATGAAAATACTTCACGGTTCATTTGTATTTTATATTTTATTTTTGTTCAGTTTGTTGTAAACTTGAATGTCGATTTAATTTTTTATCTTTAGTTATAAAGATTTGGTAAACAGTAAACAGGCCTATGAATTTGTCTTAATACAACTTAAGGATACAACTAATGTCGAGGGGTTTATTGTTGATGATGATGACAGTAATATAAAATAAACTTTCCAATAATTGACAAATGTGAAAATGTCATGAACTCATTTATATACACTTTCGAGTATCCTGCACAAACTGGCAGATCAAACTGTTGTTGCAATGTGGTAAGTCAGCCAGTGTAGAACTTAACCTTCTATACCCTATATCATTGAAAAAATCATCTTTAATGAATAAATTATTTTTGAACTGTGTTATGTATGAGGCAGGCACCATAGTAGACATATTCATGTCTGTTTTCATTTTTCGTCTTCACATCAGCACTGAGAGGTACACATCATTTTATGCATGCTATGTATGAGGAAATGCGGGCTTCAAGGCGTAAAAAAATTTTGAGGTTTACATGAATTGTGATTCAAAGAGGGATATTTGAACCCACAATATTAGGCAACTGCTTTCTCTACTACATGTGATAAGGTGATGAAACTAATATATTCCATTAGCTTGTTGTTATATAGTCATAAATTGAATTCACTCTAATACATCTAACTGATATCTCTTAAATATGTACAGAAAGAAATACCTGTAAATTGACTGCAGATATCTACAGATGCTCCTCAACTTATGATGGGCTTATGTCTGAATAAACCCACCGTAAGTTGAAAATACTGTAAGTCAAGAATGTATTTAATAAACCTAACCTACTGAACATGATAGCTTAGCCTAGCCTCCCTCAAACATGCCCAGAACATTGACACTGGTCTACAGTTAGACAAAATCATCTAACACAAAGCAAATTTTATAATAATAAAGAGTTGAATGTAATTTATGGAATGCTGTGCGGAAAGTGAAAAACAAAATGGTTACATGAGTAATCAAAGTATGGTTTGTACACCATCTTAAAGACAAAAAATTATAAGGTGAATCATCATAACTCAGGGACCATCTGTAGTTGTAATAAGTTAAAATTGAAGAAAAACAAATAAAGCAAGGTAGAGAAGGCAGTGAAGGCTTAGAAAAAGTGGTTTGTACCAGTGCCAAATGACAAACTAAATGGAAATACTGGATGGAATAAAATTTGATGAGGTGAATACATAAGAGGAAAAAGACAATCTGATAGAAAAATCAGATTTGATTGAATAAAAAAGTAAACAGATTAGTTATAGTGTACAGTTGAATGATAAAGTCAATAATAGGGCTATTTTGATTTAATGAAATAAATTTAAAAACTAGGCAACCACCTTCTAACTCATTATTTGAAAAGTTATTATTTTAACCTCAGATTTTCTACTTTCAAAAATTCATATCAATGTCTCATGTCTCCTGCTTTTTCCAAGTAAGCCCATTTCTGACCCAGAGCTTCTGCATGGCTGACTTTACCTCTTTGTTCCGAAGTGTGTAGATGAGGGGGTTTAGCATTGGGGTAATAACATTGTAGAGTACAGACACCATCTTGTCCACAGAAAATGTAGAGAAAGGACGAGCGTAGATGAAAATACAGGGTCCAAAAAACAGTGTTACCACCATGAGGTGAGAGGCACACGTGGAGAGTGCCTTTCGCCTTCCTTCCTTGGAGCGAATCTTGACTAGGATAGTGGTGTAGGAGGAAATCAGCACCACAAAGGAGATGGTGGAGATCAACCCACTGTTAGATACCATGAGCAATTCAATGACAAAAGTGTCAGCACAAGCAAGTTTGATGACAGGGGGAACATCACAAAAAAAAGTTTTCCACCTGATTTGGCCCACAAAAGGGTAGATGGACAGTGAGAATGGTCTGGACAGTGGAGTGCACAAATCCTCCCATCCAGGAGGCAGCAACCAACACACAGCATAACCCCCGACTCATGACAGTGGTGTAGTGCAGCGGGCGACAGATTGCAACATAGCGATCGTACGCCATCACTGTGAGCAGGAACATCTCAGCTGCCCCTACAAAATGCAGGAAGAAGAGTTGCACAATGCATTGGTCATAGGAAATGAGTTTTTCATGATTAAAGAAGTCAGCCAGAAGCTTAGGGGTCGTTACTGTTGAATAACATAGGTCCAGAAATGAGAGGTTGCCAAGAAGGAAATACATGGGTGATGAATTCAGGTATTTATCAGATGCTACTGTGACCATGATGAGGACATTGCCAACCCAAATGGACATATAGAAGAAAAGAAATAGTACAAATAGCCCTGCTTCAATAGATGGTGTCTGTGAGAACCCTGACAAGAAAAATTCTCTCATCACTTCTGTTTGGTTTTTATCCATTTGATCTGGCTCTACCTAGATCAAAGAGATTAAACAATAGGGCATTAGTGACATTTAAAATGAATGAGGTAATTCATATCAAATACAAGACTCTGCTCATTTCAAAAGAGAGATTTTTCATCCTCTAAGATACATCCTGATTAATTAGCTGGAAGAAATTATTTTCTCCTTACCTAATATAAATGTATATTATTTCACCAGCTGCAACCTCAAGACACTGATGACATGGCCAAGGTTGATTAGAACATGAAGTTACCTGGCTCCAAGCTACTAACTTCCACATGATGCATTTCTGTCTTCCAACATTCAACACATTACTTCTCTCTCCTTTTCCACATTCAGTCTCAAGAAATGTTATATTTTTCTGAAATTTTTTTTTAATAAGAATATTTGGGGAAAAAATAAAATCAAAGGTAGAATTTCAGATTCCAGTAAATGGACATTAGATCTGTAGAGCTTTTATTTGAGAAAAGGGAATCCCTGTACCCTTTGCCATCAAGAAAACTCTTGTAGGACTCTAACCTGTGCACATAGCTACAGGAAAGATCACATTCCACTTGGGATTATTGCTAGTTCAATGACCTCTTAGTATATTTTCTTTGATATGCCTCTTCAGCTTACCATATTCTATAATACACTTATTTCCAGTTTATTATTGTAAATGATATATTTCTTATCTTAAATCATACCTGTGGGCATATAGGTACACATTATGCTTATAATGATCTAAATATAATTATAAAATGGTTATTCATGCATTGAAATGACTCTCCTTTGACTAGTCTATCAAATCAAATAAAAATCAACTATTTCTCTGAGATAAAAATAGCAATTTGTATGTTGTGTATATTTTTTCCATTTACATAAACAATAGCTGGAACATGCTACTGTATGAGTTGAAATGGGTGATGGTCCACGGAGAACTGCGGGGAGGGGTGTTTTTGGTGTTTTGTGATAGCTGTTATTCACTCAAATTCTATAGTTAAGTTGTGCCATACACAGAGCAACATTTTGAAGACTTAAGACATAATAGTTAGATAGCAATTTATAGTTTAAATATTGAATTTTATTCACCTTATTTTAGTTTATGCCACTGTTAAATCTATAAACGGTATACTTTCATTTAGGCAAATCGACGAGGATAAAAATATTAAAAAAATAATTTTAAACTAAACAAAAGTTAGCTTAAAAATAATAAAATTTACATATTCCTTATTTAAGGCAATGATGTAAATATAAAGATTACATCAATTATATGTAAGAGTTAAAAATATCAAGACACTATGAGGTAAAACTTCCAAATTTAAATATTAGTTTGTTGAACTGGTGTTTAAAAAATATTTATTAACTTTAGAAAATGGTCACATAATAAAAGAAAAAACAGGACACAAAACTATACTTAAAATATGATACAATCTATATATACAGAAAAGTTAAATTATATAAGACACTAGACTACATGTAAAGGCAATAAAATATTTATAAAAATTCACCTTAACAATTGAGACTTTCTTCTTACCTACTGAGAGTTCCTATGCATATCTGTAGGGTTTATGACATTTTATTCTTATATACAAAAATCCAAAAAATGGATTTTTTCTCTTTCTGCAACTTAATTATTACTTAACATTTCAGGTAATAATTTCTCTTAATTATAATCCATTTAACTTGTTTTGAGAGTAAAAGTTGTCTAGATATAACATCAAATAATCTCACTTTCAGAATCATGAAAAACATGAAGAAAATAATTATCTTCCCAATTCTCAGAAGCAAAGATTGTTAATTTTGCTAGCCATATACTCTTAAAACCTTTTAAAAATGCATTGTTTGATTTACACAATATAACATTGCATAGACAATATTATATTGAAAAAGAGCACAATTAGCATTGAATACTACTTCTGCAGGTAGGCCCTGATGACAGGAGCATGAAGAAAGGCTGTCAGTATAATAGATTTTAAGTCAAATTACATACCTTCTTGTCTGTAAATTCTTAGGTCCTGCAGTCATGGACTCCTGGCACATTAACAGTATACAACCATCCTAGATATTATAGACCAAGAAAATTAATGAATTAAGATGAAAACCCCTGGTTACACTGGCCACCATTACGAAATTTTGATGTTTAGGGATTTCAAGATTCAGCTACTCACAGTCAAATCACAAAGGAAATCATTAAAAATTTTTAATCAATCCTTTTTCAGAAATTATGAAACATAAAAATATATGGGATGTGAGGGTAGAAAGCAATTAATAGAAGAGGAAAAGAAGATCTGAGAGTTGTAATAATGTCAGCTGGATTTTATAGAGAGGTAAGGGTCCCCCTGGCCCACATGGCTGAGGTTAGTGGAAAGGGTGATGAAACATTAAGGAAAATTTGGCTTGAAGGGCCTTGCATTTCTTCTACCAGTACACCTTTGCTTGTACTGCTTTATCTGGAGTACCTTTTCTAATCAGAATTATTGACGTTAGATTTAATTTAATTTTGTTTAATATTACAAAAATGTCTTAAGTAAATATAAAAGTTTCCACTTTGTTCTTTTTCTGCCTCTATACCACTGAGAGGGGAAGAGAGGGAAGAGAAAGAGCGAGAAAGGCTTTCCTCAATACAGTAATATACCGTGGATGTGATTTCGTGTGCTATATTCAGCTCTAATTATTATTACTAATTTTTTTTAGATGGAGTCTTTCTCTGTCCCCCAGGCTGGAGTGCAGTGGCCCCATCTTGGCTCACTGCAACCTCCACCTCCCAGGTTCAAGCAATTCTCCTGCCTCAGCCTCCTGAGTAGCTGGGATTACAGGCCCATGCCACCACTCCTGGCTATAGTTCTAATTATTTTTAACTGATATATGATAATAAAACCATCAAATATGGTATGTTATAATAAAATATTCTATCAATGGGGTTGTAGATCATCTATTTTATCATTATAATAAAAGATTCTACAGTGAACAATTTGTTCATATTTCTTCAGACTGCTATTCAGTATATGTAAGAGACAGAGGCTGAAAGTAAAATTTCTGAGACAAATGTGGACAGGTATTTCTCCCCCAAAAAACTGTAGTAATGTATACTTCCATGAGCCATGTATGTGATGCTATTTTCATATTCTTTCCTACACTAGATAATATCATTCTTCAATTTTAATGATAATTTTTCAAATATGATGTATAATAATGATAGTACATTTTAGTTTGCATTTGCCTCAGCAGCACTGTGGATGAACATCTTTTCAGATTTTTATTAGTCACACATATTTTAATTCTAAAAATTGCATGTTCATCACTTTAATTTCTGAATGTTTATCATATTTTCTTTATTAATGTATGAAAGTTCTCTAGACTTCAAAAATATTAAACAATACAAATGTTTGAAACATTTATTGCAAACCTAAATTTACAGCTGATTGAATTTTTGCTTATGTAAACTTCCAACCAGATGGAGACAGAACATTAACAATGCCTCAGATGACTTCCTCACTCCTCCCAACAAAACGCCTAAAGCTAACCTCTTTTATAACCTCTATCGCCTTTGATTAATTTTGCCTGTGTTTGAACTTTGTATAAATGGGATTATAAAATATATACCCTTTCTATGTGTGTTGATTACTTTGATTTGACATTATGACTGAAATTTATTCTAGTTATTGCGTGTGTCATTATACATTTTTATTACTAACAATCTTTATTATTTCTTCCATTATTTAAGCATACGACTGTTTATACATTGTACTGTTGCTGGATATTTGGGTAGTTTCTCATTTTTGGCTAATACAAAAAAAGCTTTTATGAACATTCCTGTACATATTTTGATGGACATTGTATTCATTTCTGATGGATGTACACTAGGAGTGTAACTTTTCAATCCTAAAGTAGATGTATATCTAATTTGATAAGAAACTATAAAACATTCTTCAGATACAGTTGTATCAATTTACAATACCACCACTGTTGTAACAGAGTTTACATCGCTCCATATTCTCCTCAACATCTACCTTTAAAAAGAAAAATAATTTAGTTACTCTGCTGGGTACTAATTGTGGTTAATTTGCATATCCTTGATAAGTAATGATGCTGAACATCTCATATGTTTATTTTCTATTTGAAAATCTTTTTCATGAGGTGTCCATTCAATTTGTTTTCTCAATTGTTGAGTCACTTGCATTTTCTTACTGAACTATAGGAATCTGTTATATATGATATAAACAACTCCTTTGTTGATATATGTATTACAATTATCTAATATTATCTGCGGCTTACCTTTTCACTTTGTTAGTGATATCATTTAGTAAACAGAAGTTCTCATGCAGTCCATTTGTAACTAAAAATCAACTACCACACTAGGCTTCATGAAAATTAAGAACTTCTGTTTACTAAATGATATCACTAATGAAGTTCAGCATCATTACTTATCAAGGGTATGCAAATTAACCACAATTAATACAGTTGTATTTCTATACCCAGATATTTGATAAAGCATTATTTAGTCTCAATCATTGTATTAGTTATTCTCAATGCTTCAGTAGGCACTGAACCTGTCCTCCTTCTGCTGGAATGGAAATCCAGATGGTTTGGCACTTGACTAGAATGATTGGGCTGCCCAAGGTGTGTCTGTAAAGGAGTTTATGTAGGAGATTGCTGTGAGAGTCAGGGGACTGAGTAGGGAATATCCTCCCTCAATGTGAACAGGTACCTTCCAAGAAGCTGAGGGTCCAGGTGGAGGAATTCTCAGCTTTCATAATCAGTGAGCCAATTTCCCCTAATACATCTCCTCTCTCTCTCCCTCTCTCTCCCTCTCTCTCTCTCTCTCATCTTTCTCATCTCCCTCTCTCTTTCTCTGTCTCTCTATATAAAGAGATATATAATATATATTCTTAATTTTCTTTTTTGGCTGTTCATTGTTAGTGTATAGAAATACAATTGTTATGTGATAACTTTTGTATCCTGTTAATTGGTATTGAGGTAGTTTCCTTCTATTCCTAGTGTTAAGTGCTTTTGTCATGAAAAGATGTTGAATTTTTTCAGATGATTTTCTGTATCAATTGTTTTCCCCCTTCATCTGTTAATGCAATGTGATATATTACATTGATTTTTTTTGTGTTAAAACATCTTTGTATCGTAGGAATAAATACCACTTGGTCATAGTATATAATCTTTTTAATGTGCTATTGAGTTCAGTTTGCTAGTATTTTGTTGAGAATTTTGCAACAATGTTCAGAAGTGACATTGGCCTATTGTTTTCTTTTCCTGTAGTTTTTTTTGTCTGGCTTTGGTATCAAGGTGATACTGGTCTCATAGAATAAGAGGAGGAAGTATTCCCTCCTCTTAAATGTTTTGAAAAAATTTTGAAGAGAATGGGTGCAAAATAATTCTTCCTTAAATGTTAGTAAAATTCACTAGTGAAGCCACAATGTCCAGTCTTCTCTTTGTTGGGAGACTTTGATCACTAATTCAATCTCCTTACTAGTTATAGATATTTTCGTAGTTTTTATTTTTTCATTATTAAGTCTTCCTGGGTCTTGTACTCCTAGAAATTTGTACATTTTGTCTAGGTTATTCATTTTATTGGCATGCAATTATTCATAGTACTCTTTTATAATCCTTTTTGTTTCCCTAGAGTTGGTAGTAATGTACTGTTCTCATTTTTATGTCTGGTTTTAGTAATTTGAGATTTCTCTCTGTTTTTGTTAGTTCATCTAGCTAAAGTTTGCCAATTTTGTTGTCTTTTCAAATAACCAACTTTTGATTCCATTGAATTTTTCTATTGTTTTATGTTCTCTATTTCAGTTATCTCTACTTTTTATTATTTCCTGCTTCCTGCTAGGTTCAGGTGTAGTTTGTTTTATTTTTTTCAAGTTCTTTAAGTTGTAAAGTTAAGTTGTTGATTTGAAAACTTTCTAGCTTTTATTTTTTAATGTAATATTTTTAAATTTTAGATTCAAGGAGTACATATACAGGTTTGTTACATGGATATATTGTGTAATGCTGGGGTTTGGGCTTCTGTAAAAACCACCACCCAAATAGTAAACATAATCTCCAATAGGTAGTTTTAATTTCCTTCCAACATTTATTTTGGGTTTGGGGTTATATGTGCATCTTTATTACATGGGTAAATTGGATGTCATGGGGGTTCAGTAGACTGATTATTTTGTCACCCAGGTAATGAGTATAGAACCATATAGGCAGTTTTTTAATCCTCATTCTCCTCCCACCCTCCACCTTCAAGTAAAGCCCAGTGTCTATATTTCTGTTCTGTGTGTCCATGTGTACTCAATGTTTAGCTCCTATTTATAGGTGAGAATGTGCAGATTTTGGCTTTCTGTTCCTACATTAATTCATTTAGGATAATGGCTTCAAGCTCCATCCATGTTGCTGCAAAGGACATGACTTCATTCTTTCTTATGGCTTTATAGTTTTCAATGGTGCATATGTACCCCATTTCCTTCTTTCAATCCACCATTGATGGACATCTAGGTTGATTCCATGTCCTTGCTGTGAATAATGCTGTGATGAACATATGTTTGCATGTGCCTTTATTGTAGAATGATTTATATTCTTTTGGGTATGATATGGTTTGGCTGGGTCCTCAAACAAATCACATCTTGAATTAGAGTTCCCATAACCCCCATGTGTCATGGAAGAGACCCAGTGGGGAGTGATTGAATCATGGGAACGGTTTTCCCCATGCTGTTCTCATGACTGTGAGTGAGTTCTCCTGAGATCTCATGGTTTTCTAAGCATCTAACATTTCCCCTACTGGTACTCATTCTCTCTCCTGCCACCCTGTGAAGAGGTAGGTGCCTTCCACCATGACTGTTTTCCTGAGGTCTCCCCAGCCATGTGGAACTGTGAGTCAATTAAACCTCTTTTCTTTATAAATTACCCAGTCTTGGTTATTTCTTCATAGCACCGTGAAAATGAACTAATATAGTAAATTGGTACCAGGCATGGAGTGCTTCTATAAAAATACCCAAAAATGTGGAAGCAACTTTGGAACTAGGTAACAGGCAGAGGTTGGAAGAGTTTGGAGGGCTCAGAAGAAAAGAGAAAAATATTGGAAAGTATGGAACTTTCTAGAGCCTTGGAGGGCTCAGAAGACAGGAAGATGTGGTAAAGTTTGGAACTTCCTAGTATGAACCCCAAAAGTCTGAGACAAGTCCCAGTTAATTTAGAAAGTTTATTTTGCCAAAGTTGAGGATGTGTGCCCGTGTGTCAGTAGGTCCTAACAACATGTGCCCAAGGTGGTCAGGGCACAGTTTGGTTTTATACATTTTAGGGAGACATGAGACATTAATCAAAATATACAAAATGAACATCGGTTTGTTCTGGAAAGGTGGGACAACTCGAAGTAAGGGCAAGAAGACTGGAAATGGGGAGGGGGCTTCCAGGTCATAGGTAGATAAGAGACAAATGGTTGCATTCTTTTGAGTTTCTGATTAGCCTCTCCAAAGGAGGCAATCAGATATGCATTTATTTCAGTGAGCAGAGGGGTGACTTTAAACAGAATGGGAGGCAGGTTGTCCCTAAGCAGTTCCCAGCTTGACTTTTTCCTTTAGCTTAGTGATTTTGGGGCCCCAAGATTTATTTTCCTTTCACATTAGAGACATATTGAATGGCTTTGACCAACATGCTGATAGTGATACGGACAATGAAAGCCAGGCTGAGGTGGTCTCAGATAGAGATTAGGAATTTTTTGGGAGGTGGAATAAAGGTGACTCCTGCTATGCTTTAGCAAAGAGACTGGTGGCACTTCATCCTTGCCCTAGAGATCTGCGAAACATTGAACTAGAGAGAGATTATTTAAGGTATCTGGCTGAAGAAATTTCTAAGCAGCAAGATGTTCAAGAAAAAGCAGAGCATAAAAGTTTGGAAAATTTGCAGCCTGATTATGTGATAGGAGAGAAATTCAACTCAGCTGCATAAATTTGGATAAGTTATGATGAGCTGAATGTTAATCACCAAGACAATGGGGAAAATGTCTCCAGGGCATGTCAGAGACCTTCCCAGAAGACTCTCCCACCACAGGCCCAGAGGCCTACCAGGGAAAAATTGTTTTGTGAGCTGGGCCCAGGGCCTCCCTGCTCTATGCAGCCTCAGGACATGGTGTCCTGCATTCCAGCTGCTTCAGCTCCAGCTGTGGCTAAAAGGGTCCAAGGTACAGCTCAGGCTATTGGTTCAGAGGGTATAAGCCTCAAGCCTGGGTGGCTTCCATGTGGTGTTGAGCCTGTGGGTGCACAGAAGTCAAGAACTAAGGTTTGGGCACCTCCCCCTAGATTTCAGAGGATGTATGGAAATACCTGAATGTCCAGGCCTAAGTTTGCTGCAGGGGTGGGGCCCTCACAGAGAACCTCTGCTAGGACAATGCAGAAGGGAAATGTGAGGTGGGAGCACCCACACAGAGACCCCACTGTGTCACTGCCTAATGGAGCTGTGAGAAGAGGGCCACCATCCTCCAGACCCCAGGATGGTAACTCCACTGACAGTTTGCACCATGCACCTGGAAGTTACAGACACTCAACGCCAAACCATGAAAGCAGCTGGGAGGAAGTCTGTACCCTGCAAAGCCACAGGGGCAGAGCTACCCAAGACCACGGAAGCCCACCTATTGCATCAGCATGACCTGGATGTGAGACATGGAGTCAAAGGAGATGATTTTGAAACTTTAAGGTTTAATGACTGCACTATTGGATTTTGGACTTTCATGGGGCCTGTAGCCCCTTTGTGTCGGCCAATTTCTCCCATTTTGAATGGGTTTGTTTACCCAATGCCTGTACCCCCATTGTATCTAGGAAGTAACTAACTTGCTTTTGATTTTACAGGCTCATAGGTAAAAGGAATTTGCTTTGTCTCAGATGAGACTTTGGACTTGGCCTTTCTAGTTAATGCTGGAATGAGCTAAGACTTTGGGAGACTGTTAGAAAGTCATGACTGGTTTTGAAATGTAAAAAGGACCTGAGATTTGGGAGGGGCCAGGGGCAGAATGATATTGTTTGGCTGTGTCCCTACCCAAATCTCATCTTGAATTATAGTTCCCCTAATCCCCATGTGTCATGGAAGGGACCTGGTGGGAAGCGATTGAATCATGGGAGCAGTTTTCCCCCTACTATTCTCGTGATAATGAGTGAGTTCTCACAATATCTGATGGTTTGATAAGCATCTGGCATTTGCCCTGCTGGCACTCACTCTCTCTCCTTCTGCCCTGTGAAGAAGTGCCTTCCGCCATGATTGTAAGTTTTCTAAAGCCTCCCCATGTAGAACTGTGAGTCAATTAAATCTCTTTTCTTTATAAATTACCCGGGTATTTCTCAAGTATTTCTTCCATAGCAGTGTGAGAATGGACTAATACAGGGTAAACACATAGTAATGAGATTGCTGAATATCCAATAGGTAGTTTTTCGATCCTGCTCCTCTCCCTCCTTTCTCCATTTTGGAGAATGCAGTGTCTATTATTTCCATCTTTATCTCTGTGTGTGGCCATTTTTTATCTCTCACTTATATGTAAGAACATGTGGTATTTAATTTTCTGTTTCTGTATTAATGAGCTTAGGATAATGACCTCCAGCTGCATCCATGTTGCAGCAAAGAGCATAATTTTATTCTTTTTTTGGTTATATAATATTCAGTGACAATAAACATTTTCTTTATTCAATCTACCATTGATGGGCACTTAGGTTGATACCATGACTTTGCTGATTCACCCAAATCACATCTTGAATTGTAATCCCCACATGTCAAGGGAAAGCCTGGTGGGAGGTGATGTGTTCATGGGGGAAGTTTCCCCCATGCTGTTCTTGTGATAGTGAGTGAGTTCTTGCGAGATCTGATGGTTTAAAAGTGTTTGGTAATTTCCCTCTCCGTCTTTCTCTCTCCTGATGCCATGTAAAATGTGGCTTACTTCTCCTTCACCTTCCACCATAATTGTAAGTCTCCTGAGGGTATGTGAAACTGTGAGTCAATTAAACCTCTTTTGTTTATAAATTACCCAGTCTCAGGTAATTCATTACAGCAGTATGAAAATGGACTAATACACATGTTGCAGCAAAGGGCAGGATTTTATTCTTTTTCATGGCTACATAATATTCGGTGGTGTATGTGTACATCTTCTTTATCCAGTCTACCATTGATGGGCACCTAGGGTGACACTATGACTTTTCTGACTTTACTGTTGTGAATAGTGCTGTGATAAACATAGGAATGCAAGTGTCTTTTTGGTAGAACAGTATCTTTTCTTTTGAGTAGATACCCAATAATGATATCTAATGCTGGGTCAAATGATATTTCTGTTTTTAGTTCTTTGAGAAATCTACATGCTGCTTTTCACAGCGGCTGAACTAATTTACATTCCCACCAACATTGTATAAGTGCTCCCTTTCGTTTGCATTCTTGCCAACACCTGTTGTTTCTTGACTTTTTAATAATAGCAATTGTGACTGGTGTGAGATGAAATCTCATTGTGGTTTTGTACTGTATTTCTCTGGTGATTCATGGTGTTCAGCATTTTTCATGTTTGTTGACTACTTGTATTCCTCTTTTTGAGAAATGTCTCTTTATTTGCCCAGTTTTTAATGGGTTTTGTTTTTTTCTTGTTGATTTGTTTAATTTCCTTATAGATTCTACATATTAGTCCTTTGTTGGATGAATAGTTTGCAAATATTTTATCCAATTTTGTATACTTTCTTTTTACTCTTGATAGTTTCTTTTGCTGTACAGAAGCTCTTTAGTATAATTAAGTCACAATTGCCATTTGTTTATTTATTTAGAGACAGAGTTTTGCTCTTGTTGTCCAGGCTGGAGTGCAGTGGCCTGATCTTGGCTCACTGCAACCTCCGACCCCAAGTTCAAGCGATTCTCCTGCCTCGGCCTCCTGGGTAGCTGGGACTATAGGCGGCCACCACCACACCTGGCTAACTTTTGTATTTTTAGTAGAGATGGGGTTTCACTATGTTGGCCAGGCTGGTCTTGAACTCGTGACCTCAGATGATCCACCAGCCTTGGCCTCCCAAAGTGCTGGGATGCCAATTTTTATTTTTGTTGCATATGCTTTTGAGGTCTGAGTTATAAATTATTTGCCTAGGCCAATATCCCAAAGATATTTTCCTAGGCTTTCTCCTAGAATTTTTATACTTTGAGGTCTTACATTTAAGTATTTAATCCACATTGAGTTGATTTTTGTATATTGTTAGAGGTACTCGTCCTGGTTCATTCTTCTGTATATGGTTAGCCTGTTATTTCAGCACAATTTATTGAATAGGGTGTCCTTTCCCCATTGTTAATTTTTGTCAAGTTTGATGAATATCAGTTGGTTATAGGTGTGAGGCTTTATTTCTGGGTTCTCTCTTTTGTTCTCATGATCTACATGTCTATTTTTTACCAATACCAGGCTGTATTGGTTACTAGAGCCTTGTATTACAGTTTAAAGTCAGGTAATGTGATGTCTTCAGCCTTGTTTTTTTGCTTAGAATTGCATTGGCTATTTGGGCTCTTTTTGATTCTGTATGAATTTTAAGATTGTTTTTTCTAATTCTGAAAAAAATGATGTTGTTAATTTGATAGGAATTGTGTTAAATCTGTTGATTGCTTTGGGCAGTATGGCTATTTAAATTATATTGATTCTTCCAATTTATGAGCACGCAATGTTTTTCCATTTGTTTGTGTCAATTATAATTTCTTTCATCAGTGTTTGGAAGTTCTCCTTGCAAAAATCTTTCATCTCTTTGATTAAATATATTCCTAGGTATTTTATTTTTTCTTATAGTAAATGAAATTATGTTCTTGCTTTGTTTCTCAGCTTGAATGTTATTGGTGTTTATAAATGCTACTTATTTTTGTATGTTGACTGAACTTTACTAAAGTTGTTTATCAGATCTAGGATTATTTTGGAGAAATCTTCAGTGTTTTCTAGGTGTAGAATTGTAATCAGCGAACAAAGATAATTTGACTTTTTTTTTCTAATTTGGATGACTTTCATTTCTTTCTCTTTCCTGTTTGTTCTGGTTAGGGCTTTTAGTACTCTACTAAATAGGAATCATGAGAGTGGAAATCCTTGTCTTATTTCAAGTTTTGGGAAAATTCTTTCAACTTTTGCCTGTTCAATATAATGTTGGCTCTCCTTTTCTGATAGGCAGCTCTTATTACATTTCTTTGATGCCTAGTTTGTTGAGGATTTTTAGCATGAAAGGATGTTGAATGTTATCAAGTGCTTTATTTGTGTCTATTAGGATGATCGTATGGTTTTTGTTTTTAATTCTTTTTATATGGTAAATCACCTCTATTGATTTTCATATGTTGAACTCTCCTTATATTCCAGGAATAAAGCCCAGCTGATCATAATAAATTATCTTTTTGATGTGCTGCTATATTCAGTTTGCTAGCATTTTGTTGAGCAGTTTTGCATCTGTGTTCATCAGGGACATTGGTCTATAGTTTTCTTTTCCTTTTTTTTTTGTTGTGTCCTTGCCAGATTTTGGTATCAGAATAATATTGGTTTCATAGAAGGAGTTAGGTAGGAATATCTCCTCCTCAATTTGGGATAATAGTTTTATTAGGATTAGTACCATCTCTTCTTTTTATGTCTGGTAGAATTTGGCTGTGAATCCATCTGGTCCAGAGATTTTCTTGGTTGGTAGGGATTTTTTTTTTTTTCTGATTCAATTTTGTAACTCATTATTGGTCTGTTATGGGTTTCCATTTCTTCTTGGTTCAATCTTATAACACTGTGTATTTCCAGGAATGTATCAATTTCCTCTAGATTTTCTAATTTGTGCACATAAAGATGTTCATAGTAATCTCTGGGGATCCTTTGTATTTCTGTAGTATCAGTTGTAATGTCATCTTTGTCATTTCTGATTTTGCTTATTTGGATCTTCTCTCTCTTTTCTTTATTAACCTAGCTAATCCTCTATCATTCTTGTTTAGCCTTTCAAATAACCAACTTTTTGTTTTATTGATTCTTTGTATTTTCCTGTGGTCTGAATTTTATTGACTTCTGTTCTGATCTTAGTTTTTTTTTCTGCTAACTTTGTTTAGCTTGCTCATATTTTTCTAGTCCCTTTAGAGGCAAGGAAAGGTTATTTATTTGTGATCTTTCTATCTTCTATTTTTTTTTTTTTTGAGACGGAGTTTTACCCTTCTCACCCAGGCTGGAATGCAATGGTGCGATCTCTGCTCACTGCAACCTCCACCTCCTGGGTTCAAGTGATTCTCCAGCTTCAGCCTCCTGAGTAGCTGGGATTACAGGTGCCCGCCACCATGCCAGGCTACTTTGTGTATTTTTTTTTTTAGTAGAGATGGGGTTTCACCATGTTGACCAAGCTGCTCTGGAACTCTTAACTTCAGGTGATCTGTCTGCCTCAGCCTCCCAAAGTGCTAGGATTACAGGCATGAGCTACTGTGCCCGGCCTCTGTCTTCTTGATGGTAGAAGTTTACCACTATAAACTTTCCTTGTATCACTGCTTTCACTACTCCTTAGAGGTTTTAGTATGTTGTGTCTCAAATTTTATTTATTTCAAAGAACTTTTTGATTTCTACCTTAATTTCCTAGTTTATCTGACAGTCATTCAGGAGCAGGTTGTTTAGTTTCCATGTATTTGTGTGGTTTTGAGATTTTCTCTTGGTATTGATTTCTAATTTTATTCCATTGTTGTCTGAGAAGATGCTTTGCATGATTTTGATTTTTTTTTGAATTTATTAAGACTTACTTTATAACTGAGCATGTGGCCAATCTTAAAGAATGTTCCCTGCATAGATGAGAAGAATGCATACTCTGTGGTTTTGGGGTGAAGTATCTGTAGATGTCTATTCAGTCCATTTGGTCAAGTGTACAGTTTAAGTCAAGAATTTCTTTGTGAGTTTTCTGCCTTGATGGTATGTCTAATATTGTCAGTGGTCTGTGGAAGTCCTCCACCATTATTGCATGGCTATCTGTATCTTTTCTTACATCTAGTAGTAGTTTTTTAATAAATCTGGGTGCTCTGATGTTGGATGCATATGTATGCAGGATACTTAAATCTTCTTATTGAATTGAGTCCTTTATTATTATATAATGCCCTTCTTTGTCTCTGTTACTATTATTGGTTTAAAGTCTGTTTTATGTGATACAAGAATAGTGACATGGCCGGGCACGGTGGCTCATGCCTGTAATCTCAGCACTTTGGGAGGCCAAGGTGAGTGGATCACCTGAAGTCAGGAGTTTGAGACCAGCCTGGCCAACATGGTGAAACCCCATCTCTACTAAAAACACACAAAAATATTAGCTGGGTGTGGTGGTGGGCACCTGTAATCCCAGCCACTTGGGAGCCTACGGCAGGAGAATCACTTGAACCCTGGAGGCGGAGGTTGCAGTGAGCTGAGATCGCGCCATTGTACTCCAGCCTATGCAACAAGAGTGAAACTCCATCTCAGAAAAAAGAAAAAAAAAAAAAGAATAGTGACATCTGCCCTTTTTCCATTTGGGTGATAGATCTTTCTTCATCACTTTACTTTGAGCCTACTGGTGTCATTACATGTGTGATGGGTCTTTTGAAGGCAACAGAAGGTTGTGTCTTGTTTTCTTATCCGATTTGCCACTCTATCTTTTAAATTCAGCAATTAAGCTGTTTACATTCAAGGTTAATATTTTTATGTAAGAGTTTGTTCTGTTGTAGTGTCGTTAGGTAGTTTCTTTGTAATCTTGATTGTGTAGTTGCTTTATAGGGTCTGTTAGCTTTATACTTATGTGTGCTTTTATGATAACAAGTATCATTCTTTCATTTCCATTTTTAGAACTCTTTTAAAAATTTTTGTAGGACTGATTTGGTGGTAACAAATTCCCTTAGCATTTGCTTGTCTAGAAAAGACATTAGTTCTTCTTTGTTTATAAAGTTTAGTTTGGTGGGATGTATAATTCTTGGTTGGCATTTATGTTTTCTTTCAAAATGTTAAAAATAGACCCCCAATCTCTTCTGGCTTATAAGGTTTCTGCTGAGATGTCCACCATTAGTCTGATGGTATTCCCTTTATGGGTAATTTGGCCCTTTTCTCTAGCTTCCTTTGAGATTTTTTTTTTATTTCACATGAATCATGAATAGTCTGATGACTATTTGCCTTGGGAATGGTCATATTGTTTAGTATCTCTCAGTAGTTTTTATTTCTTATATATAATTTCTTATATCTGGATGGCAATGTCTCTAACAAGATTGGGGAAATTTTATTTAATTATTTCCTGAAATATGTTTTCCAATTTGCTTACTCTTTCTTCTTCTTTCTCAGGAATGCCAGTAAGTCATAGGTTTTTGTTGTTTAACATAATATCATATAATACTTCTTGAAGACTTTGTTCATTTTTTAAATTCTTTCCCTCTATTTTTGTCTGACTGAGTTAATTTGAAACATGGTCTTTGAGCTCTGGCTTTCTCTATTCTGCTTGTCTAGTCTGCAATTAAGTCTTCTGATTGTATTTTGAAATTCCTGTAGTAAATTTTCCAATTTCAGAAGTTCTGTTTGGGTTTTTGTTAATATACCTATGTCATCTTTCATATACTGAATCATTTTACTGTTTTCTTTTTCTATTGGATTTCAACATCCTCTTGAATCTTGAGTTTCCTTACAACCCATACTTAGAATTTTTAATCTGTCATTTCAGACATTTCAATCTGGTTAGGTTTCAGTGCTAAGGAGCTAGTACAATCCTTTGGAGATGTTGAAACACTGTGATTTTTTGTGCTGCTGGAGTTCTTATGCTGATTTTTCTCATCTGAGGAAAGTGTTGCTTCTTATTTTTGAATTTGCATTGTTTGGATGGGGCTCTTTATTTTTTTTCCTTTGAGGGTGTAACTGTGGTGGATGTTATGTATTATCTTTTGGCTTAGTTTCTGAATGCTTTTCTTGGGGGACAAGGCTCTACATGTTGGTTGTGGATACGTTTTGTGTGGTGGCTTTATCAGATATTGTTTGGTATAGCCATGTATTTTTTATTTGATGGTGCAGTTCAGTCTGTAGTCCAGTATATAGCACTTAGGAGTATGATATGGCAGGTAAGCTGCTGCCCAGTGGATGGTGGATGAATTTTCACTGATGAGGGTAGCAGGAAGAGATCATGATGGAGTGCCCTGAAGCCTCCAGGAAAGAGATGGAGGGGTGCACCAGCTCTTCATCCTGAACTAGCAGAAATGCAGTCTACTTCCCTATCATATCCCTGTCACAGGTCTCATGACCTTGTTTGTAAAATCTTCATCCTTTAGTTCCGAGCACAGTGCCTTTGTGGGCCATGGATCTGCCTCTCTGATGGCTACCACTATAATGAGGGTCAGGGTAGAACCTCTTCCTCCAGTACAGGACACACAACTTTGTAGTCTATCCTCTGTTGTCAGGGTGCTGCCACTCTGTGTTGGAAGGGGGAGTTGGACCCCACCCCTTGTGAAAGCCAGAGCATACACAGTCTCATTTTCAGCAGGGGTGGATCCACCACACCTGCTGAAAGCACAAAGAATCACTTTCTTTCAGTGCACACTCACCAGCTCTTGCAGGAAGAACTGCTGCTGCATTCATAACAGTGTACAGTGGATGAAAGGTGGGAGACGATCCTCTTCTTCATAATTATTCCTGCATATTGATGCTGTCTCGTTCCTCAGTTGGTGCCACATCTGTATTTCCTTTGTCCCAGGGAGTACTTTGGCAGGCTGTGCTCCCAGGCTCCTTAAAGGGTGGCTCCGTGCTGAGAGTAAGATCTCCAGAGAACCTACAATACCCCAGGCACCCACTGGTCCCCTGTGCTTGCCAAAGTCAGAGCAGGTTGTGGAGTATATTTTCAGGTGGTCTGGTGGTGCAGTGACTTAATGGCAGAGGATCCTTGGGAAGGAAAGTGACACACTGGTGCACAACCCGTATGGTGCCCATCATCTCAGTTCAGGTCCAAGGCGAGAGTGGGTATGGCTTTGTGAGCTGGCCACTGGTTCTGTGTTCTCAGGAAATTCTCTAATCATCACTGATTGTGTTGCCCTGGCTAGCAAGAGCAAAGGGGCTCCCCAACCGTTTAGCACTTGGCAGGTCTTCAGAGGGGTGTAGAAAGAAGCAACTTCCACCTACTCTTTTGGCTGAGCTCTGAGTTGCTCAGAGGTTGATATCAGCCAGAGTCTTGCTGCATTCTTCTTCTGTGCTGCAGCTTCTTCCCGTGGGCACTCCAACAGGTCCTCACTTCTCTATACTTTCCATTCAAAACTTGTTCATTCACTGGTAACTTTGATCTTTCTGAGAAGAGCTGGCATGTAATTTCCCTAATCAGCTTGAAAAAGAAACCATTTTGTTTTTAGAATGTATACATTTATCACTATAAATTTTCTCCTTAGTGCTGCTTTTGCTGTATCCCATTAGTTTTGGTATGTTGTGTTGTCATTTTCATTAGTCTCTAAATATTTTCTAATTTCCACTGTGGTTTCTTCTTTAATTAATTGATGGTTTAAGAGTGTATTTAATTTCCACAATTTTGTCAGTTTTCCAGTTTTACTTCTGTTATTGATTTCTAACTTTAGTTGTGTTCAGAAAAGATATTTTCTGTGATAGCTATCTTTTAAATCTCCTGAGACCTAATTTGGGCCTAACATATTTTCTATCTTGGAAAATATCCCATATACACTTGAGAAGAATGTGTATGCTGTTGTTGAGTAAATATTCTGTATATGTTAGAACTATTTGGTTTATTCTAAGTCCTCTATTTTCCTTACCTATCTTCTATCTGGTTGTTTTATCCATATTGAAAGTAGGGTATTGAAGTCTTAAACTGTTATTGTAGAATTGCTTATTTCTCCCTTCCATTATGTCAGTTTTTGCTTCAAATATTTTGATGGTTTGTAAGTGTTTATGATTGTTGTATCTTCTTACTATATTTAACCTTTCATCAGTATATCATGTCCTTCTATGTCTCTTGCAAACATTTTTATTTAAAGCCGAATTTTTCTGATATTAGTATAGCCACCCGTGTTCTCTTTTGACACAACACCCTACTCTCTTGACTTATCTAGCCAGGCTTCAGTGAAAAATCCTGTTAAGTCAGTTTGGTAAGAATCCCTGCAACCTTGAAATCAAATTCATTTTTTTATTGCCAACCTTTGATAGCTAAGTTCTTGGCCAGCCTTTAACAAGAATCCTCCTAAGCCAACCAGTGATCTCTGACTGCTGTTCAGAAGAAGCAAGAGGGATGGATAATGTAAAAATCTGAATCAATATTTCTAATTCTGGGCACATATTGGAATTGGCTAGTAATCTCATATTAGCTTGGTTCCAACAATTGCCCAGTTCATGGAAAGCCTTCTAATTTAGTTTACTTTGGATATTTTTACTTGTTTTGCTTTACTCTTGTGGAATATATTGCTGTTGTACTCTCTGTGTAGGAATGTAGGATAAATTTATTCAATGTTTCCTTAAATTAAACACTTATTAATCTCCCAGTTATCACCTTTTGTCAGAACTCAGAGTTAGGAATGGCCCTCACCACACTGATTCTTTCTGACTGAGCCCCTCTCTACCCCAAATACAGGGGACCCTAATAATTAGGCAGGAATATCATTACCCCTATTCAGCCTGAAGAAGTTTCAGAAGATGGATCTTCATCCCTTTGCAGCCCTTAGTATTAAGGATTCTCTTATAAAAGTGAGGGGGAAATGTCAGAGGTGTTTGAACCAGGGCAATTCCATCTTAAACAGGAGCTAGGTAAAATAAGGCTGTGATCTACTGGACTGCATTTCCAGAAGGTTAAGGCATTCTAAGTCACAGGATGAGATAGGAAGTTGGCACAAGATACAAGTCATAAAGACCTTGCTGATAAAACAGTTTGCAGCAAAGAAGTCAGCCAAAACCCGTCAAAATCAAGATGGTGACAAGAGTGACCTCTGGTTGTCCTCACTACTACACTTCTGCCAGCACCATGACACTTTACAAATGCCATGGCAACATCAGGAGGTTACCTTATATGGTCTAAAAAGGGGAGGCATGAATAATCCACCCCTTGTTTAGCATATACTCAAGAAATAACCATAAAAATGGGCAACCAGCAGCCCTCGGGGTGGCTATGTCTATGGAGTAGCCATTCTTTTATTCCTCTACTTTCTTAATAAGCTTGCTTTCCCTTTACTCTATGTACTCTGAATTCTCTCTTGCATGAGGTCCAAGAACCCTCTCTTGGAGCCTGGATCCAGACACCTTTCCTGTAACGACCATGTATGAATTGAAAAAATGATTAGACAGGGTGAAAAACAGATTAAAAATTAGTATTTAGTGTATGATTTCAATTTTCTAAAACTCTACAAAATTCAAACTAATCTAAAGTGACAAAAAGTAGGCCAGTGGTTCTCTGGGAGGAGGAGGGTAGATAGGATCACCATAGTATTACAGGGGATCCCTTGGGAGTGATTTATATGTTATAGGTAGTGATGTTTTCATGTTAGTTTAACACTTACTTATTGTTTGCTTGCTTGTTTACTTGCTTTCTGTGTCCCCTACTATAATTGATTATCTATAGCCAGGGTTGGCAAATTATGGCTCCATGGGCCAAATCTCAGTCATAGTCTGTGTATGTATGGCCCACAAGCTAAGAAGAGTTTTTATATTTTTAAAGGGATGTAAAAAAGAAAAAAATGCAACAGTAAGGAACAATATGCAACAGAGACTATATGCACCTCATAAAGTCTAAATATTTAATATCTGGCCTGTTACAGAAGAAATTTGCCAATCTCTATTCTATATGATCAATTATCTCCTATTCTATTCACATATATGTGGTAGCCTGTATATTACAAAATAGCTAGAAGAGAGTGTTGGAAATAAATTTTTGGTGCTGCAAAAGAAATAGCACTTGAACATGAATTTTCTCAGCAAGGCAATTTTACTTCCATAGAAGGGTGTGTCTCATGGATGGAGCAATGGTGAGAGCACACCTGAACAAGGGAGGGGAAGGGGTTCTTATCCCTGACACAGGTAGCCCCTGCTGCTGTGTCATTCCACTATTGACTAGGGTTGGACTGCACATCTAAGCTAATTCAGATTGGCTATTTTAAAGAGAACAGAGGTACGAGCCAGAGTGGCAGGATGAGTAGTTTGGCGGGAACAGTTACAGAACAGGTGACTCAGGATGACTAAGACCGAACAGAGCAGGTGACCAAGGATGATGAAGATCAGAGCAGGTGAACAAGGGTGACTAAGGTCAGAGCAGGTGATAGAGGGTAGGAGGAGGTTGTTTACTGAAACTAGGGGCAAGGAGACATAAAGAACAAGGAAATTCAACTTTAAAATGAAGAGGAAAGAATGGGGAGCTGAACATATTGATACATTGGTTCTTTGGAGAGGGTCTCAGAACTCATTGTACTTAACAATTTACAGGCTAAAACCTTTGAGGAGGAATTTATGATATCCTACAATTTTCCCCCTTTCAGTTTTCATAGTATTTCCTCTTCAAACTTTTTTTTTTTTTTTTTTTAACATATCTTGGCTTTGCTGCTCGACTTAATCCTCTAAAAGAAAAAGCTGATCTGAATAAGGTGAAGGAGAGCTAAGGGAGGTTTTAGTAAATGCTGCTTCTATAAGTCTTTGCACTAGCCCACGGATGCATGGTATGACACAACACTTGACAAGAATGAGTACACCTACTACAGCTGCAAGAGAAGTAAGAATTGAGGCTATGATTCCTTTCCATTTACTGAACCTTTTTTCTAGCCACCTGTGAAGGGATAATTCACTCCTGAGTTTTTGGCTAACTCATTGGACAGGGCAGTTAGATCTTGCAATGCCTTTGTTGTACTTCCATCAGGGGTGGTGTTGTTTGGGATGAAGGTACAACATTGAGTTTTAATCATGATGCAAACTCCTCCTCTTTCTGCTAATATTATGTCAAAGGCTATTCTATTTCCCCAAGCCATCTGGCTAGTAGGCCCTAATTGCTCAGCTATTCCTTTAACAGCATCTCTAGTGCAGTTAATAGACCGCTGTTGGTTGTAATAAATGTAATTTATCCAATCTATGTTTTTATTCATTTTCACCCACCAAAATATTGACTCAAATCCTGCAGCTATTTGATCTCTGGCTTTAAATTTATCTGGTACTCCTCATGGGACCCCAATTACATCTAAATAAGTGTGAGAGTCAGAAGACCCATAAAGGGCTTCCCTTGTTTTACGATGTTGTATTTTTCCTCTTTCTAGTTGATGAAATGCCAGGGTGAAAGGGATAGCCAACTGGACTAGAGCACAAGTGCCACTCCAGTTACTTGGCAGAGAGTCCACCACAATACCTCCATACATCTGCTCGGGGATGAACAAGGGCTGACTGATTGGTAAGCTCTTGGAAAGTCTTAAGCTCACTGCATCCTTTCAGGTCTCCAAGAAATGCTAAGTTTCCCCCCTGTCATGAGAGACAAGAAGTGAAATTAATGTGGGTAGGTGGAAGCTGGATGGCCTTCGGGGGTTGACCTGCAGAGTGTTGAACTTCGGGATACAGCAGAGAGAGAACTTGACATGGCTTGTTACCCCAGGCTGTGTAATCCTGGAAAAGAGCTACCATGCAGCCCATGCCTGGCCCACTGGAGGACCACCCTAGTGGAAAGGGGTCAATCTAGGCCTGCCGTGTGCTCAAGCATAACAATTGCTTTTGTTTAACCTGCGGATGGAATATTTGATCCATTCAAACCAGGCATTTGCATCTTGATATCCTGTCTCTATTGCTAAAGTTTGTTTTTAAGCATTTACTTCTACAATGTCTACTTTGGTCCTATCATTAGATGGAGGAGGAACAACCGTTTCATTATGAGAGGTTTTGGAAGAAGGCTTAGGGGAAGGTGTAGGTGGTGGGGGATCAATGAAACATATTTCAAAGTATCTGAAAGGGTCTGTTCCTGAAACCTCATCCCCCATACCATAAAAACTGGCTTAAAGAAGAGAACTGACTTAGAGAAGGGGAAGAGCTTTGAGGGTTTGGGATAATAACCTGTATTGGATTGCACTGGTTTAGCTGACAGCTAGGTGAAGCTGTTCCTTTAGTAAAATGAATGTATGGCTTTAGGAAATTACAACTACTGGTTGAGGCAGCCCATTCTTTCTCTTTAGTGGTCCACAGAACGTTGGACCAACTGCAGCATAAAAACTCAGTCTATGGGGGGCAAGACTCCCAGCTGATGCTGGGGCCCTCGTTGAAATCTTCCCAGACTAAATGATCCCAATTCACTAATGTCCAGTCTGAGAAAAGCCAGGAAGGGCAGAGGTACTTTTCTGAACTGGAGATCTGTCTTTGACTTAAAAAGTCTCCACAGGATGTAACAAGGCAAGCATCAAATGTAATAGTTTGAGGTGAAATGGACTTGGTTACATTAATAACTAGGTGGTCAGCAATAGAGTGAGGAAAGAAGGAATCATAGAATAGATGAAAGAAAGTTAAATTTTTCTTAGCTTTAGTTTGGTAGGGTTTTCCCCTGGGACTATGGCCCATGACTCTGGAGGGGGTGGTGCTTTCTTGACTCGGGTGTAATGGGCCCATCCTTTTTCTGCTATTCAGCCTGCAGTTTCAGTAGTTAGGAGCATGAGGTAAGGTCCTTCCCAGGCCAGTTCCAGCTTTTCCTTCTCTCCAAATTTTGATGGGGACGTGGTCCCCAGGCTGATGTTGGTGTACTGGAAACTCTAGAGGTGGCACCTGTGCTAAAAGACCTTTAGTTCTGAGGGAAGATAAAATGGAAGATAAACCAAGTATATAATTTCTGAGAAACTGATCTTTTGTTTCAAATGTAGGAAGATCAGTAGTAGAATGTAGATAAGGTGATCCATAAAGCATCTCTTAAGGGGATAGGCCTATGTCTTTTCAGGGAGCAGTTCAGACTCTTAACAGGGTAATAGGCCTTTCTACTTTCCCTAATGAAGATGGGTGCCAGGGAGTATGATAATCCCATGTTACATCCAGTACCTGGGATAATTTCTTAATGACATGTGCCGTGAAATGAGTCCCATTATCTGAATTAATGTTTTCTATTAATTTAAACCTGGGTATAATATTTTCAACTAATGCCTTGACTACATTATTAGCAGTTGTACTTGAAAAGGGAATAGCTTCTACCCAATGAGTAAGGTGATCTACTATTACTAATAAATATTTTAGACGACCAATTGGAGGCATCTGTGTGTAATCATTCTGGATACTTTGGAATGGCCTTAAGCCTGGACTTCTTCCCCCAAGGGGTAATCTTTTACTAAGCAACTGTCTGTAACCTGTTTGGCCAGGGTATAAATTCCTATGCACCCATAAACTCTGAGGACTGCGTCACACATGGCTTGGGGCCCACAATGGGTCCCTTGATGCAGTTGGAACAAGATCTCCCTTATAAGGGACTTGGATAACATTTCTCTCTGGTCTAGCAATATCCATTTTCCTTCTGAATTCTCTTTAGCACCTATTTTTATTAGGTTTTAGACCAAAGAAAGCCAAACACCACTTTATATTTGACAATGCTTCCTGTATGATTTTATACCAGATAGGCTAAATTTCACCTTTATATTAATGTTATGTTATATTATATTATATTATATTAATGTGTGCCATTAATGTTAAACTCAATTTTAATAAAACCTTGTAGGTGTATTTATCCAATTTTAATGTCTGACCATAAGGTAAGATTTTTATAGACTCTTTTTAAGCCTTTATAATTTTTGTTAAAGAACAGGTTAGTGCTTTAAGAAAAACCCGTTGTGCTTTTATTTTAATGTCCAGTTTACAGAAAAACTGTACCAGTCAGCCTGAGCTCTTGTTGTTTGAGTAACTTCGCAAGGAACTTGGGTACCGTCTTTAGTGAAAAACATAATATTCTGAAACTTTTTTGCATACTAGGAATAGGAAAATGTGTGTGAGAGGATAACCAGAAAATCATATTTTCTGGACAGGGCACACTGTACTCCAACTATAATACACAGTAAATGTATTACTATAAGCAGCAATACACTTAAAAAGTGTGCCATCTGGGTCAAAGAAACCAAAAAAAAAACAAAACAAAACACCACAAAACCTGCGTAGGAAATCCATTCTGCTATTTTCTAGCTTTATAATATTGCACCATATTCTTAATGCTTCTTTACCTTATTTTTATCATATGTAAAATGAAAGGAATAAATATATCCTAGAGATATTTTAAAGCTTAAAAAGATGTAAAACTATTACTACATTTCTTGTTGTACAATGTTAACTCAGTTGTAATTAGTACTGGTACCACAATATATCATTTGTTTTATGCATAAAATTAGAATATGCAAAAATATTGTAAAATTTTGGAAGTGTTGTATTATTGTAAAAAGTTTTACTACTTTTTTATACTTACTTTTTTTACTTACACTTTTTTGTATTTAATTTTTTTCTTATATTTAAATGTTAATGCACATTTGTTTTATTTTCATTTTGTTATTTCTTAAATAACTCGGAATCCTTTGGCTCAGAAACTTTTTTTTCCCTTCACTAATAGGACTTATTAAATCCCTTTAGGAGACTGTAAAGACTGAGTCTGGAAAACAATCGGTTAACATTATATCAGACTATGACTAGAACCCAGTAAAAAAAATATAGAAATAGCCTTGAATGCTATAAAAGAGGAAAAGCCTAAAATAGCCTGTAGTGGTGAATCCCCAAAAATCTTGGTCTTGTAAGTGATCAAGGAGGGGTAAATTTATGATGAACTCTAAGGTCTTGAAATAGGGTTCTGTCATTTTCAGAGCCTACACTGGGCAATTTAAAAATGAAATATCAACTGAATTAAAAAGTCCACATAGAAAAGTTATAATATCTACCAAATACTAATATAAAAATACTCTAAGAAGATAAGATCATAAAAATCTAGGGGGAAAATATTTTATACTAAGATTCAGACTCCTACTATCATGAAGATAAGTGGTAGAGAATTATAACTCGTCTCTGGTCCCCCAGATTATTTTATCAGTACTAAACAGAAGTGGACATAGGCCAATATAAAACATACCAGTAAATAAATTTGTTCAGGTGGTTGTTTTTCATGAACAACATATATTAAACAGCCACTGTGATGAAGGCTTTGTGAAAGTGTGAAATGTAAATGCCTTCTGCTGGGTAGTCATGCCCTTTTACATTTTACTGTATCTTTCACACCATTCATAGACGTGTCTTCATGTGCTGTCAGATATATAGTGCAGTATAAAATGCATTCGTATCTAGATCTATCACATACTGTATATCACATATCATATACTTATAAATAGATCTATTATATCTGTGGCTTGGAGATATGCACCTATCATTACTCCAAAGTTGGTGTGAGTAGTACTGTTTTCAAAGGGAGAGACAACAGTATATTAACCATTTATAAGGTAATGTCATTTTCTCAATGTCATCAAAGTCTGTATCTTAAGAAATTTTAAAATAAAGAATACAAAGTAGGATATTAAAAAATATACAATGGAGAAAGAATATTTAAAATCACTAAAGTTTATTTCATGAGTTTTTATTATCATTACAGTTTGCTTCAAATCGATCAACTGAGCTTTCCCACAGGCCAAGTTGATTTGCTTTAAGATTACAGTGAATCCACTTGTAAGTGTATGGAGACAGGGCTAAAGTGGTAACAGTCTCATAAGTTTACTTTGTTTCTAGGAAAAGAACATTTCTTATGACTACAGAAACCTGACTAGGCTTCAGATACCGACTCTTCAGTTTTGACATAGCTGCCTTCACTTCTTTGTTTCTTAGCGTGTAGATTACAGGGTTTAAAATAAGCGTGAAGATGGTGTAGAATACAGCAAGGACTTTGTCAACTGAGTAACTGCTGAAGGGCCACACATAGATGAAAATGCATGGTCCAAAGAATAAAGTGACCACAGTGATGTGAGCAGTCAATGTGGAGCGGGCCTTCGCCATGCTTGCAGAGGAGCGATTCCTAACTGTAACAAGTATTACAGTGTAGGAGACAACCAAGAGGAGAAAGGAACTCAGAGAAAGAAAGCCACTATCTGCAACTATTAGTAAGCTGACAACATAAGTGTCTATGCAGGCTAACTTGGTCACTAGAGGAAGGTCACAGAAAAAACTGTCTACCTTATTAGGACCACAAAATGGCAGATTAACAGTGAATGCCAACTGGCTGGTAGTATGGATGAAGCCCACAAACCATGAAATGAGGACGAGCACAACACATACACGACGGCTCATGACTGTCATGTAGTGGAGAGGTTTGCATATAGCAACATAACGGTCATAGGCCATGGAAACTAGGAGCACCATTTCACTGCCAGTGAAGAGATGAACAAAGAAAATCTGGGCCAGGCAGGCATCAAAAGAAATAGTCTTGCGCTCAACCAGAAAGTCTGCAATCATTTTAGGGGTAGCAAAAGAGGCAACACATACGTCTATAAATGACAGGTTTGCAAGCAGAAAGTACATGGGGGTGTGAAGGCGGGAATCTGAGGTCACAGTGAGGATGATGAGAAAGTTGCCCAACAGAATTGCTAGATAAAGTAGTGAAAATGTAAGAAACAAGAAAGGTTGGAGCTCCCTTGAACTAGACAGTCCCAGCAACACAAATTCTGTCACCCGAGAATGATTTGTCTCATTCATCGATTTTGGAAGGGACTTAATTTCAGCTACCTGAATAGGAGAGAAACAGAGATCAGTTAATGAAGTGAGCATGGGTTTGATTTTCCAATTACACTTAAACTTTTCAGAATTCCAATTCCTATTGCTATGTATGTGTCTGGGTTTTCATGAGTTATTACAAGTTATACAGCTAGTACAGCTAAGTATGGAAGATTGCGTTAAAGGGGAGGGTTGTCAAGGAGATGTTCAACCAACTGGGATATCTAAATACATTAATTTAAGAAATAAAATCAACAATCTAAAAATGAATTTGAGCATCTGAAGTTTTTGTGACACTACAGAAATCAGTCTAAAAATCTACGGAGACAAAATCTAAACCAATTTTTTCTAAAGTAAATGATATAAAAATTTTTTGAACATCTGCCACAGAGGAAGATAATTTCACAAACTTGATGACTTAAAAAGTTAGATACGGAAGAGTATACACTGTATTGGTCTATTTAAATGAAGTTCAAAAATGGCAAACTAAGGTGTAGAAAAACCTCCTAGCAGTTATCCTTAAGGGACAGGAAGTGGTCATGGGAGGGGCTTCTGAAGTGCTGGTAATATTCTTTCTTGATGTGGTTGATAGTTACATGGGAGTATTTACTTTATGAAAACTTACTGAAATATGAACTTTTGCTTTTTTCACTTTTGTATACATAAGTTGCATAATTATGAAAATTAAAACAAGAGAGAAAGAGAGACAGCATTAGATTTGCATAAGAGAGCTCACAGGAGAAATCATTGCCTTAAGTGATTATACCTTATTTCTTCTCTACAGTTAAAAATTATATAAACTAAAGTACAGAACCCTGGCAAAATTGAAAGGCCCCAATATTATTGGAACTCTTTTATGATTCAGCTCTTCATGGAGTTCTACTTTATCATGAAATCTAGCACACTGGTTCCTTTCAATTAATCCCTGAAGGTATGAAGCTTCTTTAAACTTAGCCATTGGTGTTACTAACCATAGACATTTTATTGAGCTATGATTGATATTTCATTTGATGTGATGTGGCTTAAAAACTTATAAGTTATATTGCTTACTATAAATACTAATATAACTAATAAGTTATATTACTTATTACTAAGGAATTCAGACCAGGAAAAAAATGATTTTTCTTTTCTATTCAGTTACTCTATATTCTATGTTATCAGAGCTTTCTTCCTTTTGTTATTTTTATTTGTAGAAGCTATTTAGAACTTATAAAAGTTTTATGGAAAATAGGAAAAAATAAAATGTGAATTTTAAAGGAGCATTACATTATCTGATTTTGAAGAATCTTTCTCTACATCTTAATCAGGTCTTGGGAGAGGATGTCTTTTATTTTAATCATTTCTAACCACTTGCAACTTTTGATATTAATGTCTTCTTAGATCATAGCTGCAAATTGCTTAGTCTCTCTTTGGGTTAGATTGGAGGGTTTATTTATAAGAACAGAACACGTGATAAATAATTTTAACTCTCAGAAACCAAATTTGGAGTCACCTCTGTATTTCAAATCTCCAATTCTCCCCCCAAAAATACAAATTTTCTCCCTTATTTGCAGATAATGTGTTCCAAGAACCCCAGTGGATGCTTGAAACCACTGATAGTACTGAACCCTATATAAGCTATATTTTTCCTATACATGCATACCTAAGATAAAGTTTAATTTATAAATTAGGCACAGAGAGAGATGAACAGTAATAACTAACAATAAAATAAAAAAGTATAACAATATACTGAAATAGCATTTATGTGAATGTGTTTCTTTTTTTTCTTTCTCTCGCTCTCAAAATAGGTTAATATTTTTGGACCACAGTTGACCTGAGGTAACTGAAACTGCTGAAAACAAAACCATGGATAAGGGAGGACTCTTGTATTATCACAGATTATATCAAAACTATGGCTCTAGGCTTTTTGGAAGAGTTTAACAAGTGGAGCTTGAAGGTAAAGCAGGCTACCGAAAAAAATTATACAAATCTCTCTTTCTTCTCACTTCCCAGAAGTCCTGACCCTTCAATCCTGTGACATAAATACTGCATTGAATCCCTAAGGCATGAATGGAAGTAAAATCTAACAAAATCAGTGAATAGGAGTTCATAGGTACTCCATCAGAAAGAGCAAAGCCATAAGCACAAGGAATGAGTGTCCTACGGAGACCCTCCGGTGCTGCAGCAGAGAGGGGCATCAGGAGGCATTTCTGAGCACAGAAACTTCCTGGTGTCTTTAGGCTAAGACACATAATCCAACTGTGTGAAAGACAGTCATAAGAATCATCCTCCCAATAGCTTTTCTGACTCTTCTGCAGAACTCTGTTGTTCCATTTTCATCGGCTTCTTCAGGTGCTCAGAAAAGAAAAGACCCTGTTTTTCATGGAGAAAAACATTGGGCAAATTGATTCAATCAAGAACTTTCTTAGTATATAAGATGAAACTGGTGGAACACATGAACTCTGAACCTGTTTCTTACCTAAATCCATTCATGTTTAGTTCATTTACTTTATATAAATTTAAATACCTGCTTTTCCCCAGACACTGTGCTATGCACTGGTGATGAGGCAGTTAGGTTTATAACTTATCTCCCTAAAAATCATTTGCTAATATTAATAACCCTTTGTTATTTAGACAAGCTGATGAATTCACTTCCCTTTACCCCCAGTACATTCCCTATTAGATAAAACGGACTGTCTTTTTGTTCCCAATAAAATCACTGTACTGTAGTGAAAACAAAGCTATTATTTTAAAATGTTCTATGTTGTATCATTGGGTAACTGTGTGACACTGAGCAGTTCCTTTAGCCATTCAGGGACTATTATCATCAAATATTAAATCTTGAGACTATTAACCTTAAAGAGACACTAAAAATATTTATTAAAAGATTATGTAAATGAAAATTCTTTAACCAACTGTAGTGACTAAGTATATGTATGCATTCTTAGTAATGTATTATTTTAGATCAGAAGAAGTAAATATTTTCTCATAATTTTACATTATGTGGTCTGACTCACACAATAATGAGTTTCCAATAAGTAGATGTGTTTATGTAAAGACCTTTTTTTAAAAAAAAATTCTTGAAAATTTGAAGATGGATTAATGCATGTATACAGGGCTGTGCTTGGCAAACCTCAGTTCCCTCCTATTTTAAATTCTGTCAAATGAATCTTGCCTCAATATTTCTATCTCAGATATTATGACTATAGATGAAGTGAAATAAATAGGTATCGTTTACAGGGGCCACCAAACTCTACCAGTTCAAATAGATATCTTTCACAAACTTGCTGATATTGCTGTTCCTCTGACCCTCCCACTCCAAATGTGGATCAGAGGAATAGCAGTCTCTCTATTATAGACTATATTGGAGACAAATGCTGGTTCATGGTCTTCAGAAGGATGCTGAAAAAACACTTTCACTTACCTAAGGTGAAATGGAAAGTGTGGAGCTATCCTGTAATCTATAGGCATTAATGCTTGGGAATAATTTTGTTGTTACTTCCACATCTCCTAAGAAAACAGAACAATCCCTCAGGAGATAAGTCGTAAAGAATTTACTTCTAAATAAGACAGAAGTGGATTCAGGGTTTCTGTAGCTGAGTTGTCTTCAAGGAGGTGAGACAGGTCTGGATGCTGTATCTTAATCTAAGTCTTAGGCAACTAGAGGAGCATTTGGAGCAGTCAGAAATCTGAAAGGAGAAAAAGAGTAGACTGAAAAGAAGAAATGCTGAAAACAAAACCTTCTGCTTCACAATTTTGCAAAGGATTCAGCCTCACTGGATCTATAAAACTGGAGAATGTTTTAGGAAGTACCATCAATAATAGTGATTTTTATATGATTTGGGATCTGTAAAGACTCTGAAGTAGTAGGAATATTGCATCATTTTATCAAAAATTTCATCAGGGAAAATTTTGGGTTTTCTTCCTTTCATCTGACTTTCCCTTGATTCAAAGTGTAGGTGACTTTTTACTTGCTTCTCACAGATGTAATATATATATACATATAATCATTATGTAACTAAATCAAACATCTTGTGCAGTAGTGATATAATGAATTTACCATAATAGTAGTAATATTTTAAAGTATATTTTAAGGAATTATACATGGGATATGCTTTTGTTCACAAATAGAATATATATCCAGCAAGAAATGTTGAATTTCATTAGTGGTTTATATTATTACTTTCTAGTCATAGATTAACAAGGACCATTCTAAACTATAAGCTTTAAAAACCTGAAGTTCAAATCAATAGAAGCTGTCCAAAGACATTATGGACTATCAAAAATGTATTAGCCATATTGAGTACAATGTACACTACTTGTGTTTGTGGGTGATAGGTACATTAAAAATGTTATACTTCACTACTATATAATTTATCAATGTAACCAAAAACCTCTTGTATCCTAAAAGTTATTGAGATAAAAGAATATGTAATTTTTAAAAATTAAATACACATATTAGCCTAGGATATAGAAAATATATTTTCCAATTCTATCTTTCACTAAATAACTTTATAATTGTAAGCAAATTACATACCCTCCCAGGTGCTCTGTGTTTCCTCAAAAAAGAGTAGAATTCCCTCTCCCAAATGCAGTCTCCGGTTTTTGAAAAACATGATCCAAAATGAGTAAGTCAATTCAAAGATAAGAATAATTATACAATATTATATTGAAATTAAAGTATATCCAATCAAAAGGGTAAAACTCCTGGTTTTAGTAAAGTAATGCAGCAATTGCTCTTCAGAGTTAGGTATTGGGACAACAGTAAATAGGTAAAATGGGCACAGAATATTCAAAGATTAATTTAAAACAATATGGAGGATAATTGACTGTCTCTGGTCTCTGTTCTGTGTTCTGACTCAATCTCTGTCCTTGGCCTTAAAATATCAGCACCTACCCAGGAAAACAAAATTCACCGGGAGCCATTGGATGAGGGACAAAGATAGAGAATCCATGTCTTTCCAGACTTCAGTCTTCACCCTTTACACTCTGAAGTATCAGTATACTCAGCACACTGATACAAGAAAAGCCATCACGATTATTACAAGCTAATTAGGAATTTGACATCACTGGACTGTAGTGACCAAGAGACCCAGAGGAGAATTGTGATAGCAGAAATCACCTTAATCACGGATAATTACGTGAGACAATTTGTTTGCCCACAAGAATTATAGTGCATCACCTTGAGGATCTCACAAATGGAAGAAGCAGCAGGCCTAATGGAAATGCTTTGTTCTGTAAGAGATGTAACACTTTTTTTAAAAAGCAATGAGTAATTTTGTTAGCTACTTCTTTGTGCTTCCGAAGAGCTTTAGAAAAGCACTATTGGGAGTGTCAAAAATTGATGGGGAGTCATCATGTGACTGTGCATATTACATGGCAAACACCTTGGCATTTTGACAGCTTCACAAAAGCCATGTGCTTGGTTTCTAGGGCAAGGATTCTAGAGTAAAAAAGTGAAAGCTGCTTTATTAATACAATAGAAATGCTGTATCTATAGATTCTAGTAAAGAGACTCCAAATAATTTTGCAAACATTTATACTTCTGAGTTCAAATAAAGAATTTGAGCATTAGTGGGACTCTAGGTTCATAACACAAAACTCAAGACTCTAGTACCATACAGTCTAGATGTGTCATGATCAAAACTCCCCTGTGCACCCCTTTACAGATAACCACTTCCCCTCCTCAAACACCTGGAAACCATTCATCTGTTTTCCATGCCTACAGATGTGCCTTTTCCGGAACATGAGACAAATGAAATTGTACAATACGTAGCCTTTTCAACTGTCTTCTTTCATTTAGCAATATACATTCAAGATTCATTCTTCTTGTTGCATGGATTAATAGCTCATTCTTTTTTATGTGGAATAGTATCCCATTGTATTTCTACCACAGTTTGTGTATCCATTTGTATATTGAAGGACCTCTTGGTTGCTTTTTCTCTGTTTTTGGTGATTATGAATAAAACTGCTATAAACATTTTTTGTAGGTTTTTATGTTTATGTTATTTTTCAAGTCAGGTGGAAGATATGATTTGATAAGAAGAAATATTTGATTTTATCTATTTTAAACTCTGAGATTAGGTGCAAAAAGATTAGGATTGGTATGTATTCATGATTGATTAAGCCCGTTATCATATGACATGCTTCTCTTTACTTTTGATTATATTTTTTCTTCTGAAATCTACAGAGTCAGATATTGATATGACTGCTTTAGCTCCTTTATAATTACTATTTGCATTGTATTGTATATCTTTGTTCATCTTTTTATGTTTAAGTAGTCTGTGTCTTTATATTTAAAGTGGATTCAAGGTAGGCAGCAAATAGTTGGCTGTTGCTTGTATTGTTCATTCTAGCAATGTCTGCCTTTTAGTAGACTTCTTATACTATTTACATATAATGTAAATGATATGTTGGGTTTATGTCTACTACCTTGCTACTTTTTTTTAATTTGGGACTTCCTTTACTTTCCATTTTTGTAGTAGAATTATATCAACCATGATATGTCTTGCTTTTGTTTGACTTACAAAGTCTTCATTTCACTTTCATTTTGAAGGATATTTTTCATACTTAAATGATTGTGTGGACTCTGTTGTTTTCATTCTGTTTTTTTTTTAACAATTCTAATCCTGTTTTATAATAAGTACTCAGTTATCCAAATCCTGGTTTTTCAGTATATGGTTGTTCTTTTATCCATGGCTACCGTAAGATATTTTCTGTATGACAAGTTTCCCATATGAATTGTGATATGTCTTCTTGTGATTTTCTTTTGATTTATCTCGCTTGAGGTTGGTAGAACTTCTTGACTTTTTTTATTATAACTTTCAATCAAATTCAGAACATTTTGTTCCCCATTTTATCCTTTCCTCTGGAACTCCAGTTACATACGTGTTAGGCCAGTTGGCATTCTCTTGCATATTGCTGTGACACTGTTCAGTTTTTCCTTTCACATTTTTGTCTCTGTACTTTGGTTTAGAGATTTTCTATTGCTGTGTCTTCTAGTTTACTGATAATTTCCTTTGTGGTGTCTAACATTTTTCACCTCATGAAATCTTGATGTTGTTAATATATTCCATTCCTCTCTTCATTCTGTTTATATTTTTTATTTATATACTTGAGCATACTTATGACAGCTCTCTTAAAGTTATTTTATTCTAATTTCCACATCTTGGTAATTTCTGAGCTTATTTGAATCAGTTTCCAATTCTACTCATTATGATGTATATTTTTATGCTTTATTACATTTATTAATGGACACTAAAAATATTTCTGAGTGCTGGATTCTTTCTTTTCCTATTCAAAAGTAGTAGTCTTCGTTCAGTCGCAAAGTTACTTGTGGGCTAGGCTAATTATGTCATTTTATTTTTAAATATTTTAGGATGGGTTTAGAGTAGGCTTCTCTAAGCTACTTTAGCCTTAGTATTAAGGAATTATCTGATATTTAAGGCATTGCCCAGGATCGACTAAGTTCTTGGGTTTATTTCATTTTATTTATTTATTGAGATGGAGTTTTCACTCTTGTTGCCCAGGCTGGAGTGCAATGGCGTGATCTCGGCTCACTGCAATCTTCGCCTCCCAGGTTCAACCCATTCTCCTGCTTCAGCCTCCCACGTAGCTGGGATTACAGGCAACTGCCACCAAGCCTGGCTAATTTTGTATTTTTAGTAGAGACGGGGTTTCTTTATGTTGGTCAGGCTGGTCTCAAACTCCCGATCTCAGGTGATCCACCCGCCTCGGCCTCCCAAAGTGCTAGGATTATAGGCATGAGCCACCGCGCTTTAGCCTTTGTGTACTCAGCTTACTATTCAGTAACAACTCAAGTGGGCCCCATAGAAACTTCTGGAGAGTTTTTTTCTATGTAATTTTTCTGTTGTTGTTGTTGTTGTCCTGGATGTAGATTTTGGCCATCGCCAACTCTCTGAACTCCATTTTCTGGATTCTAAGTGCCAACTCTCTGAACTCCGTTTTCTGGATTCTAACTCATGAAGTCAACTGTGCTCTGCTTTGAATTACCTTTGCTGCCCTGAGATGTGGAAAGTACCTCCATGGAGGAAAATGTGTTGATCATAATATTAATCTTATGTTTTATTCTCTCAAGGATCTTAGTCTTGTGTTGCATGTAGACTAATGCTTAAACACAATGTAGTGATATATTTTATCCAGTTTTCCTATTGATTATGAAGCGAAATTAAATCCAGTAGTACCTCATGGCTGGAAGTGGAAGTTCATACTGTTTTTTTAAATAAAAAATTCATGAATACTGTTTACTTCTCTTTTAAAATGATTTATAATTCATTTACCTGAAATTTATCCTTTTAAAGTGTACAATTCAGTAAATTTTATCATGTTAACAAGGTTATGCAGCTATCACCACTGTCTATCTCTGAAACATTTTCCACAACCCCAAAAGAAACCCCATAACCATTAGCATTTACTTCCCATTCTCCCTAAATGCAGCCCTTGGATACCATTAAACTATTTTCTGACTCTTTGGAATTGTCTATTCGGGACATTTCTAATAAGTGATATGACATAATAATAATGTGTCTGGCTTCCTTAACTTGGCATATTGTTTTTAAGTTTCATCCATGTTATGACATGTATCAATACTGTATTCCCTCTTATAGCTATGTAATATTCCATTGTAAGGATATAGAAATTTTGTTTATTCATTCATCAGTTGATGGGAATTTGGGTTGTTTCCAGTTTTGATTGTCAATAGTACTGCTGCTGTGAACACTTGTGTACAAGTTTTTGGATAAACATCTTATATCTCTGAAATGAAATAAAAACCTATGAACGCTGACTAGAATTGGAATTTCTGGGGCATATGTTTCACTTTTTGGGGAACTACCAAACAGATTTCCAGAGTGGCTACACCAATTTACATTCTTACAAGCAATAGATAAGCAATTTAATTTCTTGACAATTTTGACAGCATTTGTTATCTTCCATTTTTTAAATTACTTTCAGCTATCCTAATGGTTGTGAATTGGTATATCATTGTAGTTTAAATTTCCATTTTATTAACGACTAATGGTGTTGAGCAATATTATGTGGTTACGGTTATGTGCATGTCTTGTTTGGAGAAAAGTCTATTCAAATCCATTGCCCATTTTTAAGTGGGTTATTTGTCTTTTTAGTTGTTATTTTTGAGAGTTCTTTACATATTCTGGATACAAGACCCATGTCAGACATAAGTTCACAATTTTTTTCATTTGGTGAGTTTTCTTTGAACTTTCTAGATTGTGTCACTTAAACCTCAACAGTTTTTAATTTTGATAAAATTAAATATCTATTTTTCTTTGGTTACTTGTGTTTTAGGTGTCAAATCAGAGAAATTATTGCCTAATCCGAAGTCACAAAGATTTAGGTATGTTTTGGTATGCTGTATTTTCATTTTCATCTTAAAGCATTTTATAATTTCCCTTGTAATTCTTTCTTTGGTCCTATGGATATTAGGAATATGTTGTTGAACTTCCACTATTTGTTTATTTTTCAAGTTTTATTGTGTTACTGATCTCTAATTTCATTCCATTGTAATCAGAAAACATAGTTTGCATGATTTTAATCCTTTTAAATTTAGTGAGACTTGGTTTAGGGCCTAATATATCGTTTATCCTAGAGAATGTTCTATGTGCACTTGAGGAAACTATGTATTCTATTGTTGTTTGGTGGAGTGTTTTATAAATACATTAAGTCTAGGCGACTTACAGAGTTTTTCAAGTCTTTTATTTCCTTGCTGATCTTCTATCTTAGTGCTCTACTTAAAAGTATTAACATTTTTTTGGTGAGTTGATGTCCTTTGTAGGGACATGGATGAAATTGGAAATCATCATTCTCAGTAAACTATCGCAAGAAGAAAAAACCAAACACCGCATATTCTCACTCATAGGTGGGAATTGAACAATGAGAACACATGGACACAGGAAGGGGAACATCACACTCTGGGGACTGTTGTGGGGTGGGGGGAGGGGGGAGGGATAGCATTGGGAGATATACCTAATGCTAGATGACGAGTTAGTGGGTGCAGCGCACCAGAATTTCACATGTATACATATGTAACTAACCTGCACATTGTGCACATGTACCCTAAAACTTAAAGTATAATAAAAAAAAAGTATTAAAATTTTTGTCTATTACTGTCAAACTCTCTATTTCTCCCTTGAGTTACGTAAGTTTTTCTTTATGTATTTTAGGACTCTGTTGCCATTTGATGAAATAAATAAACACATAAACATATGTGTACAAAATTGTTTAATCTTCTTGATAGGTTTATGCTTGTATCATTACACAATGTCCTTCTCTCTCTATTAAACTATCGCAAGGACAAAAAACCAAACACCACATGTTCTCACTCATAGGTGGGAATTGAACAATGAGAACGCTTGGACACAGGGTGGGGAACATCACACACCGGGGCCTGTTGTGGGGTGGGGGAAGCGGGGAGGGATAGCATTAGGAGATATACCTAATGTTAAATGACAAGTTAATGGGTGCAGCACACCAACATGGCACATGTATACATATGTAACTAACCTGTACGTTGTGCACATGTACCCTAAAACTTAAAGTATAATAAAAAATATATATATAAAGATGTTTTGTTATGAAGTCCATTTTATCTGATGTTGATATATACACTCCAACTCTTTTGCTTATGGCTGTTGGGATACTATATATTTTTTTCATGAATCGTCTGACAACCAATTTGTATGTTTGAATCAAAAGTGAGTTTTTTATAGGCATCATATAGATAAGTCAAGCTTTCAATCCATTCTGCTTATATCTGCCTTTTAATTGAAGTATTTAATCTATTTACATTTAGTCATTAATAATAAGGTAGGGCATCTGCTACTCTGTTATTTGTTTCTATATGTCTTGTATCTTTTATGTTTCTCTATTTCTTATTATAGTCTCCTTTCATGTTAAACATATGTTTGCTGGTATACCGTTTTAATTATCTCATATTAGTGGTTTCCCTGGGGCTTACAATTATCACCTTAACTTACAACAATCAAGTTTGGATTAATATCTATTTAATTTCAATAATATTTTTAAAACTTTGCTTCCATATAGCTCTGTTTTTCCCCTTTCTCCAGGCTGTTATTATCACACAAATTACATCTTTATACATGTTGTGCTGAACAACAAGTGGATTTGTAGGTGTTTCTTTCTGAAGTTATCTTCTAAATCAGGTAAGAGAAAAAAGTATTACAAATAAAATATATATATTTATGTATTTTTTTATAAGACTTTTTATTTTTATTTTATTATTATTATTATAATTTAAGATTTAGGGTACATGTGCACAATGTGCAGGTTAGTTACATATGTATACATGTGCCATGCTGGTGTGCCACACCCATTGACTCATCATTTAGCATTAGGTATATCTCCTAATGCTATCCCTCCCCCTACCCCCACCCCACAACAGTCCCCAGAGTGTGATGTTCCCCTTCCTGTGTCCATGTGTTCTCATTTTTCAATTCCCACCTATGAGTGAGAACATGTGGTGTTTGGTTTTTTGTCCTTGCGATAGTTTACTGAGAATGATGATTTCCAATTTCATCCATGTCCCTACAAAGGACATGAACTCATCATTTTTTATGGCTGCAGAGTATTCCATGGTGTGTATGTGCCACATTTTCTTAATCCAGTCTATCATTGTTGGACATTTGGGTTGGTTCCAAGTCTTTGTTATTGTGAATAGTGCCGCAATAAACATACGTGTGCATGTGTCTTTATAGCAGCATGATTTATAGTCCTTTGGGTATATACCCAGTAATGGGATGGCTGGGTCAAATGGTATTTCTAGTTCTAGATCCCTGAGGAATCACCACACTGACTTCCACAATGGTTGAACTAGTTTACAGTCCCACCAACAGTGTAAAAGTGTTCCTGTTTCTCCACATCCTCTCCAGCACCTGTTGTTTCCTGACTTTTTAATGATTGCCATTCTAACTGGTGTGAGATGGTATCTCATTGTGGTTTTGATTTGCATTTCTCTGATGGCCAGTGATGGTGAGCATTTTTTCATGTGTCTTTTGGCTGCATAAATGTCTTCTTTTGAGAAATGTCTGTTCATATCCTTTGCCCACTTTTTGATGGGGTTGTTTGTTTTTTTCTTGTAAATTTGTTTGAGTTCATCGTAGATTCTGGATATTAGCCCTTTGTCAGATGAGTAGGTTGTGAAAATTTTCTCCCATTTTGTAGGTTGCCTGTTCTCTCTGATGGTAGTTTCTTTTGCTGTGCAGAAGTTCTTGAATTTAATTAGATCCCATTTGTCAATTTTGGCTTTTGTTGCCATTGCTTTTGGTGTTTTAGACATGAAGTCCTTGCCCGTGCCTATGTCCTGAATGGTAATGCCTAGGTTTTCTTCTAGGGTTTTTATGGTTTTAGGTCTAATATTTAAGTCTTTAATCCATCTTGAATTAATTTTTGTATAAGGTGTAAGGAAGGGATCCAGTTTCAGCTTTCTACGTATGGCTAGCCAGTCTTCCCAGCAGCATTTATTAAATAGGGAATCCTTTCCCCATTTCTTGTTTTTATCAGGTTTGTCAAAGATCAGATAGTTGTAGATATGCGGCATTGTTTCTGAGGGCTCTGTTCTGTTCCATTGATCTCTATCTCTGTTTTGGTACCAGTACCATGCTGTTTTGGTTACTGTAGCCTTGTAGTATAGTTTGAAGTCAGGTAGTGTGATGCCTCCAGCTTTGTTCTTTTGGCTTAGGATTGACTTGGTGATGCGGGCTCTTTTTTGGTTCCATATGAACTTTAAAGTAGTTTTTTCCAATTCTGTGAAGAAAGTCATTGGTAGCTTGATGGGGATGGCATTGAATCTAATACACCAACAACAGACAGACAGAGAGCCAAATCATGAGTGAACTCCCATTCACAATTGCTTCAAAGAGAATCAACTACTTAGGAATCCAGCTTACAAGGGACGTGAAGGACCTCTTCAAGGAGAACTACAAACCACTGCTCAATGAAATAAAAGAGGATACAAACAAATGGAAGAACATTCCATGCTCATGGGTAGGAAGAATTAATATCGTGAAAATGGCCATATTTATGTATTTTACATTTATATATGCCTTTACCTTTATTAGTCCTCTTTATTTCTTCATATGTATTCAAGTTCCTGTCCAGGACTTTTACTTCAACCTAACGGGCTCTTTTTAGTATTTACTGTTAACAACCAAACTACTTTTCTTTAATAAATGTTCCCTGGGTTGCTGTAAGCCTTTCTTTAATCTCCAGGACATGGAAACAGTGGCTCTGTACATTTTTGTCAATTTTTCATTTCTTTATGGAAGAGAGATTTTAGTTTAGCTCCTTACTTTATCATTTTTGGTGGCGTAACACTCTATTTTGTAGGGTGTTTTTTCTTTTACCACTTTTACTGGATATATATTCAGTAGAAAATAAATCATTCTACAAAAACACACATGGACTTGTACGTTCATCACTGCCCTATTCACAATAGCAAAGACATGGAATCAACCCAGGTGTCCATCAGTGGTATAATAGATTGGATTTTTAAAAATGGTAAATATACACCATGGAATACCTCGCAGCTATAAAAAAGAATAAAATCATGTTGTTTGCAGCAACATGGATAGAGCTGAAGGCCATAATCCTAAGCAAATTAACTCAGGAACAGAAAACCAAGTACTGCATGTTCTTACTTATAACTAGGAGTTAAACATTGAGCTCATATAAATATAAATATGGTAACAGTAGACACTGTGGACTACTAGAGGGTGAAAAGGAAGCTTGGTTTAAAAACCACCTATCAGGTACTATGCTCACTACCTGTGAGATCCATACTCAGTATGTGAGGTTTGGAGTATGGATCTCATCACATGTGTGAACATCACACAAGATTCCCCTGTAACAAATCTACACATGTATCCCCTGTATCTAAAATAAAAGTTGAAAAGAAAAAAAATTTCCAGGGATTTTGATGATCAGATAAATCTGATAACCACTCAACTAGTTGGCCTCTAAAGCCCTTTTGAATTAGATGTGCTGTGAACCTCACCTCCTCACTTCATGTGCTGTGAACCTCACCTCCTTCTACTTTATGTTTACATTTTTGGCTTTTATGTTAAAATTATTTTTGCCTTCTGAGTTGATATTTCAAATTAGTGGAGTAGATAACAGTGTCATTCCTAGATAGCATTGTGTGCTCATGGCTGATATTAAACTTTTCAGCCATATATACTTTTTATATTCTCATTTATGAAAGTTTTCTTTACAACAATAATTATTATTTTTAAACATTTTTGCCCCTATTGAAGTAACTGTATATATATATGTATATATTATATATACAGTTTTTCTTTTATTCTGTTAATACAGTGAATTGTATTAAATTATAATCAAATGTTCATTCATTCAGTTCATCATAAACATTGCATTGCTTGTAATCTCAAATGGATACTATTTTATTATTCCATTTTCCTGAATTTGTATTGCTCTGTTTTTAAAGGAATTTTGTATTTTTGTTTTTGAGTGAGATTGGCCTATAATTTTTCCTTCTTATATGACCCTTTTCAAATTTTGAAGTCAGAATTATTCTAGCTCATTAATGTGAGTGGAGCAGCATTTTCTCAGAAAGAGGAAACAATGTCGGTCTGTTTCAGATGACATTTTATTAATTTCTTAATTTTAATTTTCAATTTTTGTGGGTAGATAGTAGGTGTTCAGATGACACTCTTGCACTGAGAAAATCAACAGTTTCTTTTCTCCTTATGACTTGCTTTACCCATTTCTTCATGAGGTTATATTTTCTACAGTTCATCATGTCCAATATACATATATATATATGCATTTAATTTTATATTACAGAATTAGGGAAGAAATTATTCAAGATAGACTCCTAGAAATACAATTATCAGCTCATGAATATGGACATAATTTGATAAATACAGCAAATTGCTTTCTAAAAGTTGTTCAGTAATTTTTGACCAAATAGAGCTTCCATGTTTTCAAAGTTTCCATCTTATTCAGTAATATCCTTTTGTTTTACTCTTTATTAATCTAATAGGGGTCCATTTTTATATCTATTAGATAAATTTTTGGCTACTTTTGTTTTCTATTTGTATATCTTTAAAAAATATTCTACTCATAACATTTGACTCACAAAACTTTATAAGTAATAAAATAAGTCTGAGAGAGAAGGTTAAATTCTAAAAACATATAATGAGTAAGAGAACATATGCGAATGTTCTCTTGGTATGAGTCTTGGCTATGTGTCTTGATTTTAACCTGTTAAGAGATATTAACACACTTAAAGAAAGACTATATTCAGCCCCAATTACATGGATAAATAACAGTGGGAGTAATTAAGATAATGGATAACAGTGACTATCTCAACATTGTTAAGGTAGATATTTTTCTTTTTTTTTTTTTTTTTTTTTTTTTTGAGACGGAGTCTCGCTCTGTCGCCCAGGCCGGACTGCGGACTGCAGTGGCGCAATCTCGGCTCACTGCAAGCTCCGCTTCCCGGGTTCACGCCATTCTCCTGCCTCAGCCTCCCGAGTAGCTGGGACTACAGGCGCCCGCCACCGCACCCGGCTAATTTTTTGTATTTTTAGTAGAGACAGGGTTTCACCTTGTTAGCCAGGATGGTCTCGATCTCCTGACTTCATGATCCACCCGCCTCGGCCTCCCAAAGTGCTGGGATTACAGGCGTGAGCCACCGCGCCCGGCCAAGGTAGATATTTTTCTAACAAGCTTTCAGAGTCTGGTAATCTCACACATGCCAATCAAATAACCAAAACTTTTCAATTTAACACAGATTTATCAAACCACTCCCAAGTAATCTGACTTCTGTTCTAATCATGATGCTTTGGTTAATTAATTTCACAAACATTTTTTAATGTAATTTGACAAATTTCTTCTTCAAATTTCTTGCAATTAACAATTTGGGGTTTCTAGTATGACTGTAAGTATGGGGTCAAAACTTAAACTGGCACAATTCATTAAGTTAATGTCACTTATCTGATTTTCTGGTGGTTTGCCAGTAAATGTCTTCTCCTGGCCATGTAATTCTGCAACCCTTATAAAGATCAAGTCCTTTTTCATTATACATTTCTGTGATTTTCTGCTCTTTAATATACAATCACTTCTACAAGGCCAAAGGTCTTTCTTCATCTCTTTTATGTGTACACATATTCTGATATAAGTTAAATTTTAAAAATTGCTCACATGCATTGAGTTGCTTTGGACAAAACTGAGCATTAACACACTGGGATTATTAGGTTGGTGCAAACAAATTGAGGTTTTTGCAACTACTTTTAGTTGTGAAAACTGCAATTACTTTTGCACTAACCTAAAAATTCAGTGTGTGTTTTATTATATGTTCTACTTGCTTTTATTATCTGTTAATAAACATTTTATTGCTGTCCTGATAAGCTTAAAAGCTTTTATGGAACAAGGGCCTATGACTTTTGCCTCTTTACTTAGATAGCTGGTACTGCCCATTATAATTCTATTGACAGAGACCTTTAATCGATGTCAGTTTAGTAAAGTAGCACCCAATGAAGTAATTCCACATGTGGAAAACTAAATGCAAAAACAAGATCAGATTGTTACAGAGTGCAATGACCCACATAAGCTAAGACTTAGAGATGGACAATCTAGTTTTTCACTGGCTTCCAACCTCATCACTCCAAATGCCACATTTGTAAAAAGCCAAGTGTAGAAATCACCTGAATATCAATTGCTCTGGGTAGCATATCCTTTTTATGACACTTGCTGCATGTGCTTGCATGTTAAACTTTTGATACATTAACAACTATGGTAAAATATAGGACAATATTTGCCTTAGGGACTCACAATCTATTTTAAGTAATAAAAATAAAACACATAATCACATCTTTAGTTCAAAAATTACAAGTTTGAATTGAAAGCTATCATAAACAGAATAAACTCTTCAAGCTCGAATTATATGGTGCAGTGATGACAGTGCCAGATTCTGTGGCTGATAAAAGACTGAATCAATCATGCGATGACCCTCTTTCTCTTATTCTTTCCAACGTTTGATGAGCAATTTCTGAAGTTTCAATTAAAGTTTGAGAAGAAGAGAAGCATGTGATATATTTTCTAATTAGCAATATATATATTTTCTGCAACTACTTTGAAAATTACACTCCCAAATGAAATTAACTAAAGAAAATCACTGGCTATTCAGATACCTTGCAGTCATTGTCAATTGATGACAGGTTATTATTAGTGATATAATGAGGTTTGTAATTGCTCTTTCTTCCAGAGAGTGTAAGAGTAGTCTTGTAATTTTAACTATGAACTTGGTTATATTTATAGTCCTGTAATTGATACTGTAGCATTTTATATATTTAAATTCTAGCACAAATAATAAGTATGACAAAAGACATGTTTGATAAGCATTAATGCCTTATTTGTGAATATAAAATTTTACCTTTATAACAATAAGGTATTAGCCAGAATAATTATGAACTGTAACTGATGAGGTAAAGCAGCACTTTTTAGAATCTTCATATCGCCTTTTATTTCAAAGCAAATTCTGTTTTAACTCAAATAATGCTAAATTATTCTCTATGTTACCCAGAGTGAATCACATGAACTAGCTAATCTTCTTTAATATAGAGCTGATTTTTAAATGTTGCAAGAGATTTTTTTTTGACAGGGTCTCACTGTGTTGCCCAGGCTGGAGTACAGTGGCACAATCTCGGCTCACTGCAGCCTCGACCTCCTGGGCTTGAGTGATCCTCTTACCTCTACCTCTCAGAGATAATTTTTTATGGTGCCTGTTTAAGAGGAAAAACTGCTTATGGGTTTTAATACTTGTAGATGCAGCTTTAGGGAGGATGATGTGAGACACAGAATATAGGAACTGGCATCATAAGATTCTGCACTGTGTTTGCCAACTCCAGATCACCATATTCAGGCCCTCTAATTTAGTCTAGTAAAAAAACTATTTGTGATACAAACACAATAATAATAATCACATATGTTAATTTCAAAGCCCAAAAGTAGGAATTTGTATTACTTCTTTGTAGTTGTCTAAAAACCCTGCTTGGAACCCACATGTCATCTCCTTAGCTTCCTCATGGCTTCCTTTATATCTTTATTCCTCAGAGTATAAATCATGGGGTTAAGGAGAGGAGTGAAGACAGTAAAAAAACACAGAGATAAATTTATCAATTGGGAAGCTTTCAAAGGGCCAAATATAGATGAATATTAATGGGCCAAAGAAGAGAAGCACAACAGTAATGTGGGCAGACAGAGTGGAAAGGGCCTTGGACATCCCATCAGAGGCTTGGCGATGCACAGTAGCAAGGATGATAGTGTCAGAAATGAGCAAAAGGAGGAAACACATAAGTGAGAGCAGACCACTGTTAGTGAGCACCAGTATCTCAAAACCATAGGTGTCTAAGCAGGCAAGCTTGATCACTAGGAGGAGGTCACAGAAAAAATTGTCTACCCTGTTGGGTCCACAGAAAGGCAGATTGACTTTGAATGCCAGGTGGGTGGCTGAGTGTGAGATGCCAATGGCCCAGGAAACCCCCACCAGAACAGTTCACACCCTCCGGTTCATGATGGTCATGTAGTGCAGAGGTTTGCATATAGCAATGTATCTATCATAGGCCATGGCAACAAGAAGCACCATCTCACTACCCCCAAAAACATGCAAGAAAAAGATTTGTGACATGCATCCCTGGAAAGTGGTGGTCTTGTGTTCGTTGAGGAAGTCTGCAATCATCTTGGGAGTGGCAAATGTAGCCTGACACACATCGATGGAAGAGAGATTGCTAAGAAGAAAGTACATTGGGGAATGCAAATGAGAGTCTATAATTACTGTGATGATGATAAGGATGTTTCCCAACACTGCAGCTCCATAAAACACAGAGAAGATAAAGAAAAAGAAGACTTGGAGTTCCCAAGAGCTAGACAGCCCCAACAAATTGAATTCAGTAACCACTGATTTATTACTCCATCCATTAACTGAATCTGAGCTGCTGAAGTTATCTAGAGGGAAGAAAAGATAATTAAGATGGATTAAGAATAAGCTTTTTACCATTTTGCAAATCAAATAGATGCTTTGATTCTAATATAAAAATAAAATGGTGAGGCTATAAGACAAAGAGTATTCACATGATTGTTAGGAATTAATATTTTCCCTGGGCTCACTTAGATAATTATATGAATTATTATTTACTTTTGCCTTTATGCTTTGCAAGATAGATAGATGGATAGAGAGAGAGAGAGAGAGAGACAGAGAGAGAGAGAGTTTTTATCTAACAGATAAACCTATATAGAAAGAGAGAAATTGAGAGACAGCAATATTTGCCATTGAATTCTAAAATGTTTTTGTAGAAATGTGCAATACCTTAATAGAACTTTGAAAATCATACATACTGTACTTACACATTCAGATTATTAATAGTTGAAAATGAGGAGTCTAGCACCATTTACAGAATCTTGAAGGGACAGGCAATTTAGGCCAGGTGTAAAGATATGGAAATCAGTCCAGTTACTTTGATAAATGACAACAAATAAAGGAATGGCATGAGGCCATGTATTTGAGGTGTCTGCAGCAATAAGAATAGATTGAAATTAATTTGTAACAATTGAACTAGTGTGAGTGAGATATTGCATTTGCTTTTCTGTATCAAAAAATGTAAAGTATACAACAGTGAGTTAAATAATTTAGCAATGACAGATGTATCTTCCTAGAATCTCAGAAGCATACATCCTCTTTAATCAAAAGTGATTCTTTTAGTATCACAGTTGTACTCTTTACCCTTACCATATGATTCCTCTTTTACAGAAGCTAAATTTAATATTATTTAATATGATTGGCTACCTGCTCTTCAAAGATGGGACTAAATTATCTGAGAACCTGCCCCGATAGTCACGTAGGTTCTTTTTCTATATTCCCTAAGCATTGACCGGTTTGAGAAATAAAGGGACAGAGTACAAAAGACAGAAATTTTAAAGCTGGGTGTCCGGGGGAGACATCACATGTCGGTAGGCTATGTGATGCCCCACAAACCACAAAACCAGCAAGTTTTTATTAGGGACTTTCAAAAGGGGAGGGAGAGTGTGAATAGGTGTGGGTCACAGAGATCACGTACTTCACAAGGTAATAGAATATCACAAGGCAAATGGAGGCAGGGCGAGATCACAGGACGACAGGACTGGGGTGAAATTAAAATTGCTAATGAAGTTTCGGGCACCATTGTCATTGATAACATCTTATCAGGAGACAGGGTTTGAGAGCAACTGGTCTGACCACAATTTATTAGGCAGGAATTTCCGCTTCCTAATAAGCCTGGGAGTGCTATGGGAGACTGGGGTTTATTTCATCCCTACAGTTTCAACCATAGAAAACAGCCACACCCATGGGGGCCATTTCAGAGACCCACCCTCAGGGGCGTATTCTCTTTCCCAGGGATGTTCCTTGCTGAAAAAAAAAATTCAGCGATATTTCTCCCATTTGCTTTTGAAAGAAGAGAAATATGGCTCTGTTCCCCCTGGCTCACCGGCGGTCAGAGTTTAAGGTTATCTCTCTTATTCCCTAAACATTGCTGTTATCCTGTTATTTTTTCAAGGTGCCCAGATTTCATATTGTTCAAACACACATGCTCTATGATTTGTGCAGTTAATGCAATTATCACAGGGTCCTGAGGCGACATACATCCTCCTCGGCTTACGAGATGACAGGATTAAGAGATTAAAGTAAAGACAGGCATAGGAAATCACAAGGGTATTGATTGTGGAAGTGATAAGTGTCCATGAAATCTTCACAATTTATGTTTAGAGATTGCAGTAAAGACAGGCATAAGAAATTATAAAAGTATTAATTTGGGGAACTAATAAATGTCCATGAAATCTTCACAATCCACGTTCTTCTGCCATGGCTTCAGCCAGTCCCTCCGTTTGGGGTTGCTGACTTCCCACAACACTAAATGCAATTTCAGATAGCATAATAGATTTTCTAATTAAATTTATATTTGAACTACTTACCTTTGCTAATGATTTCACAGCCTCTTCTTTCTGTAATTGAGCTAATATCACAATAACAGAAGAGTTTTCCAAGGCCTATTGAATAGCATCTCTGATGTAATTAATTCATTCAACAAATAATTATAGATTGTCTTTTCTGCACCACACAGTTTTATAGACCCTGGAGACAAAGCAATGGGAGAAAAAAATAATAAAAACTGTCCCATCCTCATGTAACTTGCATCCTAAAGCTGTGGGGGTGGGTGGTGTTGGCACAAGCAATTAAAAATAAATAAGTAAAATATGTATTATATCAGTTAGTGACATCTAACTGACATGATATATATATTTATGAATTAAGAGGGGAGAAGTTGAGAGACAGCAAAAAGAGAAAAAAAGATAGTTTGGTAATGAAGATAACTACCTTTGTCAAAGGAAAATATTTATGGAATAGTGCCATGGAGCAAATAAAGCAGAACAAAGGAATATGGACTATAACCAGGTGATCAGTAACAGCCTCACTAGGCAGGTTACATTTCAGAAAGACTAAAGAAAAATGAGGAGCAAGCCTTGAGGAATTCCACTTCAGACCAATAACATAGCAAGTATATGCAATACCTTATTTGTGAAAAATAAACATTCCCTTGGGAAACATCATTGTAATTTTGCAAGTTTATTAGAAATTAATTAAATGAAAATTTAGTTTTTAACCTTATTATGGACTTGACATGCAAAATTGGCTTTTTTGAATAATATTCTCTTCATAGGCTTAGGCATGTTTGTAATTTTAGGGAACCATAAATTTAGTCTCAACATATAGATACATACTAACATTTTCGTTTTTTTTCTAGAACGAAATATGGATATAAAATTGTTTTTCAAATTATGTATTGACATTTGTATCCATATGTATATATGTCCATGTACAGAATTTGAAAACAATTTTATAATTTTAAGTGCATGATGCTAATTTTATCTAATTGTATTCAAAATAAAATTGAAACAATCTGTTTTCTCAAAAAAGAGCCCTTGAAAATGAAATTCATAGCCAGATCCCCGAAGCTACATGGAGCTCCCTGTGTGTCTACAGTCATAGTCAATAGTTAGTTGAGACAGATACTCATGGAATGACTTTCAAATATTGAGATCATTAAAACTATAAAAATTAGTAATTGATTTTTTGGTATTACCTCACAGAATCAGATGCCTTTTAAAGTATCTGATATATGTATACAAAGCCTGACAAAAATGTGCAAACTGATGTGTGTTGAGTCAAAATTGTCTAAAACCATTTCAGTTTGTCTGCAACTTGGTTCTACAAGTACAGGCAGAATTTCTCTAAAATCATTCTAAAAATATTTTTCCATAGTAAGAGATGATCATATTCCATATTAACAGTTGTGGATTAGTCAGTCTTCTTGGAAAGGCAGAGTGTGAATTTCCTCAAGATGCCTTAATATAAGAACACAGAATTTGAGATCAGATCTGGGTTTAATTTCTGGCTTCACTACTTACTCTGTGATAGTGTTTGTTCATTCATTCCAACTTCTTGAGTACCTTTGGTGATTATGGGCCAAAAACTCTGCAGGCCCAGAGAGATAATGATGCCCAAAACAGATAGGATTAATGTCCTTGTGCAATTTACTGGAATTCTCTAAACTTTTGAGTCCTTATTTGTGATAGTGCACATTTCAAAGAGCTGTGTAAACTATAAAGTATATTCTAATTGAAAATTACATAATATAGTTTTACTTTCTTACAAGTAAAGCCAATCTGAATAGAAAAATATTTGCTTCTGAGAAGATTAACAAACTAAGAGACTTTAAAAGACCAAATAAGATTAAAATGAAATATTAGAATAAAGTCATTATTTTCTAGAATAAACCTATCATTTATTAAAACATTGGAATACAAATCTGACAAAAAGGAAAGTAGACACTGAAGAAAAACCACATAGCGTTCTTTACAATTCTCCATTCACCAGTTAGCTACTTCCAACCTTTAGCATTCTTCACCTCTAACTTATTTAAAAAAAGTAAATGCAGTAAACTAGAGCTAGAATTAGGTTACAAATGGATATCATTGTGAAATAGGGGAAGACATTCTTTGATGTTTCATTATTAACTCTACTTCAGATTTCAAATACAGAGTTAAATAATGCCTTGTCTTGGACATCAGGTTATACTGGAAATAAACTTCTCTAATGGGATTAACACCCCATCCTTAGTACCTGATTTGGAAATTAATTGCAGGTCTCTGCCTAAGGTAATGATAAACCGAATGTGAAATAAAACTTCCATTTAAAGGAGAAATGTGAAATTTGTATGAAGTACTTTCTGGACTCAGAAATTAATTTGAGCAAGGAGCTTTAACTAAAAGCATTCTGGTCAAACAGGAAGGAAGAAGCAAAGGTTATAAGGCAAGAGGTCAAATTGTAGAATCTTCTGTGGCTCAAACTCTAGATTGCACAGCCCAGATTAACAAATAGGTACATGTAAAGGTCTTAGTGGTACAGATGTCAGACATGAAAAGAATCAATCAAAGTTGTAGAAGAGAAAGAAGATAGTTTGGTAATGAAGATAATCATTTATGGGAAGAAACCGGCTTCTTACTATGTAGATAATTAAGTTGAATAAAGGCTTTTGGGTATGACGAGATTGATTTAGTTATCTTACAGTGATATGTGACCAATAATTACCTTATTATCCTTACAATGCTATAAAGTAAATATTACTATAATCCTAACTTTGTGTTAGAAGCAGCTACAATTTAGTGCTAAAGTTAGTGTCACAAGGCACACTGGTAGTCTGAAGATTTGAATGTGCAAAGAACATATGTTTAACTGCTACATATTGCTCAATTAAGGATCTGATTACTGAAAACATCTATCTAAGGATGTCTACCTGGTCACTAAAATAATTTATCAGTATTATTATTATTTTAAGAGACAGGGTCTTGCGCTGTCACTCAGGCTGTAGTGCAACTATGTGATCATGGCTCACGGCAGCCTGGACCTCCTGGCCTCAAGTGATCCTCCCACCTCTAAGATAACAAAGTAGTGCCCAATTATATTCTCTGCTCTTTCTGAACTATACATCAACATGCTCACTTTTATCTTGCTACTTCAATCCCATGCTTGTGTTAGCAGTGACAATAATCAGTCAAAACAGCAATAATTCGCTGTTTTGTTTTATATTAGGCTCTCACGCCCAAACCCCAAGTCCTCATGCTCAAAAACACAGGTTGCCTTGACTGTGGTAATAACTTTAGCCCAGAATCCCTTTATCTCTCTGAATGGCAACATGTACAGTTGCTTTTAAGCTTGATGCGATTAAATTCCACATACCAATTTTGAGATAAATCTCAGGAAAGTAACAACAGGGTGAAGAGAAGATGCTTCCAAAACTTTTTAAAAAATAATTTTAAAAAGAGAATCACAGGAGCCTATAAAGGAACTATTTAAATATCATGACACTCCCAAAAGTCTCAGATAACCAATCCCATGAATTGCGAAAGCCAATTAAAAAATGAACTTTGTTAAGTGAATTCATCTTGCTATGGGAGTTATTAACAATATTTTGGTTGCTTCTCCCCCATATCAAGATGGTAAGAACTTTTAAATTGTTTGCCTATAATTGCAAATGAGAACATATGTCATGAGAGAGAAATGTAGTGACCTCAAAGTTTGCAACAACTATATTTGCCCTCATTTAATGTTCTGCCTCTATCCATGTGCTTTCTTTGTCCTTATCTAAAGTGACTGTGCCAGTAAGCACTAGCACACATGCACAGGGCCTAAAGAAAATTAGATCCAAAGAAATATAAATCTGGCAATGGGTCTAAGAAAATTAGAATTTTGCTTTCTCTAATCTTATATTTCTTCCTTTTCTTGAAAATTTTTATGTCAAAGGTTTTCAAATTCCATACCACACAATATTTTGCCAAAATTATCCAATATTTTAATTATCACTACACAGTACTTGACCATATAACAGAATCAGAAAAGAATCTTAGACATAAGTGGGTAAAACTGCCCAGATATAAAAATAGCTTGCTTTTGGATATTGTGGAAACATATCCCATTAGAGCTGTAGAAGGACTTAGGAAATCTACAGAGAAGAGCAGGGGACAAAGACAAAAGTAAATGTTGTGACACAGAGTGAGTGCCCAGGAAGTTTGATGAGCTTAATTGAGGAGAGGAGCCCAGTCATCAGCCCAGACTGATAGATCACGTTTCTTCTTCACATCTTCTCTTTAATTTTCACAGTCATTTCAATTCTTCTGTTTCCAAATCTAGTCCTCCTTTAGTCTCCCTTAACCCAGGTAATGGCATTTCTATTGCCCCAGTGGTTTCAGCCAGAAACTTCACTTCTTCTATTTTCTCACTCCCACTTCCAGTCCTGCTGTACCTTTCTCTAAAATATGCCCAATCCATCAAAGCTTTCTATTACAATTTCCCTTGTCTAAACCATCCCTTTCTTTCTCCTTAAATGTTTCAAAGGCCTTCTAATAATCTCCAACTCTCTGCACTGATTTTTTTTTCCAGTCAATTTCTCCTGAATGCTCAGAGCAGTCTTTAAAAATAAGATAAATCTTTAAAAATAAGATAAATAAGTCAAACAACTTTAAAATGATAAACATGCAGTCATTCCTCTGTATATGTGGGTTCTGTGTCTATGGATTCAATCAATCACGGATCAAAAGTATTTAGAAAAAAACAATTCCACAGATCTTCAAAATCAAAACTGAAATTTGCAACACATCAAGTACTACATTGAATTCACTTAAAAGAAGTGATATGTAGACATCGTATTAGATATTATAAGTAATTTAGAGATGATTTAAAAGTATACGGGAGAATGTGCATAGGTTATATGCAAATGCTACACCACTTTATACAAGGGACTGAAGCATCCATGGGTTTTGGTATCTGCGGGGGTCTTGGAACCAATTCCCCGTAGACACCAAGGGACCATCATAGTCCCCATTGCTCTAGAAATATAATCCAATATCCATAATGAGCCCTTCCTATCCTGTATTTTACATATTAACCTTCAGCTTCATTTCGTCTCACTCATTGGTCATTCACTAAATTCCTGCTTTCATTTTCTGGAACACACAATCCCTTTCCACTTTAGGGAGTTTCCATTTCTCTTTTGTCTGCTTGAATATTGTTTCTTTTGGCTCTTCTATTGTATATCCTTCCCACAGAAACTAAATAGAAGGTTATTCATTACACAGAGCACAGAGAGGCTTTTTCTGAGTACCATTCCCCCCTCTTCACTCCTTTGTTTTTTCTCATCTCGCAACATTATTTACTACCTTCATAACACTCATTAAACTTTTAATTTGCTCATTTGATTTTCTTACATGTCTTTGTTTCTCTCTCCTTTCTGCATCTCCACTCCAAGACTGTGGGACTCATGTGGGTAAAAACTGAGTGTCTTAGGATCACTATCATCTCCCCAACACCTGGCCCAGAACCTAGCAAATAGTAGATACCCACAGAATATTATTGATTCACTGAATAAATGAGTGTACAAGTGGCCATGTGGTGGTTACTTTTTACTTTTCAAAAATACCATAAAACTCTTTTTTTAAAAAATGAGAATGTTATAATGGGGTCATACATATGTTTTTACTGACACTGGCTTCTTTTACTCAACATAATGCCTTTGAGATTCACCCCAGTTACTCTGTGAATCAATAGTTGGTTCTTTTAAATTGATGAGTGGTATTCTGCACTGACTCTGGACTTGGCCATGTGTCTTGTTCTGCCGAAAGGAATAATAGCACAAGAGAATTTTGCATTGGGACTGCCCTCTATTGTTACTATGGGAATACTGAGGCCACCATGGAATCGAGCCTAAGCCAGTCTTTTGGAAGACAAGAAGCAATGATGTCCTGGTAAATGTTTAGGAGCTGGTTCATGGGGTAAAGGGGGAAGAGAAGGCTCTGATTTGTAGTATTTTCCAATGTCTGTGGTAAAAATACTCCCACTATGGCAGATTTCAAGCCACCAAGTGTATAATAACTACCTCACAAAACCCCTGATAATATAAAACAAGCTCTCATTCAGGTATAAGTCAGCTCCAGCTGATGACAGATGAGAAACCATGTGGAGAGAATTTGGGGCCTGGCTGACAGTAAACCAGCTCATGTTGCTAACCTGGCAACTACCAGACATATGAGTGTGGTCAGTATAGATTGTCCAGCTCACCCAGACTTACCAGACATCCTAGTAGAGGTCAAACGTATTGGCCCAGACCAGAAAAGGTACTCGCCTGGTTTGTGAACAAATATAAAATGGTTCCTAGTTTAATTCAATAAATTTTGAGGTGGCTTAATATGGAGCAAAATCTAATGAATACAATTGGCTATCATTTCATTCCTTATCACCAATGGGTATCTTGAATATTATAAATAAACAAATGATAAGCAGTTTCTGAAAAAAATGAGTCTGCACGGCACATGAAAAGTAGTAAAATTTTTGTTTTGCTGAGATAAGTGGCTACATTGTTGTCATATTGCTAGTGTACTGCTAGGTTCATGTGGAACATGAATTTTTTTTTTAAACAATGAAAATATGGGTTGTAATACCAGGAGTAAAAATGAACTGTTGACATTGGCATCCCATCCTAGTTGATGTTGCATTTTTTTCTTTTCATTATGTGTTGTTATGACAATTGTTATAGAACATTTCACACAAGTTTCCTGTAATAAACTGTATGTTAACACTAGTGGTCAGTGTTGAGAACCAGACCCAAAACCGAAACCAAATATTTGAAACACAAAGATTTAGAGATATTCTGCTCCTTTTCTTTTAAGAAAAGACAGAATTTAAATCATCCTGGTGGCACAATAGGAGCTGAGCTAATTTTTTAAATTGAATTTTAATGCCGGATAATTTGCATATAAATGAACTGAAATAGACCGCTCAGAATTAGGTCCCTTCTTGTACAGTTGGACAGTGAAGAGATTTAACCATTATGGTCCTATGTAATGATAAGGGAAAGAAAGCACAGAAGACAGCCTTGATCATCATTCTCACACCCTAGAACAAGATATTTGGATTTTCTTCTTTACATGGGCTCTTAGCATATGTATATATGTACTCTATAAACTCATTTCCTACTTTGTAAACCAAATCCATTACCATTAGTATGAATTCCTTCAACTTTCTCTCTTAAGTATCTAACTTTCTTTTTTTTTTTTTTTTTTTTTTTGAGACGGAGTCTCGCTCTGTCGCCCAGGCTGGAGTGCAGTGGCGGGATCTCGGCTCACTGCAAGCTCCGCCTCCTGGGTTCACGCCATTCTCCTGGCTCAGCCTCCCAAGTAGCTAGGACTACAGGCGCCCGCCACTACGCCCGGCTAATTTTTTGTATTTTTAGTAGAGACGGGGTTTCACCGTTTTAGCCGGGATGGTCTCGATCTCCTGACCTCGTGATCCGCCCGCCTCGGCCTCTCAAAGTGCTGGGATTACAGGCGTGAGCCACCGCGCCCGGCCGTATCTAACTTTCTTAACACATCATCTCCCAACTATAAACTCATCTCTTCCCATTTGTACCCTAAATTCTTGAAATCAGCTATTACATCATGTCAGTTGTCCCCAGGTCATCATTTCCTATTGATTTCTCTTGAAGTTTTCTTTAGTTGTTTGTTTCATTCTCCACCCTTTTCTATTCTAGGCCCCTGTTGGCTCACTAGCATGGCTACATTATCTGGGCTTTTCTGCCTCTAGCCTTTATTGAGATTGGAGAATAAAAGGAGCTGGCAGGAGATTAGAGGGAAAAAGGAGAGAAAGGTCTGGATTTTACTTCTGTTTCTCCTCCCTGCCACTTCGCTAGAATTCTTCTAGTAATCTATCCCTGAGTATTTATACCTTGTAGGTCCCTTTATGGCTCTAGCTCTCAACAATTTCTAACCCTCTTCTTGTCTCTTCAGGCCAAGAGTAATAAAGCTTCCTGCTGGTTCTGGTGTTAGGATGCCTCATTTAATCCTGCCAAGATTTTTATGGATAGTTGATTCTCATATTATATTGAAAATCTTTGCCAAATATGTTTTGTGTTTTCTTCGGTGACCTTGGCTAATACACTTCTTGACCCATTGTAATGGATCCGCTTCTTGCTCAACACTTACAAAAATGTGACCTACCAAGCTATTTCACTAAATAAATGGCTTCTGGTTTTAGGGGGAATTTTGTCATTCTCCTGTGAGAAGGTGCTAAAGGTAGTTATTTTTTTAAATAGCATGTTTTTTTCTGTATATTTTTCTATATATTCAATTACCTACTGAGAATCTCCACTTGTTTTTATATACACACTTCAAATTCATTATGGACAATAGTCAACTTATCTTTCCCTTATATGACAAATAATAAAGACATTTTTTAAATGAATGAACTCCTGGAGTTGTGTATTGTCTTGCTAGCTCCTCAAGCAAGAAAATTTTGCACCAATTTTGTTTCTCCCTTACCGTCAAATGTAGTCAAGTAATAGGCATTATCTGTATAAACTTTAAATATTTCTGAGTCTGTTCAATTCTGTTTTATTATGATACTCATTACACACTGGATTGATGCAGTAGGTGTCATCAACTTATCTCATTATCTTTAAGATTTTTTATCTGTAATGCATTTTCTGTAACCTATCAAATTGCTTAGTCTAAATATATAACATTAAACCTCCTAAAATACCTCAATCTTTCCATTGTCCTTTTAGCAAAGTTGAGATTTCTTAGTAAGACTTACAACATCATTCTAAAATTGATTTTTCTACCCAGGCTTATATCTCACTCTCTTTGTGATTGGTTTGAGTAATTCTAGCTAATGTAACAAAATATCATAAAATTTTAGGTACTTAGCCACATGAAATGATATATCTGCTCATGTAACTATGCTCAGTAGTGTTATGGTTGGTGACTGGTCACCTGTCAGAGATTGAGCAACCCAGGTTTCTTCCATCTTTATTTTTGAAGTTTTATTTTGCTTTTAATTGTCACATAATTGCACATATTTATGGGGCACAATGTGATGTTTCAATACATGCATATATTCAGTGATGATAGAATCAGGGTATTCAGCATATTCATTATCTAAAACATTGATCATTAGTTTGTGGTAAGGACTTTTAAAATCCTCTCCTCTAATTATTTTGAGATATGCAATATTAACTATAGTCACCCTGCAGCCAATAGAACAAATAAGTACTTGGGTGATGAAATTATTTTGTGCAATAAACTCCCATGACACAAGTTTATCTATGTAACAAACTTGCACATGTACCTCTGAGCTTAAAATAAAAGTTACTAAAAAAAAGAAATGCTACCGATATTTTTGGTTGATGCTGTATCCTGCAACTTTACTGAATTTATTTATCACTTCTTAGAGCTTTTTGGTTGAACCTTTATATAAAATCTATGTATAAAATCATGTCAACTGCAAATAGAAACAATTTGACTTCCTTCTTTCCAATTTAGATCCCTTTTATTTATTTCTCTTGCCTACTTTCTCTGGCTAGGAATTTAGTACTATGTTGAATAAAAGTGGTGAAAATTGGCATCTGTGTCTTGTTTCAGATCTTAGAGGAAAAGCTTTCAACTTTTCTCCAGTTAGCGTAATTTGTCATTTTTGGCCTTTATTGTGTTGAGGTACATTTTGTTGAGAGTTTTAATCAAACAGCATTGAATATTGTCAAATACTTTTTCTGTTTATCAAAGTGATAGATTAGCTTTTGTCCTTGATCCTGTTAATGTGATATATCACATTTATTGTATAATGTAGGTTGTATTATCTAGAATGAATCCCATTTGATCATGGTGAATGCTCTTTTTAATGTGCTGTTGAATTTGGTTTGCTAGTATTTTCTTAAGGATTTTTGCATCTATTTTTATCAGAGATATTGTCCCGTAGTTCATATTTTGTTGTGTCCTTGACTGGTTTTTGTATCAGAGTTATGCCAGCATTGTAGAATGAGATTGGACAAATTCTCTCATCTTCAATTATTTTGAAATAGTTTGAAAAGTATTGATAACATCTTTTAAATGTTTGGTAGATTTCAGCAGTGAAGCCATCATATCTGGAGGTTTTCTTTGATGGGAGACTTTTTATTATAGATTCTATGTTGTTACTCACTATTGGTCTCTTCAGATTTTCTACTTTTTCATAATTCAATTTTGGTAGGTTGTATATGTATACGTTGGCATGTAGTTGTTCATAATAGTCTCTTATAATCCTTTGTATTGCTGTTACATCAGTTTTAATGTATACTTTTTTATGTCTGATTTTATTTGAACTTTCCCTCCATTTTTCTAAGTTAATCTAACTAAAGGTTTGTTTCTGTTCAAGGATTTCTGTATTGTTTTAGTCACTATTCCACTTATATCCACTCTCATTTATTTCTTTTTTCTACTAATTTTGTGTTTGTTCTTGTTGTTCTAGTTCCTTGAGGTATGATGTTATACTGTTTATTTGAGATTTTTTGTCTTTTATGGTGTAGGTGTTTATTGCTATAAACTTCCCTCTTGGAACTGCTTTTGCTGTATTCCATAAGTTTTCATATACTGTGTTTCCAATTTCATTTGTCTCATGAAGTGTTTGAATTTTCTTTTTAACTTATTCATTAATCCATTTGTTATACAGGAGCATGTTGTTAAATTTACATGTATTTAAATGGTTTCTAAAGTTTTACTGTTAGTGATTTCTAGTTTTATTCCATCATGGTCAAAAGAGATACTTGATTTTGATTTTTGCAGATTTGCTGAGGTTTGTTTTGTGGCCTAACATCTGATCTACCCTGAAGACACTTCCATGTGCTGATGAGGAGAATGCATACTCTTCAGCTGTTGAGTGGGATGTTCTGTGACTATCTGGTAGGTCCACATGATCTAGAGTGCGCTTTGTATTTGTTGTTTTTTTGGCTGAATTTTTGTCTAGATGATCTGTCCTTTGCCGAAAGTGAGATATTGAAGTCCTCTATTATTATTGCATTGGAGTCTATCTCTCCCTTTACATCTAATAGTATTTGCTTTATATGTCTGGGTATTCTGGTTTGAGATTCATATATATTTGTAGTTGTATATCCCCTTACTGAATTGACCCCTTCATCATTATATCATGACCATCTTTGTCTCATTTTACAGTTTTTGACTTAAAGTCCATTTTATCTGATCTAAGTATAGCTACTCTTGCTCTCTTTTGACTTCCATTTGCATGGCATATAATTTTTTCTTCTTTATTTTTAGTCAGTATGTGTCCTTACAGGTGAAGTGAGTCTCCTGTAAGCAGATATAGTTGTATGTTTTTAAAATGCATTCAGCCATCTTTTAATTACAGAATTTAATACATTTATATTGAAAGTTATATTGATAGGTACGGATTTACTATTGCCATTTTGTTCATTGTTTTCTGGTTATTTTGTAGGTCTTTGTTTCTTTCTTCCTCTCTTGTGTTTACTTTTGTGGTTTCATGGTTTTATTCCATTCTTTTTTTCATTTGCATATATGCTGTAACTTTTTTCTTTGTTGTTACTCTGGGGCTTACATAAAAAATCTTATAGTTCTAAAGGTTTATTTTAAGCTAATAACAATTTAACTTTGATTGCCTGCAAATATTCTAGACTTTGACCCTCCAACCCAATTTATAATTTTGTTGTCTTAATTCACATCTTTTGTATGGCTTATTTCTTAAAAACTTATTGTAGCTATGGTTATTGTTGACCATTTTGACTTTTAACCTTCATACTGTATACACCACTACAATAATGTAGCACTCTGAATTTAATTATGAGTTTACTTCTACCCGTGAGTTTAAATACTTTCATGGTAGTAATTAACATCCTTTCACCTCATGGTGGCAATTAACATCCTTTGAAACCGTCTTTTAAGCATTTCTTGTACGGCTGTTCTAGTGGTGATGAATTCCCTCAGCTTTTGCTTGTCTGGGAAAGACTTTACTTCTCCTTCATATTTAAAGAATAACTTTTGAGAAGTGTCTGTTCATATCCTTCGCCCACTCTTTGATGGGGTTTTTTGCTTTTTTCTTGTAAATTTGAGTTCGTTGTAGATTCTGGTACCCTAAAACTTAAAGTATAATAATAATAAAATTTAAAAAAAAGAATAACTTTGATGAGTATACTGTTCTTGACTAGAAGTTTTATTTTTTTCTCTCGGCACTTTGAGTATATTGTTCCATTCTCTCCTGGCCTGCAAGGTTAAGAAATATGCTGAGAAATATGCTGATAGTCTAAAGCAGCAAGATACAGCCATGATGTCCCATACGGGGGGATTTCCTCATAAGAAAATGTCTTAGGCTGCAGGAGTTTGTGATGCTGCTCTGTTAGCTTGGGTACAATCACTGGGCATGAGTGCCTGTTCCTTGGGGAACAGGGTGCCACATGGGCTCAGGTACTAAGGTTACAGCTGTTCTGTTGGTCCTAGGCTCTGAGTAGACAGAGCCAAGATACTGCAGTCACTGGGATGGAAAGATGGAGTGCCTCCTTGGCAGTTTGTTTCCATGGGGTTAGAAGTTGTAGCTGCTCAGCTGCAGAATGGTGTGCTGCCATTAGTAGGTGTGGTGTAGTGGCAGTGAAGCCTAGGGTATGGGAAGATACAGTGGCTATAGACCCCCAAATGAGAAGGCACCCTAGCAGTGGCTTCAGTCTCAAGATGCCATTACACAGCAGCAGCTTGGATAATAGGGCAGGAGGAGACACAATGTGGGCTCCTTGTTTGGAGTAACATAGTCATGTGAACTCCAGGCAACTCCTCAGGCTGGGCCTAGGACCTGTGAGGACTACAGTGATCTCCATGAGCAAAGATTGTGGGTGTCCACATTTTAATTTGTATTGCTGAGGGCCTCCTGCATACCTTTTCTCTGTAAGGAGAGTCCGCCCTGGCTCTGACCTCATCCCACTAGGAGAGACAAGATGGTAAAGGCAGAGTGTTCCATTCCCTTTTTTATATGGCCATCCTGAGTCTCCATGATCCACAGGGTCTCTGCCATTTCCCTGTTTTACTCCAGGGCTCTCCTTCATATATTTTAGTTGAAAAGTGGTTATTTGTTTGTTGTTTTGGTCCTTTTGTGTGGTGGCCGGGGAGGAGGTTGAGTGTTAGGCACTTCTAGTCAGCTATATTGTTGGCGTCGCTTCCTCTTGCATCTTCTTGATTTAAGATTTCTTTAGGATCCCAGAGTCTTCTGCATCCTCTTGGCAGACAAAGGACTAAAGAGTTAAGGCAGACTTAATTATTACGAACTTAGTCAAATTATTTCTTTTTGTGGTAAGAATATGATATTTTATTGGTAAGAATAGGACATATGGACTTACTTAGAAGAAAGGTAACTAAGAATTATAGTTCCGGAAGGGGAGCTGTTTTCCAGTAACAGCTCTAAACTCTAGAAAAGGAAGTAAGAAAATTGATGGATACTTAGTTCCCTTTAATTTACCCTGTCTCCTATAATCTGAGCTTTTAATTTCTCCAGTGTAGTGGTTATCTCATCATCCTTTGCAGATAGTTGCCTTTGTAAGTAGATTTCTGTACTAGGGAGAACTTCACGTTTCTTCTTTGTCTACTAACATACTTCAGACCTCAGATTTTTCTTACCTGCTCTTAAGTCTTTATCAAAGCAATTTAGACTCTATAGCTATTTGTTTAACCTGCCTTTTCCACTAGGACTGGGATATTTTTCATTTTTCTCATCATTAAATTCCCAGTAGTTAGCAGAAATTCTGGATAGAATAAAAACTTTATTAATATTTGTTGAAGAAATTCATACCTCATTTAAGCCTGTTCTTTATGCATTTAATGTTTAGCAAACTCTTTACTGAGGTGTAACAGAAACATAAAAAAATCACAAATCATAAGTGAATGTATAGTTTGATGAATTGATGAATTACCATATGTATTTCTTTCCTATAGTAACAAATTACTACACAATTGGTGGCTCATAAGAAAAGAAGTTTATTTTCTCTTAGTTATGGAGGACAGAAATTCAAAATCAGTATCACTGGATCAAAATCAAGATGTTAACAGAGCCACACTCCTTTTAGAAACTCTGGAGAAAAATCTGTTTCTTGCCATTTCCAGCTTCTGGTGTCTGTGAGGACCTGCATTTTCACTCTCGTCTTTAATGGTGATTGATAGTGTATTTTAATGAAGTCTAGTTTGTCATTTTTTCTTTTTTTTCTTGTATTACTTTATTGTTTCTTTGCATGAGTCTTGTTTCCCAGTTTGGTAGAGGGTTCTTAAAATGTAGGTTCATACTTTGTATATCCTCCAAGTGCCCAGACCATCCAAGCCACAGAGCTGTTGTATGTGCGTGCACTCTCCCTCTGCTCTCTTTCTCTCTCTCTCTCCACACACACTCACACACACACACGCACTATTACCAATCATAGATTTACCAGATGTCTGCTTTTAAGAGCTTTAATTTCAAGTCTTTGTATGTCCAATATAGACTCTGTTAAGTTTAAAGTTATTTGTGTCATATTTAAGAAATCCTTGCATATATAAAAGTCATGAAAACATTCTCCTATATCATATTCTAAAAGCTTTATTTTTATTTATATAGAAATATATATTATTTTGAATTATTTTTGTGAATTTAGAGCCAAGCTTTTTTGTTGTTGTTTGTTAAAGGTAAGAGTACAATTGCCAAGCTTCATATTTTTGTTTCTTCTCTTCATTATCCTATTTCTCATAGATCAGGTGACTATGTACTTGCTTTTTGTTCCCAGAATCTCTAGTGTGTTTCACTAACATGTTTCTTTTTTCTTTACCAATACAAGATTTCAATATGTAGTCTTTTGTTTAACTTTTATTTTTATTTCACGGGCATATGTGCAGGTTTGTTTTATAGGTAAATTACATGTCACAGATGTTTGTTATACAGATAATTCTGTTACCCAGGTAATAACCATAGTACTCAACAGGTGGTTTTTGGATTTTCCCTCTTCTCCCACCTTTCTCTCTGTAGTAGGCCCCAGTGTCTATTATTTTCTTTTTTGTGTCCATTCATACTCAGTGTTTAGCTCCCACTTGTGACTACATGTGGTATTTGGTTTTTTGTTTCTGTGTTACTTTGCTTAGGATAATGGCCTTCAGCTTCATCTCTGTTGCTGAAAAGGGCATGATCTCATTCTTTTTATGGCTGCATTGTATTCCATTGTGTATATGTACCATGTTTTCTTCATCCAGTCTGCCATTTATGGGCATCTAGGTTAATTTCATGTCTTTGGAAATGCAAAGAGGCAAGAATAGTCAAGGAAGTTTCAATGGACGACATACTCTACCATATATGAAGACTTCTTGTGTCTTCTTTCAAATTTGAAGAAAGTCTTGATATACGTAATGTATGTCTTCCTTCAAAATATCTTTGGATATTCTTGCCTCTTTGTATTTCCATATAAATTTTAGAATCAGCATGTCAATTTGCTCAAATATATTATTAGAAATTTGATTGAGATTGCATTAAATCTATGGATCAATTTGGGAAAAATTAACCATTATCAAACAACATTGCTAAATGCACTAGTTAACTTTAATAGCTTAAAATATTTTCTACATATATACAGAAAAAATATTTTTCTAAAAATATGTTTTTTCTAAGCACATACTTTATTGCTATTTTGTCTCAAATTGTCTGGAATCTTCAGCACATTGAATAGAAATCATGATAATAACATTTTCTGTCTCATTCTCAATCTTAAAGGAAATATATTTTAATTGTGATATATATAGTCTCCAGAATTGTGACATAATAAATCTTTTTTTTAGCCACCCATTTTGTAGAAATTTGTTATGGCTGCCCTAGGAAACTAATACAACATCCAAACATTGAAATCCAAATCTATTCTTTCCATGTCTTTTTTACTTCGGGAGTAAGAAATCAATTTTCTTTCTCATTTCCATAGTACATTTTCTCCACTATGACATTCATCAAAACCTAGATTGTATTTTAATTATTCATGTTTAATTAATTTCTGCCGTATCTGATGCTAAGATTTTGATGGAAAGGATTAATATTTGTATAATTCTAATAGTGTATTTTGTACACAGCATACATTTATTTGTTATTGAATATATTTAATTTGGTTTCTAAGTTGGTGCTAATAAATGATCACTGCAAAATTCTAAATTTAGACTTGCACATTTTAATAAGGGAAAACAAAGAGTGCGCCCAAGCATCATCAGTTTTGTTTACCTGACAGGCAGAAGGAGCAAAAGGCTGCCTTCACAGAATTCATACTCATCCAGGTGCCTGCAGAATTACCTTTTCAAAAGTAATAACACTAAAGCTATTTGTATGTTTCATGCTTCATAAAGTGCCTTTATTTCCATTATATCCTCTTGTGTCACATAGTTCCTGCAAAATAGCTATTTTTAACAACTTTATTTTACATATGAGAATTAGAGCAGTGAAATGACCTCATTGGTGAAGTATACATTCAACACCTTTTCACTTCCACTGTAGTGAGGAGAAAATAATACTACCAAAAATATCATCAATGCTTTCATGTTTATTGTGTGTCCAAAATGTTTTGGCACCATATAAAAAATATAACAGGTAGTCAAGTTTAACAGGTCATTATGTTTGACAGTGTACAAATGAAGTTAACCAAAAATAATCTGAAGCTCAAAAAAATAAAAAACCAGCTAAATAATATGATGATTTAACAGGACTGTGTGCCTATATCTAAAATTTTACTTCCACTAGGATTTAGCATGCAGAGTTAATATCTGTACACATAGCCACTAACATAACTCTTATAATTAAAATAGGAATCTAGAGTGATGACAATCACAGGCTTTATATTTTCCATTAAGTAGTTCTTTATCTCATTGTTATTATAGAATACAATTAGTCTTCCTATTACAAGGACTTTTCGTAATGCAAATCTCAGGGAGAAGTACATAAGAAAACTTTTAGCTGGAAAATGAAACAATACTTAACAGATGCTTTTAATCACTAGTATTAGAGGTACATAAATTTTACTTTTCTCTCTTCTGTTTTCAAACAAATATGAAAGAACAAATTTCACTTTGGATTTTCAGTAGCAAATGATTTGTGTCATTCTGTACATTTGTATGCGTTAGATACTTTACTTTTTCTTTGAACTTAAATATTCAACATCTGCCATATTTGCAAACAGTTTCAAAGATATTTGAAATTTTCTGTGAATAATGTGGAATTCATTATAGCCAATTTATTCTACTTTAAAAATAAGTAGGCTTCTGACAAATATATATTATATATTTTTATATATATTATATATTTTTTATATATATTATATATATTTTATATATATATATACACACACACATATATATATATGTTGTTGATGGCACCAAATACCTAGAAAATTTTGTAAAAAGCAAAAATTTATGTCAAATAATCTAAAGGAAAACAGAAAAAAATAGGAATAAAATAGTAAATAGGGAAAACTATAAATACACAAATATATAATAACCAAATTATAAATTACTAAAATAATACATAAGATAAAGAAAAGCTAAAAATATATAACAGTAAGGTGAAATCCATGTTGTAAAATGTGATACTTTTTCTACTATGTCAATGTATGTTGTAATGTTATGAATAAATTGGGTAAAGATATCAGAAATTCAGTATGACTGTACATTTTGATTGTCAGGTCTAAATTTATGATGTATTCAATTGAAGAGAATCACAAGCTTAGTAACATGAATAACATTTTATGCACATTGGAATCTCTAAATCTTTATAAAATATTTTAAAATATTACTAAATATTTTCAAGACAATTTGTACTTTTGAATTATAAACAATGAAAAAATAGTTAACATTATATTTAAATAGAACCAGAGACTGACTTGATGCAATTCCCTTGCACTTAAAACAAAAAGCCAATTCTGTAACTCAATAACCCATATGTCTGGCAAAGATGGTTGGCATGACACTATGATACACTGGAGGGTCTTCATTCTAATTCAGGATTATGCTCCTTCGTAATGATCCCTAGTTTTTCCAGGAGTTCACATGACGGTTTCTCAGCTTCCACATGGCTGCTTTAACATCTTCATTCCTCAGAGAGTAGATGATGGGGTTCAACAAGGGAGTACAAACAGTGTAGAACACAGAAAGAAATTTGTCCACAGGAAGTCTGCTAAAAGGCCATATATAGAAATAAATGCAAGGCCCGAAGAAAAGAATGACCACTGTGATGTGGGCAGTTAATGTAGAAAGAGCCTTAGATGACCCACTGGAGGACCTGCATCGGACACCGATCAAAATGATGGTGTAGGAAATAATTAAAGCCAGGAAACAGCTCAATGATATCAGGCCACTGTTCGTTAGGGTCATAATTTCCATTTCATATGTATCCATGCAAGCCAGCTCTATCACCAAGGGAAGGTCACAAAAGAAGCTATCCACCTCATTGGGACCACAGAATGGCAGGTCCACTGTAAAAGCCAAGTGGCTCACAGAATGAAGAACGCCCACCGCCCAGGAAATAGACACAAAAATTACACAGAGCCTCCGGTTCATAATTGTACTGTAGTGCAGAGGCTTACATATGGCTATAAATCTGTCATATGCCATAGCTACAAGCAACATCATCTCACTCCCAACAAAACTGTGAAGAACGAATATCTGGGCCATGCAACCCTCAAAGGAGATAGTCTTGCGCTCAATAAAAAAGTCTACAAGCATCTTGGGGGTGGCAAAGTTAGACTGACAGATATCAATGAAAGAAAGATTACTGAGCAAGAAGTACATAGGAGAGTTCAAATGGGAGTCAAAAGAAATAATGACAATAATTAAGACATTGCCTAGCACTGATGTCACATAGACTATAGAGAAGATGGCAAAAAAGAAAAGTTGAAGTCCCCAGGAATTAGAGAGTCCCAAAAGTACAAACTCAGACACCATCGATTCATTTGTGTGAGCCATGTATCCAATATTCAGTTACCTAAAAAAAAGAAATCAGAAAAATGTCACAATGATTGGCATTACAATACCTCTAGTTTATAAACAAAAGAAATATAGTCAATTCTAAACAAAAGAAATAGTCAATTTAATTAGGTTACATATATTTACGTATGTAAATACTCAGTTGACTAATATTTAACATCCATGACTGCTATGAAAGTTGAAAGAGTGTGAAAAAGAGGATTAGATATGAATCCCTGTCATAATTAGAAAAAACTACACATACTAAAGAAATGAAAATATAAAATCAGAAACAGGAAAGTATAAGTGAAATACATGAATAGTATAAATGTTAATAAGATTAAAGAGATTATGCCAAAGTGGTAAGATAAGTTTTAGCTCGAATAATTTCTATTTGTGCTAAAACTTCTCTAAAGTTTGAAATTTGCTAGCCAAAAGTGAAGGAAAAGTCTTTTATTTCAAGTGAAATGAATAACATGAATAAAGAATCAAAGGTAAAAATATAAAGATGTACTTCATTCAGGAAACTGTTAGTTGAGTGGCCTGGCTGGAGAGTGTGCTAAGAAACAATAAAAATTAAATTAACGAATGGTAGATCAGGAGCAAATCGTGAATGCAATTAGCCTTAAGCACAAGACTAAATGGAACTGAGAGTCATAATGTTCTTGGAAGTATTTTAAGAAACAAAAGAAGCGGCCAGGCACGGTGGGTCATGCCTGTAATCCCAGCACTTTGAGAGGCCAAGGCAGGTGGATCACCTGAGGTCAGGAGTTCAAGATCAGCCTGACCAACATGGTGAAACCCCGTCTCTACTAAAAATACAAAAAAATTAGCCGGGCGTGGTGGTGGGCACCTGTATTCCCCCCTACTTGGGAGGCTGAGGCAGGAGAATTGCTTGAACCTGGGAGGCGGAGGTTGCAGTGAGCCGAGATCACACCACTGCACTCCTGCCTGGGCAACAAGAGTGAAACTCTGTCTCAAAAAAAAAAAATGTTAAAAGAAGAAAAAAGAAAAGAAAATGATAGAAACAATTTGCTATAATAGAGAAGGAAGAGCCAATGGTTACACTCTGAAAATTTCTCTGAAGGTCAAGAACACTTCCTTTCAACCTTTTAACAAATAGTTAATCAAAGTTCACCTTCTGTCACATAGAAAGCAATTAACAATAAATGAAACAATAACCAACAACATGTTTTCAGTCTCTTTCTTCTGACTGTGTTTTATCTTTCTATACACACCTGACAAACTTGAATTTGTCAAAATCTCTAACACCTTTCAGGAATGGTCCTTTAAGAAATATCTCATATAGTTCATTTCAAAGGCATAAGACATTCTCAGAAAAGTTAACTAGTAAGTAAATTTGCTCTTAAATGTTTTTTGACATTTTGCTTAATACATGTGGCCACTTGGTCACAGAGAAAACCCTACACACCCTTCCTGAAGTGGTTCAGGAAACATTTTTGACCTTAGCTCTGTGTATCCAACAGTACACAACAGATATTTATTTGTCCTTATACTAACTGAAGCTCTGCACCCCTCCATGTTCTTCAGTGGTTTGTTAGAACCAGGTTATTTAGACATGACCAAAATAATAAATATTTTATATTTTAAAAGTTAAAATTGTATAGGTAATGGTAAACCAAATTAAAAAGTGTTTAAACTGTTTTCAAGCTTTCATTATGTAGTTTTAACCTGGATGTTGGAGCACTATATCCTACACTTTCAGGGCTTTCCGTGTTTGCATTGGTTATGAAGAATTGAATTGGTTTTAAGAAGAATGCAGGCCGGGCATGGTGGCTCATGCCTGTAATCCCAGCACTTTGGGAGGCCGAGGTGGGCAGATCACGAGGTCAGGAGTTCAAGACCTGCCTGGCAATCATGGTGAAACCCCGTCTCTACTAAAAATACAAAATTAGTGTGGTGGCACACACTTGTAGTCCCAGCTACTCGGGAGGCTGAGGCAGGAGAATCGCTTGAACCTGAGGGGTGGAGGTTGCAGTGAGCCAAGATCATTCCACTGCACTCCAGCCTGGGTGATGGAGTGAGACTCCATCTCAAAAAAAAAAGAATGCAGAAACCTAAGTTACTCAAGAATGTAAACAGATCAACGAGGCATGAACTGACCTAACTACAAGTTTCCATGATGGGATCTCATTTCCATGTGGAAGATTTGGGGCAATGCTGGCATCTCTAATCATGTGTGTACATGAGCAGGGGAAACGAGGAAGCAAAGAAACATTGAAAAAGAAAGATATTCCCATTCCTAAGAGTAAAAAAATTCCTAAAGAGCTATAGTTATGAATTTAAAAAGATAAAATTTGACACCATGAGGAACTGCTTATAGCATTTGACTCATTGTGGAAAGCCTATTAAATGCAGTTATTTAATGGAATAAAAAATTATTTATTTTCATAGGTTATTAAGCAAAAAAAAAATCCTTTACACAGAGCATGCAAATAAATTTAGATTATACTTCTATTGGTATAGAATATATACCAGTTCATTATACTGTAATAATAATGAACCATTATAATTACAGTAAAAAAACTCCATAATTGAAATGTCATTTGTGATAAGATTTGCCACTTAAATGAATCACACAGTATTTTGTACATACATCTATTACAGCAAATATTAGAATACATGCTTTATATAAAAATAATAATATTTATAAGTGCTATAAATATATATTTATAAGTGTTATAAATATTATTATTTTTATATAAAGCACATTTTCTAATATTTGCTATAATAGATGTATGTGCAAAATACTGTGTGATTCATTTAAGTGGCAAATCTTATCACAAATGACATTTTTCTATGTTTTAAGCAGTCCCCTAAGCATATGGCATGCATTTGTACTCATTTAATGCTCAAAATAATCTTACAAAGTAGCTACCATTCAAATATGCATTTTATAATTGAAGGAACTCAGGCACAGAGAAGCTTAGGCTAAGTAAATTGCCCAAGTTTATACTACTAGTAAGTTGTATACTTGTAGTAATGACTCCTACAGTAGACTAGGAGATGCTTTTGGACAAACAAAGCTAAATCTTATGAGTGATAGAACAGTGGTGGGGCTCTAAAGTGGGACAGTCTTGGATTTAGTCTCAGCTCCTAAAATTTCTAATGGAATGAACAGTTCCTTGACTTTTCTCAACTCCTTTTCTAACATGTGAAATGGCGATGTCACTTGTTACATTTCAGAGTGGAACGTAATAGGCATTTACACGGGAGTGGAGATTGAAAGAGATGAAAAAGGGTGCTCAAGAAGACAAAGGGGGAGAAAGAGGGAGAAGAGAAGGAGCAAGAGGAGGAGGAGGAGGAGGAGGAAGAAAAAAGGAAAAGGAGAAGGAGAAGGAAGAAGAAAGAGAATGAAACATGATTAACAAAAAATTGTTAAATAATGTTAGTGGAATTATTCCTTTTTCAAAAATCATCTTATCTTTGAAAAATATACTTTTGAAAATATCCAAATTTCCCACAAATTATATCTTTTCAATATCTAATAAATGATAAGGTTTTTAGTCTTAATTTTTCAAAATATAGGAAACAACTAGAAATTCCTCTCCAAACTAACTTCCTATGATTTTTTAAATGCAAGTAGAACAGATCAGGTTCAACATTATATCTCATTTTCTTCTTAATAATTAAGGTAGTTACCCAATAGTATAGACAAATAACATTTGCTACTTGCTGGCTGTGTGACTGAACTTAAAAGATAGAACTGGATTATCTCTAAAGCTAGTTTCATCTCTAAAATTCTAAGTGCAGAGGCAGTTATGGAAACACATGGAGTTTATAAAAGTTAGCATTCCTTCAGCAGTCCACAGAGCACCCAGAAGCTTCTTCATTATTGAATCATTCATTCTGTCATTGCCACTATACCTCAGAGATAGGAGTGTTTTCAGATCCCAAAATACACCATAAGAAAATTTCCCTATTCTTGGTGTAAAGCCAAGTTGGATATGAAAGGGTTGCTGTTGCATTAATATCTACTATACAATGTGTCAATGGAACTCTGAAATCATAAGCATGAATAATTTTTTCTTGTTTTTATTTTAATGTATAATACTTGATTACCTATAAGCCTAGAAGCAAACAATAAAGGATATACTACTGACCATTACTCTACTGTGTATAGCTACACTTTTCTTCATTTGAGGCAAATTTTGGTAGTCAATAAACATTTGTTAAACTAATGGCTACAGAGTCACTGAACAGAAAGCATAAATGGGTCAGAGAAGGGACAGATAATGGTTGTAACATATGTTCCTCTGTTTATCAGATTCTGATCCTCTTCTTACCAGGGTTGCCCAGAAGCAGTGCAGTGGAAGAATGATATAGACAGAGAAGTGGAGAACAGGAATATTCTTCTTCCAGAGGGAGTTTTCAATTTGTCTGAGACAGCAATAACTTCCACTTTGCTATCTTCTAGTTGCTGTTTTTGCATCTATAAGAGATCTCATTAATTATTTCTCCAGTGCAACAATATGTTCACAATGAATGTATAATACTTACACTTTGAAAAAGTTGTCCAAGTCTTTCACTTCTTCCTTATTTTCCCAGTTTGGTGTCCTCTGGTTTGTTTCCATTTCCCACTTTCTGCTATGAGTCTTCATACTGAAAATATTTGTAATATAATCTTAACTTGATGCATTTTAACTTGGTTCCCTACACTATGCCGTATGGAAGGAAGCCTCTCAGGTCCTCAGGTCCTGTCCTGATGTAGTGAGGGCTCTGATCACCTTGCACTCAACCGAGCAATTACAATAACTTAAGGCAATACAATATAAAGCCTTTCAACCTCATTCTAGAAAACTGATTTCATTGGTGAAGCAAGAAAACACCCTTTAGAGATCTGAGGTCACTTTCCAGTGGGAGTAATTATGTTTTACAAAATAATTTTCCAGAAATGGAAAAGAAAAAAAGGTTTGTTTGTTTGTTCGCCAACTAGTGTATACATATGAAAGCAAAAGATTACTTGATTTTAACTGAGTATCAGTCAGCAAAGGAAGTATTCAGGTATTCAACTCCTAACTCTCTGTTAATAAAACAATCACACAATCTTAAAAATTATCACCTCGCCTCAGGGTGTTTCCTCCAATCACAAGGAGCCCACTGCTTCATAAGACAGTTCAGTCTGTGCTCCACTGTTTCTACCATTTGTAATTTAAAGAGTAAATCTATTAGCACTTCAGTATTATGTTTCTTCAAATATTTAAAGAGGCTCTCATTTATTCCCTATATAAATTTCTTTCCCAAAATACATCAACAGTCTTTTTCAACTATATTTTATATAAGTTTTCTAGATCTCCACAGGTTCTGATGTAAGTTTCAAGTGGTCATCTTTAAGTAAAAAAATTGAAGGTAAGATTCCCTATTACTTAGTGTTTCTATCTTCCTATCTATCCTGTGTGCATGTGTACACCTTAGTAAAACATTCACATATATAAGCATTTGAGCACAATGGCACATATTGCAGCACTGGCTGAAGGAGAGATACTGGAAAAAACCTAAGTACATATATATATATAAATTTGAGAGTGGGGAAATATAATATTTTAGTGTGATGAAATACATTCAATAATTAAAATTGTTAAATAATATTTTGTACATGAATATGTATGGTTAAAAACATAATGTTGAGGGAAAAAAAGTTAAAGATTGTAAAATTATGTTCGAACTTTTATAAACCAAATCAATGGACACACTTATGAATTAAAGTTTTAAAATATCCAGACTACAAAGAAAAATTCAAAAGCATAAAGCCTAATTTAGCATCTTAAGGGAGATATACAATGACAAACAGACAGTTAAGGGACTATCACAATAGTAAAATAATGTTAGATTTCAGCAGCAATGATTCAGGGAAGACCCAGTGTCAACAAGCATTTGTTTTTACCAGACAAGCATAATCTTGACTGTTTTTCGTGCTGTCTGGCTTCTAATGGTTCTGCTCATTTTATGAGGCTGCTTCTCTAAATGTACTATCAAATATGCAGATAATGCCAAATCCTCCTAATAATTCCATTTTGCTCAGGATGATTAGAAATCATTTCTTTTGATTGCATAAAATAACCATTATTAAAATAGCCTACAAAGATTACTAGGAGATAAATTGTGTGACAGTAGACAAGAAATATTTGCAAGAGAAAAATAACCAGAAGTAACTTTACCAAAAAAAATAAGAAAAGCTCCAAGGTGAAATATTTTGGTCCATGCTCTCTGTCTCTGTCTCTCTCTCTCTCCCCCCATACGCACACACACACACACACACACACACACACACACACACACACACACAGAGTGTGATATGTATAAAATGCACATATTATATTATTTTAATTATATATATCTATATATAAAAAATAAATGAAACAGAATAGTATCCAGAAATATAACCAAATATATATGTATAAACTATATAATAATATTTATAATAATTTAAAGAAATGTAGATTACTATATAAATGAAATTCATGGGAAAAAGTAAATTTCTATCTGCATACAGTTATAAAAGCAAAATAAATTTTAATTGGATCAAAGATTAAGTTTTAAAAATTAGAAAAAAGCACGTGAAGATTTTTTTATAATCTTGGAGTTGGTAAGGCCTCTAAAGCATGATGTTAAAGAAGCCATAAATATATGGCTATGTAATGGATAGAATTGATTGACTTAATCATTTTTAGATTTGATATATCAAAAAAACCCACAATCAACATTAAATAAAAAAGCAAACTATAAAATATGTGCAACATATATGACCAATGAGACTAATTCCTTGTAAATCAAAATATTATTAGTAATTAAAATAAAGAAATATCAATAAGTAGAAAAATGAGCAGATGCACAAGGAGTTCAAAAGAACAGAAATACTCTGCAACTCTATGACAATAATAAGACATCTTTACCTTACAGATTGAAAAAATGTCAACATAATTTGGAGTAATTTGGGGAGAAAATATGTTAATTATTTGTCAATGAAAATCTAAATAGAAACATACATTTTATACTTAGTAAACATACTTAAAGTAGAAAACAGGTAACATTTTAATTTAAGAGGCAAAAAATATGCCCAATTAAAAATAAAAACCCTATTTATTATTTAGAGAAATGTAAAATAAACAAATAGGAATTTTAAAAAAAAGCTTTCTATTGTCAGTTAAATTGGCAAAGGTGGCAAAGACAAGACATGAATTAGCGACACATTGGAGAAAGATAAACATAATTGAAGTCACAGAAGAAGAGAGCACAAGACTAAAACAATAGCTGAAGAGATCCTGGCTAAAAGCTTTCCATAACTGAAGTATAGTTCTAGCCATAGAAGCAAGACATTCAATAAACCACTAGCAATAAATAAATAAATAAATAAAATAAATAAATAAGCAAGATCATAGTAAATCCTAGAATTGTTGGGACAGGAACCACAAAATCCATAAGTGGATCAATGGGAATGATGCAGAGAGAGTCCAATCTATGCCTTGTCTATTCCTTGTTATCTGATTGTGAGTATTTTAGCTACTGGTGACACAAAATTGCAAATTAACTGTCATTTCAACAAATATATTACATTTTGGAGTTCACCATCTCAAAAAATGTGAGTATAATCTCAACAACAGACTTTTATCTGAGGCTTTTAAAGGTCATTCCAATCTTGTTTGTGGCTGGAAGCTTCCCAGAAAAATGGATCCATGATATGTCTCTATTGTCACACCTCTTCACTGTAAATTCAATAAATTCCAGTTTCTTCACTGTAAATACTTTTGTCTATAATTCCAGAGACAATCTCTGTGGAATCCTATATCCATATGTCAAACACTCTGTGTGCCCTGGAATTGTGTCTGGGGAGAAGGACTACAGGTAGAGAGGGAAAACTCACATCAGGAATAGGAATGAATTCCAATAAAGACAAATCACTACCCCCCCTTCAGAGGAAGGGGTGTGATACAGTTGATTTGCCACCAAATGGATGTGGTCTTTCTGCAGAATGGCACCATAACAAGGTTGCAGCATGACTCCCTTCTGCCAACAGACCAAGCATTCAGGAGCTGTAGCAGTGGTATGAGACTAACCTTGATAAAAGAGAGTCCATGTTTTTGGTCCCTGATAGGCATTGTTGTAAAGTACAAAAATCTACACACTTAGAGCCCACTCACATACGTTCATCCTCATTCTTCCCTCCCAGACTACTTTCCTCCAATTTTCAATTTTGATCTTCAAGACCCCTAACAAGCTAGCAAAGCCATTTTTCAAAGCCCACAAATTCATGTTTATTTTTACTTATGACCAATTCTCCATCTAAATCTGATAACTAAGTGCAATGTTTATGGCTCTGGCCAATGAGAGAATTCTTCCTCCTGAGTGTCCATGAAGGTCATCTGAGTGAGTAGTAATGCAGCAGCAGTCCCATTTTTTGGCTTGCACCAAGGCATAGAATGAAGTCATCCGTAGAAACTCTCTCATGAGGCCATAATATTGAGCTTAAGAAAATATATTAATGCCACAGAAATACTTGATAAGGGATTTAGACTATCTGTTCATACCAATTCCTAGTGCCTTTATACCTGCTTCAGCGTGGTCCTACACATGCCATTTCCAATGTGTGATGGCTTGCTGCTGTGGCAGCTAGAAATTATGATTTAATAAATCTGATAACAGTTCATGATGAGCAGTGCTTTTCATGTAGGCAGTCACTTGGAAATCAATGGTCAGGTACTTAGTCCCTGATAAGACCCAACAGCATACTAAGATCTATTTTTAAATAGTAAGCAGTTGGCTTCTGCAGAGCTTTTTTTCTGGAATCCTAAAAGTATTGTTATTTATCTAATTGACTTTTGTAAATAATCTACACAATGTCCTTATTTATCATGGATATCTCCATTTCATTGGATTTCTGGTCGACATAGCCTGAATGGCTGGGCAGTTTGCACTGAAGACCAGAGTTAGTACGGGGACCCACTGAAAACTGGAAATACTATGAATCAACCTAAAATTGATCTAAAGTAGTATTTATGAAGCAGTTTTTATGCTGCCTATAACATTCAATGATCTTGAGAGAACTGTGCCTCTTTCTCAGTGGTAAAGAATATAAAACAAAATAATGTGTATTTTATGTAATGAGAGGATAGTCTAGCCTGCCCTAGCGTATTGGACTCAACACCTAAATGATTTAGCAGAATTCTGAAAATATCTAAGGGTTATTGCTAACCTTCTTGTATGTCACTTCCTACTCACAGGTCTAATCAGTGCATGCCTTCAATGTGTGACTAAAATGATGTTCTATAGATTATCATGACCATTAAGTTCCCTCAGGACAATATTATGACAGAGAGTAAAAGAGTTTGAAAAAGCTGAACAAACTATAAATGTTCAGAAAGTTATGGTGTAAGAAATGTGACTTTTTAAGGGTGAGAACTCCATCACAAGACAAAGACGAGAGGTTTTCTACAACTTTTTGTTGACATGTTGGTAGTTTTATTATATCCTTCATGTACTCAATATGAGGTTAAATCTATTTGAATTTCAAGATATTGCAAATACAACATATAATATGGCAAGGATCTTCTCCATGGAAAAGTATTTATGATGAAATGTAGATTTGTTTAAAAAGTAAAACACCTATGGTGAAATACTGGATCTTGGCTCTGCTGACAGATCCATTCCACCCACACCCCACCTTTATGTTCCTCTAAAGACCACCCTGAAGTGCCTTTGCAATCACCTACTCTGTTTTTTCCTGGAGGACTCTGTTACTCTGCATTCCTGGAAAGTGTACCTCTGATACTTTCCTCCTTGTCCTGTGACTAACTTGACTCATACTATTGCCAGTTGTCTCTATTTAGTCAATGGAACTAAAGCTTCTTCATCCTTTATCCCGTTGGCCTTTTGGGGTACTCTCCCCACGAGCCATGACACCGTCTCTCTGTAAAGTCTGAGGCATCACATCAGCTCTTTCGAACAGCTTCTGTGCTGGGCATTGTCTGAAGGACTGTTCCTTGTCAGAAGGACTGCTCATCAACTTAGTTCATAAGCATAGCAGAAGTAGCTTAAATTGTGAGATCTCAGGAAACAAATAAAAGTCTGCCCTGGGTTTGGTAGCATCCCTTCTTACTTTTTAAAATATTCAGATTATCAAAAGCAATTTAGGAATATATTCATCTACCATAAACAAATCCCCTAATAAGGTAGAGTTTGGCTTAGCCAGGGAGAAATATGTTAATTAACTCATTGTATGGGTTATCGTGAAGAAGAAGCCATATAATACAGAGCCTGTGTGAACCAAAAAGGTAGTTTTTTTTTTCTTTTCTTTATTCTGAGAGAAATAGCTGAAAATTAAAAGACTGAAGAGATTGGTGACTTGATCAAAAGCTAAGTAATCTGTTCAATGTCAAAAATAGTAATATAATCAATGTTCAAATCCCAGTTTTTGACAGCCAACTCAAGACACTTTCCTTTACACTTTTTCAATTGACTAGAGTTATTTCCACATTTACTAAAATGTTCACTTCTTCTGCCATTTTATTCAGTTAATGATATTTCTCTGTCAATTTGTCAGCAGTGCAGGGAAAGTCTATAGGATCTGTAAACCAGAGGAAAAAAAAAGAATTTTTAATACTATCCTATTACTTTGAAATGTGTGTATTAAAAAGTTGATTACCAAGTTATATTAATAGTTGCTTTATTTTTTTATTTATTTTTCTATTTTTTATATTTTAAACAAAATTTAAGGTGGGATTCTACAGTACATAATATCACAATCCTAACCGAAATACGATGCTATGTGCCTTTAATAGTTTCCCTTAAATAAGAATTAATTAAATTAGAAATTCATTGCTCTTAGCATTAGGAATGTCCCTTGTTTTTATTGGAACTAGAGTAATTTGAAAAATTTGTGGAAATAGTGCTGCAATAAACATACATGTGCATGTGTCTTTAGAATAGAATGATTTATATTCCTTTGGGTATATAACCAGTAATGGGTTTGCTGGGTCAAATGGTATTTCTGGCTCTAGATCTTTGAGGAATAGCTACACCGTCTTCCACGATGATTGAACTAATTTACACTCTCACCAACAGTGTAAAAGCATTCCTATTTCTCCACAGTTTCACCAGCATCTAATGCAAATCAAAACCACAATGAAATACCATCTCACACCAGTCAGGATGGCGATTATTAAAAAGTCAAGAAATAAATTTGAGTTTACCAAATGATAGCATTCACTTTATAAATGCTATCTTTTTTTTTTTTTTTTTTTTTTTTTTTGATACGGAGTTTTGCTCTTGTTGCCCAGGCTGGAGTGCAATGGCGCGATCTCGGCTCACCACAACCTCCGCCTCCCAAGTTCAAGCGATTCTCCTGCCTCAGCCTCCCGAGTAGCTGGGACTATAGGCATGTGCCACCATGCCCGGCTAATTTTGTATTTTTAGTAGAGAGGGGTTTTCTCTATGTTGGTCAGGCTGGTCTTGAATTCCTGACCTCAGGTTATCCGCCCACTTCGGCCTCCCAAAGTGCTAGGATTACAGGCGTGAGCCACCGCACCCAGCCCTATCATTTTTTATATTTTCAAGCATGTCATAGATGAATTTCACTTTAGTGCATAAATAGATGAAGCTACTGACTTTTTTTTATTCAACTGGCTCCTGATTTCTCTCATTAACATATTTGATGAGATGCTTCTGATTTTTCGATACCTTCAAAATACTTAAAAGTATCTGTATCTGTCAGAGTCTAGTCAGGAGACAGAACCCACATGAGTAATTTGAACAGAGAATACTTAATATAAAGAATTAGCAACTGGTAATAGGAATTAGCTACTACAAGGAGAATAAAAAGTAACTCTAAAAAAATACCCTAAGAGAGAACTGACATCTTTTACCATACTGTTTTTCTATTTATTAATATAGTGTCTATCTTCACTTATTTAAGTTTGATTTACTAATACACTCTTCATTACTACCTTTTGTTAAATTTTATAATTTTCTCTAAATGCACATCTTTAAATTTGTACATAAGCTTAGAGTATTTGTTGTTTTGCAAGTTACATTTTTTACATAAATAATTGTAATTTTTTGTTGACATATTTTTTCTTTTTCAACATTTATTTGTAAAAGATGTCATTCTCTATAAGTTAATAAATATGTTATATACAATGAATATAATAAATATCTTTGTATGTCAATTAACACATGAATCCAATGCAATTACAACAAAATCCTGAAATAATATTTTAAGAAATCTGACGAGCTGGTTGTAAAATGTTTATAGAACATAAAGGGGATAAACTAACAAAGACACTGAAAAATAAGAGATGAGAGAACTTAATCTATCAGACATCAAGATTTATTTTAAAACTGTAGTAAATTAAAACAGCGTAATATGGGTGCAGGGCTAAACACATGCATTAACGAAACAGAATAGAGTCTAGTAACAAATCCATACATACACTGAAGCTGAAAATGTAAGAGAGGTAGTATTGCAAATTGAGGGAAATAATGAACAATTAAATAAATGACACCAAGTCTGATTTCTACATATTTACAAATATATAAAAATAGATGCCTAGCTCCCAAAATGTACAAAATGAGTTACAAAGCGATGAAATTCTTAAGTATAAAAAGCAATATATGTTTTAATTTACAGAAGAAAATCTAAATAATGTCTTTATGATCTTGACAGAGAGAAGGATTTCTTAAATCAGACACATACACACAAAAAAAGATACCAAAAATGATTCACAAATCCAACCACATTAAATTTTCTAAAAATTATTACAAAGGCCATTTGAACAGCTGATAAATTTTACAACACTCTTGAAATGAAAAAATAAAATAGAGTGATGGGGAACAGATCATTGGTTGCCAGGGTTAAGATCACAGGGGAGACAGCACAGGAAAGTTTCTTTGAAGTGACGGAAGAGGTCTATGTCCTTATTGTGGCTGTTGTGACTACATGAATCTATTTATGCAATGATATTTCATAATACTATAAAGCAATAGTAAAAAAAAAAAGAGTACATGTAAAAACTGATTAAATCTGAATCTGAATCGTCTTCAGTTTACTTTGAAAAAAAAAAATACCATAGGCCTAAAGGAGAGAAACCAAAGAAGAAATAAATGTGGAAGGGTGATGCCCTGCCCAAGGTTGAGTTTCAGAACTCTTTGGAGAGAATATGAGTGAGGCCCCCTAGATGGAGAGAGGTTCTCTGGGTTGCACTGGACCAGATCTAGTCCACAGAAGGTGAAGTGAAGATGGGGATCAGAGAATTTAAGGCCAAGGCTGGCAATAAAACTTGCTGGAGGATGAGTACCACTGGGTGCCTGAACATAAGCCACTGGCAGCTGCACTGTAGGAACAAGAAGAGAAGTGGCACAAACGAAAATCTTGGTGTTGAAATAGTTCAGCTTTCTAGATTCTCCTCTCTTTTCTGCAACTCATAATCTAAAAGGAAATTGGAATTATCTAGCCAATCAGAGGCAGCCCTTTAAATGAAAGGTTTAAAATGGAAGCTTCTGAGTATGTATCATTCCATATTTTAAAGCATTTTAGCTATTTGAAAACCGTATGGGATAGGCATAATTGATTTTTGGGGGGGGGAGTCTCATAACCTAATAATCTCCACTTGAACTTAAGCAGTTATATTAAATTGTAGTTTGGCTATTCCCTGAAGTTGGCAAAATTCAGTTTCAGATTCTTAAATACTATTCATCCACATAGAAGTTTTAGGCATGTTGTTAAGAAAACTCTTAAAACCTGACAAATGTTTGAATGTATGCCCACCAGAGAATTAGGTTCTCATTGATTTTTTTCTTGATATTTACATTTACCCCGTAACAAAAGCAGTAAATGCATACATATTATCCATCTAGTGCCCATATTTTATTTCTAGAACCAGTAATCTAAACAGAGATTTTTCCATGTTTTTATATTTAACTTTCACTTGATACCTAGAAAAAGACTTGTTAATATTCATTAAATGTTCTCTATATTATCTTCTTCACTACTTTCCCCACAATTGAGATACACCACAAAAATACATTAAAATATTAAACAGTGTATTGACCTGAGGAATTTGAAGGAGTTTTGTCTTAATGAAAGGAAGTTCTCACTACTAGTGACATTTCAGAAATTCTCCTTGGCCTCAGGTAATGGTTCACAATTTTCCTTACGGCAGCCTTCATATCCCTATTCCTTAGTGTATAAATAATGGGGTTTAGGACGGGGGTGAAAACAGTGTAAAATATGGCAAGAAATTTATCCAAAGGAGAGATGGTAAAGGGCCACACATAGATGAAGATGCAAGGTCCAAAGAATAATATTACTACTGCAATATGGGAAGCCAGCGTAGAAAATGCCTTTGCCATTGCAGCTGAAGACTTGAGCCAAACTGTAACAAGAATAATGATGTAGGAGCTGACCAAGAGAGAGAAAGTGCTTAGGGAAAGAATTCCACTATTGACCACAATTAGTATTTCAATGATGTAAGAGTCCAGGCAGGCAAGTTTGGTGACTCGAGGAAGATCACAAAAAAAGCTGTCTACTACATTAGGTCCACAAAAAGGCAGGTTCACAGTAAATGATAACTGGCTTAATGTGTGCACCAAGCTCACAGCCCAGGAGATCATTACCAAGACAGTGCATGTCCTTCGGCTCATGATGACCACATAGTATAAGGGTTTGCATATGGCTACATACCTGTCATAGGCCATCGAAACAAGTAGCACCATCTCCCCTCCAGTAAAAAGGTGAATAAAGAAAATTTGGGCTATGCAGCCACTGAAAGATATGGTCTCGTGTGCACTCAGAAAATCTGCAATCATTTTAGGGGTAGCAAAAGAAGCCTGACAAATGTCAACAAAGGAAAGGTTTCCCAAGAGAAAGTACATAGGGGAGTGCAGGCTGGTATCAGAAGTCACTGTGAGGATAATGAGAAGATTTCCCAGCACAATGACTGTATACAACACAGAGAAGAAACAAAAATAGAAAAGCTGGAGTTTTTGAGAACTACAGAGTCCCAACAGTACAAATTCAGACACCACTGAAGAATTGGACTTATCCATGGTTCCAAGCTGCAAACTTGTTCTGAAACAACTCTAAAGGAGGATAAATAGAAAGGAATCAGAATTTGAATTAAGAATACTTTTAAGGTGAGGGATTCTGAGATCTCAGATATAATGTGCATTTGCTGAATGCAAAAATTTTGAAGAGGCCATAATAGTATGTCTGGATAGGTGGATAATAGGAAAGAACTTATGTAAATGTCTAAATAATGCTTAATAATTTAATCAGTATAATTAGAACCCCTTGAGTTTTTGGATAGTCCTTGTCTTTTATACAGTAGGAAATGAGCTTACCCAGGAGCTGACTCATGACAACAAGACTAGAGGAGTGACCTAGAGTCCAGCTCCACAAGCCTCATAGGTTGACAAAAAGTGTTTACATTTGCTTGTCTTGTGGTCATCTTACATCATCAATTATACAACATTCTTAACTTTTGAAGAGATATTCATGGCTTGATTATTATTACATGATGTAAAGTCACACAGATTAACTTTTGGCCAATTATTTTATCTGAGCTTTAATTCCACACCTTAAAAAAGATGGGAGGTATAAAAATACCTACTTTACAGAAAACTTTAGAGTTTAAGCAGAATAACTCATGACATTCTACCATCAAAGTAATTGTATTGCAACATATGATCTTAATACATTAAACACCCTATATTAATAGAAATTTACCTTCGTGCTCCTGCAGGAGTCATTTACAATTAGGCAATTCCTGCTAAACAGATACTATTGAATGTATATTATACTGGCCTATAGTTCCAACTGAGTTTGTCAATTAGTTATCCAATAATTTCTTAAAACACATATTATGGCTTACCTGAATTATCTAAATCCTATTTTCTGTTGATTATCCAAGAGTGGAACCTAAATTTTTCATTTTCTTTGCCTATCAGAATTAGATTTCAGCCCACTTACATTCTCCCTGCTAGAGTTCTCCATGATCTTCTTAAAACATCTTTATAATTAATGCTGGAAAATGAAGTTTAAAAAAAATTTCTGGATAGAGAAGTAAAAATGATTATAAACCTCTCATGCTCTTGAAAATATCTAAAAATTTGCATCGTATGTTTTTCACCCTGTAAAGACATACCCCTACTGTATAAATCTAGTTCAGTTGAACTGGAAAAACTTTAAAGAAGTGCTGTTTTAGGAAACCATATTAGTTCTGACAATTAACTGTTGACAACAGTCATAGTAAGAGGCCTGAGAGAGTAATGATCTAATTCTAGTCCCATGTGAGAACATGAACATCTTTTTCTGCTAATTTATTTCATACAAGAAGCCAGAGTCTTTCCTTTGTCTCTAGGCTACAGACCTAGTCTCTCATTTAGATGAATGCAGTTGCAATCCACACCGGGAAGCCCCACAGTAAACAATCATATTGTGTACTCTATTGGAAGAAGGTTCAGAGAAGCATTCCACTGGGCCACATTTTGGATATACATTATTGTAAACTCTGGAACTACGGCAAACAAAAAGATGACTCATTATAATTGTTTAAAGCATTAGTAACAACAAATCAGTGTCTATAATATACAAGAAGGCAATAACTAAGAGGATTCTGAAATATGATGTAATCACTTTATGCCATGTGTGACTCATTTTGTTCCCCCATTTCTAAAATAAAAGTGTCCTTGCTCAAGTTCATGTATTTATTACATAAAATGATTAACTCTACCTAACGAAAATGTTTATTGTATGAATGTAATGTATTAAGCTAAAAATTGAGGCAGATTTAAATATAGTGAATGATGAATCATAATTTTAAAATTTACAAATGAAGGGCAAAGAGAGCTTGCATTTGTTCAGACGCTGCTAGATAGCATCTACTGTGTATACATGTTTTATCAGGTGATCTTTACAACAGACCTTTGGAAAAGGGGTTACTAAACTGCAGAAGAGAAAAACAAAGATTAGACATGTTTACTAATCTGTGGTCAGACATCTAGTAAGGGTCAGAACATCTCAGTGGGGATTTGAAATCAGATAATAAAAATAATATTTAACATTTACTAAGCATCAAAGTGTTAGGCACTGTTCTGAGCTCTTAATGTATAGTAATTGAATCTTCCCATAACACTGCATGGTAAATGCACTTACTAATTCTATCTTACAATAAGAAGTCAGAGATACGGAGATGATAAGCAGTTTCCCTGAAGTTCCATAGCTGGAGAGCCATTAAACTAGAATCTGAACCCTGGTATTTGACTCCAAGGCCAGGTCTTGCCACATTACAACATCCTGTTTCAGATCTGAATATAAAACTCATGCCATTGACACTATGTTACAACTGGAAATTCCCTCAATATATGCTCATGATTCTAATCTTTTCACCTGCTATGAGGCATTCATTCATCAGTTGAGCCAGAGTTTCCCAACTTTGGCATTATTGACATTTGGGGTTGAATTACTTTGTTGAAACAGACTGTCATGTGACTACTGTAGGGTGTTCAGGAGCATCTCTGGCATTACCCATTAGATGCCAGCTACACTTTCCCCCCAGTTATGCCAACAAAAATGTCTCCAAACATTACAAAATGTCCACTTGAGGAGGTGAAAAATGACTCCCAGTTGAGAACCACTGTGCTACTGTGTTAAGTTGTCTTTGGCTTGCCTTTTTAGTCTCTCCCTGTTTCATTTAACTTTTCATTTAATCTTTTCATCTACTGACAGTTGCTCGGATTCACTCATCAAAGAAATAAGAAAAAGAACTCTCCTAAACTCTTCTATTATCTTTGATTGTTTTTTCTCTTAATTTTTCTTTTTTTTAAAAAAAGAAATTTTGTGTAGTAGTGTCTACATGTTTCTCTCCAAATCTTTTTTACTACTCAGACTTTTAACATGCTTAACTATGCCTTTTGCTGCCACAGTCAGGAAAACTACTTTATCAAATGTCCCCAAAGACCTGGTAATGATAGCTAATTCTTAAACAGAATGCCTCTTGGTTTTCCTTTCATAATTTTTAATGTTAGCTTCCTTTATCCATGCTACTGCCCCTTAAAAGTAGATTCCAAGAGGTCTTAGCCTCTGGCATTCCAATTTTTTTTCCTTTTCCCTCTGCATTTCTTGAACTCTTCTTTATCTCTTTATGTCCTTATTAATCTATTTCTGCTCCTTGTTATCTCCCTTTCTTCGGCATTCCATTCATCTCCTTGGCATCAGTCATTTCCTCTGTATTATGATCTCTAATTTTGCAGTACTGTTCCCCCCGCCGCCCCCACATTCCAATATTCCAATCTGTTTCTGACAGTTTTTGAATGTGACTATACATAGCCATCTCAAAGCTCAGCTCTCACAATTTCCCAACTCAACTCAACTCTTTTCCTTCAAACTTGTCTGAATTAACTGTAAGGGAAAACCTACCTTTCTCCTGGACCTCACTCTTCCACTTGAAACATCTTATCATTCCTTAAGCATATATATATATATATATATATACATATATATACACACACATATATATATACATATATATACACACACATATATATATACATATATATATACACACATATATATACACATATATATACACACATATATATACATATATATACACACATATATATACACATATATACACACATATATATACACATATATATATACACACATATATATATATAAAATTGAATGTCCTTAGCATGAGAGCCAAGAATATAGAACCTGCTTTTACCTATGCCATACACTGCTCTCTAGCAAAAAATAACAGACTACTCAACATTTATTAAGCTGATAAACAATTCCTTATCCATTTTTTCGTGTCCTTCACAGATGTCTATTCCAACACAAATGTTACCACCTCTAAAAGCCTTCCTAGAGGCTTAAGTTGAAATTTCTATGTCCTAATGTTTCTGTAGCACTTTGCTTGCATATGCGTTATATCTTCTCCCAAGGTATAGTGAATTATGTTGGCTTGGCATACATTTTGAATACAAATTCCACTTTCTCATACCAGAAGCCGAGCTCAGTTACCCTTGACACAGTTTCCAGTTCTACAGTACATTCAAATGGTTCAAGCTGTTGGCCAGAGATAAAAACTAGAGGCATCTCTCCCACCTGGCCAACTGGGCTCCCTGCTTTCCTGTAGCTTTCTTTAAATGGACCCTTCAGTCATTTTCTGGTGAACTTAAAGTAACCCATACCCTGTTCCCTCAGGTGTACTGCTAAATGCCAGGCTTTCTCACCATCCCTTTGCTTGACTCTTCATTCCTGTCCTACATGACACTGAGATGAAGGACTGCCCTCCCAACTTATTGCACTCTCCCTGCCTGATCGCTAAATAAAAATCATTGAACTTTTTTTCTATTGCAGTGATGTATTGAATTTGCATCACCCACCTGAAGAATCAGGGGCTGGCCCAGGCTGAGTTTTCCCTGGAATGCTTGGGAGAACACAAGATCAGGCTTCCAGCCTCCAGAGTGCTGGTCTGGTAGACATCAGCTAGACATAGGTCAGACAAAAGCTGCAGGGGCATCTGCCAGTATAAAATTTCCTGTGTGAGGAACTCCCTGGTCATGACAACTAGGCATTAAGCCTTTCACCAGGTAAAAGACATATCCCATAAAGACACACTGGAAACACCCAGAACAAGCTCATTTTCATTTCTCATTAGGACAGGATTGCTAGCCACTCTGGTATGGAACCCCAATTTAGCTGGGGACTCTCAAAACATAAGGTAAGACTCCCAGTGTGGAAGAGAAATATTATTATGATAGCTAACTCTATTATTTCTCTTCCACACTGAAACTTCTTGAATTATTGTGCTCCTTATGAATGATTCACAGGATTTGGTAGAGAGACATGCCAAAAGTACTTTGTCCATAAATGTGTTATAGTATTAATGGAAATATATTTCACCCTGTATTTGTCTTTCACTGAATAGTTTTACCTTCTTACTTTCCTGTGCATAGACTCCTTCCCAGTGAATGGCCTAGAACTCTGCAAACCATATACCACCTACATAAACTCCATCTTTACATGGAGCAAAAATATTTCATCTAATTGGTAATACAATGTCCTAATTAAGTAATAAAAACAAGTGCCAACAATCAACCAGCTAATGCAAAAAGAATGACATAACTGGTTTGAGTTGAAGCATAGAGAAAATAGTTTATCTGTTATATTGGAAGTAAACCATACTTTAGTTACCAACTTTTTAAAGTTATAGAAATAACGAGATGCTTTAAGAAGAATAAATTTGCATTTTATTGTGTAGGGTTAAATAAATCCTGTTATATACTTTAAGTGCAAATAAAAATAAATTATGGATTATACTATAACTACAGACCTATAACATGAGTTTTGTATTTAACATTCTCATAACTTTTTTGTGTAGTTTTACTCTACAAAGTAATATATAGCCTTGATTTGCATGCCTATTTAATTTCTTTAGGTAATAGGTAAGAGTGTCATGATGGATTTTCCTAGGTGCAGTCAGAGTTTTTCATAATTTTCCCAAGTGTCTCCCCAAGTATACTTCATCTCTGTACATAATTTCTCACAAGTTATCCCTAGCACGCTCAGACACAGACACATGAACATCCTAATCTTTTTTAAATTAATTATTTATTTTTTCCATAAGTTATCAGGGTACAGGTGGTTAGTACCTTTTTCTTTTGTCAAATTGTAAGAGTACCATGAATTTATCTAAGTGACCAATTGCAGCTTTTAAGATTTAGTATTAAATAGCCAAGGTTCATCTTCCAATGGAAATTAATATGTTTCACCAGATATTCTCATTCAAGCAAGGTAGATATGCGGCATTATTTCTGAGGGCTCTGTTCTGTTTCATTGGTCTATATCTCTGTTTTGGTACCAGTATCATGCTGTTTTGGTTACTGTAGGCTTGTAGTATAGTTTGAAGTCAGGTAGCGTGATGCCTCCAGCTTTGTTCTTTTGGCTTAGCATTGACTTGGCAATGTGGGCTCTTTTTTGGTTCCATGTGAACTTTAAAGTAGTTTTTTCCAATTCTGTGAAGAAAGTCATTGGTAGCTTGATGGGGATGACATTCAATCTATAAATCACCTTGGGCAGTATGGCCTTTTTCACGATATTGATTCTTCCTACCCATGAGCATGGAATGTTCTTCCATTTGTTTGTATCCTCTTTTATTTCATTGAGCAGTGGTTTGTAGTTCTCCTTGAAGAGGTCCTTCACATCCCTTGTAAGTTGGATTCCTAGGTAGTTTATTCTCTTTGAAGCAATTGTGAATGGGAGTTCACTCATGATTTGGCTCTCTGTTTGTCTGTTATTGGTGTATAAGAATGAATGCTTGTGATTTTTGTACATTGATTTTGTATCCTGAGATTTTGCTGAAGTTGCCTATCAACTTAAGGAGATTTTGGGCTGAGTTGATGGGGTTTTCTAGATATACAATCATGGCAAGCAGGGACAATTTGACTTCCTCTTTTCCTAATTGAATACCCTTTATTTCTTTCTCCTGCCTGATTACCCTTGCCAGAACTTCCAACACTATGTTGAATAGGAGTGGTTGAGAGAGGGCATCCCTGTCTTGTGCCAGTTTTCAAAGGGAATGCTTCCAGTTTTTGCCCATTCAGTATGATATTGGCTGTGGGTTTGTCATAGATAACTCTTATTATTTTGAGATACGTCCCATCAATACCTAATTTATTGAGAGTTTTTAGCATGAAGCGTTGTTGAATTTTGTCAAAGGCCTTTTCTGCATCTATTGAGATAATCATGTGGTTTTTGTCTTTGGTTCTGTTTATATGCTGGATTATGTTTATTTATTTGTGTATGCTGAACCAGCCTTGCATCCCAGGGAGGAAGCCCACTTGATCATGGTGGATAAGCTTTTTGATGTGCTGCTAGGTTCGGTTTGCCAGTATTTTATTGAGGATTTTTGCATCGATGTTCATCAGGGATATTGGTCTAAAATTCTCTTTTTTGGTTGTGTCTCTGCCCGGCTTTGGTATCAGGATGATCCTGGCCTCATAAAATGAGTTAGGGAGGATTCCCTCTTTTTCTATTGATTGGAATAGTTTCAGAAGGAATGGTACCAGCTTCTCCTTGTACCTCTGGTAGAATTTGGCTGTGAATCCATCGGGTCCTGGACTTTTATTGGTTGGTAATCTATTAATTATTGCCTCAATTTCAGAGCCTGTTATTGGTCTATTCAAAGAATCAGCTTCTTCCTGGTTTAGTCTTGGGAGGGTGTATGTGTTGAGGAATTTATCCATTTCTTCTAGATTTTCTAGTTTACTTGCATAGAGGTGTTTATAATATTCTCCGATGGTAGTTTGTATTTCTGTGGGATCGGTGGTGATATCCCCTTTAGCATTTTTTACTGCGTCTATTTGATTCTTCTCTCTTTTCTTCTTTATTAGTCTTGCTAGCAGACTATCAACTTTATTGATCTTTTCAAAAAACTAGCTCCTGGATTCATTGATTTTTTGAAGGATTTTTTGTGTCTCTATTTCCTTCAGTTCTGCTCTGATCTTAGTTATTTCTTGCCTTCTGCTAGCTTTTGAATGTGTTTGCTCTTGCTTCTCTAGTTCTTTTAATTGTGATGTTAGGGTGTCAATTTTAGATCTTTCCTGCTTTCTCTTGTGGGCATTTAGTGCTATAAATTTCCCTCTACACACTGCTTTGAATGTGTCCCAGAGATTCTGGTATGTTGTGTCTTTGTTCTTGTTGGTTTCAAAGAATATCTTTATTTCTGTCTTCATTTCATTATGTACCCAGTAGTCATTCAGTAGCAGGTTGTTCAGTTTCCATGTAGTTGAGCAGTTTTGAGTGAGTTTCTTAATCCTGAGTTCTAGTTTGATTGCACTGTGGTCTGAGAGACAGTTTGTTATAATTTCTGTTCTTTTACATTTGCTGAGGAGTGCTTTACTTCCAAGTATGTGGTCAATTTTGGAATAGGTGTGGTGTGGTGCTGAAAAGAAAGTATATTCTGTTGATAATTTGCCAGTCTGTGTCTTTTAATTGGAGCATTTAGCCCATTTACATTTAAGGTTACTATTATTATGTGTGAATTTGATCCTGTCATTATGATGTTAGCTGGTTATTTTGCTTGTTAGTTGATGCAGTTTCTTCCTAGCCTTGACGGTCTTTACAATGTGGCATGTTTTTGCAGTGCCTGGTACTGGTTTTTCCTTTCCATGTTTAGTGCTTCCTTCAGGAGCTCTTTTAGGGCAGGCCTGGTGGTGACAAAATCTCTCAGCATTTGCTTGTCTGTAAAGTATTTTATTTCTCCTTCACTTATGAAGCTTAGTTTGTCTGGATATGAAATTCTGGGTTGAAAATTATTTTCTTTAAGAATGTTGAATATTGGCCCTCACTCTCTTCTGGCTTGTAGAGTTTCTGCTGAGAGATCCGCTGTTAGTCTGATGGGCTTCCCTTTGTGGGTAACCCGAGCTTTCTCTCTGGCTGCCCTTAACATTTTTTCCTTCATTTCAACTTTGTTGAATCTGACAATTATGTGTCTTGGAGTTGCTCTTCTCGAGTAGTATCTTTGCGGTGTTCTCTGTATTTCCTGAATTTGAATATTGGCCCGTCTTGCTAGGTTGGGGAAGTTCTCCTGCATAATATCCTGCAGAGTGTTTTCCAACTTGGTTCCATTCTCCCCGTCACTTCCAGGTACACCAATCAGACGTAGATTTGGTCTTTTCCCATAGTCCCATATTTCTTGGAGGCTTTGTTTCTTTCTTTTTATTCTTTTTTCTCTAAACTTCTCTTCTCGCTTCATTTCATTCATTTGATCTTCAATCACTGATCCCTTTCTTCCAGTTGATTGAATCAGCTACTGAGGCTTGTGCATTCATCACATAGTTCTAGTGTCATGGTTTTCAGCTCCATCAGGTCCTTTAAGGACTTCTCTGCATTGGTTATTCCAGTTAGCCATTCATCTAGTTTTTTTCCAAGGTTTTTAACTTCTTTGCCATTGGTTCGAACTTCCTCCTTTAGCTCGGAGTAGTTTGATCGTCTGAAGCCTTCTTCTCTCAAGTCATCAAAGTCATTCTCCATCCAGCTTTGTTCCGTTGCTGGTGAGGAGCTGTGTTCCTTTGGAGGAGGAGAGGTGCTCTGATTTTTAGAATTTCCAGTTTTTCTTCTCTGTTTTTTCCTCATCTTTGTGGTTTTATCTACCTTTGGTCTTCTTTAAGTATTTCTCCCTTTAAAGTGAGAACAATATTTAGCTTTCTCAGAGAAAGGTGCTAGAAGCACATTGCAGGAGGAAGAATCCCTCTTACCAGTTCAGGCCTCCGCTGGGGTCAGCAACACAGGTGTGAGGAAAACGAATGGAGACAGCCCCAGCCACAGGCCTGAAACCTGATCTCTCTACAACCTCAAGGCAGTGGTCTTGTGATAACCTTTCAGGAGTCTTTTCACACAGAAACCGGGGTCCCCCCACAACTTGGAAGAGTTTCTACCCATACCAGCACCTTGATTTCCTTTGTGCATCCAGTCCACTGGTTTCTGATCACCTCCTCCCCAGCTTGCATAAGAGGTGGGCTATTAGTTGCCCAGTGGTTGGGAGACCAGCTCTGACCTAGCCAAATCAGTGAGCTTTTTTACTCACCAATGAGATGAACCATTCATTTCCCAATGAAACTTAACAACCTCTGTTAAGATTGTGGTTCCTTGGGTACTTTCTTTTTGCTATAGGGCACCACGTAGAGTTTCCTTATATCTTATAGTTACTTTTCCATTATAGTTCATTCTTTATACCAAACTATTTAATCTGTTGTATGGTTTCTGTCTCCTGACTGGACACAGACTGCTACATATTTCTACAAGCACTGAATGAAGTGAAGATTTTATTGAAATCTTTAATGATGGTCATGAAGTTTCTCTCTTGTTCCTTGTAATTTTGCACCTTATACATTTTGAGGCTGACGTTAGGATTGCACAAGTTTAGGAAGATAGTATAATCCTGGAAAACATTTCCTTTAGCAATATAGTCTCACTTAAATTATGTCTGATATGTTCAATATAATTAGTCATTAGGGAAATGTAAATTTAAAATACAATTAGTTGCAACTCCACACTTGTGAGGAAGCTAAAATTAAAATGACAAATAATAACAAGTTTAGCAAATATGTAGAGGAAGTGAAATTTTCATGGGAATATAGGAACATAAAATAATGTAAGCACTTAAAAAAGGGTCTCTCAGTTTCTTTTAAAAAGTTAAACGTACACCTACAATATGATGCAGACATTCCAATTTATTATTTGCCTAAAAATGGAAAAATAAAATATATAGCCATATAAAGACTTATATACAAATAAGCAACTATATTGGTAATAGGCAAAACAGAGGCACAATAAAAATGTCTATCAACAGTGAACGAATCAATAAACTGTAGTATTCCCATACAATGAACTACTTCTAAGCAATATAAAGGGAACATAATATTGATACATATATAAAAATGGATAAATTCAAATAAATATACTGAGTTAAAGAAGCCAGACCAAGGAAAAACAATAGAACAAGTAGTGGATTGGGGAGAGGTGGGAGAAAATTTTGGGGACCATGGATACATTCATTAGTTTGATTGTAGAGATAGTTTTATGGGCATACATCAAAACATCAAATTGTGCTCTGTAATACATTCAGCTTATTGCATATCAATTATACCTTAATAAAGCCATCTTAAAAAAACATGACTACCATGCGACTCAATCGTCTCATTCCTAGCTATCTACTCACAAGAAATGAAAACTTAGGTTCACACAAAACCTTATACAGAGACGTCTGTAGCAACTTCACTATTAATTTCCAAACCACCCATACATTCTTCATCAATAAATGGAATAAACGATGACTCTCAAAACAACATGGATAAATTTCACATGCCTTTTGCTAAAGTGCCAGCAGGAAACCAGATTCCAAAAAGCTACACACTGCAGGATTATATGAATATCTGAAAAAAAGCAAAACTACAGAGAAAAAAAGAAATCCATGGTTTCCAGAGGTGTAGGAGGTGGTAAGAAGTTGTCTATATGGGACTAGCACCAGGAAAGTTTGGGTGATGGAACTATTCTGTGTGGAACTGCAGTGGTGGACATATAACTCTATGCATTTCAAAACCCATATCAAAACCCATAGAAATATACAGAACTAAAAGTGAATTTTACCCTAAAATATGTTTAAGGATAATCACAAATATAGAAACAGCTTTACTCTTCTTCGACCTGGCAAAAGTACAAACGGTAATTAAAACAGTATTAACGCTGTAATAGAGAATGAAGTGTTAGGGCAATTGACAAAATATATTTTTTAAGCTTCATGAGAAACTAAGGTAACACAAAATAAAACAATGGTTTTATTTATATTTATTTTCTCATTAAATTAGCAGATTAAAATTTTATGCTCAATGATACAAATTCATTATTAGGCATTTTTAGTATTTAAGAAAATATTTATGATATGACACATAAAATACATGAGTATATTTACAATATGATATCCAAGCATCTGCAGTTGACTGAGTGTGTGCTGGAGAGATCAGGCATCCTTGGCCTGTTTCCCACTCTCAGCTGCTGTTGCCTGAGCAGGGCCATGGCCTCCACAATCCTTGAAACCTCCATCCCCTGGGTAACTGCCCATGAATTGCTGCTGCCACCAGTCATCTCATTTTCCCCACACCCACTATAACAAAGAAGGAGAAATTCTTCAACCCAAATCAGGCTGAGTGGAAGTTCCTTGACCTCCTGGCCAGTGAAGAACATTTGGGGCACATCACCAAGTGCCAGAGGGGCCCTGAGGTGCCATTTTCTTAGAATCGCCTGTTCCCATTCTGAGTCATGACTTAGTAAATGTTCTGGGAAGTGAGACTCTCCATCCCATAGTGATTGTCTATAGAAGAGAGGGCTATAGATGAATGTTAGTGACATGAGTGTTGGCGGCAGCAGCAGAGGCACACTGACCTGTCACCAAGCAGGAGACAGTACTTCATGGACCACTAGTGAGAGAGAGGAAAAGAGGTTTGCTCCTGCTCTTCTACCTAGTCTTCTGTGGGTTCCTAGCTGCACTCTTCTTGTTCACAATGTGGACTATGCTTCAGGTGCTGAAAGATAGGGTTCCAAAACAGCAGCTTCCTAGTTCAGGACTTAAAATTTCTCCAGAGTCAGTGATGGCATTAAAATATGTATTCAGTATGTCTGATTCAGCTTCCTAGAATAGGTACTTTGTAGATTTTAATAATTTTCTAAAGCTGTATTAGATGAAGAGAAGAATCTCACAATCCATCCTGATGAAGTACTTTTTGAAAGAAGGGACTAGTTTATAACGCGTGTAAATTTCCTGCTACCTTACTTTAAGCATGCAGTGGTATGGAGGATCCTGATATTTGTGGTTTCAAAGGAAACCATTTTATTCTTGTAAAAATTAGCAGAGTAATTAGATTAAATCCTCAAGTGGAACCAAGGTTAATGGGTTTAAAAAAACACAAGATAAGTCTGATAACCTCTCACCATGGATTTATAGACTGAAAATATTTAGCACATTATGGAAAAAAATATGCATGTGGAGTATCTATAGCAGTTCTAAGTAATCTTTGATCATAATGCTGATACCAGGCAAGAAGCAACACTACAATGGTTTGATGAATCACCCAACTTATAAAACCAATGTGTTTAAAAGCACAGTGAATGCATAACATGAATAGGGTAGCTCCACTGGATAAATGTTTTTTGTTTTTATTTTGTGTCAAAGGGACTGGACAGTATATAATAGAGTGAAATCACCTTGAAGGAAGTTGGGGTGTTACCTAACACTGGATGTCTTAGTTCATACTGGCTGTTATAACAAAATGCCACAAACTGAGTGGCTTATAAACAATAGGAATTCAGTTCTGGAGGCTAGGAAGTTCAAGATAAAGAAATTGGTAAATTAAGTGGCCTGTAAGTACCCACTACCTAGATCACAGACAGCAGTTGCTCTAACTTCACATGCCAAAAAGAAGGAGCTCTCTGAGGCCACTAATGACATTCATGAGAGCTCCATCCTAAATACCTAATCACTTCTCAAAGGTTTTACTTCCTGATACCATCAACTTGGTGGTAAGAATTTCAATATGTGAAAAGGACATAAAATGTTCAGACTATAGCACTACAGGGGGTGGGGGACATAAAGATTCAGCCCACAGCTCTGGGGCAGCATCATAATGTGCTTTTAGATTATAGTGTTTATTGTTCTGAAGGAACTGTTTTTGCTTCTTGTTCTATTTTGTATGTGGTTTTATTGCCAAGTGTCTAAAGCTTTATATGCTATGTTATGTAACTGTTGAATGGACTTAAAACTGGTTAACTGTCATATTTTGATGTTAACACAATTTTGGTGACAAAATGATAAGAATAAATGGTACCTTGGTAACATCAAGTGATTTTATATAGCTTCAAAAAAAATGTGATCTCTTACATCCCTCAAATTTTGTATGTGAGGAGGAAAAAACAAAATAAAAGTAGATTTGAAAAGTGTTATCTTAAATTTTTGTAAAATTAGTTTTTACATGCTTAATTAATCTATGGATCTTTTTAATACACAGCATGAACTTTTTGATGTACAATGAATGTATGAAGAAAAGAATGTTAATGGAATTAGTTTTTACTGCTAAAGGTAAATCTCACAAATTACTTAGAATATCTTAACCATAATTGAAACATAGCATTTTTAGTTTAGCAAGTATGAATATGCACCTAAATTTTTATCAAACAATTTCCTATCTTATCAAAATATTTTAAATTGTGCAATAGTTTGTGAAACACTCTGTCATTGATTTCAGTTAGCAAATATAAGCAAATTAACTACAAAACTATAGCAAGTATGATTGAAGAATGCATAATTGTGTATAGGCTTCTTTACAAGTATTTAACAAAGAGCACACATTTATAATTTCAAGCAAACAAATTAACTGTTAAAAACATTGATGGTGAGAAGAAAAAGGCAAAGTCTGTGTCTCAAGTTCCCACTTGTCTACTCAATTCAACAAATCTGGTCCTATGAGAGAGAGCTGGGAAGACAGCCTGGAAGTTACATACTGGGTCTTCAGGTTATGAATTGCTGATTTTACCTCTTTGTTTCTCAGTGTGTAGATAAGGGGGTTTAATATAGGTGTGAAAACTGTAGAGAATACAGACAAAAGGTTATCCACTGGTAAGTTGCTGAAAGGCCAGGCATAGATGAAGATACAAGGCCCAAAGAACAGGGTCACCACAGTCACGTGGGCAGTCAGAGTGCTGCGAGCCTTGGCCATACCTGCTGAGGAAGGTCGCTGCACAGTAATCAGAATGACCGTGTAGGAGATCAGCAAAAGCAAAATGAAGTCACCCCCATAAGACCACTGTCCAAAAGCATCAACGCTTCAGGGATATAAGTATCTGTACAGGCAAGTTTGATGACCAAAGTAAGGTCACAATAATAACTGTCCACTATGTTTGGGCCACAGAAGGGCAAACTTACAGTGAAAGCTAACTGGCTCAGGGAGTGCATAACTCCAGTGACCCAAGATCCTACCACTAGGCCTGTACATGTGCACAAGTTCATGATGGTTGCATAATGGAGAGGTTTGCATATGGCTACATATATGTCATATGCCATGGCTACAAGGAGCACCATCTCACCACCAGCAAAGACATGGAACAAGAATATCTGGGCCATGCAGCCCTCAAAGGAGATAGTCTTGGGTTCATGAAGGAAATCATGGATAATCTTAATCCATATTGTCTCTGAAGTTACGTTAATGGTTTGGGTTTGAGGTAAATTCCCTTGCAGTTAACATTTTACTATATGAGAATATGTAAACTGAAATGGTACACATGTCAGTACAGAATATTAGTAGATAAGGTGATGATAGCCGTAAAATGAAGATTTGAAAAATGCCAGAAATCCTCATAGAGAATGGCACCATATCCTCTACTGAATGCCACTTTTGTCTAGATGTCAGAGTGGGCTGGTTTGAACTGAGATGAGTATAGAATGATGTTAATATGCTTCTGTAGAGTCTTTTCTATTCAATATTTCAGAAAAAGACCCATAGAACCAAAAAAACCCTCAAATATTACAGAAATTGATCTTTAAGTCATTTTCTATCATACCCAAATTCAAATTTTATGCTCTGGACTAAAATTGATATAATTATTTTGTGGTTGAGTCAAAGGACTTTGCACAAAACTGTAAGTCCAAGAATCATAAGCCATTGCTCCAAGTTTCATTCTCTAGTTAAAGGTCTTACTTCCATTTTCCAAAAAAAAAATCTCAAGCAATTGGATCAAGCAAGTTGTCGACATAAATTTTTTTTTAAAAAAAGACTTACCTGATTCAATTATCTACAGATTTTGAGAAAGTTCAAACAAGTTTTGGCTTCTTTCAGATCAAATGTTCTTGAAGGGGACCTGCACCAAATGTGCACATACTTTAGAGTTAAGGTGTTATAACTATCATAAATATTGACTTAGGTAAACCTCCTCTTCTTGACACTCTATTTCACCCTTTTCCCATTTTATCATTTATCTATTTCATTTAGGACTTGGGATTGAACAGGAACCACGGGAGTATGAATGTGTCCCATGATGATTCCTTGCCATTAAATATTTGCTGGCTTGTTGAATAGGGAAAAGGGTTCAAGTCCAGACAGCCAAACCACTTTCAACTTTCTTTCAACTCCAGAGCTCTTTCCCTTGTCTTACTTATAACCAATTACACGCACTATGTTTCTAATAGATTTAGGAAGAGTTTTACATGGAGAGATTTCTGCGACACTATACGAAGAATTGAATTGAACTGAATCTTCAGTGATATTCCACACATCAGTGAGAAGAAACTCAGCAAAGAACAGCTGATGCACTGCAATACGAATGTTAAATGAATTCCTGTTTTAATTTTAAATGTTAAAAATTATTGATAGGATATCCCATAGAAACATATTTGTATTCTTAGCATACACTCCACTTAATTATGGTGTGTTATATGAGAATATTATAACTTTGGTTTGATGTGCTAATTATTTATTTAGGATTTTTCGTATAGGTTTACAATTATAGTAGTTTTAACTTGTTGGGCTATCCACTTCCTATTTTGGTAGTAAGACAATGATAGGCTCACAAAATTAGTGGGGTTGCTCAGAAAAGTGTTTCTATATCCTAGCATTATCTGTACTTTGATGGTTTGGGAAAGATTGTACATAAACATGAATGTAGCTTGCGAGTTTTTTTTAATTATTATTATTATACTTTAAGTTCTAGGGTACATGTGCACAACGTGCAAGTTTGTTACATATGTATACATGTGCCATGTTGGTGTGCTGCACCCATTAACTCATCATTTACATTAGGTATATCTCCTAATGCTATCCCTCCCCCCTCCCCCCACCTCACAACAGGCCTCCGTGTGTGATGTTCCCCTTCCTGTGTCCAAGTGTTCTCGTTCAATTCCCACCTATGAGTGGGAACATGTGATGTTTGGTTTTTTGTCCTTGCAATAGTTTGCTGAGAATAATGGTTTCCAGCTTCATCCATGTCCCTACAAAGGACATGAACTCATCCTTTATTATGGCTGCATAGTATTCCATGGTGTATATGTGCCACATTTTCTTAATCCAGTCTATCATTGATGGACATTTGGGTTGGTTCCAAGTCTTTGAGAGCTTGTGAGTTTTATAGGATGATACTTTTAGCTTCTTTTAATGTAATCCATGATGATTACAGCTTGAATTTTCTCCTCCTTAGAAAATTTGACAATGTATGATTTCTGAAAAAATTAAAAATTCATGTCAATGAATGTTGTCTTATGCTTTTACATTATTTAAGTTGTTTAGCTTCCTAAACATATAAATTTATGAACACTTTTCTGATCTATAATAATTAATTGTACAGTCTCTTTTTAACTTTAATTTTCATCAGTACTGATCTTTTCTTTTTTCTTATTCTTCTGTTATTTTTGCTTTTCCAAGAGCCATATTTTTGATTTCACAAGGAGCTGCACTAGATTATTTGTGTTTTTTTATTTCAAGAACTTATTTTTTAATTGACAAATAAAAATTCTATATATTTTTATTGTACAACATGATGTTTTGATATTTGTGTACAATGCATAATGGCTAAATCAAGCTATTTATCACGGGCATTACCTCACATACTTAGCATTTGTTTTCTATGATGAGTACCACTTAAAATCTACTTTCTTAGAAATTTTCAAATATGCAATATACTGTCATTAACGGTAGTCACTATGAAGTATAATGGATCTCTTAAATATAGTCCTCCTGTCTAGTTAAATTTTATGTTCTTTGACCAACATCTCCCCAATTGTCCCACCCCCCCATCCTCTGGTGACCACCATTTTACTTCGTTACTCTGAGTTCAAATTTTACAGTTCATATATAAGTGAAATCATGCAGTGTTTGTCATTTTGTGCCTACTTTATTTTACTTAACATAATGCCCTCCAGTTTCATCCATGTTTTTTCAAATGACAGTATTTTCTTCTTTTTTAAGGATGAATAGTATTTCATTGTATGTATATGAAGGGTCTTCAAAAGATTCATGTAAAATAAATATAAAATGACTATGGATGTATTTCAAATTTTTGCACCAAAATAAATTAATAATAACTTTTTTATAATATATCTGAACAGGATCTAGTTTGAGGCACTAAGAAGGATAAGACATCAATTTGAAAAGAAGTCCTATGAGAGCAACAAGAATTCTGCTAAAATTGAAGCAAAAATACACATCAAATTTATGATGAAGCTAAAATGGAAGAATGGTGAAATAATTGAAACTTTACTAAAAACTTATAGGTACAATGGCCCAAAGAAATCAAGTATTTGCAAATGGATAACTTGTTTCAAGAAGGAATTAGATGATGTTGAAGAAGACGCCCGCAATGGCAGACCATCCATATCAATTTGTGAGCAAAAAATTCATGTTGTTCAGCCCTAATTGAAGTGGACTGATTATTAACCGCACAAACAATAGTCAACACTGTAAGCATCTCAAGTGGTTCAGCTTACACAACTCCGACTGAAAAATTAAAGTTGAGCAATCATATTGCCCAATGGGTGTCAAAACCATTGTGCCCAGATCAGCTGCAGATGAGAGCAGAGCTTTCAATGGCAATTTTAAACAAGTATATATTAGTAGGTTATTGCATTACTGTAAAGCAATACCTGAGACTGGGTAATTAATTTTAAAAAGAAGTTTAATTGGCTCATGGTTCTGCAGGCTGTACAAACATAGCATAAGCATCTGCTCAGCTTCTAGTAAGAACTTCAGGAAGCTTACAACCACGGCAAAAGGTAAAGGGGAAGCAGGCACATCGCATTGTGAGAGCAGAAGCAAGGGGAGCAGGAAGATGCCACATGCTTTTGAACAACCAGTTCTCGTGGGAACCGACTCATTACCAAATGGATGGTGCTAAAGCCATGCATAAGGGACCCGCCCCCATGATCTAAACACCTCCCACCAAGCACCACCTCCGACACTGGGGATCACATTTCGACATGAGATCTGGGGGGGAAAAATATGTAAACCATATCATTCTACCCCTGGCCCTCCCAATCTCATGTCTTTTTCACATCACAAAATAATCATCTCTTACTAACAGTCCCCCAACGTCTTAACTCGTTCCAATATCAAATCCAAAGTCTTAAGTCTCATCTGAGACTCATCTCCTTTCACCTATGAGCCTCTAAAATCAAAAGAAGTTATTTACTCCCAAGCTCTAATAGTAGTACAAGCATTAGGTAAACATTACTATTCTGAAAGAGAAAAATTGGCTAAAAGAAAAGGATAATAGGTCCCATGCAAGTCTGAAAACCAGCAGGGCAGTCATTAAATATGAAAGCTCCAAAATAATCTCCTTTGACTCCATTTCCCACATCCAGAACATATTGATGCAAAGGGTGGACTCTTAAGGCCTTGAGAAACTCTGCCTATGTAGCCTTGCAGGTTGCAGTCCCCATGGCTGCTCTCACAAGTTGGAGTTAAGTGCCTGTGGTTTTTCCAGGCACAGTGTGCAAGCTGCAGGTGAATTGACCATTCTGGGGTCTAGAGAGTGGTGTCCCCCCTCCCACAGCTCCACTAGGCAGTGCCCCAGTGGGGACTCTGTGTGGGGACTCCAACCCCACATTGCCCCCTCAGCATTGCCCCGGTAAAGGTTCCCTGTGAAGTCTCCTCCCCTGTGGCAAGCTTCTGCCTGGGAATAGAGGCTTCCTCATATACCCCCTGAAACACAGGTGGAAGCTGCCAAACCTTTTTCACCCTTGCCACAGTATTCTTCTGTGTACATGCAGGATTAACACCACATAGAAGGCACCAAGGATTACAGCTTGCACCCTGTGAAGGAGCAGCCCAAGCTGTACCTGGGACCCTTTGAACTGCGGCTGGAACTGAAGCAGCCGGAATGTGGGAGCAGTGTCTTGAGGCTGAGCAGAGCAGTGCCATCTTGGGCCTGGCCCCTGAAATCGTTCTTTCCTCCTAAGCCTCTGTCCCTATGATGGGAGGGGCTGTCTCCAAGATCTCTGAAATAAATACATTTGGAGCCTTTTTCCCATTGTCTTGAGTATTGGCACTTGGCTGCCCTTTAGTCATGCTAGTCTCTCTAGCAAGTGATTGCCCTACAGCCTGCTTGGATTGGATTCTTTCTCTGCCACATGTCCAGGCTAAAAATATTTCAGAGTTTTACACTCTGCTTCCCTTTTAAATACATCTAAATTTATTTCTTTTTTCTCATATCTGACCATAGGCTGTTATAAGCAACCAGGCCACATCTTGAATGTTTTACTACTTAGAAATTTCTTCCATTAGATACCCTAAGTAATCACTCTTAAGTTAAAACTTCCACAGATCCCTAGAACATGAACACAATGCAAACAAGTTCTTTGCTATGGTGTAACATGAGTGACCTTTACTCCAGTTCCCCAAAACTCTCATTTCTATCTGAGACCTCATCAGTGTGGTCTTCACTGTCCATATTTCTATTAGTATCTTGGTCACAACTATTTAACCAGTCTCTAAGAAGTTCCAAACTTTCCTTCATCTTCCTGTCTTCTTCAGAGCCCTCCAAACTTTTTCAAACTTTGCCCATTATCCAGTTCCAAAGCTACTTCTACATTTTCAAGTATCCTTATAGCAACGTCCCACTCCTCATTACCAATTTTGTATTAGGTCATTCTTGAATTGCTATAAGGAAATACCTGAGACTGGGTAATTTATAAAGAAAAGGGGCTTAATTGATCACAGTTCCTTAACTGGTAGGAAGAATGGTGCCAGCATCTGCTTCTGATGAGGGCCTCAGGAGCTTACAATCATGACAGAGGACAAGTGGGGAGAAAGTGCATCACATGGCAAAAACAGGAGCAAGAAAGAGAAAGAGGAGTCTCAGATTCTTAAACAACCAGATCTCACTGAACGAAAACTCACTTATCATCAAGGGGATGCTACTAAGACATTCATGAGGGACTCACCTCCTGATTCAATCACCTCCAACCAAGCCCTACCTCCAACATTGGAAATCACATTTAGACATGAGATTTGGAGGGGACAAACATCCAAACTATATCAAGTGGGATCAAGATCCTGAAATATTTCTTTGAAGAATTGTAACAGAACATGAAACATGGCTTTACCAGTATGATCCCAAAGACACAGCACAATCAAAAGAATGACTACCAAGAGATAGTATTGGTACAATCAAAGTTGTCCAGTCAAAAACAAAGGTTATGGCAACAGAATTTTTGGATTCTCAAGGAATTTTGTTTGTTGACTTTCTGAGGGGGGGGGGCAAAGAATGGTAACATCTGTTTATTATAACAGTGTTTTGAGAAAGCCATGCTTTAGCAGCAAAATGCACAGGAAAGCCTGAACAGAGAGTCTTTCTTCACCATGCCAATCCTCTTACTCATTCTTCTCAGGAACCAAGAGCAATTTTGTGAGGGTTTTGATGGGGAATTTTAAGAACTTCTGGTTTAAAAGTAGAACTACACTGAAATATAATTTTTCATATATTACATTGACAAAAATCTAAAATTTCAATGTACTCTCTTGAGAAGTCTATGAGGTACTCATATATATGAGGTACTCTCATATAAATGAGAATGCAATAAAAAGGAAGTGTATTTGGCAATGTCTACAAAATATGTGTGCAATTGACCCTTGTACTTAGCAATTTTACTTGAAACCATAGGAAAAAAGAAAAGACTAGACATATGTTGATAACTATGAAACCTGGGTATAAATACACAGATGGGAGCATGTGAGCACATTATCATCTTTTGTATATATTTTAAACGTTCAAATTAGGAAGCTTAAAAAATAACTTTTATTCTTAACTACAATTATGCCTTCTGTCATGGCTTACTTGTCCTGTTACAAGCTTTTTGTGTTCAATGCCTGGTTAATTTGAAATCACTTTGTAACAGCACATAACTGCATTTCTTCATTGAATGATCAAGGAACTCTAGTTTACATATACTAAACTAGGAGTTGGAAATTCATTGAGGTACAAGATAGCAGGTCCTGACTTTATAGAATTTATATTCTAAGGCAGAAAGCACATACCTTGACAAATAATTAAAGTAAAATTATACTTGTTTTTTTTCATAGGGGAAGTAGAGGGTGGTATGGAAGGTTTTATTATATTTTAAAAATGTGTGGAAGGTCTCTGCTTATACATAAAGAGAGTCAGATTTAGCCAGGTTAAATGTATGATTATGTTTCTAGACAAGGAAGTTTTAAGCAGAGGGAAAAAAAAAAACAGTATCTGTATGTCAAGAGGTAAAAGTTATTTGGTGAGAGGTGCAAAGTTTAAAAACTAGAACAAATATAGCTTAAATCTAGAGTACATAAGATTTATCTAGCTTAAAAATATTACATATATACCCAAAGGACTATAAATCATGTTGCTATAAAGACACATGCACACGTATGTTTATTGCGGCATTATTCACAATAGCAAAGACTTGGAACCAACCCAAATGTCCAACAATGATAGACTGGATTAAGAAAATGTGGCACATATACACCATGGAATACTATGCAGCCATAAAAAATGATGAGTTCATGTCCTTTATAGGGACATGGATGAAATTGGAAATCATCATTCTCAGTAAACTATCGCAAGAACAAAAAACCAAACACCGCATATTCTCACTCATAGGTGGGAATTGAACAATGAGATCACATGGACACAAGAAGGGGAATATCACACTCTGGGGACTGTTGTGGGGTGGGGGGAGGGGGGAGGGATAGCATCGGGAGATATACCTAATGCTAGATGATGAGTTAGTGGGTGCAGCGCACCAGCATGGCACATGTATACATAGGTAACTAACCTGCACAATGTGCACATGTACCCTAAAACTTAAAGTATAATTAAAAAAAAAAGAGAAAAAAAAAGGTTAAAATCTTAAAAAAAAAAAATTACATAATTTGGAATTTATCTTAATAATAGAGAAAGCCATCCAGAGGGAGAAACATTGCATTATTAAAGGAAGTACCATTTTAAGATTTTTATCTTTGAAGTGTGCCTCCATCTGGAGTGTACATAATTTATAGAAAGGCAAGACCTAATTTTGAAATGAAAGAGTAAGGAATTCAATCAAGTCTTTCCTAACAAAAGTAATAATAAACTGGAAAAAAAAAGTGGTTGGAAACAACTATTTCAGAATCCTGGATATTGACTGTTAGGAACTGAATGTTTGTGTCCCCCCTACCAACCTACAATCTATATGTTGAAATCCTAACCTCCAATGAGGTGGTATTAGGAAATGGAGACTTTTGGAGATAAATCAGGTCATGAGGGTGGACCCCTCATGGATGGGATCAGTGCCTTTGTAAAAAATACTTTAGAGAGATTTCTAGCTCTCTTTCTGCCACATGAGGATATAAGGAGAAGTTGATGGCTTGCAACCTGAAAGAGGGCACTCACCAGAACCCATCCAGACTGGCAGTCTGATCTCAGGCTTCCAGCCTTCAAAACTATGAGAAATAATTTCTGTTGCTTATAAACCACCTAGTCTATGCTACTTTGTGATGGCTGTCCAAATTGACATTAAGACAAAAAGAAAGGGAAACCTGTATTTGTGAAAACCTAATGAATATCAGATAAGAACAGCAGTATCTTATCTTAGCCTATGGCTTCTTGCATTATCACTACCCCAACAAACTCCTTCAGCATAATAGTTCCAGCAGGGTGGGGAAAGTGGTGGAAGTCAGCTGCTTTTCTGCCAGAGGTGGCTGATGTAATTTAGAGCTGGAAACAGAAAAGCACATGCCTGGGGTATTGTCTAAAATAATAATGATCTTAGTGTCAAAATGTCATGAAATTCAGCATTGGGGTTAGCCTAATATTGACATATTGGATAGAACAAGCAGGAAACTGGCACACTTATGAGATATTTACTAGAGAGGTTGGAGAAATGAAATAGTGATGCTGAGCCTTGATAAGTTTCCACATATCCCTGAAAGTTCAAACAGTTATGCACATGCACAAGACTGCATGAATGCTCAGAAGTCAGGGAAACCCATAAGTATCTACTTGTCCCTGGATGAATACAAAGCCTTGCACATAAGCAGCATAGACACAAGGATGTGTGGATGAAAGTAAAAGCTGGAACAACTTCTAAACTGCCTGTCATTGACAAAAGATGAAAAACTGAGTGGCTCAAGATAATGCAGCATAACCTCTCTAATCATTGAGTGACCATTAACCATGTTCAACCAGAAGTGACCTCTAGTACACCAAGATTAAATATAAGAAGAAGAACTAGCAACAAGAAAAACCCTAACAGAGTCACTGGCAGCCGTATATTTCAGGGAAACAGATTTTACAGAATTAGCCTTGTTAGGTCACTAAACAAATAAAAATAATACAAACAGTAATAGCAGCAACAATAACTTCTCAGAGAGAAAGAGAAAAGAATCAGGAGTTGCTATAATATATTGTCTAAAATGTATAACTTTAAACAACAAAAAAGAGATGTCCTGTGAGGATTCAGTCAGGCTGGTGGGAAAAATTTTAGTTATAATAGCTACAAACCCTCTTGAAAGGTCTGAGAGTTTGCAAAACTTTGGTAACAGATCTGGCTGAAGGCAGCCTAGTCCCTTTACCTTTAATTAGATAAACAAAAGTAAATACAAGGGAATGTGGGGGATTTTGTCTAACTAGCTTGTTTACTCATGTGGTCCTAAGACTAACACTTGTTCTACCATGGGTGCTTAATTCCTTTCTACTTGAGAAGTCTGCAATGTCAATTACCCTCTAGTGGTGTTGACTCAAGCCTTTGTCAATTAATCTTTACTAAATAAATGCAAGTCTTGCTGGCTGCTGACTCTTTACAGCACTCTTCTTGGAGTCTGTAAGTGGCCCGGACACTCAGCCGGACTGGCAAAGCAGAATATCTGTGCCAGTGTACGTTATTCATCCATCACTGAGTCAAGATCTGCAGGACAGGCCTCCACAATGTCCCACCCGCCCAAAAAAGGAAACTGACTCAGACACAGGAAGAAAAATAATCGATAGAAATTATTGATAAAATGTCACAAATGACAGATTTATCAAACAAACACTTCAAAGTAAATACTAAAATATATTGAAATAACTAAAGAAAAACGTGTTTTGGAATTAAAGGAGGTTCTGGTTCAAGATGGCTGACTAGAAGCACCTAGTGCATTCCATCTCATGGAGAATAAACAAAGTGGCAAGTGAATACTAAGTCTTAGGATCACCTAAGAGATCTTGCTGAGATTCACCAGAGAAGCAAGTGGACACATGGAGAACAGAGAGGAGTGAAGCCATGAAGCCAAGTAACTGCCCACCCAGGACCATGCAGAGCTGGGGGAATCTCCCTAACAAAGGAAAAGAGTGAGTGAGTGAGAGTCCCCTGGGGATCCACACTTCTGCCATTGACATTTGTAATCCTGAGCACAGGAAAGTCCCCTATACACCCTTACCCCACCCTCCAGACCAACACAGAGAGCCACCTGGAGTCTATGCAGAGTCACTGCTCAAGCCCACATGGAATTTCACTGGCCTTTGATCCCTGAACAGCCTGGTGCCAGCTGCCACTGCCCTGCCAAGAAGGGAAGCAAGGTACTTTTGCATGTCCATTGGATAGATGTTATAGCCCAGGTACTGAGGAGCAGCGAGACTGCATACCATGTGACACTTCCCCTCCACTGCTTCTCACCAGGGGGTGCTCACAGGTTTAGGCCCCCAGCACAGCTGCCCCGCCCCCACTTGAACACTGTGGTCACATCTCTGCATTCCTCTGGGAGCAAAACTCCCAGAGGTAGCTGACAAGCCTTTTACAATCTCTGCTGGCACTTTCCCCACCCCCTATGGGGGGATCAAGGAGGTAGGGCACATTTGCAGACCTCTAGCACTAGACACCATAATGGAGATGTAAAGAAGCAGTGGGCATACTATGCCCCAACAACTTGCTGCCTCCACTGCTCTCTGCCAAATGGGGTTTCCACCTTCCAGCCTCCAGCACACCCACCCCACCCACACCTGATCACTGTAGCCACAGCTCTCTGTTCCTGATTACATAACTCCCACAGGAGTTCTCACAGGTGGTTGGCAGGCCTTTTGTGATCACTACTGCCTCTGTCTCTACCAACCCCAGGTCAAGGAGGGAACAAGGAAGCAGAGTACCTTCCTACACCTCCAGCATGAACAGCACAGCTGAGATATGGATGAGCAGTGGGCTGCTGCATGGTCCATAAACCCCTGCCTCTGCTGCTCCCTGGAGAATAGGACTCACTGGCTTCCAGCCCCCAACACACCCACCCTGCCCCCACCTGAACACTAAGGCCACATCTCAGTTCCTCTGAAAGCCCTCAGTTCCTCTGAGGTCAGCAACAAGCTTTTCACAGTTGTCACTACCACTGCCTTCACCCCTACCACTGCCTCCACCTCTTCCACCCCTAGGCCAGCATGGGATCAAGGAGGTTTGGCACTTTTGCTTGTCCCTAACAGTGAAATCCAGTGCCACTTGTGTGAGAGGAAAATGCAAGTGTGCCATGCTCCCCACAGCTGCCGATCTCCATTGTCCCAGCTGAAGAATCCTGCCCTCACCAGTGAAATGCCCACAGCACAGATGCCCACCCCTCCTGAGCATTTCAGCTGTGGCCCAGATCACTTCAGAAAACCCAACCCCACAGGCACATGATCTTCCCTTGGGCTTCCACTGCCTAAAGGTTCCACCTGCCCTCACCTGAGAGTTCTGCCAGTGATCAAGGGACTAGCCTGCCTCTCCCCATCACAGCCAGCACCTGAACTCTGGGTTAACCTGACTTAGGTCCAGCCCCTTCAGGACTCGTACACACTATCCAGTGGGCCACCTAGAGGCCTGGGAACTAGGGAATTACTTAGCCCATTCCAACACTACTGGCACCTGACCATTTCCCCAGGGTCTGAGGTCAGGCTGATCCAACCAGTCAACATCACCACAACCAACACCCACCCACATGTGCCCAAAGGTGGAGCCCTGCCCCATCCCCATGAAGCAGCAGCATTACTATATAAGAGAACAGGTGAGCCATAAAGCTATCTGTATTGGGCAGAGTGAAGAAGTTCCACCCCCAAACCACTCCCATAGAGAGTTACAAGATAGGTATTTCCCATGGCTCTCCACCACATTGTATTCTGGGGATAGACTACAGTGTGCATCTGAACTGGGAATCACAAGCCCCAGGAAAGGGCATGATAGGGAAACAGATAATGTTCCTTCTATCTAGGACATGGAGATGGTGCAATCCCCCTCAGCCCCCACACAGACAGAGCATTTTATCAGAAGCTCCCCTCAGCCACCTTCACCAGGGCTGGTGCCCATAATTGCCATTGGTGTATTTGTGGGCAAGCAGGGGGGTCCAGCTCTGCCAAGGTGTGGCCCCTGACCCCATGGAAAAGAAAGCTCAGGGTGCCTAGCCCTCCACTGTCTAGCCTGTCACTAGAAACAACACAGAGCACCTCACAATAAATGAAGATCAAGTACTGATGTGGTTTTGCTCTGTGTCCCCACCCAAATCTCATGTCAAATTATAATCCCCATGTGTCAGGGGAGGGACCAGGTGGGAGGTGATTCAATCATGGGGGCAGATTTCCCCCATGTTGTTCTCATGATAGTGAGTGAGTTCTCACAAGATCTGATGGTTTAAAAGTGTGGCATTGAAACTGCCATTGCAAAATTGTGACTTAGACAGTGAAAGAGATCTAACTTAACTGACTGCATCTTGCTTCTAACCTCCAAAATGTCCTTGTTCATTCCTGGGCATAGGCAGAGCTAACTTTTGGAGAAACTAGTTTGCAGTTTATAGTTTAAAACAAAGATGATAACAGTCCTCTCCCAGATTAGACCTTCTTGGCCGGGGACTAGATTGCCTTTGTAGGACACAAGATTAAAAATTGGAGGTTTAGGAGTTATGCAGCTGGAGGCTACAAGTTTCTGACCCTCCCTAAACTGTTCCTAAGGTCATTGCTTGAGATATTTTGCAGACCCTGCACTTGATAGATCAGCTGGCACCACCTGGATTGATAAACTGGCTCATCTGATCTTGTGGCCCTCACCCAGGAACTGACTCAGTGTAAGAAGACAGCTTCGACTCACTATGATTTTATACTGAACGGGTCAGCACTCCTGGATCACTGACTCCCCTCAATCCACTAAGTTGCCCTTAAAAACTCTGCTCCCTGAATGCCTGGGGAGACTGATTTGAGTAATAATAAAACTCCAGTCTCCCACACAACTAACTCTGCATGAATTACTCCTTCTCTATTGCAATTCCCCTGTCTTCAGAAATTGGCTGTGTCTAGGCAGCAGGCAACATGAACCCATTGGTTGGTTACAGCATATCCCTCCTCTCTCTCTCTCTTTCTCTGTCTCTCACCTGCTACCATATGAAGAAGGTCCTTGCTTCCCCTTTGCCTTCTGTCATGATTGTAAGTTTCCTGAGATCTCCCATTCTTCCTGTTAAGCCTGCAGAACTGTGAGTCAATTAAACCTCTTTTCTTCATAAGTTACTCTGTCTATGATAGTTATTTATAGTAATGTGAAAATGGACTAACATAAATATGTACTCTTTTGTTTGTGCCACAGCTGTCTCTTACCTGTAAGCTCCTATAGGTCAAACTGCACAACCCAATATAAAATGAGCCAACAGAAGTGCATAGGGCTATAGAAGCAAAGCCAAAAGACCTCACACAACATATTCTACAGTCTCACCCTGCAGGGAGGTGGGGGGAAAGGAGAGAGAGAAAAATAGGGCAAGAAAAAAAATCTTATCTATATGAAAATAAATTTAAAAATCAGAAGTGGCAGTCTCTCCTGATGAGAAGGAACCAGTGTAAAAATTCTGGCACCATAAAAAATCTGAATGTTGTGACACCACCAAGGGACCACAATAGCTCTCCAGCAATGGGCCCTAATGAAAATGGATACTCAGAAATGACAGATAAAGAATTCAAAGTATGAATTACAAGGAAACTTAAAAAGATCCAAGAAAAGGTTGAAAATCAACACTAACCAAATACTAAAGCAATCCAGGAAATTAAAAAAAGGATAAGAATTTTTAAAAAAATTAACCAGAACTAGTGGAGTTAAAAAAAACACTAAAGGAATTGCAAAATACAAGTAAAAGCTTTATCAATAGACTAGACCAAGCAGAAGAAAGAATTTTAGGGTATAAAGACTGATCTTTTGAACTAACTCTGTCAGACAACAATAAAGAAAAAGAAATTTAGAAAAATGAACAAAGCCTTCAAGAAATATGGGATTATGTAAAGTGACCAAGCCTACAAATTATTGGCCTTCCTGAGAGAGAAGAAGAAAAAGTAAACAATGTGGAAAACATATTTGAAGAAATAATTTAAGAAAATGTCCTAATCTTGCTAAAGAGGTAGACATCCAGATAACGAAATACAGAGAGGCTGGATGCAGTGGCTCATGCCTGTAATCCCAGCACTTTGGGAGGCCGAGGCAGGCAGATCACTTGAGGTCAGGAGTTCGAGGTCAGCCTGGTCAACATGGTGAAACCCCATCTGCACTAAAATACAAAAATTAGCTGGGCATGGTGGTGTGTGCCTGTAATCCCAGCTACTTGGGAGACTGAGGCAGGAGAATTGCTTGAACCCAGGAGATGGAGGTAACAGTGAGCCGAGATTGCACCACTGCACTCCAGCCTGGGTGACAGAGTAAGACTCTGTCAAAAAAAAAAAAAAAAAAGAAAGAAAGAAGGAAAGAAAAAGAAAAAAAGAAAAGAAAAGAAATACAGAGAACACTTGCAAAATACCATATAAAATGAACATCACCAAGGCATATAGTCACTAGACTATCCAAGGTCAATGCTAAAGAACAAATCTTAAAGGCAGCTAGGAAAAAGGAACAAGTTACCTTCAAGGAAAAACTGATCATACTAAAAGCAAATTTCTCAGCAGAAGCCCTACAAGCCAAAACATATTAAGGACCTATTTTTAGCCTCCATAAAGAAAAAAAATTATCCAAGAATTTTATATCATGCCACTAAACTTCATAAATGAAGGAGAAATAAAGTCTTTCCCAGACAAGCATTAGCTAAGATAATTTGTCACCACTAGACTGGTCTTAGAAGAAATGCTCAGAAGAGCTCTAAATATGGAAACAAAAGGATGATACTAATAATCAGAAAAAGGATATATAAATACAAAGCTCCCAGATCCTAGAAAGCAACTATACAATTGAAACTCCAAAACAGTTAGCTAACAATACTATGTCAGGATCAAAATCTCACATATCAATATTAACCTTGAATATAAATGGCCTAAAGGCCCTGCTTAAAAGATACATGGTGACAAATCAGATTTTAAAAAGACAACTCAACCATCTTCTATATAAAAGAAACCCACTTACCAACTAAAGACACATTCAACCTTAAACTAAAAGGATGGAAAAAATATATTTTGCACAAATGGAAAAGAAAAGCAAGCAGAAAAATCCATTCTCATATCAGACAAAAGACACTTTACACCAAAAAAAAAAGTTTAAAAACAGGTAACAAAAAAAGGCATTATTGATTATAAGAAAAAGATTGAAAACCAGAAGATTTAACTATCCTAAATATATATGCACCCAACACTGGAACACTCAGATTCATGAAACAAATACTATTAGGCCTAAGAAAATAAATTGATAGCAAAACAATAATAGTTGGGGGTTGGAAGGGGCAGGCACAGTGCCTCTTGCCTGTAATTCCAGCACTTTAGGAGGCGAAGGTGGGAGATTGCTTGAGTCCAGGAGTTTGACACCAGCCTAGGCAACATAGTGAGATTTGATATAACATAGTTTGGATGTATGTCCCCACACAAATCTCATATTGAAATCTAATTCTCAATGTTAGAGGTGAGGCCTGGTGGGAGGTGATTGGATCATGGGGGTGAATTTCTCATTAATGGCTTAGCACCATTCCTCTTGGTACTGGCCTCATGATAGTGAGTTTTCATGAGATCTGATTATTTAAAAGGGTGTAGCGCTTCCCTTCTTTTCTCTCTTGCTCCTGCTTTTGCCATGTGACATGCAACCTCCCTTTTAGCCTTCTGCCATTATTGTAAAATTCCTGAGGCCTCCCAAGAAGCTTAGCAGATGCCAGCATCATGCTGTCTGTACAGCTTGCAGAATCTTGAGACAATTAAACCTCTTTTCTTGATAAATTACACAGTATCAGATATTTCTTTATAGCAATGCAAGAATGAACTAATACCTCACCTCTACACATAAAAAAAGAAATTAGCTGGGCATGGTGGTTACGCCTATAGTTCTGGCTACTTGGGAGGCTGAGGTGGGAGGATTGTTTGAGCCCAGGAGGGTAAGGCTGCAATGAGCCATGATCATTCCACTACACTCCAGCCTGGGCAACAAAGCAAGACTCTGTCTCAAAAATAAAATAAAATAATAGTGGGGAGCTAGGTGCAGTGGCTCATGCCTGTAATCCCAGAACTTTAGGAAGCTGAGGTGGGTGGATCACTTGAGGCCAGGGGTTCAAGACCAGCCTGGCCAACATGGTGAAACCCCATCTCTACTAAGAATACAAAAAACTAGCCGAGCATGGTGGTGTGCACCTGTAATCCCAGCTACTCAGGAGGCTGAGGTACACAAATCACTTGAACCCAGGAGGCAAAGGTTGCAGTGAGCCAAGATCGCACCATTGCACTCCAGCCTGGGTGACAGAGGAAGACTCTGTCTCAAAATAATAATAATAATAAAATAATAATAATAATAGTGGGGGACTTTAATACCTCACTGAAATCACTAAATAGATCATTGAAGAAGAGAATCAACAAAGAAACTCTGGACTTAAACTGAAAAATATACCAAATGGACCTAATAGACATCTACAGAACATTTTACCCAACAACTGCAGAATATACATTTCTCTTATCTGCACAAAGACTACCCTTCAAAATCAAGCATATGCTCAGGCATAAGGCAAGTCTCAATACATTTTTAAAAACTGAGATTATATCCAGTACCTTCTGGACCACACTGGAATAAAATTAGAAATTAATACCAAAAATACTCTCAAAACTACACCAGTACATGGAAACTAAAAACTTGCTCCTGAACAACTTTTGGGTAAAAAACGAAATCAGGACAGAAATTGTAAAAATTCTTTAAAATAAATGAAATAGAAACACAACATACTAAAGTCTCTGGGATACAACAAAGGCAGTGCTAGAAGGAAAGTTTACAGTGTTAAATGCTTACATCAAAAAGATGGAAATATCTAAAGTTCACAATATAATGTTGCACCTGAAGGAACTAGAAAAAACAATAAAAAACCAAACCCAAAGTTAGTAGAATAAAATACATACCTGAAATCCAAGCAGAAATAAGTGAAATTGAGACAAAAAAACACAGTGTAATCAATGCAACAAAAAATTGTTTCTTTGAAAGAATAAACAAAATTGACAGACCACTAGCTAGACTAAGAAAAAAAGAGAAAATTCAAATAAGTACAATCAGAAATGATAAAAATGACATTACAACTGACACCAAAGAAATACAAAAAATAAGAGACTACTATGAACACCTCTATGCACACAAACTAGAAACCTAGAAGAAAGGAATTAATGCATATAAACATACACTCTTATTCAACATAGCACTGGCAGTCCTCTCCAGAGCTATCAGGGAAGAAAAAGAAATAAAGGCATTCAAATTGGAAAAGAGGAAGTTAAATTGTCTCTGTTTGCTGACAACATGATTGTATACTTAGAAAACCCTAAAGACTCCTCTAGAAGATTCCTAGACTTGATAAGCAACTTCAGAAGAGTCTCAGGATACAAAATCAATGTACAAAAACTAGTACCATTTCTATACACCAATAATCTTCAAGCTGAGAACCAAATTAATAACTCAATTACATTTACAATAGCCACACACAAAAATAAAATACCTAGAAATACACTTAATCAAGGTGGTGAAATATCTTTACAAGGAGAACTACAAAACACTGATGAAAGAAATTGAAGATGACCCACAAAAAATGGAAAAACTTTCCATGCTCATGAATTAGAAGAATAACTATCATTAAAATGACCTCATTATCCAACCAAAGCAATCTACATATTCAATGCAATTCCTATCAAACTACCAATGTCATTTTTCACAGATTTAGAAAAAAAAAGTCCTAAAGTTCATATGGACCCAAAAACAAAAACAAAAACAAAAACAAAAAATCCCAAAGAGCCAAAGCAATCCTAAGCAAAAAGTTCTAATTTGGAGGTATTACATTGTCTGACTTCAAATTATACTACGAGGATATAATAACTAAAGAAGCGTGGTACTGATACAAAGATAGACAATAGAACAGAATACAGAACCCAAAAACAAAGCCACGTACCTGTAACCAGCTGTTCTTTAGTAAAGTCAACAAAGACAAGCAATGGAGAAAGGACACTCTAATCAATAAATATTCAATAAATGGTGCTTGGAAAACTGGCTAGCCATATATGAAAGAACAAAACTAGACCCCTACCTCCCACCATATACAAAAATTACCCCAAGACGGATTAAAGACCTACATGTAAGACCTGAAACTATACAAATATTAGAAGAAAACCTAGAAAAACTCTTTTTAATATTGGCCTAAGCAAAGAGTTTGTGATGAAGACCCAAAAGCAATTGCAATAAAGACAAAAATAGGCAAATGGGACTTAAACAAACTAAAAAGCTTCTGCACAGCAAAAGAAATAATCAACAGAATAAACAGACAACCCACAGAATGGGAAAAATATATTTACAAATTATGCCTCTAACCAGAGATTTATATCTAGAATCTACCAGGAACTCAAGCACCTCAACAAGAAAAAAGCAAACAACCTTATCAAAAACTGGGCAAAAGACAGGAATAAACAATTCTCAAAAGAAGAAACACAAGTAGCCAACAAACACATGAAAAAATGCCCAACACCAATTATCAGAGAAATGCAAATTAAAGCCACAAGAGATACCATCTTACACTAGTCAGAATGGCTTTCATTAAAAGTCATAAAACAGATGTTGGTGTGGATGCAGAGAAAAGGGAATGCTCATACACTGTTGGTGTGAATGTAATTTCAATCTCTGTGGAATACAATATGGAGATATCTCAAAGAAATGAAAGTAGAACTACCATTCAACCCTGCAATCCAGCTACCAGCTGTCTACCCAAAAGAAAATAAATCATTATATCAAAAATATATTTGCATTCATATATTTATGGAAGCACTGTTTACAACAACAAAGTCACAGAACCAAACTAAGTGTCTACCAACAGCTGACTGGATAAAGAAAATGTGATATATATACACCATGGATTACTACATAGCCATAAAAAAAGAATAAAATGTCATTTGCGGTAACATGGATGAAGCTGGAGGCCATTATCCTAAGTAAACTAACACAGAAGCATAAAATAATATTGCATGTTCTCACTTATAAGTTGGGACTAAAGAAAGGGTACACATGGACATAAAGATGGGGAAAATAGACTCTCAGAATTCCAAATGGGGGCATGCAGGGGGTAGGTTTGAAAATTTCCAATATATGGGTAATGGGTACACTAGAAGCACAAACCCCACCATTACACATGTAATACCTATGTAACAAACAAGCACATGTACCCCCTGAATCTATAATAAAAATATTTTAAAAATTGGAAAAAAAAATAAAAAGAAGAAAGACATGACTGGATCAGAAAACAATAATTAAAAGGAAAGAATAATAACAATATTCACCAAAAAGAGAATGAAAATAAAGAAATATAAATTATAAATAAGAAACAATAGAAATTCTAAAGAGAAAAAATAAAATATGTAAAATGAAAATTCACTAGAGGGATTTGATACCAAATTTTAGGTGCCATAAGAAAGAATCAGCAAACCTGAAGATAGATCAATAGAAATTATGAAATCTGAAAAAAACAAGAAAAAAAGTATGAAGAATAATGAACAGAGCTTCACAGACTTGCAGGACACAATAAAATTATAGCAAAATGACCAAAATGGAAGTCCCAGAAGGACCAAAGAGAAAGGTGCAGAAAAACATGTGATACCTGAAAAACATACCTGAAGACATCCCAAAATTGATGAACCTTAATTTTCAGATCCGAAAACCTTAACAAACTTTAAAGAAGATAAACACAAAAAGATCCATACCTATTATAGACTATCATACTCAAACTGTTGGAAGACAGAGAGAAAATTCTGAAGTCAGTAAGAGAAAGCCAACACATAGGATAAGGAAACCTCATTAAAATTAACAAGTGACTTTTCACTGGAAAAGACAATGGAGGTTGAAAAACAGTAAGATAGCATATTGAAATTACTGAAAGAAAAATAGCAACAAAGAAAAAAATCCTTCAAAAATAAAGGTGAAATAAAGATAGTCCTGGATTCAAACAAAGAGAATGATAAGCAATTACTAGATCTTCTCTACAAGGAATATGAAAGGAAATTCTTCAAGCTGAAATAAAAAGACACCAGGGAGTAACCTCATTCAATATAAAGAATTAAAGTGCACAAGTAAAGCGAACTATGTAGGTAAATATTAAATCCTATATAAATGGGCTTTTTTCTTTTTTTCTACAACCTGATTTGAAAATCAATTGTATAAAATAATTATAAAGCTTTATTTTCTACTTATAAATATGAGATGTAATGTGTGTGACAATACCAGCACAAAGAAGTGGGAGGAAATGAAGGTATACTGAAACAAAGTTTCTATATTTTACTGGGACTAAATTAGTATTAATATGAAGTAAATTGTGATAAGTCAGCATGCAGGTTGTGATCCCTGGAGCTGCCACAAAACAAAATAACTCAAAAAATTACAGTTAAAAACCAAGAAAGAAATTAGACTTGTTCACTAGAAAATATCAACTAGATAAACTTCAGATTTCATATCTAGTTTTTCTTTCAGCCACTACCTTGCTAACCTATAAGCAACTTCAGGTACACCACCAGCTTCAGAAGCAACAGCTTTGCCTAGAGTTCTCCACTGATTCTTATTATTGTGTAATGTCTAATCCGTATAATCAATTCTTTATTACGTGTCACCCTTAGTGGTTCAGCTTTCCTAATCAAATCCTAACAGATACGTGTACTACATTCAAAAACAAAATTGTCTAAAAACTCTCCTTATTCTAGCATCTTCACAGGGTTTTGACATTAAGCTTAAGCTACGCCCATAAAGACAGCTGGAGAAAATGTCATTATATTCTGCTTTATGTTTATGATTTTTCTCCTTCTCTTCCCTTATTCCTGTTTAGTAATTTTTTCTAATTTCGTATATAGAACACTAAGCTTACTGTTTTTTCTCTTATGTTTTAACTTGCACATTTATGAATAGACATTTGCTTCACAAGTGTTGATATTAAGTCTATTTGTATTACTCAGTTCGAAATGTTATTTTTAAATTTTATTTTTCCATAAGTTATTGGGGCACAGGTGGTATTTTGTTACATGAGTAAGTTCTTCAGTAGAGATTTGTGAGAGCCTGGTGCACCTATCACCTGAGCAATATGCACTGCACCATATATATATATTTTTTTGAAACAGAGTCTCGCTCTGCTGCCAGGCTGGAGTGCAGTGGCATGATCTCGGCTCACTGCAACCTCCGACTCCCTGGTTCAAGCGATTCTCCTGCCTCAGCCTCCTGAGTAGCTGGGATTACAGGTACGCGCCACCATGCCCAGCTAATTTTTGTATTTTTGGTAGAAACAGGGTTTTACCTTGTTGGCTAGGATGATCTCGATCTCCTGACCTCGTGATCTGCCCGCCTCGGCCTCCCAAAGTACTGGGATTACAAGAGTGACATATTTTGTCGAATTATCTTTTTGACTGATGGACTTACTTGCAAAGCATTTTTTTAAAATTTCCAAAGGTATAGGGTTTATTTTTGGGGTGCAGTGGGTGGGTAAGGAAGGACTATTTATCATTTCATTATTTTCATTGCTTTGTGATTAGATAATGTCTTCCGTAATTACCGACTTTCTGGTATTTATCAAGACGTTATGGCCTACATGTTAATGTGTTTTTGTAAATGTTACATGAGTTTTAAGTGAAACAGACACACAGAAAGACCAGCCTCAATCTTATTTGAGCTACTTTACAATATATTCATAATTTGTTCTTTTCCTTTAGGATAAGAAGTCATTTCATGTTTTGTAGCATAATTGCTTTATAAGTGCAGACTTTTTTTCTCCATGTGTGAAATGTGAGGTGAGGAGGGCAGATCAAAACGGTCTCCAGGTACAAACAGGGATTCAAATTTATTTTATTTAAAAAGCAATTGAGCTGCAAGAGAGGTATCTTTCTTTAAAAAATTGGAAAAGTTATATAAAGATGTTGATGATTCAATTACATGTTACTCTTGAAGAACAATTTTATTTAGGTACATTTTAATATACTTAAAGGAAATTTAGAAATTTAAACGTTTTAAAATCTCTTGAGTGCAATAGAGTCCTATTTAATTACTTTAACTACTATTTAATTATTTAACTACTAATATAAATATCAGAAGGATTATTAATACCTCCCTCCAAAAATTAAAAGATCAGTTCCAAACTTCTAATTATATGGTATGCTAGGGTGAGTGAAGAAAAATACAGGCTTTGCAGACTCCAGACAAAGTGCTTACAAAGAGAGTCATTATTTCAATTTAAGATAATCAAGAAAATAAAGGAATAGCCAATGAAATTACAGTACATAAATGTTTCAAAGAAACTTGCCAACACGCCAGAATTCAGAGAATAGGGTCTTCAAGAAGACTTCCTGAGGAATATAGTAGAGAATAAGCTTCAGCCAACAAAAATGGTTAGAGATATCAACTACTACAGCAACAACAGCACTATCATTCCCAAAGAGATAAAGCAAGACATCAAGATCTTTTGGATGAAAAAATATAACATCATCTGTCATTTGTCTTGCAAAAAGTATCAAACTAAATATGATTAAGCTGCTGGATAGGCAATTTGCAGAAAATGCAGTGACAGAAGTCCATGTTGAACTGTACCATGAGCATGCAATCAGCATATTTCAGACTCTGGGAGACCCTAGATGGTAAATAACTCAGGTTTTTCAAAAGATAAATTATAACCCCTTCTCTACTAAAAATACAAAAAATTAGCTGGGCGTGGTGGCGGGCGCCTGTAGTCCCAGCTACTCAGGAGGCTGAGGCAGGAGAATGGCGTGAATCCGGAAGGCAGAGTTTGCAATGAGCGGAGATCACGCTACTGCACTCCAGCCTGGGCGACAGAGCAAGACTCCGTCTCAAAAAAAAAAAAAAAAGAAAAAAAAAAGAAAAAGAAAGATAAATTATACAGAAATTGAAGAGATAGTGATAGTGAGACTTGTAGGCTACAAGAAAAGGAAACAAAGTTGGTGAGGCCAAGTTTGAGTGTGTATGGATGTATATTTGAGTATATATGTATTCATGAAACTGAAAAGAAATGCAAATAATTTATTAAGTCAGGGTAATGGTTAATTTTGGAGGAGAGAGTTGTCATCGAGATGAACAAACTTGAGGACTTCAGGGGTGGCTGGCGAAGTTCTATTTTGTGACTTGAAATGTGATTATAATGGTGTTTGCCTTGTAATATTTCATTAAGCTAAACATGTTTGTGTATTTTTCTTTACCTTGCTTTTACACTGCAATAAAAAGGTTATAATAAAAAAATTAAAGTAATGGATATTGATTGATTGACGGAGTCTCCCTCCAATCCACCCTCTATTAGCATGTTTTCTGTTGCATAAGAATCTTGAAATCTACAAATTGATTTTTGAAGCCAAGTTTCTCTGTGCAAAATAGATTCCACCAATTAGATGCACCAAATGAGCTTTAGAAAGCACAAGTGAGGCAGAGGGATCTACTGATATAATTGCCGCTGGTGAGCAAGATGATGATGAGATGTGAGGGAAAGCAACTGTGGCAGCCATACCTGTGTCCAGTGACTATTCACCACCTTCAAGAGTGCTGAGGGTGATGAAGGAGTGGCAATGACACCAAGGCTTTTTGCCTTTTGCCCTTACATCACATTACTGGGGTAATGTGCTCTGGAACACAATAGCTCCAGTTGCAGCCTCCAATGCATGTTCCTGTAAGTCTTTGAATTATTCACAAGCATTTAATACATTGTATTAAATCTGCTTAATTTACCCAATGGTTTCCGTTTTCTTAACTGTAGGACAACCAATATAAGTACACTCAAACAAGAAGAAAAAATTGATATAAATATATTATTATATAAAAACAAATTACTAATTAAATTGCTATTTCTAGTCTCAAACTAAAAAAAAAAATCTCTCCTTTAAATTTTCTTTAACAGGTGGCAAGTGAGCAAAGGGAGAAAAATCTGGCTTTTGTTGATGGCTTCAGATTCCTAGTACAGTTAAAACACAAAGAAAAAAGGCGAATTAACAGTGGTCTTGCATTTAGTAGTCATAAAAAGGCTAATGGGGGAAAAAAACCTGGAGCCTCCAGCCCGAGAACATTTTTTAATTTAAAAAATAGGTATTCATCTCCTTATATTGGCAGTGTAAATTATCAGAGTAAAAAATAAAAATGAAACTATAGTATTTTAGTGCATACTAGATATTGGAATTTATTTGTTTGTTTTACAAAAATCAAAGAGAAAAAATAACATGTCAATTGAGTTATATTAGCAACAATAGAGACAGAATACATGAATCAATGATCCCAGTCACATTTCCAGTCTCATTTGAGTGTTGGTCCTACACGCTCCAGAATAATTTGTGCATATTTACCTCATGGTGTAACCAAGAGCATTAAAAATAATTCCAAACAACAAAGCACAACAGAAACTTATAAACCAAAAAACTATCAAGTTGCTTAGCGGATTTCATTGGCATCTGAGAGTACATGCAAGAAGTTCACATGAATTAGATTTCCCTGGCTGTTTTCTTCTCCCCGTTTTTCAATTGACATATACATCCAAAAATCATGCAAAATAATATCAGGGAAAGAATAGGGAAATAGGAGGATTACTCCAACTCTCTCAACAAATTTTGCTATAACTGAGTTGTTTAAAAACTCACATGTAGAGAATAGATTCACTGGTAGTTTTTTAAATTTGAAAATACTTTCATAAGGAGTCTGGATATGCACAAATAACAGCATTTTACCAAGAACTTCTATATAGCAGCATAATCCAGTGATCACATTATCCTAAACCCTTATCAATGCAGAAAAATACTTCACATAAGACAGCTCATATAATACAAAACTTCATCTATCTACTAATCTATCCATCTGCCTATCTCTTCACCTTAATAATATGAGTCAAACATCATTCTTATTCTGACAACAATTGTAATGTGAATTCATCCTAAAATCAATAAACCAATTTAATATTTATTCATTGTAAAGAAGCAATAGCATAATGATTAAGCAACAACTTGATACTTCTCTTGATTAATGACAGTTGTGAACAGACAGAAAAACAAGTTTCCAGAAGCTTTAATTAATGTAAGAACCAGTGTAATTTTCTAGTGGAAGTTACTTTTAATTTTTCAAATTAATACTGACACACATATACAGACATGAATATTTAAAACATATAAATGAAAATTTACCTTTTAAATTAAACAAGTCAAGTGTTAGCTCAAGAGACTATCAAGTCCCATAAACAAAGATATCCAGAGGTTATCACCCAGAATGATACAATGACTAACATTTATTGACAACCATATGCTTCATATTATTTGCTTCTTTTATGCCTCAAATAACTCTGTGGTGTAGAGACCACTATTATCTCCTTTAACATATGTAGAAACTGAGGCTAAGAGGTATTAAGTACTTAGCTTAAGTTTACACCACTAGTAGTAGAAGTAGTATTAAACACTGTTTAAAAAAAAAAAAGATACCAGAGTCTAAGACTTTTAAAACTACACATTAGACTTCAGATTCTGCAGAGCCTTTTAATGCAGGGGTGTCCAAAGTTTTGGCTTCTCTGGGCCACATTGGAAGAAGAATTGTGTTGGGCCACACATAAAATACACTGATACTAAAGATAGCTGATGAGCTTTACAAAAAAATCACAAGAAAATCTTATAATGTTTCAAGAAAGCTTATGAATTTGTGTTGGGCTGAATTTAAAGCCATCTCCTGAGCCGCATGCAACCTGCAGGTCATGGGTTGGACAAGCTAGGCTTAAAGCTTATACAGTTTGAGGACACCTGTTTCAGGAAAAAAAAATCGAAATAACTAATAAAAGGTTGTTAGTTTCCATTCTAGGGCCTTCGAGGAAATCCATGCAAAGGAGGAGTTATAAAACCTAAGCTTTACAAGCTTTATGGTAAATCCACCATCATTATACCATATAGTATTCTAAAAGTTTTCTTAAGCATTTTTAGAAACAAACATAATTTGTAGTTTTTATTGCTATTACATATATCCAGTTCCTTCACATATTAAAATTTACACTTTATCTGTTTTTATCTATACCTGATTTTTAACAGTTTTTCCATCTGCATTCAATTGTTGTCAAGCTTCACAGCTTCCTAAACACGTAGAGGAAGATGAAGTTGCTTGTCAACACACTCTTCTTATAAATGCTCCAGAACTCCCTCAGTTGTGTTATTGCAGATAGTGCAGATCACTTAAAATTATACTTGCCTGCTTATCTTGTATTCTCTGCAGAACATTATCTCTGTCTCTGGAAACTCTGGTGGCAGCTGGCACCATCCTTACTATTGCTTAACGAGTCCATGGCCATGTCACTGCAGTTATCCTTGGTGAAAGAGTGTCAGCATCTTGTCTAAGAGATATATCGATAAAACCAACCACCATGAGTCCTAAAGTCCTAACTAAGATTTTTAAGTGTTTATATAACATGCAGAGGTACCATGAATATTGACTCCTCACACTAAGCCACCGAGAAATGTGATAGTTCCATTTATATATGTAAGCCCTCCAAAGGCTTTCTGTAATCCTTTTTATTATCAGCCACAGAATTTTACTATCAATCCAACTACTTAATCTCATTATTGACTTGCCTTATAGAGTTGTCTGCTGATCAGCTACACCTTTGAGGGTATTTTGGCAAATGTTCTTGAGTTTTAGAATTCTCCACAAAAGCACAGAAAATCAATAGCGTCTCTTCCAAAAGATTCCACAGTTTTATATTGCAAAAAGCAGCACAGTTTTGAAAATATTCCCTGGACAAAGAAATATGTCAAGTAAAAGAATTATTTCTAGCATTTTTAAGCACCAGCTAAAACATTCTACATAAACGAAGTCCTTGAATATGAACATATTTGTACATATAACTGCAACCAAGAGAAAGTTCACACTCAAAACCTAAATTGGCCTATTTGTATCCCTATTTAAAATAGAATTATGCTAATCTTGTGCTTACAGAAGCATGTTTTATTTTATGTTAATACTGTAGACGTTATTATCTAATAATTTCAAAACTGCTCAGGCTTTAAACACAGTATCACAGACTTTCAAGCTGTAAGTTTTTTCCTTATTTGCTTAGTACATTAATGAAGAAATAAAACACAAACTGATGAAGAAAAAATAAATTCCTTTTATAACTTGGTTTAATATGAACATCTAAGGATTTTCTGTTTTAATTATCTTTCATAAATGATAATTAATGCATTTCATTTGTTTTCTCCATTTACTCAATCATACCAGAAAATAACAACTTGATATTATCAAATACTGTGGTTGCAACATATCTTTCCCTTTGTGGATACATGTTGGATCATATATAAGACACTATATTTTATCAATATCATTTAGAAAATTCTAAATAAGAGTTAACTCATGAATGTTTGCCATCATTTAAAGATGATTTGCAAAGTAGGGTATACACAATTATTTTTCCTCTTTCAATACTTGCAATTCCAGTTAGTACCAGCAGGTGGTAGTAATACTTTGTATACATTAAAGCTAATATTGAACCTACCAGATTTATTTATAACAGTAATAAAACCTATTTGTGTACAAAAACATACTTATTACATTGACAATGTATTACTAAATGCAGATTCATTATTTTTACATCCAAATATTTCAAGAAAAAAATAACCAAAATGGAAAGCAATATAACACTTTAAAATGAAAGCATGGACTCCCCATAAATTCAACTGTTATAAACTGTGTCTCTCAATTCTAGTTTTAACTTCTTAGGAACTAAGCAACCATCGTGTCTGCACAAAACAAAGTGTACTGATCTGCAACTCATTTCATATTTTCTGATTTGCAGAATTCTCCAGCCTCCCTACTCATTCCGCATTATCAGAAAGAAATATCATGACTGTATTGCTTTGATGATGAACTAAAAGTGGTTGGTAAAGATTGCTACACTTACGGCAATTTTATGGACGTCATTAACATTCGAAATAAAATATATCTAGAGTTTTCTTTAATAGAAGAGATCACAAATTGGTTTAAATGTTAAGTAGGAGTGGCTTGGGAACGTATGTGGAAAATCATTGCTTCTCTGTCAGAGGCTAAGATCCTACAGCAGTATGGAGTTCCTAAGGATTATAGGAATCTTGCTAGCTTGTCATACTTTAGGAGCATCTCACTAAGTGACTCAGTTGCTCACTGTGGGTAATTGTCATTATCTCCTAGTTCTGCTTTAATCTATATTTCTTCTCCTCATTCCTTGGTCCTCTTTTCCAATAAATTGATTATTGATATTGAATGTCCTAACTGGAACTGTCACTCCTGACATTTTTATAGTCTTTATTTCTTTTAACTTGCTTTTCTGAAATTTCAAATGTATTTTGAACACATTCACATTCATGAGAATAGTTTCAAAATGCACTGAACTTGAGCCCTCACAAATTCTTGGCAATTACAATTTGGTAAGAACCCTCTAGAAAGAAAAGCCTAACACAGCATTGTGTCTAATGTTCTGTGTCACAAAAACTATGAAGGCATTGCCTTATTAAAATTTAGAAACCTATTTTTCAGTTTCCTCATGGCTATCTTTACTTCTTGATTCCTCAAAGTATAGATTATTGGGTTCAGAGTGGGAGTAAAGATGGTATAAAACACAGACAGAATCTTGTCTGTGAGAAAGCTGCTTAGTGGCCACATGTAGATGAAGATGCATGGCCCAAAGAACAAGAAGACAACAATGAAATGAGCTGTACAAGTAGAAAGGGCCTTAGATGATCCTCTGGAAGAATGATGCTTCACAGTAACCAGGACAATAACATATGAATTAAATAAAACAATAAAACAGGACAACGCAATTATGCCACTTGTTGAGATCATAAAGAGGCCCAGAACATAAGTATCCACACAAGCCAACTGGAACACCACAGGAAGGTCACAGAAAAAGCTGTCTACCTCATAGGGACCACAGAATGGTAACGTGAGGGCAAATATGACCTGACTCATTGAATGCATAACTCCCATAATCCAGGAAGCCACCACGAGAGCAACACACACCTGGGGACTAATGACAGAAGCATAGTGCAGGGGCTTGCATATTGCAATATACCTATCAAAGGACATGGCCATGAGTAAGATGATCTCAGTTCCAGTGAAAAGGTGGAGAAAGAATATCTGGGTAAGGCAGCCATCAAAAGAGATGGTTTTGTGACCTGTTAGGTAATCTGTAATCATCTTTGGGGTGGCGAAAGAAGCAAGAGACATATCAATGATTGAAAGATTGGTAAGCAGGAAATACATAGGAGAGTGTAGGTGAGGGTCCACTATAACTGTGATGACTATGAGGCTGTTACCCACCATTGTTGCCACATAAAGCAATGAAAACACCATAAAGAAAAACATCTGTAGTTCCCAGGAATTAGAGAGCCCCAGCAAAACAAATTCAGACATGGTAGACTTATTGCCCACATCCATTGTCTTGATTCATAGGCAGAAGCCTGTATCACGAAAAAAAAAAAAAAAAAAAAGGAAAGTCAGATTCAATAGAAGCAAAAGATTCATTTCCAATTATCTACTTTCAGAAATTTTATCTTCTCATAAAACTTACCTTGACTATTCTTTCCATCCTTCTCATTTGGTATATTGTTTTGAATGGAAATTATGAAATATTAGAGCTTATAGCAAAATGTTCCTTAAATCATAGGTATTGAAAAGAACACTTTCTTTTCTGATACTAATGGCAATCCAACCAAGATAATATCATTCTGAACAGACATACCTACCTATTTGTCCATCTATTCATCTGTGTAAGTCTAACGATAACAGTAAGAACTTACTTTATGCTGACAATGTGTGAAACACACATACACATACATGTTTAGTCATTTGGAATTTGTCCATAAAGATATCCTTACTGATGAAAACATATAAAAATTATATCACATATAAGGGCTCTTAAGCACATTATAGTGAAGTTTCGATGGACAGTTGTAGAGCTCTTGTAAATTTCCAGAGATGAACTGTTAAAGTATTCCCAGATAAAGTTTCCTGTTTGAAACTCAAAAGAAATACATAGAAAGTTAGTTTTGCTGATATTCATCCAGAGAGACTAATTTATTACAATACAGTCATACAGACAAAGGAAAGGCATTTAACTTCTTTTGGTCCTTTCTTTTTAATTAAAATATGACTGTGTTCCTTATAAATATTTATAATTCTATGATTTAAAATTTTATATCACAAAGGATATATAACAACATTTTCATGGGAAAGTGCTCAAAGATCAGTCTCTTTCATTTCACCTCTGTTTGAATTCTTCTTCTGTAAATGTTAACATATGTAAACTGTTGTATTGACCTAAGCTTCATGGAATAGGGATTAGGAAATGGGAGTGGGAAGGGCAAACATTTAAAATATTTCAGTAGAACTCATTTGTAAAACACTTTTACTTATCAGATCTATAGAAGAACCAGGGCTTTAGATTATTCAGTGTTAAGTAGGCTTCTGACAGAGCATCGAAGGCAATTTAAAATATAAATAAATGACCTAGTTGAATCATTAGTTGTGTATCAGCTGTGGATAAAATGGATGTTGTAGGGACATGGGAATTGAACAAGAAATCACCTTGCAATGGGATTTATTAAACAACAAAGATGGCATTATTGAGTTGACAAAGGAAAGATATTTCAAGAATCTTATGGGAATTTACAAAGATTGTTTTCACCTGGACCTGAGAGAGTCAGGGACTAGAAGTTGGGAAAGTCCTAATTTCAAAAAGCAGCAGGAAATATCAAATCAACTAATTCTAATAAGCACTCTTGGTTCTCTAATGCTATATTAGAAGCAACGGAGAACAAAATCCAAACATTCATCTCTGCTTCAAGTAATTTACAGTTATTTGGAAATATTAAACACCTATAAATAAAACAATTGGTGAAAAATACCACCAAATAAACCTCATGTTCAGTCAATTCTCAGAGACCATGGATGAACTAGACTTTAGTTAAAAACAAAAACAAACAAACAAACAAAACTGGTAATGTGCAGAATCAATCAAGCAAGTGTTCTTGCAGGAGACATGTCATGAACTTGACTTAGAATGAAAACTAAAATATTAATTGGCAGAAGAAAAAAAATGCACGGGGAAGGAAAACAGTGCAGCTTATTTGCCATGAAACAGGATATTTAGTTAGCAGTTTAGAAGAGCAAGACTGCCTTTCTAAAAATTTAACTTGATATAAAAGATAACGGGTCATTTTAATGTCAGGGGCAGAATTATGATTATTTGAAAGCAGTATTATGTAAGCATTTATTTAGATAGTTTGGAGAAGGGAGAAATTTAATACAGATCATTTAATGAAATGGATATAAGGAGATAATTTTGACTAAGTTACCAGAAATGTGAATGTGATTGTAATTAATTAAATGAGACATCCAAGTAACTGTCATTATGAATATTTTTATTTATTGAATACTAATAATATGATTATTCTCCTGTGCAGTCTATGTAGTAGACTGAATTTTTTTTTTTTTTCAGACAGAGTTTCACTCTTGTCACCCAGCCAGGAGTGCAATGGTACAATCTTGGCTCACAGCAACCTCCGCCACCTGGTTGAAGCGATTCTCCTGTCTCAGCCTCCAGAGTAGCTGAGATTACAGGCATGTGCCACCATGCCCTGCTAATTATATTTTCAGTAGAGGCGGGGTTTCACCGTGTTGGCCAGGCTGGTCTCGAACTCCTGACCTCAAGTGATCAGCCCACCTCCACCTCGCAAAGTGCTGGGATGAACAGTGAGCCACCATACCCAGCCGACTGAATTTTAGAAAATCAAAATTGATTACCTTTTTGTATATGGCTCATCCCTTCAGGGACCTTCACATGCTGTGGAAGGAGTATAACCCTCACTTTATCTACCAGAACCTTGGATACATGACTTTGTTCAATGTAATGTGACTAGAAGTATCATATGCCACACATGAGCAGAAGTTTTAAAAGTCAATGCGTGACTCCAGCACTGTTTATATATTTTATTTTTTAACTCATCAGGGTCTTAGGATAAATAGAATAAATACAAAGAAACATTGAGAGATAGACACACATGTGCGCGCGCGCGCGCGCGCACACACACACACACACACACACACACACACACGGGAGGAATACAGAATGATGAGATATTATATGTAAATATGGAGTACCAGCCAGACCCTAGCCATCTGATACACTCCAGGTGAGGCACAAGATATGTTAGGAAATCCGTTCTGAAAGTTCCAGTACCAGCGGAGCTCCCAGGTAAATAATGCAAGTGCATGAGTCTTTCCTACAGACCGGAGAGTGGCACCTTACATCTTTCTATTGTCAAAGTGGTTAAGCTGAGAACTACAGTTCCCAGAATTCTTTTCTACACGTCTTTCCGTATTGGAGTTGTCTAAAAATAAATGTGTTTGGAATTTGAAAAGCAGCCCAAAGCACCAGCCATTACTCTCTGATCTTTGTGGCTATACAGATGCAGAGGTGCCAACAGCTTCTAGCTTGTTTTGTTCTCAGCCACTTCACTCTGCGTCCACCTTTTTCCCAACTTCTGAATTGGAGGATCAACAGAAGCCTCAGGCTGCCTGCCTGCAGATCCTCAGAAGCAGCAACTGAACAAAAATTTTTCTACCAGCAAAATTTTCTAAATTTTGCTCCTTTCATGACCTCTACTTCATTGGCTAGATGGGCTTGGTTTCTCGATTGACTGGCTATTGCTGCCTCTGATTCTGCAGCTCCCTGTTTCATGTCTTTGCTTTCCTAAGTCCTTCCAGAATTGTTTAAGGTCTAATTCCTATGGTAAATGCCTTATCCTACAGTGCATGGTAGCTCTGCTTTCTAAGTTGAACTCTATTTCTTAACCTAAGTCAAAACTAACAATGTAGATAAAATCAGAGATGTTTTGATTTTATCCCTGACATTCCAACATGTCAATCCTATTGTCCCCTATCATCTCCCTCTCCTTAGAGGTAAATATATATATATATATATATATATAAATAGGTATATATATGTGTATATATATAAAAATAGGTATATATATGTGTATATATATATAAATAGGTATATATATGTGTATATATATATAAATAGGTATATATATGTGTATATATATATAAATAGGTATATATATGTGTATATATATATAAATAGGTATATATATGTGTATATATATATATAAATAGGTATATATATGTGTATATATATATAAATAGGTATATATATGTGTATATATATATATAAATAGGTATATATATGTGTATATATATATAAATAGGTATATATATGTGTATATATATATAAATAGGTATATATATGTGTATATATATATAAATAGGTATATATATGTGTATATATATATAAATAGGTATATATATGTGTATATATATATAAATAGGTATATATATGTATATATATATAAATAGGTATATATATGTGTATATATATAGATAGGTATATATATGTGTATTTATATATATATACACACACACACACACACATATATATACCTATTTAAATATATATGTGTATATTTAATATATTTAAATGTTCCTCCATGGGATTTTATTATTTTATATTCCTTCTGGCATTACCTCACTGTAGTGTCATCTAGAGCAGGTGTTCAAGCTGCTAGAATTTTGCTGCCTGATAGAAACATTTACCATATGATAGTTGATATGTGGTATCTCAATGAATTTCAACATATGTTCATATAAAAAAGAGTTTGAGCATCTTTTCTATAGAAAATAGCTATTTGCGCTTTTTTCCCATTTTATGCAGGGTTCTTGGTCTTTTTATTGTCTAATTTAATAGCTTTTTATGTACTGATATACCAGTGCTTTGTTTTTTTATCTCTCAGTGCAAATGAGGAGATTGAGATTTATGATAATGTGGTGATGTACTCAGTATAATATAATAAAGTCTTGTACTGTGATGTAAACTCAGGCCTCCAAATCTGAGATTCAATGTTCTTTATATTACACTAGAGGCATATAATGCAGTTTCATCAAGTTATTTCTTTTCATCTTATGAATACAAGCTCTGTGAAATATAGTCAAAACTTTCTTGTTAATAGAGAAATATTTAAGTATGGGTGGCATTTAAATTTTATTGATTGTTATTCTGATTTTTAGCAGATATTAAAATTTTGATGATTACTTCACATTCTTTACATAGTTAGAATTTATAAACCAGAATTTTTTCACTTTTCACTTTTTTCTTCCATTACTCCATAATGATTCAAGTGAATAGTACAAAATTTAAATTCTCGAACATTCATTTTATTATTTTCTGTATCAGTTTTTTTCCAAATGGGGATACACAGGCCTTATACTCATTTGTTAATGGAGGAACTGGGAGATAACACTTGTAGTCTCATAAGTCAAATAATAGATACTATTTGTCTTGTCTTTGCTGTGGTCCAAGATACGCGTTATTCTTTATATTTTCCCAGCCAATCACATCCATGTCCTGTACATGAAACATTTACGAGCAATCATGCATTCTGTAATTCACCTTTAAATATGGCCAAACCAACTAGAAAGTTTTAATAACTCCCACTGCAACTTGAACATTTGTTTATTCCCCAAGCAGCAGCTGGTCTTTTTCTTGCCATGTAATTCACAAAATTATTTCATATCAATACAACTGTCATAAATACAAAGGTCTCAAGGACTGTGAGCCTCCTTTCCCCAGAAATTAGGCAAGGGATTCACCTAACTTCACTGTGACGCAGTTGTCCCTGCTTTCAGGAGTTGGTTATTATATTACATGTGTGGAAAGGATCTTAAAATTATCTAGATCAACACCCCTATTTTACATATGAAGACTTGGAAGCATCGGTTGACTCAGTAAATTACTTGATCCCACACTCCTAGGACAAGATTTCAATTCCCATTTTCTGACTCTCAGGTCACTGTTATTTCTGGTACACCAATTTAAATGAGTGCTGTGCTAGAGACTTCTATTTAAAAATCAGGTAGGTGAGTACAAAAGAAATTTAAAAGTTTCTGGGATGGGTAAAGCTAGAAGAACAATGTGAAGGTTTTTTGTTTATTTGTTTTTCAAAGGCCACAGCATTTTTAATAGAAAGCGAAAGAACAATAGGTAGTTGAATGAGTAAATTGGGTTTGGTCTTAGAACAATTTGTTTAGAATATATAGTTGTAACAGAGGTTTGAGAAGAAAAGAAAAACAAATGCTTGGATTAGTAGAAAGATGAAAAAGTTTTGTTATGAATTTTGAGTACACATCATTTCAATTGGCTTTCAGTGCACTTTGTAAATCTCAGATCTCAGTGAGACAGAGATTTCCTTAATCAGCCAAGTTACAACTTTTGAGGTGCGTTATATTACATAACTTATAAATTCATTACTCTCTTCTGTCTGATGTAAACTTGTCTCAACAGTTGCTCCATGTAAACTCTGGAAACAGGAAGAGTGTTTTTTGTTTCAAACAGCTTCTGTGAAATCAATAATTTCTAGCATTTAAAAATTGCCTGGCTTCTGGCAGCATGGTATTTAACAGTCTTTCTATTTAAAATGTACTTAGAAATGTATGAGTACTTCAGGCTTTAACCAGAACATGTTCATTAGCCTCTGAAAAATGTATGGCATTGGTGACATACATCAAGTGTCATTCATAATATCTGCATAACTAAAATAAAGGACAAATAATTAGAGGTGATTTCACTTTTTTTTTTTTTTTTTTTTTTGAGGCAGAGTCTCACTCTGTCACCAGGCTGGAGTGCAGTGGCACGATCTTGGCTCACTGCATCCTCTGCCTCCCGGGTTCAAGCGATTCTCCTACCTCAGCCTCCTGAGTAGCTGGGATTACAGGCGCATGTCACCCTGCCCAGCTAATTTTTGTATTTTTAGTAGAGACAGGGTTTCGCCATGTTGGTCAGGCTCGTCTCGAACTACTGACCTCGTGATCTGCACACCTCGACCTCCCAAAGTGCTGGGATTACAGGTGTGAGCCACCGAGCCCAGCCATTTCACTTTTATTCTAGACAATCTCCACTGGAAAATTGAAACAGATGATGTTTCTCTGTAGCCATCCTCCTTCCCTCATGTTTGATTCCTTTTTCCTAGCCACTGCAAGAGACCAGTGCCCATATCCTTCCCACTAATAATAAGCTTTGATCCTCAAATATTCCTCCTCCGTCTTTCACCCTTCATGATGTTTGAAAAAGGTTTTTACTCCCTTTTCTTACAAAAGGCTGCTGTCAGCAAGCTGTGAAATTTAAAAAGTATTTCACAAACTGAGGAGTAAATATTTGAAACCATTAATTTTTACTTCTTTTATGAATATTTGTATTTTACTTGTAAAACAAATTGCTAAGTCATAAAAAATAATATGTAATTGAATCATTTGAAATATCTAGGAAGGCCATTGGGAAAAATTTTTGGCCACTGTGAGTCTGGAAAAGAGACAATAGGGAACTATCTGATGGTAGGCTGCCACTAAATTAGTCTGTGCAAAAATCCCACTTTGAGTTTGATTGCTATATTTTTTCCTAGTTCTCCTCCCAACTGGAAATGCTAGAGTCCTTCCAGAAATCAGAGCAAATGGCCTGGAGCAATCAGTCTGCGGTAACCGAATTCATACTACGGGGTCTGTCCAGTTCTTTAGAACTCCAGATTTTCTACTTCCTGTTTTTCTCCATAGTCTATGCAGCCACTGTGCTGGGGAACCTTCTTATTGTGGTCACCATTGCATCAGAGCCACACCTTCATTCCCCTATGTACTTTCTGCTGGGCAATCTCTCCTTCATTGACATGTCCCTGGCCTCATTTGCCACCCCCAAAATGATTGCAGACTTCCTTAGAGAACACAAAGCCATCTCTTTTGAAGGCTGCATGACCCAGATGTTCTTCCTACATCTCTTAGGGGGTGCTGAGATTGTACTGCTGATCTCCATGTCCTTTGATAGGTACGTGGCTATCTGTAAGCCTCTACATTACCTAACAATCATGAGCCGAAGAATGTGTGTTGGGCTTGTGATACTTTCCTGGATTGTCGGCATCTTCCATGCTCTGAGTCAGTTAGCATTTACAGTGAATCTGCCCTTCTGTGGACCCAATGAAGTAGACAGTTTCTTTTGTGACCTCCCTTTGGTGATTAAACTTGCTTGTGTTGACACATATATTCTGGGGGTGTTCATGATCTCAACCAGTGGCATGATTGCCTGGTGTGCTTCATCCTCTTGGTGATCTCTTACACTATCATCCTGGTCACCGTTCGGCAGCGTTCCTCTGGTGGATCCTCCAAAGCCCTCTCCACGTGCAGTGCCCACTTTACTGTTGTGACCCTTTTCTTTGGCCCATGCACTTTCATTTATGTGTGGCCTTTCACAAATTTCCCAATAGACAAAGTACTCTCAGTATTTTATACCATATACACTCCCCTCTTGAATCCAGTGATCTATACCGTTAGGAATAAAGATGTCAAGTATTCCATGAGGAAACTAAGCAGCCATATCTTTAAATCTAGGAAGACTGATCATACTCCTTAATTTTCCTCATAGGAAAATAAAATACCTGTTCAGCATTTATCCCCCTCATTCAGTTGGTCAACATATTGATGCTATTGCAAGAACTCAATTAGTTCATGGTAGAACTGTTTCTGTAATCAGCCTCAGCTGTCATGAAGTTCTGGTCATATTAATTGTTTCTTACACAACCTAACATTTACTATAGAGCATTATAAAATGTATACTTAACATTTTAGTGTGAAAGGACCCACAATGTCTAATATTTATTTTTTTCAGATCTATCTGAATATAATTTCCTTTGAGACTTTCACATGTTTTAAGAAAGAGTAGATTTCCTCCCTATCTCTAGCAATAGTCTCTAATAAAAAAGACAAGTATAAAAGCAGCAGCACCTAGTATAGTACCCTATACACTAAAGTAGCAATAGAATGTTTATTGCTGACAAGAAGCTAATGAATGTGGGTTTTTTGTAGCTCAAAATTCAGAAGGCAATAGAGGGTTTTTGGTAAGTAAAAATATTTGCCATTTAATATGTTTGTAACCCATTGTGGGTAAGAATAGGAATGTATCTTACTTATCTTTAGTCCCTACGTTCCCTAGAGTGGACTTCATAGTTTTAAAACAGTATAGGAAACTCCATGCAAATTCTTATAGTCATATCTATATCTATGTGTATCTATCACATCTAGCTATCTGTCTATCTATCTATCTATCTAAAAGATTAAAAGGAACCTAGAGTACTATACAACAAATCTCATCCATAGCCCTGTTCTACAAAAGATAAAAATAAGACCCAATGATACACTAGGTTTTTCAAAATCATGCTAATTAGAGACAAAATCTACATCATTCACTTAAAAATATAGATATTTATTTCCTAAGCAGTAACAAATTGTTTTGGTGTCATGATGTTTACTGTACCATTTTTTTAAAAATTTTTTTAGTATTTATTGATCATTCTTGGGTGTTTCTCGGAGAGGGGGATTTGGCAGGGTCATAGGACAATAGTGGAGGGAAAGTCAGCAGATAAACATGTGAACAAAGGTCTCTGGTTTTCCTAGGAAGAGGGCCCTGCCGCCTTCCGCAGTGTTTGTGTCGCTGGGTACTTGAGATTAGGGAGTGGTGATGACTCTTAACGAGCTTGCTGCCTTCAAGCATCTGTTTAACAAAGCACATCTTGCACCTCCCTTAATCCATTTAACCCTGAGTGGACACAGCACATGTTTCAGAGAGCACGGGGTTGGGGGTAAGGTTATAGATTAACAGCATCCCAAGGCAGAAGAATTTTTCTTAGTATAGAACAAAATGGAGTCTCCTATGTCTACTTCTTTGTAGCAAACACAGTAACAATCTGATCTCTCTTTCTTTTCCCCACATTTCTCCCTTTTCTATTTGACAAAACCGCCATCGTCATCATGGCCCGTTCTCAATGAGCTGTTGGGTGCACCTCCCAGACGGGGCGGCGGCCGGGCAGAGGGGCTCCTCACTTTTCAGATGGGGCGGCCAGGCAGAGGCGCCCCCCACCTCCCGGACGGGGCGGCTGGCCGGGCGGGGGCTGCCCCCCACCTCCTGGACGGGGCGGCTGCCGGGTGGAGACGCTCCTCACTTCCCAGATAGGGCGGCTGCCAGGCGGAGGGGCTCCTCACTTCCCAGACTGGGCGGCTGGTCAGAGACGCTCCTCACCTCCCAGACGGGGTGGCGGCGGGGCAGAGACACTCCTCAGTTCCCAGACGGGGTCGCAGCCGGGCAAAGGTGCTCCTCACTTCCCAGACTGGGCGGCCAGGCAGAGGGGCTCCTCACATCCCCGACGATGGGCGGCATGGAAGAGACGCTCCTCACTTCCTAGACGGGGTGGCGGCTGGGCAGAGGCGCTCCTCACTTCCCAGACTGGGCGGCCAGGCAGAGGGGCTCCTCACATCCCAGACGATGGGTGGCCAGGCAGAGACGCTCCTCACTTCCTAGACAGGATGGCGGCCGGGAAGAGGCGCTCCTCACTTCCTAGACGGGATGGCTGCCGGGCAGAGATGCTCCTCACTTCCCAGACGATGGGCGGCCAGGCAGAGACGCTCCTCACATCCCAGACGGGGTGGCGGCCGGGCAGATGCTGCAATCTCGGCACTTTGGGAGGCCAAGGCAGGCGGCTGGGAGGTGGAGGTTGTAGCGAGCCGAGATCACGCCACTGCACTCCAGCCTGGGCAACATTGAGCACTGAGTGAGTGAGACTCCGTCTGCAATCCCGGCACCTCGGGAGGCCGAGGCTGGCAGATCACTCGCGGTCAGGATCTGGAGACCAGCCCGGCCAACACGGCGAAACCCCGTCTCCACCAAAAAATACAAAAACCAGTCAGGCGTGGCGGCGTGCGCCTGCAATCCCAGGCACTCGGCAGGCTGAGGCAGGAGAATCAGGCAGGGAGGTTGCAGTGAGCCGAGATGGCGGCAGTACAGTCCAGCCTCGGCTGGGCATCAGAGGGAGACCGTGCAAAGAGGGCGAGGGCGAGGGTGAGGGCGCTACTGTACCATTTTTTAATCCAAAGCCACATTGTAAATAGTGGGGTTTAAAGGATCTGAGCCATTCTCCCTATGGTTAAACACAGTATTTGATGTAAGGACTTCATTAAACAGAGGTTCCTCAACATATATATCTAATAAGTGGAGGTTTTAGAAAATACAAATCATCTAGTCAAATCTATTTATTCTACAGATGATGAAATTGAGAACCAGGGAATGATGTTACTTTCCCAAGTAAGCTATTCAATGAAAGAATCTAGCATAAAAGATGCTCTCTCTCTCTCTGTCTCTCTCTTCCTTTTCCTCTCTATTGAACTAGGGCCAGATTATCTCCAAGAGCATTTTGGTCATTGTCATTCTGAGAGCTACATGTAGAAGAAATGTTTAATGTATAAAACTGAGCTATTGTAATCACTAATAATTAGCCAATTCCCTAGAATTGTCAAAATTTACATAATATTCTGAGTAATATTTCCTTAGCCTGAGTATAAATACAGATGGATATTTAGATGACTGATGAATAGATTTTAAGGAGTCGAATAGATAAAATAGCCAATAGGTAAGTATATGGGCAGATAGATTAATAAGTTGATGGATGGGTGGATACATATATATACATATGGCAATATAGGTGGATAGATAATTTAACAACGATAAAGAAATGAATATACATCTTACTATACTGACTCAATAGTTTCTATGGGTTTATATTGAGCCTGTACCAACTGTAAACTGCCTTACTTGTTTAAAATTGCTGTAAAAGTTAAGGAAGTTGGCATAGTTAAAAAGACGTAATCTTAAAAGTGTTTCTTGTGATGAAGTACAGCCAATTCAATTTATGAATGTGTTTAATGATTACTGGAGAGATCTAATAATGAATAAAGGTTAAACAAAAAATAGTAATAATGTTCTTTATTTATATGGCTCTCGGAACATTATAAACCTGCCTTCTCAGTCCTTGTAATAAGACCAAATCTCTTAAGTTGGGTTGTTCATATTTTGTTTTAGTCAATGTTCGATGGTTGGCTGATTGAGGTTGAGAATATAGTATAATTGTTTCCTTATCAGGCTATGAATTTTGTGTGCCTGTTCAGCATCTTAATATATACATTACCGGAATTATAACCAAATAAATGTCATGGTTTCCATTATATTAAAGTTTGCATATGCTGTAAAGTAAAGCCATCAGTTCTAAGCCTTAGGAAAGCAACCTGGGAAATTAACCCTAAGGAAAAAATACAGATAGGTCATATAATCACCAACCTAAGAAAATTTGAGTAAAGGCGTATTCCAGTTCCCATTCTAATCCATCCATTGATGGAGTCCTCTCTTTCCCTGCCTCATATTGTCTATTGACAATCACTTATCTGAGCATGCTCTTTAATCTTTGATTCTCATAGTCACAGAAAAGCCTAACACTGAGTGTCCATGGTTCATTGTTAAAGACGTACCTAGCAAACACTTTAAGGGACTATTAAGTATAATTTCAAGATGCTATGTCTTAAACTCCAAGAGTTGTTGGTCTAATCAAAGCTATCTGAAGTGTGGTTCTGTAGAGTCATTTAATTTATTTCTTCACTTTTTCTTTTTTTAATTGACTAGATTTTTCTGTTCCTTATTTACCTCCATTGAGTTTACATGATTTTAGAAGTTGATTTCTAATTATGGTCTAATAAATGAAACCAGGAGTAAATGTAGAGAGATGTAAAAACACTTCCCATTGTGCAAAAAATTCAATGTATACATGCACAAAGAAAATTGAGAGTTGTCTCAAACTAGATGAGCTTCAAACACTGAGACCTCAGCACCAAACTTCATTCCTGGCATAAAAGTTCCTTTAGTCATACTTCTCTCCCCACAGCAAATACATTGCCTCTACTTAAACAACTACTTTCCCCAGCTCATCTTAGAAGCTGAGATGATAGTCAGCAAAGTGCTCTTCCATATGAGACGTGGTCGGGGAATTGTGAAACTTCACTATAGGAAACTTGACAAAGAAAGAATGTGTTTGATATGCCATTTTTTTCTGGTCAGTTATAATTGTGTCCCACTCTTTTTCCAGAAAATCTATTTTTAAAATAATTTTACAATATTTGTTTCAAAATTTTCAATGGTTTTAGAACTAAAATACAGTGCAGTTTTATAACGTCACCCTTCAAGGTTTAATCTAAGCCCCGTCTCTTCAGGGAATCTTCTTCAATTCTTTTATTGACTTCTCTGTCTTTATTTTTTTCAGAGCTAATATGTCTTACATCATTGATTTTATGCATTGCAATATATTGTTACCTAAACAATTCTTCAGACTGTATTATTTCTTCTCATAGTTGATAAGCATTTTGAGAGCGGACTTTTCCCTTTCTTGTTTTTTTGTTTTGTTATTGTTGTTCAATTGTTGGCAAATTTGTTTTGTTTTGCTTCGTTTTTAGTATCTGCTATAGTATTTGATTCAGTGAACAGTTAAAGTGGTGACTTGTTACACTTTTTGAAGTACAGTAATTATCTTTTTCTAAATAAATGTCCTTTTTATATTTTCCTTATTGCTATTCCATTACTCTTTGAATATAAAATATAGTAATCATAGAAATGTTGAAGTGAAAAGAATTTCAGAGATTATCAAATGTTCCTGTCAAATTCTGTCATTAGCTATGGGACCCTCTGCAAGCCACTGATGTGATTAAATCTTCTCTGAGGTCCTTTCAAGCTCTAATATTCTGGTGTGTAGGATTCCTGCCTTCCAATTCATTTTGTCCAATGGTAGTTCACGTATAAAACTTCCTAAAAGCTGATTTCTAGGGGGGTGACTGAGAGGATCCCAAATAGGAAAAGAGTGGTGAGGAAGTAAGGGAAAGAGAAGCTGATGGGATTTCTATTAATATATGAAAGACCATAAAAATGGATGGAACCACACCTGGTATCTGTGGTCCTCAGAAACCCAGTCACCAGGACTTTACCTACCAAGTTTCTACAGAAAAGGAGGGATGCAGAGAGACATTTTCTAGTGTTTGCTTTTATGTTAATGCTAATGACCCCTAGTTTTCTAACACAGAGAAAAGCAAATATATCAAGAGATGTGTTACACATTCTGTATCATGGCCATGAAAATTTGTTAATTGAGTAGGAAATCACAGTTCTGTGAGTTCAGAGTCTGTAGGAAATGAGACCCCGATTTGATATCCCTCAAGTGGTTCTGGTGAACCTGGTTAATCACCATGTGTCTGTTAATGACACTGAGCTTTGAGAGGAAATGCCCTGAGAAGCCTCTGAGGCAAGACAACAATCTTCTTCAGGATGGAAATTAAACTGTACTAATATGTAACATATAATATTCAATATGCATCACACTCTGCCAGAGATGCTTAATTAATTATATATTAATAAATATGTTGTAATTAATTAAGTTTGTGTGTTAAATATTAATTGAATTCTTAACATTGTATGAGGTATATATTATTATTACTGTTATTATTATTATTATTTTGGACATGGAAAAATTGAGAAAAGTTTAAGTGATTTTTTTTTTTTTTTTTGAGACGGAGTCTGGCTCTGTCCACCAGGTTGGAGTGCAGTGGTGCGATCTTGGCTCACTGCAAGCTCCGCCTCTTGGGTTCGCGCCATTCTCCTGCCTCAGCCTCCCGAGCAGCTGGGACTACAGGCGCCCGCTACCGCGCCCGGCTAATTTTTTGTATTTTCAGTAGAGACAAGGTTTCACCATGTTAGCCAGGATGGTTTCGATCTCCTGACCTTGTGATCCGCCCGCCTCGGCCTCCCAAAGTGCTGGGATTACAGGCGTGAGCCACCGCGCCCGGTCAAGTTTAAGTGATTTAACTAACATTGTACCACTAATAAATTATGGAGCCAGGATTTAATCTGGACTTGCTTTCCTTTCTTCCTTCCTTCCCTCCTTCCTTGCTTCCATTTTATATTTCCAGTATGTTTTTAATAGATAATATGTTCCCATGTTTCAAAAATCATAGTACTGTTTTAAATACTATGAATACATAATAGTTGTATATATTTATACAGTACATGTGATGTTTTGATACAGGCATACAATGTGTAATGATCAAATCTGGGTTACTGAGGCATCTATAACCTCAAGCGTTTATCATTTCTTTGTGTTAGGAGCACTCCAGTTCAACTGTTTTAGTTATTTTTAAATATACAATAAATTATTGTTAACTATAGTCACCCTATTGTGCTACCGAATACTAGACCTTATTCCTTCTAACTGTATTTTTGTACCCGTTAACCATATCCTCTTTATATCTCCCTCCCCACTACCCTTCCTAGTCTCCAGTAGCCATCATTCTACTTTCTCTCTCCATGAGTTCAATTATTTTTAGCTGAGATATGAGAAATTGAGTGAGAACATGTGATAGTTGTCTTTTCATGCCTGATTTACTTCACTTAACATGATGTCCTTCAGTTCCATCCATGCTTTTGCAAATAACAGGATTTCATCATTTGTATAGCTGAAAAATATTTCACTGTGTATGTGTACCACAGTTTAATTATCCATTCGTCCGTTGATAGACACTTTGGTTGATTCCATATTTGGCTATTTGAATAGTGCTGAAATAAACATGAGAGAGCAGATATCTCTTCAATATACTGATTTCCTTTCTTTTGGATATGTACCCAGGAATGGGATTGCTGGATTATATAGTAGTACTATTTTTAGTTTTTTAAGGAAACTCCATAATGTTCTCCATAGTGGCTGTACCAGTTTACATTCCCACCAAGAGCATACGAAGGTTCCCTTTTATCCACATCCTCACCAACATTAGTTAGGAAAAAAAAAAAGAAAAAAATACAATGTATGTTTCTTTAGCCAAGCTGTTCAGAAGCTGTCTATTAAGCTGACTTACACAAATATCACATGTTCTCACTCATATTTGGGAGCTAAAAAAATTGAATTCATGGAGAGAATAAAATGATGGCTACTGGTGGCTGGGAAGAGTAGTGGGGAGGGAGAGGTAAAAAGGATATAGCTAATGGGTACAAAAATACAGTTAGACAGAAGGAATAAGGTCTAGTATTCGGTAGCACAATAGGGTGACTATAATTAACAATAATTTACTGTATATTTAAAAATAACGAAATGAGTTGAACTGGAGTGCTCCTAACACAAAGAAATGATAAACGCTTGAGGTTATGGATGCCTCAGTTACCCAGATTTGATCATTAGACATTGTATGCCTGTATCGAAACATCACATGTACCCCATAATATGTACAAAACATTTCAACTTTTACGTTATATTCAGAGGGTACACGTACAGGTTTGTTTCATGGGTATATTGCATGATGCTGAAGTTTGAGGTACAAATGATCTCATCACCCAGGTAGTGAGCATAACTGACTGCTAAAATATCACTTACATTTTCTTATTATTTTACCTGACAATACTTAAGGTGTTCCCATTGCCCTGTGCAGCTGAGATTATGTCATGAATGTTGTAGACCTATGGTAAAATACTTACACATACACCTAGTTATGTGCTGCATGTCTTCCTGACTAAATTGGAAGATTCTCCAGAGCACTAGATTTTGCCTTCCTTTGCATCCTCCACTACTATTGGCACAAAGTTGGTACATTATTTTTGCTGAAATTGTCATGTTCATAATTAAAAATGTAACTGTTTAAATAAAGATATTGATAAGAAATTCTATAAAGAAAGGGTGTATATCAACCTTGATAAGAAGATAAAACTGAAGCATGGTATAATACTAAAATAAAAATAAGGTAATATAATAAAAAAGAATAAATCAGAATAATATCAAAATATATAAAATTGAAAGTGTGCTTTCCATCCCTGCTCTTATCTCTCCAGTTTCCCTTGCATGTATGCATACACATGCACAAACACACACGCATCTGAATCTACTTTATTAATTTTATTTAATTTTTGTTACCATATCTGTGTTTTCTTTAACCAAATACAAGCAGATTTGGTTAGATTAATACTTTTTGCCTCTTATCATTTAAAATGAGTATTCGTTTTACATATCTGAACTTTTTTTTTGTTTACTTAATAGTATGGAAGAGAGCTTTTAATATCAGTACAGAGAGTTCTAATTATTTTTACCATTTCATATTATTTCACTCTATGGATAATTTATTTAATTTGTATCTTATTGATAGGTAATGAAGTTTTCTCCTATTTATTTTATTATAGTGCCACGATAAGTAATAGTGAACATATACCATTTCTTGCATATCCAGACATATTCATAGAATAAATCCTCAGTAATAAGATTTTATTTCAAAAGGTATGCACATTTGTAAATAGAAAATTGCCTTTATAAGTAGTTTAATGTTTATCTAAATGCCTAAATCTTTAGCTTCATAGCTTACCAGTCTCCTAACCAGCATCTTTTTCTTCTAAACTGATGGATGAGTTCCGCTTCTCAGAACACATCATGTTGTTTTACCCTCCACATTTTGCATATGCTCTTCCTTTTGCCTAGAATGCTCTCCCCTCAATCCTGCTGTCCTAAGATCCTATTTTAAGATTCTACTAGACTATCACCACATTCTGTTACATCAATTAACCTTCCTTTATACCTGTCATAATTGGCCAATCCCTCCTCTATATTCCAAAACTAACCTGCAGATACTTCTATCATTGCAGCTCATTTAATATTTCAACAAGTGCATGAGTATCTGTATGCCAGACCTTCTGTTACTTGTTGGCAATAGAGAGTAAATATGATGTATTTCGCTCTACCCTCAAGGAATTCTAGTCTAGAGGGGGGATATAAAGGTATTCAATAAAGGATAGCATAATCATTTCTAATTATAATTATGCTGTGCACTATTAGGAACATGTATAGAATAGCAAAAGAACATATAATGTTGGAACCTTCCCCGGTTGCTGTGGTCATTGGAAGACTTCTTGGAGAAATTCCATCAAGGTTTAGTCCTGAGGGTACATGTACAGGACACAGGCAGGTTGAGAAAATGGATATCATTACACAGATATAATAGCATTTGGGAAAGGCCCCAACAGCATGGAGCCCGGCACACTAGAAGAAAAGGGAAGTTAGTGTTCAAGGGGGAGAAAAATGCAAAATAGGGCTGTGGAGGTAGGCAGAATCCTACATTGTAGTAATTTGTTGCTTTCTATTTCCAAGCCTCACTGCTATTTTTTCTGTAATCCATAAAATAATGCCCATCACATTATAAACTTTTAGTAATAAATATTTGAGAATAAATAAATATATGATATTCATCAATAGTGGATGAAAATTGTCAAAACTAGTATCAGGTCAGGATACTTCACACCTGGAAAAACAAGTGCTGAGCAGTGCCTCCCTTGTGAGGGATATCTAGATCTCTTTGGCAGTCCTTCCTGCTCCCCTCCAGGTGTTCTATCATCTTAATGTCTAGGCTTCCACCAACTGCCACATCTGTGAAAATGCAAGAATTGCAATGCAGAGGAACAGATTTCTAGAAACCAATAGGTCATTTCAGAGTATGGGAGGTAAAGAGACTCTGAGAATTTGCTTCAAGACATAAGGTGATGAGGAAAGAAGGTAGTAAGAGGAAAAAGAGAGACTTCGGTCTGGAAATTACTAGGCTAATAGTCCACATAACTCCACATAAGCCAAGTCTCAGTATGTGGGTCAAACAAGCAAATTCAAAGTTATACAGCAGGGGTAGAAAGAGACAAGAAGAACAAGGGTAACTTTTCTTCTGTAGCTCCAATATAGTCTTCAAGTGCAGACTATATGTTTAGCACCTTTTTATCCACTACATAGAAAAATAAGATAAAACTTCCTCAGCAAATCACCCGAGAAGTCTGTAAAAAGTTCTCACAGCAGAAACTGGATAAAAGTTAAGCAGCTGCTGGTAGTCTGCCCCCACTTAATCAATGCTTCCCCATCACCTCTACAATAGGCCTAATGTTTTTATTATAGTAGCATCCAAGGCTCTGACCACCTCCTATCAGCACAGATTCTCTTTCCACTACTACTAACTTAATATCTTGTGCTCCAGCAATAGTAAACCAAATGCAGCTCCTGAATTCATTGGGCATTTTATGCTCCTCTGCCTTTGTTCATGCTCTTCCCTTCCTGGCTTATTTTACTCCAACCTGTCATCCAGATCTCAAATTCAGCACTACCTCTGATCTCTAAGCTTACTCTGACTTTGCAAGGGACATTCAGACTTGCCTTTTCCTAGGTTCCCATATCACTGAATGCAAATTTATACCATGGCAATTATCTTTCCTCTTGTTAGAATATAATCTCTTCAAGGATAGGAAAGTTGTATTATCATTTCTGTTTCCTCAGTACATCTCACAGATTCTGATATGTAAAAAGGGCCAAAAAACATTTCCTGGATTATCTTTACTGAGAGGAGCCTAAAAGGCAGAAAATCCAACTTATGACAGTCATCTCCTCCCTACTAATTCTGAGATACTTCATCTAGAGAAAAATCCCATCCTCTTATAATTAGACGTATCCTTGGAAGTGCTAGCATAGCTCTTCAATGTGTAATGAAATGCCAATGACTGAAAACAGATTTCTGCTAGAGTGCAAACAGAAAACGAATCAGGACACAAGGGGAGAGAGGTATAACACAAGAAGAGGATGGAAGTATAACAGATTCTATAACCCTGCTTGACCTAATGTCTCATATAGGATTAATTTGTAAGAACATTATATTCCTGGTGATTCAACGAATGCTATGTTGGTTGAGAGTAAGGCATGAAAGGCTAGGAACAAGGGTGGATTACAGTAAAGTGAGAGTTAGAGATGCAAAAAAAGTTGTAGGCATGGTAGTAGAAAGGGCATGTTCTGTTTTGCACCAGGCTGCTCTATTCATGTAGGCAGAATTGCTGGTGTAATATATATGAATGGAGTGACCTGGTGCAAAACAAAACAGAGAGACGAGGCCTCTGGTTGTAATTCGATCTACAAGCTCAGCTCCAACTTGGAATTCTGGCCAAATATTGTCAGGCTTGTTTGTTGTTTCATTTTTCATGAAAATAAATAAATCTATATTTGTTTGTGAAATTTTCCACTATCTAATTTTGGTAATTAACTTGATTTCTTTAAAAATCTTTGAGGGAACACAAAACATGTTGGGAATAGAGGACAGTTGTGGCTTGCAGCCTGCTAACTTACAAACTCTGCTTAGAAGATGATGAGAAAATTAGAATAGAGAAGCTAATTCACATTCCCCAAGCCACAAACCTGGTAAATGGTGAAAATTTAGATTCAAATCAGGCAATCCAGTTTCAATTATGGTGCTCTCGATCCCCACTGCAGGGGTTCCTAGCTGTGTGTGTGTGTGTGTGTGTGTGTGTGTGTGTGTGTGTGTATGTGTGTGTGTGCATATACAAATGCATCGTATATCCCTTTGGAAGTTTGGTGAAGTCTGAACCCTTCTCAGAATAATATCTTGCACGCATAAGATAAAATATACAGGGAATTACAAATGGCCAATAAATATATGGAAAAAATGCTCAACATCACTTATCATCAGGAAAGTGCAAATCAAAACCACAATGATAGGTTGTCTCGCCCTGGTTAGGATGGCTATTATCAAAAAGACAAAATAATAAATTCTGGTGAGGATGTGGAGAAAAGAGAACTCTTTTTTTTTTTTTTTTTTTGAGACGGAGTCTCACTCTGTCACCCAGGCTGGAGTGCAGTGGTGCGATCTCGGCTCACTGCAAGCTCCGCCTCCCGGGTTCACGCCATTCTCCTGCCTCAGCCTCCCGAGTAGCTGGGACTACAGGCGCCCGCCACCACGCCCGGCTAATATTTTGTATTTTTAGTAGAGACGGGGTTTCACCGTGTTAGCCAGGATGGTCTCTATCTCCTGACCTCGTGATCTGCCTGTCTCGGCCTCCCAAAGTGCTGGGATCAAACGTGAGCCAGAAAAGGGAACTCTTATACACTATTGGTGGGAATATAAACTAGCACAGCCACTATGAAGAATGATACAGAGTTTCCTTTAAAAAACAAAACAAAACTACAAATAGAACTACCATATGATCCATCCATCCCACTACTGGGCATTTATCCAAAGGAAAGAAAATCGATATATGAAAGAGACATCTGTAGCCTCATATTTATTGCTGCACTATTCACAATAACCAAGACATGGAATCAACCCGTGTCTGACAGCAGATGAAGAGATTTTTTTTAATGCAGTACATGTATACAATGGAATATTACTCAGCTATAAAAATAATGAAATCATGTTATTTGCAACAACATGTATGGGACTGGGGTACATTATGTTAAGTGAAATAAAGCAGGAACAAAAAGCTGTTCATCACATGTTCTCATTTTTATGTGGAAATTTTAAAAAGTTAATCTTGGCCAGGCACGGTGGCTCACGCCTGTAATCCCAGCACTTTGGGAGGCCAAAGCGGGCGGATCGCCTGTCAGGAGTTTGAGACCAGCCTGGCCGACATGGCAAAACCCTGTCTGTACTAAAAATACAAAAAGTAGCCGGGCATGGTTGCAGGCACCTGTATTCCCAGCTATTCTGGGAGGCTGAGGCAGGAGAATCGCTCGAAGCCCGGAGGCGGAGGTTGCAGTGAGCAGAGATCATGCTATTGCACTCCAGCCTAGGCAACAGGGTGAGATTCCATCTCAAAAAAAAAAAAAAAAAAAAAAACAAAGAAAAAAAAGTTCGATCTTACAGAAGGAAAAAGCAGAATAGAGATTACTAGAGGCTGAAAAATGTAGAGAAAAAAGGAGAAAGGGAGATATTTGTTAAAGGACACAAAATCACAGCTAGATTAGAGAAAAGTTCTTATGTTTTATAGAACTGTAGGATGACTATAGCCAAAAATAATATTCTTTATATGTTCAAATAGCTAGAAGAAAAGATATCAAATACTCCCAACAAAAAATGATAAATGTTTGAAATGATGGGTATGCTAACTACCTAACTACCCTGATCTGATCTCTACATGTTGTATGTATGACATCACTATGTACCACATAAATATGTAGAATTATTGTCAATTAAAAATAAATTAAACTTAAGAATATAAGAACACAAAGAAAATCAATTATACTAAACTGTAGTATTCAAATATTTTTTCAATTGTGATATAGTAATACAAGTGCTTTCTGAACACACTGAATAAGATCTAGTGAGAATCTAATAGCTAAACCAATTTTAAAATAGTAATGATCCATAAACAGAACTAAAAACAAAAACCACATCATTATCTCAGTAGATGCAGAAAAGGCTTTCAATAAAAGTCAGCATTCCTTCATGATAAAAACACTCAACAGACTAGACTTTGAAGGAACATACCTCAAAATATTAAGAGCCATATATGACAAACCCACAGCCAACATTATACTGAGTGGGCAAAAGCTGGAAGCATTCCGCTTGAAAACTGGCACAAGACAAGGATGCCCTCTCTTACCACTCCTATTCAATGTAGTATTGGAAGTTCTGGCCAGGGCAATTAGGCAAGAGAAAGAAATACAGGGCATTCAGATAGGAAGAGAGGAAGTCAAACTATCCCTGCTTGCAGATGACATGATCCTGTATCTGGAAAACCCCATAGTCTCAGCCCAAAAGATTCTTAAGCTGATAAACAACTTTAGTAAAGTCTTGGGATACAAAATCAATGTTCAGAAATCACTAGTATTCCTATACATGAACAACAGTCAAGCTGAGAGCCAAATCAGGAATGAAATTCCATTCGCAATCTAATAGCGAATGTCACAAAAAGAATAAAATACCTAGCAATAAAGCTAACTAGGGAGGTGAAATATTTCTACAAGGAGAACTACAAAACATTGCTCAAAGAAACCAGAGATGACACAAACAAATGGAAAAATACTCCACGCTCATGGATAGGAAGAATCAATATCGTTAAAGGGGCCATACTGCCCAACACAATTTATAGACACAGTGCTATTTCCATCAAACTACCATTGACATTCTTCACAGAACTAGAGAAAACTATTTTAAAATTCATATAGAACCATAAAAGAGACTGAATAATCAAGGCAATCCTAAGCAAAAGTAACAAAGGTGAAGGCATCACGCTCCTTGAATTCAAACTATATTACAGGGCTACAGTAACCAAAACAGTTTGGCACTGGTACAAAACCAGACACATAGACTAATGAAACAGAATAGAGAACCCAGAAATAAGACCACACACCTACAACTATCTGATATTTGACAAACCTGACAAAAACAAGCAATGGAAAATGAATTCTCTATTCAATAAATGGTGTTGGGATAACTGGCTAGCCATATGCAGCAGATCAAAACTGAACTCCTTCCTTACACCATATACAAAAATTAACTCAAGATGGTTAAAAGACTTAAATGTAAAACCCAAGACTATAAAATCCCTGGTAGACAACCTAGGCAATACCATTCAGGGCATAGGCAAGGGAAAAGATTTCATGATGAAAATGCCAAAAGCAATTGCAACAAAAGCAAAAATTGACAAATGAGATCTAATTAAACCAAAGAGCTTCTGCACAGCAAAAGAAACTATCAACAGAGTAAACACACAACCTACACAAAAGGAGAACATTTTTTCAAATTATGCATCTGATAAATGTCTAATATCTGTCATTTATAATGAACTTAAACAAATTTACAAGAAAATAACAACCCATTAAAAAGTGAGCAAAGGACATGAACAATTTTCAAAAGAAGACATACATGCAGCCAATAATCATATTTTAAAAACTCAACATCACTGATTATTAGAGAGATGCAAGTAAAAACCACAATAAGATACCATCTCACACTAGTCAGAATGGCTGTTGCTAAAGAGTCAAAAAATAACAGATGTTGTCGAGGTTGTAGAGAAAAGGGAACGCTTACACACTGTTGGAGGGGGTGTAAATTAGTTCAGCCATTGTGCAAGACACTGTGGCAATTCCTCAAAAAGACCTAAAGACAGAAATACCATTTAACCCAGCAATCCCATTACTGGGTATATAGCTAAAGCAATATAAATTATTCTATTATGAAGACCTATGCATGTATATGTTCATTGCAGCTCTATTCACAATATCAAGGACATGGAATCAACCTAAATGCCTATCAATGATAGACTGGATAAAGAAAATGTAGTACATATACACCATGGAATACTATGCAGCCATAAAAAGAATGAGATCATGTCCTTTGCCAGGACATGGATGGAGCTGGAAGTCATTATCCTTAGCTAACTAACACAGAAACAGAAGACCAAATACTGCATGTTCTCATGTATAAGTAAGAGCTAAACATTAAGTACACATGGACACAAAGAAGAACAACAGACAGTGGGGCCTTTCAGAGGGAGGAGGGTAGGAGGAGGGAGAGGATCAGGAAAAATAACCAATGATTAGTAGGCTTAATACCTGGGTGATGAAGTAATCAGTGCAGCAAACTCCCATGACACAAGTTTACCTGTGTAACAAACCTACACTTGTACCCCTGAACTTAAAAGTTAAAAAATAAAATGAAATAGTGATCTTTAACAATCCTGTGAGATGTCTGCAACAGCTTTTTATGACATAAATCTATTTGTGATGACATTATTACAAGTATTGATAATACTGATTACATTCATAATTGAAAGAAATGTTACAGGTCAATTAGATATTAGTAAAAAAAATACATGTGTGATTTTTTTCACCTAGGTCCCCAGACCTCCTGGATTCTATTCATAGACCTCTTGAGAGTATATGATATACAGATGAAGAATTCAACCTGTGCTCCACTGTTCCTCATGCTCACATTTATGTTTTGGAAATACTTCTTGCTGTTATGTGGAGAATGAAGATGGGAAACCATGAGGAGAAAGGTAGAGAGGCCAACTCGCAGGTCGTTGCAATGGTATTGACTAAGCAGTACTCTATGTACTACCCTATAATAGTATACTGTGAGGTGGTACTACTAGCAGTGGCAGCAGAGATGAAGAGACATAAATTAAGTCAATACATATTTTTAAAATAGGAGGACTATTTAGTGGATTGTATGGAGTAGTGGATGAGAAAAAAGGGGGAATCAAAATTGTGAATTTATTAATAGCTAATTATTTATTTGACTACATCCATTTTTCCTCTCATTCTACCTCCAATTTCTTTTCTTTGTACCTCTGACTCATCTTCCTTCTTTGATGACAAGGGCTCTAGAGTGAGTCACCTAAACTGCAGTCTGAGGAAGAGTCAAGGGTACTGCAAATGTGAGAGCCATATTCAGATATTGGCATGTGTAACATGTTGAAGAATGGCTAATCTGACATGCTGTATTTATGCAGAAATTTTAACCAGGCTCCATGAGTAAGGCTTTGAGGGCACAGTTCAGGGCTTAACTGATTCCCCCCAAATGAGCTCCACTACCAGAAATTCCCTGGTAGAGATTAGATATTTATTCTCCAGCTTTAGGACTTTATTAGTCAGATGAAATATCTTACTTCATGCTTTAATTTTATGGTTTTATTTTTAACAATTTCCTGAACAGTACATTCTACCATGTCTCAAAATAAAAAATTTATTATATTTTTATAAATCTGGACAAAGTCTGCCTTATTTATTAACGTGTTTTTAAAAAATTCAATAGATAACTATTAAGTCATTTACTTCTCAGTTAATATATATAAGACAGCTTTTCCATTACTATCTTTTGAATGGGTAAGATATGAGGGACAAAATACTTCAGAGTTTTTAACTATGTTTATTTAATTTAAAATCATTGTGAAAAAAACAAAAAACAAGACATTGACCTATTGAACATAGTGTATTTATTATTTTTCCCTTTTATGCAATCTTGGCATATTCTTCAATTCAAAATAAGAAACCCCAAAAGTATAATACTTCTTTGGAAAAATATGCAAAGGCCAACACATACAAAGGACAATGCTAAACAGAAATGCATCAAAGACTAATAATAATTGACAAAAATCCAGTATTTTAACAATAATTAATACTAGGTAAATCGATACATCCTATTACAGTATGAAATTCTGCCATTTAATTTCAAGTAAGAACCCTTATTTCCATTCTAGTACCTGCTATCTTATGCATGTTTAACACAACAGCAAAAATAACAAAAATATAATTAGTTAGTATTTATTAAAGCATTAATGAACACCAAGCATCGTTAAATATATTACATGTATTTTTGCTTAATTTTCACAACATTACTAATGGTTAAATATTATTACCACATTTTGTAGGTAAAAAAACTGAGGCTTAGAAACATTGAAAAAAACTTGCTCAACGTTGCAAAACAAGAAATTTGTGACACTGGAATCGACACCTACCACAGACTGATCTAACTGATTGCTGGATACATGTCCCTCAAAGACAGAGAAACAGATTTTGTATTTTAGTGGATCTCCGGCACCCAGCGAGGGCCTGAAACAGAGTAGATGTTCAACAAATAATTATTGAACTAAAGATTGACATTTCAGGAGCAGAGATTTATATCCAAAAACAAAGATGAGAATTTTGGCAGAAAAGTCAAAATGAGGTAAAAGTACATTTCCACCTTAACCTTTTTTTTATTTGCTTAGCTGACATAAGGAAGAGTTTATAATTTGTTAAAATGAACTAGTGTTTCAAAATTAAAATGTGGTTTTCTATCTAGCTCCAACACTACATTCCTTCATAAGCTTCTGCACATTATTTAATGTTAAATATTTGGCTTGGAGGTTGTGTTGAAGCATGTTTTACAATTATCTTGGACTTTTAAGTGGCAAAACTATTAATGCCATTTCTTTCTTTGCAAGGCAAAGTCGTGTTTTTCTCATGCTACTCGCTGTTCAAATCTATGATGACCGATTGCTTCCAGAACTCTTTTTATATACGTCAGTCATTTTAAGTAGACACATTTTTATCAGTATATCAAAATACCATGCAGTCTAACCTAGTTTTGTCACCCCAACCATATTAGTAATGAAAAACTGGAAAACGTTCTATTCGTTTTTCTGTCATATGTCTTAACAAGCTGCAGTCTTAGAGACATCCTAAAACTAGAATATCGAATTTAACCTGCTAGTGACTTTTTTTGAAAGACGTTATTCTTCAAAGGCATACTACTTTAATATAAGATGTATTTTGGGAAGAAGTTATGGGGAAATAGAAATGACATTTTTAGAACCCATTCTGTGTACTTTCCATAAAACAGTCATGATAAATATTTAATTTACCTTTTACAATCTTTTTAGAGATGAGAAAGGGAGAGAGGTAAAGTCAATCCCCAGGGATTATACAACTAGGAAATGACAGAATCAAGATTTAATTCCAGGGTCCATGTTTGTCTAGAGAAATGTCTTTGCCCCTTACAGTAATTCAGCCTTAAATCTGTCCTGTGAATTCTCTGGACCTTCAATACTTCAGCTGTTAGAAAATTGGATTGGCTGGCTGATTTCCAAAGACTGTCTTGTAATAAAAAATCTATTTAACATGATCAATAATATACCAAATTAGGGAGAATCATGCTATGTATTTCTTAAATTCTTTTTTTCCTTTCTTTCCACAGGTTACATTATGTTGAAAATTAGACACAAAGCTTCTTCTAAGACTAATAATATGCTGCAATATTTATTTTGGAAATGAAAAACTTATGATTAATTTAATAGCTAATATTTTTCCCAAACATTGAGTCTTGGTAGTCAATAAGTTCATCATACTTATAATTTTCAGCCAGATTTTGAAAGCCAGTCAGATTTGAGTAGTTTACTGTCTATGATTTAAACTTTACAAATTATTATTTGATTATTTGCTATATTAATTATGAAGTGTGACAGTGGTATAAACACCTATTAAGAAACTGTATTGTTAAATTTCTGAATCTTTGAACTGTTCTCTTATTTTCAAAGTTGACACAGAACTTGAAAAACTGAACCCCTTAAATCAAGATTGTTGAACATTACCTAAAAGAATCTCTTCACAGTATAAATTTTCCCATAAAAGTATTTCCAGTGTTATACTTGTTTTGTCCTACACTGCTAATTATAGTTCTAAATTAATCTAAACACCATCAGAGTACCACAAGGCTGTACAGAATGGGAATATTCTGGATTAGAAAACAGGAGATTCATATTTTATCTCAGGCTTTTTTAAGTAGTCTTAATCCGAGGTATGTTTGTAGGATCCAGAGGTCTATGAAGTCCTGAATTTATGTTCACAATTTTGATGATATGTTCATTTTTCTATGAAAATAACCTTTACATTTCACCAGATTATCAAATAGACCCATAACTCAAAAGGTTTGTAAACACTGCGCTAACTTTTCATCAAGATGTCGCACGTTTCTTATCCCTGACTTCTTTTCATAAATCTAAACTAAATGATTTGAAAAGTAAATTCTAAGTTTAATTTTTTGATTGCTCTAAGAGCATAACTGTTGATATTATATCTCACAAAGGAGATCTCTATTCATTGCATGAAGAATCACGGAGCAGTTTTCCCAAGACTGAAATACTGAATATTCAGTTTCTTCTTCATTGCTGTCTTCACTTCCTGGTTTCTCAAAGTATAGATAAGTGGATTCAGAAAGGGAGTGAAGATGGTATAGAAAACAGAGAGAATTTTGTCTACCAGGAAGTTTGTGGAAGGCCACACATAAATGAAAATACAGGGCCCAAAGAACATTAACACAACAATAAAATGTGCTGTACAGGTAGAAAGAGCCTTGGAGGATCCTGTGGAGGAGTAGTCCCTGACAGTAATAAGAACAATGATGTAGGAGGTGAGCAAAAGCAGAAAACTTATAAGAGCAATCACACCACTGGTTGAAATCATGAAGATCCCAAGAACATAAATATCCATACAAGCTAGCTGGATGACCAAAGGAAGATCACAGAAAAAACTCTACAACATTGGGACCACAGAAGGGCAAATAGAGGGTAAAAGCTAATTGGCTCATTGTATGCAGAAAGCCCACTGTCCAAGAAACGGCCACAAGCTCAACACACACTCTTTGGCTCATAATTGTTGAATAATGGAGAGGTTTACATATGGCAATATACCTGTCAAAAGACATGGAGATCAGCAGCACAATCTCAGTCCCGGTGAAGAGGTGCAAAAAAAGATCTGAGAAATGCAGCCTTCAAAAGAGATGGTCTTACGCAGAGCAAAAAAGTCCATAATCATCTTTGGTGTGGCAAAGGAGGACAGGCACATGTCAATGAGAGACAGGTTGCTGAGCAGGAAGTACATGGGAGAGTGAAGGTGTGAGGTGGATAGCACAGTGAGCAAAATCAGGCAGTTGCCCAACATGGTCATTAAATAGAAGACAGAAAATACCACAAAAAAGAATCTCTGGAGTTCAGGAGAATCAGTAAGTCCAAGTAACATGAATTCAGATACTCTGGAACAGTTGAACCCCTCCATTCATCTGCAGACTCGGCTTTATAATTGTAAAAGGAACAAAATTACAGAGTTTGAAAATGTGATATTTCTACAACCACATATTAACTTATCATTCGCTAAAAGATTGATTAACTAGAATCCAACTAAAAATTCTCAGGGTAAACATTTTTGGGGGGAATCACTTAACAGTTGCTACCAGATATAATCTGAAAAGTTTAACCTCTTGGTTTTGACCAGCATCAGTACACGTTGAGCTGTAGTCATCACATGCCCACACAATTATATACCTATCTGAATACTACTTAACGAGTTATATAATACACATTTATTGAGGCAGATCATTACATTTGTGTGCTTTACTGAATAAGGCATATAAATAAAACTAAAAATAAAATAAGTGTTGAACTCTCAAAGGTTTCTCTTACACACAAAAATGTGAATATTTTGAATCGACTATTGTTAAACACTAGACTTAACTAAGACTTTACTATAATGATTTCAGAAGATCCATTTAATATCTTATGAGGGTGATAAATTATTTAATTTTTAATTTCTTAATTCCATAAGACAACTGATAACCAAAAGGCATACTTGTAACCTACAAGAGTTATTCTCCACTTCTGGTAATTTATTATTTCATAGAAACATGTTTTAAAAAGAGAATCTCCTTCCTTTAATTCTTTTCATTCTACCCAAAGCTATATTTTAAACTAGAAAAAACAAACAAAAAAGATACATTAAGAACTCAGAATTATTTTTCAAAATTAATTTTTTCATTTACAGTGCTTCCCAAGTTCTAGAAATTTTATTTCCTATGGAATATCAATGTCTTTACCAAACAGTCAAAAATGTGGTACAAAGCAAATGAAACTTAGCCCTAGTAAATGAAAGTTAATTTTGTGACCAGGTAGGGTTTACTTTGCCAGCCACCTAATGAAATTTAAGCCTTTGACTACAGAAATTTTAGCTGGATAACTGGAAAGTTGTCTGGGTTACCGGAAAATTTGATGAGACCAAAATTAATTAAGTAAAAAAATATAGTGTTAGATCAGGCATTTATAAGTCTATATGCATCTAAATCATTTTTTTAGCTAAATTGCTTTTTTCACATGGAAAACTATATGAATTCCCTTGTTATATTACACATTTGAATATTTCACTTTATACATTTGAATATTTATCTAGTTTTGATAATAATTTAACTATAATAGATAATGCAATTTTATCTAATCCTGTATTCTAACTTATCCGTCTTTGAAAATGCAATATTTCATTCCTTCTTCAATAAAAGTTTTCAAGGTACACTAAAAAAGATTTCATTATGTCAGTGAAACATGGTAAACGAATGTCAAAAATTTTAAAATATCAATATACTAATATTTAAGTTATAGTCTATATTAATATGCTCAGAAAAGAATAAAATCATTGTTATAAACTCAAAGAATGAAAAAATGGAAGAAGAGTCAAAAAATGGGCCGGGCACAGTGGCTCATGCCTGTAATGCTAGCACTTTGGGAGGCTGAGGCAGGCGGATGGTTTGAGCTCAGGAGTTTGAGACCAGCCTGGCCACCATGGCGAAACCCTGTCTCTACTAAAAATACAAAAATTTGCCAAGCATAGTGGCACACACCTGTAATCCCACACCCGCTTCTCGGGTGGCTAAGGCAGGGGAATCCTTTGAACCTGGGAGGCGGAGGCAGAGGCTGCAGTGAGCCGAGAACATGCCACTGCACTCCAGCTTGAGCACTGAGTACCTGTCTCAAAAAAAAAAAAAAAAAAAAAGAAGATAAGAACTATTTGACTTTTATTTTCTTCATTCTCTTCCATTAATTTATTCCCAATGATCCTTCCAAAAATTCTTGAAAATAAATAATAAAAAAGAAAATCTTGCATTATGAATGCCTGAGACTACTGACTATTGAAATTTTAGATTGTAGATCAATACACATATAAATTTAACTGTCTGACAGTGCCAATGTATCAATTCCGTGAAAAAATAAGTTTTATGATTATGTGCCCCCTTTTTTCTGAATTAACTGATTGGCTGATTAAATTTGCAGATTAGCTGACTGCTTTTAGTTAAAAGTAGTGGCATGGTTTCTAGTCTAAAGAAAAAGTCTTACCTGATTTGTAGTAAAAACTAAAACAAATGTTCCAAAACAATTTTGGCTTCTTTTTTGGTTAACTATCACAAATTTTACATTGACTACACATTCTGACTTTAGAATAGAAGGATTATAGCAATTGTTCTGTTGCAGCAACTTTCAGAGTCCAGTTAGAAGTGGAAAAATAAAAATGGGAAAAAACCTGATTCATTTTTAAAATTTTTAATTTGTTTTTAATTGTTGCTGTGCAGAAGCAAATGTACTGGAAATGAATTGTACTCAGTTAATTACAATTTACCGTATTATTCCATCCTTAACTCATTCTGTGATTGAACACTGAATATCAAAATTTTAAATATTACCTTCACGGCTAGGTGCAATGGCTCATGCCTGTAATCCCAGCACTTTGGGAGGCCGAGATGGGTGGATCACTTGAGGCCAGGAGTTCAAGACCAGCCTGGCCAACAATGGTGAAACCCCGTCTCTACTAAAAATACAAAAATTAGCCATGTGTGGTGGTGGGCACCTGTAATCCCGGCACCTGTAATCCCAGCTACTCGGGAGGCTCAGGCAGGAGAATTGCTTGAACCCAGGAGACGGATATTGCATGAGCCGAGATCATACCACTCACTCCAACCTGGGAGACAGAGCAAGACTCCATCTCAAAAATAAAAATACAAATAAATGTTACCTTCAGCAATATTTTTCCTTTAGATGACCTCATGTTTTCCCATGTGGAGGAAAATCTGGTTACATCTCCATTTATCTGCACATATTTAAACTGTTTTGTCAATATTGAAAAATTATTTTGGCCGGGTGCGGTGGCTCACTCCTATAATCCCAGCACTTTGAGAGGCCGAGGTGGGTGGATCACGAGGTCAGGAGTTGAAGACCAGCCTGGCCAACATGGTGAAATCCCATCTCTACTGAAAATAAAAAAAATTTGCTAGGCGTGGTGGTGCATGCCTGTATTCCCAGCTACTTGGGAGGCTGAGGCAGGAGAGTTGTTTGAACCTGAAAGGCGGAGGTTGCAGTGAGCCGAGATGGCACTATTGCACTCCAGCCTGGATGACAGAGCTAGACTCCATCTCAAAAAAAAAAAGAGAAAAATTATTTTTAAATTTTGTCGTAGAATGATATTCGAGAATTCTTAAAAGGAGTCTATTGCCCAGCAGTTAAGAGTAGTTAGGGTATTCTTGACTTCACTTATGTCTCAGTAGCCTAAGATTTGACCTCTACTTGTTAGAATTATATTAGATGGTCTATGTAAAGCTTGAAGCATATTTTCTGGGCAAAATTTAAGGAACTTTCTAGGTTTCAAAATCCAAATTTAAGAATGCTGTTCAGAAATAATCAGTGTGTTTTAATATTAATAACATGCAATAAAAATTCTAATCTATTTAACTTCAGAGGTTTAGAAAAAGACCATGTACTACCAAAATAATTTCATCTGTTTGAAATTGCATTTTCCATATGAAAATGGCACAAGTTCCTTTTATATTAAATGCATTGAAAACCCTCAGCTTCACACATTTGAATATTTCTATTTTACTACAATTTGTTTACTAATGGGAACTACACTTATATTGATTTAAACATATACATAAATTTATATTTATATTTTTTCTCCTTTTCATCACCAGAAAGAATGCTTTAATTCCTATTTAATGGAACCATCCATTTTTGTCTTTAAGTCATATATAATTTTTTCTTTACTATTCCTCCATTATTTCTGTTTTATATAATTATTAAATAAATGTCAATTGTTTTGCTATCTGAAGAATGCAAACCACAACTGCTTCTGAAGACCCTTACTATCATATCTAGCTTTTAACCTACCAGTTATGCACCTAGCATCAAAAACACCATTTCCTCCGAGGTTGACAAGCCTACTGAAATCACCATAGTTCTTTAGTAAGCGTCAGAAGCCTGGAGTATGGATGTATATTTTTCTCCTGTCTTTATATAAAACCCCTTAGAAAGCAGTGACATTGATTAGATCAGGGATTAAACACTATAATCTACTTGCAGTGGGAGTCATTAAAATGTTGACCCAACTTTTCACAGAGTTGCAACAAGAATTGTGAAGTGTGTCTTTGCTATTTAAAGTGGGAATGCACTCCTGTGATGTAGCAATGTTCATTGGAGAAAAGCACAACTGGGACTGGCCTAGGAGAAGAAAACATTGAAGCAGTCATTTACAGAGCATATGGGGAACAAAAAATTACTCCTTAATTATGGAAATATTCCCATATTTATGCCCCAATGTTCAAAATACCGTAATTGGAAAATTATTCTTTTAGGCTAAGGCAATTTTTCTCCAGCAAATACTTGCTTACTGGAAGTTGCGTATTAAAGGAAGAATCATGCATTAAAGTTTCTGACAATACATTAAAAAATTAGCACAAACTAATACTGATAGCTGTTTCGAGGGATAGGTGAATCATAGAAAGGGGGATGTTGGAAAGTCCATCATAGCCAGGAGAAGAGAAGAGAGGTAGTATGGAGTACCTTAGACGAATAGTGTAAAAATTAAATTATAGAAATAAACTTTAAACATTCAGTTCATTGCTTACTACAAGGAAAGTATTTAATATAGTAGAAATAATAGCAGAGATGTTTATAATAATTATCATTATTTTTGAAGTGTTCATAATGGATTATCCAGGAAGATATAGATGTGGATTCACAACCTAAAACCATAAACCAAGGGTCTTGCCATATTTACCTGCAGGTCAATCATTTATCTGTGGCTTGCTCTCTAAGCACAACTTGTTTCCCAAATACCTCAAAGACTGAACTCTTCACAACTGTCATATCCATCCTACATTCCCCACAGGTCTGGCAATAGAGCCCAAGAAAATCTTCCCTAGCTGACCACATTTCTAGCACTCTTTGAAATAAGGAAGCAAGTTTAGTTTTAAGATGTTTTTCCTTCTACGAAGAAAAAGGAAATGACTTTTTAAAAAATTAACAAAACTGGTTAAAGATTTAATAGTTTTCTAATTGTCCCTTGGTATCCACAGAAGATTGGTTCCAGGACCCCCGCTGATACCAAAATCCATGGATGCTCAAATCCCTGAGTTAAAATGGCATGATATTTGTATACAATCTAAACACATCCTCCCATATACTTTAAATCATCTTAGATTACTTATGATGCCTAATGCAATATAAATGCTATGTAACTAGTTGTTATACTGTATCACTTTCTGAATTTGTATTATTTGTATTGTTTTTTATTAATATTTTGGATCCACTATTGGTTGAATCCAAGAATATAGAACCCACAGAAAAAGAGGGCTAGCTGTAAATCTAAAATATGTATCCCATTGTAAAACAAAAAATAAGGATATATAATAATTATTAGAGTAATCCTGGAAAACTGTATAAATCCTGGAAAACAGGTATAATTATTATTAGAGTAATACTGGAAAAGGCAAGAGAATAAACAGAAAAAGAATAGAAATAAAAAATAATTCATAAAGAGAGAGCATGAAGGAGTTTTTTGGTATTAGTAACCTGTTCTATATCTTGGTTGCGGTGCTGATTACATAATCTGTATATGTGCTAAAATTAATGGATTGTTTACCAGAACAAAGAAAAGGTCCATTTTACTTTAAGATAATTTTATAAAGTAGAATTTTAAAAAGTAAACCCAGATAATTCAGTACAAGGGCAAATTTCAAAATGAGAATATAAATTCAATAACCTTCTTATAAATTATTCAACAATTAAATATATTTAACTTAAATATATTGAACTTAAATATATTTAATTGTTAAATAAATATATTTAACATTATATTAAATATGTAATATGTTAAAATGTAATATGTTAAAATGTAGCCAAAAAGAATCTATTAAGATGAACAATAGGCTATATAAACTAAATAGGAATAATCTTAAACAGAAATGTGTTGTTTATAAATGACAAAAGCTATACTATTCTAAAAAAAGAAAAAAGTTGACAAATAAATTTAAATACTTATGGTATTGGAGGAAAATGCAACATCATTCAACACATACATTTTCCCTCCTATAAAATAAAATTCAATAAACCATGAGATATTTTTGAGTTCACAAAATAATTTTCAAAATTTGTCTGAAGGCAAATCAGATTAAAGTATTCAAGAATTAGAAATATTATTTCATTTTGTTTGTTTGCTTTATGTTTTGGTTTTTAGCTAACTTAAACTTTTTTTATTCATACAAATTCATGGGATACGTGTGGAATTTTGTTACATGTATGTAATGCATAGTGATTAAGTCAGGATATTTAGGGTGTTCGTCACTCCAGTACGATACTTTTTAAAGTGTAGTTATGCTACTCTGCTATCAAACATTCAATTTATTCCTCCTATCTTATCCTTTAGTGCACTTCTCTTTGTTCTTTCCCCTGCCCTTTCCACTCACTCTTCCCAGTCTCTGTGATCTATTTTTCCACTCTCTACCTCCACGTGATGAAATTTTTTTAGCTCCTGCATATAAGTGAGAACACGGGATAGTTACCATTTTGTGCCTGGTTTATTTCACACCAGTTTTATCCATGTTGCTGCAAGTGACATTATTTCATTCTTTTTTATGGCTGAATAATATTCCATTGTGTATATACACCACATTTTTTGTTGGTTTGTTTTGTTTTCTGTTTTATTTTTTCATGATTTTTATTGCAGGATATCATCATGAAATATTCTGTATTTTGTATGTTACTGGCTTGATAATAGATCATGCTCAGAAATTATTTCAGAGCTTCATCACCTCTTCCAAGCACCACTTGGGACCTGAGTACCCCAAACATTGCTGGGTACACCTGCACATCATGCTACTGCCCCTGCCCACCAGCACATCCCTGGCTGCTGAGCTGTCCACCTTGCCATCCTCACTGGTCAACATTTCTGCATGCAGTTTGAAGAGCTTTGCAAAATCCCTCACCAACTTCACAAACCCTGAGTCTTTTAACTATCAGCTTCATAAGCCCAAACCCCCACTTAGGTTGGTTTCATATCTTTGCATTGTGAATAGTACTGCAATAAACATGTGAGTGCAGGTAACCCCTTGATATATTGTTTTTTTTTTCCCCTTTGAGTAAATACCCAGTAGAAAAATTGCTGGATCCAATGGTAATTTTATTTTTACTTTTGTAAGGAATCTCCATAATGTTTTCCACAGTTGCTATACTGGTTTACATTCCCACCAACAGTGTAGAAGAGTTCCTTTTTCAATCTGTTATATTTTGTTTTGTTTTGTTTTGCTTTGTTTTTGTTTTTGTTTTTAGTAATAGTCATTATGACTAGGGGAAAATAATATTTCATTGTGGCTTTGATTTGCATTTCTATAATGATTAGTGATGTTGAGTATTTTTTCATATATCTTTTGGCCTTTTGTATGTCTTCTTTTGAGAAATGTCTATTTATATCCTTTGGCCACTTTCCAGTGGAATTATTTTTTTTCCTGTGAGTTGTTTAGGTTTTTTGTAAATTCTAGGTATTAGCCCACTATTAGATGAATAGTTTGCAAATATTTTCCTCCATTCAGGAGGTTGTCTCTTCGCTCTGCTGATTATTTCTTCTGCTGCTCAGAAGCTTTCTAATTTAATTAAGTCCCATTTGTCTATTTTTATTTGTGTTGCTTGTGACTTTTGAGATGTTAGTCATAAATTCTATGCCTAGACAAAAGTCCAGGAAATTTTTCCCTAGGTTTTTTCAAGTATTTTTATAGTTTCAGGTCTTATGTTTAAGTTTTTAATTTACTTTGAGTTGATTCCTGTATATAGTGAGATAGTGGTCCAGTTTCATTCTTCTGGATGTGGCTATCCAATTTTCCCAGCACCATTTATTGAAGAGTGTGTCCTTTCCCCAGTGTCAGCTTTGTTGAAGATCAAATCTGCAAAAAAATTATAAAACCGTAATATCTAAGTAATATTGGAGAAGCACAGAAAACAACTGACAATTAATATAAGGGACTTGAGAACAACAAATTATATATAGACCAAGTATATATAAGACCTTACAATATTATACTGTGAATATGTTACCTGAATTGCCAAAAGGGACTTTGTAGATGGATTTAAGGTTGCTAATCAGCTTGCCTTACAATAGAGAGATTATCCAGTATTAACAGAATGAGCTCAATAAAATCACAGAAGTCATTAAAAGTAGAAAAGAGGTTTTGTAGATAGCAACAAACTAACTCAAAAGTTTCATGGAAAGGCACAAGACTTAAAATAGATAACATAATACTGAAGAAAAAGAGCAAATTTGGAGGATTCATACTGCTTGACATCAAGACTTAATATAAAGTTACTCTAATTAAGACATCATGGACTAGATATGGTGGCTCGTGCCTGTAATCCCAGAACTTTGGAAGGACGAGGCAGGAAGATCACTTGAGCCCAAGAGTTGAAGACCAGCCTGGGAAACATAGTGAGATCTCCCATCTCTACAAAAGAATTAAAAATTACTCAGGCAAGGTGGTGCACACTTATAGTACTGACTACTTAAGTGGCTGAAGCAGGAGGATCACTTGAGAAAGGAGGTTGAGATTGCAATGAGCCATGGTCACACCACTGCACCCTGCCAAGGAGACAGAAACAGTGTCTCAAAAAATAAAATAAAATAAAATAAAATAATAAAATAAAACAAAACAAAATAAAATAAAATAAAATAAAATAAAATAACAGTACAATATTGGTGACAGAATAGACATTTAAATCAGTGAAACAGAAAACAGAGCCTAAAAATAGACCCACAGAAATAGAGTCAATTATTTTCAACAAAGGTGCAAGGGCAATTTAATAGAGAAAAGATAGTTTGGGAACAAATGAATCATATACCTATTCTGTTCCATTGTTATATGTGTCTGTTTTGGTTACTGTAGCCATGCTGTTTTGGTTACTGTAGCCCTGTAATATAGTTCGAAGTTGGGTAACATGTTGCCTCTAGCTTTGTTCCTTTGCTTAGGATTGCCTTGGCAGCTTGGACTCTTTGTTGGTTCCATATGAATTTTAAAATAGTTTTTCCTAGTTCTGTGAAGAATGTCATTGATAGTTTGATAGGAATAGCACTGAATCTATAAATTGCTTTGGACAGCATGGCCATTTTACTAATATTGATTCTTCTTATCCACGAAACCTCAGTTTCATGAAATGGTTTCGGTTGAAATGGTATCAGCTCTTATTTGTACATCTGGTAGAATTTAGAGGTGAATCTGTCTGGCTCAAGGCTTTTTTAGGTTGGTAGGCTATTTATTACTGATTCAATTTCAGAGTTCATTATTGGTCTGTTCAGAGATACAAATTCTTCCTGGTTCTGTCTTGGGAGGGTGTATGTTTCCAGGAATTTATCCATTTCTTCTAGATTTTCTTGTTTGTGTGCACAGAAATGTTCAAAATATTCTCCAATATTTATTTGTATTTCTGTGGCGTCAGTGATAATATCCCCTTTGTCATTTCTAATTGTGTTTATTTGGATCTTTTCTCTTTTCTTTTTTATTAGTCTAGCTAGTGGTCTGTTTTGTGAATTTTTCAAACAATTAATTCCTGGATTGGTTGATATTTGGAATGTTCTTTTTGTGTCTCAATCTCCTTTAGTTCAGCTCTGATTTTGGTTAGTTTTTGTCTTCTGCTAGCTTTTAGGTTGGTTTGCCCATGGTTCTTTGGTTCTTTTAGTTGTGACACTTAGTTGTTAGCTTGAGATCTTTCTAACTTCTTGATGTGGGTGGTTAGTGCTATAAATTTCCCTCTTAACATTGCCTTAGCAGTGGCCCAGAGATTCTGGTATGTTGTATCTTTGTTCTCATTAGTTTCAAATAACTTCTTGATTCCTGTTTTAATTTCATTATTTACCCAAAAGTCAGCCAGGAGCAGGTTATTCAATTTCTATGTAATTTTATAGTTATGAGCAATTTTCTTAGTCTTAATTTCTAATTTTGTTGTGCTGTGGTCCAAGAGAATGGTCGTTATAATTTCAGTTCTCTTGCATTTGCCAAGGAGTGTTTTATGTTCAGTTGTGTGGCTTACTTCAGAATATGTGCCATGGGGTGATGAGAAGAATGTATATTCTGTTGCTTTTTGGTGGAGAGTTCTGTAAACATCTCTCAGGTCCATTTGATCCAGTGCTGAGTTAAGGTCCTGAATATCTTTGCTAATTTTCTGCCTCAGTGATCTGTCTAATACTGTCAGTAGGGTGTTGACGTCTCTCATTATTATTGTGTGTGAGTCTAAGTCTCTTTGTAGGTTTCTAAGAATTTGTTTGAATCAGGGTGCTGCTGTGTTAAGTGCACATTTATTTAGGATAGTTAGCACTACTTGTTGAATTGAACCCTTTGCCATTATGTCATTATCCTTTTTTGTCTTTTTTTATCTTTGTTGGTTTAAAGTCTGTTTTGTATGAAATTAGGATTACGATCTCTATTTTTTATGTTTTCTATTTACTTAGTAGATTTTCTTCCATCCCTTTATTTTGAGCCTATGGGTGTCATTGCATATGAGCCTATGGGTGTCATTGCATGTGAGCCTATGGCTGTCATTGCATGTGAGCCTATGGGTGTCATTGCATGTCTCTTGAAGACAGCATACCATTGGGTCTTGCTTTTTTATCCAGCTTATCACTCTGTGCCTTTTAATTGGGGCATTTACCCCTTTTACATTCAAGGTTAGTATTGATATGCGTAGAATTGATCCTGTCGTCTTGCTGTTAGTTGGTTACCATACATACTTATTTGTGTGGTTGCTTTATAGTGTCATTGGTCTGTGTTTTTCAGTGTATTTTTGAAGTGGTTGGTAATGATATTTCCTTTTCTTATTTAGTGCTTCCTTCAGGAGCTCTTGTAAGGCAGGTCAGTCTGGTAGTAACAAATTCCCTCAGCATTTGCTTGTCTGAAAAGGATCTTATTTCTCCTTCACTTATGAGGCATAGTTTGGCCAGATGTAAAATTCTGGGTTGGAATTTCTTTTCTTTAGGAATCTCAAATATTGGCCCCCAACCTCTTCTGGTTTGTAGAGTTTTTGTTGAGAGCTATGCTTAGTCTGATGGGCTTCCCTTTGTAGGTGACCTGACCTTTCTCTCTAGCTGCCTTTTGCATTTTTTTCTTTCATTTCAACCTTGGAAAATCTGATAATTATGTATGCTGGAGGTGATCTTCTTGTGAAGTGTCTTACATGGGTTTTTGTATTTTCTGAATTTGAATGTTAGCCTCTCTAGCTAGGTTGAAGAAGTTCTCATGGATGATATCCTGGAATATGTTTTCCAAGTTGCTGCTATTCTCCCCATCTCCTTCAGGGACACCAATGAATCACAGATTTGTTCTCTTTACATAAACTTATATTTCTCAGAGGTTTTGTTTGTTCGTTTTCATTCTTTCATTCTTTTTTCTCTATTCTTCTCTGCCTGTCTTGTTTCAGAACGCCAGTCTTAAAGCACTAATATCATTTCTTCTGCTTGATCTATTCTGCTGTTAATAGTTGTGATTGCATTATGAAATTTTTGCAGTGTGTTTTTCAGTTCTATCAGGTCAGTTATGTTCTTTTCTATACTGTCTATTTTGTCTGTCAGCTCCTGCATTGTTTTATTGTGATTCTTAGCTTCCTTGGATTGGGTTTCAACATACTCCTGTACCTTGATGCTCTTCATTTCTATCCATACTCTAAATTCTATTTGTGTCACTTCAGCCATCCCAGTTCAGTTAAAAACTTTTGGTGGAGAGCTGGTGGAGGCATTCAGAGGAAAGAAGGTATGCTGGCTTTTTGACTTGTCAGAGTTCTTGCACTGGTTTTTTCTCATTTTTGTGGGCTAGTGTTTTTTCAATCTTTGACGTTCCTTTCCTTTGGATGTTTTTTTTTCTTAATCCTGTTAGATGACTTTGAGAGTTTGATTGTGTTATAAAATGGGTTCAGTCAACTGGCTTCATTTCTGGAAGATTTTGGGGACCACAGTTCAGCTGTCATCCCCCCAACTGCATGTTTTAATTCTGGGGGACTTGTATCCTACCCTACTTTGTTCTCTGACTTCTCAAGATTATGAACAGACTGTGATGGGGGTGCTAAGGTGCTCCTGGACTGCTGGTCACTACATGTTGATGGAATGGTGCTAGTCAAAGGGTTTTGTAGTGTGGTGGCAGTGGGATCTGTCCTCATTCACAGGTGCCCTTAGCAGTACCAGCACCAGCAGTATTAAATCAGGATGCATGCTTGTCAGCTGCAGCAGACTGCTAGCAGGTGCTGAGATGCCTGCCTCCATGAAGGCATTGACAGCAGGGGTAGAGTCAGCATAACTTGGGGGGTCAGCAGGACCCCATTGGTGACTGTGTGCATTGTTGCACTGATGGTGGTGTTAGTATGGGGTTAGGGCACTGGTGGGTGCAGGTGTGTGTTCACCCTCTGTGGCTACTCAGGGCAGGGGGAGGGTTCATTGTTTTCAGTGCCTAGTTTCATTCTGGTGGCAGTGTTGGCACAGGGGCAGGTCACTGACAGAGGCAGGACTGGTGGGCTCTGTGCCCACTACAGCTCGGACTGCAATGGCAGTATGGCAGAGGAAGGGGAGCAGAGTGCACTCCTGCTGGCAGCAGAGGCAGGGCAGGGTTCACGTGCTCACACAAGCTGGTGGGGAAGGGAAGGGAAAATCCACCTGCACACATACAAGCCAGCCAAATGATGTCAGGGGGCAGGGGCGGTTGGCCATGGGCTTGGAAGAAGCTGCAGCAGAGGGAGGGAGCAGGCAGGTTGGTGCATGGCCCTAGGGGCCACCCCATTGGAACTCTCCACCAATCAGATATGGTCTGCCATTGCAGAAGCTAAGATGCGGGTCCCCAGGGAACCTGAGTCTGCACTGCAAGCAGGAAAAAACCAGGCTGGAGCACTGGGAGAGGTCAGCAGACCAGGGGGTACTAAGGTTGTATCTGCCCTATCTGATGGGAAGACTGCCCTGCAGAATTCATGTCCGACAGTTCCCGTAGGGCTAAAGTCTCCTATGAAAGCAAGTCAAGTCTGGAAGGATGGGCATCCCTGGCCATGCTCTGCTATAGATGTTCCTGCAACAAACCCTCTGGGCTCCATATCGGCTAGCGTGCTGCTCCTACCACTCTTCTAAGCACCTCCCCTGCCAACTCTGTCTGTAGTGATTGAGGGGTCTCCTCCCAGTGGGATTCCAGAGGCTTGTGGCAAGAGTAGGTTGCTTCTTGCCAGTTCAACTCACCCATTCCCCCAAAGTTCTTGGGGGTGAGGAACGAGTCCCATTGCACTGTAGCCCCACCCAGCTTCTGCCCAGCTTTTGTGTCTTGAGGACCTGTTAGGACTGTGCCAGTCATCCCAGTCCCACAGTGACAGCTGTTCTACCTGGCTGCAACTAGTCAGACATCTTGACCAAATTGGAAGTTTCTTACAAAGCTGAGCATAGCCTTACCATATGGTCACACTCCCAGGCACTTACCCAACTGATTTGAAACGTGTACACAAAAACCCAGTCATGAATGTTCACAGCAACTTCATTCCCTAACAGCCAAAAATTGGAGACAATCACAATGTTCTTCAACGAGTGTATGAATAAACAAACTGTGCTATATTTACAATAGAATGTTATTCAGCAATAAAGAGGACATTAACTACCAAGCCATAAAAAAGCGTGAATGAATCTTAAATGCATAATGCTAGCTGAAAGAAGCCAGTTTTGAAAGGTTATATACTGTATGACTCCAATTATATGACATTCTAGAAAAATTAGAACTATAGAGACAGTAAAAGACTGGTGGTTACCAAGAGTACAAGGAGAAGAAAGAAGAGTCGAATAATTTAAGTTGAAGAACAATTTAGGGTGAAGAAATTATTCTTTCTAATGCTGTAGAAATGAATACCTGACATTATAAATATGTCAAAAACTATAAAAAAAACTTAATTTGTGTAAGTTTTAACAACTATACTACAACAAATTGAATAACCTTGAAGAAATAGATAAATTTCTGGACACAATTTGTCAAAATTAAATTAAGAAGGAATAAAAAATCTTAACCGATCAGTAAGGAATAAAATTGAATCAATACTTTCAAAAATCTCCCAGCAAAGAAAGGCCCAGGACCTAATGGATTCTCTTTTAAATTTTACCAAACATTTGAAAAAGAACTAATACCAATTTATTCCAAACTCTTCCAAATATTGAAGAGGCAGGAACACTTCCATACTCATTTTAGAAGGCCTGCATTACTCTGATACCTAAGCCACAGATGGATACTAAAATAAAAGTTCAATCCAGTATCTCTGATGAACATAAATGCCAAAATACTAACACATTAAATCTGGCAGCACATTAAAAGGATAATTCACTGTTTGTGATATTTGAACATATGCAAATCAATAAATGTGATATACCACATTGGCAGAATGAAAGGCAAAAACCATATGATCACCTCAATAGATGCAGAAAAGGCATTGACAAAATTCAACATCCTTCATGATAAAAAAATTCCAGCAAATTATGCTTAGAAGGAGCCTACCACAGTGATAAATGCCACATATGACAAGCGCACAGCTAACATCATATTCAATGGTGAAAAATTGAAAGCTTTCCTTCTAAGATCAGAAAGACAATAAGGATGTCCACTCTCACCGAGTCTACTCAAAATATTACTGAAAGTACTAGCTAGAGTAAGTAGGTAAGAAATAAAAGGCAACCAAATTGGAAAAGAAGTAAAATTATCTGTTTGCAGATGACGTGATCTTATATCGAGAAAATCCTAAAGATGTCCTCAAAAAAACCTTTTAGAATAAATGAGTTCATAAAGCTGCAGATTAAAAAATGAACATACAAAAACCAGTGGGATCTCTAAACACTAACAATGAATTATCTGAAAAGGAAGTCAAGAAAACAATCCCATTTATAACTATAAAAAAATTAAAACAAAATACTTAGGAATAAATTCAACCAAGGAGGTGAAAGCTCTGTACACTGAAAACTATAATACATTGATGAAATAAATGGAAAAAGAGAATTAAAAGTAAATATATCTGTGTACATTAATTTAAAAAATTAATATTGTTAAAATATCTAAAATAATTAAATTACCTACAGATTCAATCCAGTCCCTATTAAAATTCCAATGGCATTCATCATAGAAATGAAAAAAAAAAAAACCAAATTTGTACGTACTTGTAAAAGACTCCAAATAGCCAAAGTAATTTTGAGAAAAAGGAACAAAGCTGGAAGCATCACACTCACTGCTTCAAACTCTACTACAAAGCCATATTAATTAAAACAGTATGGTACTATAAAAACATGACATATAACAATGGAACAGAGTAGGGAGCCCAAAAATAAATTCACACATATATGGCCAACTAAGATTTGACAAGGGTGCCAATAATACACAATGGGAAAAGAAAAGTCTATTTAATAAATGCTGTTGGAAAAGCTAAATATCCACATGCAAAAGAAAGAAACTGAAGTCTTGTCTTATGACATATACTAAAACTAACTGGAAATGAATTAAAGATTTAAATGTATAACCTGAAACTGTAAAACTACCAGAAGAAAACATAAGGAAAAAACACCTTGACAACAGTCTTGGCAATCATTTTTTGGATATGACCACAAAAGCACAGGCAACAAAAAATAAACAAGTGGGACTATATCAACTAAAAATTCCACTGCACCACAAAAGAAACAATCGACCACATTAAAAGGCAACCTATCGAATGGGAGAAAATATTAGTAAACCATATGTATGATAAGGGGTTAATATTCATAATATATTAGGAAGTACACAAGTCAACAGTAAAACAACAAACAATGTGATTTTTACAATTGGCAAAGATTTTAACAGCTACATTCCCAAAACAGACATAGAAATAGCCAACATGCATATGAAAAGGTGCTCAACACCATCAACCATTGGGAAAATGCAAATTAAAACCACAATGAGACATCACTTCATACCTGCTGAAATGGCTATTATGAGAAGACACATGATAACAAGTATTGGTCAGGATGTGGAGAAAAGGGAACCCTTTTACGCTATTGATGGAAATGTAAATTGGCACAGGCATTATGGAAAACAATATAGATGTTCTTCAAAAAATAAAAAATAAAACTTCCATATGTTCCAGCAATCTCACTTCTAGATATATACCCAAAGGAAATGAAATCAGTATCTCTAAAAGATAACTTTACTGCTATGTTCACTGCAGCATCATTCACTATAGCCAAAATATGGAAACAACCCAAGTGTACATCAATTGATGAATGAGTATAAAAACTGTGGTACGTATATGTGATAGACTGTCATTCAGCCACAGAAAGAAGGAAGTTTTGCCATTTGCAGCAACATAGATAAACCTAATAGACATTACGGTAGGTGAAATAAGCCAGACACGGAAAGACAGACACTATATGATCTCACTTACATGTAGAATCTGAAAAAAAAAAAAAGCTCATCGAAGGAGAGAGTAGAACAGTGGTTGTCAGAGGGTTTTGAAGTCAGAGAAAAGGGGAATATGTTGGTCAAATGGTACCAACTTTCAGCCATAAGATAAACACATTCTTGGTAACTAATGTACAACACGGATGGTGATTAATGTGTTAATTTGATTGTGGTAATCATTATACAATGTATATGCATATCAAATTATCATTTCATATACCTTGAATATATTTGACCTTTATTTGTCAATTAAATTTTTATAAATTTAAAAATCTACAAAAGAAATCATTTCAATTCTATACAATAAAAAAGAACTATCTAAAAGGGAAATTAAGAAATTAATCTCATTTCCATTAGAACCAAAAAATAAAATATTTAGGAGTAAACTTAAACAAGGAGGTGAAAGACTTGTACACTTAAACTGTAAAATATTGATGAAAGAAATTAAAGCAGATGCAAATAAATGGAAAGACTTTCTATGTTAATGGAATAGAACAATTAATATTGTTAAAATATCCACACTACCTGAAGCAATCTATAGATTCAATGCAATCTCTGTGAAAATCCCAACATCATTTTTTAAAGAAATTTTTAAAAATCCTAAAATTCATGTGGAGACACAAAGACTCATGAAGTGACATGGACAGGGGAAAAGGTGGCAAGAAGGTTTTATTTAGGAGGGAAGAAATGTGGTTACACGCTAAAGGTTACACCCAATAGGGAGGACAAAGTTCATGTTATAGGTGAGGGAAAGGAGAGTTACCAGAGTAATTGCCTTTAGTAGAGAGGAGGGGGATGGAATCTGGTGCACAGGTGGAAGGGTTTACTTCTGTAGGAGCAGGATCAGGTCACTCAGTCTCAGGAGAAGTTAAAGGAAACTTAATCACAGATGCAGGTTGTATAGTGGTAGTGATGGGAGATTAAGGAATTCTCACCTGCTACCTTTCTCACTAAAACAGGAAGCAACGCAATAAACAGAGTGAGAATAGAGAAGGATTATTTGAAGATTCAGACCACTTTTTCTATAGTCTGAATATTTTTACCATGTACAAAATTTATATTCCTAAGTATAAACTTTGGCGATTATCAAAAATAAAATATTTTAAAACTCAATTTTTGACCCCCTTGCATTTGGGGTTCCAGATGTTTTGGATGCTGCCCATTTAATGTACTCATTTGAGATTTGAATATATAGTCAGCTAGTTAAAGGGATGCAGTAGGAGAGGCTTCTGTTATACTAGGGGCGATTTGTTAGGTCCAAAGTGATTCCAGATCATCAACTTGATCCCAGGCACATGGCTAAAATTGTAGTGTTTTTCAGACAAACAGATGGCTAAGATTGTAGCAAGAACAACTTCCCTGACAACATTGGTCACCTGTGTTAGTCTGTAAGGCATCTCTGGACGTCCAGCCTATAGTCTTCTCTTTTAGACTTTCCAGTGATTTTGTGAACACCTAACTCTCGATATTAAATGATGTTTTGTTTAAAATAGCTAGAATGGTTTCTTGTCTCTGACACAAAATCCTGATTGCTCTACCAAAAGACTGTTGTTATTAAACTTAGAGTGAAATCAATTGGCAATAAGGTCAAACATACAGCTAAAAGTCATAAAAATTTGCTAGGAGTAATCATGAAGCTCTAGAAAAAAAAAGTAAAATGTTTTTGTGATCTTTTTCAGTAAAAGTAACCAGCTTTCTTTTGCCACTCTCTGCTTATTTATGTAAGAAAAATTGGTAGTTTAATATCTTTCAAAGTGCACTTACAAATATAATATTTTCCTCTTAATGATATTTTTCAAGTCTTTGATATCCGCATAGAATCTTGAGTTTACAGTGCTAAGTTGTTTATGACCCTTCAGTAGAGGAATCACTCTTTTGCTTAAAGCCACAGAATGGCTTCTTATTGTAATTGTAATAAAATGAAAACTCATATTTACTATGTAGACCGTATGTTTTTGACACTACCAGTATCTCCAACTTTAATCATTTTCATATTAAATTACTATATTCCGGGTAACATGGACTTTATTGTATTCTTCAAATATACCAAGTTCATCATCATCTTTGAGTTTTTGCACTACCTGTGCCCTCCGTCTAGATTACTATAACCACAAATGTTTGCATGTTTGCCTTCTTCAGTTTATCCAGATATCATCCAAAACGTCAGCTCTTCAAGGTCTTTTTTGATTATTAAACACAAATTGGTTACTCCCAATCCAGAGTCACAATTTATCATTTCACTTTTCTTTTTAGTTTTTACAGAGCAGTATCTCTTCCTGAAACTATGCTGTTTATTTTCTACCTTAATGGTGGTCTATTTTTACTAGGTTGTATCTCTTGGAGAGCAGATGGACCTTATCTGCCTCAGTAATTTCTTTTTTCAGTTCCCAGAATAGTCCTGACAAATGGGAGGTACTCAGTGATTGCAGTACTTGGAAATAAACAAATCAATTTCAGATAAAATTCTACAGTCTATTTTTATTCTTTTTTTTTTTGCGCCCTTTTTCAGGCTATGTGCTTATTAAACACCTTTTTCATGGAAGCTTTCACTTCCTGGTTGCGAAGGGTATAAATGACAGGATTCAACAAAGGAAAAATCACTGTGTGGAAGAGAGAAACCACCTTGTCAGCTGGGAAAGCCCTGAAGGGGCGCGTGTAGATGAAGATGCCAGGTCCAAACATGAAGAATATAACAATGATATGGGTGATGCACGTGGACATGGCCTTGTTTTTTGCCTCAGAAGAAGACCCTCGTATGCGACAAAGAATGACTGCATAGGAGGCCAGAAGCCCCAGAAAGCACAGGAGTGTCATCAGGCCACTGTTGAAGACCATCAGAAGCTCCACCACAAATGTGTCGGTGCAGGCCAGCTTGATGACCTGTGGGACATCACAGAAGAAGTTGTCCAGCTGGTTTGGGCCACAAAAAGGCAAGCGGAGGATGAGGACCACCTGGATAATGGAGTGGACAAAACCCCCAAGCCACAGAGCCAACATCATTGCATAGCAGGTTCTAGGGTTCATGACAGTAGGATAGTGCAGAGGCCGGCAGATGGCGATGTAGCGGTCAAAGGCCATCACAACAAGGAGTAATCCCTCCCCTCCTCCAAGGAAGTGCAAGAAAAAGAGCTGAGTGATGCAGCCTCTGTAGGAGATTATCTTCTTCGCAGAGAGGAAGTCCACCAACATCCGGGGAGCCACAATGAAGGAGTAGGATGCATCCAGGAAGGCCAAGTTGCCCAGAAAGAAATAGAGGGGGGCTGTGAGCCCAGGGTCTGACTTTATGGTGAAAATAATGAGAAAATTTCCAGGGAGGATGATGAAGTAGAATATTAAAACTAGCACAAAGACCAGGAGCTGAATATCTTGAGACTGGGTCAGACCAAGGAGGATGAATTCTCTTATCACTGTTCTGTTCTCGCTTTCCATTTCCCTGGCCTGCAGTACATTAAGAAGCAGAATTAATTGTTATTACTATGTCTTCCAACTAGATACTAGTTATACAGCTAAAAAATATTTGGCACATGCAGTACTTCAGCTAAAAACAACATTTCCCATCCCTCTCCTATTCTGGGGAAACTCCATTACCTTAATTTCTCCAAATTTAAAATGAAAAATGAAAACACAATATGGTTCTCAAAGCTACAGTTTTATTCCCATTCAACCATGTGCTTCTACAGAATCATTTTCCATGTTAGGGGTCTGGTATCCTCCACGTTGGGATTCCTACATTCTTAAATCATGGAAGTTTCCTAATGGAGACACAACCTAACTTCAAATCTGAAGGTCTTTGAGTTTTTGTGGATATACTATGCTTGAGGGTTAGCTCTTTTCTTGGGATTAGACCCTTTTTCTCCTTGTCCACACCACCCCAAAATTTTCCTAGACATTTTCTTCCCTCAATTCCTGTGTAATTCCCAGTTCCTAGCTGGTAACTCTCTTCCTTACCCTCTGTCTTATCATCTAATTTACTTCTTATTATACTCCTTTTGGTCTGATATCCTTGTATACTCTTTTCCCAGACTGTTCACGAGAATCCCAAGCTATAGCTCCACTTTTGACCTAACACAGGCACAGTGCTCCAGCTGTAACTCTGTTTGAGCACCACTCCTGTGGCCACTCCACACCTGCATGCAGCTTATTTAGCACTTTTTGAGTTTCAAATATTAATAAACTCACAACACATTTCTTTCTCTGTTCCCAGTGTGACACCCAAGATACAGCCTTTTAACAAACAATATGCTACAATATAAAATTTGCAAGTATAAAACTTTAAAATATCATTATCTCAACTCATAAAGTCATAGCATAGATACACTGTAAGTAGCCATAAAGATACTGTAGTGTTATTCTTCCATTTCAAAGATGAGAAATAACCTGTAGTTATATTACTTAAGTTTAGAGTGAGTTTTATTTTTTGCTCTGCTTGATAAGTAGTAGGATAATGCAAGTGTATACTCTTCAGTTTAAATAGATAAAGAATTTTTTAATCACAGCTTCAATGAATGAATGTTCTTTTTGTGCATTTGGATAACTAAAAATAATATTGTTAGTCTAAAATCACTCCCATATTGCTTTGATTTGTAAGTTCAACCTTGTTTAAATAAAAAGAAAAACAATGTGCATTGTGAAGAAAATTCATATTTAAAATTCAGATTGTTTTCATGGGGTATACTCATTCCAGAAGGTGCACATGATAATCCACTGAAGTATAGAAAGAACATAGTAATTTATCTATATTTAGTCGGTGTATAACATTTTATATGTATCACTACATTTCGTTGTTTTCTAAATTCACTTTTTAATATTTATAATGGATAACATAGTACAATGGTTTATATATACTTTATAAATAAATATGCATACATTTAAGGTTATATATTCAAAAAATGTCTTAGGGGAATAGATTTTTTAAGTTTGAAAATTACTGGCCTACAACAAAATACAAACTGTAATATAAAAGGATATTCTTAATATGATTTAACTAAACAGTGTATTTGTTTTAAATAAGTGCTCTAGCGGCCGGGCACGATGACTCATGCCTGTAATCCCAGCACTTTGGGAGGCCTAGGTGGGTGGATCACGAGCTCAGGAGATCGAGAACATCTTGGCTAACACGGTGAAACCCTATCTCTACTAAAAAAATACAAAAAAATTAGCTGGACGTGGTGGTGGTTGCCTGTAGTCCCAGCTACTCAGGAGGCTGAGGCAGGAGAATGGTGTGAACCCGGGAGGCAGAGCTTTCAGTGAGCCGAGATCGCGCCACTGCACTCCAGCCTGGGCGACAGAGCGAGACTCCGTCTCAAAATAAATAAATAAATAAATAAATAAATAAATAAATAAATAAATAAGTGCTCTAGCACATGGGGTGCGGAAGGAAGGGAAAATATTTCTTTGACAGAAAATGCTACTGCAACAGTACCTAGAAAAGAAAGACAAGAAGATATAGGATGAGGGAAGAAAGAAGAGAGAAATAGAAAATCAAAACAAACAAGCAAACAAACACCAAAAGACAGACAGCACATCTATATAGTGTCATCTTAGGGTACGTATTTTAAGAAGCATTAAAACTATCTGCTTTATGTATCCCTAGAATGGAATAGAGTGGTTAATACAGAAATTTCTGGGTGTTACTGGCAGCCACATGTGGAATTTATGAAAGTCATACTTAGACACATCATCATATATACATATGCAAATACCACATGAACACACACGTATGCACACAAATACATACAAACACACACAAAATTGTAATAGGAAAAAATATTTTGTAGTTCCTTCAAATGAGCTTTTCTGCTCATGTCTTAACCTTTCCCCCTTTGCCAGCCATTTGTCTCAACATTTATTCTACTATCTGCCTATATAAAAATTTCCTTAAATCAAGAGCCCCTTCTACAGTCGACGCTTGAACAATGCAGGAGTTAAGGGGGCAGACCCCCTGTGCAATAAAAAATTAGCACATACCTTGATTCCCTAAAAACTTAGCTTCTAATGATTATTGTTGATCTGAAGTTTTGCTGGTAACATAGACAGTTGAATAACAAATATTTTTATGTTTTATGTATTATATACTATAATCCTACAATAAACTAAGCTACAGAAAATAAAATATAACAAAATCATAAGGAAAGGAAGATATAAATACTGTTCATTAAGTGGAAATGCATCATCATAAAGTTCATATCGTTGTTGTCTTCCCACTGAGTAGGCTGAGGAGGAGAAGGAAAAGGAAGGGTTAGTTTTTCTGTGTCAGGGGTGGCAGAGGTGGAAGAAAATCCACATATAAGTGGACCTGTGTGGTTCAAACCCATGTTTTTCTGGGGTCAACTGTACTTACTCATGTGTTTTATGTATCCCACATGCTAACATACAGTGAGGTATTTCTTGATGTGTTAGCATTTAACAATATCCCTGAGACATTTGAGGATTTCTGAAGGACTTTGAAATTGAAGGTTATAAGCTCTTCCATTCTGCCTGTGTCCCAGCCTCACTGTTATTTTTCTACTGTTTCTTAACAGATGGGATTCTGTACTACTTGACTTCTTGATGAACTTTCTTCCCTGTCCCATTTCCATCTTTCAATTATCTCTACCTTCTCTAAATGGTGGTTGGAATAGACGCAGAGTCTAATCAGATGAGCATTCCTCTAAGCAAAATAAAATAAGTTTCTGCCAAAAAAAAAATCCATATATGATGGCATCAGCAGAGTAAAGTGTTCTATTTTAGGCAAATTAGTAGAGAAAGTTCTGTCAAAAGTCTGTACCATACCCTCCTCACTGTATCTCTAATCCTTCTTGCCATTTCAGCTAATTCGTGCATTGATCAGTTTCTGGCCATGATGACACACTACAGAAATAGGGAAGATGAAGGAGAAGGGTTCACCACATTTGCAGGGTGGAGACACAGAAACATCTCCAGGCAACTCTGTGTGTGCATGCCTGGAGTCTGAGTGTGGTCAGATGAGCTCCTGGAGCCAAGTGTTTAGAGATCCTATGTGCTTACTCAACCTCCTTCCTTATTTTTCTTTTTCTCTCTTTCTTTATTCATCAATAAGCAGTTTATTTTCTTTTTTTTTTTCTGGTTGTGATTTCTTTTCCCTGTTAATTTGTTGCCTGTTCTTTTCCCCTTCTCTGTTTCTTTCTGGCTCTATTTATTTTGTTCTCTTTAAATATTGTTCTTTATTATTTTTTCTTTCTTCTCCCTTACATTTATCTATGTTTTTTCACTCTGATATGTTTTCACTCTCTCCACTTTTCGTCTATGTTCATGGCTACTCCATTCTACCCCACACCTGTCTTGCTAATACATCTAAAAACAAAACAAAACAAAAACCAGAAAATCTTATTGTCATTTTCTTTCCCAACAAGAGTGAGAAATGTGTGTGCTTCCCACCATCTTCCATTTTAAATATTAAGTCTACAAAATGAAAATATATAATTCACTCTTCAGTAATAACCATTTACTTTTAAGTGGTATTCTTGCAGTTGGCCAACGCTGAGTCACTTATCAACTACTTCATACTTGTAAGTGAACCTGATAAAAATGAGATGATTCACCTTTTTTTTAAAAAAAAGAAGTTAATTTCATTAGTAGCATCCTAATGAAATAAATATATTGAATACAAATTTCAAAAATAGGGATGTAATATTAGTAGTAATAGCTCACTAATGATGCAAGGTTAGTAAATTATTTGAGTATGAAATAATAAGTTTTATATTTTCTAAAAAGTGTGAATCAGGCTGAGAACATAATAGAAAATTTAATTTATGCTGATGCTGCTGATGAGTATATAAAGCACTAAACAAATGTATAGATTCTTAGCCAGAAAATTTATTCATCAATCAAATGAGATGGCCAGATTAAATGGCCTCTAAATTCCATTTGAATGCCAGTTTTTTAGGCAATGTAATAACATAAAAGGATCCCTGGTTTGGGAATCATTTATCTGACTCTCATGCCTTGAATGAGCAATTAACTTATTGTGTGATTCTGGGAAAGTCACTTAGCTTTCAGAAGCCTGAGTTGTCATCTACCAAATAGTTTAATGTATTGACTCTTTGGGTCTGATGGGGGTAACATGAGGATCAAATGAGGTGATGATGGTATTAATATGTAATTCATTCAAGTACACTTCAACCAAAGTTAATCCTGAAAATATTTAGATGTTAAAAGTAGTTATATTGAATGGACAGAATGCTGCTAGATCTTTTGTCAATGTCTTTGAGTAACCCCTGGGATAATGGTAGTTGCATAAATCTGAAAAGTTAATAGAGAGAAGTTGTGGAGGGTCAGTAATGCCTTCATGTAAAATTGCCAGTACAGCTAGTGGTTTGTATATCAAGCTTTTTTTTGGTTCTACAACTTTCTGTCAAAATTCTAAGAATGAATGATATAACCACATGCAACAGAAGAAACTTTCATACCTGCTGAATGTGAAAATGAAGAGGTCAAGGACTTATCTTCTGCAAAATCATAAAATCTGTTAAGTTTTTCTCTGGAGCTTTTAGCCTACCATTTCTGCATCCTCCTCCCTTTTCTTCCATATTTAATAAGGAAAATGATACATATCAGTCATTTGTATGATTTTTGGTTTTTAACACCAGATGTCAATTCTCTTGAGTCTATGGAAAATTATAATAGAATTAAAGGTTTTGTTTGCCAGTAAAGTAATCCCAAGCATTAAATGCAGATGGAGATCTATTAGGAGAGAGAGTACATAGTGCCCCACTGCTGAATTTAGACCTTAGCCTGTGGCTATTCCTGCTAATACTCTGACCTGTCTATTCAACTGCAATCTAAGATATCAGGTGAACAAGTAAAATAGTTGCAATATTTTTTCTATTGTCCCTTTCTTCTTGTTTCTTGTATATATATGAAGAGCTCCAGAAATTTAAGCCTTCAGGGATCTTATGTTACTCTCACAAAGTAGGCATCCTCCCTCTCCTAGTAAGACTAACCAGTTTTGCCATTGTTCATAAATGTTCATTGCCACATGAGGAACCTTAGATTTTAAAATCTCTCTATTGTAATGGAGAAAGTTCTTTTGAGATTTGAGACTACCATGACCCACTGAATGCTTCCAAAGGGAGTTATTAGGCAAGCTATATTAGTTATCAAATAAATAAGGCAAAGAAAAATACCAGAGTTTGCAAGAACTAAATTTTTTTAAATGTGCTACATAATACCAAGCTGACTTACTTTCTAGTTCTAAAACAAAAATTCTATCGTGAGAAAGACAGAACCCTATTCAGAAGCATATTTTTTAGTCCAGAAATAAATAGAAGTTTGAGAGAAGTAAATTTACGTGTTATAATAAAATTCAAAAGGAGAAAAATATTAAATAAATGATGAGAGATTATTGCTTTGTACCACGAAAGCAAGCAGGGGTAGGATGAGGCAAAAAATACATATATACATATATATATATATGACTAGACTCAAATTTTTCAATTAAAGGCTTCACCAAACTTTAGACGGTGGCTGGCAAGATGGCCAAATAAGAGCAACTCTGGTCTGCAACTCCCAGCAAGACCAACGCAGAAGGTTACTCACAGAAGATTTCTGCATTTCCAACTGAGGTACCCAGCTCATCTCATTGGGACTGGTTAGACAGTGGGTGCAGCCCACGGAGGGTAAGCCAAAGCAGGGTGGGGCATCACATCACCGGGGAAGTGGAAGGGTTCAGGGAACTCCCTCCCCAGCCAAGGGAAGCCGTGAGAGACTGTGCCGAGAGGAAAGGTGCATTCTGATTCAGATACTAGGCTTTTCCCATGGTTTTTGCAACCTGCAGACCAGGAGATTCCCTCAGGTGCCTACACCACCAGGGCCTTGGGTTTCAAGCACAAAACTAGGCAGCCATTTGGGCAGACACTGAGGTAGATGCAGGAGTTTTTTTTCATACCCCAGTGGCACCTGGAATGCCAGCAAGATAGAACTATTCACTCCCCTGGAAATGGGGCTGAAGCCAGGGATTCAAGTGGTCTATCTCAGTGGATCCCACCCCCATGGAGCCCAGCAAGCTAAGATCCACTGGCTTGAAATTCTTGCTGCCAGCACAGCACTCTGAAGTTCACCTGGGACACTCGAGCTTGGTTGGGGTAGGGGCATCTGCCATTACTGAGGCTTGAGTAGGCACTTTTCCCTTCACAGTGTAAATAAAGCCACCAGGAAGTTTGAACTGGGCAGAGCCCCCCACAACCCAGCAAAGCAGCTATAGCCAGACTGCTTCTCTAGATTTCTCCTCTCTGGGCAGGGTATCTCTGAAAGAAAGGCAGCGTCCCCAGTCAGGGGCTTATAGATAAAAGTCCCATCTCCCTGGGACAGAGCACCTGGGGGGAAGGGCGGCTGTGGGCACAGCTTCAGCAGACTTAAATGTTCCTGCCTGCCATCTCTGAAGGGAGCAGCAGATCTCCCACACAGCTAATGCAGTGTTTAGAGGAAAATTTATAGCACTAAATGCCAACAGCTTAAAGCAGGAAAGATCTAAAATCGACCCTCTGACATTACAATGAAAAGAACTAGAGAATTAAGAGCAGACAAATTCAAAAGCTAGCAGAAGACAAGAAATAACTAAGATCAGAGCAGAACTGAAGGAGATAGAGACACAAAAAACTCTTCAAAAAATCAATGAATCCAGGAGATCCAGCAGATCTCCCAGCAAAGCGCTTGAACTCTGCTAAGGGACAGACTGCCTCCTCAAGTGGCTCCCTGATGCCTGTGCCTCCTGACTGGGAGACACCTCCTAGCAGGGGTCAACAGACACCTCATACAGGAGATCTCCAGCTGGCATCTGGCTGGTGCCCCTCTGGGACAAAGCTTCCAGAAGAAGGAACAGGCAGTAATCTTTGCTGTTCTGCAGCATTTGCTGATGACACCCAGGAAAACAGGGTCTGGAGTGGACTTCCAGCAAACTCCAGCAGACCTGCAGCAGAGGGGCCTGACTGTTAGAAGGAAAACTAACAAACAGAAAGAAATAGCATCAGCATCAACAAAAAGGATGTCCACCCAAAAACCCCAACTGAAGGTCACCAACATCAAAGAACAAAGTTAGATAGGTCCATAAAGATGAGGAAAAACCAGAGCAAAAAGGCTGAAAATTCCAAAAACCAGAACACCTCTTCTCCAAAGGATCACAACTCCTTGCCAGCAAGGGAACAAAACTGGATGGAGAATGAGTTTGACAAGTTGACAGAAGTAGGCTTCCAAAGAAGGGTAGTAACAAACTCCTCTGAGCTAAAGGAGCATGTTCTAACCCAATGCAAGGAAGCTAAGAACCTTGAAAAAGGTTAGAGGAATTGATAACTAGAATAACCACTTTAGAAAAGAACATAAATAACCTGATGGAGCTGAAAAACACAGCACAAGAACTTCATGAAGCATACGCAAGTATCAATAGCCAAATCGATGGAGCGGAAGAAAGGATACCAGGGATTGAAGATCAACTTAATGAAATAAAGCGTGACGACAAGATTGGAGAAAAAAGATTGAAAAGGAACGAACAAATCCTCCAAGAAATATGGGACTATGTGAAAAGACCAAACCTACGTTTGATTGGTGTACCTGAAAGTGACGGGGAGAATAGAACCAAGTTGGAAAACACTCTTCAGGATATTATCCAGGAGAACTTCCCCAACCTAGCAAGACAGGCCAACATTAAAATTCAGGAAATACAGAGAACACCACAAAGATACTCCCCGAGAAGAGCAACCCCAAGAAACATAATTGTCAGATTCACCAAGGTTGAAATGAAGGAAAAAATGTTAAGGTCAGCCAGAAAGAAAGGTCAAGTAGTTACCCACAAAGGGAAGCCCATCAGACTAACAGTGGATCTCTCTGCAGAAACCCTACAAGCCAGAAAGAAGTGGGGGCCAATATTCAACATTCTTAAAGAAAAGAATTTTCAAACCAGAATTTAATATCCAGCCAAACTAAGCTTCATAAGCGAAGGAGAAAGAAAATCCTTTACAGATAAGAAAATACTAACAGATTTTTGTCACCACCAGGCCTGCCTTACAAGAGCTCCAGAAGGAAGCACTAAATATGGAAAGAAAAACTGGTACCAGCCACTGCAAAAACATACCAAATTGTAAAGACCATTGAAGCTATGAAGAAACTGCATTAACCAACAGGCAAAATAACCAGATAACATCATAATTACAGGATCAAATTCACACATAACAATGTTAACCTTAAATGTAAATGGGTTAAGTCCCCAGTTAGAATACACAGACTGGTAAATTGGATAGAGACTCAAGACCCATTGGTGTGCTGTATTCAGGAGACCCATCTCACGTGCAAAGACACACATAGGCTCAAAATGAAGGGATGGAGGAAAATTTACCAAGCATATTGAAAGCCAAAAAAAAGCAGCGGTTGCAATCCTAGTCTCTGATAAAACAGACTTTAAACCAACAAAGATCAAAAAAGACAAAGAAGGGCATTACATAATGGTAAAGGGATCAATGCAACAAGAAAAGCTAACTATCCCAAATATGTATGCACCTAATACAGGAGCACTCATATTCATAAAGCAAGTCCTTAGAGACATACAAAGAGACTTACATTCCCACACAATAATAGTGGGAGATTTTAACACCCCACTGTCAATATTAGACAGATCAATGAAAATTAACAAGGATATTCAGGACTTGAACTCATCTCTGGACCAAGCAGACCTAATAGACATCTACAAAACTCTCCACCCCAAATCAACAGAATATATATTCTTCTCAGCACCACATCACACTTATTATAAAATTGACCACATACTTGGAAGTAAAGCACTCCTCAGCAAATGCAAAAGAACAGAAATCATAACAAATAGTCTCTCAGACCACAGTGCAATCAAATTAGAACTCAGGATTAAGAAACTCACTCAAAATCGCACAACACATGGAAACTGAACAACCTGCTCCTGAATGACTACTGGGTAAATAACGAAATTTAGGCAGAAATAAATAAGTTCTTTGAAACCAATGAGAACAAAGACACAATGTACCAGAATCTCTGGGACACAGCTAATGCAGTGTTTAGAGGAAAATTTATAGCACTAAATGCCAACAGCTTAAAGCAGGAAAGATCTAAAATTGACACCCTAACATTACAATTAAAAGAACTAGAGAAGTAAGAGCAGACAAATTCAAAAGCTAGCAGAAGACAAGAAATAACTAAGATCAGAGCAGAACTGAAGGAGATAGAGACACAAAAAACCCTTCAAAAAATCAGTGAATCCAGGAGCTGGTTTTTTGAAAACATTAACAAAATAAATAGACCACTAACCAGACTAATGAAGAAAAGAAAGAAGAATCAAATAGACACAATAGAAAATGATAAAGGGGTATCACCACTGATCCCACAGAATTACAAATTACCATCAGAGAATACTACAAACACCTCTACACAAATAAACTAGAAAATCTACAAGAAATGGATAAATTCCTGGGCACATACACCCTCCCAAGACTGAACCAGGAAGAAGTCAAATCCCTGAATAGACAAATAACAAGTTTTGAAATCGAGGCAGTAATTAATAGCCTACCAACCAAAAAAAGTCCAGGACCAGACAGATTCACAGCCAAATTCTACCAGAGGTACAAAGAGGAGCTGGTACCATTCCTTCAGAAACTATTACAAACAATAGAAAAAGAGGGACTCCTCCCTAACTCATTTTATGAGGCCAGCATCATCCTGATACCAAAACCTGGCAGAGACACACATAAAAAAGAAAATTTCAGATCAATATCCCTGATGAACATCGATGCAAAAATCCTCAATAAAATACTGGCAAACCGAATCCAGCAGCACATCAAAAAGCTTATCCACCATGATCAACTCAGCTTCATCCCTGGGATGCAAGGCTGGTTCAACATACCCAATCAGTAAACATAATCCATCACATAAACAGAACCAGTGAAAAACACCACATCATTATCTCAATAGATGCAGAAAAGGCCTTCGATAAAATTCACCCCTTCAAGCTAAAAACTCTAAATAAACTAAGTATTGATGGAACGTATCTGAAAATAATAAGAGCTATTTATGACACACCCACAGCCAATATCATACCGAATGGGCAAAAACTGGAAGCATTCTCTTTGAAAACCAGCACAAGACAAGGATGCCCTTTCTCACCATCCTTATTCAACACAGTATTGGAAGTTCTGGCCAGGGCAATCAGGGAAGAGAAAGAAATAAAGCGTATTCAAACAGGAAGAGAGGGAGGTAAATTGTCAAAGTTTGCAGATGACATGATTGTATATTTAGAAAATCCCATCTTCTTAGCCCAAAATCTCCTTCAGCTGATAAGCAACTTCAGCAAAGTCTCGGGATACAAAATCAATGTGCAAAAATTACAAACATTCCTATACACCATTAATAGATAAACAGCCAAATCATGAGTTAACTCCCATTCACAATTGCTACAAAGAGAATAAAATACCTAGGAATACAACTAACAAGGGATATGAAGGACCTCTTCAAGGAGAATTACAAACCACCGCTCAAGGAAAAAGAGAGGACACAAATGAATGGAAAAACATTCTGTGCTCATGGATAGGAAGAATCAATATCATGAAAATGGCCATATTGCCCAAAGTAATTTACAGATTCAATGCTATCCCCATCAAGCTACCACTGACTTTCTTCACAGAATTAGAAAAAACGACTTTAAATTTCATATGGAACAAAAAAAGAGCCTGTATAGCCAAGACAATCCTAAGCAAAAAGAACAAATCTGGAGGCATCACACTACCTGACTTCACACTATACTACAAGGCCGCAGTAACCAAAACAGCATAGTACTGGTACCAAAACAGATCTATAGACCAATGGAACAGGAAAGAGGCCTTAGAAATAATGCCACACGTCTACAACCATCTGATCTTTAACAAGCCTGACAAAAGCAAGCAATGGGAAAAGGATTCCCTATTTAATAAATGGTGTTATGAAAACTGGCTTAGACATATGTAGAAAACTGAAACTGAACCCCTTCCTTACACCTTATACAAAATTAACTCAAGATGGACTAAAGGCTTAAACGGAAAACCTAAAACCATAAAAACCCTAAAAGAAAACCTAGCCAATACCATTCAGGACATAGGCATGGGCAAAGACTTCATGACTAAAACACCAAAAGCAATGGCAACAAAATCCAAAATTGACAAATGAGATCTAATTAAACTGAAGAGCTTCTGCACAGAAAAAAAACAAAAAAAAAAAAAACAAAAAAAAACCTCTCATCAGAGTGGACAGTCAACCTACAGAATGGGAGGAAATTTTTGCAATCTATCCATCTGACAAAGGGCTAATATCCAGCATCTACAGGGAACTTAAACAAATTTACAAGAAAAAAACAAACAACCCCATCAAAAAGTGAGCAAAGGATATGAACAGACACTTCTCAAAAGAAGACATTTATGCAGCCAACAAACATATGAAAAAAAAGCTCATCATCACTGGTCATTAGAGAAATGCAAATCAAAACCACAATGAGATACCATCTCATGCCAGTTAGAATGGTGATCATTAAAAGGTCAGGAAACAACAGATGCTGGAGAGGATGTGGAGAAATAGGAACGCTTTTACACTGTTGGTGGAAGGGTAAATTAGTTCAACCATTGTGGAAGACAGTGTAGCGATTCCTCAAGGATGTAGAACCAGAAATACCATTTGACCCAGCAATCCCATTACTGGGTATATACCCAAAGAATTATAAATCATTCTACTATAAAGACACATGCACATGTATGTTTACTGCGGCACTGTTCACAATAGCAAAGACTTGGAACCAACCCAAATGCCCATCAATCATAGACTGGATAAAGAAAATGGGTCACATATACATTATGGAATACTATGCAGCCATAAAACAGGATGAGTTCATGTCATTTGCAGGGACATGGATGAAGCTGGAAACCATCATTCTCAGCAAACTAACACAGGAACAGAAAACCAAACACCACATGTTCTCACTCTTAAGTGGGAGTTGAACAATGAGAACACAGGGAAACAGCGAGGGGAATATCCCACATGGGGGCCTGTCACAGGGTGGGGGGCTAGGGGAAGGATAGCATTAGGAGAAATACCTAATGTAGGTGACAGGTTGATGGGTGCAGCAAGCCACCATGGCACATATTTACCTATGTAACAAACCTGCATATTCTACACATGTATCCCAGAACTTAAAGTATAATTTTTAAAAAAGACTTCACCAATATTATTTATTTTTCCTGTTGCCTCAGGTTCCAACATGGCTCAACATGGCAGTTGCTGATCCTGCCTTTGCTTAAAATTTGGTACTTTGTTTATCACAAATTTTAAAATTAATTTTGATTTCTCAAAATATTGATTAAAATGTTTATCTCTACTATTGAGTTTTTGGGCACGCCTTTAAATTTTGCATGCGAGATAAGCACCTTACTCAGTAGCAGGATGTTGACGGTGATAAGGACATTAGCAAAGGAAATATTAAAAAGCTCATGAATACTGTTGCATAATTATTCTTAGAGAAAATAGTTTCTTGGTATAGGATAGAACAATTGCTAAAGGGAAGGTGACCTCCTACATAGCATGAAAAGATGCATCATGATCTTGGTATTTGTAATTTGTTCACTTTCACTCTGCTCAACTAAAACAAGGATGAAAAACATTTTTCCATTAAAGATTATTAATTTTAAAAATTAATTGAGTCAGAAAAAATAAATACAAATTTATTTTATTAATTCTATTTTAAAATTATTTTAATCTTTTCTTTGGCTTTAGAGAAAACACTGAGTTTATGGGTCACTTTACAAGTGAAATAAGAACACAGATTTGGGGGTAATAAACATAATTTATCACCAAATATATTTGTTCTAATTTATTTTACATTTCAAAAACAAAGTGTAAGAGTAGAAAAAGGAAAGAAAGAAGAAAAGAGAGAGAGAGAAGTACAGAAAAATTTACAATAATCAAAATAAAGATCAAGAGAAAAGGGAAAAGAAGACTAGCAGAGACATAAATGGAAAGATAGTTGTATGACTTAAAAAAAAAAAAAAGGTGAAGAAACAGAGAGATACTAGTCCACAAGGAGAGCAAGACCATCCAGAGGCGAAATTCCTTATCCAAGGAATTCAGAAGTAATTAGACATCCCTATTATGTAAAGCTGGCATCTGGTATGAGATTTCTTTTCCAAAAATTTGTGAGTAACTAGAATTTCTATACATCTCTGGAATGCATGTATTCTAAACTCATTGTGCAACTCTTGCTGACATCAAGGCACCAAAATGTCTATAAATGTAATTGTTTACCATGACCTATGTGGCTAATATGGTAAAAATTACCCTTAAGCTCCCACTTTAAGGTCCATAAATACCCTAAGGAAAAATCTACTGCAGTGGTGTACTCAGTCCTCTCTGGCTGAGAAGCCCTGCTGCACTCCTCTGCAGCGTTCTTTCCAGCTAATACAACTTTCCTTTTCAAATCTATACAGTTGTTGGTAAATTCTTCTTACTACCCACAAGCCAACCACACTCCACTGCCTGGGCTGTGACAGCTCGCATGGCATTCCATATAAATGCACAGTCTACAAATCCATATAACCACAAAAAGAAAACCATGATAAAGAGAGCTGCACAGAGGAAAATAGAGAAAGGAAGCAAAATACATGAGGTTAGATACGTTCTTAAGTGGAATAACAACCCCATCTTGGAGTAGGTTAGTCTTGCCACCAAAACTTTTAAAAATATGATTTTTTTCATAATTGTGCATATAATCCAGGATCTTACTCACCTCTTAATGTTCACTCTAATTCATAAGATAAAAGTAATCTGAAGATCTAAAATAGTCCTCAAAATGGAGACTTTTTAACCCTTCTAGGAAAGTTTTATCACCTTGGATAGATTTTTTCCTCTAGATAATCTTGAATTAATTTTACAATGAAAAGTATTACTGGTATTTTATTAAATTATATTCAATTTATGCATTGACATGTATATATTCAATAATATTGTTTTTATCCAACAAAAGAGTTTGTCTCTGAATTTATTCATTTTTTTCCTCAAAAAATATTACCACTTTTTATATGAACAGATACTTCCTAAAAGAAGACATGTTTACGGCCAATAAGCACGTGAAAAAAAATGCTCAGCTTGACTATTCATTAGAGAAATGCAAATCAAAACCACAATGAGATACCATCTCACACCAGTCAGAAGGACTATTATTAAAAAGTCAAAAAATGGCTGGGCACGGTGGCTCACGCCTGTCATCCCAGCACTTTGGGAGGCCGAGGTGGGCGGATCACGAAGTCAGGAGACCGAGACCATTCTGGCTAACACGGTGAAACCTCGTCTCTACTGAAAAATACAAAAAACAAACAAACAAACAAACAAACAAAAAAATTATCTCGGCTTGGTGGCGGGTGCCTGTAGTCCCAGCTACTCGGGAGGCTGAGGCAGGAGAATGGCGTGAACTCGGGAGGTGGAGTTTGCAGTGAGCCGAGATTGCGCCACTGTCGAGATCCAGCCTGGGCGACAGAGCGAGACTCTGTCTCAAAAAAAAAAAAAAAGAAAAGAAAAGAAAAGAAAAAAAAAAAGAAAAGTCAAAAAATAACAGAAAATTCAAAGAGAATTTTCTTTTCTTTTTTTACTTCTATGGCATGACTTCTAATATTTTTATACCCTTAACACTTTATATAAAAAAATCAGTGGAAGAAGAATAATAACATTTAAGTTTACTTTGTTTCGTTTTTCAGAGTTAATAGTTGTTTCACATTCTCACCAAGATTTGGTTTTTAAATGTTGATCTTGTATCCTGCAACCCTTGATAAATTTCCTTGTAAATTCTAGTTCTTTAAAGATACCATAGTATGCTCTACACATATATTTCTTCTATGAATAAATAGATTTTTATTTTTTTCTTCCTAATATTAATACCTTTAAAAAACAACTTTCTTTCAATGGTCAGCACATGTTGAATAGAAGTGGTGAGAGCATGTATACTTGCATTCTTCCTAATCTTAAGGGGGCATGCATTCAAGATTTCATCATATGTTATAATGGTTGCTATAGGTTTTTCATAATTGCCCTTTATTGGACTGGAGAGGCTCCCTTTCATTTCCAATCTACTTAGAATTTTTTACAGACATGAATGGATGTTAAAACAAATGATTTTCTGCCTCTTGGCGAGATCATATCATTTTTCCACCTTCATTCAGTGAATATAGCAATTAACTTGATTGATTTTCAAATGTTAAGCCAACTATCGTTTTTGGGATAAATCCCATCTGGTCACAACTTTTTATGTATTGTCATGTTCGGATTGCTAATACTTTGTTTTAAAATTTTATGTGTAGCCAGGCAGGGTGGCTCACGCCTATAGTCCCAGCACTTTGGGGGGCCTAGGAGGGCGGATCACGAGGTCAGGAGATTGAGACCATCCTGGCTAACACGGTGAAACCCCATCTCTACTAAAAATACAAAAAATTAGCCAGGCGTGGTGGTGGGCGCCTGTAGTATCAGCTATTTGGGAGGCTGAGGCAGGAGAATGGCATTAACCCAGGAGGCAGAACTTGCAGTGAGCCGAGATCGCACCACTGCACTCCAGCCTGGGTGACAGAGTGAGACTCCATCTCAAAAAAATAAAAATAAAATAAAATCATATGTGTATGTTTTTGAGAAATCATCTTTCCTTGTAATGCAAAATCCTTGCAATGCAAAATCCTGTGTCAGATTTTGGTATCAGGGTAATACTGAGCTCATAAAGAAAGTTGGGAAATGGTATCCTTTCTTCTATTTTATGAATGAGTTTAGATACAATTGGCATTACCCGTTTCTTACATATTTTAGAAAACTCCCTGGTTGAGCCATATGAACCTGGAATTTTCTTAGTATAAAGTTTTCAGCTCTACATTCATTTCCTTTTAAAATATATTCCTATTTAGATTTTGTATATCTTGATGTGCCAGTTTTGGCGAATGTGTTTTGTCATATTGTCATTCTTTATATTCCCTTATTATCCCTTCAGTTTCTTTAGGACTAATAGTGCTTCTCTTGTTATTCTTAATATTGGTAGTTTGTGTGTTTCTCTTTTAAAATTCATCATTCTACTATGGGTTTATCAATTTTGGTAATCATTTCAAAATACCAATTTCTGACTTTTAAAATTTTTTCTAATGTTTGTCTACTTTATATTTCATTAATTTTGACTCTTTTCCTTTTATCTCTTTCTTGCAAAGGACATGATCTCATTGTTTTTATGGCTACATAGTATTCCATTGTGTCTATGTACCACATTTTCTTTATACAGTTTACCATTGATGGCAACTTTGCTATTGAGAATAGTACTGTGTTGAACATATGTGTGCATATGTCTTTATGGTAAAATGATTTATATTCCTTTGGATATGTACTCAATAATGAGATTGCTAGGTTAAATGATAATTCCCTTTTAAGTTCTTTGAGAAATTGCCATGCTGCTTTCCACAATGGCTGAACTAATTTACATTCCCACCAGCAGTGTATAAGTGTTCCCTCTTCTCTGAAACCTCACTAGCATGTTATTTTTTGACTTTTTAATAATAATCATTCTCACTGCTGTGAGTTGGTATCTCGTTGTGGTTTTGATGTGCATTTATCTAATGATTAGCGATGTCGAACATTTTTTCATATGCTTCTTGGCTGCATGTAGGTCTTTGAAAAGCATTTGTTCATGTCCTTTGCCCAATTTTTAAAGAGATTGTTTTTTGCTCGATAATTTAAGTTCCTTGTAGATTCTGGATATTAGACCTTTGTTGGGCGCATAGTTTGCAAATATTTTATCCCATTTTGTAGCTTGTCTGTTGACTCTGTTGACAGTTCATTCTGCTCTGCAGAAGCTCTTTAGTTTACTTAGGTCTCATTTGTCAATTTCTGTTTTTTTGTGGTCAATGTTTCTGGTGTCTTCACCATGAAATCTTAGCCAGGGCCTATTTGAGAATGGAATTTCCTAGGTTATCTTCTGGGGTTTTTACAGTTTGGGGTTTTACATTTAATTCTCCAATCCATGTTGAATTGATTTTTGTATATGGTATAAGAAGGGGTTACATTTCAGTCTTTTGCATGTGGCTTGCCCATTATCCCAGCACCATTTATTGAATAGAAAGTCCTTTCCCTATTGCTTGTTTTTATCCTCTTTGTGAAAGTTCAGATAGTTATAGGTGTGCAGCACTATTTCTGGCCTCTCATTATGTTCCATTGGTTTATGTGTCTGTTTTTGTACCAGTACCATCCTGTTTTGGTTACTGTAGCCTTATAGTATAGTTTGAGGTTGGGTAATGTGATGCCTCCAGCTTTGTTCTTTTTTGCTTAGGATTGCCTTATTTGCCCATTTTTAAGTGGATTTTTTGTTCGTTTGTTTGTTGCTTTGTTTAAGTTCCTTATAGTTTCTGGATATTAGACCTTTGTTTGGAATCATAGCTTGTGAATATTTTCTCCCATTCTGTAGGTTACTCTATTGATAGTTTCTTTTGCTGTGCAGAAGCTCTTTTGTTTAATTAGGCCCGACTTGTCAACTCTGGTTTTTGTTGCAATTACCTTTGAGGACTCAGCCAAAAATTCTCTGCCAAGACTGTGGCTGAGAAGAGTATTTCCTAGGTTTTCTTCTAGGATTTTTATAGGCTGAGGTCTTAAATTTAAATCTTTAATCGATTTTGAGTTGATTTTTGTATATGGTGAAAAATAAGGGTCAAGTTTCATTTTTTTTTTTTGTATCTGGCTAGCCAGTTATCCCAGCACCATTTATTGAATAGAGAGACCTGAGAGTTAGCTTGGTTGAATGTTCTTAGGCTACAGACTCAAGCCCACAACTTTCCTCAGTAGGGGCTTCTAAACAGAGTCTTTTCTCCATTGCTTGTTTCTGTCAGCCTTGTTGAAGAGCAGATGGTTGTAAGTGCATGGATTTATTTCTGGGTTTTCTATTCTGTTCTATGGGTCAATGTGTCTGTTTCTGTACCAGTAGCATGCTGTTTTGGTTACAGTGGCCTTATAGTTTGAATAGTGTGATGCCTCTAGTTTCATTTTTTTTACTTTTTTTTTTCAATATTTCTGGGTTACAGAGTAGGTGCATATGTTCATGTGGTACATTTTGCATGGGATTGTTTTGACTATTCAGGCTTTTTTGGCTCTGTATGAATTTTAGATCTTTTTTCTAATTCTGAGAAGAATGGTGTTGGTAGTGAGATAGAAATACCATTAAACTGTAGACTGCTTTGGGCAGTGTGGCCATTTTAACAACATTGATTCTTGTAATCTATTAGTATGGAATTTTTTTCCATTCATTTCTGTCATCTCTGATTTCTGTCAGCAGTGTTTTGCCATTAATTTTGTAGAGTTTTCTGGTTAACTGTATTCCAAGGGATTTAATTTTCTTTGTTGCTATTGTAAATGGGATTGTGTCCTTGATTTCACTCTCAGCCTGGACATTATTGATGTATGGAAATGCTACTGATTTTTGTAGAGTGATTTCATGTCCTGAAACCTTCCTAAAACTGTATATCAGTTCTAGTTGCTTTTTTGTGAAAGTTAGGGTTTTCTAAGTATATAATTATATCATCAGTGAATAGAAATAGTTTGACTTCTTATTTTTCTATTTGGATGTCTTTTATTTCTTTCTTTTGCATAATTGCTATGGCTAGGACTTCAAGTCCTATATTGAAGAAGAGTGGTAAGAATGTACATCTTTGTCCTTTTCCAGTTCTTAAGGGGAATACTTCCAGCTTTTGCCATTCAGTATCATGTTGGCTGTGGGTCTGTCATAGATGGCTGTTATTATTTTGAGGTGTATTCCTTCAAAATCTAGTCTGTTAAGGGTTTTTATCATGAAGGGATGTTGGATGTTATTGAAAGCTTTTTCTGCATCTATTGAGATGATCATGTGGTTTTTGTCTCTTATTATGTTTATGTGATGAATCACATTTATTGATTTGCATACATTGAATAAGCCTTACATCTCAGGAATAGTACCTACTTGATCACAGTGCGTTAACTTTTTGATGTGCCAATGGATTCAATTAGCTAACATTTTGTTGATGATATTTGCATCTGTATTCATCAGGGATATTGGCCTGATGATTTGTTTTTTGTTCTGTCCCTGCCAGGTTTTGGTATCAGGATGATACTGGCTTCATAGAATGAGTTAGGGAGGAGCTCCTCCTCCTCAATTTTTTGGAATAGTTTCAATAAAATTGGTAGAGTTCTTTTTTTTAAAATCTGGTAGAATTCAGCTGTGAATCTATCTGGCCCAGGACTTACTTTGGTTCATAGGCTTTTTTTATTATTGATTCTGTTTCACAGCTTGATGTTGGTCTAATCAGGGTTTCAATCTCTTCCAGGGATTCAATCTTGGGAGATTGTGTGTTTCCATGAATTTATCCATTTCTTCTAGATTTTCTAATTTGTATGCATAGAGTTGCTTATAGTATTCTTTGAGTATCTTTTGTATTTCTGTGGGATCAGTTGCAACATCATTTTTATTTCTGATTGTACTCATTTGGGTCTTCTGCTTTTTTTCTATGTTAATCTAGCTAGCAATCTACCAGTTTTGTTTATTTTTATTTTGAAGGACCAATTATTGGTTTCACTGACCTTTTGTACGTATTTTTGCATCTCAATTTCATTAAGTTTCTCTCTGTTTGTAGTTATATCTGTTATTCTGCTAGCTTTGAGCTTTTTTTTTTTCTAGTTCCTTTAGGTGCAAAGTTGGATTATTAAATTCAGATTTTTCTAACTTCTTGATGAAGGTATTTAATGCTATAATCTTTCCTCTTATCTTATTTACTTATTTATTTAAAAAATATTTATTTCCTGCTTTAGCTTCATTTCAGAGATTTTGGTTAGTTGTGTCCCTGTTTTAATTTCAAAGAATTTTTTTGATTTTTGCCTAATTTCAGTGTGCACCCATGAGTTATTCAGGAGCAAGTTGTTTACTTTCCATGAATTTGTGTACTTTTGAGAGATCTTCTTGATGTTTATTTCTAATTTTATTGCACTGTGGTTCAAGAATGTGCCTGGGATGATTTCAGTGTTTTTGAATGCATTGAGACTTGCTTTCTGATCAAGCATGTGGTTGATCTTACAATATGTTCCATGTGCAGATGAGAATGAATATTCCATGGTTGTTGGGTGGAGTGTTCTGTAGATGTTTATTAGGTCCAATTAGTCAAGTGTCAAATTTAAGTCCAGAATTTCTTTGTTAGTGTTCTGCCTTAATGATACCATCAGTGGAGCATTGAAGTCTCCCAGTATTATTGTAGGATTGTCTAAGTCTTTTGGTAGGCCAAGAAAAACTTGTTTTATGAGTCTGGGTGCTCCAATGTTCAGTGTATATACATTTAGGATAAAGTCTTCTTGTTGAATTGAACCCTTTATCATTATGTAATGCCTTTCTTTGTCCTTGGTAATTGTTGTTGGCTTGTTTCATATGCTATAAGAATAGTGACCCCTACTATTTTTGTTTGTTTGTTTTTTGTTTACATGACAAATCTTTCTGCATCCCTTTACTTTGACCCTGTGGGTTTCATTACATATAGATTGGTCTCTTCAAGACAACAGACAGTGGTGTCTTGCCTTTTTATCCAACTTACCACTCTATGCCTTTTAAGTAGGGCATTTAGATAACTTACATTTAAGATTAATATTGATATGTCAGATATTGATCCTGTCATCATGCTGTTAGCTGGATATTTTATAGACTTGACTGTGTAGTGCTTCATAGTGTCTATGGGCTATGTGCTTAAGCGTGTTTTTGTGGCAGCAGATGCTGTTCTTTTGTTCACATGTTTAGCACTCCCTTAAGGACCTGTTGTAAGGCTAGCTAAGTTGAAATGTATTACCTTGGCATTTTATTTTCTGAGAAGGATTTTATTTTTCCTTCACTTATGAAGCTAAGTTTGGGTGGGATATGAAATTCTTGGTTGGAATTTATTTTCTTTAAGAATACTAAAAATAGGCCCCCAATTTTTTCTGGCTTATAAAGGTTCTGCTGAAAGTTCTGCTGCTAGCCTGATGGGGTTCCCTTCGTACATAACCTGACCTTTCTTTCTAGATCCCTTTTCTTTTGCATTAACTGTGGTGAATCTGAAGATTATGTGCCTTGTACATCTCGTACGATATCTAGCCAGGGTTCTCTCTATTTCTTGGATTTGCATATCATCCTCTCTAGCAAGATTAGGAAGATTTTCATGGACTATATATTCGAATTTATTTTCCGAGTTGTTTATTCTCTGTCCTTCTCTCTCAGTAATGGTAATGAGTTGTAGATTTGGTCTCTTTATGTAATCTTTCTCAGAAGTTTTGTTCACTTTTAAAATTGTTTTTGCTTTATTTTTGTCTCACAGTGTTAATTCAAAGAACCGGTCTTTGAGCTCAGAGATATTTTCCTTAGCTTGGTCTATTTTGCTGTTAATATTTCCAACTGTATTATGAAGTTCTTCTAGTGAATTTTTAACTCTAGAGTTTCACTTTGGTTCTTTCTTAAAGTGGTTATTTTGTCTTTCAGCTCTTCTGTCATTTTGCTGGATTCCATGGATTGGATTTCAAATTTGTCCTGAATCTCAATGAGCTTCCATGACATCCAGATCCTGAATTCTATGTCTGTCATTTCAGTAATTTATTATGGGTAAGGAATCATTGCTGGGAAACACACAATCTAACCTTGAATGACCTTGAATGTAAATGAGTTAAATGCTTCAATTAAAAGGCATAGAGTGGCAAGTCGGATAAAGAAGCAAGACCCAACTGTATTCTCTCTACAAGAGACCCATCTCACATGCAATGACATCCAGGGGCTCAAAATAAAGGGATGGAGAAAAAATAGACCAAGCAAAAAGAAAACAGAAAAAAGCAAATGGTCTGATTCTAATTCCAGACAAAATAGACTATAAACCAATAATAATCGAAAAAGACAAAGAAGGGTATTACATGAAGGTAAAGGGTTAAACTCAACAAGAAGAACTAACAATCCTAAGAATATATACATCCAACACAGAAGTACCCAGACTTATAAAGGAAGTTCTTAGAGACCTTTGAAGAGACTTTAATAACCACACAATACTACTGGGAGACTTCAACACCCCACTGACAGTATTAGAGCATTGAGATAGAAAATGAACAAAGAGATTCGGGACTGAGCTCGACATTTGACAAAATGGTCCTAACAGACATCTACAGTACTCTCCACCCAAGAACATTAGAATATACATTCTTCTCATCTGCATATGGCACATACTCTAAAATCAGCCACACAATCGATCATAAAACAATTTTCAGCAAATTCAAAAAATCCAAAATCATACAAACCACACTTTCTCAGATTACAATGCAATAAACATTGAAATCAATACAATAAAATACATCAAAAGCATATGTGAAAATTAACCAACCTTCTCCTGAATGACTTTTGGGTAAACAACGAAATTCAGGCAGAAGTCAAGAAATTCTTTGAAACTAATGAGAACAAACATACTACATATCAAAATCCCTGGGGCACATATAAAGCAGTATTAAGAGGTAAGTTTATATCACTAAAGAAAAAACTACATCAGAAGATTGGAAAGATTTCAAATTAACATCCTAACATCACACCGAGAGAAACTAGAGAAACAAAAGCAAATCAGTCCCAAAGCTAGCAAGATAAAGGAAACAACTGAAATCAGAGCTGAACTGAAAGAAATTGAGATGCAAAAACCCATACAAAAGATTAACAAATCCAGGTTTTGTTTCTTCAGAATAACACATCAGATTGATAGAGCATTGGCTAGACTAATAAAGCAAAAAAGAGAAGAGAGAAAAATAAACACAGTCAGAAATGACAAAGGGAACATTACCACCAACCCCAAAGAAATATTTTTTAAAAACCCTCAGAGACTACTATGAACAACTCTATGCACACAAACTAGAAGAAATTAATAAATTATTAGAAACATACAACCTCCTAAGATTGAACTAGGAAGAAATTGAAACCCTGAACAGACTAATAACAAGTTCCAAGATTGTGTTAGTAATAAAAAGCCTACCAACCAGAAAAAGCCCAGGATCACAGGAATTCACAGCTGAGTTCTACCAGATGCATAAAGAAGAGCTAGTACCTTTCCTCTGAAACTATTCTGAAAATTTGAGGAGGAAGGACTCCTCCCTAATTTATTCTATGAGGCCAACATCATTCTGATACTAAAACCTGGCAGAGATACAACAAAAAAAGAAAACTAGCAAAAAAAAGAAAATACTAGCAAACTGAATCCAGCAGCACATTAAAACTCTAATCCACCACAATCAAGTAGGCTTTATACTTGGAACACAAGGTTGGTTCAACATATGCAAATTAGTAAATGTGATTCACCACATAAGCAGAACTAAAAACAAAAACCGTCTAATCTTCAACAAGGCTGACAAAAACAAGCAATGGGAAAAGCACTCCCTATTCAATAAATGGTGCTGAGATAACTAGACAGCCATATGCAAAAAATGGAAACTGAACCCCTCCCTTATACCATATATGAAAATAAATCCAACATGGATTAAAGACTTAAATGTGAAACCCAAAACTATAAAAACCCTGGAAGATAACCTAGGAAATTCCATTCTCAGCATCGCCCCTGACAAAGATTTCATGACAAAGATGACAAAAGCAAAAATTAATAAATGTGAACTAATTAACCTAAAAAGCTTCTGCACAGCAAAATAAACTATCAACAGGGTAAACAGACAACCTATAGAATAGGATAAAATATTTGCAAATGCATGCCTGTAGTCCCAGCTACTCGGGACGCTGAGGCAGGAGAATTGCTTGAACCCAGGAGGCAAAAGTTGCAGTGAGCCGAGGCCGCACCACTGCCCTCCAGCCTGGTGACAGAGCGAGACTCCATCAAAAAAAAAAAAAAAAAAAGTTGTCAAGGCTGGGCACAGTAGCTCACGCCTGTAATCCCAGCACTTTGGGAAGCCAAGGCGGGTGGATCACCTGAGGTCAGGAGTTTGAGACCAGCTTGGCCAACATGGCGAAACCCCGTCTCTACTAAAAATACAAAAATTAGCCAGGCATGGTGGCAGGTGCCTGTAATCCCAGCTACTGGGGAGGCTGAGGCAGGAGAATCTCTTGAACCTAGGAGGTGGAGGTTGCAGTGAGCCGAGATCACACCACTGCACTCCAGCCTGGGTGACAAGAGTGAAACTCCATCTCAAAAAAAATAAAATAAAATAAGACATACACTTTGCCAAGAAGCATATGAAAAAAATGCTAAACATCACTAATCATTAGAGAAATGCACATCAAAACCACAATGAGATACCATCTCACACCAGTCAGATGGGCTATTGTTAAAAAGTCAAAAAATAATAGATCATGCTGGCGAGGTTGCAGAGAAAAGGGAATGCTTATGCATTGCTGGTGGGAATAAAAATTGGTTCAGCCATTATGGAAAGCAGTGTGGCGATTTCACAAAGTACTTAAAACCAAAGTAGCATTCAACCCAGCAATCCCATTATTGGGTATATACCCAAAGGAATATAAATCATTGTGCCATAAAAACATATGCACAAGTATGTTCATCACAGGCATATTCACAATAGCAATGTCATGGAATCAACGTAGATGCCCATCAATGGTGAACTTGATAAAGAAAATGTGGTACAAGTATACTATGGAATACTATGCAGTCATAAAAAAGAATGAGATCATATCTTTTGCAGCAACATGCATGGAGCTGGAGGCTATTTTCCTGAGTGAACTAACATAGGAACAAATAACTAAATACTACATGTTCTTACTTATAAATTGGAGATAAACGTTGAATACACATAAACACAAAGAAGGGAACAACAAATACTTGGGCATAGTTGAGATTGGATGGTGGCAAAAGGGTGAGGGTCAGAAAACTGACTATCAGGTACTATGCTTATTACCTGGGTGATAAATCTGTTCACCAAACCCCTGTGACAAGCAATTTTACCTATATAACAAATCTGCACATGTATAACTGAACCTAAAAGTTAAAAAATTAAAATTAAAAAAGTAAAAGTTATCCCAAAACAAGCAGACAAATAAGGAAAGCAAATAAAAAAAATATTATCATTGCTTGGGGTCTGGTGGACTCATTTGGAGGTATGGGGAAACTGGCTTTTTGAATTGTCAGAGTTCTTGCACTGGTTCTTTCTCATCTGGAAGCATTGGCGTTCCTTTACCTGTGGTGTAACTTGAGTATAGTCACTTGGCTTTGTTTCTGAATGTTTTCAGATAGCCAAGGCTTTGTGCAGGGTCTTTATTTGTGGCTGGATTCTTGCCTTTGATTTCACTGGGGGATATTAGCAAAATATTTTTGGTGTTGTAGCAGTTTTGGCTGCAATCCAGTAGACGTCGCTTAAGAGTAATGGACAGTAGATAGGCTCTTGCTCAGGCCTGTGGTTCCCTTGTACTTCCTCACATCTACAGCCTGGTCTCCAGTACAGCGGGGAAAGAAGTGACCCCCTCACCAGGTCCGCTCCTGAGCCTTGGGGGAAGCCCCTCCGGTCACTAGCACTGCACCATCATTTCTTTTGCTAGGTGTTCCAGGCTGCGGGGCTCCCTCAGGCAGAGGCCACCGCAGGGAGATAGGCCATACGTTTTCCAGGCGTACCCTGCTCCCACAGCAGCCGAGGAACCCACGCGGTTACCCCTCTCAGTGCTCTGAGAGTGTGGGTTTCTCTTCCCGCTCTAGTGTGGGACCTGGGGCGAGCTCGGGCTTTTTATTCCCTCCCCAGCTTGGGGGAGCAGGGGACGGGACCTTGGCGGTGTCAGTGGCAGAGGGCTTGTCATTTGTCTCTGGGAACTCCACCCCAGAGAAATTCAGAGCCGCTGCCAATCAGAATGACCAGCCCGGGATGGGACGTTTGTGCTGTGGGCCCAAGCCCAGGGCCCTCCCTAGTGAAGAGCAGAGGGATCGGGGGCTTGTTGCAGGGACTGTCTGGCCTCCTCTCCATAGAGCAGCTGTGGCATGCTGGATGTGCAAGCACAGCAAGCAGGCTCTTTGTTCCCTCCCTAGCCTGGGGGGTGGCAGCAGTGGCAGATGGCCTGTCAGCTGCCTCTAGCAACTCCACCCAGAGCTACTGCTACTGCCAAGGGGAAGGATCCAGGGGTGGGGAGGCTGTGCTGTGGGCCCAAGCCGGGCCATGTCTGGTGAAGAGTAGCGGGGGTCAGGGTCTCGCAAGGAAGACAATCTGGCCTTCTCTCCCTAGGACAGCTGCAGTCAGGCTCTTTGTTCCCTACCTAGCCTGCGGGGAGCAAGGAAGGGCCTTACACTCAGCTGGTGATGGCACAGAGCCTGCCGGTTGTCTCTGGGAGCTCTATCCCAGAGAAACTCAGGGCCACTGCCAAATGAAAGATCAAGTGGGGGTGGGGCGGTTGTGCTGGGACCCCAGGCCGGGAGGCCCTGTCCAGTGAGGAGTAGCTGGGACAGGGACCCACGTGGAAAATAATCTGGCCGCTTTTCTGTATGACAGCTCTTCGTATGACAGCTGCCTTGCTGAAGGTCTAGGACAGTTCCTGTGCTCTTCGATCCCTCCCCAGCCTGAGGGCAGCATGTGGGAGACCACAGTACCAGAAATCTCAGGCCTATTGGTTACCTCTGGGAGTTCCTTCCCAAAGAAATGGAGAGCCCTGACTGGCCTGAGTGTTCAGGTGAGAGTGGGGTGGCTGCGTGGGCAACCCAGGCTAGTGGGTTTTGCCTGGTTTGCTAAAGCAAGCGGGGCCTGCAGTCAGTCTGCTCCTCAGCACCGTGGATGCAGCCCCTATTCTAGAGGCATGCAAGAGAGCTGGCCTCCCTTGTTGGTGGGGCTATGGCAGCTGGCACCAAGGTGCTCAGGGCCCCAAAGCTCATGGGGCTCCAGGTGAGCCTAGCTGCAGCTCTGTCCAGACTCAAGTAATCTCTCTGTGTTGGTCTGGAGGCCCCCCGGGGTCACGGGAGATCTCCTGTGCCAGGATTGCAAAGGCCCATGGCAGAAGTGTGGGTCCCAGGAGGTTCTTATTCACCCTTTCCCTATGGTAGGGAGCCTCACCTGGCTCTATGCCAATCCTGGGTGGACTGCTTTCCTGCCTGGCCCCTTTCTGCTGTCCATCGATTGCAGTTGCTTCCTTGATGAATCCTAACATGGCCTCATGGATGAGCCACTTGAAGAGCTAGTGTTTACTCACCACCCTGTCTCCCTCTCCATGAGTGGCACATGATAGCTGCTTCTGGCACCTCTCCCTATTCTGTACTTCTTTATTGATAATACATGAGCAACGTTATCCTACATGCTAATCAAAATCAGTGGTTTTCATTTCTGTGGTTGATTTTTAAGGGTAAGCTTACTTTCATGCTTATAAGCCTTTTCATTTTTTCCTTTGTTCATTGCCCACATTTCCTTCTATGTACCTATTTCATATTCATTTAAGCAAATTCTTTATGTATTAGATAAATTTTTATTATTTATATCAATTTTTAGTAATTTTTATTTTAATTTTTATGCATGGTTGTCCTCTTATACAGTCTTGGAGTAGGGAGAAAATATTCAATTTACATGCAAACCTTATAATCGTGCAGAAAATAATCTCCACATCTATATGCCATAGAAATATTTTCAGCATTTTTCTGCCTTTTGCCCATATAAACTTTTTTCATTTTTACATATCAAAATATGTAGAAGACATCAAGATTTAATGTATCTTTTTATTTTCATTTTCTTTGTCAAACTTCAATGGCCTTTCTCACCTCCAAGATTGCAAACTTTTTATCCTATATTTTACCACCATTTTTGTTTGTTTTCTGAAGAAGCTGTCAACATATAGACAGGTTTGTCAAAGACTTTTGCCACTAGCATTACAGATTCTATCAAATATACTCATACAAAATTTAATTTAGAAAAAATAATTAGAGAGACAATAACATGAGAGGTGCTCTCTACAATTCAGTTCATGCCAGACCGTGGCTGATTGATGTGTTCCTTGAGCCAGGAGCTGGGAAAGTGGCTTCTTGTCCTCTCGGCCTCCTGGTTATTGCAGGGATAGGTCACCTAGCAGGTTAGTTCTACAGTGTTTTTCTGGCAACAACTTCTGTAATAGATGCCCAGCATAAATAATGGTCTTCTATACTTGAAAAATTTTATAAGTACCTAATTTCTCACATTAGACCCCACTATTAATACAGGAGTTATTAAGAAATTATTTTTAGGCAGCTAGAAAGGGTAAAAGAGTCCTCGCAAAGGCTTTTCCTTTTAATAAAAAAGCAGCCCCCAAACTACTTCTTTTCTAACAGAAAGCAGCCTGAAAAGCCATGCTGGAAGCCTAGGTATGTAAATTACAGGCTTGCAGAAGTAAATGCAGGTGGCTAAGAGACAGGTCCACTCAATATGACTGTTCCCACTCACTTTACTTTGTTGCCACATGTGCTGGTGTCATGGCACCAGCCAAGTAAAGCACATGTGCAGGCATCATGGCGACAGCCAGGTAGAAGCCGCATTTGCAGAATAAAAGATTAGGGTGGGAGGTCCAGTCTTTTCATGGGTTGTGTGAATGACACACCTGGTCAAACGAATCCCCTGGGCCCTATGCAAATCAGACACTACCTCCTTGAGCCTCCCAATGTAACTGACTGCTTTCCCCGCAAGTGGGGTTATTCCATTCAGAGCCCGCCTCCCTCTGTATGGGGGAGCTCTTCTCTTCCTTCTTGCCCAATAAACTTTCTGCTCCTTAAACCGCTCCATGTGTGAGTCCGTGTCATTAATCTGCACAGCATGAGACAATGAACTGCAGGTATTTCCCCAGACAACGAAGCTGCTTCACTATGTTGAAAATAACTGGAGTGATTTATGTAATCTATAATATAATATGTAGTACTAAATATCTGATAATGTCTAATAATCATCGTGAAGCTCTGAAGAAAAAATAAGTGAAATAATTTCATGACATTTTACCATGAAACAAATTGGCTTCCTTTCTTATCTCTCTACCAAATTTGGGGGGGAAATATATATTTATTTATATATTGATTAAATGTATAAAAATATATATTTATAAATATATAAAAATATTTTACTTATTTTATATGTATATGTAAATATACATATTTATAAAATATATATAAAAACATTAAAATATATATAATTTTTAATATATTTATGTATAAAAGACTATATATAGTCTTTTTCAGAACATACTTGCCACATACATTTGGTTTTTGATATTTTACAGCTTATTAATCTCTGCCTAAAATCTTGCTGATGTTGCTCTAACCAATAGAGGAAAGCATTGTAGATGACTGCTCCTTTGCTTAAAACATTAAAATGGATTCTTACCACAATTAAGATTTGAAAAAATTCTTACCTCAGACTAAAAGACCCTTGCAGTCACATAAAACTTAACTCCTAAATTTCTTAACACTTACTCATTATACTTCAACCACTCTGGGGTTTCCTTTATATTCGTTAAATAAAATAAGTTTATTCTCTCATTATGCATAACTCTCCCCCATTGCCTACAGTGGTACCTGGCAAATGGGAGGTACTCAGTGAAAAACAGGACTTGTTAAATGAATGATATGAATTCCAGCCAGAATTCCTCCTTCTCAGTTTCTTATTATAAAGTCCACTTGACAGACTACATGTCGACTCAATAACCTCTTCATGGAAGTTTTCACTTCCTGGTTTCGAAGGGTATAAATCATAGGATTCATCAATGGAAAGATCACTGTGTGAAAGAAAGAAACCACCTTGTCAGCTGGTAAGGCCCTGAAGGGGTGCATGTAGATGAAGATAGCAGGTCCAAACATAAGAAGTATAATAATGACATGAGTGGTGCACGTGGACATGGCCTTGTTCTTCAATTCAGAAGCTGCCTTACGAACATGGCACAGGATGACTGCATAGGAAGCCAGAAGCCCCAGAAAGACAGGAGTGTCATCAGGCCACTGTTGAAGACCATCAGAAGCTCCACCACAAACGTGTCGGTGCAAGCCAGCTTGATGACCTGTGGGACATCACAGAAGAAGTTGTCCAGCTGGTTTGGGCCACAAAAAGGCAAGCGGAGGATGAGGACCACCTGGATAATGGAGTGGACAAAACCCCCAAGCCACAGAGCCAACATCATTGCATAGCAAGCTCTGGGGTTCATGAGAGTAGAATAGTGCAGAGGCCGGCAGATGGCGATGTAGCGGTCAAAGGCTACATCACAAGGAGTAATCCCTCTCCTCCTCCAAGGAAGTGCAAGAAAAAGAGCTGAGTGATGCAGCCTCTGTAGGAGATTACATTCTTCGCAGAGAGGAAGTCCACCAACATCCGGGGAGCCACAATGAAGGAGTAGGATGCATCCAGGAAGGCCAAGTTGCCCAGAAAGAAATAGAGGGGTGCTGTGAGCCCAGGATCTGACTTTATGGTGAAAATGATGAGGAAATTTCCAGGGAGGATGATAAGGTAGAAAATTAAGATCAGCACAAAGACCAAGAGCTGAATATCTTGAGACTGAGTCAGACCAAGGAGGATAAATTCTGTCACTACTGTGTTGTTTGCTATCTTTATTTCTTCTGCCTGTAGAATATCAATAAAAGAGTTTATTTTCAGGTGTTACATCTAGATTATAGTTCTTGAACTAAACACAAGGTATGCCACATTTATATTACTCTATCTATCTCAACAACCTGAGAAATCACTATTGTTTATGCTTCCTCATTTCATGATGGCCAACACCCGGGTCCTGAAGCCACACTCTTCCTTCTGTTTCAGTCCTGTGCTTCTGTTTAAGTGTTCACTCATGCAAGATTTGGGTGCTACTGCTCTGAATTTGTTCCTGATTTTTATGAGGCACATGAAAGTTTTTCTGACTGAGAAAAAACTTAACCCCAGTAATTGAGGTCTTCATGTTTTGCTTTGAATGGAAGATGAGCTGGGATTGACAGCAAAGAAGAATGACAGAGCTTTTCAAGGGGACAGAAATGTTCCATTTTTAATTATAATGGTTATATGTATCTATTCTTGTCAAAACTTATTGAGTATTGAACCATACGGCAATTAGTACAATTTGTTTTATATAAATGCTACCTTAGGAATGTTTATCTAAAAACTTTTATAAAGGCAACTGTACTTACCAGAAGTAATTCCCTTTTCTCTATAGAACATCAACCGAATGAACTAGTCTAAATAAAAAGACTCTCGGTCACTCTGGAGAAAACAAGATCTGAGGCTTCTCTGTACAGTGGCCTCCAAATTGAGACTGTGCTCATGTTTGGGGATGTGCATAATAATTTATTGGTATGAAAGCAATAATAGGAGATTTTCTACACTTACATTATTGTATCCTATTCTTTGAAGTTTTATTTTTGAACGTTTTACAGTTTATATAGAATCATGGTATAATTAAATATGAAATGCATAAAGAAGATATGTATGTTTTTGGTGCATGCTCAAAAAATGGTTTGTGGTTGAAATAAAAAAAAATTAAAAGCTAAAGATCTTGAGCTAGAACAAAACACTACAATGTGATACAGAAAAATATTTCATATGCTTCTGTTAAATGGCACAATTGTTTTAAAATAATGTGGAATATGAAGTGTAGAGTAGAGGGAAAGAGGTTCATTAACTAACTGAATGAGGAGACAGCGTGTAAGAGGAGAGGGAAAGAAATAAAAACAATAAAGTACCAAATTAAGAAATCAAAGAAAATATTTATAATGACACATCTATTTGAAACATCAGAAGATATGCTTTTAAAAATATATCTAACCCTAATATATTAATTAATAGCAGAGGTTTTCAGCAGAGGTTTAAATTGGGAATTATGAAAGAAGTACCTAGGCCAGGCACTGTGGCTCACACCTGTAATCCCACCCTTTTGGGAGACCAAGGCAGGTGGGTCACTTGAGGCCAAGAGTTCGAGACCAGCCTGGCGAAACCCTGTCTCTACTAAAAATATAAAAATTAGCTAGGCGTGGTGGCAGGAGCCTGTAGTCCCAGATACTTCACAGGCTGAAGCATGAGAGTTGCTTGAACCTGGGAGGTGGCAGTTGCAGTGAGCCCATACCGCACCACTGCACTCCAGCCTGGGTGACAGAGCAAGACTCTGTCTCACAAAAAAGAAGTATCTTACATCACATGTATGTACATCACACAGACACACATAAATACACACAAACACACGTATTGTATCCTAACCAAAACAGAAGCATAAAGTTTTACATATGGTACCCTTCTTCTTTTCTTATTTCTTATTTTTTTTTGGCACTTGGCAATTTATTGATCTTCATATTTATCAGTCTTTCTGTGCATATAAAACCTGCTCATAGAAAAGTCAGGAATCGCTCTCTGCTTACTCTTAAGTTGTGTGCATCTTGCACGTTATTATGCAGTTTGTTATTTCACACTCTTTCAAAAACTGAGGATGTATTTGGGTCATAGGAGAAACTTTCAAGTATCTCTGAGATTGGGAGTTTTAGGTTCTTGCACTGTACCTTGCATTTTATTCCCTATCATCCACTTCTGTTCTCCTATTGACTCTGTAACATCTGGAACCCACTACCATCAAATATCTTTGATTCACTGTGTTCCCGTTGTGTACTTCCCGCTAAGCTCTTTTGTTATACCAGCAGTGCTCACATCATGCTCATTATGGATCCAGAGACCAAATATATATATTCATAAGGTGGACATTCCTCTAGGTAAAATGAATTAAGTCCCAGCAAAATAAAAGCACAGAAATTCCTGCAAAGACAAGCTTGGTCTTGTCTAACTATATTAGAAGAACATAACTATATTAGAAGGATCACTGTCAGTGGAAGCTGAAATAGAAATCTGAATGACTGCCATTCCCTCTATCTTATATTTCAATTTCAACAGAAACAAACTTTCATCTGCTCCTGACAATGCTGGAGCAGCGCAGAAGAGGAAAGAGTAATGGGTGGGGGCACACACGCATTCCAGCTAAAGGCTGCCCTGTGCACTGTTCATGCTTAGAGTCTAGGCTCTTGTTAGAAAATTCATGGAGCAGGTGTTTGGAGACTTGATTCCCATTCACAGGCACTAATTCACTCATTTTTCTTTATATTTCCTCATACCTCCTTTTAAAATATTTATTTTATGGCCTTCCACTCCCATCTCACTAAATATTTCTACACTTCATTTTTTAAGTTACACTTTTACTTAAGTTGATTTCTTTTTCTCTATTTTTATCTTCTCCCTTTTTCTCTCTCGTATTTGTCCTCTAATGATTCCCCTTGCTTTTCTCTTGTTTCTCTTCTATTTTTTCTCCTCTGTTACTTTTATTTCTCAATGTCCTTGCAGTTTCCAATATTTTTCCACTCTCTCTTCTTGTCTTCTCTATTCATTTCTCCTTTATTAGATCGCATATTTGCCTTCCCATTAATTCTGAGAAGCATCACTATTGTTTTCTTTTGAAACAATAGTAAAGACAGCACATGAAGTTTCTTCACTCCAATTTTTCTAAGAGTTAAAAATAACTAACCCACCTTTCAGTACTAAATTACTTTCCTTGAATAGTATCCTCCTTAAAATATACTTTGTAAATACTTTTAAATTATTTCCCATTACCTCAAATATTTTGTCTGTTTATAACTGATCTTAGTAAAAGTGGCACTATTCACCTTTATGCTTGAAAGAAATTTCTCATTAATCCACCCTACCAGCAAAAACACATTTTATAAATGTCCCCGAAATAAGAATAAGAATGTGATGTCTATTAATATGTGCTATCTGGTTTGTAACCCATAACCTAAATAATCACTAATTTTTTGTGTGTTCTGAAAAATGTGGATAAAGTTAAAGAGTATTATCAAATCATTAACTGATACCAATGTTTATAATGCCATGATTTCTAGGCAAAGTAATGGATGCCATTTAAAAAGCCCTCATTTGGGCATCTGTCTATCTGGGTTTAAATTCTTCATCCTGCAATTTTTTTAACCCTGAGATCTTGGGAAGGTCATCTCCCTAGCGTGAGCTATTTTATCTCACTGTCTTGATTTATGAATATAATAAGATGAGAATGATAGCAATAATTAGCATATTGAAGTCCGACTAAACCAAAAATAAACAAGGAAAAAATGTAGATATTAAGAGGGCCTTTAGTTTCTAAGAAGTAAATATATAATATAGATCCTCTGTCCCTGCCTTTGAAATGAGTCACTAGGGTAATGGTAGCTACATAAATTTTAGAGATTACAAGAAAAGAATTTATGGAGGCTTCACTTCAGCCAGCTCTCAAAGTCCCAGATTGGTATATGGTAAGACTATTTGTAAAAGAACCTCTCATCCCTGCAGGTGTGGGAACTAGACAGAGCTAGTCTCCTGCAAAATCGTGAAGTTGGTGAAGATTTTCTCTGCACTCTGGCATTTCTGCATTGGATATGATTTCTGTTCCCTCATGCCTTTCAGTTAATAGATATAGGTTTAGGACCAAGTATAAACATTCCCAAGGCAATGTTAATAAAGGCTTTATATATTCCTAATAAATTAATTCTAAATATTAGGAGAAACTGGAGCTATATTATTAAGAACAGGTAAAAGGTGCTACTGTGTTACCGAATTCAGATTCAACATATTAATCTATGTCTGTTATAATTTTGATCTTTGCATTTCAAAGCAGCAGATGTCCCACCTGAGGTGTTACAATATCTGTTTCCATTTCTTCCTTCTTTATGTTCCTTATAAATACGGAGAATGACAAAAACATTTACGTCTCTAGTAATCTAAAGCTCTTCTCATACGGCAGATATAACCTCCTTCTAATAGAAGGAACAATAACTGATTTTTCCTGACTTCATTCTTAAATATCTCTTCTCAAAGAGGAATATCTTACACTTTGAAATCTGCAATCAATTTGTGATGCAATGGAGAATAATACACTTTGGGAATTTGAAGGCTAAAAAAGCTGCAAAACACTTTCAATTGTGGAAATGCCATCAAAATACAGTCAAAGAATGAGACTAGAAACATGTTATATATAAATAGTGAAGTATATATGATTTAAAAGTCACTATGTCACTTCTAAGTTTTAAAATCAACATTCTATCAGTGACAGACATTACAGAATAGCCAGCATGTTTATTAGGTCCATGTGGGCAGAAAGCCGAAAGAGGTTATTTTATTTCTTACATTACTATTTTTTTTTAAAAAAGTATATAATAGGAAATCATTGATATAACAAGAAAGGAAGTAATGTGGTCAGGTAGGTAGTATGTTAAATTCAGTATCTTTCTGGTGACAAAGAAACAGGCAAAGAAAAATAAACGATGTTCACAAAGACTCTTTGGCATAATCCTTCTTGGAGAGGAGAACTGCATGTTGAAGGACTAATTCCTCACAAAGAGATGTATTCTTAAATACACCTTATTGTGGTCTTGACCTTTGTTGTTTTCATTTTAGGAATAAGTGTCTCCTATGTTCCACTAAAGCAATATCAACTATGTTTTTAAGCTAAATATTACTAAACAGAAGAAAAGTAATTAAGAATCATATAGTAGAACACAATATAATTAAATTTCAGTAGATTTATTTTTATTTAAAAAGATTTTTTATTTTAAAAATTAAAATACTAAACAATTTTTCAACAAATATAATGCATACTCAAAAATATTTTGTTCTAATTTATGTCCAATTCAGAAAAAAAGTGGGAAAAATGGAAAATGGGGAAAAGAGAAAAAGGGAGAAAGAGATACACAAAATCATAAAGGTAAAAAAAGAGCGGGGAGAAATGCAAGAACAGGAACAAATGCAAAGACAGTAATGGAATAATAGGAAATGAAAAGACAGAGAGGCATGAAAATGCATATTTTGCAAAACTATATGTACCAAATAAACTAAAAAACACAGTGTTTACTTTCTTAAAAGAAACAGAAAACAAGTGATGTAAGTAAAGAAACATATGTGGAAAAACATTCCCATCTTAGAGTATATTACAGTCTTTCTTGCTACCAAAGACTTTTTAAAATATGATTTTTTCATAATTATAGACATAATTAGGGACTTTGCTTCCTAATGTTTTCCACAATACTTAAAATGAAGGCAGTCTCATGATCTAAATTAATCCTTAGAATGGAGGCTTGTTATTCCTGCTAGGAAAGATTTGTCTCCCTAGACTATCTTAGAAGCTAAAACCATGAACCAGGCTGTATTGTAGTGTCTACAATGCAGCACCGAACAAGACAGAAAAATGTCCCTGTTCCTGGGGATTTTACATCCTAATGCATGGAAACAGACAACAGACAAACACACCAGAGAGAAAACAATTGATTGTAATGAGTGCTATGATAAAAGTGTAAGAGATAGGGGAAGAGACTACTATTCCAAGTGAGCTGGCCAGGGAGGGCCTTTCTGACAAGGTGACAACATTTCAGCTAAGATCTGAATGACAAAACTACACCATCTCTATGAAGATCTGAAGATAGACTTGTTGAAAGCTCATGAAGGAAGAGACTAGCGCATTGAGAAGCAGAAAGAAGGCTAGTGTGGCAAGACAGTAGTGAGCAAATGGAAAAAAGTGTAAGGGAAATTAGAGAGGTAGAGCCGACATAGGCCAAATGGCAATCGGTCAACATACTATGTGTGAGATGTAACAGGCAGAGGAGTGTTCCTATCTGATTTACATATTTAAAATGTTGTGCTGATTACTGAGTGAAAAACGGGCTATAGAATGCAAGAAGTGGAGGCAAGGGGAACAGTAGGGAGCATTTGAAGTACTATTCATATAAATAAGAGATGATGGTAGGTTAGGTTAAGAGGTAAAAAAGAAGACAGAAGAAAGTATTTATACCAAAGATAACCTTTGGAGAGATAATCAATGGGACTTATTGAAGGACTGCATATGAGAGGTGTGGAAGCAAGCATAACTCAGAATTTTTAATGGTATAGCCATAAGGTTGGAAATTAGGCAGTGTGCTTTAAACATACTTGACTTTAAAAATGTATTAAATTTTTTAATAGGTAACATATTCACATTTTTAAATAAAAAATACTTCATACAGTGAGAAATGTCCTTCTTATATCTGTCCCCTATATGCCCATTTCACCCCATACCTCAAAATTTGGAAGCTAATATTAATTTTTGTGTCCTTCAAGAAATTTATGTGCATTTACAAGCAAGCATGAAAATAAATTCTTGGTTGTATTTCTTAGAATATAATTTATATACATTAGAATACACATATCTAAGTGTCCAACTTGGTAACTTCTCTTAAATATATGCACTTTAGAAACTACTATTCCAAACAAGATAAAGAATATTTCCATCACTCCAGAAAGGTTTCTTGTGATCTTTGCCATCCACCCCACCCATCTATCACCTTAATGAGCTTTCATCTTCTAATTCCTAATAGCATAGGTTAGTTTTGCCTTTTCTTGGATTTTATAAAAACAGAAGTATATGATGTGTTATTTTGTATCTGGCTTTTAAACTCAGCATTATGATTTAGAGATTCATGTGTGTTGTTGCATTTTCTGTAGTTGTTTCTTTTTACTGCGGACTAATGTTTCATTATATAGTTAACCCTAAGTTTGTTTATTATCATTTTATCCTTTTATGGACATTTGGGTTGTTTCAAATCTTAGGCCACCAATAAGGTTTTCATTAGCATGCTAATTTAAATCATTTCATAGACATGTCTTGGCTAAACACGAGTGGGATTATCAGGTCATAAGGTAGCTGTTTGTTTACATCTACCTGAAATTACCTGAAGTTTCTATTAAGTTTTTCAGAGTGGTTAGCCATTGTAAATTCCCAACATCAATGTATGAGAGTTCAAGTTACTCCAACAATTAATTCACCAACATTTGGTGTTGTGTTTTACTTATGCCATTATATTTTCTGCATTTCTAATACTTTGATATCTTGTGCCTTCCTAACCCTGGAAGAACTGTCCCTCCTATGGCTAGCCAATTCCTAGAGATGGTAAAAGCCTCACTTGCAACCAATCCAGAACCCATACTCCAGCCACTTCTTTTATCAGGCACCTATAGCGCTATTACACTCCAGGCCACTATTTCCCTTCCTTAATCACCCTAGGGCCAAGTACCAGACACTTAGAGACAGCCCCTATCCTCCAGAGCCCACTGGAATTATTCAATCTAGCCAATCCTAAACCTGCTTATCCTGCCCCATCCATTTATTTCCACAGAAACTATGATAAAGGCTCTTACCCACATTTTTCCCATTTCCCCAATCACCTAACCAACCTCCTATTTCTAGGGATTTGTGAGTCTAAAAACTTCTTCCTTTCATGACAGTCATTTCCATGACAGTGTGTCTTACCATTCCTGATTAAAATAAATACCAGGCACCTTTAAAACAATTGGTGCAGCAGAAAAGGTCTACATCTTGATGGCAGCTACATTGTTTTTGTCAGTAGTTGCCACAGGCTCCCAACATAAAATTGTGGAGCTCGGAAAGCTGAGTCCTCCCAGAGCTGCTGCATAGTCTAGAGTGTCAAGTGCCTGGGACTGAGTACCTGGAGGCACTCACTATATTTCTCCATGTTGGTAGAGCATCCGGGGTCCAGGAGAGAGCACGTGAGGGTGACGACGTATTGGTAATTGGCTATATAAGCTTCTAGAAAGATTCCTCCGAAGGGGATGAGAACTGACTGCCTTCCTAGTGCCAAAGAGGAATCTGGTCCACTGACCAGGCAGCACTAACAAGCAATGGGGAAACTGAGTCATTTTTATGGACGTGTCTAGTCTCCAATATGTTATATGATCCTGGGGCACTAGATAAACTCCTTCCTCTTTTCCTTCTAAGCTAGTTTGTCCTGTTTCTCAGAGTAGTGGGAGCGTGCTCTGCCTGAACACTTGATTGTGTGCTATGGACCATTCCCTGCTGAGTAATGACATGCATCTTTTCATGAACTTGCTAATCACTTCTGTATCTTCTTTTCTGGAATGTCTGTTCAAATTTTTTGCTGATTTTTCTTTACTTGAAGACAGAGAGAAACAGGGAGATTAAGAGAGACCAAATTTTCCTCCCAGTGTATGGTTTTCTTATTATTTTGATGATAGTATATCTTGATGAGCAGTAATTTTTAATTTTTTGAGGTTCATTTGATCACTTTTTATGATTACAGCTGCTTTTATGCTGCTTAAGAAATCATTACTTATTCCAATTTTGTAAGCAAATATATTCTTCTATGTTTTCTTCTAGATACTTATATTTCTAGTTACTACATTTAGGAGTATAATCCAGCTCTGAAGAAGCTATTATTTGATTATATTTTCACTGAGATGAAAACTATTTCCTCTTGTCATAATATAACTCTTCACTGGTTTACATTTTTGTTGTTAAAGAAGTGAGATCAGCCGGGTGCGGTGGCTCATGCCTGTCCCAGCACTTTGGGAGGCAGAGGCGGGTGGATCATTTGAGGCCAGGAGTTCAAGACCAGCCTGGCCAACATAATGAAACCTCTTCTCTACTAAAAATACAAAAATTACTCGAGCATGGTGGCACAGGCCTGTAATCCCAGCTACTCAGGAGGCTGAGGCAGGAGAACTGCTTGAACCTGGGAGGCAAAGGCTTTAGTGAACCGAGATCGAGCCACTGCCCTGGAGCATGAGATACAGAGTGAGACTCTGCTACAAACAAAAAAAAAAAAAAAAAAAAAAAAGGAAAACAAGAAGGAAGGAAGGAAGGAAGGAAGGAAGGAAGGAAGGAAACCAGTGAGATACTATCCTGACTGCCTTTCCCTTGAAGATGATCTCTGCTTTCAACGTCTGCTTAGTTGTCTTTGTTGATCTGCAGTTCTACTATTATGTGCCCAAATGTGCATCTTTTTTTGTTTTGTTTTGTTTTGCTTTTTGTTTTTTTCTTGTCGCAGAGTCTGGTTCTGTCACTTAGGGTGACACACAGTGCACTGTTGGGATCATAGCTCACTGCAGCCTCAAACTCCCAGGCTCCATTGATCTCTCACCTCAGCCTCCAGAGTAGCTGGGACTACAATTAGGCATCACCACCCCAGCTAATTTTTTTTTGTTTTTTTGTAGAGACCGGGTTTCGCCATGTAGTTCAGTTGCTCTCAAACTCCTGTGCTCAAGTGATCTGCCCGCCTTGGCCTCCCAAAGTGTTGGGATTATAGGTACGAGTCACCACACCTGCCCCCTAAATGTGTATTTTAAAACATTTATCCTATTAATATTTTGGTGGGATTCCTGATTATGAAGTTTGGTGTCTTTTATTAGGTTTGGAAAAATGTCAGCAATATTTCTTTAATATAGCCTCCACTACATTTTATCTACCCTTTCCTTTGAAATTAATGAGATATATTTAGATCGTTTTGTTCTATTTTCAATGTCTTTTAGTCTCTTCCTACCAGTATGTTTCTTCCCTGCATAATTCAGTTCCTTAGCTGTATATGCTAAGTTACTGATTCTAATTTACAACTAAATACATTTGTTGAATTTTTAATCTGAATCTGAATTTCTCTTTTTCTTAATATTTTCTGTTTATTTTTACAGCGTCTTTATCCCTCTTCATATTTTCATTCCTTTCTTTGTTTTTTTAAACATACCAAATCTACTTAATTTACATTCTATATCTCTTTTGTGGTTTTGGTCTTTCTCTGTGTTGTTCTTCTGATTCTCCCTCACAGAGCCTTGCTTTATTGCATATTCACTCATGTCTGACTGTAAGCTCTTCTGCTTTTTTTTTTTTTTTTTTGAGACAGAGTCTTTCTCTGCCTCCCAGCCTGGAGTGCAGTGGTGCGATCTCCGCTCACTGCAACCTCCGCCTCCCGGGTTCACGACCTTCTCCTGCCTCAGCCTCCCGAGTAGCTGGCACTACAGGCACCCGCCACCACTCCCGGCTAATTTTTTGTAGTTTTTAGTGGAGACGGGGTTTCACCGTGTTAGCCAGGGTGGTCTCTATCTCCTGACCTCGTGATCCGCCGGCCTCGACCTCCCAAAAGTGCTGGGATTACAGGCGTGAGCCACTGTGCCCGGCCAGCTCTTATTCCTTGAAAGTCTATCTACAGAATATTTTGAGTCCTGGAATAAACATAAGAACCTCCAGAAGATATTGGTGTTTCCTTCTGTAAAGAGGCATTACAAGTCTGGAACCAGAAACTTTGAACAAAATTATTAGCATGCAGTGAACAAAATTATCAACTTGCAAGGAATTTCAAACTCAAAAAATGTGTGATCCCATTTGTGTTTCATTAATTTTTCTTTTATCTCTTTTGCATTTTTGAGGTGGTGGGATTTTTTAAAAAGTTATTTTATACTACCCTAAGAATATATATCCTTTGGGACCTTAGGTAGTTTTGGAATATATCATTGGGTGAATATACCATGGTGTGAATCCTGGGCTCTGTCTGCTATCCATCTGCAGCCCCACCACCAGTCTTGAAAACAGAATGTAAGTCTTCACAGTAAAAGCTGATTTCTGTTCATTTATTTCTCTGGCTTCCGAATTTTATATTTTTAAAGATGTTTATCCAAAACATATCTTTTCTTCTTTTTTTAGTGAGAGATCCACAGGATGGAAATGGAGTAGAGTTCTATGGTTTCTGCATTGTCACAGCAGATAGTATTTCGTACAGTTCTACCTTGCTTACCTTAGTTTTAGTCTTTATTTATTTATTTATTTATTTTTTATTTTTATTTTTATTTTTTTTTGAGACGGAGTTTTACTCTTGTTGCCCACGCTGGAGTGCAATGGCACGATCTCGGCTCACCGCAACCTCCACCTCCCAGGTTCAAGCAATTCTGCTGCCTCAGCCTCCCGAGTAGCTGGAATTACAGGCATGCACCATCACACCCGGCTAATTTTGTATTTTTAGTAGAGACGGAGTTTCTCCATGTTGAGGCTGGTCTTGAACTCCTGACCTCAGATGATCCTCCCGTCTCGGCCTCCCAAAGTGCTGGGATTACAGGCGTGAGCCACCGCACCCAGCCAATTAGTCTTAGGTTTATAGTTTAATAAGCCTAATATTAGATTAAATACAGTAGCCCCCTCTTATCCACAATGTCTGCTTTCTGTAGTTTCTGCTGTCCATGGTCAACTTCAGTCCAAAAAATGTTAAATGGAACATTCCAGCAGCAAACAATTCATAAGTTTTAAATTATGCCGCATTCTAAGTAGCATGATGAAATCTCAAGCTCTCTTTCTCCATCCTTCCAGGGACATGAGCCATCCCTTTGGCCAGTGTATCCATGTTATACATGCCACCTGCACATTAGTCACTTAGTAGCCACCTTGGTTATCAGTTAGACACAGCATCACAGTGCTTCTGTTCAAGTAATCCTTATTCTATTTAATAATGGCCCAAAGTGCAAAAGTAGTAATGTTGCCATATTGTTATAATTGTTCTATTTTATTATTAGTTGTTATAAATCTGTTACTGTGCCTAATTTATAAATTAAACTTTATCATAGGCATGTGTGTATAAGAAAAACACAGTATATATAGGGTTTGGTACTATCCATGGTTTCAGGCATTCACAGGTGTCTTGGAACATATCTCCTATGGATAAAAGAGGACTACTGTGTATATATATATATGTGTGTGTGTGTGTGTGTGTGTGTGTACCCAGCCTTTTGTCCTAGTCATATGTTTGACTGTAACTTGTTCTCTGATAATTTCATCAAAAGAGGTCTTAAAAACAACATTCTCAGATTTTTGTTGCATATTTAAAACTTTGTGGCCTTTTTATTTAAATGCCAGTTTTGTGGGATATAAAATCTGAGGGTTACACTTATTTATGTAAAGCATGTTGTAGCTTGTCTTCACCTGGACCTCTATTTAATGGTAATTATATTTTGGAACAATGCATGATAGGCCAACTGGCCTGCTTCCAATGGAGCTGGAGGGGTGAGACTTTATAAACCTTGTTAAAGAAAATCCCTGAGAAAAGCGATTGCCAGTGATACTTGTTTTGTTCTTTATATATTCATATGTTTTTAACTTTCAATGAATATATATTCTTTTAGTAATTAAAAAAACAAAAAAACTTTAATTTTGTTTGAGCAATAAAGCTCTTTTTTAACCAGATGTAATAATAAAATTCTGGTTAATACTGAGATTAGCAAAAAGCCAGAAGATGAATGGGACTTGGGTTCTAAAGTCTCACACAAGTCAGTGTATAATTGAAAGTATAATCACAATACTGAGCTAAAGATAATTTACTCAATTGAGATATTGCTGATTTTAAACATAGTAGCTCAGCAGCAGTTTTGAAAGAAGGAGGACTAGGAGAGACTGAAAGAAAAAAAGAGATTAAAAGACATTTAAAAGTAACTGAAAGAAAATGTAGGAGTTATATAGGGAAAAGGAGTCCTGAGGCATATTTTGTATGTGATTGCTGAGGATACTGAGCTATTTGGAAACAATATTCAATGACACAACATTGCATATGAGGTTAACACCTATTTCTTCTACACTAACCTGCCTTATCCCTGCCCATTATTTAAGTCAGAGTTTCTCAACCTGATGGAGTTCTTCATTCTCGGCACTATTGACATTTTGGGCCAGATAATTCATGTGGGAGTCAGGGGCTGGGGGCTGTCCTGTGCATTGTAAGATGTCTAAATAGTACAAGATGCCAATATACGTCCTCAGTTGTGACCACCACAAATGTCTCTGGGCACTTCCAAATGTCCTCCAAGGGGTGAAATTGCTCTCAGTCCTTATTCCAATTATGTCCTCCATGAATCAGGCTCAGTTATTACTTACTAGAGTTTGCCAAAAGTTCCCCTTTTTCTTCATTGATATTAGTTTCTAATTTCAGATAATATTCCCAAGTAAGCAATTAGTTATCACACTACTGTTTTTATGCCTTTTTCCTTTGTATTACTAGCTTCAGTATTTTCAGTAAATATCCTTCTGTAGTACAGTGTGCTGGTGTTTGAAGAGCATATCAAATCAGTGGTCCCTTTCCAAAGAACATCAGCCCTAGTTTGATGAAAGATAAGTGACAAAATGAATAGAAGTCTGGCTAGATCAAATACAGAGAAATGACAGTAAGATGATAAAAGATTTAGAAACATAACTCATCATTTTATCATATTATATATATATATCTTTTGTACTTTATATTTTTTCATGCTGTGTTACAAAATGTTAGAGAAGTCTACTGCTTTATTCACTTCCAGGTGATGAGAAGTCAACTCAAAAATCAGGACTCATAACATCAATCCATGCCTTTGGGTTCCTAGAAGAGAAGTAACGTAGCATTGAAGATCGAAGAAGGTCACCATAAGGAAAAATTCCCAAAGCAAAAAACAAGCTTTGTGTACCACCATTCCATCCTGTGCATCCGAGGTACACTGGGTCTGGCATAAATTACCTCCTCAATTAATAAATAAATCTCTGTAAATAAATAGTAACTCTAGGAATAGTTATACGATTTATTTTTATATATTCATTCCTAATGTTGACAAGGATCTAATTCACTTAAAATTTAGTCCATATTACATTATCAAATTTAAAAAAGAAGACTAAAGCTTAATACACCCAATGCATTCTTGCCCTTCAATGAAAATATTTCCTAGTTTTGAAATGAAAAACTAATAAATTTAAGTAAAAAACATAACCTATAAAATCAAATGTTCTAATCTACCTCTTACATTCAGAAGCTTGGAGAGTGAGTTTTTAGTGCTTGAAAATAGGAAATCAGTCCCTAATAATTCTCTAAGGGATCATGGGAACCAACACATCCAGGTCTCTCAATGGGAAATAACTCTGAATTAAGCGCTAACAAAAACAGCACCTAACCAATTTAAGTTTAACATGAGAGGCAGGATTAGCAATTACGGAAAACATACAAAAGTGGCAAAGGAGATGATAGTTTAGAAAAAAACTACACGGCTAGATGTCTACCAATTCCAGTCAACCTAGAAGCTTTCTCCCCAAGCCTGCTTTCACTCTGAAGGATGTAAGTAGGGACTGGCTATAAAAATTGCTAGTTGCCTGGAGGCTTCATCTGGAATGACATGAATCTCATGTATCAGCCAAATTATACTCTGCTTTGAATTCATAAAATTTGTTTTCATAATGTGATAAAATTTTGAGTTCTGTCTCCAACTGTTGAATGGACACCACCTGAAATATAAACTGAAATACCTTCTATAAATGAATCCTCATTTTCCATCAACTCTGGAAATAAGAGGAGATAAAGGACAAATAATCTGTTTTTCCAGACCCAGCAAGATGTTTACCAGATACCATTCCACTGAGCCAACACTGAAACTTGACAATATTTATTTGCTAACTTGAAGCTAGCTGCATCCATATGCTTGCCATTTACTTCATATTTGTAATGGACACGTCTCCATGTCTTATTTATTTTTATCAACATGTTCCCCTCAAAGCCAGAGCCTCTGCAGAGTAGTTACTCAATAAACAATTAGTTAAAATGTACTTTAGCAGATTATTATTATATCTCAAATTCTAATAATGATCTGCCTGGAATTTCAGGGTAGGTGTGAGTAAATTTATTTTCATCTTAATGCCTCTATTTTTTCAATATAAAGAGGAATTAATAGAGAAAAATTATAGTAAAATTTTAAGAACACAAATGAACGGAGGAAGTGAATGCAGCATTATTACTGCAAATACTTCCTGCTTTAGGACAATGATCCTCAGGAGGACTATAAAATGTATAATTTATCTTTCACTTCTCTTCACACAAAATATATTTGGTGACCACCTTCCTCATGGCTGCCTTTACTTCCTTGTTTCTCAATGTGTAAATAATGGGATTAAGTAAAGGGAATATTACAGTATGAAACACAGACACCACTTTATCTAGGGAAAATGAGTCAAATGGGCGAGCATAAATGTAGATGGATGGCCCAAACATTAGCACCACAATGGTAATGTGGGAATAGCAGGTGGACATGGCCCTGTTGGTATTCTCACCTGAGCCTGAATGTTTCTTGAGCAAGGCCAGAAGGAAGGCATAGGACATTAACAGAGCAATGAAACACACCACAGAGATCAGACCACTACTACAGATCATCACTAACTCCTCTGGGAAGGTGTTGGCACAGGCAATCCGGACAACCTGTGTGATGTCACAGAAGTAACTGTCTAACTCATTGGGCCCACAGAAAGGAAGTCGAACAATGAGAGCCACCTGTATTATAGAATGAATGAAGCCCCCCATCCAGGAGAGAGCCACCAGGATACAGCAGAGACGTCGATTCATGATGGTAGCATAGTGGAGGGGTCGGCAGATAGCAGCATAGCGGTCATAGGCCATCACTGTGAGCAAGAACATCTCCGAAGCCCCAACAAAGTGTAAGAAGAAGAGCTGTGCAATGCATCCACCAAAGGAAATTATCTTCCTCTCCACAAAGAAGTCTATGAGCATTTTAGGGGCTGTAATGGAAGAGTACCAAATATCAAGGAGGGCCAGATTAGCCAACAGGAAATACATAGGAGAAGTCAGATGAGGGTCTAGCCTGATGGTGCAAATGATAAGGATATTTCCTGGTAGGATGAACAAATAGAAGGATAGAAATATAACAAATAGGACTAGTTGGACCTCCCGAGTCTGGGATAGGCCAGTGAGAACAAATTCTGTCACCTTGGTGTAATTTGCAGTTTCCATTTCTTCAATTTACTCTTTTCATAATATAACTATGAAAATTAAAGAAACTATAATTAGTCCACATAGCATTTATCTAGAGTTATATCACTGCTTTCAAAATTGTCATACGTTTTCTGTCACTAACAGATTACATGAGGATACATTTGGTTGCCCATTTTATATTTGATAAACCAAGAAAGAGAAAGTATGTGATGAACTTATAAATTGGGAACACTAAAACTATATGAAGTGTGGCATATATTTGAAACTCAAATCTCGGCTTGTTAATGTTAAAAATCTTACTTTTTCTGAAATTCGGCAATGCACTACTTCTTCCCCCAAACATCTACATTAGTAAGCAATATGTGAAGCTACTTCTGAGTGTAGCCAAATTTTAGACTGGCAATCAGAGATGTGGCCTCTTTTTTCTAGATCTTATTTTTTGTTGCAAAATCATGCCAACCTGGAAACTTAGGCTTGCATTCTAATAGCACACATACAGATCTAGCAGTATTTTAGTTGTGATACAGAAAAGAGATCCCAAGGCTTCATAAGTACTGAATGGACATATTTTTCCATAAGCGTAACCAAAACCTGTATAGCTTAATCCTTGGTAACAGGTAACCAGCCACAACATACAGCTATGCAAGGCCCTATATAAAAAATTCTTCTAGCTGTGACCAGATTCATCAATACCTGATACTACATTGAGTATGAAATTTGCTCACCATTGCAGGAACTTAAGTAGGTGTAGTGATCTGGGAAATGAGTATGCTTGCTACCCAATTTGATTCTGAGCTGATCCGCTCTGCTGTTTCAAGGTGACAATGGGAATAATATTATTTTTAAAATTTTGCTTACTGCCCTGTATTGAACCTGACACCACTAAGTAGAACAAAACTTGTCAAATAAAAATGAAATAACAGTTCACGTTACCAAATATGCTTTTCTTTAAGTAAGGTTAAAAACTGCCACACCAAGGTAAGTTTTGTTGTAACCAACAGCAAATACAAGAGAGTTGTTTCTTTTCTGTTGATGTGATATTTTATGATATTGCCTCTCCTATTGCTTAAAAAATTAAATATTAAAAGGAATTTTTAAAAAGTTAAGGTTCTGTAAAACCAAACAGATGTGGCTGTGTCCAAACACTTATGGGCACTATGTATACTACTGAGAAAAGAAATTAAATGCGCCATTTTTGGAACCTACTGACTCAATTTATACATAATTTTAACAAACATAGATAAATGGCTTTCAGTATCTTATAGAAGCATTGTATTTTGAAGAAGGGATGGCTTACTACAAGCAGACACACACACGCACAAAAACAGTGTTTTCCAGGAATCTGGTAGCAAGTGGAAGAAAGGTAAAAATACTCAGAAATTGAGTAATGTGGGACTATTTAGAAAAGGGATCAATTTCCCCATGTCCATAAATTGCCCAGTATGGACTTCAGTGAGTTAATTAAGCATATTTAATAAGATTGAAAAATTTAAAATTTGGTTTAGGAAGATTTAATCAAAAGAAAGATAATAAGGTTATCCAGAATGACATATTTCCTAAGATTCCAAAAAACAATGATCTTACTGTACTTACCTGAAGGAAGCAGCTCATAGCCCCCATAACTAATAACGCAACAGGTATAGCTTATAAATATATACTTGTGTTATTAGTTATGAGGGCTTGAGCTAGTTATATACTAACTCATTTACATTCACTGATAAGTCAACTATGAGGTTCCAACAATCAAATAAATTTCTACCAAAAGCATCTGAAATATTATGATTTACTCAGCTCATTTACATATTTTGCTATTATGCCATGTAGTTTTTGACCAGATGGAAGTGATTATTTTTTCCTAAGTAAATAATTGTCCCTTTATTATTGAAAGGAGGTGAATATTTTAAAGCGGTAAATACCATTACAAGATCATATGCTTTTTTTATTATTATGGGGACATGATGCAATGATTCTGAGTGTCGTCACACAAATCACCCCTTCCTCCTCTGCTCTACTCCATACCCATTCCACCAAAACAGAAGTAGAAAATGGCACTAATCTAGAAAGAATTTAGGTGAATGAGTGTTGATGTCTTGAAAAGACAAACATACATCAGGTATTATGGAATAGAAAGGGTGATTTTACCAGAAAAAAGTGTCAAAGAGATTTTCTTTTGTACCTCAGTGTTCAAGATACAACATAAAATTAGAAACTAATGATGTATATACTTTGCATTAAGAACCAAAATCAATCACATTTATTCCTTAGGACAAAAATACAAAGGATTCATCCCTCCACACTTCTTGATGAGTGTCTCTGTCCTCCACCCTTCACAAGTGTCAAGTGGAAAAGAAATATTTTGCTGGAGCATCTTAATCCAATAGTCAGGCAGCCAATCAAACTCCCTACTCCCAAAGCTAGTAATGCTCAGCCACTACTCATAACACACACACACACACACATACCACTACACCATGTCACTTCCTCAAGGAAGAACAAACACCTAGTTTCCCTACATTAACATAACCATTACCTAAAATACCATAAATGATGCAACAATTCCTATTCTGTCCAGCACTTGTCATTTAATGCATGTCAAAACAAAGCTATCTACCTGTGATATTAAAAAGTCTATTCCTAAATATATAGCTTCTGTGTCACTTCTATAAACTATTCATTTGTTTATCCCACAAACATTTAGAGAGTATCTACTATATGCTACCTGCTGAGACACAACAATGAACAAGGAAGAATCAATATCTGCCTCATCAAACTTCCATTCTGAAAATATAGACAATAAATAAGTAAACAAGCAAATAAAAATAAAATAAAATATAAATAAGTAAAATAAAATAATTGCTACTGGTTCTAAAAGACAAGCAGGAAATAAAAAGAAGGCAATGGTAGAGTAAATGATGATGGGTGTGGTATGTGTGTGATGGAGTATTTTAGAAAAGGTTCTGAGTTGGTGACATTTTTCTAACTTTGAAAGTTTGAAGAAAAGCATTTTAAGAATACAGAATAGTAAATGAAAAGGCCTTGTGTCATGAAAGACTTTCTAAGAACTGTAGAAGACCCACAACTAGTAGAAGCATAAGAACAAAATAAAGAGTTAGTCAAAGACCAAGTAATGTAGCCCACAATAATAAAATTGGATTTCCAATTTTCTTTCAATATGTTTTAAAATAAAACTCGACAGAATAGCTTAATACAATTTGCAATTTAGAAATATCACCCTGGCTGCTATGTGAATAAACTGGAGTAAGACAACATTACAGGAAAAACAAACAAACAATATATATATATATATATATATATATATATATATATATATATGGCTTAAACAATACAGCAATAACTATTTGGAGAGAAGAATAATTTGTTTAGAAAATATTTAGGAGATGCAACTGGCAGGATTTATCAGTGGATCATATGTTGTTATTGTCATACTACCAAAGGCAGCTGGAATTTGAACTCCACAATGGCAATTTAAAAATATTGTTTTCCTATCTTCTGTGTCTAAAATGAGGTTCATCCAGCACATACCACGACCTTAATAAAATTGGGCTAAATAAACTATACATACTTGGGTATGCACTGTAACACCCCAAGAAAGGCTGGGAATTGTGCCAAGAAAACCCAAAGCAATTATGTTTATGGGAAATTCTTGGGGGAGATAAGCCACTCATGAAGATTGACTTAGGGCATTTTTTTCTAAGGTTGCCATTGAGGAGGGGATGTCTATTCCAAATCAGTGCTTACTCTTAGACCAGTGGTTGGATAAGTTGCTTAAAAAGATTTACTTCGTCTTACATCCACCCACCTACTTCTCCTAAGCTTCTGCTTCTCTTTTAACCACATCTAGAAAATTCCCATTCTTAATCTACAGGGACGTAGTACCTAGAGGGTGACTATGGAAATACCCAGGAGTACAGGTACATTCTCTGTAGGTGAGTGAACTGTGAAATCTCCTCAAGAGAAGCAATGCTTTGGGGGAAAACAAGAATCTGCGTGATGTTGAGGTCATGAAATCTTCCTCTATGACAGTTTCTTCATAGCAAAAGGAGGGATTTTTAACTAGAGTTTTAAGAAATGTTCTACCTCTAAAATCCTATGAAGAGTAAAATTCTCAGAAAGGTAAATTAAGAATGATTTGGGTAGCAATAGGGAGAAACAGTGATGTAATCACCATTGTGGATATATACAACACTTCTTAGAAATAATGCGAATTAATTTTCCTATTTTTAGGATATTGAGCTCACTTATTCTGTGGGATGGTGAGGAAGGAGTATACAGAAGCATCTTCACCATATAGACGGGTATAGGAAACCCAGGGACCTCGAGTGTCATAAATAAACCAGTAGCAGAAAATATCATGATGTAGTTATTACATTGATTTTCTGTGTGCATCGTTGCCCACAGTAAACTAGGCAAGAAGAAACCATTAGGATCAGAGAAGGGCTGATCTCAATATTATACTATCTTGAAGATCATTTGCTGCTTATTTCTCTTTTAATATACTTTATTATTATTATTATATTATATTTAATAATATACTTTAATATGTTATTAAAGTATATTAAAATTAATATATAGTAATATACATTAATATATTATTAAAGTATATTAAAATATTTTATATACAACTAATATATATTTAATATATTCTTTTAATTTACTTGAATATATTGAAGTATATTAAAATATATTTTATATATAATATAAATTATATATACTTATATATTATAATTATATATTTACATATATTACATATTTATATATTATAATATATATTATATTATATATATATTTGCTGCTTATTTCTCTTTTAATATACTTAGATATGGGGTGTTAGTGCTGTCAACTGAAGAATGATGAGGTTCATAAATTTGGAAAGGAGGACCTTTATTTCTCATAGAGTTGCAGCCTGCAGGGTGGCTATTATGACAGGCTGGGAAATATAGCCTCTGGCCAGGAGCCACAAACAAATATTTCGAGACAGTGTCAGAAGGAATATATACTGAGTGAGGTGGCCAAATACATATGCTCAATAAGCTATAGGAGGAGTCATGAATATTTATGAAAGGACAACCGTGCACATGCACAATTGTGCTTCATGCCCCTTCATGAGTAGCATATAGTTGGTCTCTTATCAGGAAGCAATGCTGGTTAATTGCCGTGTTAAAACCACAAAAAAAGAGGGACAGCTTCAGTGGTTGGTTGATATCAGCAGTGGAGTCTTTCAAAAGAGCTGGTTTCTATTTAGCACTTAGGTAGGAAAGTCTAATGGCAGTTAAGCGAGGGCGGGGATGTAAGAAGGCACCTCTGACCGCCCATCTTGTCATGGATGAAAACTCAGCTTTTAAGGTTACTCTGGGGTGCCCTTGGCCAAGAGAGGGTCCATTCCGTAGGTTGGGGAGCTAAGGGTTTCATTTTTATTTTATTTCTCAGTGCCTTCATTCTAACCACAGCTGAACACTTACTAGCTATGTAATCCTGGGCAACTCACATACCTCTGCCTCAATGTGCCTCATCAGTGCAATGGAAATAATAACAGTACCTACTTCATAGGTATTGTAGTGATTAATGCATATAATGGTCCCCACATTTTTCCCAGACCCACAGTCCTGTTACATTGTTGATGTATCCCTATTTTTAAATCCTTCATCTATTCTCAGAAGCTTGTTTTCTAAAATGCCTGAAATTTTGTATGAGTTTTGTATATATAAGTTCCATAAAAATGTCACATTTCTATGGCTCCCATAATAGTACTCTGTTTACACCTCCAGTACAAATTTTAACTCATTACATTGTAATTTTTCAGTTTGTATTTTGCAAAATATAACAGAAACTCTGAGCTCCTTGAGGTCATGGAGTATGTCTCATTTATATATCTACTGCCTAAAGTAGTTCCTAGCATACTATGGTCTTCAATATGTGTTTGTTAAATGGATAGATGGATGGATGGATGGGATGATTACATGGATTTTTTATTGAATAAATAAATCAATAGACTTTGACAAAAATTAAACACCACAACATCTAATTGTTTTTATTAATTCATTTAGTCTTTCCCTACCCTGTTACATAATTCCTAATTTTGCTTTTTGGAATCCTTTTTGTTAAAATACATATTTCACCCACATTTATTTCAAGTAAGAGTCTCTTTGCTTTTAAGTTTCTTTTTTGCTTTTCTATTTATTTTCAAAGCTTTTACTACTACTAACACTAATCCCTTTGAAATGAAATATTTCAAGCCTCACCTTTCCCATCCTCTTCACAGAGATCATCTTGAAGAACTATAAGAAGAAGTAACTAAAGATCTTGGGGTTTTCCTGACTTTCTTTCAGGAGTAAAGGGATTCAAAATTTTGGAAGTTTATTTTAACAATCTGTCATGCTCTGAAGACCCATAAATCAAAACAGCCTTCTCTGAGCTTATTTACAAATGATTCATCCTATGAGTATAAAATGACCAAGCTGTCTCTTCAATGCCCTGTTCAATCCTGACTTTAAAATGCTTTAATTATTGAGATCAAGGCCGAGAAGAAACAATTTGTCCACCCACTCTACAGCTATGACCTGCTCTACACTATCATCACAGTTCCCTAAGACATTTCCTTACATGCTGCTTTCTGTTTCTAACCACTGGTCTCTGAGCATTTTACATAGTTATTCCCATCATTATATCTATCCTACTGTCTCAAAAATAGGATAGTTTATGTAAAGGTTATAACAACTTTCCACCTACCAATTACTGTGACAGTCTTGGTGCCTTCAGGAACTATGGGGAGGAGGTAGAAGAAGCCTCTTCCACCACCCACAGTGGAGGACTTTATCCTCTACATGTTGGTATCCATCAGTTTCTGCCCTGATGTAACAGTAAACTAACTAGCAGCATGGGTTGTAACTACAAAAATCAATCCTCTGGAGGCCAGGGGAAGCCAGGTAGGAACATAAGCCTTGAGGGGATAATTTAAAAGTTGATTTGCACTTCATCCAAAGAGCATAGAAACACAACTTTTGAGTTTCACAGAAGAAGTAAGAAAAATGGCGAATTTCCCAGGATTAGGGGTGGAAAATGTGCATTTTCAATTCTATTGTCCCAGAGGACACAATAAGTTGTGCTGGAACAACTGGTTAACCAGATTTTTAAAAAGAATTATATTTTATAACTTATACTTAACATAAATTGCAAAGGAGTAATTTTTTTAATTACTAGAAATATAGAGAGACTATTTAAATTATTTTGGAATAAATAAAAACTTTTAAGTATATCCTGCCCCTATGAAGGAAAAACAATACAAAAAGAGTTATAGCATATTTGATAATGAAATTTAAAACTTATCAATGGCAAACACATATATAGGGAAAATGTTAGAAATTAAAACAATTTAAAATCACTAGAAAATAAAGACAAATTTAACAGGCAAATAATAAACAGAAAAAATAAATTTAAATAACTCCATTATATAAGAAGCACTTAAAAATCAGTCATACTATGGCAAAAATAATAATGATAATAATGCAATTTCAAAGTGGGTGAAAAACTTGAAGACATTTCTCTAAAGGAAATATACAAATGGCCAACAGCAAATATGTTCAGCATCACTAGTTGTCAAGGAAATGCATATCCAAACACCAATGAGATATTGCCTCATGCCTATTAGCATGGCTATTATCAAAAAACAAAAGAAATGTTGGCTAGAATTTAGGGAATTGAAACTCCTATACACTGTCGGTGGAAACAGAAAATGGTGCAGTCACTATGAAAAATAATGTGTCAGTTCCTCAAAACATTAAAAACAGAATTATTATACGTTTCAGCAATCCCAATTTTAGGAATATGTCCAAAAGAATTGAAATCAGAACCTCAAAGAGATACCTTCACACCCATGTTTACTGCAGCATATACACAAAAGCCAAGATACGGAAACAGCTTAAAAGTCCATAGACAGATGAACAAAGAAAATGTGTTAGACATCAGCTAAAATGGCAGAGTAGGTCATCTCAGTCTTTATTCCTCCTACAAGGAACAACAATTGGGAAAATATCCACAAATGAAAATAACTAGCAGAGATCAGGAATCTACTTAAGGAGTTAAAACAATAGAGCAGACAGAAAAACTTCAAGAATAACAACAAAAAATGGTAGAAAAAACAGTTTCATTTTGCCTGCTTCATCTCCTTCAGGCTGGCAGTGCTCAGTATGGAGAGGTCACTGCTCAGCTTGCAAGTTCCCCTTGCAGAGAAAGGGGAACTTTTCTCTTACCCAGCCTACTGGAGCATTGCCCAAACAACCAGCTTAAGTTTCACCCATCCCAGATTGCTAGGGAGACCAACATAGCTGAGAAATCTGTAAACTGCTGGTAACAAAGAGAAATGATGAGGTCTATCAGTATCAGTCATGTGGTAGAAATCAATGCAGTCCCCAGTAGCCTGATCTGAGCAGAATTCCAGTAGCCTTCTATACCAAGGACCTCAACAGCCCTCATGGATGTGACACAGGATTCTTTGAGGGCCACTTTGCCAAGTGGAAATCTCGATGGCCAGCAGAGCCTCTGCTGAGGCTTCACTGAGGCCCTCTGAACTCGTTCTGCTCATTTGGCCTGGCAGGCTGTGCTCCACTCATGCTCACTCACCCAGATCCCATGACACCCACTGTAGCTCAGTGCTCAGCCCATGGTTGCTTTGGGCATGCTATGACTGACTTCTGCCTTGAACACCGACATCTGGATAAGGGGGATGCAGCAGTGCCCAAAAACTCAGAGATGCCAGCAACTGTGGAGCCCAAAGAGGTGTTACAGCTTTTCCTCTGGGAGTCAAGGTCTGAGCCCCCAGGAAGTGTTACAGCTCTTGTTCGTTCTCACTGCCGACAGCTTCAGCAAATGGGGGTATGTCACAGCTCATTCAGTCCTGCTGCCCACAGCTCAGCAACTGGGGACGTGTGGCACCCAGCATTTTTTTTTTCACTCCTGTAGCTTGGTGAACAGGAGCGTGTCTTACAACTCTTTTCGCACCCACTGTTCAGTGGATTCCGGATTCTTGTCCCACAACCAACAGGAATGAAGCATATAGACACCGCAGAGTGAGCAAGGCTGATGAGATTTTTACTGAGCGGCAGAAAAACTCATGACAACAAGAGAGTAGCCAAAGTGGGTAGCCCTCTGTGTAAGAGTGGGACTGAAAGCAGAGAGCCATCTGTGAGGCTGAGTCTGGGGTTTTTATGGGCTCAGAATGGAGGAATGTGTGCTGACTGGTTCATGGGCAGGCCTGGAAAAAGCACCATTTAATTGACTAAAAGGCACTGAGGAAGTTCTCAGTTGGGTCGTGGACTGCACCTGGAACTGGTGGCTTGGTTTTCAGGCTTCATGTTGTCTTTGGCTTGAAGGTTGGGATTCACCAGGGACTTATACCTGTCTGCCTAGGAATCTGTCTGTCTCCTGCCATTATCAGCTGCACATACCACACTGCTTTCACTACCAAGGAACCCACAATGATCACTGCGCAAACTATAGTACTTAACTCCACAGAGGACTCCAGCAGGTTTAGTCACTGACAAAATCAACACCCAAAGATCACAAAGAAGCAGGAAAACATGACACCACCAAAGGAACAAAATTAATTTCTAGTAACCAACCCCAAAGAATTGGAGATCTATAAATTGCCTGGAAAAAATCAAAATAATTACATAAGGAATCTTGGGGAACTACAAGAGAACACAAATAAATAGTTTAATGAAATCAGGAAGACAATCCAAGAACAAAATGAGAAGCTCAATAAAGAGAGAAAATATTTTAAAAAGAACCAAACAGAAATGTTGGAGCTGAAAAATACAACAGCTAAACTAAAAAAAAATGTAATAGAGGCTTGAACATCAGACTAAATGAAGCAGAATAAAAAAATAAGTGAACTCAAAGACCGAGCATTTTAAATCATCCAGTAAGTGGAGATAAAAGAAAAAAAAGAATAAAACCTACAGAAGCCATGGAATACTATCAAGAGAGCTAACATTAGAATTATCGTAGGTTCAGAAGAAAAATAGAGAGAGCATTAGATAGAAAGCTTATTTAAGGAAATAATCATGGGAAACTTAGCAAATATCCGGAAAGAAATGAGCATCCACATGCACGAAGCCTAAAGTTCTCCAGTCAATTCAACCAAAAAAAGAATCCACAAACATACGTTAACATCAGCCTGGCAAAAATCAAAAACAGAGAAGCTTGTAAGCAGCAAGAGAAAAGAATCATGTCATATAAAAAAGGACCCAAATAAAGCTATCAGTGGATTTCTCAGCAGGAACCTTGAGGATCAGGAGAGAATGAAATAATATATTCAAAGTGATGGAAGAAAAATAAAACTGCCAACCAGCAATATTTTGCCAGCAAAGCTGTCCTTCAGAAATGAAGAAGATAAAGACTTTTTTAGAAAAACAAAAAAAGTTGAGTGAGTCTTCACTATTGCTTGCCTTACAAGAAATGCTAAAGGGGGATTTTTAAGATTAAATAAAAGGCAGCTAATTAGTAACATTAAAACATACAAAAATGTAAAACTAACTGGTAAAGTATATATATGGTTAAATTTAGAATATTCAAACACTATAATGGTGGTGGTGTGAATCACACCATCATTATAAAGTTATAAGATGAATGTATGCAAAATGACTATAGCTATAATAAATTCTTAAGACATACAAAAAATGTAAACTGTAACATCAAAAGCACAATGTAAGAGAAGGGAAGTAAAAGTACAGAGCTTCTTTAGCAATCAAAGTTAAGATGTTATCGTCTTTAAATGAATTGGTTAAACAATAAGAATATTTATGTAAGCCTCATGGCAACCACAAATTAAAAATCTATAGTAAATACACAAAAGATAAACAGAAAAGAATCAAAGCATACCACCAAATAAAATGATCAAATCACAAAGGAAAACAACAAAGGAGTAATAAAGGGATAAAGGATCTACAAAGCAACCAGAAAACAATTAATAAATTGACAATAATAAATCTTTACTTACCAACTATAAATAAGCAAATTTTGTTAATCAAAAGACAAAGAGTGGCTGAATTGATTTATAAAAATAAAATCCAACTTAATGCTGCCTACAAGAAACTCACTTCACCTTTAATAACACACACAGACTAAAAGTAAAGGGGTAAAAAACAAAAATATTCCATGAAAATGAAAATCAAAAAAGAGCAGTAGCAGTTACATGTGTATCAGACAAAATAGACTTTAAATACTGTCACAAGAGACAAAGAAGGTCATTAGATATTGATAAGAAAGTCAATTCATTGAGATAATAGAACAGTTATAAATATGAATACACCCAACATCAGAGCACCTAAATATATAAAGCAAATATTAACAAATCTAAAGCAAGAGATAGACTGCAATGCAATATTAATAGAGAACTTTAATATCCAATTTTCAACAATGGATAAATCATCCAGAAAGAATATTATTAAGAAAACATTGTCTTGAACTACTTCAGACTAAATGAATCTAATAGACATACACAGAATATTCAATCCAACAGCAGAACACACATTCTTCTCAAGCTTACACAGAATATTCTCCTGGACAGATTGTATGTTAAGCCACAAACAAGTCTTAACAAATTTCAGAAGACTGAAATCATATCAGATATATTTTCTGACCATAGTGGTGTAAAACTAAAATCAATAATAACAGGAAAACTGGAAAATTCATGTACATATGGAAATTAAACAACAACCAATGGGCCAAAAAAAGAAATCAAAAGGTAAATGTAAAAATATCTTGAGACAAATGAAAATGGACATGACATACAAAAAGGTATGGGATGCAGCAAAAGTAGTTTTAAGGGAGAAATGTATAGTAATAAATGTTTACAAAAAAAGAGGAAAGGTCTCAAATTAACAACCTAAAATTACAGCTCAATGAACTAAAAAAAGAACAAACTAAGCCCAAAGTTAGAAAAAAAGGAAATAACAAAGATTAGAAAAGAAATCAATGAAAGTGAGACTAGAGAAACAGTAGAAAAGATCATGAAACTAAGATTGATTTTTGGAAATATAAATAAAATCAACAATACTTGATCTACACTGAGAAAAAATAGAAGACTTAAATAAATAAAAGCCAAAATGAAAAAGGAGACATTACAACTGATGCTACAAAAATATAAAGAATTATAAGATAATACTATGAACCATTACAAGTCAAAAGATTGGATAACCTAGAATAAATGGATAAATTCCTAGACACATACAGCCTGCAAGACTGAATCATGAAGAGATAGAAAATCTTAACAGTAATGAGTAAGGAGATTGAATCAATAATAAAATCTCCTATCAAAGAAAATCCTAGGACCTGATGGCTTCATAGTTGAATTCTACCAAATATTTTGAAAAGAACTAACACCTATCCTTCTAAAATCCTTCCAAAAAGTTGAAGAGGAGGGGATACTTTAAAACTCATTTTACAATGCCAACATTGCCTTCATACCAAACCCAGATAAGGACACCAACAAGAAAAATAGATTATAGGCCAATATCCCTTGTGAACAAAGGTCCAAAAATCCTCAACAAACTACTGGCAAACCAAATATACCAGGACATTAAAAAGATTTTGCATCATGACAAAGTAGGATTTATTCCTGGGATGTAAGAATTATCCAACATACACAATCAACAAATGTGCTACACCACATTAACAGAATAAGAAATAAAAACCATGAGATAATCTAAACAAATGCAGAAAAATCATTTGACAAAATTCAACATTCTTTCACAATACAAAATTTTCAACAAATTAATTATAGGAATGTACCTCAACACAATAAAGCCTGTATATCACAAGCCTATGATAAACATTGTACTCAATGATGAGAAATTGAAATGTTTCCCTCTAAGATCAAGAACAAGACCACTCTCCCCACTTCCATTCAACATAGTACTGGGCGTCATAACCAAAGTAATTAGGAAAAAGAAATAAAGTGCATCCAAATAAAAAAGTTAGTGTCTCTGTTAGAAGATGGCATGATCCTATGTAGAAAGAATCCCGAAGACTCCACTAAAAAACTGTTAGAACTAATAAGCAAATTCAGTAATTTTGCAGACTACAAAATCAACAGAAAAATTCAGTTGCATTTCTTTACACCAATAATGATCTATAGAAAGAAAAAGTCAAGAAAAATTATCATTATGAGCACATCAAAAAGAATAAAATACTTACAAATAAATTTAACTAAAGAGGTAGAATACCTGTACATGGAAAAGTGTAAAACATTAATGAAATAAATTGTGGAAGACACAAATAAGTGAAACATATCCCATATTCATGAACTGGAAGAATTAATATTGTTAAAAAGTCCATACTACTGAAAATGATCTGTAGATTCAATGCAATCCCTATCAAAATGGCAATGAACATTTTTCACAGCAATGGAAAAAATAATTCTGAAATTCATATGCAACCACAAAAGAGCATGAAAATCTTAAGCAATCTTGAGTATAAGTACAAAGCTAGAGGTATTAAACTTCCTGATTTCAACTCCATTACAAAACTGTAATAATCAAAACAGATGTTGCTGGCATAAAAACATATAGACAAATAGAACAGAATAGAAAGCTCAGAACTAAACTCACATACATCCAGTCAGCTAATTTTTTCAACTAAGGTACCAAGAATTTACAATGTAAAGGACAGACTCTTCTACAAATGATGTTGGGAAATTGGATATCCACATGCAAAGAATCCATGCTTCTCTTATTCCAATCACAAAAGTTAATTCAAAGTGGATTATAGACTTAACATAAGACCTGGTCCCATAAACTCCTAGGAGGAAACATGGGGAAAGTTCCTGGACATTGGTCTCATCTTTATTTGTAGAAAGGGAAATCTACAGAAAGGGAGAAAATATTTGTATACCATACATCCAATAAGGAGTTAATATCCAAAATATATACAGAACTTATACTACCAAATAGCAAACAAACAAGCTTGTAAATGGGCAAAAGATATTTTAAAAATGATTTCATAAAATGGGCAAAGGATCTGAATAGATATTTTTCCAAAGAAGACACACAAATGGCCAAAAGGTATATGGAAAAAATGCTCAAAATCAGAAATCATAAAGGCAAATCAAAACCTCACTGAGATATCACCAACCACCTGTTAGATTGCCTTTTATCAAAAAGTCCAGTGATAACATGTGTTGGCAAGGGTGTAAAGGAAATCTGATATGGTTTGGCTGTGTCTCCACTCAAATCCCATCTTGAATTATAGTTCCTGTAGTCCTCACATGTCATGGGAGAGATGCAGTGAAAGATAATTGAATCATGGGGGCAGTTTTCTCATGCTATTCTTGTGATAGTAAGTTCTCACAAGATCTGATGACTTTACATGGGGCTTTATCCTTTACTCAGTTCTCAGTCTTCTCTCTCTTGCCACCATGTGAAGAAAGACATGTTTGCTTCCTCTTCCACCATGACTGTGACTGTAAGTTTCCTGAGGCCTTCCCAGCCATGCTGAAATGTGGGTCAATTAAATCTCTTTCCTTTATAAATTACCCAGTCTCAGATATGTCTTTATTAGCAGGGTGAGAACGGACTAATACAAAACCCTTGTAAACTTTTGGTAGAGATATAAATTAGTGCAACCATTATTGAAGGCAGTATGTAGGCTCCTCAAAAAAAAAATAAATAAACCTCTCATATAATACAGCAATCCCACTTCTAGGTATGTATGCAAAAGAAATAAAACCACTATCTTAAAGAGATATCTGCACTCTCAAATTCACTGCAGCATTGTAATACTAGCCAAGATACAGAAACAACTTAAGTGTTCATCTACAGATGCATAGATTTTTAAAATGTGGTACAAACACACACAATGGATTATTCATCCTTAAAAAGAAGGAAATACTGCCATTTGCCACAACATGGATAAACCTGGAGGACATTATGCTAAGTGCAATAAGCCAGACACATAACAACAAATACTACACGATATCCCATACAGGTGGAATATTTAAAAAAATCAAACTCATAGCAATGGACAGTAGAGTGGTGGTTAGCAGAGGCTGGCAAATGCCAGGAAAAAGAAGATGTTGGTCAAAGGGTACAAACCTTCAGCTACAAGATGAGTAAGTACTGGAGACCAAATGTACAGTAGCTTCAAATTTGCTAAGAAAGTAGATCTCAAGTGTTAACATACACATACACACATTATACACAAATGGTAATGATGTAACATGATGAATATGTTAATTAGCTTGGTTGTGGTAATCATTTCATAAGTATGCATATACCCTAAATATATGCAAATTTTATTTGTAAATCATACCTCAATAAAGCCTGAAAAAAATTGTACTATATATATGCAATGGAGTATTATTCAGCCTTTAAAAAGCACGATACAGAAGGACAAATACTGCATGATCTCACTTATATGTGGAATCTAAAATACTCAAACTGAAGGTAGAATGGTGGCTGCCAGGAATGGAAAGGAAAGGGAGAAATGAGGAGATATGGACTAAAGGTTACAAAGTTTCAGTTATGCAAAAATGAATGAGTTCTGGAGAGTTAATGCACAACATGGTGTCTGTATTACAATGCAATACTATATTGGACAACTGAAATGTACTAAGGGAGTAGATCTTAAGGGTTCACACCATACACACAAAAACATAACCCTGTGAGGTAATGGATATGTTAATTATCTTAAATGTGATGACCATTTCACAGTGTATACATATTTCAAAACATCAAGTTGCACACTTAAATATGTATGATTCTTATTTGTCAATTATACTTCAATAAAACTGAAAAAGGGGAATGAAGGAGAATAAGCTAGACCATGTGGCCACATGCTGGTTGACCTCCCACTGAAGGTCATTCCTCCTTTCAAATGGCTATCATAAATATCTTTTTGGGGTTTCTGTATTTCCTCCCTCTCTCAGTCCCTTCAGGCACAATGGTGTAAACAGCTCCACTGCATCTTACCCCTGATTATAGCACTGGCCTCTGTGGTACTCTATACCTATAAACTCATAGACAGCATCTCTTTAAATAAATCTTTATCAAATTATCTTATAATAAGTGTGTCATTAACTTCCTGTTGGAACTCTAAATGATATCATTTTCTATAAATGTATCCTTCCTTGAGTGCATCAACTTGTTTCATCCTATTGGCTGTACCTTTACAACTAAGATGCTTCAATATATTAGACAATATAAATTTTCACCCTTTCCTTTCTGTTTTATGAACCTGGAGGGCTTCCATCTTCTGCTTTCATCCATTTCTGTTGTCTCCTATGCCTACTATACATCTGTCATCTTAAAAGTGGCTTTTGATCCCTTTGTGGTTCATAAGTGTGATGACTGAGTTTTTGCACTCCTGTGTGAGATGTACCTCCCTCAAACCTTATGACATATACACATTACCTGATTCACATGAAGAAAGAAAAAAGAGATTGGGATTTTTTTTTAAAGTGGTTTTAGCCACCCTGCATTGCATATATTAATTTATTGATCTCATTTCTTCCTCTTGTTTTGCTGGGATACATTATCCCACACTTTCAAAAAAAAAAAGAGTACTTACAAAGCAAACTTTACAAATTTTTGCATGATTAAACATGCTTTATTCTATCTTCCTGATAGGTTTGTTCTGTATAGAATTCTAGGCTGAAAATCAGTGTGAGAAACTTTTCCACTGTATTCCAAGGATGAGTTTGCTACAGAGCATACTCATGCCATTTGAATTTCTGTTCATTTGTGAGCTATGTGGTTTTTTCTTAATAATTTTACAATATTTTCAATCATTAAGGTGATAAAATTTCATAATAACGTGCCTTGGGATTTTTTTTTAAATCTTGTGCTGGGCATTCAGTAAATCTTTCATATCCGGAAAATTAAGCTTTTCTATTCTAAGAAATGTATTTTCATTGTTTCTTTTAAATCCATCCTTCTCTTTAATTTGTCCTCCTGGAATATGTGTGAGTTGAATGGTTTGCCCCTAACTTGATTCCTTGTGTTTCTTGTTTTTATCTTTCATGTTTTCTATTTCTTTGACATTTTCATTCTACTTTCACAGAGACTGTACTTTTATGACTTCTGTGACTACTTGTTTTATTTCTTTTAATGCCATACTAATTTGTTTTAATTTTGTTTATTGTTCTTTTTGATTTTATTTACCTTCCAAAAATAATTTTTCTATATTTTTTCAATGCGTCATATTCTTATTTAAAGATTACAAATATTTTCTTTCATCAATGAGAAGATAAAGTTTTTTACAGTTTTTTTCCCCCTGAATTACCTCTAATTCCACCAGTTTCCTTTTGGCTTTTTTAAAGGCTGACTTTTCTCTTTTTTTCAAAAGCCTTATGTAAATTTTAGATTGATCTCTTAAGCCAGCTTACTAATTGGCAGGCTTCTGGTCAGGGTTCCAGTAGAGAGGTAACCATTTCATTTGTAATCTCCGAAGGCAGATGTGACATTAACATTCAGTTTCTTAAACAAAGGTGCCAATATTCTGTCTGTGACTCATATGCTACCGTTAGCATCTGGGAGCAGAAAGAGAGGATAGAAGATTGAACTGTTCCTTTCTCTTAATCTTCATTAGCAGCCCTGAAACTCACCTCCCCCTGACCTGGCATCCTGCATCCCAATCATTGCAGGGATTCCAGGAAGCGAATCTCTTCCCTTTTCCGCACTATTCCTCTTGTTGGTAATTTAGACTTAGACTTCCAGACCCCGCCAAATCAGTTACTACTTTTTTGTCTTACCTTTTCCAAACTTTTGTTGAAATCTCTCCTCTGCATCTAACTCCTGTCTTGTTTCTTTGTTCCTGTGGGTCTAAGCCATTTTTTTCTTACTGCAAGTGTTGTTATTGTTATTGTTAATACTTTGCTCTTAGGAGGGAAAAGGAAACCTAATATAGTCTATCATTTTTTAATATAATTTGTGTGTTTGTTGTTTATCTTAAAAAATCAGGAGTTAAGAAAAGGATAGAATGACCCTTTTGCAAAGGGCAAGTAATATGAAAATAACTGTAAGGACATGCAATAACTATAAGGAAATTTTAATCATCAAAATGTTAATGGTGATCATGTATGAGAGGGCTGGAGTGGACAAACCATTTTAAAGACTTTTCAAAAGTCCCACCAACCAACTACTATTAACATCAGATTGTCCACTGGGCTTCAAAAGGAATATCTTTTTCTTATAAGGTCATTCTAAATTATTGAATTGAAGTTTAAAAGAGCCTGAGGCAAGTCAATGCAATATTTTAGTTGGGCCACCATAAATAATGTCAGGTCCCCATTACTAAGGAAAAAAATAGAAATTGGAGTTACAATCAACAGATTTTGACAAGTACCTACTGTGCAAGCCCCTCTATTCCATACATGAAGAGTAGAAGAGAATATACATCACTTATATTCTTCTTAAGTTGTAGATCTCAGATAAAAATCCACTAAAAAAGAGAAAAAGGTAAGTGATATTTTATAAATTGCATACAGGATTGCTTAAGGCATATAGAAAATAAATGTTGAATAAAAATAATCAGGGCAGAATTCTTGAACAATATGAGCCATGAGACAAGATCTAAGAAAATTTCTCAGAAGAAAAATGCCTTTTCCAGAATACTGAGAATACTTATCTATTTCTCAACTTTACTAAGAATACCACAAAAAGAAAATGTGCTTATTCCATTTTGTTGTTTTAAGGAACTGAGGACAAGTTCAACTAAAAATTTATAATAGAATTACATCTCCTTAGTCATTTCAATGGTACAAATATCAACTCATTTTAGTTGCATTAATCTAGTCTGTGTTTTTATTGCCAAAAAAAGTAAGATTTCTTTCAGTAAAGATAGTATTACAGTAATGGGTAGAAGAGTATTCAAATTCTCCAAGAGAGTCTTTAAAGAAATTGCTGTCCACTTCAAAATATGTAAAGTTCTATTTTTTTTTTCCTGCACAGAAACCATCCTTTGGGCAATTTGTTGATTTATACTAACCCCCTTCATTGTAGGAAGTGTATATTTCTATGTCTGCATTTGTTGTATTGTATTATAATTGTCTCCTTGCAAATCTGTTTCCCTGACTAGATTTTGCAATATTTATAGGAAAAGACTAGAGAAGGAAGAAAAAGAAAACAAAAGAAGGAAGGAAAGAAGGAGGGAACAAGGTGCAGCTTCTGGTAAATTAGACTTCTTTTTTGAAGAGACATGATATGGTGAGAAGATATGATCAGGGATATCTTTCTCTTATAACCCCACTCTAAATCATTGAATGGTAGCTTAAGAGAGTTTGACGTGAATAGAAGGGATCTAACGAGGTTAAATGAGATATTGAGTAGGAGTGTTAACTCGTTTACTCTAGAAGTAAGAGAGGATAAACCTTGCCAAGTATGGAAAGTTTTAAGTTTAGCCTGTCTAAAATAGCCTCAAATTATTTCCTGTTTAGACAACCTATAAAAGCTGCATTTTTAGGAACTATTTTTTTAATTATTAATAAATTAGGGATCATTGAAGGTATCCACTAATTCTCTGATTTTGCAATTCTGACAAACTATCCTCTCTGTTTTTCCTTCAAGGAGATCTTGCTACTCCATAGCTGCCTCATGGCATTCTTTACATCCTCATTCCTCAGAGTATAGATGAGTGGGTTCAACATTGGGGTGATGGTGGTATAGAACACAGACACAGCTTTATCCAATGGGAAAGTAGTGGATGGACGGAGATAAATAAAGATACACGGAACAAAGAAGAAAGTTACTACAGTCAGATGAGATCCACAGGTAGAGAGAGCTTTGCGTCGGCTCTCTGCAGACTGTTTTTGAAGACTAAGCAGAATGACTTTGTAGGAGGCCAAAAGAATGAGGAAACAACCCAGGGAGATGAGACCACTGTTGGCAACTACCAACATATTTATCAGAGTTGTATCAGCACAGGCAAGTTTTAGGACTGGGTGGACATCACAAAAGTAATGGTCTATAACCTGAGCATTACAGAAGGGCAGCTGGAAGGTCAGGAGGGTCTGAACAAAGGAATGACCCAGGGCCCCCAACCAGGACAGTGATGCCAGCACAGTACAAGCATTAGCACTCATGATGACAGTGTAACGGAGGGGTTGGCAGATAGCAGCATAGCGATCAAAAGCCATGACAGTCAAAACAAAAATCTCAGCACAACCAAAAAAGTGGAAGGTAAACATCTGAGTTATACAGCCCCAGTAGGAAATAGTCTTTTTCTCAGAAACAAAGTCTGCAATCATCTTGGGTGCTGTGGCCGAGGAATAGGCAATGTCCACAAAAGACAGGTTACTGAGGAAGAAATACATGGGTGTGTGTAGTTGGGGGTCAGAAAAGACCATAAGAAAAATGAGCAAATTTCCCACCATGATCACGATGTAGAAGAGGAGAAATAAGACAAAGAATATCCATCGCATTCCAGAATCTTGGGAAAGTCCCAGGAATATAAACTCAGTGACATTGTTGGCCACTTTCGTGGGTCCCCAGGCAGGACTGGTGCAGTGACTCTGGTCCTCCGCAAAAATAAACACATGTTATAAACCATTATAAGCACGATAAAGTCTATCAGTAAGAGTCTTGTGAAAATACCTACATGATGTTAAATATGGTAGAGAAAGTTCTTCATATTTCTTGAAAATAGTTCATGAATATTTTTCTTGTCATTAGCTTGATTTCCACATTATTGACTCACATTTGAATTTATTTCATGATTAGTCTTATAGTTCCTTTTTTCCATACAAGAATCTAGAGAATCTGCGTCTTTTTTATTGAATTTAATGTTTTTCCTTAATCAGTGCTCTCTCTCCCCCCACCTCCAACTTCTTTTGTCAGAAATTTACTTTGGAGTGAAAACTTTGTTTATTTAATTACTTAATTTTTTGAGGCTGTAAATAAAAGCATGAAGTCAGAGTATAAGATCTGATGTATAAAATTTCAGAATCCTTCAAATATAATATATACTACTCACTTATAGAAAAGTAACATTTTATTTAATCAAGAGAGGAATACTCAGTTTCCAATTTCTCAATTAGATTAAAAGTCTCAATTCAATTAAAAATCAAGTCATTTTTAGTGCTTATAAATCAACATTGAGGAAGTTTGAATCATAAGCCTGGACCTGCTGGTTGAAAATTCCATTTTGCTTGCCAATAAGGAATACATGAGAAGTGATCAACTTATACGGAGAAATACTTTTTTCTATGTTGCTCTGAAGAGTTGAAACATTTAAAAGTTATTGAGTTCCCTGTCATCCTCAATCCCTTTGCCTTGAAAAAGACCCAGATAACTCTCTGTCCTTGTGATCACAGGAAAAATTAGGAATGAAATTTATCATACAGATAATGTTATAAATGATAGTTTAAAAATAAGTGTCTGAAGCCATTTTATAAACTGTAATAGGAATGCTTGCATCATACAGAGAAAAATAATGGATAAAAATAATCAGGAAAAAATTCTTAAAGGAGATTAATATTAGACAAGATCTGAAGTTTCTTGAAATAAAAATGGCTTTTCTGAAATATGAAAATTACTAGCTATTTTCCGTCGTTACTCAGAATACCTCTTTTCTGCATGGATAGCAGAAAGAGCACTGACCAGAAGCTGAGTGGTGTAAGTTTGAGTGCCCTCATCAGCTTTATAACTTTGGGTAAATCTGTTTATCTTCCCTGGATCTCAGTTTTCTCATCTATAGAAGATGAATGATAAAATTTTTTACCGCACAAAGCTGTTTCAGAATTCAAATGAGATCTATAGAACATGTTTTGAATTTATGAGGTGTTTCCTTTCAATTTGAATCTATCAAGTGGAATCTCTCTAGTAAGCACAATTTGAAATTTGGTGCATTTAATTATTATATAAAAGCTATATAATGTAACTACTAGAAAATATTAAAAATATATACAATTTTATTTCTGAGATAATAGCTATAATATGTGCCAATCTCCATTAAAGAAATATCATTAATAGTAGTTAACATTTACTGAGTATTTTACCATGTGCAGAATCGTGTGCTAAACTCTGCATATGTTACTTAATTCCATCCTCACAACAATATCATAATTTTTATTATCTCCATTTTACTGAGCAGAGCACTAAAGATTAAAGAGGCAAATTGCCCAATATAATTTTCAGTGAAAGGACTGGTATAATTGTGGTATTCTTTTTCCAGAACACATATAACTTACATATCCTTAAATAAATCATAAGTAGATAGAAAGATTAGATAGATAGATAGATAGCTAGATAGATGATAGATAAATAATTTCCCATAAAAAGAACTGAATTTATTATTTATTTTATTTTTTTATTAATATTATTTTTTGGAGAGGAAGTCTCACTCTGTCGCCCAGGCTGGAGTGCAACGGTGCGATCTCGGCCCACTGCAATCTTCGCCCCCTGGGTTCAAGTGATTCTCCTGCCTCAGCCTCCCAAGTAGCTGGGATTACAGGCACCTGCCACCACAAAAAGAACTGAATTTAAACAATTGCTTTCTTATCGTGCAAAGTCCTTCAATTGGAGAATATGTTTCACATTCCTAAAATCTTTTAGTAGTCTGTGCCCTATACCAGCAAAGCCAAATTGTGCTCAGTCATCCCCAGTTGACAAAATCATAAGGGCTGAAAAAATGTTTAGGTAAACAGAAAACACTTATATTGTACTTACTATACACCAAGTTTGATTCTAGATGTTTTACATATAGCTCATTTAACTCCCATAATGATCTTATAAAGTAGTCTATCACTACTATTACCACTTCAGAAATGAGGAAACTGCAGCACAGAAAGAGTAAGTAACTTGCCCAAGGTTATAGATCTAGTGATTGGCAGAGTTGGTGTTTGAACCTACATAATGGGTCTTCAGGATCTATTTTCCTAACTACTATGCATATCCTGGGTCTGATGGCATCAGAGCCACCAAATATCTTTCTCATTTGAAAGCCTTAAACCTTCTACAATAATCAAAAGACTCCTTTTCTTCTAATCATGAAAAGTTTTTTTTAAATTATAGACACTATTTAGAGACAAAGACTATAGCTGCAACTGGCAAGATCATCACAGCATAGAGTCTGTGCCAACTTTTCTCAAATTAAATTTACAGTGGGGATGTAATAACAAGTGATGTGATACTGATCATCAATTCAGTCATTATTTGATTTGGCAAGTATTGTCAATCAAGTGGAGGAGGTCCACATGTAAACTGTGACAGTTCTCTGTGAAAGGGCTCAGGAAGGAAGACCAGGAGAGACAGGACTGCCTTTTCAAACGTTGTCACTGAGTGGAATTCTGATAGATGAGTTAGAGTTAACCTGATGATGATGAGGATTGCAGGGTGTGGGCACAAAAGAATAGACAGGGCAGGAAGAACTTTCCAGGCCTAGCAAATAGAATATGTGAAGGTAAAAATCATTACACCATCCTCTTTGGGGAGTGCCAGCAAGTTGAATATGATTCAGCACAGAACCCACATAGGAAAGTGTCAGGAGATGAGGCTGAAAAGAAGGCAAGTCTAGATTACAGAGGCTCGTGTGTTAAGCTTAAAAGTTAGCAATTGAATTAATTGGGGTGCCATAAAGAAAGATCCAGTCACAGGAGGAGAGTAGCTGCGATGGAAGGTGGGGGAGAGAAGTTGTGAAAAAGAAGATGCCTGGAACCCCAACTTGTCTACGTTCAAATTTCGGCTTCACCATTTGCTAACTTTATGACTTTAGGCAAGTTACTTCACTTCCCTTTGCCTCAGTTTTCCCAAGTGTAAAACGTGGATAAGAATAGTACATTTATATAGAGTGTTATACATATTAAATATATATTACATATAAAGCACTTATGTGCATAACATACTTTAAGTGAATATATAATTATCATTATCCATCTTAGCTATCAGAGAAAATGTTGATTGGAAGGAGAGACAGAAGCCTGGATAGGAGTCATCTTAGAACACTAACCTCCTTACTATGTTAATCTCCTGATTCTCACCTATATGTATGCTCATGCTTGTCCAAATCTTAGACTGTATCTACTGCTCACACCTACCCTCTCAAATATACTCCTTTGACTGGAGCAGCAACAGAGTACATTCTATGTCCTTGCATAGACGTATTAAAGAGTTCAAGCATGGATGCCCAAAGATGTTTGGGTAGCTGCTCTATTCACCCTGAGTGGTGACAACTCAACTTTATCTAGACTCCTCCTGAGGAGTTCATCAAATTAATCAAAGTCTAGGACCCAAGATCTTTTTGCTATCTTTGCTGGGAGAAACAGCACAGGATTTAAAGATAGAACAACTCACAGCTCTGCCTCTTCAGGCTGTGTAACATTAAAATATTTTTTCTAACATCTATTAACCTCCCCTGTGAGATAATGCTACCCATGGTAAGACTCAAATTAGATAATGGACAAAAAAGCAATAAACAATCTGCCAAACTAACTCTTGATCATTTTGGGGGTAGAATTTCAGGAACACCAGTATTAGACATCTGAACTCTATGAACCAGAGCCTCTATGGGGTGGATTGTTTCTACTGGTCTACCCAGGTTCTTAGGTTAAACTCGATCTCTCTAAGACAATGCTAAAGAATATATATTAGTTGATATAGGATTTGTGTAGTTAAAGAAAAATGTTTCCTCCTTTGTTTAACTCCATGAGCCTACATAAATTATTTCCAATAGAACAATTTCAAAGAATGCAACTCTTGGAATCTTCTGGGAAAGAGATTGTCTTAGTTCCTCTCATGAGGGATTTACAAAGGGCAGCCATATACTATTCTGGATCTCTTTCCTCACAGCAAGTTCTATCTCACGGAAAACTTTTCGTGCAATAGTGTTCTTGACTTCAATATCCCTCATAGAGACATTGTCACACATGTGCATGTTTTTATGTCTCTTGTTACCTGACATTACTTTATTACTTATTAATCCTATCCTGTTCCTCTAATTGGCCCCAACTGAGGAAACAATTACTAGTCTTGTGGAGCTGAAAGATAAGGAAAAAATATTGAAAAAAATCTGCAAATGAGTTAGCATAGCACAATGTATAGATTGCTTAAAGTATCATCTATTTGATTTATATTTCATAAGCACCAATATTAATGTATCCTTTCACTTAATATTTACTAAACATATTATCTGTGTCTGGTACTGCACTGTGAATACAAAAAGAGGAGTGTGACCCAATACCTGACATAAAACCATTTATTTTAGAGCAGCAGTTTTAAATGAGCTCCCTAAATCATCTTAGACTGAAGCATAATTTATGTTAAGTCCTATACTTATCTATGTGTAAAGGATTTTAAAGATTGTTTGATCTTTTCACACTCATCTAACCATTGGGAAACAAATAAGGTACAGAGAGGGAATTAAATTATATAAGTTTACTGATGGTGGTAAACCTAGTAAACCTAGGAGTAAATTCCAATTGAAATTATATTGATACACACGTTAAATTGTAATATACTATTTCTTAAATTAATTACTAGAACAGATGTTGTAAAGCAGGTGAAGAATTTACAGAAGTAAATAATTTACCTTTGAATATAATTTGAATCAATGAAAATTGACCTTGCCTCTTTCACTGGTGGTTAAGGTATCATTCTAGATGGAAAGCTTACCCTGGACTTTTTCTTGAGTGTGGTCCCACTGCATGGATTTGAACAATCCGAGATCTTGGATCAGAAAAGCCTTTGAAATAAAAATGTGATTGATACCAAGATACGCACACTAAAAGACTGAGATTTATATAATGATACTTCTTTTATATACATGCCACATTTCCTCTTGTACAGCCTAAAAAGCGGTCTTGAGTTTGTTTTCTCTTTCTCTCTCTTCTTTCTCTCTCTCTCTCTCTCTCCCTCAGAAAGATAGTATTTTATGAGATTACAACCATGCCATAGCTTCTAACCTTGGTATGCAAAAGATTTCTACGTTCCTGGCTGCCAAGGGGAAGAAACTCTCAGCAATCTTTATGCATCATCAAAACCCTGAGGGAAATGCTGGACAAGTGATTGGGTAAGCAGCTGGAGAATATGATTAGGCAGAGAAAGTGCAAGTGTAGTCTCTACTAAATAACTCCTTGTAAAACCATGCTGAAAGCTGGCTGAAAATAAGACTTTTAATTAGAGTATTGAAAGTGAAAAGTTGGTCAATAATTCCAGCAGAAGTAGCAGCATGTTCAGAGACATAGAAATATGAGGAAGCTGCACATGGTTCAGAGGTTCAAACAGTGGAACAGGACTGGACAGAAATTGGAATTAGTATTGATAATTGATCTTAGAACAAGTTTTTCTACTAGAACAAGGCCTAAGGTGTAGAGTGGTGTTGTAGTATGAGAAATCTTAGTTATTATCCTAGATTTTCTTATCACCATGCAGACCCTACACGCCTACAGAATCTCATATGTGTACCAGAATCTGAGGTAGGATAGAACATGCAAACAAGAAAGTATAGGTTTGATGAAATAAGAGGGAGAGACTGGTAGGGTTAGGATGTATATGCTAATGGACTCAACTGAGCCATTTTACTATGTAGACATATTTATTTCAAAACATCATGTTGTACATGACAAATATATAAAAGTTTTACATGTCAAATAAATAAATAAGAAACCATGCACAGATGTGAACAGAGTGGGGGGGAGTCAATGTTCACTTAAAGAGATAAAAACTAGAACTGCACTTTATTTATGTTATAGATTTCACCATTTCCTCTAAGTAATGGAAGCTCACCAGGTATTTTCAAGTATTTATTTACAGAGTAATTACAAAGAGCTTTTTGGGAACATAAAGAACATAACGGCAATAAATTAAATAGCTGCCATGAAAAAATAGACAACTTGAGTAAGCCATTTCATTAAGGAAGAACTAATGAAATCTGAATTAAAGTTGCAATGTAGTTAGTAATAATGCATCAATATTAGTTTATTTGTTTGACAAATGTACCATAGTAATATAACAATAAGGAAAATAGCATGAGGTATAATTATATTCTGTGATATTCGACATTTCTGTAAATCTATAAACATTCCAAATTTTAAAAATTATTGAATTTAAAAATGATTTTATAAAATCTTTGAAAGCATGTTATAAGCCAGAAATTTTGGGAGGGCCTATAAACATCAGCTTTATTCGTTCCCTTTCATTCTTTTTTTAATTTCAACTTTTATTTTAGATACGGAGGGTACATGTGCAGGTTTGTTACGTGGGTTTATTGCACCAAGGTAGTAAGTATAGTACCCAACAGGTAGTTTCCCAACCCATCCCCTCCACCCTTCCTCACACCTCTCGTAGTCCGCAGTGTCTATTGTTCCCATGTACATGTCCATGTGTGCTTAATGTTTAGCTCCCACTGGTAAGTGAGAACATGTAGTATTTGGATTTCTGTTCTTGCATTAATTTGCTTAGGATTATTGCCTGAAGCTTCATTCATGTTGCTGCAAAAGACATGATTTCATTCTTTTTTTTGGTTGCATAGTATCTGATAGTATGTACCATATTTTCTTTATCTAGTCTACCATTTATGGGCACCTAGGTTGATTCTGTCTTTGCCGAATAGTGCTGAGAAGAACATACAAGTGTATGTGTCTTTTTGGTCTTTTTGGCATAATCTATTTGGCATAATCTATTATATATACATAAAATATTATATATATATACAGTGAGAGAGAGAGAGAGAAATAGGATTGCTGGATCAAATAGTAGCTTTGTTCTAAGTGATTTGAGAAGTCTCCAAAGTTCTGCCCACAGGGGCTGAACTAATTTACATTCCCAACAACTCTGTACAAGCACTCCCTTTTTTCTACAGGCTCACCAGCATCTGTTGTTTTTGGACTTTTTCAGAGTAGCCACTATGATTGGCATGAGATGGTATCTCATTGTGGTTTTGGTATGAATTTCTCTGATGATTAGTGATGATAAGCATTTTTTCATATGTTTGTTGGCTGCTTGTATGTCTTTTTATTCAGAAGGATCTATTCATGTCCTTTTCCAGTTATTAATAAGGCTATTTGTTTTTTGTCTGTTGTATTATTTAAGTTCTATTTACATTTGGGATATTAGACCTTTGTCAGATGCATAGTTTGCAAATATTTTCTCCCATTCGGTAAGTTGTCTGTTTCCCCTCTTGATAGTTTCTTTTTCTGTACAGAAGCACTTTCATTTACCTAGGTCCCACTTGTCAATTTTTGGTTTTGTTGCAATTTCTTTGGGGGACTTAGCTAATTTTTTTCCCAAGGCCAATGTCAAGAAAAATATGTCCTAGATTTTGGTCTAGGATTTTCATAGTTTGTGGTCTTATATTTAAATCTTTAATCTATCCTGTTAATTTTCTTATATGCTGAAAAGCAAGGGTCTAGCTTCATCTTCCTGCACTTTGCACCTCAAGGAATTAGAAACCAAAGGACAAACCAACTCCAGAGCTAGCAGAAGAAAAGAAATAACAAAAATTAGAGAACAACTTAATGAAATTGAGGTGCAAAAATCTATACAAAAGGTCAATGAAACCAAGAGTTAGTCTTTTGAAAAAATAAGATTGTTAGACTGCTAGTTAGATTAAAAAATAAAAAAAAAGATCCAAATGAGTACAGTCAAAAAGGACAAAAATGACATTACAACTGATCCCACAGAAATACGAAAGATCCTCAGAGAATACTATGAACAACTCTATGCACACAAATTAGAAAATCTGGAAGAAACTGATAAATTCCTGGAACAACACAATCTTCTAAGATTGAATTAGGAAGAGATTGTAATCCTTAATAAGTCAATATCAAGCTCTGAAATTGAATCAGTAATTTAAAAAAAAAAAACTCTACTAACCAAAAAAAGCCCAGGACCAGAGGGATTCACAGTTGAATTCTACCAGACATATAAAGAAGAAATGGTACCAATCCTACTGAAACTATTCCCAAAAAAATAAAAAAGGAAGGGCTCCTCCCTAACTCATTCTATGAAGCTAGCATCAGCTTAATACCAAAATCTGGCAGAGACAAAACAAAGAAAGAAAACATCAGGCCAATATCCTGATGAACATAGATGCAAAAATCCTCAACACAATACTAGCAAACCAAATTCAGCGGCACATCAATAAGTTAATTCACCACGATCAAGTAGGCTTTGTTCCTGGAAACAAACAGAGACTTGAAAATGCAAAAGGGAATATAAAAAGCTCTTGCTTTTCTTAAAATAATGCTACCAATTCCAGCTATCAACTGGACATTTAAAATGATTTGCCAAGACTATACATTTTGCTATGAAAGAGAACATCAGAAAAAAGGGATGTTGCAGCTGGCTTATACCAAGAGAAAGCCTGGAGCTCTATGTCCTTGAAACATGCCTGGTAATCCCTAGCACCACTCAAATCTTTCTGTAACTCACGCAGTACTCTTGGGCAGTTTCCTGCACTTCAGGATATCCAACATATTATCTTCGGGATATCATACTGCTCTTCAGGATATTCATCGTATGCAAAAAACCCTGAAAATGTTGAGTAGAGTGAAGCTAAAGAGAAGAACATGATGTTCCAGGTATGTCATTCTCACCCTCACCCACACTATTTAGAAATCTCCCAAATGGCAGCCTAGTTCCTAGTCTGTGAGGAGTCCTTCTATAGCAATATATACATATACACATACATATATATGGCTTCTTAAATATAAAGTCATTAACTCCCAACACAAAAATAAAAATACATATTTTGTCCCTATATCAAGAAAGCTCTTACACGACCAGGGTTATTGCAATTTTCCAGTATATCCTAGTATTAGATGGAGTTTCAGACATTTTTTTCACAGGTATATTTTTCAGCTAAGTAATCATAAAAGCCTCTCTATGGCAATTCATTAGGAGATAAAGTGACAAAATATAAAAAACATTGTAAAAGTTTGTCATTATCTTATTATATAGTAAATAGAATAAACACATTTTCATAGCCATAAAATATTGCAAGGATCCTATGTCAGAGATGGATAATCTTAAATATAAATGCTTAAGTTAACCTTTTTAGGGATTTTCCAGCTCTGAAGCTCCTATACAGGTATTATAGAAATTAAGTAATCTGGCCGGGTGTCGTGGCTCATGCCTGTAATCCCAGCACTTTGAGAGGCTGAGGCAGGCAGATCACCTGAGGTCAGGAGTTCAAGACCAGTCTGGCCAACATGGAGAAACCCCGTCTTTACTAAAAATACAAAAATTAGCCAGGCATGGTGGCCAGCACCTGTAATCCCAGCTACTTGGGAGGCTGAGGCAAGAGGATCACTTGAACCTGGGAGGCGGAGGTTGCAGTGAGCCAAGATTGTGCCACTGCACTCCAGCCTGGGAGACAAGAGTGAGACTCTGTCTCAAAAAAAAAAGAAGAAGAAAGAAAGAAAGAGAGAAAGAGAGAGAAAGAAAAAGAGAAAAAAGAAGAAAGAGAGAGAGAAAGAAAGAAAGAAAAAAGAAAGAAAGAAAGAAAGAAAGAAAGAAAGAAAGAAAGAAAGAAAGAAAGAAAGAAAGAAGTAATCTGTATAATTGGGATAAATACTCTAAGAAATAGAGAGAAAGAGAGAGAAAGAAAGAAAGAGAAAGAAAAAGAGAAAAAGAGAGAAAGAAGAAAGAGAGAGAGAAAGAAAGAAAAAGAAAGAAAGAAGCAATCTGTATAATTGGGATAAATACTCTTTCTGAGGAGAAATAAAATATTAACTTAATTATATAATTATTAGCTTGCTTTCTTTTTTTTTTTTTTTTTTTTTTTTTTTTTTGCTTTGAGACCGAGTTTTGCTTTTGTTGCCCAGGCTGGAGTGCAGTGGTGCGATGTCAGCTCACTGCAACCTGTGCCTCCTGGGTTCAAGTGATTCTCCTGCCTCAGCCTTCCTGAGTAGCTGGGATTACAGGCATGCAACACCACGTCCGGCTAATTTTGTATTTTTAGTAGAGACGGGGTTTCTCCATATTGCTCAAGCTGGTCTCAAACTCCTGACTTCAGATGATCTGCCTGCCCTGGCCTCCCAAAGTGCTGGGATTACAAAGAGCTTTCTTGATTGATTGCATTTCTTCTAAGTGGTCATGGGCAAGTCACTTAACTCTGAGTTCATTCTCAAAAATGAAGTTAAGTAAATTTATTCCTCAAAGCATGTTTGAGACTCAGAGGTAATAACTGTGAGCATCTCAAAAATGAGTGCTTTCAATCACAGTTCATTTCTTCCTCTGTTCCTTTAGAGGTTAAAACTCTTAAACATTATGGTCAGTTGAAGAGCCAGCTTATCTATTCACCCCCACTGTAATTCCAATCAAAGAAAAACTCAGTGTGAAACTAGGTACCTCTTCTTGAGAAGCCTCTACAACAGAATACTAACAGCTTCCATCACCCCTGCACTCCTGGACTTCCTTTCTCTCACGCATAAACTTTGTTAAGAGCATATGTTCATTAGACTGATGCCTGACTACATTTCTAAAACTTGGGACACTGTGGAACACAGTTCTGAGGTAAATACTACACATAGGTGGTTGTTACTGTTCTCAGGCTTTGTTATAACAGAACAAAGAAATTCACACTACTTCAGAAAAGGATCTGATGAGACATCAGAAGGAACTTCCTAACACTAGGAATCATTAAATGCTGGAGGAACTGAACACAAAAAGAGATATATCTTCTTTCATTTGAATAGATTAAAAAGTGGAAAAAATTGAATAAATGAACAGTACTTAGAGACATAAAGATAGAAAAGTTGATCTTTCAATTAATGCTTGTTATCGTTTGTGGCCAGTAAATTCTACTGAGTTCCTGAGTTCTCTTGATTATGGTCAAAAGGCATAGGTGGCTTTCTAGAGTGCCACCTATGCTTTTAAATTGTAATCAAGAGTGATCCATTATAATCTTTATGCTATCTCCTCTTTTATACCAACGTCATCAAAGTGGTTTTTACCCATGTACAAGATGAGTTAAGAGTCTTCCAAGAAAGAGTGTGTTTTTCAAATCACCTCTTCTGCTCATTCCTTAACAAGGCAATGGAATGCCACATGGTTTTATCCTCAGCTTCTTCATAGCTGTCTTCATATCAGTATTTCTGAGTGTGTAGATGAGGGGGTTCAACATAGGTGTAATCACTGTGTAAAACAAGGAGAATATCTTATCCACAGAGAAGCTGCAGAAAGGCCTCAAATAGATGAATACGCATGGCACGAAGATCAGGCTGACCACTGTCAGGTGAGAAGCACAGGTAGAGAAGACCTTGTTCTGGCCCTGGCAGAAGTGTGTTCTCAGGGTGATCAGGATGATAGCATAAGAGAATAGTAAGACCAAGAAGCAGACAAGAGACAGCAGACCACTGTTGGCTATCACCAGCACCTCTACCACATAGGTGTCCATGCAGGCCAGCTTGATGACTTGTGGGACATCACAGTAGAAGTTGTCCAGTTCATTGGGCCCACAGAAAGGCAGCTGGATGACTAGTATGACCTGCATGATAGAGTGGATAAAACCCCCACACCAGCAGGCAAGAACCAACCAAAGGCATAGCTGGGGGTTCATGACTGTAAGGTAGCGCAAAGGGTTACAGATGGCAACATACCTGTCATAGGCCATGACTGTCAGCAAAAACATCTCACTGGCTCCTAGAAAGTGGAGGAAGTAGATCTGGGCCAGGCATCCTGAAAAAGAGATGCTCTTGCCCTGCTGTAGGAAATCCCCTAACATCTTTGGCACAGTAACACAGCTCAGGCATAGGTCAATGAAAGAGAGATGACCTAAAAAATAATACATAGGAGATTGGAGCAGGTGAGCATGGGCTTGCACTGTTACCACTATCAAGAGGTTTCCCAGGACAATAGCAATGTAAAAAAACAAAAATAGTAAGAAGAGAAATAGCTGCAGCTCCCAAGAAGATGATAGGCCCAGAAGAACAAATTCTGTCACATTAGAATCTTGTTCTTTTTTCATCAAGCCAAGAATATCAAGTGACCTAAAGAAGAATTAAATCAGAACAAGGGAGATTTAAGGTAGATATATATGTGTACACTATATACATATAGTATATAATATATAAATTACATAAAAATTATTTTAGCAAGTTTTATCGGGTAATATAGGCAGTACACTCTTATATTGATAGAATGAGGAATTTTGTTCATTTCTTCCAACTCTTTATTCCTGTAGTGCTTTTAAATTGCATTCACAATAAACAAGAAAGAAACACAATGACGTGGACATTAGGTGATAAGTGCTAATCTTTCCATTTCTTTTAATAGACAGAATAATGTCCTCTAAGGACAAAAGTTCTGGAATGGAGTATCTAGATTGAATGCCTAGCTCCACCATTATCAATGGAGTACTCTCAGGCAAGAAAATAAACCTCTCTGAATTTTATTCCTTGGTTATTCAATTTAATGCACAGTTAATAATATCTCCCAAGATTGTTTTGAGAATCAAATGTAATGCCTATGTGCACCATAAAAAAAACTAAATCTCTCAAGATGAGGAAATATCTTACTCATCTTTGTATCCGCAACACAATACTTACTGCATAGCAGAAGCTCAATAATTTATCAAATCGAAGGAAGAATGTTTTGTAAACAACAAATTGCTATGTTGTACAAAGGTTAGTAGTTACTATGAATAAATATATTAGGAAACAAATCATTTAGGAAGGATTGAAACAGAGCTCATATTTTTTGTCTTTACTATCCCAGGTCACAGAAATTAGGAAGTTTGTAAAAATGAGGTAAGAAGCAATAGTCTCAATCTTTAAGATTTAGGGAAGCGTCAGACTCGGGATGAGTAGGATAATGATTAAAAGACACTAATCACCAAGAGAAGAGACCAAGAGCCATGACCCATATCACGGAGGCATGCACAAAAGCCCACCATGACCCTTTACAGGACAGAGTAATAAGAGAAACCAGAGTTGTGTTGCTTCTGGACTTTTCAACAACCATAGATACATAAGAAAATAAAGAAGATTTGCTAAGATATTGTTAGATCCATTTTCCCCTGCTCTACACTCATATTCATCCCCAACATTTGATGACAGTACCTTGGATTACAAACAGAAAATCAGAGAACATTGATACATTTCTTCCATTGAAGTAGTTAAAAATTAGTAGATGCCTGTCTAGAATATTTTTTTATCTAAAACCAGCTATAGACAAAATATGAAATAAGACAAAATTTTATTTTGTGTCCCAAGCTTTGTAATCCATGTTGCACTGGGTTCTATCAAGTCATTCAGAGAATGTTATCCAATAAAATCCTTCATACTAGATATCAGGTATTTACATAGACAATGCAGAAAAGTACTTAAATTCTAAAAATGAAAACCTCTAATGACAACAAAACTTTCTCTAGGATGTTATTCCAAGATAAGCCAGTGAGAGAGAGATTTGGGACTCAAGCCACCTTTGGATGCCTCTGTCACACCATGATTGTGACCATCCTCTTCATCTGCCTATATAGCCGAGTGCACAGGTGTATCTAAATCTATAATCTCATAACTGATAGAAGGAATCACCTCACTTTCTAGAGTCAATTGGAAAATAAAACAAAGAAAGAAATACAAGTTAGGGAACGATTTGCTGTTACATGTACAGCCTCACTTGAGCTCTGCTATATTGAAAATTCTCTAATCTTTTTTGGATGCACCAAGGATTGTAAATTTCCATAAGAAAATCTCATTTTGATGTTCTTTTCAGTTATCTAAAATGTATAATTAACAGGGGTCAAGTCTCATTAAAATTATTGATCTAATTTTTAAAATAATCTTGGGAAAACTGGAAAAGTCTGAGAAAGAGAAACCAAAGTTATTTTTTTAATTAAAAAAGGTTTCTAGAAGCCAGAAAACAATGGGAACACATAATCCTACACAATGTTATAATTTAGTCTCAGAATATGGCTGAGAAACAAAGTGATTATTTCCTAATGTGAAGGCATAGTATACCAAAGGTGTATGGTACACTTGTTTTTTCCACCGAACATATGCTGAGAAAGAAAAGATTATACTAAAACAGACAATATTAAAATTAAATAAATCAGAAGGATAGATTAAATAAGGGAAGAATATGTAAAATATATTTTAACCCAAATTACTACAAACTATTTATAAGCCTGAGTTTATTGCCTACTTGTTTAAAGTAAGATTTAATATTAGGAAATTTCAGTACTATAAATATTCTGGACAGTTCCTAGGTGATTACTCTGATAAGATTTGGATTAATAATGATATAAAAATCTTTACAATCACATAAGATAAAAATAGGCAGCCCTGTATGTCAGTTATTTGAGTTTTAATCAAGGTAAGGGCTGGATTCTGGTTATTCTTGGATTTTTTTAATGACAATAAATTTGCAATCCTCAGACAATATGAAACATAATACTAAACAATATAGAAAGCTCCCTTTTAGGTTTAGTAACATTTCCACATTTGGTAGAGTCATCTCCCAGCTTCTGTGTTTCTGAAGTCTGATCACAATAAGAAATTAAGCCTGTGACTGTTCCGTGAAGAATGAAAAGAACAATACACCCATCAACATGAAGGAATGTCTACACCCCAAAACTAACCCCAGTCACAACATAATTTCCCTTGCCAAAGCCCTGCAGGGCTTGGAAAGCCACATTCAAAAACACCAGCTTCATTATCCCATTAGCAGTAAGATGAGACCTTATCAAGCATTTCATGTTTCATATCCTAAAAATAACCTAAGAATGTGAAAAAGTCAATAAAAATATTTTTAAGTACACAAAATGAGCCAAAAAAATTGAGAATGCTTAATGCAAAATGAAAGTCTTCATGGAAGGGTCCTGCTTGGAGAGAAGAGGACAAACCAAAACACCTTAAATATCAAAGGCTACTTGTGTACAGCTAAGCAGCTGGTCTCTCTTCTTTCTAAACAGGGAACCGGAGATGTTTATGAGGAAAATATGAAGAAAAGGAGTAAAATTTTTCTCCTGGTACTTGTGCATGTGTGTGTTTTAAGCATAACAGTATACCATATTTTGCTATTATGTTTGTCTTGTATTTATTTTGGTCTGTGTGGAGCTAAATGCATTATTAGAGGAGGAAATTTGACTACCTCAACAATAGAAAATGATTGGCTAGCTGGAGTTTCAATTGCATATGAATTCCTTTTAGACACATTTGATGCATTTTTAAATTTCTCCTGAAAACCAAGAAGTGGACACACCATTAGTTGAAGATGGTACCTACAGTGGTATTCTCTATTGAGAAAGAAACAATCTTTCTGCTCTAAACTTCTTTGGCCTTGTTTGAAACATTGCATTCTATATTGTACCTGTGGAACATAAAGAGGATTTTAGTAAAAAGAAACTTTAATAATTAAAGAAATGGAAAACAGAATCTAGAAGGGACTATAGCAGAATTAGGTAGTCTTAAGAAAATATTGCCATGAAACCCATGCCTTCCATTATGTGAATTTGGGCCTATCTTATCCAAATATTGCAACTGTCTTCTAAGATGCCACTAGCCCTAGAATTCCTTGATGCTATAGGAATTTCACTGTTCTGTGAATGTTTCTAAGAGTAAATTTAAAACAAAAAACTCAAATGATCTCTTAAATTTAAAAATGATCAATGCCAGAGTATATAGAGAAAAAGAGTGAGGACAACAGTAAACATAAAAATAGCATCAAACAGAGGAGCAGGAAGGGGAGGGGAGTTTTGAATAAACATATCTGAGAAACCTACATCTTTGCTTGTCAGAAGCTATGTGGTTTCAAGGAAGGAAGATTTTATCCTGCCATTCATCCTATCAACCCTCTCTTCAGCCTCAGGCCAGCAAAATGGGCTATCCTCAGATGATCATCGCAGCTGCCCAGCACATGTCTTAACTGCTTCCTTATAAGCCAAGCCCTAGTTGAGGGCTGGCTGTATGAACTGGAAATATCTCCTATCCCTAGGACTCTAGCTGTATCAGGTTTCTGTGGTTCTTACAACACTACTTAGCTTAATGAGCCCTGGGATTCCCTAGGCTGCTGCTGTTTGAGTTGTGTTAAATTTAGTTCTTGCTAGGAAGTTGACCTTTGGACCTGCAGGCTCTGAAGCAATTAGACATGTTGCATATCAGAACCCACTTATTTTACTTACTTTGGATTGATTAATTTGTAATTTGTCATTGATTTATTTGTATATGCCATCCATTTTCCATGCCTCAGTCTGTATCTGAAGAAGACTCTCACTGGTTTTTATCTCAATCATGCTCCTTGAAGTAGCAGAAGCTGAAGGATAAATACCAAGCTAAGGTATTTATCTCTGGGATAATTCCAGGGATAGCTTGGTATTTATCCTTTAAGGTAATATAGAGTCTTGATACAACACCTGATTTCTTGAAACCTCAAGCAGCTTACCTACTGGCATTTATTCATGGATCGTATCCAGAAAACACATCTGTTGTCATTAGTAATTTAATTTTCTATAGACTGTCAAAGTCTATTTTTTAAATATCATAAAACATAATTCTCAAACAAATACATAATGAATGCATCAAAAACTGTATTTAACTAATTAATGAGGGATAGCAAGATAACAAAGTCCATTCCAAAAAGAATATGAAAAGTGTGATTTTACATAATCAGAGCAAAAAATGAACACTAAAATAAAATTGTTAAATTTGATGTAATCCAGTTAATGTCTCATGACACAGATTTACCTATATAACAAACCTGCATGTGTACCTCTGAACTTAAAAGTTAAAAAATATCAACATCACAAAAATATTCATATTCTTTCATACAGCTCTAAAAAGGGGCAATACGACCTTAATCTTTGGGATTATCTTTTCTACCACGCTAAAAAGATACAATGTAGCAGTTTTCTATAACATCTAGCTATATGTAATTATACAATGTCTGAGATTCCATAATTCATATATAGTAAGTTAAACAAAATCACATTTGCTAGAGAGTCAGATGACCCTTAGCTGGGCTTGCTAAACAATTTTTTTTGTTTTGTTATTTTTTATTTCTGTGGGTACATAGTGGGTGTATATATTTATAGAGTATGAGATATTTGGGTACAGGCATATAATACATAATAATCACATCATGGTAAATGGGGTATTCGTCCCCTCAAGCATTTATCTTTTGTGTTACAAACAATCCAATTATATTCTTTTGGTTATTTTTAAATGACAATTAAATCATTATTGACTATATTCACCCTGTTGTGCTATCAAATACTAAATATTATTTATTCTTTTTTTTTTTTTACCCATAACTATCCCCATTTTTCCCCATACCACACCTCCACCATCCTTCTCAGTTTTTGGTAACCATCATTCTACTCTTTATCTGCATGATTCGATCGTTTTAATTTTCAGTTCCCACAAATAAGTGAGAATATGGGAAGTTTGTCTATCTGTGCCTGGCTTATTTCACTTAACACAGTAATCCCCATTTCCGTCCATGTTGTTGCAAATGATCTCATTCTTTTTATGGCTGAATAGTACTCTATTGTATATGTATGTACCACATTTTCATTATTCATTCATCTATTGATGGAAACTTAGGTTGTTTCCAAATCTTGGCTATTGTGAACAAAGCTAAAACAAACATGAGAATGCAGATAACTCTTTGTTATACCGCTATTTTTTCTTTTGGGTCTACGTCTGGCAATGAGGTTGCAGGATCATAAAGTAGCTCTACATTTAGTTTTTGGGGGAATCTCCAAACTGTTTTCCATAGTGGTTGTACTAATTCACATTCCCACCAACAAAGTATGAGAGTTCCCTCTTCTCCTCTTCCTCACCAGCATTTGTTATTGCCTGTGTTTGGATAAAAGCCATTTTAAATGGGGTGAGATGATATCTCATTGTAGCTGTGAGGTACATTTCTCTGATGATCAATGTGTTGAGCACCTTTTTATATATCTGTTTGCTATTTGTATTGTCTTTTGAGAAATCGCTATTCTGATCCTTTGCCCATTTTTAAATTAGATTATTAGGTTGTTTTCCTATAGAGTTGTTTCCTGGTTATTAATCCCTCGTCAGATGGGCAGTTTGCAAATATTTTCTCCCATTCTGTGGGTTGAATCTTCACATTGTTGATTGTTTTTCCTTGGATGTGCAGAAGCTTTTTAACTGGATGTGATCCCACTTGTCCGTTTTTGCTTTGGTGGCCTGTGTTCGTGGAGTATTGCTCAAGAAATCTTTGCCCAGACCAATGTCTAAGAGAGTTTCCCCCAATGTTTCCTTTTAGTAGTTTAATTTTTTGAGGTCTTAGATTTAAACCTTTAATCCATTTTAATTTGATTTTTGTATATGCCAAGAGATAGGGGTCTTGTTTCATTCTTCTGCATATGGATATCCAGTTTTCCCAGCACCATTTATTGAAGAGACTGTTCTTTCCCCAATGTATGTTCTTGGCACTTTTGTAGAAAATGAGTTCACTATTGATATACGGATTTGCTTCTGGGTTCTGTATTCTGTTCCATTGACCTATGGGTCTGTTTTTTATGCCAGTACCATGTTCTTTTGGTTACCATAGCTTTATAGTGTAGTTTAAAGTCAGGTAATGTGATTCATCCAGTTTTGGTTTATTTGTTCAGGATAGCTCTGGGTATTCTGGGTCATTTGGTTATATCAATTTTAGGATTGATTTTTCTATTTCTGTGAAGAATGGCATTGGTATTTTGATAGAGATTGAATCTGTAGATTGCTTTTGGTAGCATAACATTTTAACAATGACTGTTTCAATTCATGAACATGGAATATCTTTCCATTTCTTTGTGTCTTCTTTAGTTTCTTTCATCAATGTTTTATAGTTTTCATTGTAGTGATTTTCACTTTTTTGGTTAATTCCTAGGTATTTAATTTTATTTGTAGCTATCGTAAATGGGATTACTTTCTTGATTTGTTTTTCAGACAGTTCACTGTTGACATATGGAGATGCTACTGACTTTTATATGTTGATTTTGTAACCTGCAACTTTACTAAATTTGTTTATCAGTTCTAATAGTGTTTTGGTGGAGTTTTTAGGTCTTTCCTAATATAAGATCACATCATCTGCAAACAAGGATAATTTGACTTCTTCCTTTCCAATTTGGATGCCTTTTATTTCTTTCTCTTGTCTGACTGCTTTAGCTAGGACTTCTAGTACTATAGTCAATAAAGTGGTAAAAGTTGGCATTCTTGTTGTGCTCCAGATTTTAAAGGTTTTCAGTTTCTCTCCATTCATCAAAATTCTATCTGTGGGTCTGTCATATATGGCTTTTATTATGTTGCAGTTTGCTCCTTCTATACCCAGTTTTTTAGAATTTTTATGATGAATGGATGTTGAACTTTATCAAATTTTTCAGCATCAGTTGAAATGATCATATGGTTATTCTGCTTCATACTGTTGATTGTTTATCATATTGATTGATTTGCATATACTGAACCATTCTTGCCTCCCTGGGATAAATCCTACTTTGTATGTTGTCATTTATTTGTGGGAGCTAAAAATTAAAACAATTGAACTCATGGAGATATAGAGTAGAAGGAAAGTTACCAGAAACTGAGAAAGATAGTGGTTAGGGGGATGGGAGGGCAGGTAGGGATGGTTAATGGGCACAAAAAGTAGTTAGAAAGAATGAATAAAATCTAGTATTTAATAGCACAAGAGGATGACTATTGTCAATCATAATTTAATTGTACATTTTAAAGTAACTAAAAGAATGTAATTGAATTGCTTGTAACCCAAAGGATAAAAATGCTTGAGGGGAATGGATACCCCATTTACCATTATGTGATTATTATGCATGGCATGCCTGTATCTAAGTATCTCATGTACTCAATAAATATATGCACCTACCACATACATACCAAAGTTTAACATAAATTTAAAAAAAAGAAAAGGCCAGGCATGGTGGCTCACACCTGTAATGTCAGCACTTTGGGAGGCCGAGGCAGGTGGATCAACTGAGGTCAGGAGTTCAAGACCAGCCTGGTCAACATGATGAAACACTGTCTCTACTAATAATACAAAAAAAAAAATAGCTGGGCATGGTGGTGGGCACCTGTAATCTCAGCTACTTGGGAGGCTGAGGCAGAAGAATCACTTGAACCCAGGAGGCGGAGGTTGCAATGAGCTGAGATGGCACCATTGCACTCCAGCTTGAGCAACAAGAGTGAAACTCTGTCAGAAAAAAAGAAAGAAAGAAAGAAAGAAAGAAAGAAAAAGAAAGAAAGAAAGAAAAGAAGGGAAGGGAAAGAGAGAGAGAAAGAAAGAAAGAAAAAAGAAAAGAAAGAAAGAAAAAAGAAATGAAAGAAAGAAAGAAAGGAAGGAAGGAAGGAAGGAAGGAAGGAAGGAAGGAAGGAAGGAAAGAGAAATTACAAGGCAATAACATGATCATAGATGCAAAAATTCTTAACAAAATACTAGCAAACTGAATCCAACAACACATTAAAAAGACAGTTTGCCACACCCAAGTGGGTTTTATTCCAGGAATTCAAGGGTTATTCAGTATAAATGAATCAAAAAGTTTGATACATTACACTAATAGAATAAAAGACAAAAAGTATATGATCATTTCAATAGATGCAAAAAAAAAGCATCTGATAAAATTTATCATTGCTTCATGATAAAAATTAAACACATTTAGGCATAGAAGGAGCATACCTCAACATAATAAAGGCCATATATCAGAAACTCACAGTGAAAATCATACTGACATACGACAAACAGAAAATCCTTCTTCTAAGAACTGAAAAAAGACAAGGATTCTCACTTTCACAACACCTATTTAATATAGTACTGGAAGTTTTGGCCAGAGAATCAGCAAGAGAAAGAAATAAAAGGCATTTGAATTGGGAAAGAAGAAGTCAAATTGTTTCTCATTGCAGATGACATGATCTTATATAGAGAAAAACATAAAAACATTATCAAGACAACTCTTAGAAGTGATAAGTGAATTCAGTAAGGTTGCAGAATACAAAATCAGCATACAAAAATCAGCAGCACTTTTATGTGGTAATAATCAACTGTCTGAAAAGAATTCAAGATAACAATCTTATTTATGATAGCTCCAAAATAAAAAAATATAATTCTTAAGAATTAATTTAACCAAGGATGTGGAAGATATCTACAATGAAGCCATAAAACATTTATGAAAAAATTTGAAGACAGAAATAAATGGAAAGATAATCCTGCATTCGTGGATTCAAATAATTAATATTGTTAAAATGTTCACACTACCCAAAACAAGCTATGGATTTATCAAAATAACAATGACATCCTTCAGAGAAATAGAAAAAACAATCCTAAAATACGTATGGAAACTACAAAAGACCTGGAATAGCCAAAGCAGTCTTGACCCAAAAGAACAAAGTTGGAGGCATCATACTACCTGACCTCAAAGTATACTGTAAAGTTATAGTAACCAAAACAGCATGATACTGGCATAAAAACAGATGCATAAACCAATGGAATAGAATACAGAGCCCAGAAACAAATCCGCAGGTGATACACAGTCACCTAATATTTTGACGAAGCTGCCAAGAACACACAATGGGGAAAGGACAGTCTTTTCAACAAATGGTATTGGGAAAACTGGGTATCTATATGCAGAAGAATGAACTTATACCCTTACTTCATACCATATACAAAAAATCAACTAAAAATAGTTTAAACACTGAAACATAAGACCTAAAGCTGTAAAACTACTAGAAAGGAAAACATAAGGGAAAAACTACACAACATTGATGTAGGCAAAAGCTAAGGCAAGAAAAACAAAAATAGACAAATGAGGTTACATCAAAATAAAAAGCTTCTTAATCCAGTCTATCATTGTTGGACATTTGGGTTGGTTCCAAGTCTTTGCTATTGTGAATAGAGCCGCAATAAACATACGTGTGCATGTGTCTTTATAGCAGCATGATTTATAGTCATTTGGGTATATACCCAGTATTGGGATGGCTGGGTCAAATGGTATTTCTAGTTCTAGATCCCTGAGGAATTGCCACACTGACTTCCACAATGGTTGAACTAGTTTACAGTCCCACCAACATGGATGAAATTGGAAACCATCATTCTCAGTAAACTATCGCAAGAACAAAAAACCAAACACCGCATATTCTCACTCATAGGTGGGAATTGAACAATGAGATCACATGGACACAGGAAGGGGAATATCACACTCTGGGGACTGTGGTGGGGTCGGGGGATGGGGGAGGGATAGCATTGGGAGATATACCTAATGCTAGATGACACGTTAGTGGGTGCAGCGCACCAGCATGGCACATGTATACATATGTAACTAACCTGCACAATGTGCACATGTACCCTAAAACTTAAAGTATAATTAAAAAAAAAATTAAAAAAAAATAAATAAAAATAAAATAAAAATTTTGGAATTCATGTTCATAAAAGTTAATAATAGCTAAAAAAAATAAAAATAAAATTGTATTTGAAAAAAAAATGAAAAAAAATAAAAAGCTTCTGCTCAAAAGAAACAACAGAACCAAAAATGACCTACAGAATAGGAGGAAATTTTTGCAAATTATACATCTGATAAGGGGTTAATATTCAAAATATATAAGGAACTCAAGCAACTCAATAGCAAAAAACAACACAACCACCAAATAATTCAATTTAAAAGTGGGCAAAAAACCTGACTAGATATTTTTTAAAATATGATGTGCAAATGACCAAAAAGCATATGAAAAAATCCTCAGCATCACTGATCATCAGGTAAATGCAAATCAAACCACAATGAGATAGCACCTCAGCCCAATCGGAATGTTCATGATCAAACAGACAAAAGATGGCAATAGTTAGTGAGAATGCAGAGAAAAGGGAACGTTTATACACTGTTGGTGGTAATGTAAATTTGTACAGTCATTATGAAAAACCATATGGAGGTTCCTCAAAAAATTAAAAATATATATAGTATATGTTTAAGTATACAGTAGGCATTCAGTAAATATTTGTGGAATAACTAAATGCCAATTAAATTTCTTGTGCTCTACATAAAATTCAACTCAAATATCTCTAATAACTCTGCAGGTACAAATATTTGATGACCAGAGAATGATTTCTTTTTCTTCAAAATAGATCTAGAGAGTATTATGGTAAAGCTTACCACTGTAGCTTAAATGACAATCCCTTTTACTACTTAATTATTCCTCAGGAAGCTTTGACAATACATGAACACGAAAGAAAAAAGAAAAGATAAGATCTGCTTCTACATTTTCACTATTCTTTAGGGGATAGTAAGAACTGGCTTTTGACTGTGAAAATTCAAATTGTTATCTTCTTTTAAACAAACACTATCAAAATATCCCAAGAGAGACAGAGCTCCAAGTCCCAAAAGGGTATGATGCAAGTAAATAGATATATATATAATACACTCACTTGAGCTTGCATTTTGACCATTAATATATGCTTTGAAGGTGGGGAAAATCTTTTAGGGTTTACTTTTTGCAACCCATGAGAGATAACAAACAGGATCATGCAATTTCTTGGAAGTTCTTCACATGTCTTTGGCTCTGTGGAATAATATTTTGTCTCCTGTCCCTGACCTTCTCAGCATTCACTCAAAGAGTGAGTGGGAAGTATATAACATGTAAGTCACCCAGTTTTTTTGCAAAAATCATAGAAAATGTTTTTTTCTTGTCTCTGAGAAAACTAAAAATGTATCTCAGAATGAAATGCTGGCAAAGAATGAAGCTGAAAAATATAAGTTTTTCTTCTTGTTTCCCTGAATTCTGGAAAATATTTTTCAATTATGGTTCATATCCCTTTAAAACATGAATCGCCATATAGACAAAAAGAATAGTATTTCAAGTGAAGATGTACATTAACTGATGAATTACTGGAGAAGGGTATATTTTGGTAATTTTTGTTATTTGGTGAGCAGAAGAAATATGGCATATTTCTCTCTCCAGCAATATTTTCTTTCTCAAGCCCAAATACTGATTTTCAGTTCCATTACATTAATAAGACTTGGTATTATACAAATTAGTTATTATTTAAGAAACAAAAATCTTCAGCTCATATGACTTTTTTTTGTTTTTGTTGTTATTTGGGCTAGAAGTTAAGCAGAGAGTAATGAAGGGAAAAGTTTCATGTTTCACATTTGCCTAGATAGGAAAGGCCTCAGAGAACAACCGCAGTGAGATGCAAAATAACACCAAAGGTCAAAGGAAGAAAAGGAACATGTGGAAGAAAGCAGTGAATAAAAAACATGGAAACTTTTGTAATATAAATTCTATCTGCCTTTCTTATTTTCCTGCAGCTGACTTGACCATGGTTAACAAATAACAAGCACATTGAACTTGGCCACAGTCATGCAGACCAGCTGTTCTCCCTAAGGTCAATGTCATAATGGGCATATGAAGTTCATACATTCACCCGGAAGCATATAAAAATATTTAGTCAGAGCAATTTAAGAGACAAAGTATGGCACACTTCCTCATATCATATAGTGTATGCAGCTGCCTAAAAATAAAAGAATGTATTTTTTATGCTAAACATTGGTACAGATACATGAAACAGCATAAAAGACCATATATCCTCTAATGACAGAGTTCTTTCTTATTTCCACTTTAAAACACTACAAGTAACCTGGAGTAGCTGAAATTGAAAGTAAATATGAATTTGTGCCTTGGCATGGCACTATATTGAGAAAGAGTATTTTTAAATATCTTGGTTTTGTATTTTATTTTTATATCACTAATAAATAATAATGAATCATGTATTCATAGTACTGTTGAAAGAATTACATACCCAGATAAATATAGTATCAATAATGCAGGTAAACAGAAGAAAGAATAGACTCATTGTGTATAGGTAATTTATTGGAATCACAAAAGTTTGCATTCTTGGTTTCAAGTCTAGTGTTCTTAGCAAGAAAAAAAACTCTCCACAATTCATATTTTCCCTCCTTTCTATTGTTGTGATTTATCAAAATAAATATATGTAGGAATTGAGTCATGAAAGTCACAGTATTGTTGTTTAAGCAAAAGTCTAACTGTTTACTACTTTATAATATACATGATAAAGAATTTTGGTTGTTTCCAAGAAGAAACAGCATGCTCCATTTCATGTTTCAATTACCTCTGCCATCTCCATGTCTTCCAGACTAATGAATATGTCCAGCATGGAAACGATTAATTTTGTTAGCTACTTTATCCTCATGGGCTTTCCCTCAAGCCCAGAAATGCAGCTCCTCTACTTTGGTCTCTTCTCATTAGCCTATACTCTCACCCTGATGGGAAATGCATCCATTGTCTGTGCTGTGTGGTGGGACCAGCACCTTCACACTCCCATGTACACCCTCTTGGGAAATTTCTCTCTCCTGGAAATATGTTATGTTATTACAACTGTTCCTAAACTGCTGGCCAACTTCCTCTCCACAAGCAAGTCCATCTCATTCATGAGTTGTTTTGCACAGTTCTACTTCTTCTTATCTTTGGGGTATGATGAGGGCTTCTTCCTTTGCATCATGGCCTTTGACAGGTATCTTGCCATCTGCCGCCCTCTACGTTATCCATGCATTATGAATAAGCAAGTATGCACTGGCCTTATCATCTTTGCATGGTCATGTGTCTTTGTAATCTTCCTAATTCTGTTGATTCTCATTTCACAGATATCCTACTGTGGCCCAAATATTATCAACCATTTTGTTTGTGATCCTGTACCATTGGTGATGCTGTCCTGTTCTGCAGACATAATCATCACCTAGCTCATTTACTCCACATTCAATTCTATCTTCATGATTGGCACCTTTCTCTTTATCCTTTGTTCCTATGCTCTGGTGATTCTGGCTGTAATACAGATGCCTTCAGAGGCTGGCAAACGAAAGGCTTTCTCCACTTGTGCCTCTCATTTGGCAGTTGTCACCTTGTTTTATGGCTCTATCATGGTGATGTATGTTAGTCCTGGATCAGCACACCCAGTAAAAATGCAAAAAATCATTACCTTGTTCTATTCTGTGATAACACCACTCTGTAATCCTCTAATATATAGTCTCAGGAGCAAAGAGATGAAAGATTCTCTGAGGAAAATCTTCAGGACTGGAAAAGATGTTAATAAAATATAAATAAGAGACAATTTTCATTTATCAAATGTAACTTTATTATACATGAATATTTGTCTACAAATTTATTGTTTTATTTAACAACTGCTATAATAATGAGCCATTAACATCTTAAATACCACTCACCACAATCTGCATTACTGTGGTCTTATTTAAGTATGTTTCAACAGTGAACTAGATTTTCTGTTGAAGTGAATAATAAGTATGTAAAATCAGAACCTGTATATGTAATTCAACTTTTCAAAAAGAATACAGACATCCTTTTTGTATTACTGAGCTAAAGCAATTGATAACACATGTGACAGATATCATAGACTGCTCTCACAATTAACACTATAATCCAATCATTATCCACTAGGAGATACTGGCTGAAAAAGAGCCAAGTTTTAAGAAGTCCAGCTTGTCAAAATGTAGCAAGTGGTCTTTACATTATGTAAATAGACTAATAGCCTTAGTTTGATATTCAGTGTTTTTTCAGAGAGTACACAACCAAGAATTAGGAATTTAAAGCAGATTTGTTACCTGGAATATAGTGCAGCAAAGACCTAAACAAAAAGGTGAGCATTACTCAGGATATAGCTTGCTTTGTTGTAAACCCACTTTAAACACAGGATTTGATATCATAACTAATTTAGTATTAATACTGTGTGACTTATTTGAGTACTGCTGGACAGTACTAAAACAAAACTCTTAAAATCCATTTTATAAAATATTTGACTAATATCTTGCTTTAATTTTGACTTTTGTTCTATGCCATTTTTTCAAATACAACTCTCAAAAACTTAATAAAAAGGAATCACAATATGAAATGTAGTTTACAGAATTTTAATTTGTAAGACTTCATAGCTATTTGCTCCACAAAATGAGGTGCTACTGCAATTAGTTTTTGTGTCACAAGGAAGCTGAGTTGAGAATATTTTCTGGGTTTGAAAGGAAGGATTTATGTGAGTTCTGGGGAAAAGAGTGGTTGTTTTATTATACTTCGCATGTGAAATGTAAATTAAGTAGCTAAATACTTGCCTGAAAAACTCTTTTATATAGGAAGAAAATACAAACAATTTAGAACTTCGTTCAAACTGACTTCAACGGTGGGCTCTCTTTAAAGTGCTGATAAATTTAGCACTGAGTTTCACCTGTCCATGCCAGTTTTGTTTATATTTCTTAATTATATGAGAAAAAATGATAGAAATTCTTAATAAAATATAATCTCAACTGTTATAAATGTGCACAGTGCCCATATTTGTAATTATCTTCAAGTTGATCATTAACCAATCTTATCTTACCAATATTAAATTCTATCTCATATTGAGCTTGCTGGCACTTGATAGAAAGAATTGAAAACTATTTGATACAGTAAAAAGCATTTCCGTAAGATACAAACATGCCTTCATTGTGACAATATCTCTTCCTCAGTTCATACCTATGGCTTCATGGTATTTCACACAACCAGCTAATAAAGGAAGAAACAGCCTCAGGCTTGGCTCACAAATGGATTGTCTGAATCTACACTTAGACAAGATAAAAACTGACTAATGCTGCAGCTTAACGCCTCTCCAGGGTAGCCATAGAATGTAGTGGTGGAGGAAATCCTCATAAACCAATGATTTGGTAGCAATATACTTAGTTGTCCACTTTGAATGTTGGGAAAAATAGCTTGCTATGCAAGATAAGGATATGTGTAGAATAATGATTGTTGTAAAAAAACTTCACTAAGCAAAGCCCCCCCAAAATACAGAAAAATCAGATTTAATGAAATTTGAGGTGGAGGCCTATGTATGGGCCTATGAGAATAAGCACAAAGTATGCAGATCTTTGTTTCTCAACTCTGTGCCCATTAGAGAGTATCCTCCAGAGTGGAGGCACTCAATACCTAGGTGAAAAGAATAAGTCATCTAAAAATGTCAGTCAGCTCTGATTTCATTCACCTCAGAGCTTATAAAAGGGAATACAAAGAAAGTTGTATAAATGGAAAATATCCACAAGCCAAAAAATACAGGCATTATCTTACCAAGGTTGGTGACAAATCACTGAGCCACTGAAGATGCAGCCTCGATGAGAAACCAATGCTAAGCCCTCAATATGGCACCAATCTTTGAGAAAACCAGCCAGCAATGGGTGGCAAATTGATTACATCAAATTCCTTTTACTTTGGAGGGTGCCAAGTGACATGAAAGAGTATAGTCAACCCCTACTTCTTCATTTCATATTCACTCCCCAACCCCCTGTGATCTTGCTTTCTATCTCCTCTGCTTGACTAAAACTTCTTTTCATCATGTTTCTGTAGAGGATTAACAATAATCATCATATGGGTATTTTATCTTAGGTACAAGAAAGTATAGTAACTCAAATAGATTTTCCAATCTACCATTATTTTCATTAGTCAACATTATCTTAACCAGAGAAGATGTGAACTCTACATTTTGTAATTCTACATTGTTTGAGTTTGAAAACCTTTGCTATAACCTGGGAATAAGTTGTTTTTGGATCAGTTGCAGCCTCTTATGGACAAGAGTAAAGACAAAAAAGTTGAAAAATGTGTATTACCCTATAACTGCAACTCAAAATCTAGCTTATTTTTCATATTTCACATGAAATAGATGTTTAACCTAGTAGTTCTCAACTTTAATGTCCATATCAATCACCATCACCTATGGATCTTTTCAAAATGCAGGCTCTCTGTGACATCAGGAGGATTGAAGAATAGGAGGTCCCAGTTTTCCCTACCCTTCATAGAATGTTCAATTAACAACTGTACACAGACAAAAACTCCTATGTGAACACTTCAAAACTCAGGATTAAGCCCGAGAAACCTGTGTAAACTAAAGAACCAAACAAAATGCCACATGAAAAGGGTAAAAAGAATAGTCTCACTCTGACCACATCACCTCTCCCTTTCTCTCAAGTCAGCACAACACCACTTAGAATTTTTCTAGGCCCACAGTTTCTACAGTAGGAAAAGAGAACTAGAGGTGGACATTCACGTTCCCTGCATTCCAAGATACTTCCCAGGAAGCCTACTCTGGTCTCACCTTGCAAGGAGCATAGGGGTAATATCATGGCTAGACTACCTGTGATCAGGTAGAAACAGAGGAGGAAGGCAGAGCTCATAGTGACAAACATGCAGATCTTGGTGGTAGCTCTATGTAACTGCCAGCAGTGGTATGTGATTAGGGGTATTAGCCAAAAGTATAACAAACCAACAAAGTCAAGCTGGTTGCCCCTGGAAATAGGAAGTTCTACCTGGCTTGAATCCCTAGACAATCAGCCTCCATGCCAGCCCCAGATCCCACCACAAAGCCCTGCCCAGAGGGGGAGATGACCACAGCACATTTTGGTAAAATACAAGGGCTAGACCTGCCCCACTCAGAAGCCCAAACAGTGGTTTGGCTTAGTCTCAAAACCCACAACGGGGACCCAGCCAGGCAGGGAAATGCATACCACAGCCCATTTTTAGCACAGTGTAGGGTCTAGAACTGCCTTACCTGGGGACTTGAACAGTGGCTGAACTCAGCCTCAAAATCATCCCCAAAGCCCACTGGGAGAGGGAGATACCTGCTGCGGTGCATTTTGGCAAAGTGAAAGGGCTATATATACCCCAACAAGGAATCCAAACAGTGATTTGGCTCAATCTCAAAGCCCACCCCAAGGTCCCACCCAGGCAGAAGGCAAACATCAAATGTGCATTCCCACCAAGTATATTAGCTGTTCTCTCCATCCTGAGCAGTGTCCCCACTTAACTTTGTGAGTAAGCCTGCAACCCCATACAACTGCAGAACTCAAATAGTGGTACCATCTAGCCAGGAAATACATCCTGTGGCCTGGCCCAGTCAGAGGCAATCACCATCCAAGCAAGCAATTTTGTCTGAGTGCAGAGCTCATTTAGTGGTTTTACCAAAAATCAGAACCCAGCCAGTAGTCCCAGCTGAACTCAGAGCAAAGACAAAAGCTGAGCCATCTGGAGAACCTGAAAGCAGAAAGAAAGATCTGCTTTCCTAGGGTTGGTATCAGCTGGCCAATCTAGAATCAAAGGCTAGACTAAATAATGAAAGTCTATCCCTGCCAACTAATACCTATAAAAAGAGGTAGCTGCCTCCTCAAATGAACAGACACCAGTGCAAGAACACAAGGATTGTGAAGAATTGGGGAATGATGACACCTCCAAAATAAACTAATGAAACTCTAACAATGGACTCTAAAGAAATGGAGATTTGCAAAATGACTGACAAAGAATTCTGAAAAGTCCTCTTTAAAAATTTAGTGAACTACAAGAATATAAGGATAGATAATTAAATAAATTTTGGAAAATAATACACAAACAATATAAGATGTTTGACAAAGAAATAGAAATAATAAAAATATAGTAAGCTTAAAGAATAAAATGATGGAAAGGAAAATGCAATAGAAAGCTCTAACAACAGGCTCAGTCAAGCAGAAGGGAAACAAACAGTAAGCTAGAGACAAAACATTTAAAATAATTCAGTCAAAAGAGAAAAAATAAAAAGAATGAAAAAGAATAAAGACAGACTCTGGATATGAAGGGAAACTATTAAGACCTAATATTCATCTAATAGCAGTTTTTGGAAAGAAAATAAATAGAAAAGAGACCAGAAAGCATATCTGAAGAAGAAATTCTAAAAAATTACCAAATCTGGAGAAAGTTGCTAACATCTAAACACAGCAAATGCAGAGTTATCCAAACAAGTTTAAGCCAAATAGGAGTTATCCAAGATGTATAGTAATCAAAATACCAAAAATTAAAGAAAAAGAAAACATTTTGAAAACAGCAAATCATGAGAAGCATATCACATAGAAGGGAATACCAAAATAGCTGTCACTGGATTTCTCAGCAAAAACTCAGGAGACCAGGAGAGAGTAGGATAATGTGTTTAAAGTGCTGAAGGGAAAAAACAAGGCCAAAAAGTCTACTTAACCCAGCAAAGTTGTCCTTGGCAAATGAGAGAAAAACAAAAACTTTTCCAGACAAACAAAAGCTATGGGAGTTCATCACCACTAAATATGTCTTAAGAGAATTACTAAAGGAAGTTATTTGAGCTGAATTAAAAGGCTGCTAATTAAAAACATAAAACATATGAGAACACAAATGCAATGGTATAAGAAATACAAATTCATATCCAGAATATTCTAAGACTGTAATGATGATGTGTAAAGCAATTTTTTTCCTATAGTACAATGGTTAAAAGACAAATCTATTAAAACACATAGAGCAAAAATAGTCAATGGATACACATTAGAAAGTGATGTAAATTTTGACATCAAAAACATAAAATGTGGGAGAGGAGAAATAAAGTTGTACAGTTGTTGTTGGCAAATAAAGTGTACAGTTGTTGTTGTCAGCTTAGAATAGTATATCATATAAAAATAAAGACATCACCCAACATAAAAACATCACCCAACACTACACAAGTACATGGAAATTAAGTGACTTGCTACGGAATGACTTCTGGGTGAACAATGAAATTAAGGCAGAAATCAAAAAAGTCTTTGAAATGACTGAAAACAGAGACACAATATGCCAAGATCTCTGGGATGCAGCAAAAGCAGTGTTATGAGAAAAGTTTATAGCACTAAACAATTACCTCAAAAAGTTAGATATATCTCAAATTAATGATCTAGCATCCAACAGAATAGCTAGAAAAACTAAAACAAAGCTAGCAGAAAAAAATAACTAAAAGCAGAGCAGACCTGAATGAAACAGACCAGAAAATTAATACCAAGAATCAATGAAATCAAAAGTTGATTCCTTAAAAGGATAAACAAGATTGAGGGGTTGCCAGCTACAGTAACAGAGAGAGAACGAGAGTGAGAGCGAAAGAGAGAGAGAGAGAGAAGATTCAAGCAATCACATTAAGAAATGACAAAGGTGACATTACAAATGATCCGAGAAATACAGAATATCCTCCAAGGGACTATTAGGAACACCTCTGTGAACACAAACTACTAAATCTAGATGAAATGGATAAATTTCTGGAAACAACCTCCCAAGATTGAATCTGGGAGAAATTAAAACCCTAAAAGACCAATATTAAGGTCCAAAATAGAAGGAGCAATAAAAATCTACCAACCAAAAAAGTCCTAGACCAGATGGCTTCACAGCCAGATTCTACCAGACATAGAAAGAAGAGCTAGTACCAATTCTACTGAAACTATTCCCAAAAATGGGGAGAATGGACTCCTCCCTAACCCGTTCTTTGAAGCCAGCATCTCTTTGATACCAAAACCTGGCAAGTGAAAGTTTATAGCTACAAGTGCCTACACCAAAAATGTAGAAAAATTCCAAATAATCTAGTGATGTATCTTTAAAAACTAAAAAAGCAAAAGCAAACAAACCCAAATTATTAGAAGAAAATAAATAATAAAGATCAGAGTAGTAATAAATGAAATGGAAACAAAACATACAATACAGAAGATCAACAAAGTGAAAAGTTTGTTTTTTGAAAAGATAAAATCAACAAAACTACCTAAGAGAAAAAGGGAAAAGACCCAAATAAATAAAATTAAGACATAAAACCAATACTGCAGAAATTAAAAGGATCACTTGCAACCATATGCCAATAAACCGGAAAATCCAGAGAAAATAGATAAATTCTTATATACATACAACCTACCAAGTCTGAGCCATGAAGAAATCCAAAACCTGAAGAAACCAATAACAAGTAATGAGATCAAAGCCCTAATAAAAAGTCTCCCAGCAAAGAAAATCCCAGGACATGGTGGCTTCTCTGTTGAATTTTACCAAATATTATAGAGGAATTAATACCAACACTACTCAAACTATTCCAAAAAATATAGGAACACAGAATACCTCCCAATTCATTCTATTAGACCAGCATTACTCTGATACAAAACCAGAAAGAGACATATCAACAAAAGTAAACTACAGACCAATATCCCTGATGAACACTGAGACAAAAATCCTCGACAAAATACTAACAAACTAAATCCAACAGCACATTAAAAATTTAATTCACCATGATCGATTGAGTTTTATTCTAGAAATGCTAGGATGATTCAACATATGCAAATCAATAAATATGATTCATCACATAAAGTTAAAAGCAAAAACCATAGGATCATTTCACTTGATGTTGAAAAGACAATCATAAAATAGGAGAAAATATTTGTAAACTATCCATCTGACAAGGGATTAACAACCAGAATATATAAGGAGCTCAAACAACTCTATAGGAAAAATCTGATCATCCAATTTAAAAATGGGCAAAAGATCTTGCTCAAAAGAAGACATATAAATGGCAAACAGGCATGTGAAAAAGTGCTCAGCATCATTGCTCATCAGAGAAATGCAAACCAAAACTACAAGATGAATCATCTAACCCTAGTTAAGATGGCTTATATCTAAAAGACAGGCAGTAAGAAATACTCGCTAGGATGTGGAGAAAAGGGAACCCACTATTGGTGGGAATGTAAATTAGTACAATCACTATGGAGAACAGTTTGGAGGTTTCTCAAAAAAAACAAAAATAGAGCTACCATATGACCCAGCAATGCCATTGTTAGGTATATACACGAAAGAAAGGAAATCAGGATATCTGAGAGATACCTGCACTCCCATGCATATTGCAGCACTATTCACAATAGCCATGATTTGGAAGCAACTGTGTGTCCATGAACAGATGAATAAATAAAGAAAATGTGGTTAATATACACAATAGAGTAATATACAGCTATGAAAAAGAATGAGATCCTGTTATCTGCAACAACATGGATAGAACCGGAGGTTATTATGTTAAATAAAATAAGCCAGGGACAGAAAGACAAATTTTCCATGTTCTCACTTATTTGTGGGAGCTAAAACTTAAAATAACTGGATTTATGGAGATAGAGAATAGAGTAATGGTTACCAGAGATGGAAGAATAGTAACGTTAAGGGGAAGAATTAATAATCGGCATAAAAATACAGTTAGATAGAATAAGTAAGATCTAGTGTTTGATAGAACAACAAGGTGACTATAGCCAAACATAATTTATAGTACATTTAAAAATAACTAAAAGAGCATAATTGCATTGTTTGTAACACAAACAAAGTGTAAATGTTTGAAGTGATGGATACCCCATTTACCGTGATGTAATTATTATACGTCGTATGCCCGTAGAAAAATATCTCATGTACCCCATAAACATATACAGTCAGTGTGTACCCATAAAAATTTAAAAAGGAAAAGATAAACAACCTGATATTACAACTCTAGTAACTAATAAAAAAAGAACAAACTAAACCCAAAGTCAGCAGAAGGAAAGAAATAACAAGGATCTGAATAGAAATAAACAGAATAGAGACTAAAACTACAACAGAAAAGAACCCAATGTAATAAAGAGTTCAGAAGGATAAACAAATCAACAAGCCTTTAGCCAGACCAAGGAAAAAGGAGAAAGGACTCAAATATTAATACAATCAAAAGTGAAAAGGGAGACATTACAACTGATACCACAGAAATATAAAAGCTCATAAGAAAAAAGAGCTCATAAGAGAGTACTATGAAAAATTGTACAGTAACAAATTGAATAAAGTAGAAGAAATAAATAAATTCCAAGATACATGCAAGATACCAAGACTGAATCATGAAGAAAAAGTAAGTACGAACAGACCAAAAATGAATAAGATTGAATTGTAATAAAGTCTCCCATCAAAGAGAAGCCCAGAATAGCTTTACTGTTGTATTCTACCAAACATTTAAATAATTAGCAATCCTCAAACTCTTCCAAAAAAAATCTAAGAGGAAGGAATACTTCACTTCCAAACTTTTTTTACATGGCCAACATTACTCTGATACCAAAGCCAGCCAAGAACAAGAAAAAGAAAAGAAAAGAAAAGAAAAATTACAGGCCAATATCCCTGATGAACATAGATGCAAGAATCCTCAATCAAATACTAGCACACTGAATTCAACAGCATATTAAAAAGATAACTTACCATGCTCAAGTGGATTTACCCCAAGGATACAAGGTGGATCAACATACATAAATCTATAAATGTGATATACAACATTAACAAAATGAAGCCCCAAAATTATATAATCATCTAATTAGATGCAGAAATGGCATTTGAACAATTCAACATTGTTTCATGAAAAGATTCTCAACAGAGTTGGTTTAGAAGAAATATACTTCAACACAATAAAGACCATGTATTACAAGCCTACAGCTCACATTATACTCAATGTACCCTCCAAATCTCAGGCTGAATTGTGATCCCCAGTGTCAGAGGGGGTGCCTGGTGGGAGGTGTCTGTGTTATGGAGGTGAATCCCTCATGGGATGGTGATGGTATCCAACCCAACCCTCAGGAATGGGTTTGCATTTTACCCGTAGTAGAGTTACCATCAGATCTGTTGGTTAAAAAGAGTGTGGGACAACCCCCTCCCCACCTTGCTCCCTCTCTTGCCATGTGACACACCTGCTCCCCCTTTGCTTTCTTCAATGAGTAAAAGCTTCCTTAGGCTTCAGAAGCTAAGAAGATGCTGATGCCACGCTTGTACTGACTGCAGGACCATGAGCCAAATAAACCTCTTTTCTTTATAAATTACTCAGTCTCAGGTATTCCTTTATAGCAATGTAAAATGGACTAAAACAAATGTTATTGGTGATTTATGCAATGGCCATTTTAAGGGTGTGGTGGGGGGAAGCCATATTTAAATATATTGGAGGTGAGAAAGACATGAGGAAAAGATGAAGATTCCTTACGGTCTCTCAAGTATGGTAGTCATGCTCCTGCCTTGTGGCCCGTATACATGCCATCTCCTCTGCCTGGAATGCTCTTTTCCCAGATATTTATGTTTCTTTCCCCCACACTCCCTTCAAATCTTTGACCAAATATCACCTTTTCAGTGAGGCCTTTCCTGACTAGCTATTGAAAATTCCACCCAGGGGAATTGAGAGATATCGGTCAAAAGGTACAATGTTTCAGCTAAACAGGATGAATAAGTTTTGGAGATCTACTGTACAGCATAGTGACTGTAGTTAATAGTCATGTGTTATACCATTGTCCCTAAATATCTGCAATATCTGGGGGGCGATTTGTTCCAGGACTCCCCAAGGACACCGAAATCCTGGGATGTTCAAGTCCCTTATATAAAATGATGTAATTTTATATTTGCATGTAACCTATGCATATTCTTCCATACACTTTAAATCATCTATAGATTACTTATAATACTAATAAAATATAAATGTTTTATAAATAGTTGTTATAACGTATTTTTTTATTTTTACTGCTTTTATTGTATTTTTTGTGGGTTTTTTGTCCTAATAGTTTCTATCCAGTTGGTTGGATGCCTGAATGTGGAACTCATGGAAACATAGGGCCAAAAGTATACTTGAAGTTTTTAGAAGAGATTTTAAATGTTCTCATACAATAAAATGAAAGTATGTGGAAGTGATAAATATGTTAGTTTGAATTAATCGTTTCACCATGTATACATATCAAAAAATCATCTTGTATGCCACAAATACATACAGTTTTTAAAATATAAAATAAAAAATATTCAATCACCTATTATAAAGCAAGCACATATTGAACAAGTGCCAAGTTAATCTCATATACTGGATAATGATTCCATGGAAAGTAGCCTTGCTTAATTGGGAAAAGACCCAAGTGACAGAGTAGCTCCCTATGGAAAATTGTAACTGGTTTAAGTGACAGCTTAAACTCCAGAATGTCTCACCAAACAGTCAAATATATCTCTGCTCATAAGTATATTTCTCAATGAATTGTTATCAACTGATACTCCTGTGTAAAGGTACCTAGTTCAAGAAACTGAATATTATCAGCATCCCAAAATCCCAACCTTTTCATTGAGGCTTTCCCTAACTACCTATTGAAAATTGCGCCCAGGGGATATGGGGAGACGTTTGTCAAAGGGTACAATGTTTCAGCTAAAAAGGATGAATAGTTCTCCTTGAAGAGGTCCTTCACATCCCTTGTAAGTTGGATTCCTAGGTATTTTATTCTCTTTGAAGCAATTGTGAATGGGAGTTCACTCATGATTTGGCTCTCTGTTTGTCTGTTCTTGGTGTATAAGAATGCTTGTGATTTTTGTACATTGATTTTGTATCCTGAGACTTTGCTGAAGTTGCTTATCAGCTTAAGGAGATTTTGGGCTGAGACAATGGGGTTTTCTAGATAAACAATCATGTCGCCTGCAAACAGGGACAATTTCACTTCCTCTTTTCCTAATTGAATACCCTTTATTTCCTTCTCCTGCCTGATTGCCCTGGCCAGAACTTCCAACACTATGTTGAATAGGAGCGGTGAGAGAGGGCATCCCTGTCTTGTGCCAGTTTTCAAAGGGAATGCTTCCAGTTTTTGCCCATTCAGTATGATATTGGCTGTGGGTTTGTCATAGATAGCTCTTATTATTTTGAAATACGTCCCATCAATACCTAATTTATTGAGAGTTTTTAGCATGAAGGGTTGTTGAATTTTGTCAAAGGCTTTTTCTGCATCTATTGAGATAATCATGTGGTTTTTGTCTTTGGCTCTGTTTATATGCTGGATTACATTTATTGATTTGCGTATATTGAACCAGCCTTGCATCCCAGGGATGAAGCCCACTTGATCATGTTGGATAAGCTTTTTGATGTGCTGCTGGAACTACAAACCACTGCTCAAGGAAATAAAAGAGGACACAAACAAATGGAAGAACATTCCATGCTCATGGGTAGGAAGAATCAATATCGTGAAAATGGCCATACTGCCCAAGGTAATTTACAGATTCAATGCCATCCCCATCAAGCTACCAATGACTTTCTTCACAGAATTGGAAAAAACTACTTTAAAGTTCATATGGAACCAAAAAAGAGTCCGCATTGCCAAGTCAATCCTAAGCCAAAAGAACAAAGCTGGAGGCATCACACTACCTGACTTCAAACTATACCAAAACAGCATGGTACTGGTACCAAAACAGAGATATAGATCAATGGAACAGAACAGAGCCCTCAGAAATAATGCCGCATATCTACAACTATCTGATCTTTGACAAACCTGAGAAAAACAAGCAATGGGGAAAGGATTCCCTATTTAATAAATGGTGCTGGGAAAACTGGCTAGCCATATGTAGAAAGCTGAAACTGGATCCCTTCCTTACACCTTATACAAAAATCAATTCAAGATGGATTAAAGATTTAAATGTTAAACCTAAAACCATAAAAACCCTAGAAGAAAACCTAGGCATTACCATTGAGGACATAGGCGTGGGCAAGGACTTCATGTCCAAAACACCAAAAGCAATGGCAACAAAAGACAAAATTGACAAATGGGATCTAATTAAACTCAAGAGCTTCTGCACAGCAAAAGAAACTACCATCAGAGTGAACAGGCAACCTACAACATGGGAGAAAATTTTCGCAACCTACTCATCTGACAAAGGGCTAATATCCAGAATCTACAATGAACTCAAACAAATTTACAAGAAAAAAACAAACAACCCCATCAAAAAGTGGGCGAAGGACATGAACAGACACTTCTCAAAAGAAGACATTTATGCAGCCAAAAAACACATGAAGAAATGCTCATCATCACTGGCCATCAGAGAAATGCAAATCAAAACCACTATGAGATATCATCTCACACCAGTTAGAATGGCAATCATTAAAAAGTCAGGAAACAACAGGTGCTGGAGAGGATGCGGAGAAATAGGAACACTTTTACACTGTTGGTGGGACTGTAAACTAGTTCAACCATTGTGGAAGTCAGTGTGGCGATTCCTCAGGGATCTAGAACTAGAAATACCATTTGACCCAGCCATCCCATTACTGGGTATATACCCAAATGAGTATAAATCATGCTGCTATAAAGACACATGCACACGTATGTTTATTGCGGCACTATTCACAATAGCAAAGTCTTGGAACCAACCCAAATGTCCAACAACGATAGACTGGATTAAGAAAATGTGGCACATATACACCATGGAATACTATGCAGCCATAAAAAATGATGAGTTCATATCCTTTGTAGGGACATGGATGAAATTGGAAACCATCATTCTCAGTAAACTATCGCAAGAACAAAAAACCAAACACCGCATATTCTCACTCATAGGTGGGAATTGAACAATGAGATCACATGGACACAGGAAGGGGAATATCACACTCTGGGGACTGTGGTGGGGTCGGGGGAGGGGGGAGGGATAGCATTGGGAGATATACCTAATGCTAGATGACGAGTTAGTGGGTGCAGCGCACCAGCATGGCACATGTATACATATGTAACTAACCTGCACAATGTGCACATGTACCCTAAAACTTAGAGTATAATAAAAAAATAAAATAAAAAAAAAAAGAAAAAAAAAAAAGGATGAATAAGTTCTGGATATCTACTGTACACCATTAACCTTAAGAGAGATCTCAAAAAGGAAAAGAACTCACACAAAAAAAAATTGCTGTAAAGGATACACATGAAAGACATAGAAGGGAGGTGGAGGGAATGCAGAGAGCTGTGGGCTGAGTCTGAGCCTCAAGGCTTTTTCAGCATAAAACACCGCAAAGACTGTTGATAAGCAAGCCTGTCCCCCATTTACTAAGCTTAGGCAATTAACTTTATGTGTCAAAATTTTATCAGTACCCAACACTGATTTAAGGACTCAAAACTCTGAATTGAGAAAACCTAAAGTACAAAAAGTTACCTCAAAGGTAGGTGAGACTCTCTAACAGCTCAAATATATGTCTTCAATGTGTTTTAATTGCAAATTACTTACAATTTGGCACAACATATTGGGAGAGAGGAGTAGTGGAATGGTAAAAATCAAACCTAACTTCAAAATATTGTAAATTATGGTTCTAAGATCAATCTTAATGACCCAATATGTGCAATGAGGCTCTTCTCTTCCTCCTCCATGTTACAGATGGGAACACGAAAGACTAAGCCATTCACATTACCCTAGGGAAGGCAGAGGGAAAGGGCAGTCCAGGTGTCCTGAACTGTACTGCTCACAGGGGAGGCCTGGCCCACCACTAAGTCTGGATACTTCCAAACCTATCCTTACATGAAAACAATATCTGGGGACCATTTCATTCTAATTGGTTTCGGGTCCTAGTTTCTGCCCAGTGGTCAAATCCAGAAACCCAGTCAGGACCTAGTTTCAATGAGTGGCTCTGAGCTTAGCTAATTAATGGCTTCCTGGCCCAAGAAAGGCTTCCTGTTTTTGTTTGTTTAATTAATTGTTTGCTATTGCGCTAAAATACTTTGTCTTACCTGACAATGAGTGAGCTCAGGATTATCTTGGCACATTTGGTTATGTGGTTTGAGCCCTCCCAGAGTGTTAATTGTCTACCAGCTACCCATTAAAGTTTAATACGGCAGAAGACAATGAGCTTACTAGAGATGTCACAGAGCCTTTGTTGCCATGGCAATAATTGTTGGACCAGATCACAGAGAAGGAAGTAAGAGACAAGAAAGAGAAAGGTGCAGGAAAAGCTGAAGCATAATAGTTTTTTAAAATAGTCTCTAAACTTATAATGGAGTAATGTGTTTAAATTTGTGGGGGAAACCACTTTATGAGAAAGGCTGATTTTCCAACATCCTCTTAAAGAGATATGGTTTTGGTTTTATGGAAGAATGGTTTCTAAGCTACATTACATCTTTTTTTTTTTTTTTTTTTTTTTTTTTTAGACGGAGTCTCGCACTGTCACCCAGGCTGGAGTGCAGTGGTGCGACTTCGGCTCACTGCAACTTCCGCCTCCCAGGTTCAAATGATTCTCCTTGCCTCAGCATCCCAAGTAGCTGGGATTACAGGCACCCGCCACCATGCCTGGCTAGTTTGTTTTGTATTTTTAGTAGAGACCAGGTTTCCCTATGTTGGCCAGGCTGGTCTCGAACTCCTGACCTCATGATCCGCCCGCCTCAGCCTCCCAAAGTGCTGGGATTACAGGTGTGAGCCACCATGCTTGGCCTACATTTCATCTTAAAATAAAAGTAAACGAATTGGGATTAATTTGGAAGCACACTGACTACTATAATACCAAGAAGTTCATACGAAGGCAGATAGATAGCCATTAAAATGGCAGAAATTCAACAAAATTTTTAATAGATGATTGTGTCAGTGAGAAATAGTTTTGATGTGCAGTATGAAACCTCAAATATTCCAGGGGCTCCTGCAAAGTGTAAACTTGTAGTATCCTTGACTTAGAACTGAAAGAACAGCAGGATTGGAGGTGGGTGAAAGAAAGAACCTAGTGATCTAGGTAATGTCACTTTGGATAACATTTGCTCTAAATTGCTCCCAGCATTAGTGAGTAGAGCTTGGGAGGAGTGAGTGTGTATTTCAAAGCCCAGGGCTTCAGTCAGTGTGAATGAGACAATGAGGATTATCCTGCCCTCTTGTGCTTCTGAGCCAACGTGCCAGGGCTTAAAGAGGAGAGGAAGGAAATGAAGAAGTCACAGAGTGCCTGATTGAAGAAGCAAAGTGCAGAAACACATCCTCCTCCCACCTCCCTGTAGAAGTCAACCTCCCCCTTGACTGCCCATCACTATCAGCATGGGATGGTGGTATATTTACTTAATTAGCTAAACGTGAATAGAGCTTAAAGTTTAGCCCTTAGGTGGGATTTTGCCGACATAGACTTCCTAGGACTTTTGTCCTATCACAGTGGCCTGTTGCACTGTGAGCTTCTTGTGTCAAAGGTTAATTAATCTTGTCTCTCTAGAGTCTAATGTTCAAATGCATGTTCATTTAACTAGGCTGTTTATTAAGTATAGTGATTTAGTGACAAGATTATTTAAGAAAAAAGCCCCAAAGGTAACTTATACTGTTGACCAGAGTAAATTAAAGGTGTAAACATTTAATAACACCTAGAAGCCATATTCAGAATAAGTATAATTTTTACTAGTTATTCTAATCTTTTGAAAGAAACATCACAGTTAGAAATGAAAAAGACCATATTACCACTGACCCCACAGAAATAAAAAATAACCATCAGAAACTACTACAAACACCTCTATGCACACAAACTTGAAAACCTGTAAGAGATGGGGAACTTCCTGGACACACCAATAACGTGCTCCAAAATTGCATCTGTAATAAATAGCCTACCAACCAAAAAATATATATATTTTAAAAAGCTCAAGACTAGATGGATTCACAGCCAAATTCTACCAGATATGCAAAGAAGAGCCAGTACCATTTTTGCTGAAATGATTCCAAAAAAACTGAGGAGGAGGGACCCCTGTCCAACTCATTCTATGAGGCCAGCATCATCCTGATACCAAAACCTGGTAGAGACACAACAACAACAAAAAAAACTTCAAGCCAATATCATGGATGAATACTGATATAAGGCAGCTTGTGATTAGTATCATGACAAAGACACAAAGATGGTAAAATAAAAATGCAAGGATGGGGCTGGGTGCAGTGGCTCACGCCTGTAATCCCAGCACTTCAGGAGGCCAAGGCAGGTGGATGACAAGGTCAAGAGATAGAGACCATCCTGGTCAACACGGTGAAACCCCGTTTGTACTAAAAATACAAAAATTAGCTGGGTGTGGTGGCGCATGCCTGCATTCCCAGCTACTCAGGAGGCTGAAGCAGAAGAATTGTTTGAACCTGGGAGGCAGAGGTTGCAGTGAGCTGAGATCATGACACTGCATTCAGCCTGGGGACAGAGCGAGATTCTGTCTCAAAAAAAAAAAAAAAAAAAAAAAAAAAAAAGCAACAATGGAAAATGTGCTTTGGTTAGGGGAAGAGAGGAAAACATTTTGGGAAAAAAAAAATGTCTTTTGAACTGGACCTTGAAGGAGGGTTTGTACAGATGTAGATGGAGATAAATAGAATTCCAAATACAGAAAATGATCACAAAGAAGAGAACATAAGAAACTGAAGCTATTCAGAGAATGAAATGCTGTCTACTGTCTAATTTATCTGCAAAAGAGAGTAGGGAAAAATAACACCAAGAAAGTCATTTGAAGTCAATTTGTGGAGAACTTGGGAACTTGAAATCATTGACAGCTTTTGAGCAGATGAGAATATCAAAGCTATGTTTTAGAAGTTTCTAAGTATTATGACTAAGTGATAATAAAGGTCTGAATAAACATTTTCCTCTGTAGTCTCTCAAAGTGGAAGTTTGCTTTTAGACAGATGTCTGTGGTCCTAGGGCATACATCCCTGATGTCCTCAACTACTTCACAGCACTTGGTATGAGCATTCACTCACACATGAGTGTTTAGTTACACTATGTTGGCCCCTAAATGTCATAAAGTAAAAATAGAAGAGACACTAATAAATACAAGTAAATACTTCTCTCTATTAATTGGGAAATCACATGTTCCTCTGAAGTATTTCTGTTAATTAACTTAAATGTTGCTACTTCTTATACTTTCTTCTCATATCTAAAGGATTCTGGCAAAAAAGTGCCATCCTTCTAAAAGTTATTTCTAAATTCTGTAAGTTTTTGTTCAATGTGTGACAATGTTGGAACCTCAGTATTTTCCTCACTGGGCTGTATATCCTCCAATATATGCACAGTAACACTTGAAATGTTCCTAAACATTATGTCAAAACTTTTGGTAACATTTTGTATCTTATTTCTCCTCAGACTGTGTCTTCCAGAAGATTTTCTGGAATCCGTCTGGTGGGCAAGCTCTTTGTAAATAATGATGCCTTAGAATAGTTGTCATTACTCTTTACTGATTCTTCAGAGAATATGTAATCATTAACTTTTTAAAGATTCATCTTGGAAGATAACTTTCCTAATGCTATAGAGGCTACATCCCAGGAGAATGTGAGTTTCATAAAGTGCATTTTTAATTTTGGGGCCACAATAAAACTCTGTCTAGCTGAAGACATAATATGATTTATAAAATAAATCATTTAGAGATTTGGTTCCTGTCAAAACGATGATGGCTTCACCTTTTGAGCACTGCTGAGAATCATGACACTCCTGTGTCAATCCCTTTTCATTCCATAATTTCTTAATGTTGGTTTATTAATGATTCTGGTTGGAAGCCTATTAAAGAGACATATATTACTAAAAGAAGCACAAACATAACTTCTAACTAGTCATACGAAAAGACTTCCCAGAGCACTGGTGTAGAGAGCAAGTTGGAAGAAAAACTTTTGAAAATTTGTGTTTCTGCTCAAAATGTCCTCTTGATATCTAGGACTCACATCCCTCCATATTTCTGAGGAAAAGAAAAGTTTTTTCCAGGTAACTCAAATCCCTAATATATTTTTATAAGAATGTAGGAAGAAGGAAGTTTACCTATAACAAAATAAGTGTTTGATTTCTGTCATCTGGTAAAAATTTTCAATTTTAAAAAAAGCATATAAGGAAAATCAATCTCAAAATTTTATGAAATACCTTCAAAAGTAAAGTTTAATGTCTAGATCTTTGCAAACTTTTGTACATAATGACTAAATCAATATTATATTGATTTTATCAATATAATAATCACTATATCAGTTTATGAAATTAAAGTAAAAGATTAATCAGAAGCTTAAAGCCTTTGCTTTCTACAGAAAACATTGCAGCTTTACAATATTAATATTAAAAATCAATATTGGTGAGTAACATTAGATAATCACTTAAGCTAACAACAGCAGCAATAGAAATTCAGAGATAATGGCTTTAACGTGATTGCTACCAATTTATTTTAAAATATGTGCATTTCTTTTGCATATGTAAATAATGTTAAGTAATATGTTTAGCTGAAATGTAAATGGTCAAAACTTTCTTTACTGAGTCTATTGCACCATAAGTTGGGTTTGCAGTAAGAAACTAACACATTTGTGCCTTCTCAAAGTACTAACTTTGAGTTGTATGCTATCCAGAAACTATATTCAATCATTTCTGTCTCAAAATAATGACCTTACAAAAGGAATTTAACTTTACCTAGTTCTATCACGATTGCATATTAAGGAGAGATTTAGAAGATGGCAGAAGTTTGTTTTTGTTCAATCAGCTACCTACGAAGCCCAAAACTCATATACTGTATAGCCGAGAAAAAGTAAACTACATTCTCTTCCTAATTATTCTTTTGAAAAATGACTTCATGTTCATTATCTTCTCTTCATTCTTAAAAAAGGAACACATTTTTTTTTTTTTTTTTTTTTTTTTTTTTTTTTTTTTTTTTTTTTTTTGAGACGGAGTCTCGCTCTGTCGCCCAGGTCGGACTGCGGACTGCAGTGGCGCAATCTCGGCTCACTGCAAGCTCCGCTTCCCGGGTTCACGCCATTCTCCTGCCTCAGCCTCCCGAGTAGCTGGGACTACAGGCGCCCGCCACCGCGCCCGGCTAATTTTTTGTATTTTTAGTAGAGACGGGGTTTCACCTTGTTAGCCAGGATGGTCTCGATCTCCTGACCTCATGATCCACCCGCCTCGGCCTCCCAAAGTGCTGGGATTACAGGCGTGAGCCACCGCGCCCGGCCGGAACACATTTTATAAAAGAGTCCTGACTGATAATGTGTCCCTTGACCTTGCATGTCACTGGCCTAATGAATGTCTCTGAGCCAAATTCCAGCTTTGCTTTTGTAAATGAATTTATACTCCAAGGTTTCTCTTGTGAGTGGACAATTCAGATCTTCCTCTTCTCACTCTTTACTACAATATATGCACTGACTATAACAGGGAATGGAGCCATTGCTTTTGTCCTGTGGTGTGACCGGCGACTTCACACTCCCATGTACATGTTCCTGGGAAATTTCTCCTTTTTAGAGATATGGTATGTCTCTTCTACAGTTCCCAAGATGTTGGTCAACTTCCTTTCAGAGAAAAAAAACATCTCCTTTGCTGGATGTTTTCTCCAGTTTTATTTCTTCTTCTCTTTGGGTACATCAGAATGCTTGCTTTTGACTGTGATGGCCTTTGATCAGTACCTTGCTATCTGCCGTCCCTTGCTCTATCCTAATATCATGACTGGGCATCTCTATGCCAAACTGGTCATACTGTGCTGGGTTTGTGGATTTCTGTGGTTCCTGATCCCCATTGTTCTCATCTCTCAGAAGCCCTTCTGTGGCCCAAACATTATTGACCATGTTGTGTGTGACCCAGGGCCACTATTTGCATTGGATTGTGTTTCTGCCCCAAGAATCCAACTGTTTTGCTACACTCTAAGCTCATTAGTTATTTTTGGTAACTTCCTCTTTATTATTGGATCCTATACTCTTGTCCTGAAAGCTGTGTTGGGTATGCCTTCAAGCACTGGGAGACATAAGGCCTTCTCTACCTGTGGGTCTCATTTGGCTGTGGTATCACTGTGCTATAGCCCTCTTATGGTCATGTATGTGAGCCCAGGACTCGGACATTCTACAGGGATGCAGAAAATTGAAACTTTGTTCTATGCTATGGTGACCCCACTCTTCAATCCCCTTATCTATAGCCTCCAGAATAAGGAGATAAAGGCAGCCCTGAGGAAAGTTCTGGGGAGTTCCAACATAATCTAAGGCATATTAGATTATTCCTCCATGATCAGATCAGTACAGTCTAACAAAGAGAAATCAGAATTATATAGTTATTGAAATCTAAAAAATATGGACCTAGTGATATTGACTATATCAGCCTATGAAATTAAACACCTGTTGGACCCCTTACAAATTAAAGTTGCCAAATCATATAGATAAATGGAAGCGTGTGGTTTCCCTTTGGCACCTAGACTGAGTATTAACTGAGGAATACACATATTTGGGTGTTTTCTGGATAGTTTCCATCTGATTCATCTGTGATAAAAATTCTTTATGTTCTATTTTACTTAAATTTATTGTTCTGAGATTGACAAAATTATAGCTATGTTATTTTGTTTGGTTGGTTGTAAATAAAAGAAGAAAAAATATATTTTCTGATTGTGATTCTTATCATATTTGGGTTTATTATTTTGGTGACATGGTCATTACTAATACATAAGCCCTTATAAGCAATTTATCAACATTTTTGTAGGACAATAAAATATTCTAGCCTAATGATATCCAAACATTACCTCCTTCTGGACCCCTAAAGGGCAGATTCTAAATCCATCTATAATAATATCAGTCAAAATATTCAGAAATGCATTGTTCTAAATACCTAATATTTTTACCTAAATAAGATATCACCAACAACATGATAGGTCAATTTACTGAGTTTTAGATAATAGAATATCTCCCCTAAAGATTGGACAGGGCAATGGTATACTTGTGGATACACTACTTAAGTTCAAAAAATAAAATAAAATCAATGGCAGTTCATTGTCATTTGCTGCTAAAAGAATGTGAAAATAACATGAAGGAAAATTTTTGAAGGAAAAAAGCATTTATAATTCAATTGCTCTAATGTATCTATTTTTGTTAATATGTCTGTTTCATGTGATTTAATGTTAAACTCGCTCCCATTTATAGCAAGTTTTTATAATTATCATTCATAGAAAGCATAATATTTTATTGAACTAACGTGCCATGAATTGTGAATTTTTATGTGGTGAGATGAACATTGTCCTAGACAAAGGGCCTTCCTTTCAAGAAGCTAAGAGCTGACTAGTAAAAGGGAATTTTCAGAAGGGATATTAGGAGAAAAATGAATGCCTCTACTACACAAGAATGACTTCTCACAGAATTTGTACTGCAGCATTCTGGGGTAAGGTTACTGAACACTCCAACATCTTCCTTCCTTCTACCACCAATCTTTTTGTTGAACATTACAGTTATCCCATTTTTTTGTTATAAAATAATATCTCAATAAAATCTTCATAAAGATTTGCCTTGATAATATTTTGCAAACCTAAATTAGGACTCATCATCTAATCTGAAACAGACTGTCCCAGAAAATACAGAATATAAGAATATGATGTGTGTGCAACAATTTTCCTTTCAGATTTTTTGTCTTAGAACAGTTTATTGGGAAAGAGATCATTATTCAGTTCAAAAGGTAAGAATGCATTTGTGAATTGGGGCCCGGACATTCCAGGTAGAACAATTATTTGCTCCTTTCATGTAAGACAGTATCAAGCTTTTACTCAATCTTATTAGAACTCTGCCATATCTCTCACTTGTATAGCCGCTGAGGATCTTTCCTCTTTCTTTACTCCTTTCCAGGGTGTATGACTTTTAAGTTACCTGAGTTCTGATCAGCAAACGGACTCAAGAAGAACAGGTAGTCAAGGCAGGCAATATTTCCACCACAGTTTCAGAACTCCCTACTTTGTATTACTAAGTTAATACATTTGTGCAGCCACTACCTTTGCAAAGGTTTCTTCTTACAACCTCAAATACTATGACTGGTTCACAACCTTTTCCATAGTGCTAAATTATTTGACCAAACACTGCATATATACCATATTTTTTCAAAGCCAAACTGTATCCCAAAGAGAGAGAAGGAGAGAGAAAGAATAGCAATAAAAATACAGTGTTATTTCAGGTTGATATTTAAAAATAATTGTGCTGGTTAATGGTTTCCTTGGGGGAAATGACAATTGAAAGTCGGTATTTTCTACTTTCAAATACAAGTCATGGTGTTTATTAGCTCCCTTTAAATGCTCACTAAGCTGAACAAACTTTGACTCTACCCTCAATTACAACTAATTCCCTCACAAAGGAAAATTTATTTGTACAACCAAACATTATGTACATTCAAGATTACTAGAAAACTTAGGACATAAAGTGCAAGTGCGACAATATTATGAGAAAAGAAAGACTGTGTATTAGTTTAACAGGTTTACATATGCAAATTCACCACCACAGGGTTTGTTCTCTTGGCAACATTGAAAATAATAATAATTAACGTTTTAAGGCAACTATTTTGTGTCAGGCAATATTCCAAGTCTTTTCTATGTATTATTTTATTTCCTACTTATGAAACCCAAAGAAATCAGGTCGGTATTATTGTATCTCTAATTTTTGAAGAGTGAAACAGGCAGAAAAGGTAACTTGCCTAGTTGGAGATGGCGTCTGATCTCAGGCAGGCTAACAATGGAGCCCACAGTTTTTACTACTATCGGGGGAAAGGACCAACACTATAGAATGAAATAGATTGGATCAAATCTAAGTCACTGATTGTGTGAGCTTATGCAAATTATTTGACCTTTCTGCCTAGATTTGTTTAGACTATAAAATATAACTAATGATAATACTTCTGTCAGACAGTGGATTTGATGAATAAATGAGGTAAATCAAGGTAGGATCTTACACATAGTATTTATGGAATCTATTTCAGTTAATATTATTAATGTCTTCCATTTGTAGAGCTCTTCAGCATTTCCCACTTTTATATAGTTGTTCAGTTCATCCTCACAAATTCTGTCATCACACAGTTAAGGTAGACATTCCCATACTCATTTCACTGATGAGATTCAAAGAAATCAAGTATACTGTCCAAGGTCACCCATAGTAAGTGAAGGGGCAAGTTCTTCTGACTTCAAGTTCAATAAGAATTCTGCTGTACCATACATCCTATTCTGGGAAATGTGGCTAAGTCCTGCGTAGCTAACTTCAGAACTACACGGCCATGCAAGCCAAAGAGCTGGATTTACCCCAGAAATTAATGCTGTAGAGAAGAAATGAGTGCAGTAGAAGAACTAAGGGATTTCTTTCCAGTAGTCTTAAGGTAATAACTACTCAAATTATACAAATATTTATGTAAAATGTATTTCACGTGCAAAGTATGTCACTGAGTGAAAATGGCAGATCATGAAACAATATTATTATATAATCTCACACAAACATGAAGTCATGGGATTATGGGTAATTAAGATTCGTTGTTTCCTCTTTTATGCTAATATCTTTATTTCCTAATTTTTCCATGACAAATATGCATTTTTTGTCCAATTTACAAACGACATGTAGTTAAGAAAAAATTAATGTTTACAAATGGATGTATAATTTAAAGCAATGCTTTTAGACACACCACTTACCCACGCTTTCCCTCCACTTTGTGTGTAAGGAAAGGATAATGCTACTGTCTTTGGTAAGCTTTTACCACGTCTTTACAGAGTTTCTCAAGTACTTTTCCACGTGGCGTCACTTTGTGGAGAGGAGTTAATTTGGCACCCTTGTCCTTCTATTTCACTCAGAAGCAGCTCTTTCTGCAAAGGAGAGAGTGGTCCATGGTAGCAAACCCTGGCCTTGTGGTTTTCATTCTAGATTCTTAGAACAACAACAACAACAACAACAACATCAACAACAACAAAAGACAGAGACAGAGAGAGAGAGAATGGAGGAACATGTCATACAATCAAATGAATCTTCCCAAACAAGAGCTTTACCCGGGGACTTCCATCTACACTTGTACACATCTCTCCAGCCAAGCTCCCTACTTACTACCAATACAAGAACCAACTTTAATTAAAAGAGAGTTTGAATTGTTATGTTTTTGATACCTACCTTTTTTTTATTATACTTTGATTTAGGGTATGTGTGCACAAAATGCAGGTGTGTTACATATGTATACATCTGCCATGTTGGGGTGCTGCACCCATTAACTTGTCATTTAGCATTAGGTATATCTCCTAATGCTATCCCTCCCCCCTGCCCCCACCCCACAACAGGCCCTGGCGTGTGATGTTCCCCTTCCTGTGTCCATGTGTTCTCATTGTTCAATTCCCACCTATGAGTGAGAACATGCAGTGTTTGGTTTTTTGTCCTTGCGATAGTTTGCTGAGAATGATGGTTTCCAACTTCATCCATGTCCCTACAAAGGACATGAACTCATTTTTTATGGCTGCATAGTATTCCATGGTGTATATGTGGCACATGAACTGAAACAAATTTGCAAGAAAAATACAAACAATCCCATCAAAAAGTGGGCAAAGGATATGAACAGACACTTCTCAAAAGAAGACATTTATGCAGCCAAAAGACACATGAAAAAATGCTCATCATCACTGGCCATCAGAGAAATGCAAATCAAAACCACAATGAAATACCATCTTACACCAGTTAGAATGGCAATCATTAAAAAGTCAGGAAACAACAGGTGCTGGAGAGGATGTGGAGAAATAGGAACACATTTACACTGTTGGTGGGACTGCAAACTAGTTCAACCACTGTGGAAGTCAGTGTGGCGATTCCTCAGGGATCTAGAACTAGAAATACCATTTGACCCAGCCATCCCATTACTGGGTATATACTCAAAGGATTATAAATCATGTTGCTATAAAGACACATGCACATGTATGTTTATTGCAGCACTATTCGCAATAACAAAGACTTGGAACCAACCCAAATGTCCAACAATGATAGACTGAATTAAGAAAATGTGTCTATTTGATTCTTCTCTCTTTTCTTCTTTATTAGTCTTGCTAGTGGTCTATCAATTTTTTTGATCCTTTCAAAAAACCAGCTCCTGGATTCATTGATTTTTTGAAGGGTTTTTTGTGTTTCTATTTCCTTCAGTTCTGCTCTGATTTTCGTTATTTCTTGCCTTCTGCTAGCTTTTGAATGTGTTTGCTCTTGCTTTTCTAGTTCTTTTAATTGTGATGTTAGGGTGTCAATTTTGCATCTTTCCTGCTTTGTCTTGTGGGCATTTAGTGCTATAAATTTCCCTCTACACACTGCTTTGAATGTGTCCCAGATATTCTGGTATGTTGTGTCTTTGTTCTCGTTGGTTTCAAAGAACATCTTTATTTCTGCCTTCATTTCGTTATGTACCCAGTAGTCATTCAGGAGCAGGTTGTTCAGTTTCCATGTAGTTGAGCCATTTTGAGTGAGTTTCTTAACCCTGAGGTCTAGTTTGATTGCACTGTGGTCTGAGAGACAGTTTGTTATAATGTCTGTTCTTTTACATTTGCTGAAGAGAGCTTTACTTCCAACTATGTGGTCAATTTTGGAATAGGTGTGGTGTGGTGCTGAAAAAAATGTATATTCTGTTGATTTGGGGTGGAGAGTTCTGTAGATGTCTATTAGGTCCACTTGGTGCAGAGCTGAGTTCAATTCCTGGGTATCTTTGTTAACTTTCTGTCTCGTTGATATGTCTAATGTTGACAGTGGGGTGTTAAAGTCTCCCATTATTATTGTGTTGGAGGCTAAGTCTCTTTGTAGGTCATTCAGGACTTGCTTTATGAATCTGGGTGCTCCTGTATTGGGTGCATATATATTTAGGATAGTTAGCTCTTCTTGTTGAATTGATCCCTTTACCATTATGCAATGGCCTTCTTTGTCTCTTTTGATCTTTGTTGGTTTAAAGTCTGTTTTATCAGAGACTAGGATTGCAACCCCTGCCTTTTTTTGTTTTTCATTTGCTTGGTAGATCTTCCTCCATCCTTTTATTTTGAGCCTATGTGTGACTCTGCACGTGAGATGGGTTTCCTGAATACAGCACACTGTTGGGTCTTGACTCTTTATCCAATTTGCCAGTCTGTGTCTTTTAATTGGAGCATTTAGTCCATTTACATTTAAAGTTGATATTGTTATGTGTGAATTTGATCCTGTCATTATGATGTTAGCTGGTTATTTTGCTCATTAGTTGATGCAGTTTCTTCCTAGCCTTGATGGTCTTTACAATTTGGCATGGTTTTGCAGTGGCTGCTATCGGTTGTTCCTTTCCATGTTTAGTGCTTCCTTCAGGAGCTCTTTTAGGGCAGGCCTGGTGGTGACAAAATCTCTCAGCATTTGCTTGTCTGTAAAGTATTTTATTTCTCCTTCACTTATGAAGCTTAGTTTGGCTGGACGTGAAATTCTGGGTTGAAAATTCTTTTCTTTAAGAATGTTGAATATTGGCCCCCACTCTCTTCTAGCTTGTAGAGTTTCTGCCAAGAGATCCGCTGTTAGTCTGATGGGCTTCCCTTTGTGAGTAACCCGACCTTTCTCTCTGGCTGCCCTTAACATTTTTTCCTTCATTTCAACTTTGGTGAATCTGACAATTATGTGTCTTGGAGTTGCTCTTCTCGAGGAGTATCTTTGTGGCGTTCTCTGTATTTCCTGAATCTGAATGTTGGCCTGCCTTGCTAGATTGGGGAAGTTCTCCTGGATAATATCCTGCAGAGTGTTTTCCAACTTGGTTCCATTCTCTGTCACTTTCAGGCACACCAATCAGATGTAGATTTGGTCTTTTCACATAGTCCCATATTTCTTGGAGGCTTTGTTCATTTCTTTTTATTCGTTTTTCTCTAAACTTCACCTCTCACTTCATTTCATTCATTTCATCTTCCATCACTGATACCCTTTCTTCCAGTTGATCACATCGGCTCCTGAGGCTTCTGCATTCTTCACGTAGTTCTCGAGCCTTGGCTTTCAGCTCCATCAGCTCCTTTAAGCATTTCTCTGTATTGGTTATTCTAGTTATACATTCATCTAAATTTTTTTCAAAGTTTTCAACTTCTTTGCCTTTGGTTTGAATTTCCTTCTGTAGCTCGTAATAGTTTGATCATCTGAAGCCTTCTTCTCTCAACTCATCAAAGTCATTCTCCATCCAGCTTTGTTCTGTTGCTGGTGAGGAGCTGCGTTCCTTTGGAGGAGGAGAGATGCTCACTTTTTAGAGTTTCCAGTTTTTCTGCTCATTTTTTTCCCCATCTTTGTGGTTTTATCTGCTTTTGGTCTTTGATGATGGTGATGTACAGATTGGTTTTTGGTGTGGATGTCCTTTCTGTTTGTTTGTTTTCCTTCTAACAGACAAGACCCTTAGCTGCAGGTCTGTTGGAATTTCCTAGAGGTCCACTCCAGACCCTGTTTGCCTGGGTGCCAGCAGCGTTGGCTGTAGAACAGCAGATTTTCGTGAACCACAAAAGCTGCTGTCTGATCGTTCCTCTGGAAGTTTTGTCTCAGAGGAGTACCTGGCCAGGGGATATCACCACCAATCCCACAGAAATACAAACTACCATCAGAGAATACTACAAACACCTCTACACAAATAAACTAGAAAATCTAGAAGAAATGGATAAATTCCTTGACACATACACCCTCCCAAGACTAAAGCAGGAAGAAGTTGAATCTCTGAATAGACCAATAACAGGAGCTGAAATTGTGGCAATAATCAATAGCTTACCAACCGAAAAGAGTCCAGGACCAGATGGATTCACAGCCGAATTCTACCAGGGTACAAAGAGGAACTGGTACCATTCCTTCTGAAACTATTCCAATCAATAGAAAAAGAGGGAATCCTCTGTAACTCATTTTATGAGGCCAGCATCATCCTGATACCAAAGCCGAGCAGAGACACAACAAAAAAAGAGAATTTTAGACCAATATACCTGATGAACATTGATGCAAAAATCCTCAATAAAATACTGGCAAACCGAATCCAGCAGCACATCAAAAAGCTTATCCATCATGATCAAGTGGGCTTCATCCCTGGGATGCAAGGCTGGTTCAATATACACAAATCAATAAATGTAATCCAGCATATAAACAGAACCAAAGACAAAAACCACATGATTATCTCAATAGATGCAGAAAAGGCCTCTGAGAAAATTCAACAACCTTCATGTTAAAAACTCTCATTAATTTTGGTATTGATGGGATGTATCTCAAAATAATAAGAGCTATCTATGACAAAACCACAGCCAATATCATACTGAATGGGCAAAAGCCGGAAGCATTCCCTTTGAAAACTGGCACAAGACAGGGATGTCCTCTCTCACCACTCCTATTCAACATAGTGTTGGAAGTTCTGGCCAGGGCAATTAGGCAGGAGAAGGAAATAAAGGGTATTCAATTAGGAAAAGAGGAAGTCAAATTGTCCCTGTTTACAGATGACATGATTGTATGTCTAGAAAACCCCATTGTCTCAGCCCAAAATCTCCTTAAGCTGATAAGCAACTTCAGCAGTCTCAGGATACAAAATCAAGGTACAAAAATCACAAGCATTCTTATACACCAATAACAGACAAACAGAGAGCCAAATCATGAGTGAACTCCCATTCACAGTTGCTTCAAAGAGAATAAACTACCTAGGAATCCAACTTACAAGGGACGTGAAGGACCTCTTCAAGGAGAACTACAAACCACTTCTCAATGAAACAAAAGAGGATACAAACAAATGGAAGAACATTCCATGCTCATGGGTAGGAAGAATCAATATCGTGAAAATGGCCATACTGCCCAAGGTAATTTACAGATTCAATGCCATCCCCATCAAGCTACCAATGACTTTCTTCACAGAATTGGAAAAAACTACTTTAAAGTTCATATGGAATCAAAAAAGAGCCCACATCGCCAAGTCAGTTCTAAGCCAAAAGAACAAAGCTGGAGGCATCACGCTACCTGACTTCAAACTATACTACAAGGCTACAGTAAGTGAAAAGCACCTTTAAATTATCTGGATTCATAATTTTTTGTGAGAAGACTTTTTATTGCTTCAGTGTCTTTAATAGTTAAAGAATTTTGCAGGCTCTATTTTATGCTGGAATCAGTTTTAGTAAATTATATTTGTCTCTTTTTCTAAGATTTTGTCTGTTTTAAAATGTATTTACTTCTTTGGCCTTTATTGACTTTTTTCTTTGTTCTTTCTTTCTCTTTTTTTTTTTTTTTTTTGAGATGGGGTCTCACTCTTGTTGCCCAGGCTGGAGTACAATGGCAATTTCTTGGCTCACCACAACCTCTGCCTCCCGGGTTGAAGCAGTTCTCCTGCCTCAGCCTCCTGAGTAGAGTAGTTGGGATTACAGACGTGTGCCACCACACCTGGCTAATTTTGTATTTTCAGTAGAGATGGGGTTTCTCCATGTTGGTCAGGCTGGTCTTGAACTCCTGACCTCAGGTGATCCACCCACCTTAGCCTCCAAAAGTGCTGGGAATACAGGCATGAGCCACCATGCCCAGCCTATTGACTCTTTATTATGCTGCTTTGTTTTCTATTGCATAGATGTATTGCCTTATCTCTTTTTTCCCCTTCCTCCTGTTTTCTTTGATTATGTTTTTCTTCTCTTTAACTTAGAAATATAGCCCACGAATATTTGGCTTGTCTAATACATCATTTATGGCTGGATATTTCCCTCAAATGCCACTTTGGCTGTATCCCACACATTTTGTTGTATAATGTTTATGTTATCATTACTCTCTAATCCTTAAACGTTTTTCATTCAAATTTGTTCTTTGACCTGTGAGGATGTAGAGTGCAGTTTTCAATTGCCAAATTACATTTTCTACATGTGCATGAGTTTCTACTTGTCCCTCACATCAGACAGACAGTAGCTTGATTGTTAAAAGTCTTGGGCTTTGAGATCTAATAGACTTGGATTCACATCATAGCTCATTCACTCACTCCTGTATTCATTAAATAGGCATTATTCTTGGTGCTGAGGATATATCACTAAACAGAAATCCATGCTCACATAGATGTTACATGCTGGTATGTGTCCCACCATTTACTAGACTCCACTACTTATTAGTTGTATCAGTTTGAAAAAGTCTCTCAGTTTCTCCCTGTAAATCAATTTTTTTATCTGTCAATGAGAATAATAATTATTCTATTCTAGGGAGCCCTTGGGAGAATGTAGTGAGATAAAGTGCTTAGTACAGTGGTTAGAACAGTGAACACTTTAGTAAATGCTTGCTATTACCATTTGGACAGCTTTCTCAGAAAGCCTTTCCTAACCCAGCCCCACCCCTCCCCTTCCTGGCACCCAGACAGAGCTAGATGCTTCTTTTGTATTCCTCCAGTGCATATTGTACTGGCCTCTAGCAGAATACTCAGGCAAAATATTGTAATCACGAATTGTCCACATCTCCCACCAGATTGCCAGTTCTCTAAAGACAATATATCATATGTAATTTTTTTTACCTCAGCATCTACCACAGTGCCTGGCAAGTGTTAAATGCTAAATAAATATATTTGAAATGGCTAAAGGAAGGATTGAAGGATTGATATAGATTTCAGAAAAGGAAAGTAAGTGTATGTTGCTGAGACATTTATTGATTCGTTTAGTCAAAAAATGTTTATTAGGCACTGATTACCTGTCAGCCACTTTTCAAGGTACTGTATAGGTTCAAACAAAACAGACAAAATTTTGTTATGGTACTTAAATCTTAGAAAGGAGAAATATGCATTAGATATGGTTGAGTGATTGCAGAAAAATAAAACAGATTAAAGAAGTAAATAGTATTGTGGGAAGGCTGCTATTTGATATGTGATGGCCAAAGAAAGTCTCTCTGATAAGGTGTCATCTTAGTAGAGACCTGAAAGAAGTGAGAGGGCAAATCAGAGAGACTTGTGGATGAAATATTCCAAGTTGAAGAAACAGTAAGTGCTGAAGTTCTTTAATCATATTCAAGGACAGCAAGGAGGCCAGTATGGCTGCACCAGAAGCACTGAGAGGGAGGGCGGTAAGAGATGAAGTCAGAGTGGTGGGCAGAGAGAGTGAGGATGCAGAGAGTGCAAGGCCTTGCAGACCATGGCTTTGCCTCTAAATGAGAAGAGATTCCATTGAAGGGTTCTGAATGGGGAAGTTCCTGTAATATACTCTGAGTTACATTTTATAAGAATCACTCTGGCTGCTACATGGAGGTCCGACTAGGGGTACAGGGGTAGTGGCAGAGACCACTTAGGACAGTATTGTAACATTCCAGGCTACAGTAGTCGTTTGGATCAGAGAGATAGCAGGTGGAAATTATGATTCTGGATATTTTTCAAGCAGAGAGCTGATAGATTTTGTTCAACTGTGTGTGGGTTGTTAAAGAAAGAGATGAATCAAGGATAGCCCCAAAGTTTTTGGCTGAACTACTAAACAAATTGAATTAGCATTTGGTTAGAGGTAGAAGACTGGTGAAATAGCAAGTTTGTGTATGTATTGGGAAGGGGGTGGTTAGCAGTGGGTGTATCAGGAGGCCCATTTTAGAGCTGTTAAATGTGAATGTCTATTACACCTCCAGGTGGAAATGTTGAACAATTATATGGATATATAGATCAGAACGTCAGTGTTGAGATCAGAATCTCTTATGCGATCAACCTGTACATAACTTTCTTTTTTACCCCCATCTTTTTAAAGTATAAATCAATATGGACCAGATGATTCTTGAGAATCTTCTCTGAAGAGGAGTTATGTTTTTCAGATAGATTTTTAGCTGGCATTTTTTTAAGTAGGGCAATAATCATTTTACTATAACAACTGACATCATAATTGAATAATGAGCTTAGGCATATGCCTTGCAAAAACCTACATACCTTAAATAGAATTGAATTCAAATGAGTATCTTTTTGAAAGAACTACTGAATTCACAAATGTATGTAAAATGTTCTTAATTAAGCTTAATGTAAGTATTAATATAAAAAGAAAAACACTATTATGAATAAAACCCTGGATACCAGAGTGGACAATTGAGTCTGACATATTCCCGGAGAAATATTTAAAGTAAGCTAACACAAGAAAATCTTGCCTTTAGAATTTTTTAGTTACACTTTTAATAAAGATTCAAATAAAATGTTAAGAAACTTTCTAAATGGTTCTGACAGTAATGGTCCAGTTAGGAAAATAAAGTTTCTAGCCTCTGTCTTGGGGCTTTCAGAATAAACTAGATAACCTTAGAATTAAATGTGGATTTATGTTTTTCTGAACATTACCCCCTTTTATTGACTACATGTGTTTCCCCAAGAATTTGTTTTAGAGTAGATGTTTCAAATAAATGGTCCAATTCTTAATCCATTCACATTGTTTCATTTTGCAGATAACCACTTGCCTAGCATAAAAATCTTTACCTTGTTCTCAGAAATTGATTCTTGACTCTACACAGCAAATCCTTCGTCTTTATTGTTGTGACCCATTATAAATACCTTCCACTATATTGGGCATATATTTTCCTATTCTCCTCTAGCACTTACTCTCTTTTTTTTCCCCAGGATTCCAGGTCTTGGCAACCTTTGAAATTCCAATTCCATTTGAGAGAGCTTTGATGAGGCCATATGCTGATTTCACCACCAGCAACTTCACAACCCAGTACTGGAATGCCATCAGCCAGCAGGCCCCTGTCATCACCTGTGACTTCTATCTGTGGCTCACTGGAAGGAAAGCCAGGTGAGAAGCTGAGTCAATGGCTTTGAGAATGTCACTGCATATGAGAGATTGAGGCCCCAAAGTCTTCTGTGCTTCCTTCAGCCAAGGATTAAAGGAAACAACTTAATCTGGCCCATATATACAGATTGAACACACCTACTCGAAAATCCAAAATCTGAAATTCTCCAAAATCCAAAATGTTTTGAGTGCTGACATGATGCCACAAGTGGAAAATTCCACACATCTTACCTCATGTGATGGGTCACAGTAAAACATATTCAAAACTTTGTTTCATGCATAAAATTATTTAAAATATTGTATAAGATTACCTTCAGGTTATGTGTATGTGGCTAAGTGTGTATGAAACATGAGTGAATTTTGTGTTTAGACATGGGTCCCATTCCCAAGATATCTCATTACATAGAAGAAAATATTCCAAAATCTGAAAACAGTTGAAACCCAACACACTTCTGACCCAAGCATTTCAGATAAAGGATACTCAACCTGTATAAGTTTTGAACAAACAAAGCAGTCATAGTGAGAAGCCACAGAAGCTTCCTACATGAAAAATGCTCCAGCATAATAAAGGAAGGTAAATGTTAAAGCGCCTGCTTGATGAATTCAGCAAGTGATCATTCACGCAAAAAGAAAAGCAACTGAGACGCTTTCACTAGGGTTTTTCAAATAGGTAGATAATCTTAAATATCCAGTAATGATGACAACCTCACTTACTGGGAGCTTACTCATGGGGCTAAGGAGGATGCATGATGATCCCATTTTTATTGTCACAGCTACTGATGAAGATACCCTCATCAACCCATTTTACAAATGGAGAAATAGAAGCTAAGGGAAGAATCTGAAGTAGTCTCAAAGGCAGTGACAGGAAGGATGTGGAGAAAGCTGAGTGTCAAAGTCAGTATTCAGGACCGGATTTACTGCTACTTAGAGATGAATGAAGAAATCAGAGGGAACGCAGTGTGCTGATGCTAAAGCAGCTGTCACCACCCAGCTGTGTGACATAGGACATATTCTTTCTCTGTCTCACTTGAATAATATGATGTGTCAGAGGAGACATGATTGTAATTGCCTAAAGCAATTCTTGTGATCAAGACTCAGAAGCATGAACAGTATTGCCCTCTGTGTTAGCCCCTTTATAAGGGAGGAAGTCATCTTCAGCATGTTGAATTGCCATCTTTCTTAGCAGTGCAAATGACTAAAACTTAGCCAATGTAGAGTTTATCCAAATTTGGAACTCATAACTCAGTTCTTGGGCAAAGTGAAAAGAAAACATTGTGATTACGGGGAAAATATTTGTATGGGACTTATTAAATAAAGATAGGAAAAGGAGAAAACCCAAATATTATAGGCAGAAATGCTAAAGGTTTTAAAATATGTCAGGATTGGAAGAAGGCATGGATAAAGAACAAAGTTCAGTTAGGAAAGAGAAACACAGAAGGAAGAGACACAATAAAAGCCATTATGTATTTTGTGAGAAGTCAGACAGTAAGATTTGTGGGAAATGGGTTGGTTTGTTGTATGGTGTGTATTTTAGCAATAATCTTTATGGCAGAGAAAGCTAAAATCCTTTAGCTTGTGTGAATGATCACTTGCTGAATTCCTCAAGGTAGGCATGATGAAGGAGGGTTTAGAGGAGACACAGACACAATGAACTGACCTAGATAGAAAGCCTTAGTATACTCAGCTAGGAATAGTGATTCTGAGGACACACTTTGACATGATTATGTCATTACATGTATGGTAGTGATGGGGATGATAGAAGGAAGAACTGTTGGCATATTTTCACCCCCCAAAAAATCAGTTAAATATTGGGACACTAACCATCCAGGTCTAGAAAAGTCACATGCCATAGCCATGGTATTGCACATCATTCATCTTGCATTCTTTGAGAACAGGAAGATCAGTAAATAGTTCAGAAGTGGGAAGCTTTGTCCAGGCCTGTGTGTGAACCCAATGTTGTGTTTAGAAATAGAACAAGTAAGTTCATTGCTATAGCATAACACAAAATTTGTTTAAGTGGTGGTCAGCAAATCCTTGAACGCTGCTTAATGTGACGAGGTTGGTAAAATCCTTTGTGCAACACTCTTACTCCCTGAATATTTTGCAGTGCCAGGGCCTGTGCATGCCAGACAAGGCCAAGATGGCTCAAAGAGCAACCAGCCACCTCAGCAACCTGCCACCTCCTGCTGGCAGGATTTGTTTTTGCAACCTGTGAAGAGTCAAGGAGGCACAAAGGCATAAGTCTACTCACTTATATCTGTTTGTCTGGAACATAACCCATGTTTGTTTTTACAACAAATAAAATTGATCTTGAATAAAAACTGAGTGGTCATTGTCATTAATCTTTGAATCCAGATTAACCTTTTGGTCATACCTAGTCTAAGAGAAAAGAGATATTCTTATCAATAAATACAGAGCCAAGCTATATCAGTGAAGATCTCAAGTGCATAGACAGTAGTATAGGGAAGAGTCAGAGGCCAAAAAGACAAGGATGGCAGACATTGAACAGAGGAGAGTGTGGTGTTTGCCTTTGCATCAACTGAGATTGTGGAATAACACCTGAGGCTTGGGGAGAGCACCTACGAGATACCAATAAAACATTGTAAGAACATCTATGAAGTGAGAAAATTTGAATTACTGTTGTTCTTGTGGTTATGATTGTATTTATGGTTGTTACTTCATTCGTATTAATCATCTATGTGCCCGAGTGTAATCATGAAGTTAGATTTTTCCCAGATTTTTTTATTAGACTCAAGAATTCCCATAGACAAAGGCAATATCACTATCCTATTTATACATTTCTTCTCTCAGTTCTGCAGAGCCAAAATGTAGAGTCCAATCTTTTAGATAGGTTATGCAATAAAGGCTGACTTGGATTATCTAACTGGTACATGAGGCCCAGTGTGGTAGTTTACTCCAGAGGAAATTGGCACCTGTATATAATTGTAGTTAAGTTGATCCCTTGATATCAGGAAAGTTTCTGCTATGCAGTCCTTTTTGATGATTTCTTAATATATATCCTCCTTTTAGACAGTACTAGTGGCCATAGATGTACATGGCAGCAGAATATTACAGATGGTAAACCTTGAATCTGCATTTTAGTAGCAAGAGCATCTGGAGTCTTGTGCTTCCCTTGTAGACATCTTCTTAACATCTACATCCTATCTTTTGTCTACTGTTGTTACTACTACTAGTTCCATAGACATTCTAACTTTCATTTGGATATACATTTTTGTTATTTGTAAGCTCCCCCTTCTTTTTCATTTTTTTCACACCCTTTCAGACTGTTCTAAAATCAGAAAGGAAATTCTCCTCCATGAGCATGTGTATGTTTTTGGCTCTTGGAACTTGAGATGGTGCAAGTAAGTACAAGCACATTTTCCAGATAAGTCATGTGAAGTGATTTACATTTCATAATATGATCATTTCTGATTGATCTGATCTATTAAGACCACCAATAGAGATGGCTGTAAAGAATTAAGAACATCAAACAATGTCAAGTTGTTCATTGCATGTATTTCAGAACATTACCGAGATAAAGCCAGGTGGAGTCATTAATTTCACCAGCTAGTTATTTCCTTGCTGCAGTACCAAAGATTGTCATTTTTGAACTAAAGCCTCTGGTTTTTCTAACTCATCTTTCATTGTTCATATTGGCAAGTGAATAATTAGTGAATATATATGTTTAGGTTATGAGGAATTTAAAACACAACCTAAGAGTTGTAATGTTGATTGCTTTTAAATGTTGTAATTGTTTTGAGAGTGTCTGCTAATGATTCCTTAATTACATACTTGCTTTTCTTAGAAAGTCAACTCATTTCATTGTGATTAATTTTCTCTTAAATATTTAACTTCATATTTTAATAAATCACAATGCCTGGGATTCCATTAGATATTTGAAAAGATCAAGTTTAATTTTTTTTACCCAGGTAACATACACAATGGCTCAAGATTTGTGTTCTTTGATCTCACAATTTAAAAAAATATGCATTAAGCACCATGGAAATCCCAAGAACTTCAGCAAGAAAGAGTCTTTGTTCCATAGTTTCTTTGCTTGATAAATATGTGGACTAAAATAAATGCAATATCTTAATTCAGTTTTTGCTTCATGAGACTGGTTGAGTGAACATAGGCCTAGTGCTTTGAAAATTGGCCTATTGTAGAAGATTGATAATCTAATAGCCTAAAGAGAATCCATTTCTTATAAGAACATATATATTTTGGAAAATATGGTATTTCTCAGAAAACTGCTGAAATGAATTATGTATCTTTTCTATCTTTATCTTTAATTCTATTACTTTCAAAGATCTAAAGCTTTCACTTGAAAATTAGTCTTTTGGAAAAAAATCGAAACTAGTGTTAAATTATATTTCATTGAGGTAATGAATATGAAGATTCATTTGCTGTAATCTCCTTGTGATCTTTTAAAGTAGTTTCTTGTGCTTTTAAAAATAACACTATAATGGTCTATATGTGTATCAGTTTTTACAACAATTTGTCTAAACTTTAGCTTATACAGTGTGCATGAAGAACCAAGTGCAGTCTGAATTAGCACAATGCAAATAGAAAACCGAACTTTTATTTTCCTCACAAAATTATATCTAATATAAACCTTATGTAAAATAGAGAATTTTTAAGTGCTTGTAAAATAATAACAAAATCATACATAATGTCAGTGGAGGAGAAAAGTTAAGGATTTTATATCACACTAAAATGCATTTCTAAATTGACTTAGTATTGTTATAAAACATATTCTTGAATATTGTATCAGAATTTATCACCACTATTGAAGTCAAAATAAAGATGGATCTCTAAATTATACAATTTATTTGGGAATCACAGAATTGTAGTTCTGAACAAAACTGAAAACCACGGTGGTCTTCTATATGTGTGAAGGACAAAGAGAAGATTGGGGGTTTACTAGCAAGGGAAATGCTATATATTGTTTTGAAAGAAAGCACACGGACACTAGAGAAGATTTTGGGAGCTGATCAAGCAAGCCTAATGGGAGGCAAATCTTTTGAGACTTCCCAGGAGCCCAACTATAAAATCCCTTAGTCAATTTTAAGTGAAAAAGACTTAAATTTGAATTTGATTCTGTGGAAGTTTGTCATTTGTTTGGATGCAAAAAGCCTAAAAATATTTAATTAAAGTAGAATTACATATCCTTGAGAGATAATGGTCACTTATTTAACCAGAGTAATAATGGAAAGACTTCAAAAACAAATTCAAAAGTTACCTGGTCAAGAGAAAAAAATACTTAGACCTGTGTTAGAGATGACTTAGTTTTTTCAGGAGGTCAAAACCCGAATAAAGACAGCCCAAACCACAAGAAGCTATCTTAAAACATAAAATATCTGCTTGTTAGGTGGATTACTTAGAGAGAGAGAACAAAAAAACCTTTTGTAATATGACCATTTCTCTTGGTATATGCCCTTTTGAGTAAACTGGAAATTAAACCCCATGAAAAACTACTTTAATTCAACTAGACGCTGGAAGAGTGTATGTCTAAAGTTATATGTAAACCATATTATAGAATAATAATACACACACACACACACACACAAACAAGTAGTACCTCCACCAGGTGGAATGGATGGCTTTTTAGAAAAAGAAAGAGCATGTGAAATTTCCTGGTTACATAGAACAATCTGGATACATCAGGAAAAGCCAAGAGTACAGAATTAATCTATACCAGAAAAACATTGTTTTTCCAGTTTTTTTCTTGAGACAAACGTTCTCGGTGTCAGGTTATAATACCAGAGTGCGAAGTGGGGAAAAATGCAATAGGAACTGACAAAAAAAAAAAAAAAATGAGAGAGAGAGTCACCACTTTAGTTAATCAAAAAGATGTACTGTTTTAAGGAGAGAAGTAACAAGAGCAGAAGGCATTGATGTATTAACTGCAAATTACACGTATTGAGATGCATAAAAAGCCAAACCCTTGGGATAAAAATATGAAAAGCTTTAAGAGGAAAAGTCTACCTCCTGAAATGAAGTGATCATTTTTTTTATTGCTGCTTCTAAAAAAAGGATACATGTACAGGATGTGCAGGTTTGTTGCATAGGTATACGTGTGCCATAGTGGTTTGCTGCACCTATTGACCCATCCTCTAAGTTCCCTCCCCTCATCCCTATCCCCCAATAGACCGTGGTGTATGTTGTTCCCCTCTCTGTGTCCATGTGTTCTCAATGTTCAACTCCCACTGAATGAGAACATGCAGTGTCTGGTTTTCTGTTCTTGTGTTAGTTTGCCGAGGATGATGGCTTCCAGTTTCATCCATGTCCCTGCAAAGGACATGCTCTCATTCATTTTTCATGGCTGCATAGTATTCCATGGTGTATATGTGACATATTTTCTTTATCCAGTCTGTCATTGATGGGCATTTGGGTTGGTTCCCGTCTTTGCTATTGTAAATTGTGCTGCAATAAGTAGAATGATTTATATTCCTTTGGGTATATACCCAGTAATGGGATTGGAGGGTCAAATGGTATTTCTGGTTTTAGATACTTGGGGAATCACCATGCTGTCTTCCACAATGATTAAACTAATGTATATCCTCACCAACAGTGTAAAAGCATTCCTATTTCTCCACAGCTTCACCAGCATCTATTGTATCCTGACTCTTTTAAATAATCACCATTCTGACTGGCATGAGATGGTATCTCATTGTGGTTTTGATTTGCATTTCTCTGATGATGAGTGATGTTGAGCTTTCTTTCATATGTTTGTTGGCCAACTTCTTTTGAGAAGTGTCTGTTCATATCCTTTGCCCACTTTTTAATGATATTATTGCTCATATTAACTTTGAAATGACTGAAAATTCAAAATAAAGACAAGAAAGATAAAATTATATTTTTTAAGTTACAGGTATGAAGTATTTTTGAAAGGAAAGAAACCTCTAGATTATATATACATGTATGTGTATATATTTATATGTATATGTGTGTATATATAATATATATATTGCTTTCAACAAAAAAATTATTAGAGTCAAAATAGTATCATCTCCAGATGTTTTTATTTAGCTTGGTATCTAAAATCATTTAGGTGACCCATTCCCATGTTTGGAAAATTTTTAAAATTTGTTGTATATATCTGTGGTATTCAGTATAGTAGCCACTAGCTACTTAACTTTTAATCAGTTATAATTAAATGAAATTTAAAATTCAGTTCTTCCGTCATACTAGCTACATTTCAAGTGCTCAATAGACACACTTGGCGAGTGGCTACTTTATTGGACAGGGCAAGTATAGAATATTTCCATTATCACAGAATATTTAACCAGACAGCATTGATCTAAATGGTTAATTTTTTTTTTTAACTGGAGTGCATTGGTACATTCTCAGCTCACTGCAACCTCTGCCTCCCAGGTTCAAGCAATTTTCTGCCTCAGCTTCCCAAGTAGCTGGGATTATAGGTGCCCACCACCACACTCGGCTAATTTTTTTATTTTTAGTAGAGACAGGGTTTCACCATCTTGGCCGGGCTGGTCTTGAACTCCTGACCTCATGATCCACCAGCCTTGGCCTCCCAAAGTGCTGGGATTACAGGCATGAGACATTGCACCAGGCCAAGTATCTTGTAGAGAAAGTTTATATTATGATTCAGATTTCCATTTCTTCACATTTTTTTCTGAAAAGCTAAGGTTTTGTTATTGAACTACTATTAGAAGTTGAATGTGATCCTCTTCCAATGTCTGGCATTGCCTTCCTGTGGAATTAACACTCTGTGTGATTTAGAGTACACGTCCTGACTTTCTCAATGCTCATAAATACCTTATCTGTAGGAAACTTTCTTTAAGAGAAAAGCAGCTTTAGCCTGTCTCCAGTATATGGCCCTGACTTGCTTGTACATGTAATCTATTATGAAGGAAAAAGAGCCATCCTCACAAATCTACAAGATTAAAACTTCTAGCACAAACACAGCTTGAATCAGTGCTTCTGTAGCTTCTTTCAGCAAAGGGACCATAGCCAGTACTGTGGCTACAACATATGCCTTGCCATCAGATACAAGAGTTAGGCTTCATATCCACGTCCTGTGCAATAAAAAGCTTTAAATCTGAGTGGAACATCCGTAGAACTAGCTCACAGACAACGCAGAAGTAGGAACACTTCGGTCTGTGTTCAAGTAAAATGAAGGTTGAGATTTCTTTATGCAGCAGAAGAAGCAGGATTCCGTATCTGTCTTTGGAGTCAGGTTGGTCTTTGAAAGAAAACCAATTTGCTTTTAAGAGGTTCTAATCTAGCAGGATACCAGATGATGGCAAGCGTGTTTAAACCAAGTATAGACTAAGGGATTGGTACATTGATAAACTACCTTCTGTTTCAGCAGAGGGTAATTAGGGTGCCAGCAATGCTGTTATTACTACTAAGGTCACCAAGGACCTAGATCAAGAAGTTCCATCCAGCAACACCTTATTACAGTGTACAGAGGTCAACAGTCAGAGGTAAAAGAAAAAGAATAATCTTTTATCAGACTTTTACATTACATTGACAATTTTTAATACAGAATATTTTTCATTCTTTTATTTTGATTCACTGGTATTTATTTCTGATTCTGACTCTGCCTACTGTTATTCACCCTACTTGTTAATGCTAATCTATTCTTTTTATTTGTAAAAGCATAACTTTTCTCAGGCATAGTTGTGTGTGTATATGTGTATTTAACCTATTCTAGAAACATTAATTTAAAGTAGAAGAGATTGAGATTGCAGATTATAATAGCATGTAAAGAGTTTTATACAGTTAATACCTGAGAGTCTGCACAGTGGGGAACTCCGAAGTAATATGTAAGGTGTCAAGAACAAGCAGGTCAGGACTGTGGCACTCAAAGGGCAGGTAACCAGCTTTTCAGTAACATTTTTAAGTAGCACTTTCAGAGATCCTTAGAGAATGCCAGGCAGTAAAGGACACATCTCAAAATCCATACAGCAGATTTCTGGTTTCCAAGTTTATGGGATATAGTACTTAATAAAGTATTTGAAACTCTACAATTGCTATGGAAGAGACATTCTGGAGAGTTACGTATTATCCAAAAATAAATTTTTCAGAAGCAAGAAATTTTAAAATAAGAAACCAACCAAAAAAGAATGGCCAACCATTTAAACCTTTTTTTCCATTAATAAGGAGCTACATAGTCTGCTGGTGAAGAACTTGATAGAAATTGACTGTTTTCACTTAGTGGGCTGATCCCCTTGTATCTGTGTCAGATAAAATCATAGCACTTATTATTTGTTACCGGATACCATGAAGATACTGCCATCCACTAAATAGTAGTAGAGGAAGACAACATAATTTTCTGCAACTAGTCCCGTTTTGCCTTCATAAGCTGCCTTTAACCATCCTGGTTCCACTGATGGGTCCACACTGGAAAATATCGCTCTTTGTGGGAAGGAAAGCTCACGCTGTGCTCTCCTTTATAGGAGTACATGGCTTTGGCTTGGTGCCCAGAAGAAACTGGCTTAGGTGAACCAACATTTTCAAACAGTTGAGCTTTTGCTGCCACTACTGAGCCAGGACGCTGATAGCCATTGCTTGAGGTGGTGTCTAGTCTTAACCTCCTGCACATTTTTGGAGGCAGGTCTGGGTTTGAAGCTTTGGGTGTCTCCTTGGAACCTACAGAAGTTAAGCTTTGAATAGATCCACTGTAGCTAATGTTTCCTTCAGCTGCAGAGATGGATCTGAGAGAAGAAGCAGAAGCTCTTTTCAGTCCTGAAAGCCCATAAGGCCCTTTCTTGACTAGGTCTATGGGTGGGGAAACATCCCCTGGGCTAGTGACCGAAGCAACACTCTGGCAATCTGATTCTGCATCTGTCTTGGTTGCATCTTCTCTAGAACTTGATTCAGGATTAGTTGTCCAGAGACCAAGGCTTTTCTGTCCATTGGAAGATTGGGTTGCAATCCAAGGAATCCCTCCAGATTTCTCCCTGGGCTGGCAGAAAGCTGACTTTGTAGTGCTATTTTGTTCTGAGGAAAGAGAAGAGAGTGACTTGATGCTCCCCATGGGGGTGCTGTCTGTGCTGCTGCTATAGGAATCACTATCAAGTTCAGCCAGGCATGGAGTACACATCCCTCTGGGCTTCCTAGAGCCTGTAGAGAGGCAGATTGCTCATGTCCTTTGGGATCCAGATCGAGACTGAGGCTGTCCTTTGGGATCCAGATCGAGACTGAGGCTGAGGAAGAGGAATGCTTGGGTCTGGAGCAGTATGAAAAATTGTTTCACTGTGCTCTATCAGAATTTCTACACAATATTCTGAAATTTAATATTCACCATAGCAGCCACAGTTTATTCTTGTGCTCTCATTAGAGTTGGGCCAAATATGACACCAAGATTTTAGACAGTCATGAGATTTTGTTGGCTGTGCAGTGATACTTTGACCAGATGTTTTATTAAGATGTCCAGCATCTCTCTGTTTTTCTCTGGCAATGTGCACACCAATGCATGTACAGCCTCCACCCTGTAGTTTTGGTCATCAGATTTAACAGCAGTGATACAAATCTTTGTGTAACTTGTAAGTTATCAGAGGTGCTGCAAAGCACCTGAGGTAGTTTTTCAGCCCACTCATTATTGTCTTATTGTCCCACAGTTCAATATCAATATCAGGAGGGGATTTAGGAGAAAATATGATATTCACGAGTTTTTGAACTTTGGAGTTCACTCCTCCTATTCAGTAGAGGCCTAAAATGGTGATACCACTGGTTTCCACAGCTTGAATGCAGTTTCTCACAAAATTGAACCCTGCTTCATTCAAATACATTTCTTCTTTCTTGCTTATAATGTCAGGCAGAGTATAAAGTGGTTCCTTCCCATCCGTGGCTTCAAGCCAGAGTTTCCTATTAGCTTCTGAGAAGGCCTGTAATGTGATGATCCCATGGCTTTCAACTACTTGTATGTCGAAGCAGAATTGTTTGTCAATTGAATCTGTCTTTTGTTGGATACAAGATTTTGAACATTTCCGGTGAGCTAGTAACAAGGCTGTTTAATCCATGTAAAACCAAGTGGTCATTTCTCCTGGACATGCAGATAGCCTTGCAGATTTCACCCTTTGCATCAACCCCTCTACCTCTTGTCAAGTACTTTCAAAATTATTCCTTGTATTCTGCAAGTCGAACTGCAGCTGTTGCTTATTTGGTGCAAATTCCTGGGCAAGTTCATATCCCTCGGGGTAAAAAAGTAAATAAATCCTGAAGAAATGACAAAAGCAGTTCAACAAATTCAAACTTCTGTTTTTCTTGAACCTCTTGAATTTTAAAGACATATTCTTTTTTCTTTTATTTTTATTTATTTGTTTATTTATTTATTTTGAGACGGAGTTTTGCTCTTGTTGCCCAGGCTGGAGTGCAATGGTGCAGTCTCGGCTCACTGCAACCTCTGCCTCCTGGATCCAAGCGATTCTCCTGCCTCAGCCTCCCGAGTAGCTGGCTTTACAGGCATGTGTCACCAGGCCCAGTAATTTTGTATTTTTAGTAGAGACGGGATTTCTCCATGTTGGTCAGGCTGGTCTCCAACTCCTGACCTCAGGTGATCCACCCGCCTCGGCCTCCCAAAGTGCTGGGATTACAAGCGTGAGCCATTTAAAGACATTCTGATGATGCTTCATAGAAGTTCTGATGTGCTCAATCAATTTGTGTATCTGCCTCTTGCAAATGAGACTCCTTTTTCTTTGCAGATAAATTTAAATGCTCTTCAAGGATAGAGTAATATTTTTCACTCTCTTTGTCAAACTTCTTTCCACCTTTTGCTGCACCTATCTGTTCTTTTTGAAGTTTCTCAAGTGGTGCAATTAATACATCATTAGCGTTTTGGATCAGTCTTCGCTTTTCTTCTACTGCAATGAGTAGTCTTGCAAATTATTTTAGTGACTGACCAATACTAATTTCATCATCTGTTTCAACATCACCAATACATTCAAATTGGAAATCTTGTAATGACTGGGAAAATTTCTGCACTGCCATAGACAGATCTCCAACCTGGGTAGAGGTGTGTTACTGAAGGAACTCAGGGTTCCTTTGGAAAGGATGAAAGGGCAAGGGAACTGGGCAGGCAATCAACATTACCTGTCCTCAACGCCCCAGTGAGCAGAGAGCCGTCCTTAATGAGCTCCTTGATGAACTTGTTGGTTCGCTCCAGCTCAATCTGGTGACACTGCAAGCGCTCCCTAAAATCCGGGCTGTCCAAGTAGTAATCACTGAACTCCAGAGTGGGCAGCCCCATGGCACAGGCGCTGCCAGCGGCGGCCGCTGGCACGTCCGGGCCAGTGGTCAGGGCGGGGGCAGCTGGAGGCCGCGGCGGGCGCTGGGGCAAGCCAGGGGACTCGCTGGCAAGCCAGGGGACTGATCGCTGGAAGGAAATGGGACCGCGCGCCGCGCCGCCTGAGCCGGGCTCAGTCTTCCTCCCCCTGGGCGAGGCGAGCACAAGCCTGGCGGAGGGCCTAGGCGCAGGTCTGCTCAGGTTGTTGTCAACGAGAGGCATCCTCGTTGGGAGCGCTGGGACTGCGAGCAACACTGTTGATTATTAAAGAAGCACACAATAGAAGTGCTAATTTTATTTTACGAGTTCCTTGATAATTTTTAGACTCTTTTGTAGGAAAAAAAAAAGTAGTGTGTTTATGCTTGCCCCAGGCTTCCCTGTATAAAAGCTGCTTTTTCTCAACTTTCAAAAATGAGTTTCTGATTGACATTAATGATTCTGTTAAATCTCTATATAAGGCAAAGGCAATTGGGAACATTTGGAAAGGCATTTGGAAACTTCCAAAATTATAAATATTTGCACTTAAACTTCCAAAGCCAGTTGTGTTCATTAGTTTTTTTTAAAAATTTTTCCTAAGAAATTATCTCACAAAAAGCAAGAGGCCTCTAGTGTAACTAGTTTTCAGTTTTCCTGTTACTGGAGTCAGATCAGCTGAAGCATGTTCAACCTCTCCCCTGTGGGCCAGTTACAGGGGAAGGAAGGAAGGAAGGGGGAAAGGGAGGGAGGGAGGAAGAGAGGGAGGGAGGGAAGGAAATGTAGTCCTGGGGATACACTAACAGTTCCAGAAACAGAAGCAATTTATTTTCTCAATTTCTTTCTTACCTTCTTTTACACTATCATTCACTAATTCAATCACCAGCATGGTTTTACATGTCCAGCTTCTTTCCTGTTCTTAAAAATCTCTTCCAATCGCACCGTCTTTTTCTTAAAAGCTTCAAATTTCCCGTAGTTATTTTATTCAAGAGCCATGAGGTTCAACATGATTTTGTCATACACTCTGGATCACAGAATAGAATCAGCAACCTTGGCATAGCCCAACACACACACACAAACACACACACATACACACACACGACACAGCTTTCTGACCAGCATCTTTTGGAAATGGAGTACTGCTGTGGAAGTAGAAAGGGAATTTTCCTGTCATTAGGGACCTACAATGTGGTAGGCACTAAGACAAACATTTGACTTCATTACTCTAATCCTCAGAAATCTCTGTAGTGTGCCTATTCCTATATCACAGATGAGATATTAGTTCATGAAAGCTGTCCTCTATCCAGGGTTATGTAATTTGTGCCCAGTTATACAGCAAAATTGGAATGCAGGTCTCTAATCTCTAAAGCCCATACTTTCCCTACTGTAGTTTATTGCCTCTCCTAGGAAATTTCTTCCTCCATGACAATATCATGAAGAAGGGGAAACTATTGCTTGTCACTTCTGAGTTAGTATCAACACTTCTTCCATCCTCTAGCACGAATAATGTAGCGACACCACCAATTCTGTTGCAGAGCAGAAATAATCTTAAGGTTGTTCAACTTCCTAGCCACCCTAGTTCCTTTCCTGCCCAGCTGCAAGAAAGAATTATTAAAGAACTCTGTGAAATTGACCTTTGGTGTGGAAAGAAAACATGACAAGATGGTGAATCAAACATTGTGTTGCATTTAGCATTTATTATAGATTACTATGCAAAATGAACTAAAATTTTGTTAAATGCAAAATTGTCTATAAGAACAGCATAATATGTGCTTAATCCTACTTCTCTGCGATCACTTGATAAGTTAGTCAAATGATTGGCATTTTAGACATGATGGTGCAGAGAGGTAAGTAATTTGCCCCAGGCACATAGCAAATAAATGGCAGAATCAGAATTCAAATCCAGTCTTTCATGGCTCCAAAGGGCCTGAGTTCTTTCCAATACACTAATGGTTCTCAAATTCAGAGTGTATCAGAATTACTAGAGAGTGTGTTCAAAGTAAAGCTAGATGCCCAAGTTTGACACTGCTGAATGAGAATTTCCAGGGTCAGGACATATGTTTGTTTGTTTGTTTGAGCAACTTCCTAGGCAACCCTGCTATATGCCGAAGTTTGACGGCCATACCACTATACCATGCTGCCTTATGGAGTTATAGAAATGATCCTTGCTAAAGCATTAAAAACGTGTCGACTAATCTTTACATCTTATGGGAGTTACTGGTGAACTAGCAAAAATTTTAACATTTTGTGAATTTCTGTTAATCTGTACATTGGGTATAATGGTTTTTGCTTAAATTAGAATGTACTTATTTGTGTTTAATTGTTCTAAACTTGGAGCTAATTTGTAGAATTCATTTATTTGCTTTTACTCAGCACTCTACAAATTCTCTGTAAAATGTTACAGTGTCTCTTTCACCTTGGGACACCAAATATTCCACAGAGATTGCCCCTTAGTTTAAGGGACCTTACTCTTTTCTTTTACATATATATATATGTATATGTGTAAGCAGGTCTTGGTGGGTTAATGGGACTAAATAAGACAGTTATTTTTGAAGAGCAAGACTTAGTAAAATAATTAAAGATCAAAGATTCTCATGACTAGAAAAGATTTGATTACCTTCAATGAGCCCAATGAAGTAGAGGCCAAATCTCCTGTGGATACTACCAAAATGAGGTCATGTGGCTAACTCGTTGATTGTTAAGAGACCACATTAAAGGCTTCTGAATTGTTTCAAAAGCGTTATATAAATTTAATGCCCCTACCCCAATTCCTGCTTCTAATAAAAATACAGTGTTAGTGTCTGACTACAGAAGTCATACATGAGGAGTTTATATTTTTATTTTTTACTTTATTTATTAATTTTTTTGAGATGAAGTCTCACTCTGTTGCCCAAGCTGGAGTGCAGTGGCACAATCATGGCTCAGTGCAACCTCCACCTCCCACACTCTCATTTTTATAGAGTTTTCCTGACTGTTCTCATTGCATATACTTCTTGATTAAATTTAAGATAATCTTGCCAGGTTTTTAAAAATCTTGGGAGTTTGGTTGGAATTACTTTATAGATATAGAATACTTTAGAAACATTTAGCATATTTAAAATATTGACTCTTCCTATCCAAGAACAATATGTTTTCCCATTTATTCAATTTTTGCTTTCTGTTATTATATTAATTTATGATTAACTTGATATAAATGTTCACATTTGAAAATTTCTTGCATTGTATTCTCTAATTTTTGTTTATATACAGGCAAGCTAATGTTTCTTTCTTTTTTTTTTTTTTTTTTTTGAGATGGAGTCTTGCTCTGTTGCCCAGGCCGGAGTGCAGTGGCGCGATCTCGGCTCACTGCAAGCTCCGCCTCCCGGTTTCACGCCATTTTCCTGCCTCACCCTCCCGAGTAGCTGGGACTACAGGCACCCGCCACCGACCGTGCCCGACTAATTTTTTTGTATTTTTAGTAGAGACGAGGTTTCACCCTGTTAGCCAGAATGATCTCGATCTCCTGACCTCGTGATCCGCCTGCCTCAGCCTCCCAAAGTGCTGGGATTAAGGCTTGAGCCACTGTGCCTGGCCTTTTCATATAATTTTTATCAGTGGACACCTTACTGAACTATAGTACACTTTAGCTTTTTAAAAAAGCTGCTTCTGTTTTCCAGGTATGCAATTATATAATCCTATAGTAATTTTTGTGACTGTCTTTTTAATATCTATATTTCTTCATTAATTTTAGTTTTCTTTCTAATTACTTACAAGGCTAGGACCTCAGAACAATGTTAAGTAGTAGTTGTGACTGCAGGCATTATTTCTAGCCCTGGCTTTACCAGCAGTATTCCTAGCTTTTCACCATTAAGAATGACATTGGCTAGCAAATTAAATACATATTGTTTAATCATTTTATTCCTATTCTAGTGAATTCATTTAATGAAATTGGAAATGAAAACTAAACATCGTCTTAAACTTTTCAAAATACATACAGATTATTATATAGTTTTTCTCTTTTTGAGTTAAATTAAATTAATAAGTTTCCTGGTATTCGATAAACCATGTATTCCTAGAATGAAGTATTTCATTGTTATCACATACTGTCTATATAGCTTTGTATTCCAGTAGTTGCAATTTCAGATTTTGACATCAATTTTCATGTCTGGCCTGGAACTTTATAACAACTTATATTGCTCATTTAAAAATCCACTGTTGCTTCTCTCCAGTTTATTTATATTTTCCAATTTCTTCAGTTAGATGCTTAATTTACATGTTTTTGTTCTTTTAATGGCTGCTTATAGAAGCACCTTTGTAAATTCAGAGGATTGTGATTCTTTTTCCAGTTGATTAGAGCCAAGTGACCTCTAAATATGCCATACAGTGCATCAGTGAATAGGGTTTATGTACACAAACACATCATCAATACATAAGACATTCCAAGTATCACATAACTGTGCAGCCGTGCCCCATCCTTTTCTTCCTGGTGTTTTGGTGCAGCCACCAAAATCTGATAGGTATGCCAGTTATGGGAGTAGGTGCAGTTATAGCAAGGCATGATGCTGACTTATCTCACTGTATTTCCTTCTGCTTAATCTTCTGTAGACATGCTGTGCAACTTAACATCACTGCCACCCAGAAGCTCTTACGGCTAGTCAGATGCCAAAGCTGGAAGCCTTTATACATATCTCTACTGCCTTTTCAAATGGTAACCTGAAGCACATCGATGAAGTTGTTTATCCGTGCCCTGTGGAGCCAAAAAAAAAAATCGTCGATTCCCTTGAGTAATTGGTCAAATAAAGGGATCAAGGTGTGAGTAGAATGTTGCTCTCTTTGATTCTTTGTAGCTGTCTATTAATGAGATGATGAAGAGAAACAGTTTTGCAGCAAAATGCTTTGAAACGGTGCTAGCCTTAGTTACCTTGTCCCTGTTACCTCTTTCATCCCCTGGTGGGGAATATACTGCTGAAAGAGAAGGGGGATAGAAAATTCTTAAAGAAACATTTTGCTAAATTGTATAGGATTGCATGAGGTACTTGGGAATACTATACAAAGAAGTGGTTTCTCGCTTCTTAATGAACTTAGCATTGTCACTAGATAAAGCAAGTACAATGAATAGTATAAAATTTCAGAAGAAACATTTTTGATTCCGACATGAGTTTGGCATAGCTCCACAACTAACTAGCTGTGTGACTTTGAGAAAGTCCCTTGGCCTCTCTGAACCCCAGGTCCTTCATTTGTAAAATGGGCCCATTTGATTGTTGTGAGGTTGAATAAAGTTATATAAAACACTTATTGCAGTGCTAGGGAGTGTTTAATATCAGTTAATCAAATGATTAGTAAAGAAGAACTAACGAAGAATAAGAATTGCTCCAAGATCTGGCAGAAGTTCTCTTGACTTCTTTGGCTGAGACACCCTTTCCTTACTGTCCTATTATGCAAGAGAAATAGTGTCTAGGATTCTTCTCTTCTTGCCAACCAGCAGAAACCACTTTCATCCTAGGACACAGCTTGGGTCTCAGGATAGGTTTGTTTTCTGTTTCTTTATTCTGCTCCATTTCACTAAGTTTACTTTGCTTTTTGTTCAATTTTTTTTTAAACTCTACATAAAAAGTATTATACCAGAAAAATGGACTCTTTCACAGTAAATTTATTACATTATAATTTTCTATAATACTGTATTTACATTTAATATATACTCTTTAAAAACTTTTAGCTTAATTAAGAGTTCATTCCCTTCAGGGAAAACATTTTTATCTCCTCCAGCTCTGAGAATAGATATTTTTGTCTGTCATATAAAAATGTCCAGGACAAAGAAGAATGAAAGTCATCTAAAGGACCTGGAGGTTACTTAAAGTTGCTAATAAATGGAGGTTTGCTACATTGATACAGAGAAACATTTTAGAGTGCAGAATTTATCAGGATAGTGGGAGAAAAGGCAGGTGTACTCTGAGGCCCAATGTCAAGGCAGTAAACTATGCTTAAAGCCTCAGAGCATTTTCAGGATAGAATTGACTGCTGTCAGTTATCCTCTTATGGTGTTGTCTCTTGGCAAATGTGATGCTTCCATATTTGATGTACCCAGGAGAGGGGCAGACCCTTTTGTTTCCAGACTGTTTCCTGGGACTGTCTCCACTGCTGATCTCTCTAACGCCTGACAGGTCGTAGTGCAATTTGAGGCAGCAAAATAGTCTGAGAGTTCATCAGAGACAATAAGTAAGAGTTCACTCCTAATGAAGGGCTTCTCTATGTACTCCATACCACCATCTCCAGACACTAAATACCCATGGGTTTCAAAGAAGAATAAACTCACCTCCCAGAGGAAGAGTTGATTTATCTTCAGGCATTCGGCACTTTCCACACTCCCTCAGGTATATGTCAGCCAGACAAGGCTGGTAATTGCTACATGATATATGAACAAACTGCAATTGATATTTTTACAAAATTTTTAATGTTCATCTGTCATTTACTGCTCTCCAAGGATAACAATTATTTGAGCAACTAATTAGAAATAGGTATGAAATTATTTTATCTCAACAGATACATTTTGCATGCAATTAAGGAACAAAGTTTTTTTAAAAAAAAAACAGAGAAAAAGTCATACTTATGATTTGTTAATTCAAAATTAATTAGGACATCCAGGAGCACCTGTGGAGCCTCATTTCTCTCAGCCCTCCCCTTACCTTCATGCTGCAGTCACAAGGAAGTAAGGCCTCCTCTCCTCACACTCTGCCTGCCTTTGCGCTCAAAGCTCTCTGTTCCTAGAGCCTATTTCCCCTTCTGCTTCACCTGGTTAATTCTTACTCAGACATCAAGGCTCCCTGTGAAGCTCTCTGGCTTAGGCAGCCTTCCCAAGTGCCCCATAGTACCCAGCGCTCAGCTTTATTATTGCTTGTAACACAGGTCATTCTGAATGTCTGGTTGCTTATCTACATTTTCCTTTAGACAATGACCGTCTCAATGGAAGAGAATATTTCTTGCTCCTCTTTGCATCTTCAGCTAGGGACTCAATGCTTGCTTGCTGAGTGAAAAGTTTTTGGTGGAACTAGATGATTGTTGTTCATACTGTTCTGACTGTTTTTTTTTTTTTGCTTGTTTTGACTGAAACAAGAATAGATGACAGAATTCCACAACAAGCTAATATTTGGGGATGCAGAAGTCTTATGTGCAAAATATCTATTTATATCCCCACATCTTACCCATTTCTGATTGTTCATTTTTTTCTTCTTAAAGTTTGAATGAAACCTATATGTGAAGCTTTGAATAGCACTTTACATAAAGCCCAGCAACCCCTCTCCACCTATACCATCATCTATGACTATTTCTTTTTTTTAAACCAGCTTTGTGATTTTTATTGATGGGTGACAACTTTATACTCCTAGATATCACTAAACTGTGTACAATTAGGGATGCAGCATTAGAGAAGAGCAGACAGCAGAATTAAACAGAGCAGACTGAAGGAGAGATCTTCATTATTTGTCCATTTTTCATTATGTGTACACAGAAGCATGAATGCAATCTGAAATCTTTTTAATGGCAGTAAAGTTACAATCATCCATCTATGTAGACTAACATTTTAACTCCAAATATTTGATCTGCAATGTCTATGTAAGCAGTTTCCCTCAGCACAATTACTAATTTTTTTCCTGTTAGGAACCGGCAACTTATTTTTTATGTTTATTTTTCTTTTGAAGTAAAAACTAGTTCTTCTTTGATAACTGGCTCATTTTTATCATTTATCAAAAACTAAAGGGTAGGGAAGAAAAATGTGATGGATTAAAACATTTCTTTTTTAAGGAAAGATAAAATTCATTTTCACAAATTTACAAGTGTTGCTGGTGCAGGATTTATTCTACTAAGCAATGAGACTGGGGATCAAATCCACTTTCTTATCTCAGGAATCAGCATTATTTCAGAAATATGGGTTTTTGTGTATTTTTTAAAATCAAGCGACAGTCTGTTTCAACCAAATGATTTTGATTTCAAAGTTAGAGTCAACAGAAGCTATGTTGTGCACGAACCCCAAGGCATCCCCTTTTCATTCTAGCCCATTTTTGCAAAGGGAGAAAGAGTTTCTCTCTAAAGAGCCAATAAAGAGAGGCGGGAAGTGAGTGTGAGGTGGTGTCCTACAAAGCGGACACTGGGCTCACACACAGCGCACACAGGGTTTACAGCAGGTCCACTCGGCAGTAATACAGCAGATGGGCTGTGCGTTCAGCAGTTGGTTTCACCACCTGGTACTGGTTGATCACCTTGACTGTCTGGTCATCGATGCGCAGCCAGCCATTCAGACCGATCTGGAAGACGTCTCTAGTGTAATGTCCACCCGTCGCACTGTTGCCGTGATGGTAGACCACTGCAAAGAGCCGATAGGTTCTGTGGCATTTAAAATTCTTATTTTTAACCCCTGGAGAAAGCAGTTCTTTACTAATTTCCAAGTCCACAGGATATTCAGTATTTTTGATAAGCTTCTGACACCACCAGTCTTCTCATAAACGAATCGTTTCAGGTGCAGCACGAGGAGAGGAGGGAGTTTTTCCAGAGTCACTCTTCGACTTATCTCAACTTCTTGTTCGGTTTTTGTGGTATAACCTTGGACAGATTCTCTTGCCACCAAGCTCTCCAGTGCATCCTGGACTGTGCGTATTTTGTCAGACTGGATATCCAACTGCAACGTGAAAAATGGCTGCAAAGTGGCAGATTCTTTTGCACTCTGCTGGTAAACCACAGACCTGATGTGGCCACCAAAAATGCGGTGATTGGAGTCTGAACAAAATCCGCCTGGCAGGTGACGGAAGTCTTGTTCCGGGGGCCCACTTGTTCCCATTCATCCTCGCTTCCTTCACCTTGTTTTTCTTGCTCTTCTTCATTGACTGGTTTTTGGGGCCATTGGAAATCGCACGTTTTTCATTATTTGGTGAGAGAAGCTTCTTTAGGTTCAACATTTCCTCATGAAGTCCATTTAGAATGAAGCCTAAGTATTCCTCAGCATCTTCTTGTCGATCCTTTTCAGACAGGCTTGACTTGTTAACTGTCAGGAGTCTAAATATACGTGGGCTCAAAGGCAACTCCAGGGTGAATATCCCTCACGATTTCATCTCCAAGAGCTTGTCCGGGTTTTGGAGGTACTGGCATATTAGTAAACTCATTCATTAGCCAAACAAAGCTGTCTATCTTGGGTGTTGACGTACAGGGCCTTTGCACTTTGGAATACAGAGGAATGAACTTCATCAGGTGGTACATCGGCGGGAAAGCAACCAATGCCTGGCTACAGGATCCCCTGAAACTGGAACAAGCCCTTCTTTGACTTCAACCTGCTTTTCAGAAACCAGGGGAGATATGGCGGGAGGGGAATACTTAGTTTCCACATAGGCCACCGGCCAGGAGGAAGAGGGCTTAGAATCGTGAAAGAGACTGGCCCAGGACCTGGGCTGGCTGACAGGAAGGGTGCCTGATGCAGAGCCCGTGCCGTCAGCAGGAGGTGATGGACTCTCGGGTTTGGCTGGGTCCAAGTCTATGCTTTCCGTGGTGTGCAACTCCACCCCGTTGGTAGCTGTGCCCTCACCCGAGGATTCGAGTATTTGTCCATTAGCAACTCCAAGGTTTTCAGTAGTATCGGTACGAACGCAGGGCTGAGCCCCAGCTGTCCTTGACAGGGTGTGTCTGCCAGCCCCTGCAGGGAAGCAGGACTGACCAAAATCAACCCCGGGACCCCCCTCCTGCTGCCCTGCAGTCCCGGTGTCTCTGCCAAGTGCTCCGGGGAAAGGACTGTCAGGCACAGTGTCACTGACAGAGTCCGTGGAGTTCTGGGGGCTGTCAAAAGTCCTGGGCGTAACTGACGGGGGCATGTCACCCATAAATTCTGCATCCTCTGCACTGACACTGTTCTGCTGAGTTGGCATGCCATTGACCAGGGCTTCTGCGGAAATACTATCATCGCCACCATCTTTCAAACAGCTGTAATATCCAGGTGGCTGCTTTTTCTTCTTTTTACGCTCCCTTTGTCCAAGACCACCTGAGACACCATCATTTTCCAAAACTTCCGCCTCCACATTAGAACTTCCATCCAAAGCGAGGGCACAGCCTGGGTACTGGTCGATGGAGCCGTAGCTTGCTTCTTTAGTGATACCATCAGGGGTTCTTTTGGAAGCTGTACAACCGAGAATAAATTCGGGGGCCTGAGGGTTCAGTGTGCTTGAAATACTGTAGCTGGGGGTTCTCAGCAAAGTGTCACTGGGTTCAATGACTTCATTGACACCAAACTCAATTCTCCGATATTCTTGTCCATCAGGTAGTTTATCCCCAGCTTGTGTGCCACACAGAACTGTTCCACTGCATGGAGGAAGCTCAACTGAAGATCGAGGAGTCACAAAGAACTGATTGAATTCATCAGGGCTAAAATCTCCAAAAATATACTGCGGGCTGTGGAGGGCCATGGCTGCCGGTTTCAATGGGACTCGGCGCTCCTCCGGCTGCTCACGCTGCCTCCCCCGCCGCCGCCATCTTCTCCCCCGCACATACACCCATCTATGACTATTTCAATAACTCCTATAACAGATGGAATTTTTGCAAGTTTTAGAATAACAAATAACATTAAAAATCGTTATGAATAAACATTAATTTACCTAAATGCAGGTTTAGTTTTTTGCTTTAAGAAAATACTTTTGATGAGTTCTCTATTTAGTAATTGGCCTGTGTTAAAAAAGAATTATTTTCAAAGGTTTTTAGGTTTCTGTTTCCCCTGGGAGTTTGTTTTTCTTTCAGTGAAACAGAGAAATACCTAGGGAACAGTTTTTTTTTTAAACAGTAACTTCAAGGGGTCTAGCAGCTGTCATTTGCTCTTAGTATTTCAGCTGTTCTTAAGGAATCAGGAGTTAGACATCAAGATAATCTAGAAGCTGTACTCTGGGCATTGTGATCTCAAAAAAATAGCCATGACAATGTAAAAGGAAACTTTATTTTTCCAGAAAATCTGTTGAATGGGAATTCCAGTTCTGGAAGATAAAGAAGGATTTGCATTTTTGGCCAGGACCTTTCTGATGGCTTGGGCAGCAGTGATACTGCTCAGTGCTGTTAATAAAGTGAATGGGACTGTGAACTTGAACCTCATGCTTACATCCTGGTCCCTACCTTTGCAAGCCTAACGTCTCTCTTCGTTCAGCTCCCTCCATTTTCTATTCGGCCTATATCCTGAGACTGTCGGGCCTGAGCTCCCTTTCTTTAGCCCCTATCTAAAAATTTTAGATTACCTTGGCTCTGAAATATTCCAGAAAGATGAAATTTGATTTTGTTAGCACAAAAACTTTAGCATGTCAGCATAAAAATATTTTAAAATAACTTAAATGAGAAGTTAATGTTTGTAATGAGTAGGACAAGCATGGCCATTAATCAGTGTTAAGCAACTAATTTTCCTGGCTCTTATACCTGTAGTTTTCTTCTGGCCCTCATCCCAGCCACCAGTTCCCATCCTGACTCATCTCTATCTTCATATTACCAGCTTCTGCCTATTTGCTGTATTTACCTTGGAAATTTAGGGGCATAAATGGATCAGGGATTGCCAGTGAAATTCTGGTTTTCCAGAATAACAGCTTAAGTAGAAAGTTTATTTTTTAAAATGCACATAACTGACTAAGAAAGGCAGAGTTTTACGGTTGGTGCTTTTCTTATGTTTTAGGTCAAGGTAACTCCTCTTAGGGGAACCAGTGTAGAGGAAAAGGGCTTCTGCGCCTGTATAAAAACCTGAAATAACTAGAATTAGGAACTAGAAAAATGGAATCACAAATACCTATTGCTTTATTGAACATATGTTAATAAATCTGAATTAAGAAGGGAAGGGAGGAGATGAGTCATTATTGAGCAATCACTGTGAGTGAGATGCTTTCACAGACATTTATTTCCATAACTTAATATTGTAGGGTTGATTTATTATCACTGCTATACTAATTAAGGAGCAAAAAGCTCAGGAAGGCTAAGTAACTCCTTGAAAGTCTCTCAAGACTTTCTTTACCTTTCAAGAAAGGTATCCATGGCCACTTGATTCTGAAGCTCATGGTCTTTCCAGTCTACTCACATACTCGGCAGTGTTAGAGATTAAAAGGTGCTTTCTTAAGATATAGACTGTTCCCAAGGAGCTCACGTCCCAGACAAATAGAACAGGGCAGAATTATACACGTGGGGTGATGGGGAAACAGTACATATTAAGTCTGGTGGAGTGGAGAGAGGCATATGAGGTGACTTGGAAGAGTGGGAGGAGTGTGGATAGGTGAGATGTGCACAGACACCAGGCAGGGCAACTGGAGCTGGGAAACCCAGGTGTGTTTGGGACACAGCCAGAAGTCCCTCTTGGCAGCACATGTGTTATGTGTAGGGAAGCAGTTAGAGATCAAGCTGGAGAGGCAGGTTGGGCCGTACTGTGGAGATTTTGCATACCATGCAGAGGAATTGGATTTAATTCTCTAGGCAGTGGAGATCCATTGAAGGAGGGCCATGTGTGTGCATGTGGTTTTGTGTAGTTTTTGGTTGCTTGTTCATTTGTTTTTATCGTGGAAAGACACTGATGAAAGTGGGCTTCAGTAATATTAATATGGCCAGGGGCTGGGGGAGGCAGTAGATTAGCATGTGTATTGGGAAAGAAAAAAAAAACAATAGGACATGGCTACTGCTTTGCTTATGGGATTACACATACCAAATTAACTCCAGATTAGAACATGCATACTTGCCATGTTTTACATTTCTAGTGCCAGGGATTTAATTTTTTTTAATAAATGAGAAAGTAAAGTTTATTGTGTTTAAGTATTTTTAATGAGATCATGTTTTTAGTGAGAACTGGGACCAAACAGATTTTCTGACTCCAAATAGATATTTCCATTGGAACAGATCTGTAAGTATACAGACATGCAAACACATATTTCTTTACTGCTCATAATTAAGTGTCAATTAGTCCTTATTAGAATGTGGGATGTATAAATGTAAGAGAATTTTCAGTTAAAATTGACAGATACATTTTTTAATTGTCCTAAAATGGATTTAATTATTTTTCTTTAATGTTATTTTTATGAGAAGTGATATAACTTTATTGATAATGCATACAATAACTCTTTGTTTTGCACATTGTTTGGAAATACAATGTATTTTGCAAGTAACTAAAGCCCAATTTAAATTAAAATTTTAAATTTTCTATCTTTTTAATTGTGATTATTATTATACTTTAAGTTCTGGGATACATGTGGAGAACGTGCAGGTTTGTTACATAGGTATACACATGACATGGTAGTTTGCTGCACCCATCAACCTCTCATCTACATTAGGTGCTGGAGATGATGTGGAAAAAGAGGAACACTTTTACACTGTTGGTGGGAGTGTAAATTAGTAAAACCATTGGGGAAGACAGTGTGGCTATTCCTCCAGGATCTAGAACCAGAAATACCAATTGACCTCACAATCCCCTTTCTGGGTATATGCCCAAAGATTATAAATCACTGTACTATAAAGACATGCACACACATGCTTATTGCAGCACCGTTCCCAATAGCAAAGACTTGGAACCAACCCAAATGCCCGTCACTGATAGACTGGATAAAAAAAGTGGCACATATACTCCATGGAATACTCTCAGCCATAAAAAAGGATGAGTTCATGTCCTTTGCAGGGACACGGATGAAGCTGGAAGCCATCATCCTCAGCAAACTAACACAGGAACAGAAAACCAAACACCACATGTTCTCACTCATAAGTGGGAGATGAACAATGAAAACACATGGACACATGGAGGGGAACATCACACATTGGGGCCTGTGGGGAGCTAGGGAAGGGATAGCATTAGGGGATTTAATTCTTTCAAAATTTAATTCTGTTGAAATGTTTACTTCAAGAAGCAATGCATTTTTGAGAGCTAATCCTGATCTATTCAAATCTTAACAACTTAAGTTGATGGAGTGGACTTCTTTTAAATTAGTGATTCCCTAATTTGCCTGACTGTTGGAATTTCCAGGGCATGTTGAAAATACAGATTATCCAGACTCTTACCTCTGCAGATCTATTTAGTGGTTCTAAAATGGCAGCCAGGAGTCTGAATTTTTCCCAGGGGCCCTGTGTAATTCACACTGATGAACAGGCAAGTTTGGGAAATAGTGCCTTAAGGAGATTTTTCATTAAGCAGTCTTCATTTGAAATGAGGATCGTTTATCTTCTAATACTCCTTGCTTCCTCCTTCTCCTGCTCTCCTCGCCTCCTGTTGTCTTTCAGTTCCTAGAAGCTTTAACTGAATGAAAGGTCCTAGTAGATCTGTACCTACTAAAAACCACACTTCTGAAGCTATGTGGCCACCAGAAGACACAGCTAGTCTGCAATGTAAGAAAGGAAAGGTGGTGTGTGCACTGAGGGTACAGGGTTGACGGGCAGGGAAATGGAGACCCTCACAGCCAGTAGCAGTGGCCCTCATCACAGCCCTCCAGGAGATAGGAAAGGAGGTCAGATCTTGGACAGTAGTCTTGCCTTCCTGCTATAGAACACATTGTTAACACCAAAAAAGCTGATCTCTTCTAGGGGAATGGTGAAAGCTGACTCTAGCACTTGTGCTTTTAATTTCAGGGTGGCACAGCTTCTAAATGGCATCTAAGTTGCTGATATAAAAATGAAAATTCTGTGTACTTTGATATTAGCAGGCTTTAAATACAAGCCAGAATAAGATTAAATTGTTTCTTAATCAAATCGAATAATTTTCACATTGGCAGTCCATTCGGCATCTGGCTCATGTTTGGGCTAGGCTGAGTAGTCCGCGAAAGTCTGGAGGGAAATACAGAGGCCAATTCTCCATAAGCATTAGGTTGAGAAATACCCTGCTTCCCCATGAAAAGTTTAAATTGATGTGACGCCACCTTCACCAAATCGAGGTTGGTCAACACTTTTCACCACTGCCACTGGACACTTTGACTTCCAATTTTGCTTCCTGCTCTATGAAGATATCCCCTTCTTTCCTTTCCCACATTCTCCCTATAACCTCATCTTCCTTTCTTCTACTCTCTCTTATCATTGTCCATCTCTGCTTCCCAAAACCTTATATAGTACAGAAATTGGCCAATCAAGATTACCATGTGGAAGAGCATCCATTTACTGAATAAGGTAGCTGGCTCCTGGGGGCAGAAAAGTGATTAGACACAGAGATAAAAATCATAATCCCTGCTCTCCTGGACTCACTGTCCAATGGGGAGACAGACACGTGAACAAATACAACTTTGTAACTACAACAATCAAGTGAACTATATAATTTAGACTGGAGAAAGAAAGAGCAAATGTTATCATAAGACAGTGTGTCCACTACTTACTCTCTAACAGATTTCCTCATAAACCACTAGGCTTGCCAACTTGTTGCATGAGAAAATTGGAAGGTGAGGGAGGGAAAATACATATGCCTCTTGGCATTTCATTCCATAAATACATAAATAATGTAACTATTAATGATATCATCATGTTGATTCAATAAGTTTGAAACCAAAATTGATAGTAATCTTTAGAAGAAATTATGTATGTGTCTATGCATGTACACACATAGACATACACATAATGCTCTCTGAAATTTTTAATGACTTTATGCTTCTTCTGAAGCAATTCGAGTTTAGTATTTGAGACCCATGGGTCAAAGCATCTTCTTGAGTATACTGAAGAACATTTAGATTAATTTCAGACATGTATTTTGGTTAATATAGTGGTTTTTATCCATGCTAACTTATTTACTGTTTAAAAACATATTGAGAACAAACAACAGCAGCAACCCTGAATTGAGTGAAAGTCCTGAGAAGGGCTTTGCCCAATCAGTGCATATGCATGTTTACACTAATCTCCTGTCTGATCCTAGGAAGTGGCCGAATGAGCTAGCAGATGGTCTCTTTGGCTGTATTATAAACGATAATTTATTTTTATTTGTTTTATTCATTCATTCCTTCATTTTGAGACAGGGTCTCACTCTTTCACCCGGGCTGGAGTAGGGTGGCAGAATCACAGCTCACTGCAGCCTTCAACTCCCAGGCTCAAGCAATCCTCCTGCCTCAGCCTCCTGAGTAGGTGCATGCCACCAAGCCCAGCTAATTTTTAAAAACTCTTTTTGTAGAGACAGGGTCTTATTATGTTGCCCAGGCTGGTCTCAAACTCCTGGACTCAAGCGATCCTCCTTCCTTGGCCTCTCAATGTGCTGGGATTATAGGTTAGAGTCACCACACCTGGCCAGAAATGACATTTTAAAACCAACTATTACCTACACAGATGTATGATGCTCCCTTGTTGTTTTCTTTAAAAATAGGAATGCCTTAGATTTTTGGCTCATTTTGTTTTATCAAAGATCTTAAATGCAGTTGTGAAAATTTTTGTTTACCCTCATAATAGCCTGAGAATTTAGAATGAATATAATTATTGCTATTTTCACAAGTAAAATTGGAATGAGAAGATTAAACAGTGGAATACAGGTGTAAATAACAACAGCAGAGGCAAGCCATCTATAGAATATTAAAATTTCTTGCATGTGTGTTACCAACATTTTCTCATGCCTGAAATCCCAGCACTTTGGGAGGCCGAGGCAGGTGGATCACCTGCGGTCAGTAGTTCGAGACTAGCCTGGCCAACATGGTGAAACCCCGTGTCTACTAAAAGTTCAAAAATTAGCCAGGCGTGGTGGCAGGCACCTATAATCCCAGCTACTCAGAAGGCTGAGGCAGAAGAATTGCTTGAACCTGGGAGGCAGAAGTTGCAGTGAGCCCAGACTGCACCATTGCCCTCCAGCCTAGGGGGGACAAGAGCAAGACTCCGTCTCCAAAAAAAAAAAAAAAAAAAAACCCAAATAAACCAAACCAAACCAAAACAACAACAACCAAAAACAACATTTTCCAAGACAAGCAAAGCTACTAAACTTTATAAGGCCCCATCCCCCCAAGTATTATCCTTTCCATGTACTCCAACATTAACGACAGCAACTGGTACTAGCCACGTGACATACAATCCCAGCACATTGTTGGGCTCTGATGTTTTCTAGGAATTTTTTCTTTACAGCCTTATTGATATTAAGCTCTATTTTCTCAAGACCTGGTTTTTATAAACTGTATATTTTTGCAGTTGAGGGAAAATGATCTCAGGTCAGTCAATCCACTGTTGACCCACAAATGAAATAAGGTAGGATTATTGTTAAGATGGAGAGGTGTCTGCATCATCCTACACTTTTTCCCAGCCTCCAGGTGACCATATAATTAAAATATCCTTGATATTTCTATGTAGTTTAAGTTGTTTTTAATTCTAGAACCCCTCAATCTTTCTCCATTCAATTTAAATGAAAAGTCATTTGAGTATCCAGAACACACTCAGCACTCATAGAAGCAAAGCAAGAAAAATGGAAACATTATTGTCAATGCCCATGTTCTACCCCAGGATGAAATGAGGCATTAATACTGAGAGTTGTGATTCTGAATAAGTCTTAACCTTCTGCACATCTTAGTTGTTCAAAAATGTGTCATGTCAGCAAGGTGATAACAGTGAAGATTTTCTACAATCAAAGTAGTATTGTTATGTTCTGTTGTATAAAATAGAAATAAATGTACCACATTGATCAGAAAAATCACACTAGCATATTCTGGCAGCTTAATTTTTTTATTATTGTACTTTAAGTTCTAGGGCACATGTGCACAACGTGCAGGTTTGTTACATAGGTATACATGTGCCATGTTGGTTTGCTGCACCCATTAACTCGTCATTTACATTAGGTACTTCTCCTAATGCTATCCCTCCCCTAGCCTCCACGCTAGGACAGGCCCCTGTGTGTGATGTTCCCTGCCCTGTCCAAGTGTTTTCATTGTTCAATTCCCACCTATGAGTGAGAACATGCAGTGTTTGGTTTTCTGTCCTTATGATAGCTTGCTCAGAATGATGGTTTCCAGCTTCATCCATGTTCCTGCAAAGGACATGAACTCATCCCTTTTTGTGGCTGCATAGTATTCCATGGTGTACATGTGCCACATTTTCTTTCTTTCTTTCTTTCTTTCTTTCTTTCTTTCTTTCTTTCTTTCTTTCTTTCTTTCTTTCTTTTGTTTCATGGAATAAAAAGTTCGGCCTTTTTACTGCATGAAACTAAAATTGGAAAAGGTGGGCGTGGATGGGGTGGGAGGGGGTTGAGGGGAGCAGGAGATGCCCTCTCCACCAGCTCCTGGGTAATGACACCTCACTTCTTGCATAATTTCTGGCATCTTCCTGCCTGCAATGCCAGCTCTCTCAGCATCTTGGAGAAGGGGGGATCACACACTCATCGTCGTGCTTGGAGAGTAATTGTCATTCTGAAAGGAGTGGAGGAAGTTCCCTCCTAGCTCGCCGTCATCTCGAGGGGTGCCTGGAAGATTGCTAATACTATTCACGTTGTTAGGAGAATTTTTTGGAAGTCATTTATGTCGCCTGACCCTAACAATCCGTTCATGTGGTGTGGCTCCATGCCACCCATGCTGCCCATTGGACCGTCCAAGCTGGGACCCATCAGGAAGTTGGACCGGCTGCCTCCAGGTGGCACCAGATTAATCATTGTGTAGATGTTGTCGCTGGAATTTGTTGAATCTGAGGGACTGGGCATAGTGGGTGTTCCTGGAGGGCCGCCACCACCAGGGGGTGTCCCACATAGGTACCAGGTGATGAGGAGGAGTATGGAATTGAGTTAGCACTGTTAGGATTGGGCCAGGGTCTGCCAGCTCCCGGGCCCATGTTAATCCCGGGCGTGGCGGGGCCGAGGGAATTGGGTGGTGGTCTCATGCCACTGCCGTAATTCTGTGGGCTGGGACTCATGGGCCCCATGCCTTGGGGAGGGTTCATTCTCTGCATTGATCCTCCCATGTGGGGGTGGCCTTGCTGTCGTGTGGGATCCATGGAATTGGGCAGCAATGGCTGTTTCCCAGGAACTCCTCCGGAGGAGGCTGGTTTCCCATTCTGATCGGGGGGCCTGGGGCCGCCTGCATATCGCGGTGACATAAAAGGCTGACTGTGGGGTCCCATCATGCTGCTAGGATTGTGAGGTGGAGGCTGTGCATGCGGCGAGGGCAGTGACCCCGGAGGACCCTGAAAGAAACCTGGCGGGACTCGGCCTCCCGGCATCCCATCGTTGGGGGGAATGTTGCCAAGCACGGGGCTCCGGGCAGCTGCTGCACTAGAATCAGGAAAGGCTTTTGCTTCACTTGAATGTTCACAAGTGTCTCTCCTTTTAGGAGCTGCACAGTAAAGGTCCCAAAATACACACCACCACGAGTGCAAAAACCGAGGCTGTTCTCCCAACGTGATGTTTTTTTTTTTCCCAGAGAATCTCCGATAAGAAGGTCTGTGCAGATTTCTGTGTTCCTACCTGCAGTAAATATTCGTAGACGTATAAAGCTAACTTTTCCCCAGCCTGCCCGTCCGAGGGCACCAACGAGCCTTTGTCTTTGGCAAACATGGTTTGCAGGGAAGAGGGCTCCAAGCCTCGCCACAGCCGCCACCGCCCCGGCTCTCCCGAGCTGCCCCTGGCTCCCGGCCCCCTCCCAGGCGCTCGCTCGCTCTCTCGCTAGCTGGCGCTCTCCTCGCCGCGCTCCCCTCCCTCCCGACCAGGCGCTGGCTCCGCGCTCTTTTCAGCTGTCAAAGCATCAGCCCGGACCACGGCCCCATCGCCCTGGAACTCCTCCCGTGCCGGCTGGGCCTGGGGTGCCGCCGCGGCCTCCCGAAAGGCCGCCAGGTCTCCGCTAGCTCAGGCGCTCGCCAGGCTCCGCCTGCGCCGCCCTCTGCGCCTCCAGCACCGCTGCGGCCGCCGCCGCTGGTCTCATGTGTCACATTTTCTTAATCCAGTCTATGGTTGATGGACATTTGGGTTGGTTCCAAGTTTTTGCTATTGTGAATAGTGCCGCAATAAACATACGTGTGCATGTGTCTTTATAGTAGCATGATTTATAATCCTTTGGGTATATACCCAGTAATGGAATCTCTGGGTCAAATGGTATTTCTCGTTCTAGATCCTTGAGGAATCGCCACACTGTCTTCCACAATGGTTGAACTAGTTTACACTCCCACCAACAGTGTAAAAGCGTTCTTATGTCAAGCAATGGCAACAAAAGCCAAAACAGACAAATGGGATCTAATTAAACTAAAGAGCTTCTGCACAGCAAAAGAAACTACCATCAGAGTGAACAGGCAACCTACAGAATGGGAGAACATTTTTGCAATCTATCCATCTGACAAAGGGCTAATATCCAGAATCTACAAAGAACTTAAACAGATTTACAAGAAAAAACAAAACAACCCCATCAAAAAGTGGGCAAAGGACATGAACAGACACTTCTCAAAAGAAGACATTTATGCAGTCAACAGACACACGAAAAAATGCTCACCATCACTGGCCATCAGAGAAATGCAAATCAAAACCACAATGAGATACCATCTCACACCAGTTAGAATGGCAGCTTAATTTTTAAAACGCTATATCAATAATTTAAGCACATAGATCTCTCAGCTAGAATAAATGTTACATATTTAATTGACAATATTTTTTTGCTCTCTTAGAGATGTGTAGACTTTGGGTTTATCAAATGGTTCTTTTTTTTTTTTTTTTGAGCTGGAGTCTGGCTCTGTCACCAGGCTGGTGTGCAGTGGTGCGATCTTGGCTGATTACAACCTCCGACTCCTGGGTTCAAGCGATTCTCCTGCCTCAGCCTCTCAAGTAGCTGGGATTACAGGCATGTGCCACCACACCCAGCTAATTTTTGTATTTTTAGTAGAGACGGGGTTTCACCATGTTGGCCAGGATGGTCTCGATTTCCTGACCTCAATATCCGCCCGCCTCGGCCTCCCAAAGTGCTGGGCTTACAGGTGTGAGCCACTCCGCCAGGCCAGTTCTGACATATTTTTAAGAAAGATTAGGCTGATGCTATGGTAACTCAGTTATTCATGATACATGTCATATTATAAGTAGGAGAATTCAATATTCATGGTTTTGAAGCAATTTCAGAGTACTATAATCACCCCACTTGACAGACTTCAGAATTCATTGGAAATCTCTGGAAATAATTAGCAAGTTATTAGCACAGACTCTAAACAGACCTTCAAAATGCGTTACATAGATTTGCTAGGAGATTGTCAGTCTGCCAAAAGTAGTCACTTTGGTTTGGTTTGCATTGAATGAAAATTTTTAAATGTAAAGCTAAACTCTTCAGGATCACTGCACCGGGTTTCTATGGGACAACACTGAACAGGGCTGCCACTGAAACACCTTGGATGAGAGCCTCAAACTCCCTGAACGCAGCTTCCAGCACACTATTGGGAGAATGACTGGGACTCAAAAATGTGTGCAGTGAATGTACTTAGGAGCTTCTTGGAGAGGAAGTAAAGAGGTTGTATGTAATAACCTCCAGTTTAGTACTACTACAGATAAAGTAGTAGTATTGATAAAGTAATTGATAAATAAATAGTAGTGTTAAAGTCATACTAATAAAGTAGTACTAATAGCCCTATACTAGTAGTAATAATAAAGTGGTATTGCTATTGATTCTATTGGTCTCTCTACCTACCTATCTCTCTAGATGGGAGGGCATAGGATTTGGCTGATGAGATTGGGCTTAGCAGTGAAGAGCAAAGAGCTCATGCATGCTTTGAACAGGTATACCCTCAAACTTGGTATTGTGTGACTAAATTCCAGAACCAAGGCTAAAAGGTGGAAGTTTTGTTTGACTATTTGCATGTCACATTTTCCTTTTGGTCTATTGTCTAACATATGCTGCTAGAATTCTTTTCACTCTGACTACCTTTTACGTGGTTAGACGATGCTGTTATTGACGAGATCACACCCAAGCTGATCAGAGATCCACCCAATTCTTGCACCTACATCAAGGCCTTGGGAGAAATGGTGGTGCAACAGGAGAGCAGAAACCTAACCATCGCCATCATAAGGCCCTCCATTGTGGGAGCAACATGGCATGAGCCTTTCCCAGTAAGCCCACTCACCTGGATTCTGTGTTTTGCTTCCAAATTAAAGTTCTTCTAGCCCAATTACTTTCTGATGTCGTTTCTCCCCCTCCTCCTCCTTCTCCTTCTTCTTTCATCTTCTTCCTCTTCCCCTTCCCCTCTTCCTCCTCCTCCTCCTCTTCCTCCTCTTCCTCCTCCTCAGGATTTATAGCTAAGTGCAGCCAATCAAATATGAACCCATTATACTAGGGCAAAATTCCACTTTGGGATCAGGATTTACTCAGCATGCAGCTTCTCTGGCAGTTACCCTGACTGTCCTAGAGTTGAATGGAGATCTTAAATTAGCTTCTAATTACTCTAGCCTCAAAATTCCCATGGGTGATGGCTTCATATCTTGGCTTTCCCACTATAGTTTAAACATACCGAATGTTCTTAATGGTCAAATTGGTAGTATTGCAACTGCCAGGGTAAACAAGGGTTACAAAGTGCACAGAAGGATCCCAGTTTGGGAATACTGTTTTTCCTAACCTCAGTATAGTGCTATGTCCTTTTAAAAGTACTTTGAATTATGCTATCTTCTTTTTTTTATTATACTTTAAGTTCTAGGGTACATGTGCACAATGTGCAGGTTTGTTACGTATGTCTACATGTGCCATGTTGGTTTGCTGCACCCATTAACTCGTCATTTACATTAGGTATATCTCCTAATGCTATCCCTCCCCTAGCTTCCATGCTAGGACAGGCCCCCGTGTGTGATGTTCCCCGCCTTGTGTCCAAGTGTTCTCATTGTTCAATTCCCACCTACAAGTGAGAACATGCGGTGTTTGGTTTTCTGTCCTTGCGGTAGTTTGCTCAGAATGATGGTTTCCAGTTTCATCCATGTCGCTACAAAGGATATGAACTCATCCTTTTTTATGGCTGCATAGTTCTCCATGGCTTGTATGTGCCACATTTTCTTAATCCAGTCTATCATCGATACAGATTTGAGTTGGTTCCAAGTTGTTGCTATTGTGAATAGTGCTGCAATAAACATATGTGTGCATGTGTCTTTATAGTAGCAGGATTTATAATCCTTTGGATATATACCCAGTAACGGGATCGCTGGATCAAATGGTATTTCTAGTTCTAGATCATTGAGGAATCGCCACACTGTCTTCTACAATGATTGAACTAGTTTACACTCCCACCAACAGTGTAAAAGTGTTCGTATTTCTCCACATGCTCTCCAGCACCTGTTGTTTCCTGACTCTTTAATGATCGCCATTCTAACTGGTGTGAGATAGAATTATACCATCTTCTTTAAAGCAAGTCTGTGAAGCTTTGGGGCGGATAAATTCCAGCTCCACCACTTACTGGCAATGCAAAATTTTTGAGTTGTCCCTTCCATAAAACAGGAGGGATACTATTTTGGAGACCTGGTTTAATGAGACAATGTATGAGGAGTGCTCAGTCTCTAGTAAAAGGCAGGTCCTTACTAAAAGGCTCATGGATATTAATCCCTTCATCTTCTCCTCCCGCCTCTCTCCTTTCCCATTATACACACACATTTTGACTTTTACACTATGAGGTAAAGAGACATAATAAGGTCAGCTGAATGGCTTAGGGTTTAGGAAACAAACTCAAAAAGACATTTCCCTCTAACTGTTCTTAAACATAATCTTCCCTGTAACATCTTTAAGCAAGTCAACACACACACACACACTACATATACACACACACACACTACATATACACACACACACATACATATGTGTATCTGGCATGGGCTCTATAGCTGGTCAAAAATGTCAAGAAATGGGCCATTACTACCAATCATGTCTCCAATATTCTCCTAAGGAGGCTAAAGTCAGGACTGAGGTGGAGAAGTATGGTTGGTGAATTGCTTAGCAGATCATAATATAAGAACAAGGTTCAATGTGGCCCTTAAGATGTCATAAAACACCACAAAACCATTCATGACTCCTGCTACGAACAACAATCCTGGCCAAATTTTAATTTTTGCATAGTCAAGGTGCAGAAAATAGCCAATGCTTTGCCACTGATCTTTCAGATCTTAATAATACTGAATTAGATAGTTCTGTTGGCTGGGGTCTCAGTGCTCTTGTTTGAAATTTATTAAGATGAGACTGCAGATGTTTCAAAGATACAACAATCTTCTGAAATGTGTAACCAATAGAAACCTTCTTTCTTTTAGGGTTGGGTTGAAAATCTAAATGGACCTAGCAGACTTATTATTGTGGTATGTTTAAGGATGAAGAAATAACTCTCTGAAATGTAGTGGAGGAATAGTAATAAAATTCTTAGTGCTGGCTTAGCTTCATTGATCCCAAAACATAAATGTTACTTTACTAACAATTGAAGCATATTATTGCAATTATGCTGATCGTAATATAGAAGTAGGAAGAAATTATTTTTATTCTTCAAGGATTTTTATCAGAAAAGCCAAGGTAATGTATTATCAATTACCATTCAGGAATTCTTCTTTAAAAAACTTTTTTAAATTAAAAATATTAGTCTTAATTGAGTGTGGATAATAGAAATCCCATAATTATCTTATTTTTATTAGAAACCTTCTCAAAGTAGTTTTACATTACTTTATTCTCCTTTTGTTTATAATATAATAAATGTGTCTGAAACAATATGTACAACAGACTAATAAATGGTTCTGTTTAGCTAAGACTACTCTAGTCTATACCATGAAAATGTTCGGTCTAAATTTCTAAACATTATAAACAACAATTTTTTGAAGTGCTCTGATTTTCCTAAGAATACAATACTCCTGACTTTCTTAAGTTTACACATGTAAATGAGAAGGAACTATAAATGAAAATATCATACCTCTTCTTTAGCTATTAGAATTTTCAGCTGAGGTTTTATATCATCACCAATTTAGTGTCACTCCTCTGCTCTGCAAACTTCAGCTCTCAATATATAGTTAATACTTTTATTTTCTGGAGATTTTTAGACTTTAAAGAACTCATTCAAGATTGTTTAAGAAACAAAGCAGGGGATGAATTGAAGACTTTCGTTTTAAAAGTAAGTGCAGCACAATTATGAAGATTAAGCCTGGTGAATATGAAAGGCAGACAGCACCAAATGCTGGTGATGCTGGTAGGAATGCAAATGTTACACCACTTACGAAGACAGTTGGTCAGCTTTTTACAAAACTAAGCAAACTCTTATCATATAATCTAGCAATAATGCTCCTTAGTATTTACCCAAAGAAATTGAAAACATGTCCACACAAAAACCTGCACGATAATGTTTATAGCGGTTTAATTCATAATTGCCAAACTTGGAAGCAACCAAGATGTCCTTCATTAGGTAAATGGATAAACTGTAATACATCCAAATAATTAAATGTTATTCAGCATTAAAAAGAAATGACCTATCAAGCCATAAAAAGACATTAAGCAATCTCAAATACATGTTTCTGAGTGAAGCCAATCAGGAAATGCTACGTACTGTATGACTCCAGCTACATGACATTCTGGGAAAGGCAAAACTATGGAGACAGTTAAAAAAAATCAGTGGTTGCCAGGAGTTATGGGGGACAGAGGGACGCACAGATGGAGCACAGAGGAATTTTAGGGCAGTGAAACTCTTCTGTATAATACTATAATTATGGATATTACGTTCAGATTTTTAAATAAATAAAACTGAAATTTAAAATAGAGTAAGAGGGAATCAGGTTAATTTGTTTCAACTGAAATTCATGATCACAAAGCTCCTGTCTTTATGTTTCCCAGAAAAAAATATTCCCTGCCCCATTCACTCTCATCCTTTCCCAGAGTAACAGTTCATACTTATTTTCTCTCCTTCCCATCTTAACTCTTTACTGATGACTTTATTTTCAATTTCACTTGTAAAAAAAAAAAGTGGTCATTTGACAAGAATTTCAAAATCTCTAGTCTCTTCATCTGCTCATCTTTATATATCTATACCTACATTCTGTTATCTCTCCTTTTCATATGGATGAACTGTCTTTGCTTCTAAATAATGTCCACCCTTCTCACTGTGACTAGGTGCTGTGTCTTGTTGTATTAGGATTCTCTAGAGGGACATGACTAATAGGATAAATGTATATATAAAATGAGTTATTAAAGAGTATTGACTCACACAATCACAAGGTGAAGTTGCACGATAGGCTGTCTGCAAGCTGAGGAGCAAGAAAGCCAATCTGAGTCCCCAAATCCCAAAAGTAGGGAAGCCAACCGGGCAGCCTTCAGTCTGAGGCCGAAGGCCTGAGAGCCCCTGGCAAACCCCTGGTGTAGGTCCAAGAGTCCAAAAGCTGAAAGAACTTGGAGTTTGATGTTTGAGGGCAGGAAGCAACCAGCATGGGAGAAAGGTGGAGCCAGTCGAGCCCTTCCATATTCCTCTGTCTGCTTTTATCCTAGCTGTGCTGGCAGCTGATTAGAGGGTGACCACCCAGACTGAGGGTGGGTCTGCATCTCCCAGTTCACTGACTCAACTGTTAATCTCCTTTGGTGACACCCTCACAGACACACCCAGGAACAATACTTTGCACCCTTCAATCCAAGCAAGGTGACACTCAGTATTAACCATCACACCTGTTATCTACTCATGCCTGTCATTCCAGAAATTTTCTTGCTTCTTTTTCTGCATCTGAAATTTTAATTTCTCCACCAAGTTCTTCACATCAAAAAACAAAAAAAGAAGTTATTTCTTTTAACCTGAAAAAAACCAATAACTCATAAAGAGCTAATGAATAAATTTATCTCAAATGTTTGATAACTTTAATAACTTTAATATTCACAGGTTATATTTATCAACAGATTGCCTTAGGAAAAGAAAAAGACTTCCCATAAACTAGAAGAAAACGTAAAATATAACCAACATATAAACAGCAATGTGTTAAAGAATAATACATAAAGAATACAAATAACACAATTAAATAATGAACAAAGGATATAGACATTATACAAAATATGAAACATGAATAGACAATATATAATGCTTCATATTAGTAATCAGGGAAATGCTATTAAACATAGAACAGGATGATGTTTTACATTAGCCAGCTTGACAAAAATTGAAAATTTCAATCACAACTGTCAGAGAAATTATAGAACAAAGGAGACTCTTATACATGACTTGTAAGTAATGAGATGGGGAAGAGGACATAGAAGTCACTGCCTCACAATCAATGGCGGTTACTCAGTTCACTAGTCAGCAACGTGTGCTGTAAGTTTCACAATCATTTTGTGCTTTTTGTGAGAGAAATAGTTTAACAAAAGTATAATTTTTATTAATCTCACAATAAATTTGACCTCACATTTTATGTGATTGAATTCCTTTAGACCCCATTATTTTATTATGGCTAGTTTCCTGTGTTTTGTTTTGTAGATACATATAATAACTTTAAAAGACAGAAAAATTTTGTAACATCAGTTACTTCCGGGAGTGAAAGTGGGAGGAATTTTTTTTTACTATGTATTACTTACCTTTTAAATTTTACACTAGGATAATGTATTACTATATTCTGTAACAAAATTAAAATATAACATTTTAAGAAGTTTTAAATTAAAATAAAAAGTTCAGTAGATGAGAGATTCTAATCAGGAGCTAATGACTGATTCCACTATAAACAACTAGAAAACTAGACAAACTATATAAAAAATCATTTTCAAACATTAGACAATCAGCAGCTAAGGACTGTTTTTCTCCAGTTGAGAAGAGACACAAACAATGCAACCCCTACAATAGCCTCTTATTTCTGCCTGGGGATACTTACTGGACAACACCATTGACAGCAGAACCCAGACAGAGCTTGGAGAAGTCCCTGAATTGAAGAGAGAGAAACATTATTTTAGGAGGGCTAAGTGAGCATCTCAAATTTAAAATAATGGACTATACAAAGAAAGAGCTCCAGAAATCAGCATAGGTTTCCCCTGAGTGACCCAGGGACTGGCTAATTCAGTAAGCATCCAGCCCCGGATCTCATGTCTAATTTCCCCTCCTGAATGTCCAGGATCACCACCTTGAGCTGTCTTCATATCTGCAAATGACAGATTCATCTCTGCCCCTCAGGACTGCATAAACCTGTGCAAATACTTTCTACTTTTTATGAAAAGCACACTAATTTCACAAGCAAGTAGCATTTCCTGTGTTTTGGAGGATCAGCTCTAGCTTTGGAATTCAAAGTTATGGGTTAGACCCTTTACTCACTTCACCTTTCTCTGCATACTTGTGCCTGATTTTTCCTCTTTTTTATTTTTATTTTTGTTTGAGACAGACTCTCACTCTGTCACCCAGGCTGGAGTGCAATGGCCTGATCTTGGCTCACTGCAACCTCCTCCTCCCAGGTTCAAGAGATTTATAAAAGAGCAATATAAATTCCTGTGGAATTCCCCTTTTACTTAAGAATTTAACATCAGCAAATTAGTTTAACAAGGCTGTTTTGTAAGAGGCTGCGGTTGCATTCAAAAATTTGAATGGGAACAACGACTTGTAAAAATTCAACATTTTATTTATTTATTTATTTGAGAGGGAGTCTCACTCTGTCACCCAGGCTGGAGTGCAGTGGCGTGATCTTGGCTCACTGCCACCTGGCCCTCCTGGGTTCAAGCGATTCTTCTCCCTCAGCCTCCCGAGTAGCTGGGATACAGAAATGCGCCACCACGCCCCACTAATTTTTGTAGGCTTCACCATGTCGGCCAGGCTGGTCTTGAACTCCCCACCTCAGGTGATCCGCCTGCCTCAGCCTCCCAAAGTGCTGGGATTACAGGCGTGAGCCACCACACAGGACCAAATGTCAACACTTGAAACTACCACCTGTTATATTCACTGTGTCTATGATTGGACATATCTTTTTCAGTGGCCAAAAAATTATAAAACGGACACAGAATAGTCTTTTCAAAAAATTAAGGATGTTCTTTCTTCTTAAAAGGATTATAAGGCCAGACGCGGTGGCTCACACCTGTAATCCCAGCACTTTGGGAGGCCGAAGTGGGCAGATCACCTGAGGTCAGGAGTTCAAGACCAGCCTGATCAACATGTTTAAACTCCGCCTCTACTAAAAATACAAAAATTAGTCGGGCCTGGTGGTGGGCGACTGTAATCCCAGCTACTAGGGAGCCTGAGGCAGGAGAATCGTTTGAACCTGGGAGGTGGAGGTTGTGGTGAGCCAAGATTGCGCCACTGCACTCCAGCCTGGGCAACAAGAGTAAAACTCCGTATTAAAAAAAAGGGTGTGTGAGGGGGGAGGATTCTAAATATAATTAGAACTGGCATCTAAATTAATTTTAGTCGGTATGTGTGTGTGCGTCGTGTGTGTGGATGTGTGGATGTAAATGGCAGTAAAGGATGGGTGTGTGTGGGTGAGTGCAGGTGTGTCTGGGTGTGTGGGTGAGTGCAGGTGTGTCTGGGAGTGTGGGGGTGTGTGCGGGTGTGTCTGGTGTCTGGGTGTAGGTGGGTATGGGTGTGTACGGGTGTGTGTGTGTCTGTGTGTAAGTGGGTGAGTATGGGTGTGTGTGGGGATGTGTGTGTGTGTGTGTAGGTGGGTGAGTATGGGTGTGCGGGTGTGTGTGTGTATGTGTTTACATTGTGGTATGTGTCTCTTGGGTGCCGCCATTAGGGATTTGGAAGAATGAGGACCATAAACTTGTAAACATTTCTACATGCCTGCTACACAAGAAGTGTACCAAGCATGGTCAAAAGTAACTAAACCAAGTAAAGAAATTAGACATTAATTAAACTTAATGCTGGGCAGGAAAGAAGTATTCAGGCCCAGGTAAATTGAAGAAATATAACCAAATAAATGAAATTTTAAAATTAGTAGAATGAGACAGGAATACTTTTTAAAGTTTTTACATTTCCACTACCATTCTATGAAAGTGCCATTTCTGGCCAGGCTCACACCTGTAATCCGAGCACTTTGGGAGGCCAAGGTGGGCAGATCACCTGAGGTCAGGAGTTCGAGACAAGCCTGGCCAACATTATAAAACCCCGTCTCTACTAAAAATACAAGAATTAGCTGGGCATGGTGGTGCACGCCTGTAATCCCAGCTACTTGGGAGGCTGAGGCAGGAGAATTGCTTGAACCTGGGAGGCAGAGATTGCAGTGAGCCGAGATTGCACCACTGCACTCCAGCCTGGGTGACAAAGTGAGAGTCTGTCTCAAGAAAAAAAAGGAAAAAAAAAGAGGCCATTTTTGATGATGGGGGGCAAAAACCCTTTGCTATTTTGGTAGATTAAAAAGGGTATGTAGCCATTTTAACTTGTATTTATTTGATTACGAAGTGAGGTTCAACTCTTCTTTGAAAGGCGCTTGTAGTTCTCGTTACATAATAATATTTCAACAAGAAAAATAGAACGGCTTTTCCTTAGAGATAAATAAATAAAATAGTATCTCTTTGAGGCCAACATTCATGTTCATTGTTAACTTTTTACAACCTGGAGTTTTCCATTCAGAATATACGGCTTATTCTCTTAGTTCAGAAATTAGATTCTTGCTGCTTGTTTACCCCAGTTGGCTCTGCAGCCCTGAGAAAGGTTTTTCAGTTCTTGCAAACATTTATATGTAGAGTAGATTTTATTACCATGTAGAAACAGAATAGAAGTTCTTGACAAGTGGAAGTCCTCTGTGATAGGGCAGCCTCGAGTGACCAAAACAGGTAAATTGTGAAAATTTTCAAGTATCAGAAGTAACATTTTTTCCTAAGGCAGGAAACAGTATACTCACAAAGAGATTTTTACATCTGCCTGGGTCTTGGTAGAATCATTAAGGGAAATGCGAATTAAATTAAGAAAACTTTCTTAAAAGACTTTTGTCTTTTAAATAGGTAAAATGAGCTGAGAATACAGATAAAGGTGTGTGAATGAGAACAAGTTATGATGACCCCAGGAAAACCCTTCTCCGGGTTACCTGGCCATCAGCTGTGACCCCTCTGAAGGAGGAGGAAACAAGCACTGCTGTTGAGTGAGCCTGCTCTTCCAAGATGCCAACTCATCTTTATTTTTCTTTCCTAAGTATCTTACACATTTACAGGATCATATAAATTTATTTTCCAAAACAAAATATTTTTGTTGTTTTGCCCATTTCAAAACAAACACGTTTATTTTTAAGTTAATAATGTTGTTAAAAACTCAGTTTATAAAATTGAAAGTTGCTAGGAGTGGTGGCTCATGCCTGTAATCCAATTATATATATACATATAGATATAATCTCTTCTATAATTGGTTTCCATTGTCATATATGCCTATTTTAAATTGTATTTTATTTTATTTTTTAAGAGATGGGTCTCACCATGTTGCCCAGGCTGGCCTTGAGCACCCGTGCTCAAGTGATCCTCCTGCCTCAGCCTCCCAAGTAGCTGAGACTACAGGTGTGCCACTGCGCTGGACTAACATATGCCTATTTGTCTATGTTTATACGTATAAACTTACTCATCCATTAATATTAGTGCATAGAATTCTACTATATAGATGTGCCTTAATGTATTTAAGAAATCCTCCTTCTGATGGACTTTTAAGTCTCTACTTTTTTACTATTACAAGCAATACAGCAATGAACATGAATTTCATGTATTTGTCCCACTTTGGTATTTGTTCCCTTGGAAAAAATTCCAAGATCTGGAATTTGAAGATTAAAGAATGAATACTTTTGTCTGGGCATTGTGGCTCACGCCTGTAATTCCAGCACTTTGGGAGGCTGAGGCTGGTGGTTCACCTGAGGTCAGGAATTTAAGACTAGCCTGGCCAACATGGTGAAACCCTGTCTCCATTAAAAATACACACACACACACAAATTAGCTTGGCATGGTAGCAGGCACATGTAATTCCAGCTACTAAGGAGGCTGAGGCAAAAGAATCGCTTGAATCCGGGAGGCAGAGGTTGCAGTGAGCCAACATCGCACCACTGCACTTTAGCCTGGGCGATAGAGCAAGACTCCATCTAAAAAAAAAAAAAAAAAGAATGACCTTTTAATTATAATATGTATTGCCATATTGCCTTCAACACTGTGGGACTAATTTATGCTTCTAACCGAAGTATATGATAATGCCCATTTCCCCACAATCTCACCAATGTTCTAATGGGCTGTCTGTCCTTTGCTTACCTTCTCATAGGCGCTCCTTGTTTTTTCTGATCTTCAGTACCTTGTCATTTAGATGTTTTGCAAATATCCTTTCTCATGGTCTTTTTATTCTGTTGGGCCTTTTGATAAACAGAAGTTTAGGAATTTAGTCAATTTTATTCATTTATTTGTATTAAAGTTATATTCTTTTACAGTATCTTCTAACAGTTTTAGAATTTTTTTTTGACATTTAAGTTTTCATTCTACCTAGAGCTTTTTTTTGTAAGAGAAGGTTTCCAACTTTACCTTTTCCATCTGGATGCCCAGTTATCCCAGAGCTATTTCTTGAGACTTTCAGTCTTCATTGATGTGCCCTGTCTTTGCTTATATGTATGGATCTGTTTCTTAACACTCTATTCTTTTCCATCGGCCTGTTTATCCTTGGGCTAACACAACACTCTATTAATAGCAGCAACTTTATAATCATTGTTATCTGATAAAGCATGTCCTCTCATCTTGTGCAATAGGATTGCCTTTTCCTACACCTTTTTATTCTATGCATTGTCCTGTGTTCAAAAACAAAAAATATAGCTGTTGAGATTTTTATTGGATTGACCATGTGAACTAATCTGGAGAACACTGACATATTTCCATTACATTTTTTTTCTTTTCTTTCCCCTTAAGGTCAGGAAAGCATCACATATTTCTATTATTGAGTCTTCTAAATGTTAAAATGATCTGTCTCTATTTATTTAGATCTCCTTTAATATACCTATATTTTTTAAGAGGTTTTACACACTGTTGTTAGATTAATTTCCAGCTGCTTCTACTTTGAGATGCTATTATAAATGACTTTTTTAGAGAGATGGGGTCTCACTATGTTGCCTAGGCTGGTGTCAAACTCCTGGGCTCAAGCGATGTGCCTGTGTCAGTCTCCCAAAGTGCTGGAATTACAGGCCTGAGCCACCGCACCAACTTTTTTTATTTTTTTGAGATGGAGTCTAGCTCTGTCGCCCTGGCTGGAGTTCAGTGGCATGATCTCAGCTGTTTTTCATTTTCTAATTGTTTGATGGTAGTTTTTATGAATATAGTCCATTTTTGATATTGACCTTATACCCAGCAACCTTGCTAAATAAATTTATTAATTCTAATAGTTTGTAGATTATTTTCAGTTTTTCAGGTATAAAACTGTCCAGAAATAGTTTTATTTCTTTCTTTCAATTGTGTATAACTTTTATTTATGTTTCTTCCCTTATTCTATTGCATAGAACTTCCAGCAGTGCTGACTAGAAGTGTGCCCTGTTCTTGACCTCAAAGGAGAACTTTCAACATTTTGCGTCATGTTTATTCTAGAGTTTTGTAGATCTCCTCTATCAAAATTGGGAAGTTCCATTGTATTTCTAACTTTGCTGAGAACATTTATTAAAAATGGATGGCAAGTGTGGACGCAGGTGGCTCACACCTGTAATCCCAGCAACTTTGGGAGGCTGAGGCAGGAGAATCAGTTGAAGCCAGGAGTTCAAGACCAGCCTGGACAACAAAGCAAGACACTGCCCCTACAAAAAAAGAAAAGAAAAAAAAAAAGAAACCTAGCCAGGCATGGTGGTGCATGCCTGTGATGATCCCAGCTACTTGGGAGGCTGAGGTGGGAGGATAACTTTAGCCCAGGAATTTGAGTCTGCAGTGAGCTGTAATTGTACCAGTGTACTCCGCTGTAGGTGACAGAGTGAGACCCCCATCTCTGAGGGGGTGGAAAAAGAACAGATAGTGGAATTTATCAAATGCCACTTCTGCATTTATTAAGATATTCATGTGATCTTTCTCCTTTAATCTGTTAATGTAGAAAATTATACTGTTTTTACGTATATTGTTTTTAAAATTATAAATAAAAGTCATCCAAATGAGACTTATTTATATACAGATGAGACTGTAGCAAGCCATTCACTTCCATTGGGTCATTTTTTTTTTTTTTTTTTTGCACTTCGTTTTAAGCAATTGAATTTCAATGACAATATAAGCAGGTGTTTATCATGAGTGTGTGCCAGGCTCCTTTCTGAGCACTTTGTGTGTATTATCCCATAAATTATCTCAACACTCAATGAGCTAGCTACTGCCATTCTTGTTGTTCAGCTGAGAAAACTGATTCGGAGAGATACTGAGTGATTTGCCCAGGTCACAGCTGGTAGGTAGCCACGCTAGGATTTACATCTGGTCTATCTTCAAAACATTTGATCTGAAGCCATACCAGTGCGTTTTACTCCATCCACCCATCAGAATCACATGAGAAACAGTCTTATAATACTGTGCCCCAGAGAGTAGCCAGCCAGACTGGTTCTCAGGAATAGTGTACCATCCAAAATACATTTATTAGAAAACAAGAAAGAAGAAAAATAAACAAACCATCCAAGATAAGAAGCCAGAGAAAAGCAGCAAAATAAACCCAATGAAAGTAATGGAAAGTATAAATTTTAAAAAATGATATAGAAGACAATAATTCCCATGAAACTGTAAGATTAACATTCTGGTGTTTAAATTTTGTTTTTTCTTTTTTAGGCATAAAGGCATCACAAGTGGTCACGCTCAGCTACTCTGGTTCCTACAGACTTTCCTCTTTGGGATGGCATCTCTCACCATCTTGACTGCTTACCAACAGAAGCATCAAAACCAAACTTGAGGATGTCCACAAGCTTGCTCTACACATCCTCATCTTTTTTGTGTGTGTTTGTGGGGTAAGGGAGGTGCAGTATTTACTCAGTGATCTTTTCTACTTTCTAGAAAGTGTCTGTCCTTGAAAACTATTTAAGAGCCTCTCATTAGTCATTTTTTCTCTTATATGCTCTGGTTGAGCTTGAATAGACCAGTTGTTGCTTAAGAAAGAAACTGAGAAAGATTTTAGCTTTTCAGTCCTATTTGGCAGAGGACTTCAGCTACCTTCTTATGGACTTTGGCTGTGTTGGTGCCCTCGTGTGCTCTGGGCTAAGCCACATACTAAATTGACTTTTTGGTTTGTATACCCTTGCTCTCGCCTTCTGATGAAAACACCTTACCCTCACCACCACCATCTTTGCTCTCCTTTCCCAAAGCTCTTTCCGCCTTGCTGCACCAGATAAAGTGACACCTCCACCATACGTCAATTCCACACACATTTATTAGGTACCTGTGAGGCAGGATCTTATCCTCTTAAACTTCCACTTCTCACGCTAGAGAGAAAGATAAGGAAGATGAGCAAGTGCCTGGAATGGGGCAGGCTGAGCTGTCACACAGGCACACTGAGAACCCACAGGGGAGACTGCAGAGTGCCTTCCCTGATGCTGCAGCTGGAAGTGATCCTTCCCTCCACCTGGCCCCTGGGACACTCTGCTCTGTAGTGTGCAGTCTGATGGTGCTGCTAGATTGCTTTTTCGCTCAGGGCCACAGCTTAAACAGCTTTACCTTTCCCCTCAGCACCTGTCCCACTACCTTGCACACAGGTACTCTATCCATGTTTATTGAACAAAGGAGGGAAACTGATTTCACTTTCACTTGTTCATTATCATTCCAATTTTTATATGAAAATGGCACAACCCACGTGGGGTACACTCATCTCAAAAGAAAAGCCCAAGACTACCTTTGACTGGTACTACCTTTTTTGTGGGTTCCTTGGTGAGAAACCTTTATCTTTTTCATACTTTTCTATTCTCCATCACTTCTCCAAAAGTGTCTCTTTCCAGCTCTGATTTATTCAAAACACATAAACATTCCTGTTTAGAGATTCTAGTCCACCATGGATTATCCAGCTAGTTAGTACCTCTCCTGTTCACTTGGTTATATTTTATTATTGCTCACAGGTTGGGGAGGCAGAATGACTGTGTCCCCTCACCCTGGCAGAATGACTGTGTCCCCTCACCCTGGCAGAATGACTGTGTCACCACTAGGAGCCATTAGGGCTTCTTCCCGGGAGGACTGCTTGCTTGCTCTTTGGGGACTAGCCCTCATTTCCCTTCCATGGTACAGTGGGGCAAGTGATTTGTATTAGACAAACATTTATAAGAAACAAGCCCCTCCCCAAAAGAGAGTCACCAAGTAAAGCACAAGCCTGAAAGATTATGAACTATGAATTGTCTTTAGTGGACATAAATTTCTGCAAATATATCTCAGTCTTTCCCTCTTTTCTCTGGTGATTAAGAAGTTGGTTTTTGGTAAGGAAAAGGATTTTTGACCATAGAGTTAGGCATCATGGAAATTCAAACCCGATTTCTTAATACCTGGTCTTCTCCGAAGAGAAATAATGATAGTAATAGTGGTGCTGGGAACAATATGGAAGATTATTGAATGAAATGGATTAACTTTAATAAAATGCTGTGAATTATCTCTAGCTGAATGCTTTTCTTGTATTTGTCAGTTTTGATATATTGATGCACATTTGATTCTTTTTCTCAAATAGACTTTACTAAGGAACTGTTTATACACTTCAGATCTCAGTTTGTTTTTCACTGATAAAGAAATGCAAAGCACTGTGGTTGTCGGGTATATATGTATTATATTTGTAGACCTGTCCATGCCCCACTTACCTCCTCCACGTACAGTGAATCACTAGGGTAGACATGAGTGTCTCCTTTTCATTGTAGGATTGTCTCCTTTTTGTTTCTGTTTTTATTCAACATTTGATAAAGTCTATGCACTAAGTATGGAGTGTTCTGGCATTTTTTTAATGCACAAAGCCCAGGATGCATCACTTAACAATGGGGATGCATTCTGAGAAATGCATTATTAGGTGAGTGCATCACTGTGCAGATCTCATAGGGTGTACTCACAAACCTACATGGCAGAGCTGACTACACACTGAGGCTATATGGTACAGTCTGTTGCCCGCAGGCTACAAACCCATACAGCATATAGAGTAGTACTGAATACTGAAGGTAACTGTAACACAATGGTAAGTATTTGTGTACCTAGCTTTTCTTTAGGATGGGATTTAAAAAAAAAAAGCCAAATAGGCTGGGTACGGTGGCTCACGCCTGTAATCCCAGTACTTTGGGAGGCCGAGGTGGGCGGATCACCTGAGGTCAGGAGTTCAAGACCAGCCTGGCCAACATGGTGAAGCCCTGTCTCTACTAAAAATACAAAAATTAGCTAGGCATGGTGGCAGGTGCCTGTAATCCCAGCTACTTGGGAGACTGAGGCAGGAGAATGGCTTGAACCCGGAAGGTGGAGCTTGCAGTGAGCCAGGATTGGGCCACTTCACTCCAGCCTGTTCAACAGAGCGAGACTCTCTCAAAAAACAAAACAAGCAAAAAATAGCCAAACATAGAAAAGGTACAGTAAAAATGTGGTGTTCTAATCCTATAGAACCAGGGTCATACGTGCTGTGTGTCATTGATCAAAACGTCAATATGCAGGCATGCCTGTATAAAATCCTGTCATCTTATTTGGGGTATTATCATGGCTTAGTTGCAAAGGGGGATCTAGTGAGCAAATGGTGCAGATCATTCCATTCATAGAACCATAAACATCTCAGCGAGGTAAAGTAACTTGCCCAGTATCACACAGACAGACATGACTCTGGGCGTCGTGTTGCCCACCTCCCCCATTATCCAGGAGTTTAGTAGTAAGTCTGTGAAGCAACAAATTTAAAAATAGACATCCTGGCTTCGTGTGGTAGTCATGGTGGTGATATGGGAGAAACAGCTTTATGTTGATTTTGGATGAGAAAAGGCCAGAGCCATCTTGGTGGAAGCAACCATGGAAAAAAACCAGGCTAAACTGTTTTCTTACCCACCCCTTAGATTTGCAAAGCACATATAGTTTGGAAAAATAAAAAAGTAAGGACAAAACAAAAAACAAAAAAACAAAAACAAAGCAAAACAAAACAAAAAAGAACCAGACTAATGACCTCAGAACTTAATAGCAGGCCCAATTTATAAACTAACAGTGTTTCCTACATTCAACATGTTTATGATTCCACGCAGTCTAAACATGCTTTAAAGCCACGGTGTTAACATAAGCCTGGGTTAGGTTTAAGAGGTTATATTCCAGATGTGTAAAGAGGCTTTTTAGAAAAACAACTTGCAATCTCAGAAAGCCCTTATATCTTTACACTGAGGGTCTGAGAACACGAAAGAGAAGTCAAAGAACTTGCAACTGAGGTCAGAGAGCACAGTGCAATCACATTTTTATCTTGCTAGGGCCCTTTCTGGAGTCTCATTAATTAAAGCTCTTAGTTTAGCAACCTGGGTTGTGAATATTTTTCCTTCCCTTTCTTGTCAGCACAGTGAAAAAAATGCTAGTAGGGTAGCTGAGTAACACACTTTAAGACAATGGAAACATTCTCTCTGTGAGGCTCCTTGTCCACAACAAATTGTGAATTATGTTTCCATTTTCATCCACGCTGGACAATAGGAGTGTTTAATGTTCACATTTCTCTTCTTGGAGAGGAGATTTGTGCTCTGATCCCACAGTAAGCATTTGAAAATCCTACTCAAAATACTGTATTTGCTACTTCTGCGAAGCATTTTAAGATGGCTTCTAAGCTTTTATAAAGGATTTAAGTACATCAATTGCCTCATTTCTATTTGTAGTAAGTCATTATGTTGGATTAAGGGAAATACTTCTGGTATACAATGAATGCTGTTCAGTCACATAGGTGTGGGAAATGGAAAAGTAATTTTTAAAAGTAAGAAAGAAACAAAAATGCTGTTCAGGGAAATATTCATGAATGAACATTTACTTACTTTTTCCTTGTATTCATACATTGCACAGGATTAAATTGAAGAAATCTTAACATTGTTATAAATGAGAGGAATGGCATCTATAATGTAAGGTAAGGAAGAGTTACCTAAATCTCAAGCACATAGGGGTCACCTCCACAACTTTAATCATGTCTACAATACATCTGAATTTATTATTTATGATTACAAGTATTTTGGTTTTTTTTTTTGTTTGTTTGTTTGTTTTTTTTGAGACTGAGTCTCACTCTGTTTCCTAGGCTAGAGTGCAGTGGTGCAATCTTGGCTCACTGCAATCTCCACCTCCCAGGTTCAGGCGATTCTCCTGCTTCAGCCTCCCAAGTAGCTGGGATTACAGGCACCCACCACCATGCCCGGCTAATTTTTATATTTTTAGCAGAGATGGGTTTTCACCATGTTGGCCAGGCTGGTCTCAAACTCCTGACCTCAAATGATCTGCCGGCCTCAGCCTCCCAAAGTGCTGGGATTACAGGCATGAGCCACTGCACCTGGCCAGAAATTCACTTTTAAAAAAAATTTCCTAAACAAGAATAACTATGAAATTCCAGACTCGGTTTGTTCATTATATTTTTTCTAATACACATGAAAAGAAAGGATAATTATTACCTAAAATCACCATGCATACTGGTGATACATTTGACACACTTAAAAATCAGAAAGTATTACCCTACTAGTTGAGATTGAAGATGCGATTTAACCTGGCTCTAGCCACAGGATTTTAGACAAGTTTGTCACCTTTCCAGACCTTGGTTTCATCATTAAAATAATTGAAATACCACCCCAAACCTGTTAGAACTAACAGACAAATTCAGTAAAGTTGCAAGATGCAAAGTCAAAATGCAAAAATCAGTAGCATTTTCATACACTAACAATAAGTTATCAAAAAAAAAAAAAAAGAAAACAAGCAAGCAATCCCATTTATAGTAGTTAAAAAGAAGTTAAATACCTAGGAGTACATTTAACCAAGGAAGTGAAAGATCTCTACACTGAAAATTCTAAAACATTGACGAAAGGAACTGAAGATGCAAATAAATGGGAAGTCATGCCATGTTCATGTATTGAAAGATTTAACATTGTTTAAATATCCATACTACCCAAAGCAATCTACAGATTCAACACCATCCCCATCATAATTCCAATGATAGAGCAGGGCGCAGTGGCTCACACCTGTAATCCCAGCATTTTGGGAGGCCAAGGCGGGTGGGTCAACTGAGGTCAGGAGTTCAGGACCAGTCTGACCGACATGGAGAAACCCCGTCTCTACTAAAAATACAAAATCAGCCAAGCGTGGTGGCCCATGCCTGTAATCCCAGCTACTCAGGAGGCTGAGGCAGGAGAATCGCTTGAACCCAGGAGGCAGAGGTTGTGGTGAGCCGAGATGGCGCCATTGCACTCCAGCCTGGGCAACAAGAGCGAAACTCCATCTCAAAATAATAATAGTAATAATTCCAACGATATTTTTTCTCAGAAATTAAAAAAAGATCCTAAAATTTGTATGGCACTTTGGGAGGTCGGGGGAGGCGGATCACTTGAGGTCAGGAGTTTGAGACCAACCTGGCCAACATGGTGAAACCCTGTCTGTACTAAAAATACAAAAATTAGCCAGGCATGGTGGTGCCTGCTTGTAATCCCAGCTCCTTGGGAGGCTGAGGCAGGAGAATCACTTGAACCCTGGAGGTGGAGGGAGAGAAAGAAAAGAAAAAGAAGAGAAGAGAAAAGAAGAGAAGAGAGGAGGGAAGGAGGGAGGGTGGAGGGAGGGAAGGAAAGAAGGAGAAAGAAAAAAGAAAGAAGAAAGAAAGAAAAGAAAGCAAGAGAGAAAGAGAGAGACAGAGAAAGAGAAAGAGAAAGGAGGGAAGGAGGAAGGAAGGAAAGAAGGAAGGAAGGAAGGGAGGGAGGGAAAATAAAGCAGAGAAAGAAAGAAACTTTGTAAACTATAACACGTAAAGCACGAGTACAGTTTTCCTGGAAGGTTTGTGATTGACCACATTGCAGCCTGTGCTCCTCATACTTGACCACATGGATGGATAGACCACTTTTGAGTAGCAAAATAGAGAAAATTTAGAACTAGAAATCACATGGTTCAGCCTTGATTTCTGAGGCTTAGCGTTGGTTTCTATATGTACCAACACCGTCAATAAGAAAAACTGCTAGGCACTGTTCCTGGGAGGTTAGTAGTTAATGTCAATAGTATTTGGAGCCATAATACAATCTGGCAAAGAGCGTTGTTCCAGGGCTGAAAATGCTGATGGAATTAGCCAACTGACCTATCCGCATACTCCTCCTTCCCGGAGAAGAAAAATTAGGCATTAGGTCTTTTGAAAGTAAAAAAAACTCAATACTTTTCAAATATTTATTTTGTTCTGGAAACTGATATAAAATATCCAAAATCCACAACTGCTCTTTGAGGTGACCATTATCCCCATTTCAAGTTGAAGATACTATAAAATATTATAAACATGAAGATACTGGCTGGGCACAGCGGCTCACACCTGTAATCCCAGCACTTCAGGAAGCTGAGGCAGGAGGATGGCTTGAGCCCAGGAGTTCAAGAACAGCCTGGGGCAACATGGCCAGACCCAGTCTCTACAAAAAATTAGCCAGGCGTGGTGGCACATGTCTGTGATCTCCGCTACTGGGGAGGCTGAAGTGGGAGGATCACCTGAGCGCAGAGATGTCCAGGCTGCAGTGAGCCGTGATTATGCCACTGCTCTCCAGCATGGGCCACAGAGTGATATCCTGTTTTAAAAAAAAAGGAAAAGAAAAAGACAATAACACACCACCTCATTCATTCATTCTATATAAATACATAAATAAGATACTACATGGTAGAGAATCCCTGCCAAGATCTTCAAAATCAACCCTAAACAGATAGTGGAAGGACAGGAGAGAGACACATGGATTCCTAACACTAAGCAGGGAAATTAGGGAATTTCTCACTACCCTCTCTGAGACTGAAGACTACTGAAATTAGTGTGGGGGTGGAGCCTGGGCATGATGAAGAACTGGTTGGGCAGCCTTTACATTCCGCTCTTGTTCCCTCAAGTTGCCTTCAGAGAGACAGTCATCAGCCTGACTCCTTCAGCATGACAGTTAACAGTGCCCGGAGCACTGCCCACTCATATCAGCAACACAAACTCTGCGGGGGCATGGGAGAGAATTCACAAAAATAGACACAGACAGCCCTCAGGTAGTTCCTTCACCATGCTTCCAACCAAATTGCCAGGACTGTAGATTATCTTATTTCCTCCTAAGGGTTTAAAAGCGAAAACTCCAGCCAAAGGAATGACTAGTGGATTGGCCTCAGACGGGGATTCACTAAGGGGTCTGTGATCCCTGGATTCTCAGTCCTCACATGGCCGGGACCAACACAGATGAGGCTGGCCTTGGCCCCTCCCAGTACATATGACCAAACATTTTCCCAAAGGAAAATGAGCCCACAGCCAAATAACTGGAGGAAAAGTCTACACAAGCAGCATGTATCATCTGATCACATATGTTGAAGCAGAAGGTCCCAAAATCTAATAATGCTCCTTAAATAGGAGACAACAGAAAATGTTAGCAATATGCAGCAAGAACAAGATATCATAAAAAAAACTAAGTGAAAATATTAGGTAGGAAAAATAAAATAGTTAAAACAAAGAATTTGATAAATGGAAATTAATCAAATTTGACAAATGAAATAGAATGGATATAGTTGAAGAAAGAATATATGAACACATGATTGTGGCGGTCTCACAATAAGACTAAAACATAAGAAATAGAGAAGAAAAGCTTGGAAATGTGGATGATAAACATAAAAGTGCGAACACCTGAGCAATAAATTCAGCTGGCGTAAGAAGTAAAAACAGAGTGGAGGAAATACTTGAACAAATAATGGAGATACATTTCCAAAAAAATGACCTTATTTGAAAGGACTTATAAAGAAGAGCTAAGAAGAGATAAGGAAAAATCAATTCCTAGGTACAACTATAAAATTTAAAAATATTAAGTAAAAAAGTAAATAAATAAAAATAATGAGGAGACTGGGCACAGTGGCTTATGCCTGTAATCCCAACACTTTGCAAGGCCAAAGCGGGAGGATCACTTGAGGCCAGGAGTTCGAGACAAGCCTGAACAACATTTTGAGACCCTATCTATCTTTACAAAATATTAACAAAAAAATTAGCTAGTCATGGTGGCACTTGCCTGTAGTCCTAGCTACTGGGGAGGCTCAGGCAGGAGCATCACTTTAGCCCAGGAGGTCAAGGCTGCAGTGAGCTGTGATCATGCACCGCTGCACTCCAACCTGGGCCATAGAGTGAGACCCTCTCTCAAAATAATAATAATAATAATAATAATAATAATAATAATAATGACAAGGAGAAAGCTCTAAAAGCTTCCAGAGAGAGAACAGATCATCTTCAAACTACATAGTAGTTATAAAGTATTAGGAGACAGTAATTTTGAAGGTAGAATTTTATTTATTTATTTATTTATTTATTTATTTATTTATTTATTTATTTATTTTTTGAGACAGAGTCTCGATCAGTTGTCCAGGCTGGAGTGCAGTGATGCAATCTTGGCTCACAGCAACCTCCACCTCCTGGGTTCAAGTGATTCTCATGCCTCAGCCTCCAAGTGGCTGGGATTACAGGCATGCACCACCATGCCTGGTTAACTTTGGTATTTTTAGTAGAGACAGGGTTTTACCATATTGCCCAGGCTGGTCTCGAACCCCTGACCTCAGGTGATCCACCTGCTTCAGCCTCCCAAAGTGCTGGGATTACAGGCGTGAGCCACCATGCTCGGCCTCATTTCACCTCTTGAACTTGGGTTTTCTCTTGAGGCAGTTACACTTGATTTATAACGTTCCTCTCAGCTTTAAAATTCCATAAAATTCCAGAAGCACTATCTACTAGTGAAACAATTTACTGGGAGAAGTAGTGAGTCCCCTGTCACTGGAAGCATTCAAGCAGAGTGAGAATAGCCAGTTGTCTGATACGCTGTAGAGAGAATTCCTACATTAGATAGGAGGTTAATATTTGATTTAAATAATTAAGCCAATAATAAAAAATAGCACTGAGTATGTAATATGTGCCCAGCACTGCTCTAAGCATTTACACACATCTCATTTGATCTTTTCGGTAACTGCATGGGGAGTGGGTACTATCCCCATTGTGCAGAGGCTACTCAGATCAGGGGCAGCACTAACCAGAGAGCTCACAGCTAGAGAGAGATGGAGACTGGAAATCAGATTGCTGTGGCCCCCAGCAAGTCCTAATCACCACCCAATTCTGTCAGCAGCCTCCGGGTTCTGGGATGGGCATGTCTTCCCACTGGCCTGGGATCTGGGTGCAAGGTGACGTGCCTGCCTCCTACCCCTCTCCAGGGCAGGAAATTGAGCATGGAATGCAGACGGCAGGCTTGCCAACAAGGCCACTTTCCCACGGCCTGCAGCAGAAAGAGGCTGCTTTCCGCTGCTTGGGCTGCAAATGCTCTGAGCCCTTCACCGGCAGCCTTATTTTACAGAAAGTGAAAGCTAAAACCTAGAAACGGCAAGCTACCTACCCAACGTCACAGAACAAACAAGTGGCACAGCTGGGAAACATCTGCCTGGAGTCCTCACTTCCAGGCCAGTGCTTGATGTTCTGTTATTTTTTTTTATTTATTTTTTTTTTGCAAGCTCCGCCTCCCGGGTTCTCGCCATTCTCCTGCCTCAGCCTCCTGAGTAGCTGGGACTACAGGCGCCCGCCACCGCGCCCGACTAATTTTTTGTATTTTTAGTAGAGACGGGTCTCAATCTCCTGACCTCGTGATCCACCCGCCTCGGCCTTCTGTTTTGTTTTTAACTAAATCACATTACTGCAGTCGCTTACATGTGACAGTCCCTCAGTTTTCTGTTCTGAATATATCTCTTTTTAATCAAGGCCTATGCATCAACTACAGCAAATTGGAGATTCCCAAGAGTGGCAATTATTCTAAACGAAACTCTGCCTATGATATTCTAAAAATTCTAATCTAACCTCACCCCTGTGTCACACGAAACTCATCTCTTGTTGGTCCTGAATCCACACTTCTGCTCCTTTGAGGCAAGTTTCCCCACTAACATTGACCCCCAATTACATATTAACCTTTGCCCCAGCTGTCACCCAGCAGAATTCCCTCCGCAGTCCTCTCTGCTTATCTGGCCTGCTGGGAACTCACCATCAGACAGCACTGAGAATTCAACAACTGTTTCTTTCTTTTTTTTTTTTTTTTTCTCAAGATCTGCTTTTAGGAGAAGCAATCATTTCAACACTGCATTACAAATGAACTTATACCTCAGTCAGAAACAAGCAACCCCATTCCCCACATAAGCTATTATTATTATTATTTTTTGGACACGGAGTTTCACTCTGTTACCCAGGCTGGAGTGTAGTAGTGCCATCTTGACTCACTACAACCTCCACCTCCCAGGTTCAAGTGATTCTCCTGCTTCAGCCTCCTGAGTAGCTGGGATTGCAGGGGCCTGCCACCATGCCCAGCTAATTTTTGTATTTTTTAGTAGAGACAGGGTTTCACCATGTTGGCCAGGCTGGTCTTGAACTCCTGACCTCAAGTGATCCACCTACCTTGGCTTGCCAAAGTGTCGGGATTACAGGCATGAGCTACCGCACCTGGCCTTTTTTTATTTTTTTTTTTTAATGGGCAATATGTACTTTCAGATCACATGTTGGTTGGGGATCATCCTCCCAGATGCACATTCACGTTCTGGAGGATGACACAGTTAGAAACAGGTTTTAGAATCCAGTGTGACCTTGGGCAGATCTTTCATCTGTTCTCAGTCACATTTGTAAAACATAGGCAAAGACTGTGGCGACCTCACAAAGAATGTTTGCTGAAAGGAGAAATGAGTGCTTTCTGGGCCAATTCATTCTCACCCTGTCGAAGTGAGACCCCATGTCTCACTTCATCCTCAAGTGTAGTTGAAGATTGTCATCAACATCATCCCCCTGGCCCGCCGCCTGTTGGCATCAAGGTCACCTGCAGTGGGTCTTCCACACTGAGGGACTGTGCTCTTTGCCATTCAGCTGGGGCCCAAAGCTCTGTTCTCCACAAGTCATAGGGGGATATTAATGGAAATATTGGCAAATCTTACAATGTAGAAATATAAAAAAGTTCTGTGTTAAAACTATTGTAAGCAAACTGAGAAAACAATCATGAAACTGGGAGAAATATGTGCAATCATATCACAGGCAGAGATGAACTTCCCTAATACATAAAGAGCTTCCACTATTCAATAGGAAGAAGCCTACCAACACAAAAATAATAAACAGAAGTAAAGGATATAAACATCTAGGTCACAGAAAAGGAAATACAAACAGTTCTGGACATTTTATTTTATTTTTTTTAATTAAAAATTTGCCAGGCACGATGGCTCATGCCTATAATCCCAGCACTTTGGGAGGCCGAGGCAGGCGGATCATGAGGACAAGAGATCGAGACCAACCTGGCCAATATTGTGGACCCTCGTTTCTACTAAAAACACAAAAATTAGGTGGGTATGGTGGCGGGTGCCTATAATCTCAGTTACTCAGGAGGCCGAGGCAGGACAATCGCTTGAACCAGGGAGCTGGAGGTTGCAGTGAGCCGAGATTGCACCACTGCACTCCCGCCTGGCGATAAAGTGAGACTCTGTCTAAAACAAAACAAAAAAAGACAACAACAACAAACAAAAACTAATGAACAAACAAAAAACAAACAAAAAAATACTGTACTAAGGGAACAATTTTCCACCTATCGTGTTGAGGAACATATTTAAGAGTTTTATGGCTGGATGCGGTACCTCATGCCTGTAATCCCAGCACTTTGGGAGGCCAAGGCAGGTGCATCATCTGAGTTTGGGAGTTTGAGACCAGCCTGACCAACATGGAGAAACCCCATTTCTACTAAAAATACAAAATTAGCCGGGCATGGTGGCGCATGCCTCTAATCCCAGCTACTCGGGAGGCTGAGACAGGAGAATCGCTTGAACCTGGGAGGCAGAGGTTGTGGTGAGCTGAGATTGTGCCATTGCACTCCAGCCTGGGCAACAAGAGTGAAACTCCATCTCAAAAAAAAAAAAAGAGTTTTATGACATGCTTGTTAGAGCTGTGTGAGGAAAAAAGCATTTCTATACACTGAGGATGAGAGGATATATTAAAGTCACTTCTTCTGTAAGGCAATTTGGCATTATCAATCAAAATCACAAATGCACAAACCCTTTGACTCAGGAATACAGATATATTCTGATGCATGCCAAAAATGTATGAACAAGATTTTTCATTGCAAAATTGTTTGTCATCTTCTTATACAGTGTATGAATACAAGAACTCTGGAAATGTACACCCATATTATTGTATAATGCAAGCATACATTTTTATTCTGCTTGTATATTTTTTTCTTAAACTTATACATATTTACTGATAAAATAAGCTAGCATTGCTTTTACATCATGTTTAAATATGTAAACGTCAATCTGTGTTTAACAAAATTGATTTATTGCACTGATGAATTTTATTTCAAAAGTTATCTTTTGGCTGGGCGAGGTCGCTCACACCTGTAATCCCAGCACTGTGGGAGGGCGAGGTAGGTGGGTCACCTGAGGTCAAGAGTTTGAGATCACTGTGACCAATATAATGAAATTCCGTCTTTACTAAAAATTTACAAATTTACAAATTTGCCAGATGTGATCGTGTGGGCCTGTAGTCCCAGCTACTCAGGAGGCTGAGACAGGAGAATCGCTTGAACCTGGGAGGCAGAGGTTGCAGTGATCCGAGATTGTGCCACTGCACTCCAAGCCTGGGCAACGGAGTGAAACTCCATCTCAAAATTAAAAAAAAGTTATCTTTCATGGTATGCCCACTTTAGAATAATTTCAAAGATCTTTAGGTAACTCAAAACCTTGTACTCATTTAATTGATGGATATTTGCTGGGTACATAAATAATTTCTAGGAAAAATGAAAGACTAAAACATGCATTATGAAGCACAATTTAAGTGTATAAACTTTTGCTTCTTTATTTTTATTTATTTATTATTTTTATTTTATTTTATTTTTTATACTTTTTTTTTCCTTTTTGTGGAGATCAGGGTCTTGCTATACTGCCCAGGCAGGTCTTGAACTCCTGGGCTGAAGCTATCCTCCCACCTCTGCCTCCCTAAGAGCTGGGATTACAGGCGTGAGCCACTACACACAGCCAAGATTTAATGTTATGACTGAGGTAAACATGAATGAAAGCAAATCTTCAAAATATCTATGATTTGATCTCATGTATATACATTTGTGTCTGAATATACATTAGATAGATGGGGAATGCATAGATGTGGAACAGGCAGAGCCTAGCAAGCCGAGGGGACTGGACCTGAATCTTGGACAGAGGGAATTCGTAACAGAAAAGACTTTCATGTTTTTCTCTGTATAGTTAATTACTTTATGCTCGACCACAACAAGAATGTATTGTATATGTTTTTTGTGTTTTTTTTTCCCTTAATCTTAAATTCAAAATATAAGGTAGCCTCCTGGCTGTGAGCTACAAGAATCCTTATGGGTTTGGCAGTTCTTTGACAACTTCTCACCTGGCTAAATTATCAAGGAATGTCCTACCACCAAGCATGAGAAATTCTTGGCATTCCTGAAATAAATTCTTCTTCTGAGCCAGCTCACGTGGGCATCATAATCTCCTTGAAGGCTTTAAAAAGATTTAGATCTGAGTCTGTCTCAGATTCTCGGGCTCAGAACCAGAATTTCTTCATCTGAGGCTATTATCTTGCTCTGGAGGAGGGAGTGAGAACTGGATCACTGGTTACGGTGATGACTGGGACAACAGCACAGCCACAGACAGGAACACAGAAGGCAGAGGCAGCCTTGATCTGCAAGGGCTCCAGTTAACCCCAATGGGGACCCTCGATGGACAAAGGCACTCTCCTAGGCTTGGTGATGAAAGTATTCCTCTTACAGCCAGGCAAGGCACTCAGGGCTCTGCAGCAGAGAAGTTAGAGCTGTAGCTTTTTTGCTTGGTGTTTTCACTAAAACTTAATTTCTTGTTGCACTTGTTGGATGGGCATGTCCCATAGGGGAAGTTTCCACTACTGTGTTCTAAACTTTGGACTGCTTGTACCATCTTACTTGTTCCCTCATTAATAATGAACTAAATAAAACCTTTAGTATATGCTAATTTCATATCTTTACGAGAGTCATGACTTTACCTTTTTGTTTTGAAAAGTACCTTTTCACATTGCTATCACTTCCTTACCAGAGCAGTGAGTGTCTGGGTCTCCCTCTTAGGGGCAGACACTGTTCCATGTAATTAGAATTAATTTCTTGTTCTTGGTAGGCAGAGAAAACCTTCCACACTCCCAGGAGACAAGGGTTCAGATCTTGTGCCATGGCTGAGAGTGATGCTGAGGAAGACACTTCTCTCTAGTCTCAGTTCGCCTGCCTGTGAAATGGGCTCATAACAAACTCCTGATCCCAGGCTCAGTCGCCTTGAGCCCATGACCTCACCCAACCCCTCCATCCAACTCAACTCGGGGGGCGGCCCCCTTTCCTCCGAAGGCGCCCGGGTGGCAAGTCGGTGCCTCAGCTCCCGGGGGTTTCTGGGTTCTGCGCTGCCCACGGGGTGCCCAGGGGCCTCTGGAGGGGGCGGGTTCTCTCCAGCCAGAAAGCCCGGAGCCGCCCAGGAATTTTGGCTCGGACTGAGAGCATTGTCTCCAGGGCCTGCCGGGCACGATCCGGGAAGGGCGGCTGCGGGCACATGCCGTGCTGCTTTCAGCCAGGCCGGCACCATGCGGCCCCTGCTCTGCGCGCTGGCCGGGCTGGCCCTGCTCTGCTCCGCGGGCGCTTTGGCCGGTGATTGGGGCGCGGGGCACTGCAGGGGACACGGAGCCGGGGAGATCCCCAGATGGCGAGGAAGGAATGAGCGAGAGAGAGAGCTGGACACAGCAGCGAGATGGAGAGAGAGGCAGATACAGGGAGGGACGGATGGAGAGAGAGATGGTGAGAGGAAACAGACTCAGAAAAAGGCAGAGAAGTAGAGCAACGGAGAGATAAAGGAGAGAGGGAAGAATAAACAGTGAAAAGGAAAAAAGGAGAGGCCGAGACAGAAAGAGGCTTTCCCTGAACAGATATGAACCAAGATAGAAAGAAAAAAGAGTTTGAGAGACAAAAGAGAAGAAGGAAAGAGAAAGACTGACTAAAATGGCAAGGGGTGGAGGGAGAGAGGATAAGAAAAGAGAAAGATTTGAGAGAGACCAAAAAAGAGAGAGAGAGGGAAGCTCGATGCCTGGAGTAGAGCTGGCAAGAGAGAAGGAGCCAGGATCTGGGGTGGGAGGTCACAGCTGCTGGGTCGGGCAGCCCCGGAGGCCAGCTCCATCTCAGAGGGCCTGCGGAGGCTCAGCCCTGGCTTTATAGGACATTGCTTAAGAAGCCAGACTCCAAAGGGTGAGTGACCCAGGCCAGCCCAGCACAGCCTTAAGGAGCCAGGCAGGCGAGTCCAGGAGAAAGGCCACCGACTCACCTGCCACGTGGCCTCAGGTGGTTCTGCAGTTGGTGAAGAAGTCAGCCTCCTGGTTTCCAGGGAGCTTCTCTGGGGAACTGAGCTGTTTGGGGTAGAGACGGGGGACTGGATGGAGATGGAGAGCTGTGCGGGAGGGAGAGGCTGTCTGGGTACTCCATTAGCTGGGTTCCTTGCCTTTCGCTGTCCCCTTTCTTCCCCCCACCTCCCCCCTCAGCTTAATGTTGCCCCTTCACAGGTGAGGCTCAGACGGGGTGACTCATGTCAAGTGACTTACTAGACTGCAGTCTGGGGCGGTACACAGATGCTCATTCCACCACCCTGCACATTGCATAGGACTTTACAGTTTACAAGCCACAACCCCACCTAGCCACGGATGGCTATTGCTCATTCCAGTTGCCCAGGTGAGGGAAAAGCTCAGATCTCATGGTGGTGCCAAGGCAGAGCCCTCACAAAGCATCCAGGCCTCCTGCACCCCCAGTCGTTGCCACGACCTTGGCAGAAGTGCCCTGTGCTAAGATAGAAGCCCCTAGCGCCTTTCAGGGCCCTCTGAACTGTGGGATTAAGCACTTGGGGAAAGGATCCAGACCAGCCCTCAGGATCCCCTGCCTTGGGTGAGTCCCTTCCCCTCTCTGGTGCTGTTTCTTCCTCTATAAATTGGGGAGAATGATACCCACCCCACAGGGCTGGCCTCAGGGATTAGATGAGAGAGGAAGTGCCCAGCAGGGAACATGCATCAACGCACATTCTCTCAGATGACTCCACTGATCTCTCTGAGCCTCAGTTTACTCACCTGTTAAAAGATGACCACCAAAGGCTTCCTCACAAGCTGCATGAGGAGTGGCTGGGACTCTGCCCAGCGTAGAATACAGGCCCCAGTACACACCCTCCCATCCCCCTCTCCTTTACTCCCTCCCAGCTCAGCCCCAGGATCCAGGAGCTAAAGGCACAAAGCAGCACCTGTGTTTCTCCCGGAGGGAGGAGGGAGCATCCTGCCCACAAGTGGCTACTTTTGGTGCCCCTTTTAGCCACAACTTGTACAGAGACTTTAAACCCACTTTTAAACATTATTTTTCTTTCTGATTATGCATGCTCATTGCTACAGAAAAAGAAGAAAAGGAGTTTGGGAGGCCGAGGCGGGCAGATCACGAGGTCAAGAGATCAAGATCAGCCTGGCTAACACGGTGAAATACTGTCTCTACTAAAAATACAAAAAATTAGCTGGGCCTGGTGGCACAAGCCTGTAGTCTCAGCTACTTGGGAGGCTGAGGCAGGAGAATCACTTGAACCTGGGAGGCGGAGCTTGCAGTGAGCCGAGATCAAGCCACCACATTCCAGCCTGGGTGATAAAGCAAGACTCCGTTTAAAAAAAAAAAGAAGAAAAGGAGGAAAGTATTCATGTGTTAGTGTAATTTCACATTGACTTCCTACATTTTTGTGCATATTCTTTCAGATTTTAGAATTAACTTTTGATTATGAAAACTTAACTTTTGATTATGAAAACTATTGGATACAAAAAATACAAAATAATAGTATATGAAAGAATGATATAATGTACTATTAACCCTGCTTCAACAAGTATCAGTTCATGGGCAGTTTTATCTCATCTATAGTCTCCACCCTTTCTCCCCTCCCTGGATTATTTTAAAGGAAATCCAGGCATTGTATATTTTCTTTTTTTTTTTTTTTTGAGACAGGGTCTCATTCTGTCACCCATGCTAGAATGCAGTGGCGCAATCTCAGCTCACTGCAACCTCCGCCTCCTGGGTTCAAGTGATTCTTCTGACTCAGCCTCCCCAGTAGCTGGGACTACAGGCACGTGCCACCACACCTGACTAATTTTGGTATTTTTAGTAGAGACAGGGTTTCACCATGTTGGCCAGGCTGGTCTCGAACTCCTGGGCTCAAGCGATCCACCTCCCTCGGCCTCCTAGTGTGCTGGGATTATAGGTGTGCACCACCATGCCTGGCTAATTTTTGCATTTTTTAGTAGACACAGGGGCAGGGCGGTTTCGCCATGTTGGCCAGGCTGGTCTTGAACTCCTGACATCAAGTGATCAGCCTGCCTTGGCCTCCCAAAGTGCTGGGATTACAGGCATGAGCCACCACACTGGGCCCCAGTCTTGGTTTCTTTTAGCAGCACTCAGAGAAACCTTTATCCCTGATGGCTTTTTAGACCATGAGCCACCGCACCTGGCCCTTTTTTTTTTTTTTTTTTTTTTTTTTGAGAAGGAGTCTCGTTCTGTTGCCCAGGCTGGAGTGCAGCAGTGCGATCTTGGCTCACTGCAAGCTCCACCCCCGGGTTCACGCCATTCTCCTGCCTCAGCCTCCCGAGTAGCTGGGACTACAGACGCCCGCCACCATGCCCAGATATATATATATATATATATATATATATATATATATATATATATATATATATATATATATATATATTTTGTATTTTTAGTAGAGACGGAGTTTTACTGTGTTAGCCAGGATGGTCTGGATCTCCTGACCTTGTGATCTGCCCACCTCGGCCTCCCAAAGTGCTGGGATGTATACGATGTATTTTTATTAACTATAGTCATATGCTCTACCTTAGATCTCTAGAACTTACAGCTGAAAGTTTCTACCCTTAGACGAACAACTTCCCATTTCCCCCGCTCCCTGCCCTCTGGTAACCACCCTTCCACTCTGTTTCTGTGAATTCTACTTTTTCAGGTTCCACAGAGAAGTGAGATCACATGATATTTGTCTTTCTGTGTCTGATTTATTTCACTTAGCATATGTCCTCCAGGTTCATCCACATTGTCATAAACGGCAGGATTTCCTTCTTTTGAAGGTTGAATAGCATTCCACTGCATATATATACCACATTTTATTCATCCATTCATCCATCTATAGACACTTAGTTTGCTTCCATATATGTATTTGTTTTGAGACAGAGTTTTGCTTTTGTTGCCTAGGCTGGAGTGCAATGACGCCATCTCGGCTCACTGCAACCTCCGCCTCCCAGGTTCAAGCTATTCTCCTGCCTTAGCCTCCCAAGTAGCTGGGATTACAGGCACGTGCCACCACACCGGGCTAATTTTGTATTTTTAGTAGAGATGGCGTTTTCTCCATGATGGCCAGGCTGGTCTCGAACTCCCGACCTCAGGTGATCCGCCCACCTCGGCCTCCCAAAGTGCTGGGATTACAGGCATGAGCCACCGTGCCTGGCACTCATCAATGTTCTTAATGGAATCTAGAATGGTGACTCCTTTCCACAAGGCTTTCCATTTACTTTGCACAGGTCCATCAGAAGAATCACTATCTGTGGCAGCTTTAGCCTTATAAAATGTATTTCTTAACTAATAAGACTTGAAAGTCAAAACCACTCCTTGAACCATGGGCTTCAGAATGGATGTTGTATTGGCAGGCATGAAAACAATATTCCTCCCCTTGTACACCTCCATTAGAGCTCTTGAGGAACCAGGTGCGTTGTCAAAAAGAAATAATAATTTTGAAAGAATTCTTTTTTTTCTGAGCAGTGTGTCTCCACAGTGGGCTTAAAATATTCAGCAAAACACACTGTAAACAGATGTCTTCCAGGCTTTGTTGTTAAATTGACAGAGCACAAGCAGAGTAGACTGAACGTAATTCTTAAGGGCTCTAGCATTTCTGGGATGATAAACAAACAACAGCTTTAATTTAAAGTCACCAGCTGTGTTAGCCCCTGAGAAGAGTCAGTTGTCCTTCGAAGCTCTGAAGCCAGGCAGTGACTTCTCTCTAGGAGGGATGTCCTAAATGGCATCTTCTTCCACCAAAAAGCTGTTTCTTCTACATTGAACATCTGTTGCTTAGTGGAGCCACCTTTATCAATGATCTTAGCTAGATCTTCTGGATAACTTGTTGCAACTTCTACATCAGCACTTGCTGCTTCACCTTGCACTTTTTTTTTTGTTTTGTTTTTGAGACAAAGTCTCACTCTGTCCCCCAAGCTGGAGTGCAGTGGTGTGATCTCAACTCACTGCACCTCCGCCTCCCAGATTCCGGTGATTCTCCTGCCTCAGCCTCCCGAGTAGCTAGGATTACAGGCATGCCACTACGCCCAGTTTATTTATTTATTTATTTATTTATTTATTTATTTATTTATTTATTTATTATTATTATTTCTTGAGACAGAGTCTTGCTCTGTTGCCCAGGCTGGAGTGCAATGGTGCAATCTCGGCTCACTGCAACCTTTGCTTCCCAATTCAAGCGATTCAACTGTCTCTGCCTCCTGAGTAGCTGGGATTACAGGCACGTGCCACTGTGCCCGGCTAATTTTTGTATTTTTAGTAGAGACGGGGTTTCACCACAGTGCCCAGGCTGGTCTTGAACTCCTGACCTCAGGTGATCCACCTGCCTCAGCCTCCCAAAGTGCTGGGATTACAGGTGTGAGACACCGTGCCTGGCCCAATTTTTGTATTTTTAGTAGAGACGGGGTTTCACCATGTTGGCCAGGCTGGTCTCGAGCTCTCAACCTTGTGATCCACCTGCCTCGGCCTCCTAAAGTGCTGGGATTATAGGCGTGAGCCACCGCGCCCGGCCAACCTTGCATTTTCATATTATAGAGATGACTTCTTTCCTTAAACCCCATGAACTAACAACCTCTGTTAGCTTCAAACTTTTCTTCAGCAGCTTCCTCACCTCCCTCAGCTTTCACAGAACTAAAGTGAGCTAGGGGCTTGCCCTGGATTAGGCTTTGCCTTAAGGGGATGTTGTGGGTGATTTGATGTTCTAACCAGCACTAAAACTTTTTCCACATCAGCAACAAGGCTGTTTTGCATTCTTATCATTTGTGTATTCACTGGAGAAGCACTTTTAATTTCCTTCAAGAACTTTTCCTTTGCTTTCACAACTTGGCTAATGGGCACAAGAGGCCTAGCTTTCAGCCTAGGTCGGTTTTCCTTATGCTTTCTGCACTAAAGGTAGCTGTTTCTGACTTTTGATTGAAAGTGAGAATCATGCAGTTCTTCTTTCCACCTGAACATGTATAGGGCACTGCATGGTTATTAATTAGCCTAATTTCAATATTGTTGTGTATCAGGTAATAGAGAGGACTGAGAAGAAGGAGCGAGCTGGGAATGGATGGTGGACAACGCAGTCAGAACACACATAACTGGCAGGGTGCAGTGGCTCATGCCTATAATCCAGCACTTTGGGAGGCCGAGGTGGGAGGATTGCTTGAGTCCAGGAGTTGGAGACTAGCTTGGGCAATATAATGAGACCTCGTCTCTACAAAAAATTTACAAATTAGCTGAGTGTGGTGGCACATGCCTGCTGTAGTTATTCGGGAGGCTGAGGTGGGAGGATCGCTTGAGCCCGGAAGGTGAAGGTTGCAGTGAGCTGAGATCATGCCACCGCACTCCAGCCTGGGTGACAGAGAAAGACTCTGTCTCAAAACAAAACAAAACGAAACAAAACAAAAAGACACATAGACAACATTAAGTTCACCCTCTTATATCAATGAACTTGTAAACAATTACAATAGCAACATTAAAGATCACTGATCACTATAACATGATAATGAAAACATCTAAAATATTGTGAGAATCAGCGAAACGTAATGCAGAGACAGAAAGTGAGCATATGCTGTTAGAAACACGGCACCGCAAGACTTGCTTGACACAGGGTTGCCGCAAACATTCAATAGGTAAAAAACAATATCTGCAAAGTGCAATAAAGCAAAAACACTATAAAACTTAGTGGGCCCGTACATGAGATTTCTCTGCATTATTTCTTTTTTTTCTTTGTAGAGATGGCGTCTGTCATCCAGGCTGGAATGCAGTGGCACCATCACAGCTCACTGCATCTTTCAACTCCTGAGCTTCAAGGGATCCTCCTGCCTCAGCCTCCCAAGTAACTGGAGTCACAGGCATGGGCCACCACACTGCGCCCAGCCTGTCTTTTCATTCTTAACAGTGTCTCTGGCACAGCAGACATGTTTCACTTTAATGAGGTCCATCTTGCCCATTTTTTCTTTCGTAGATGGTGTTTTTGTGTTGCATCTAGAACCTCATTGCCAAACCCAAGGTCACCTAGATTTTCTCCTATGTTATTAAACTTACAGAAGTTTGCTAGTTTTGTGTTACATTTAGGTCTATGGTCTGTTTTGTGTTAATTGTTGGGAAAGGTGTAAGGTCAGTGTTTATATTCATTATTCCACATGTGGATGTCTAGTTGTTTCCAGCACTATTTATTGTAAAGACAATCTTTTCTCCATTAAATTGCGTTTGCTCCTCTGCCAAAGATGAGTGGCCTCTATTTGTATGGGTCTATTTCTGGGGTGCTTATTTTGTTCCATTGATCTATTTACCTATTCTTTTGCCAGTACTTCACTGTCTTAATACATACAGAAGACAACATAAACAAAGTAGGAAGTCAACTATAAATGAGAACAAAGTACTTGCATTTTTCCCCCAAAGTATTTTAACCAAACATTTTGCAAAAAATCAAAATGCAAAAATATAAGAATGTCAACAAATTTGCTCAACTATAACAGAAAAAGAAAGCTTACAAGAGAATGTAGAGCTCAGAGTTTCTATTTACTGTTCATTAGATAAATGGTTTAAATGGACTGAAAACCCTGAAAAACTGCTCAAATTATAAAGAATCTATGAAATACTATGGAAGCATTTTCTAACCTGTTTCTGAAACCTCTGAAAAAAACTCATCATGTATCAATACAAGCTAACTTGCTTTACAGAAATAAAAGGAAAACTATACATTTCATTACATGTATACATGTGTCTTTCACATACTTGTAACTCAGAAAACCATGCTTTCACAAATATAATAATAGAAATACCATAATATTAGCAATCATAACATTCGTGAAACTATAAAGAAAAAACTGGCCGGATGCTGTCTCTTACACCCTAGAACCCAGGTTCTGGTCAGGGCTTCTCTTGGTTGTATGAATTCACCTCATGGAACTGTCGTAAGACTCAAAAGAGATAGTGTAAACAAAAGCATCCTATAAACTGTATTAGCCTGTAGATATGTGGTTCATGTAAATCCAGGCACTTTAATGACTGACAGCTGCCCCGGCAGAACCGCTTGTCTTGGTTCTTTTTTTTTTTTTTTTTTTTACAGGGAATCTAAAGAATTCTTTTATTCTGTTAAACAGAATAAAAAGGAAAAAAGAACACAGACATCACAGTGATGAACTTTCACAAAGCTAACAGATTTGAACTACAGAGCAATGGAATATTCATAAGCAAGATGTCATGGTATTAATGACCAAATGGCATCCAACTAGGTTTTCTAAGCTCAAAAACATTTAAAATCTCAGACTTAAAATTCAAATCTAGACATGACAATTGTAAGCACACCACTCAGTCATTTAAAACTATGCAGTGAGTGCTACTCCTGATTAAATATTTTTTTCTTGTTATTTTTTTCTCCCAAGATTTAGAATGTCACATCTCATGTTCTTACTAGTAATCACACACAGGATTAAAAGCCCAACCAAACAAGAAAGTATTCTTTTTATAATGTGTTCTTAAAAGAAGAAAGAAAAATTAAATGTGAACATTTTGTACAACAGTTGCTGAAGAACAGCAACACCAATTCTGAAATATCATGTGGACTATACAAAAAGGCACGGCTCATGGAACCAAGTATGTAACGCTACAGCATTTGAACATCAGTCTCCAAAAGTTGGTGATATTACATCCTGTACACAGCTCTGTGTCTCTCTACCCGGCTAGCGCATGCCCAGGATCTGTCTGCTTTTTAGTTGATAATTTTTCTCAAAATCTGACAGGGCTTGAGCCCGCAGCTGGGCAGCATGAAGCATGAAGCAAGGACCTTCAGGTCCTTGCACTTGGACTTAGATGTGAGCTGACTCTCAGAATTCTCACTCCTCATGACATTCTCTTTACTTTCCCCACTGAAATGAACTTTCTTCTTAATTACTGAGGATGGAAGATTAAGAAGTTCTGGACTACTTGCCAGAGACAGGAACTTCTGTTCCTTTAGCAAGCTGTAATTCTTCAACAGATTTTCTGGTATAGTCAGTCTGTCCTCTGCTAGTCTCTCACAAACACAAAGCTCCTGTTCTTTCTGCTCCAACCTTTCTTCTCCTGCTTTGAGAGCTCGCTCTTGCTCCTCTAACTGAATTTCCTTTAGTTTCAGCTCACTCAATACAGGGCTGGAATCCGGCAATTTTTCTGGCTCTCCTAATTGTCGCCCTCTTCTCTCAAGATTTCTTCTTTGCTCTTCTGCAACCAAATCTGCTATTAAAGGGTTCTCGAGAATTTCTTCAACAGAAGGTCGATGGTAATCCTTTAACATCCTCATAATAATTTCATTCAATTCATCAGAGTAACGGTATAGAATTCACCTGAATTTGCCTTCTCTGATTTTCCCAGCGAGTTCTTTCTGGCTAAAAGCTCTAAATGGAGGCATTAATGCATGCGACTCATACGGCAAGCAGCCCAATGACCAGATATCTGGTTTCTCATTGTAGGACATGTGATTCGTTTGTTCAGGAGACATGTAATAAGGTATGCCAACAAATGTTTTTGCAAAACTCGTGTCGTGGTTTAATATTCTGGCTAGCCCCAAATCTCCAAGCTTGACGTTTTGCTTGCCATCCAGGAAAACACTGGCTGGTTTCAGATCCCGACGCACTACAGTATGATCACCATCACTTCGTCTGTGGCATTACTTCAGGGCCAGAGTCAACTGAGTTGTCACTCGAAGAACAAACTCTTCATCTAAGTATTGCCTTTCCTTGGTTCCCTTTGTAATTACACTAGCCAGGTCTCCTTCTTCACAATATTCCATTACAACGTACAGTGTTGTGTTGGTCCGGTCAATAATACGATCATAGTAATGAACGATGTTTGGATTTTTCAGTTTACAAAGCAAATTCACTTCAGAAATAAGCATCTGTTTCTCAGCTTCTGTCATGAAGCCATAATCAAGTTCTTTCCAAACTAATATCTTGCTGTCACTCTTCCTCCGGATCTTCCGGCAGCGGCCATAGGAGCCTGTGCCAATGGTGTACAACACTTCACAGTCCTCAGCCCGGGACGGCATGGCCGGCCAGTCACCAGAGTGGCGCTGCCTCATGCAGGTTGTGCCCCCAAGTGCGGAGCTCCAGGGACCGGGAGCTCCAGGGACCTGGATGGAGAAGCCCCCGAGCAGCACTGACCTGCCACCCCTGCCTTTGGCCCGGTTTCTCTCTCAATTCTTAAGCAACTTATATTTACAAGTCCAGTTCAAAAGTTATATTCTTGGAAGCCTCCGCATCTCACCTGTCCATCCAGGCAGAACTAATCCATCTACTCTCTAGTATTATGCTCTCATAACTCTTGGCTCTTCACCAATTCATTCAAGGGTATAATGAGCATTTAAAATATGTGAGGCATCAGGCTATGCACTGGAGAAAAAAATCTTAAATGTGTAAAGCTTCCAAAGTTTTCTCACATACATTATCTCATTTCATACTTTAAAAAAGTATCCCATAGGATGATAATTTTTTTTTAACAATTTCTCTAACCAGAATGAATTCCCAGGGGGTAGAAACTAAGTGTGATTCATCCTTGAATCCCTAGAGTCTAGTGCAGTGCCTAGCACACCGAAGACACTCATTAAATGCTTGATAAAGGAGTAACAGACACTTGTTTAATTACTAAAATATCAATCAGGGTTAACACTGAAATAATCTTTCCACAAAGTTTCCATAGGGGAAAGGGGAAAATACATTATATGAACACATCTGTGGAGCGAAAATTCCTCCCTACGACAGAGCATCTCCAACTCAAGTTTAACTGTTTAACAAAGCCATGTAGCAACTGAAGATGGATTTGATTTCACTATTAGAGTAATAAGCTCTAACTGAAGAACAGTGAGTTCTGCATAAAAGCTCCTATGCACATCATTCTGCTTGGTAAAACTGGACGTTATTGCACAAACATTAAAATAAACATTTAAACTTGGCCGGGTATGGGTGGCTCATGCCTATAATCACAGCACTTTGGGAAGCTGAGGCGGGTGGATCACGAGGTCAGGAGATCGAGACCATCCTGGCTAACACGGTGAAACCCTGTCTCTACTAAAAATACAAAGAATTAGCTGGAAGTGGTGGCACGTGCCTGTAGTCCCAGCTACTCGGGAGGCTGAGGCAGGAGAATCGCTTGAACCTGGGAGGCAGAGGTTGCAGTGAGCCGAGATCGTGCCACTGCACTCCAGCCTGGTGACAGAACGAGACTCTGTCTCAAAAAAAAAAAAAAAAATTAAAAAAGTTAAATTGACAGACTATATAAATGGGTTTATCATCCTTTTCTCCTTTAGTATTTACTTTTCTTAATCTCACATCATGTTCTGCTTTACATAAAAAAGCCTCACAGTTTACAAAGCCCTTTCCCATATATGGTCTTAGCAATCCTGTAGATACCATCAAAAGCATCTTGGAGAGGTAGTGCAGTACTGGAGAAGCAACACAATGAGAAGACCTGGGCTTGAATCCTAGCTTTTACTAGCTGTATGACCTTAGGGATATATAACTAAAACTGCAGAAGAAATAAAAATGAATATGTGTCTAAAATTATAGAAGAAATAAAAAATGAAAACATTTTTAATGTTTTTAAAATGCCTACAACTTTGGATCACACAAATGACCAAGCTGATGAACCTTAAAAATTCAAAATATCGGCTGGGTGTGGTGGCTCTTGCCTGTAATCCCAGAACTTTGGGATTCACCTGGCTAACGTGGTGAAACCCCATTTCTACTAAAAATACAAAAAATTAGCCAGGCGTGGTGGCACATGCCTGTAATCTCACTTACTTGGGAGGCTGAGGCAGGAGAATCTATTGAACCTGGCAGGTGGAGGTTGCAGTGACCCGAGATTGCGCCACTGCACTCTAGCTTGGGCAACAACATTTTTTCTGGCAGCCGTAATCCCATGCCTCAGCTTCTTGAGTGGCTGAGATTATAGACGTGCGCCCCCACGCCCTACTATTTTGTATTTTTAGTAGAGATGGGGTTTTGCCATGTTCCAGGCTGGTCTCGAACTCCTGACCTCAAGTGATCCACCCGCTTTGGCCTCCCAAAGTGCTGGGAGCCACCATGCCTGGCTAATCCCACTTTCTGACTTTGGCCACTGCACTGAGGGGGATATTCTGGTAGTGTCGTTATCACTGTGGAAACGAAGGCCAGGGAGCATTGCCTTATGGGCTGTGACTGTTTCTTCAGCTGCTTTCACATAAGCTTTGACAGCCTGCCCCCTCAGCAGGAAGGACAGGGATGGCTGTCACCGGCAGGCCCAGGCCCAGACCCTCAGCCAGGTAGGATGCCCGGAGGATGCCAGGCAGCACTGGCTCCCCAGCCTGGGGCTCACCGCTCTCGTCCAGGTCCTCCAGGCGCACTGTCTGGTGGGGCACGGGGCCATCCACAACTCGCTCCAGGATGCCTTGGACCAGGGCTGGCTGGTTGCCTGGGCAAACCCTGAGGTGCTCCCCACCGCAGGTAGTTCAGGCCTTGGCTGTCCTCACAGGAGGGTTCCACCAGGATGGTGATGTGGCTTGGGAAGGAAAAAGAAGCCTCAGGTGGGCTGGGCCCTGTGGCTCACGCCTATAATCCGAGCACTTTGGGAGGCTGAGGTGAGCGGATCACCTGAGGTCAGGAGTTCAAGACCAGTCTAAGCAACATGGTGAAACCCTGTCTCTGCTAAAAATTACAAAAAATTAGCTGGGTGTGGTGGTGGCTGTAATCCCAGCTACTCGGCAGGCTGAGGCACATACTGGACATAGGGACACCAGAAATCAACTGGCTGGCCAGCACCTAACATTAAAGGTCCTGCCAAGCAGAGATATTTTTTAGCTGAATCATATTTTCTTTCTGGAATTTTAGACATGCAAGTACTGAGATAATGAAGGGATTACTATCTGGGGCAAAAGCTGAAAGGATACAGAAAGATGAAAATCATGAGGAAGAGCTGAACACAAAACCAAGAGACAGTCAAAGAGCGTAGCCAGTTCCAGAACCCACAGCCATCTAGTTCTCTCTATATCTGGGTAGGCTCTGCTCTAATTCATGCTTTTCCTAAGATCCTTAAGAAAATACAAATGACTGCTTGGCAATAAAAGCCTAACTGGAACAACTTAAATTGATCGCCCAGGCTCTCACAGGTAAAATCAAGATTTGGTGACTAACAATGAGGAAGATAAAAGAAATAAGAGGAGGGGGGAAGGGGGAGGGATAGCATTAGGAGATATACCTAATGCTAAATGACGAGTTAATGGGTGCAGCACACCAACATGGCACACGTATACATATGTAACAAATCTGCATGTTGTGCACATGTACCCTAAAACTTAAAGTATAATAATAATAATTAAAAAAGAGACTCCCACACCACTTGTGCATCCCAATCAGAAGCCTGATACCCATCCCCACATGGACAGCTGCACAGGCCCTTGGGCTCCACGTGCTTGTGAACACACATGTACTCTCAAGTAAGGACATGGGTTCTTGTGCATCAAGTGGTATGTGGACAGGCCCCTTTGCCCATGACTGGGTATTTCTGGCAGTTTCCTGTTGTTATTCTCTTTGATCTTGTAACGGGATTTGGGACCCCCACTTCTCCAGTCCCAGGGCTCAGAAGCCCACCAGGCTTTCCGATGCTCTCACTAAGTGTTGGCTTAGCAAGTGTTGGCTTAGCAAGAAGGGCTAGGTCAGGGGGTGGGGTCTGGTTTTACTCATCTCTGAGTCTAGCCTCTAACCCACTGCTTAACGCAGAAAAGGTACCTGGTGAAAATCTATTAAAATCAATGACTGATTTCGCCCAATTTGGAGTGAGACATGCCCGCACAGTCTCAATGTCTGGAGAGCTTTACAAACCCCAGGGGACACCAGGAAAAAAAAAAAGAAATAAGAGGAAAGAATTTAAAATGATTAGGGTTTCTAGATGGGGAACTAGAAGAGATGATGATGCTACTGAGAAAGAGAAATATGGTTTGAAGAGGAGGTTGATTGGAAGAGATACTGAATTAAGTTTTGGACATTTCAAGTCTGAAACGTCTGCGGACTATCTATGAGGAGATTGGAAAATCCGCAATTCAAAAAGCATCACTTAATACATGGTAGTCTAAGCCGCAGAAACACAGGAGTATCAAAAGACAAGTCAAACCCAAGTGCTCTTTGACAAAGCTGATGGCATATAGACAGACAAGACCTTCATAATGGAGTAAATGGATGCTCTGCCCTGATGTACTGTGTACTCATCTGTCCTGGAGCTAGGCTTCCCACCAGGCAAAAATGAAGGCCAGGAGGAGCTCCAGTAGGTCTAAGTAAGAAGCTAAAAGGACTGAAAAACTGAAACTGACAGTGCCATATCCCCCAGAAAGAGAAAGAAAGAAAAAAAGAAAATCTCCAATTTACTCCTTACACAACTTTATAGGTCACAAAACACTTCATAGGAGAGGTGGACAGTTTTCATAAGCACACACCCCAGCTTTAACATATGAAGCAACAGATTTGGAAAAATAAACTTATCTAAGATTATGCAGCTAAAGCCAGGTGTGGTGGCTCACACCTGTAATCCCAGCACTTTGAGAAGCTGAGGCAGGCAGATCACCTGAGGTCAGGAGTTCGAGACCAGCCTGGCCAACGTGGTGAAACGCCGTCTCTACTAATAATGTAAAATTAGCTGGATGTGGTGGTGCATGCCTGTAATCCCAGCTACTCAGGAGGCTGAGGCAGGAGAATCACTTGAACCCAGGAGGTGGAGGTTGCAGTGAGCCAAGATCGTGCCACTGCACTCCAGCCTGGGCAACAAGAGTGAAACTCCATCTCAAAAAAAAAAAAAAAAAAAAAAAAAAGAGTATGCAGCTAATAAGCAGCAGAGCTGAGAATCCTTAGCACTCTCAAGCCACAAGACTCAACAGGTTTCACGGAAACCGAACTGATTGAATCTCACTGAAGTATCTACAGCAGGTCCAATCTGCTTTCCTTTAGCTTTTTCTAGATCACCACAGAGAAGGAATACAAATATAACAGTTTCTGATCCTGAAAAAAAAACCAACCCAACTTTGTTTTCCAGAAATCTTTGCTATTTGTAAACTAGTCAGATTTTAGACTGGGCATGGTGGCTCATGCCTGTAATCCCAGCACTTTGGGAGGCTGAGGCAGGTGGATCACGAGGTCAGGAGATAGAGACCATCCTGGCAAACACAGTGGAACCCTGTCTCTATTAAAAATACAAAAAATCAGCCGGGTATGGTGGCCTGCGCCTGTAGTCCCAGCTGCTAGGGAGGCTGAGGCAGGAGAATGGCATGAACCCGGGAGGCGGAGCTTGTAGTTAGCCAAGATCCAGCCACTGCACTCCAGCCTGGGTGATAGAGCGAGACTCTGTCGCAAAAAAAAAAAACAATTAAAGAGGAGGGGACACACATCTTCTACCTTCCTCACCAATGTTTGCTTTTTACTTACACAAAAAAGGGAAAGTAAAAACATCCTGGTTGTATTAAAGGTTGGGGTTAGAATGCAAATATGGTTCATCTCAAGTACAAAAGAAAATTAAAAAATACAAACTACCATCAGAGAATACTATAAACACCTTTATGCAGATAAACTAGAAAATCTAGAAGAAATGGATAAATTCCTCGACACATACACCCTCCCAAGACTAAAGCAGGAAGAATTTGAATCTCTGAATAGACAAATAACAGGCTCTGAAATTGAGGCAATAATCAATAGCTTACCAACCAAAAAAAGCCCAGGACCAGATGGATTCACAGCCGAATTCTACCAGAGGTACAAGGAGGAGCTGGTATCATTCCTTCTGAAACTATTCCAATCAACAGAAAAAGAGGAAATGCTCCCTAACTCATTTTATGAGGCCAGCATCATCCTGATACCAAAGCCTGGCAGAGACACAACAAAAAAAGAGAATTTTAGACCAATATCCCTGATGAACATTGATGCAAAAATCCTCAATAAAATACTGGCAAACCGAATCCAGCAGCACATCAAAAAGCTTATCCACCATGATCAAGTGGGCTTCATCCCTGGGATGCAAGGCTGGTTCAACATATGCAAATCAATAAACGTAATCCAGCATATAAACAGAACCAAAGACAAAAACCACATGATTATCTCAATAGATGCAGAAAAGGCCTTTGACAAAATTCAACAACCCTTCATGCTAAAAACTCTCAATAAATTAGGTATTGATGGGACGTATCTCAAAATAATAAGAGCTATCTATGACAAACCCACAGCCGATATCATAATGAATGGGCAAAAACTGGAAGCATTCCCTTTGAAAACTGGCACAAGACAGGGATGTCCTCTCTCACCACTCCTATTCAACATAGTGTTGGAAGTTCTGGCCAGAGCAATCAGGCAGGAGAAGGAAATAAAGGGTATTCAATTAGGAAAAGAGGAAGTCAAATTGTCCCTGTTTACAGATGACATGATTGTATATCTAGAAAACCCCATCGTCTCAGCCCAAAATCTCCTTAAGCTGATAGGCAACTTCAGCAAAGTCTCAGGATATAAAATCAATGTGCAAAAATCACAAGCATTCTTATACACCAATAACAGACAAACAGAGAGCCAAATCATGAGTGAACTCCCATTCACAGCTGCTTCAAAGAGAATAAAATACCTAGTAATCCAACTTAGAAGGGACGTGAAGGACCTTTTCAAGGAGAACTACAAACCACTGCTCAATGAAATAAAAGAGGATACATACAAATGGAAGAACATTCCATGCTCATGGGTAGGAAGAATCAATATCGTGAAAATGGCCATACTGCCCAAGGTAATTTATAGATTCAGTGCCATCCCCATCAAGCTACCAATGACTTTCTTCCCAGAATTGGAAAAAACTACTTTAAAGTTCATATGGAACCAAAAAAGAGCCCACATTGCCAAGTCAATCCTGAGCCAAAAGAACAAAGCTGGAGGCATCACATTACCTGACTTCAAACTATACTACAAGGCAACAGTAACCAAAACAGCATGGTACTGGTACCAAAACAGAAATATAGACCAATGGAACGGAACAGAGCCCTCAGAAATAATGCCACATATCTACAACTATCTGATCTATGACAAACCTGACAAAATCAAGCAATGGGGAAAGGATTCCCTATTTAATAAATGGTGCTGGGAAAACTGGCTAGCCATATGTAGAAAGCCGAAACTGGATCCCTTCCTTACACCTAATACAAAAATTAATTCAAGATGGATTAAAGACTTAAATGTTAGACTTATAACTGTAAAAACCCTAGAAGAAAACCTAGGCAATACCATTCAGGACATAGGCATGGGCAAGGACTTCATGTCTAAAACACCAAAAGCAATGGCAACAAAAGCCAAAATTGACAAATGGGATCTAATTAAACTAAAGAGCTTCTGCACAGCAAAAGAAACTACCATCAGAGTGAACAGGCAACCTACAGAATGGGAGAAAATTTTTGCAATCTACTCATTTGACAAAGGGCTAATATCCAGAATCTACAATGAACTCAAACAAATTTACAAGAAAAAAAACAAACAACCCCATTGACAAGTGGGCGAAGGATATGAACAGACACTTCTCAAAAGAAGACATTTATGCAGCCAGAAGACACATGAAAAAATGCTCATCATCACTGGCCATCAGAGAAATGCAAATCACAACCACAATGAGGTAGCATCTCACACCAGTTAGAATGGCAAGCATTAAAAAGTCATGAAAGAACAGGTGCTGGAGAGGATGTGGAGAAATAGGAACACTTTTACACTGTTAGTGGGACTGTAAACTAGTTCAACCATTGTGGAAGTCAGTGTGGCGATTCCTCAGGGATCTAGAACTAGAAATACCATTTGACCCAGCCATCCCATTACTGGGTATATACCCAAAGGATTATAAAACATGTTGCTATAAAGACACATGCACACGTATATTTATTGTGGCACTATTCACAATAGCAAAGACTTGGAACCAACCCAAATGTCCAACAATGATAGACTGGATTAAGAAAATGTGGCACATATACACCATGGAATACTATGCAGCCATAAAAAATGATGAGTTCATGTCCTTTGTAAGGACATGGATGAATCTGGAAACCATCATTCTCAGCAAACTATCACAAGGACAAAATAACCAAACACTGCATGTTCTCACTCATAGGTGGGAATTGAACAATGAGAACACATGGACACAGGAAGGGGAACATCACACACCGGGGCCTGTTGTGGGGTGGAGGCAGCGGGGAGGGATAGCATTAGGAGATGCACCTAATGCTAAATGACGAGTTAATGGATGCAGCACACCAACATGGCACATGTATACATATGTAACAAACCTGCACATTGTGCACATGTACCCTAAAACTTAAAGTATAATAATAAAAAAAAATTAGAATGCTAAAATCCAAAAGAAAAAAGAAAATTAAAATTATCTTAGGCAATTTAGAAATAGCAACTGAGATGAGAGCTGGAGAGAGGCCTTTCATGGGAAGGTGAGAAGGGGTTACTTAGAATTGTTAAAGGGCGGGGGCAGGGGGAGGTTCGACACAATTTTCTTACTTTCTTGATTCCCTAATGCTCCAGTCCTTTGGACTTCTTGGTCTTAAGGCTATATGAATGACCTAATTAGACAAGTTTCCCATCTTCCACTGATTCTTCACCGCCTCTCCACTATTTCTCAACCTCAATTTGTTTCCTACACACTGCCACCTGTGGCCAGCAAATTGACTAACAATGTACGTCTACTAACTTAACGGTCATGGATGTTAAACACTGTTAAATCCAGGAAACCGGTAAAGATTAAGTCTATAGCTAATGATTGGCAGAACTAAGTCTAAACATGATCCTTGAGATTCCAAAATCAGTGGTCTCTATACGTATCATGTTGTCTCTAAGGCTCAATTACCATGAATGTATGTTATGGTAAATGGGACCAAATAATGTCACAGAAGAGTTTTCAAAAGGAAGGTAAAATGAGGCAAGAAAAAAAGACAATGATAGGGAAGGCAATGCAAGCATCATATCTATTATTAAGGAAGAGCTCACAACATTTCCAGAAAGGCTTTCTAGGAACCAGCCTCGACTGAGGGCAGCACGAACAAGCACCATTTCCCAGGCCACCCCTTGCACCATCTTCATGATTTCCCACCACCCCTTTGAATTATTTGCTAAATCACCCTGATGCTGTCTTACACAGCATATTTTTAAAAGTTCTCAGAAACAGGCTCTTACAGTTTTATTTCTTCTTTTAAAAAAAGTTCCCGCTTATCATGTTGTACTATTTAATCAGAATATACTTGAAAACAAAAGATGCTTTGTGGTTTTTTAACTCTTGGTAATTAATCCATTGTAGGCAGTATTTTAAAAAATGATGTAGGACAGGGAAACCAATATGAAATGGGTAGTCTGAAAAGCAGTTACTAGATACTGACCACCATTTTAGGAAAGGCAGGCTATTTAACCCACTGTATGCTCCCAGGTAAACTTGTCTTCAATTCTTGTTAAGTCAAATGTGAAAAACCAAACTTGCCATCTCTATAATTGCTATCGTTTAAAAAATTCTGTTGAGAGGAGACAGCAAACATAGTATTTCTTACCCCGTGCAGCATAATAAAAAATAGGATTCCCAGCTTTGGAAGCCCCAGCTTGGTAGAAAATACTTAACGTTTTCAAAGCCTTGATCTCTTCTTTTTCAGGTACCTGATGCCTAAAAGAAAAAGAACAGAGTACCTCTGAGGCTTTATGTTGTCTACTGAGTATGTAAAATAGTCTATAATTGGATAAACAATAAAATACTAAAATAAAAAAATATTTTAAAAGCAACAGGCATTCTAAAGGGTAATCTGACAACATGCACCAAAAATTTCAAGGTATTGCTCTTTGAGCCACAAAAGCACTTTTAGGACTATTCTAAGAGAACTATTGGACGAGGATATTAACCATAGGATTGTTTTTACTCATGACATTTTTGTCCCAGACAGAAGTTTATGATTTTTGAATGAATTCATTTTATCAATCTTTTCCTTTCTAGCTTATGGATTTTGAATGGATGAAAAAGGCGTTGCTTTGCCATGCTGTTTTGATTTATGGGAGTTTATCCTCATAAATGGTATGAAGATATTTTTCCAGATCATTACTCAGTTTTATCAACACCATTTATTGAAAGTCCAACCTAATCTCCTGGATTTCAAATACTCAACATGTACAGATTTTTCTTTGTTTTTATTCCTTAAACAATATGGTAAAACAACTATTTATATAACATTTATATTGTATTAGATATTATAAGTAATCTAAAAATATTTAAAATATATGGGAGGATGTGCATAGCTTATATGCAAATACTATGACATTTTGTATCAGGGACTTGAGTCTGTGGATTTTAGTGTTCATGGGAGTGAGATGTGGGCAGGAGTTTGGGGGGTGGTTCCTGGAACCAATCCCTGACAGATACTGAGAGACGACCGTATTATAAAGCTAGGCTTTGTCAAAGAAACATATGTAAATGCTTATTATACAGTCCATAGTGTTTAATCACTTTCTGATATGTGTCAATAAGTATTTATCATTAAAGTAGACTTAATTACTTCCTTTTTTGGTCTATCTCTGGTGTTTGAATCAGGAAATCAATTGTTTCTTAGACTCAACACAATGAGTTTCTCAAATAATACCTTTATCTATCTCATCATAACATAAATGCAATCTGAGGCTTTATGTATCTTATTTCCCAATAACTGTAGACTATTCTTCATAAACTGACAACAATAACTTCCCAAACATACCGCTCTCGCACATTTATTTTTCCTGAAAGTCTATCGGTCAAGAAAAAGTAGTAATAAAGATTAGTGTCTTTACATATTTTGAACACAAAAGTTTTACATCTAAAAAGTTTAAATACACATAAAATACAAGTATAAAGCTGTAATGAAGTAGTTATAATTCTCACAGTAAAACCCACTAATATTTGAAAGTCATTTTTTTTTTTTACCTTGTAAGACATTTTACATCATCATCTGCTGCTTGGTTTGATGTTCCCATAACCCAGTCTGTCAGGTATTCTACCATCTTATTCCTATAGGATGGTGGAGAAAAGAGAAACAGCAAACAATTTTTCTGAAGTCATATCCCCCCCACACACACCTTCAGTCATGTAAGATTACTTATGGTGCAAATAATTTGGCAGATAACCCAGGTGACATGACGACTTTATAAAAGAGATACTGCTATCATAGATGTAAAAGCCAGAAGGAACAAGCAACGTGGATACTGATCCTCCATCATGGCCTTTAGTTATGCTATCAGATTGGAAACAGGATCAAATTCTTAGCTCAAGTACAGCAGAGTTTTAGAAAAAGGGAGGCTTGCCACAGGCACAAAGCTTAGGGAAATTTGAGGAGAGACACAGAGAAAAACAAACATGTAAACTGCTCTCTTTTTATGTCTTCCTTTCTACCAGTAACCAGATATCTAGTCTATTTCTGTACTTCATTCAACAAATTAAGATTTACAAGACCCTACATTGCTCTTTTGAGAACTCACCTACATTTCATCTCTCGGCAAAATGAGAGGTCATCTCTCCTTGCCATCGTTACTTCAACCAACTGACACAGTTTCGTTTTTATTTGAATTGCATGGACCATATTCCCAAGCACACGAACATACCTATACAGACACAGAGACAATAAAAAAATTATCAGATACAGACACAAGATAAGGCATTCAAAATACTTTAACCATCAAATAAAACGAGCTAAACATAAGTTTGAAAACAGTAAGATATTTATTTATAGGAGAGCATACACAATTTCTGGTTACCTTGTTGTCAACCCTAGTTTGTGTGCAGTAAAGAATGGCAAATTATTTTATCAATTACTACCAATATCAATGTGTGAGAGGTTTTTCTTGTCTCTTAAATCTTAAAGTATGTTTCTGCTACATTTCAGTAGAAGGCTTACCTGACCAGATTTAACATCATTGTTTCAATGCTAGCTTGCTCTAGATGTTCAGAGCTGCCTTCAGTATGATTATCTAGCAAGTTCTTCATTATATCTACAAATTGAGTATTGGTATCAGTCAATAAAACCTATAGAGAGAACAAATATATTAATGATTTGCCATCAATGCCCAGAAGACAGATCCCTAGAGAGATGAAACTGACTGATCTAAACACACAAATAGAGACATGCACCCACAGGCACGCAGCCAAACAGGCACACAGATATACACAGACACTCAGACCCATATACAAGGCACGTATACCCTCAGGCACACATAGACATCAGAGTTCCTAGAAGCAAGCTGACCATTCATTGAGATGATTCTTCTTTCTACAATTTTTTGACAATTTTTAAAAACTGTGAGTACCTAATTTAAATAATCTGAAAGAAAAAGGCTTCATTATTTCAAACAAGTCAGTCTATTCATAGGGAAAGGTGAAAAATAAAAAAAAGCACACTTTACCTGTCCTTAGGAGTCAAAAAACTTGCTGATGCGTCTTCTTCAATTTGTTAAATAGCATCAGATAAAGAGCAGGACTCAATTCTAGACCCACCAGGTCCTTATCATTGGTCCGTATTTGAAGTCCCACTTTCTCAAGGTTACACACCATTAACGACAACAGCTGATCCATATATTTGCTGACAGGTGTATCTGCGTTTCCCTCTGAGGACATCACTGAAATCATGGAACCCTTATGTTCACTGACCGGACCCACGGGTGGGCTATAGGTTGCCAGGCCAGAATTCCTTCTCTGCTGGAGGCACACTCCCCCAAGGGCACAAAGGAAGCCAGTCATGTTGATGCATGCCTGTAGGGAGTCTGTGTCAGACAAATCTATGGGTCCTCCTCCACTCACATGGGACACTCGCCTCTTAACAATGGTCTTGTGAAGCTTTCAACAGCCTAAACACAAAATTTTTGTGCAAAGCATGAATTAAACCTAAATTAGTTGAGACTTGACAAATTACTCTTTATCCAACATTTCTTCCGTGACAAAAGTACAAAAAAATGTAAAAAATACATTAAAATCAACCCCCTAAATTACCATATACATTTTTAAAGAGCCACTGATTTATTTTTGTCATACACTAATACAATTGCCCAAGTATCAAATTTCTTTTAAAAAGCTTTGATTTCACACGGATGAACCTTGGGAACATTATGCTAAGTGGAAGAAGCTAATCGTAAAAGCCCACATATTCTAAAACTCCATTTACAGAAAATATCCAGAATAGGCAAATCTACAGAGACAAAGTAGACTCCTGGTTGCCTAGGGTTGGAGAAGCGGGGGGAAGAGAGACAAGAAAGTGGGGGGGTTGTTAGAGGCAGAGATAGCTAAAGGATACCGGGTTTTCTCAATTGATGAAATTGTTCTGAAACTGATGGTGGTGATGGTTGCACAACTCTGTGAACATGCTAACAAGTCACTGAATTGGACACTTTAAATGCGTGAATTGTATGGTATGTAATTACATATTATAGTAACAGTTACCCCCCAAAAGCTTTCATTCTAAAGCTACATGTCCCCTCCAAATAAAGGTATTAGGTACACAATTTTGCTTCACAAAACTATAACTTTTTTCTTATTGTAATTAAGCATGACAGAAAAATAACATGAGAGAAGAGCCAGTTTTTATAAATCTAATAATGAGAGCAATGTGAACATTATAAATCATATACACACAAACACCAACTCATCAATTTCCAAAGTAATGGATAATACAGTCAATAGTAATAGTAGAAGGAACTGTCCATATTTTAAAATTTTATTTTATCTATGGGTTCCATCTTCTGCCCAAGACATTCCTTAATTAGAATACCTAACAAAATAGCAAAATGAATGGTTTCCATGTTAATTTTTCTCTACCTCTGTTGCTCCTTTTCTGAAAATTCTGTGAAACACCCTGATGAAGGGAGAAAGAGCAAGAAAAGATAAAGAAATGGTCTTTGCAACAAACAGTCTCTAGCAGTGCTGCCCAGTATTTCTGTGATGATGGAAACATTTTCTCTCTGCTGTCCAACAGAGTAAGTACCTGTCATATGTGGCTACTGGGTACCTGCAATGTGGCTACTATATGATTGAGGAACTAAACTGTATTTAATTTTAATTATGTTAAAATTTAAGTTAAAGAGTCACACGTAGCTAGTGGCTATCATATTACAAAGTACAGGTCTAGATAAACCACAACTAAATATCAGTTTTCAGACAACTATATGCTTACTTTACTGAGTGACTCGTGAAAGATTACCAAAGAGAAGGACATATATTTAGCAGATCAGTTAATAGACAAAAGTCAACTTTACAGACTTACCTGGCCATCTTCCATTTGGGCTTTTGGATAGCTAAGGATTAGTTTTGTTGCTTGTTCCCATTTTGCATGTGTATCTTCCCAAGTCTAAAATGAAGACAGTTATCACTTGAAAGCAACTTTAAGTCTAGAGCTAAACATCAATCAGCAACAGCCAAGCTTCAAACTTGATATATATTAAGTACTCAGATATTATACTTGTAATATGCACATATCTTGGATTTACTTCAAAGCTATTCCTGATCACACATATGTAACAAGAGGCTTCCAAAATCGAGCGTGGGTGCCTGGGAGAGGTGTTTTTGTTGCTTAGGGCACACCTCAGTGTTTCCTGCAGTGGGATGCTCAGTGCGCCTCAGCAGTGCCATCACTCTTTCGGAAGTGCTGCTGTTCCTAAGCAACTACAACAGCAAATCAAGTTACTGCACTTAGAGCCCTGCCTGCCAATGGACAACCTGATAAGCCCACCCAAAAGGCAGAGTAGGAGGAGCAGAGCAAATGCCTCAAATGATAAAGCCAAAAACTTCTGTTCACTAACCTCACAGGAAAGGTACTTATCTTAGACTCTACAATGTCCACAACATAAAATAGCTATTCCCACCTATAATTTACTCAAAACATATGCCAATGTGTGTAAACTTCACTATCCATAACATACGGAGTTATGGATAACATAAATTACATAGTCATATGTAATTTGACTATGTATATGGATAACATAAATTACATAGTCATACAAACGTAAATTACATAGTCATAACTGATAGTAACACGTACTGCCAGTTAATTTTAAAATCTATAGCACATTAAAAACTCAGTGGGAGACTAACAATTTATTTCAAACGCTTTTTATTTTCATCTTACTTTGTTCAGAAAAGGATTTCAAGTAAGCTACTTGAATTTTTCCTGTAAACTTACAGAAGAGTAATCTTAAATACATTCTCACAATCAGATGCCATGTGCTTTAGGGAGGTTGAGTAAAAAAACCACTATTCATATTTACCTGTTGACATCACATTGCTGACAGGCAAACTCCATGAATGTGTTAGAGTTGGGCAAGAGGTTACGCAACGACACTTCGTCCACCCCACACCGGGTATCTGCTTCCTCACAGAGGTGGCGGAAACAGGACATGGCAACCAGAACAGCTTCAGTGTCAGGGTTCCGCAGAAACATGTACAGGGCCACTTCTAGTTTGGTCTGCGCTTGTCAGCAAGTCAGGGGGGTTCCGCTGCATCCTGCTGCACTATCCTGAGAGTCAAGGGTGGTAGACATATATTTGCAACTTGGGTAATTTTATGTATAAAACCCAACAATGCAATAAACTGCGTGTGTGTGTGTGTGTGTGTGTGTGTGTGTGTGTCCACATATATCTCAGCATACAATAACTCATAAGAGCTTTCTCCTTTAATCATTATATGAATTTTTCAAACCCCAAAATATCTTGTCCAAATGAGAAATGAGATTATCTGGACCAACATAAGGCTACTATCTGTCCAATTTCAAATAAAATAGGTATTATCCTATTCCAGATTCCAGAAATGGAAACCGATTCTAACACGGACAGGTAAAACACCATAACATAAATCTACTGCAGTAACTATATAATGTACTTCCCAGTCAATTACAAATGACAAAAACAGAGGAAGTAACAGGAAATTCTATCTACTTGCTCTAGGGAAGTAATAAAATAAGTACACTGCGGCACTCATTGAAACAAGGGCATAAACAAGAACAAAATATTGCTGTAGAAGATAGACTTGATTCTGAATGACCTATTCCCCAAACATGAAATGGAGAAAATAATTGACAAAATACATTCAAATTCTGCAAGTAAAACAGACAATAATAAATAGCATACTGCTTAGATGTTTTTTTCTTTAACAAGGCTATATTAAAAATTAGGGATGAAAAAAGTTTTGGTTTGGAAAATAAACTCTTCTGTAATGACCCGATATTTTCACTTGAAATATGATTTATATTTAAAGGAAATTATACACACAAATGCAAATCACAGAAACACTTATCTTTAACATGAAACAAAATATTTTGTTTTTATCCCTGTACATCTGTACCTTTGTTAGCTGGTACAAATTCTATACTTCTATGCTATGAATGGTTTTTCATGAGGTGGAGGTTATCAGATACAGCTTGTATGTGTCAAGTGCTATTTACACATTTTTTTATTTAACCCTCACAACAACTCTGGAGCAGGAATTATTATTGTCCCCATTTTAAAGTTGAGGAATTGAGGAACAAGGATGTTAAGAACTTGCCCAAAATTCCATAAAGAGCAGTGATAGAACTAGAGTCTAAGCAGTTTTTCACTATTACTCTATATTACCTGGATGAAATTTACCAAAGTTCATTCAGAAAACAAATAGAGCACACGAGATGATACAGGAAAATTACAAAAGAAGCTGACCATAGAGGAGTTCCCTTTTCCCTTCTGGAGAGAGGCTCAGGAGTACATAGTGACACTTCATGACCCATGGACATTTGATTGGTATTTCCACTAGAAGGAGTATCACATCCTACTCCATAAAAAAGGAGAAAGTGACATGAACTTCTATCTGCCTGCTAGAAAAAAGAAGGAAAGAAGCTTTACTGACGCACTGACAACCAAGAGGAATAAACACTTATATCGGTTGTCTTCCTGTTTGAGACTCTCCTAGAAAACCTCTCCTCTCAATCTCTATGCCCCACCTTGAAGGAAATTCACTAGAAACCCATTAGAACAAATAATGTTCACTTAATGTCTTTAAAATTTCTTTCAGTTTCCCATTCTCTAAATAATCAGAAACAGTAGATTCTACAAATATAAATTAAGTCTAACATAAACATAAGTAAAACATCAACAATGTAAATCCACTGTATGAAAACTATAATTTGGTCTCAATGACAAAGATTTTTTTTCTGCAAGATTTTATCCGTGCCATGTTGGGATAACTAGAAATTGACTCTTGAGATTAAGTTCTTCTGGACCAGTAATTAACCCTGGTATATACACCAAGTATATCACAAGAGTGACTGTGCTGACCAGGGCACTACGAATTC